>NC_000003.12:72510000-73760000 GCF_000001405.40 Homo sapiens | reverse complement strand
GGCAACTAGTTTCCTTTATAATGGTGACAACAAACTCCAAGCCTCAGCCATGATGAGTTTCACATGGAGAAGCTGGGATCCATTTCAACCCATGGTGGTGGTCAACAGGGTTCCTGAATGAGGAAATGGGACAAGAAGAGTTAAATGTGCTTCTCTCTAGGAGGCTTCTCTTTGTTTCCTCAAGAAAACTACCAAACTTACTGGATTGTTTTTTCATTTGAATGTTTTATTCCATGAATAGCCTAACAATATAAATGTGTTTCAAGTACATGAATAAACAGCATAATAATAAAAAGCACATGACTTTCCCAAGAATTTATCCCTGAAATTCTGAGTTAACAAGACAGCAACTTTCACTCTGGAGGAAGGGAATGAGGGCAAAGTTTCAAATGTACTTAAGCGACTAAAAGAGGAAAGGAAACAGGAGGGAGGGAAAGAAATATTGTTTTTCACTATTTGAATGTTCCCCAGAACTAGAGGGTGAGGGAAATCTGGCAAGAAAAGATGCGTCTGGTTTTGTACTGATTTTGAAGATAGGAAAAAGAATACTCTTTGCCAAGGAATATGAGAAAGAGCATAGGCTTTGGAATCAAGCACAGCCTGCTATAAACTGACATCATCTCTTTCACTATTGGGCAAACCTGCGTAGACTTTAGGTGGAACTAAATAAGGAACTACAATTACCTGAGTCTTAGTTCCTTCATCTATAATATAGGGAGAGTAATACCTACCCTGTTGAATTGTTCTATGAAGGCACTAAAACCCCACGTGGGGAAGTGCCTAGCTCAGTGGTTATCTAGCCTCATAGATGCTTAATAAATGTGTGTTTCCCACCTTTTTCTTCTCTAGGAGACTGTATTAGTCTATTCTCACACTGCTATAAAGAACACCTGAGGCTGGGTAATTTGTGAGGAAAAGAGGTTTAATTGCCTCACAATTCTGCAGGCTGTACAGGAAGCATGACTGGAAGACCTCAGGAAACTTAAAGATCATGGCAGAAGGCGAAGGGGAAGTAAGCACATCTTACCGTGGCAGAGCAGGAGAGTGTGTGAAGGGGGATGGGCTATACCCTTTCAAACAACCAGATCTCATGAGAACTCTGTCATGAGAACGGCAAGGGGAAGTCCACCTCCATGATTCAATCACCTCCCACCCGGCCCCTCCTCCAACATGTGGAGATTACAATTCAACATGAGATTTGGAAGGGGACACAGATCCAAACCATATCAGGAACTGAGGCTACTGATCACAGACCCCGAACCCAGAAAGACCAGCATATTCTAATTCCCCATACTCATCTAAATCATCAGGATAAGTCTTTCCTAGGCAGATACTCCACTCCAAGGTGGCAGACTACGGAACACATTCATAGAGTGTGTTACAAATCACCTGTGCTGTCACTTTTGCTCAACACCTACTATGGCCCCCATGGCCAGGCAGCCCCTCATTCAAACCCAGGTTCATCCAGCCTCACTTCACCCAGCACTTATTTAACCCCCAGCCTGCACACCTCTGAGGCTGTTGAAATGGAGTCAGAAAGCTCTAGGTGTGAGCTGCAGCTCCCCTAGTCACAAGCTGTGAGAACTTGGGCACATTGCTTAACTCCACTAAGTCTTAATTTCTCCATCTGTAAAATGGGGTGATAATGACCCTGTTTTATAAGCTGCTGTAAGATCAAAATGAAGCATTAGCCCAGTGCCTGAGACATGGAAAGTACTCTGATGTAGTTGTTGTTGTTGTTGTTGTTCACAATGAGCTTTGCTCTCGTTTATAGGTGAGGAAATTTACATTCTAAGTGAGCAAGTGATATAGCCAAGCTTGACAATTTGCTGGTTCCATGGGGACAAGGAGGCTCCAAAATGCAAAATAAAAGGTGTTCAAGACATTTAAAATATCTGCTGGGTCCAAAGCCCATGTTCTCTGCACAGCAGCACACTGCTAAGCACTGAAGAAGGTATGAGGAGGTTAAGACAAAGATGCTGACCTAACGTGCTTTCAAGGGCTTGTGTATTAATTCTATATGTAGCAGAAAGCCATGAATGCCAAGAACGGCAATGTCCTGCTTGACTTCTGGGATGTTAGTGTCAATGGACACTTTTCTTTCTGTCCTGTGGTTCTTCCCTCCAGCTGAGTACTTCTACTTACCTCTACCTACAACCCCCAGACATGTTCTGCTTTTATAATTGGTAAGCCTCATAGGTCAAAAGTCATTTCAATGATTAGCTGATGTTACTAAGTCATCACATCTGTTGAACTGCTATTCCGTCTCCTGCTCTGTGTATTTATTGAGTACCTGGACTTGGACCTCCCACCTTCAGTTTCAGGATGTTGGACCTGTCAGACCCTTATCTAACTTACTTATTGCCTGCTTGTTCCCCAAACTTCATGCTCAGTACTTGTTCATTTCAGGTTTGCCTGCCTTTATAGTTTTGGCTCCTCGTGCCGCTCTAATCCTGAATACCCCCCGGGTTCCCTGAAGCTTGCCTTGGTTTCTCCGGTACCTGCCATTCAGCCTGCATTCACAATTCATTGTGCCTGAGAGTCTACACCTTCTTTAAAGCTGGTGTCTTATGCTTTGATTTAAATCTATCTTTGAGAAAAAAAAAAAAAAAAAAACCTCTGCTAGAGAAATTCTGTGTACTTATAGTCTGGTGTTTCTCCTAATTAATGAAAAAGTACTGTACTAAATAAGGTAGAAGTGGCATTAAGTAAAATAGAGAAAAATAGAAGCACAAAGATTAGTACTTTTGTTTTGTACCTGGTTATAAAGCACCGTGGCTCTAACTTTCCATCTCTTTATTTTCTAGCAAATTCCTCTTCCTCCTGGCCTATAAATGACAGATTGTCTTAGGGTTCATTGAACCTGTCCTGTCCTCTGTCTAGACTCACTTCCTAGGTGATCTCATCTGGTCTCAGCTTTAAATACCTCCTGTCCACTATGTCTCCTAAATGTGTGTCTCTAACCCAGACCTCTCCCTTGAACTCTGGACATATACGTCCAACCACCCACCCAGAGGGACACTTCAGTGACTTGAGTCTAACAAGCACACATTTAGCAGGTTTAATCCAATTTCTTCTCCACCCATCTTCCCCATCTTGATTGAAGGTAGCACCACCTTTTTATTTGCTCCATAGTTTCTCTCACATACTACATCCAATGTATCAGCAAATCCTGTTAGTTCTACCTGAAAATGTGTCCAGAATCTAACCCCAACTGTTACATCAGCTCTTCCAGGACTGTTGTGGCAGCCTCTGATTTGGTCTTCCGTTTTCATTTCGTCCTCAATAGTCTGTTTTCAATAGAGCCGTCAGAGTAATCCCGACAAATCAGATCATGGCACTAATCCAAATGCCCATTGCTCCCAGGGTCAAGGCTAACATCCTTAAAATGGCCTCCAAGGCAATCTGACCACCTCCTTCACTATCCTCTACTCACACTTCTCCCTCACACACTTGCCCTTGTGCACTCCCCAAACATGCCAGGTACTTCATTCCAGCTGAAGGCCTTTGCACTTACTCTTCCCTCTGCTGAGAACACCTCCCTCACATATCTGCATAGTTCATCCCCCATTTTATTTATGCCTCTGATCAATGGCCAAATATTCCTAGCCAATATTTCCAAAATAGTACCCATACTCCTCAGCACCCACCATCATCATTCTCTAGCCCTTCCCTGCATTGTCTCTAATGGTCCTCGTCTCCACCAGCCTTATCATACACTGAGAGGCTTAGTTGTCATCCACTTCCCCCATGGACTAGACTCTCAGACACTCTTTGAGCACAGATACTGTGTTTTATTTATCATTGTATTCTTAGCACCTCAAGTGGTGCCTAGCATGTAGTAGTGACTTAATAAATTTGTGCCGAATGAATGAATATTATTAATATCCTGGCTCTTTTTCTCAGCTGACCCCAGATGGTTCAAGGGTTACTCACAGAGTTCATATCAGTAGTGATGCCCCTGTTTCCCTCTGAGTTGTCTTCAAAGGGCTTAGCAGCCTAGAAAATTGCATGGGTCTGTCTCCTCTTGACTAATCTGTCTCAAGTCCAGCTTTACAGGGTGCTAGTTCTTTAAATTCTCTACATTTTTGCATCTCTCATACTATAGTATTCTGGCTTATTTTCATTGTAAGTTGCAGAAACCCAACTCAAACAGGTATAAGGTTTTGTTTTTTTAAGAAAAAAAAAAAGCAGAGGTAGGGGTTAGAGGGTTTGGGAACCACTGGCAAATAAAACAGAAAACCCTAGTCCAGAAGCAGGTGGGAGAAGGTGCTCAACATATTACATCAGGAATGTGCTTCTTTCCTTCTCTCAGCTTTGCTTTCCTCTATCTGATTCATTTAAATCGATTCTCCTCAATTAGGGATACAGATGATCATCAATGTCCCTAAGCTTATATTCTACGAGTTTAGCAACCTCAGTGTCAGACCTGACCTAAGATGGCATCAATTTCACTCAGATCAAGTGGGTTTAGGAGAGTTCAAGGTGGTTTGCCCAAGAAAAGTCAGCCTGTTGAAACTAAAAGAATGAGGATGGTTGCTGAGCAGATAAAGAAAAAAAAAACCAATGCCCACTGCATTTATTTTACTTTGTATTCTTATCTTTAAGCTGATATTTCCTAACTCTGTGTTATCTAAGAATAGAGACTGGGGCTTACCTCTTTAAAATGCCAACATCTCACGCAGGGCCTTAGTTAGACTAAACATGCAATAAATGTTTGATAATAATGATAAAATCTCAAATCCAAGTAGCCCAGCCCTGTGCTTTGACTTTATTTTAGGTGTTTTGGGTTTTTTTTGTTTGTTTGCCATCCCAGAGAAATTTAGATCTTCCTTCAAAGACCGAATTTCATTTCAAAGACTTCCTTTTATGAAGTCTGCTAAATTCTTGCTGTGTTAGCTATCTATTGCTGTGTAACAAATTATCCTAATAGTTGGTGGCTTAAAACAACAGCTTTTTTTGTCTCATAGTTGCTATGAGTCTGGAATCTGGGTCCTCTGGCTCAAGGTCTCTCACAAGGTGGCAAGGAAGGTGTTGGCCTTGGCTGCAGTTATCTCAAGGCTCAGCTAGGGAAGGATCCAATTCCAAGCTCACTCACATCATTGTTGGCAGGATTAAGTTGCTCACTGTCTTTTGGACTAAGGTCCTCGGTTCCTCTCAAGCTCTTCACTAGAGCCTCCTTCATTTCCTGGCCATGTGGGCCCCTCCACTAGGCAGTCCAAAAAATGGCAGCTGGTTTCCTTAGAGAGAGAGGAGAAGAAAAAAATGCTGGCAAGATGAAAGACACAGTCTTTTGTAACTTGTTCCCAGAAGTGACATCCCATCATCACTTTTGCTATCCCATCACCACATAGCAAAAGTGATGATGGGATGTCACTTCTGGGATCAAGTTACAAATCATTAGGTCCAGCCCACACTCAGGAGGGAAGGGCAAGACAAGGATCCAGATCTCAGAAGGAATACTTGGCATGGTAGAAAGCTACCAAAAATGCAGGACACTTTTGGGTCACCTGGAGACAAACACTGACAGGCTGACTACCTGGAGCCTGATTTTGACAAGATTTTGAGGCCTCATGGACTTGCTAGAAATGAGTGCCATCATTGATTAGTGATATCTGCCACAAATGAGAGATGGAAGAGGAACAGCGTAAACCCATATATGTGCATGCCCCATTCTAACAACATCAGAGCCCGTTTGTCCAGGCTGGATATACATAAGCATTTCTCCATGGCATTTATCAGAGGAAATGGTCAGCTGGCTAAAATTCATGTTTCCGATAGCTGTGTCTCAATGTGCTCTGGACGAATGGCACAGCTTGAGTTACTGTGAACAACTGGTGCCTTGTCTTGTTTGCTTTTTTTAACATACGCCCAAGTCAATATTGAACCATTCTGTGCTTCTGCATCCAGTTCTCCACTAAAAACATGCCTAAGAAACAGAGCAGGATATATTGTTCTATTTTTCTGGTTTGGGTTCTGAGGTTGTGTGAGGAGCTTAGCCCAGCTGCCGCAATCAGTCCCTAAGTTACATATTGGTGTCCTGATGGTGGATGACCAAGTCTTCCCACTCTCACAGTCAGTAACTGTAAATGCTGGACCTATAGGTAGAGTAGCAGAGGGAATTAACTCGAGTGTCACATTTTTTGGTCCATGGCAAGAAACAAAGAAAAGAAAAGAAGTCTGATTAAAAACATGTTTGTAAACACTCCCTTCCTTTTCACTTAAGCAAGAAAATAAGGCTAAATTATTTTTACCTTACCCTCAGAATAAGTT
Organism: Homo sapiens; assembly: GCF_000001405.40. Lineage (NCBI taxonomy): Eukaryota > Metazoa > Chordata > Mammalia > Primates > Hominidae > Homo > Homo sapiens. The sequence goes on along the minus strand of NC_000003.12, from coordinate 73,753,727 downwards.
TGTTTCGGATAACATAATAAGTGAAAAAGGAGAGCCAATCTCTACTACCTTAAAATATTAAGTGATGTTTCAGAAATTAAAATATTTCTTTGCTCATGCATGTTGGGGCAACAGAGTCATGTTTCCTAAACTTTTTAGATGGTCAGTTATTTTAAACTAGTTTTGTAGTTTCCCCTCTCTCTCCCTCTCTTTCTTCCTCCCTCCGTTTCTTCTTTCTTTTTCTTTCTTTCTACCCAATTGTATTCAAGGCTTGGGAATTAATAGTGGAGTCTACAAAATATAAAATGAAAAAAATCAAGACCAGAATAATTTGTAAATATTCCTTATTTTAGAGTTTATTTTTGTCTTTTCTGTTTGGATGGCTTTGTTTGCCATGAGGAGACCAGAGCCATCCTGAGATTAAAACTTGCTCAGAGAATAAAATCTCCACTCCCACACATGCAAACTGCACTCCAGGCAACTAGCCTTCCGGGAGTTTGCATGTTAGTATGGTCTCATGTCAAACTCAATCTGCTAAAGGGTATTACAGCCCCCGAAATCAGCATCTCAGGAAGCAAGGCCTGCATCCTGTGGCCATCTGGAGACTGCTTTGCTGAGCCATCCATTTTTCACCAGATACATTGCAGAAAGGGTTAATCAATCACCATGCCAGTTCAAACACACAGCCTTCCTCCGGCTTGCTGAAGCTCACACACCCCAACTCCCAGAGCTCATTGAACAAGGCCCAACATCAAAGCCAGGGCCTCAAAGCAAATGTGCCAAAAGCCCAAATGGAAGAGGCCAAATTGGAGAAGGCTTATGAAGTGTCACTTCTTCATACAGCCCACGATACCAGCAGAGGTGATGACACTCACACCCGAAGCAGAATTGAGGCATGCCAGCCTGAGTGGAGGCTATGGCTTCCCACCAAGATCTCTAGTCTAACCTCGAATTTGCTTCTTTAATAACCTACCTTGCAAATGCTGCAAACACAAATGACCAAAGTGCCGTTTCCCCCGCGACACCAGAACAAGCTGTGCCCATGCACCCTTCTGTGGGCTTTCATGAAAATGTGCAGACAGCATGCCCCACTGCCCTTTTTGAACTTTGCTTTGAATTGGACACAGATGGCAATTCCTTGACCATTCTGCAGGTCCACTAAGAAAGTGCAGCTGGAATAGTTCTGTTGTCTTTTCTGACCTGGCTCTTTGCCCCTTAGAACATTTTTCATTATCCTTCAGGGTAAAAAAACTGTGTAGTTCAATCTTCCAGTTTCACCAAACAGCATCTTCAAAGTCAGATGGACTTGTATGAAAACGGTGGCTCTGCTGCATACCCATTCTGTGGCTGTGCACCTGTGAGACTGAATCTTCCAAGCCTTCATTGTATCGTCGGTAAAGTGAGGATAATAATCCTTGGGGAATTGGAATTGTTGAAAGGATTAACTGAGGGAATGCTTATAAAGGTTCAGAACAGTGCCTGCCAGATAGTAAGCACTCAATATATGTGTGTTTCTGCTGCAGTTGATCATGTATTCATTCAATAAACATTCTCTGAATGCCCTTTTTGTGCCAGGCACTGTCCTGGGCACCATGGGCAGTGGTGAACAAGATAGAGAAAGTTTTGGCTCTTACGCAGTTTATGACTTCATCCGTGGAAACAGAAGAGAAACAAATGAATAAACAAACAAGGCCGTGACACACACAATGTAGAAACATACAGGTTAATGTGATAGAGAGAGACCTGGAATTGGGAAATTTTGACTAGGAGTCTGGGAAACCCCTCCAAAATTGTGAAGACTGAACTAAGGCCTGAATGAAAAGAGATGCGAAGCATGTGAAAATCTTGGGGTAAAATGTTCAGGCAGAGGGACAAGTGTAAAAGCTGTGAGCTTGGCATTTCTGTTTGTGGACAGAAAGAATGCTGATGTGACTTGAGCACTGTGAGAAGCAGGCATAGAAGAATGAAGAGAGGGTGGTCTGGTGGCAGCATTATTACTTCTGTACAAGTCGCAGGTTTTCACCTGACTCGAGGAGTATGTTTGCATTTTGCTCTGCTAACTTCGTTCTCAAATTTGCCAGTCCATTGCATCGAACAGAGAGAGTGTTAATTTATTCTCCCATAGCCTAAAAGACCCCCTGTGTTATTCACAAAGGCACAGACTGTTTCCAAGAGGTATGCAGAACCTGCAAATCAAGCAGCTTGGAAATTTCTGGAGGGAAGTTCACATACATGCGAGTGAAGGCAAAGTGGAAACATCTTTATTTTCCTTCTCCAAAGCTGAAATGAACATTATAATTGTAAGATACCCAGTGACTAATAATTCAATTCCGTGTAGTCTTTCATGCTTTAGGCAGAGGCCTAAACATCTGATTATCTGTGCTGGCTCTTCTGTGAGATACAGTGGCTTGTAATAGAGAGAATATGCTGTGTGGAATTATGTGCCATGATTCACTTCTCAGGTCTGTAACTTAATCACTGTGTGACCTAAACAATTATCTTACCCTCTCTGGGCAGAGCCTCTATTTCTTCTTCATATGTAAAATAGGGACAATAATATTTATGCTAGAATATTATGTTAGGATTAGATAGGAGGAGGAGCACTAAACACGGTCCTAGCCGTGAGTAGGGACACTCAGTGGATATCAACATCTACAGAATCAATGGAATACAGTTGAACTCAGCAGTCAGCAAATTGCTTCCCATGAGCCACATCCTCACTCCTTCCTGTGTTTGTAAATAAAGTTTTATTGGAACATAGCCACATCCATTTGTTTCCATATTACCATGGCTGCTTCCACACTACAACAGCAGAGGTGAAGAGTTGCAACACAGACTGTATCACCTGCAAAGCCTAAAATATTTACTATCTGGTTCTTCACAGAGAAAGTTTGCCAACCCATACTCTTAAATCCAAATATTACTGCTCCTTCCAATACTTCAAAATGCCTGAAATTTCACTCCCTGTCATAAAATTCTCTTGTATTCCCCACTGTGACTTGCACATAGAAGGCAGTTACTACATAGCGATTTAATTGTATTAAATTAAATGGAATTGAATTAAATGTATCTATTTAATATGAATTACTTTGGGGCTGTTGCTGATGCTCAGCTTTTTATTTTCCCAGAAAGCCCTTGCCTCAGTTACATGTTCATTTTCTTCAAATCAGTTTTGGCTCCTACAATATCTGTGCATGGCTGACAGATATTACAGGTATGCAGTCCCCCAGATAACCCTTCCCCTTTATGGTATCTAATATCCATGGGTCCAGCAGACCCTGCCAACCAGCTGATGCTTGAGCATTCTATCTTAATGCTCTCATCCCTAAAGGTGTCAAGCAGAAAGGTTAAGTGACTTGCCCAAGGTCAGAGCAGGAATACGTCAGAGTGAGGGCTGGAGGACCACTTAATCTGACCCCCAAGGTGTACCTGGGGTCAGTACCCTTTGGTATATCCCATTTTTAACCATTCTACAAATATGGCTTTGTTTGCCATGTGGGGACAAGCATTGGAAGGGGTCACGCATTGGGTGGGGTTACTGAGACTTTCTAACTGGCCCCAAGAAGGAATTGTAAATTCCTGGACTATAGGGGTCAGAAGATGGGATCTAAGTAAAGCAGCCAGGACCAGGATACCCTACACAGGTGTCCCCACTCTGGCTTCATTTCCTGCCTTGCTAGCCCCGCTCACTCCAGTCCAGACACACTGGTCTATGTACTGTTTCTCAGTCCCCCTCAGGCCTTTGCTCCAGCTGTTCTCCTGCCAGGAGCCCCCTTCCCTGAGATAGCCACAACTTTTTACTCAGGTTTCATCCTCTCAATAAGTCCTACCCTGACCACCAATTAAATACTGCAACCTACAACCCCACGGACATTCCTGATGGATCCCCTCTATCCTGCTCTACTTTCTCCGTCAAATGTATGACCTTCTACCATACTCTGTTCCCTCCATACATGTAAGCTTCACAAAAGCAAGGATGGTGATATGCTTTGTTCACTGATATATTCCAATCAAGCCAAGAACTTACTGACTGACTTATTTATTTGTTTACTTATTTATCAAGGGCACACAGCACTTATTCTGTGCCTGATGTTATTCTAACCTCTTTAGAAAGAATCAACTCCTTTAATGGTAGGTACTCAATAAATATTTGTAGAATGGTTAAAAATGGGATATACTAAGGGGTACTGACCTCAGGCACCCCTTGGGGGTCAGATTAAGTGGTCCTCCAGCCCTTACTCTGACATATTCCTGCTGTGTGAACTTGGGCAAGTCACTTAACCTTTCTGAACTTTCTTTTTCTCCCCTGAGAAAATAGGAATGAGAATTCTCATGTATAAATTTCAGGTAGGATTAAAGAAGATATTGTTTATAAGGTCTTGTTATAGTTTGCTCCACAGAGAAAGAGCTAATGGTGGTAACAAAGTGATGGTGATGGGGCTGTGACACTAGGCAGAGTCTTTAAGGTACCAGGTTGACCATGATAACTTCCTGTTTCGATGGATCGCTCTCTTTCTCTTTATTTACAGGGCAAAAGAGAGATAAGAGGCCTATTAGAGTTGTCCATAAGATATCAGTTGTTTGAGACAAATTAAGGAAGGAACCAGAATAAGTTTCTTTAGCTAAGTTCCCTTAAGATTAAGAGGAGAATTTTTTTTGAATTTCAGTTCTTGTGCGTTCTTTTTAAACTTTCAATGTAAACACAAGGATGGATGACTTAAATATAAAAAGGGATTTATTTAGTCATGCAACAAACATTTATTGCGTTTCTTGAATACCTGATGTGTATTAAACCTGTGTGTCAGGAGCAGAGGACACGCAGTGATCAATATGGTTGGGGTAACCACTAATACACAGCGTTCTCACTCCCACAGTGGTGATGGGTGGGTTAACAATGTGACAAATGCCAGGATGGCGGAACACAGAGCCACAAGTACACAGAGAAATTACATTATAATGACTAAGGCTATTGACTTTACCATCTTTCAAGTACTGAGTATTATGGTAAACATTTACATATTAATATTTCATTTAATATTTCTGCCATATCTGTGAGGTAGTGTCTATCAGTATCCACTTAGTTTAAAGAAGTTAAATTGCCCAAGATCAGAGAGTTTATAAGAGATGTAGGTGAAATTAAATCTACATCCCCAACCCTTAAGCCCAAGCATGGATTTGTAGTTGGCTGACACTAGCTCTCCTAACTTAGCTGATGGTCACTTTCTGAGTTTCTTGCCTTTTTAGAATTTGTTTTATCATCTGTGGAGATAGTATCTACTACCTAAGATCATAAAAAGAATTAATAAGATAATAAATAGCAATCAGCCAAGACCTATCTCACAGTACTCAATAAATGTTAGTTCTCACACCTCTTTCTTCTTCTTAGATAACGTTATGATTATAGAGTTCTAGGTGGATGAATAAACATATTTACCAAATAACTGTATTGATAATAACTAACATCAATCAAACACTTACTATGTGCTAGGAGCTGTGCTAAGCTCTCTTCATGGATAAACTCATTACATCAACACCATAACCCTATGAGCAGGTACTGTTATTATCTCTTCTTTCTACAAAGGAGACAGAGCCACAGAGGTGTTAACTGCATTGCCCCAACGTCGCAGAGTTCATACATGGTGGACCAGGAGTCAATCCCTGGTGCCCTCGTTCCAGAGTTTACTCTTCACCACTTGCTGTCTACAGGCCATCATAACAAGGACTGTAGATGTCCTTGGAGGAAGTTGCTGGTAGTGGTTGTGCCATAGTTGGTGTGATACAAAAAACCCAAGTACTTTATTTGTTCTCAAAATAATGAAATACTATTTACACACTTATTTGCAAAGCACATTTTTCTGTCACCTACAGTTTCACGTGGCTGATGAATGCATCCATTTTCCTCTTTTAGCATCAGTCAATGCCATAAAAAAGTCTGCATTATCTTAGAATGTGCTCCTGCTTCTCACTTGTCTTGCTTAATATTAGTGCATAATAGTGCATAATCAAGTACAGTAAATGGCCCCCTGGTTAGTTTTAATGACCTTATAGCACCTACCATGATTTGCGATAGAGCTCACAATTTAATTTGAGGATGAAAGATTGAAAAATCTTTCTCCATATTGCTACTTTCCAAAACTGCTCAGATGTTTATATTTTATTAACTAAAAGTCATGCCAACTTTCTCAATGACTCTATTCAACTCAAAGCATGCGGTACAAATTGTAAAAAATTCTTTTTTTTTTTTTTTTTTTAAGGCATGCTCTCTCTGTTGCCCAGGCTGGAGTGCAGTGGAATGATCACAGTTCACTGCAGCCTAATCTCCGGTGCTCAAGTGATCCTCCCGTGTGCACTACCAAGCCCAGTTAATTTTTTTTTTTTTTTTTTTTTTTTTTTTTTTTTTTTTTTTTTGTAGAGACGGGGTCTTGCTCTAGGTTGCCCAGGCAGTTTTCAAACTCCTGGACTCAAATGATCTTCCCACCTCGGCATCCCAAACTGCTGGGATTACAGGCGTGAGCCACCATGCTCAGCTTTGTAGAAAATACTTTCTATTCTTTCACAGAATTATCTAAAGAAGACTTGAAGGCAAATAAGGAGAGGAAAAGGGGTAATTGTTTCTTTGTGCTCCTTTTCAAAGCTGCAAACTCAGCCAGAGATCCCAAAACTTGAGTCTTACCTCATCTGGATGCTGCTTTGCAAAAGAATTGGTCCTTTTTCAGGCAGTAAAATATTTGCAAACTTTTCCTAATGAGTGTGATTTGCAAACTGTAATTTCAGTGCAGCTACATTGCCAGGGCAGGTTTGGACAAAAATATGCGAACAATAAAGCGGGACAGGGCAAGCAGAGTTAGGTCATAAAACGCATGTCCCCTGTGCGTTGTGAGGCAAGACGCCAACGGCCTTGTGCCCTCAGCCACCTGTGTACGATTCTAGCTGATCATCTGTGACTCACTGGAGGCTGATTAGATTGTTTCTGTCCTGAGGCCATCTTATTATAACGTTGGGTTGTGAATTTCATTAAGTTTTACAATCCTCCACACGTGTGTTTATAACAAGAGTTATCTCCCCTTGTGGGATGACATTTGTTTTTATAAAACCAAAATTAAATCAAAATCTAAGCTTGCAAAGGTTTTTTAAAAGTGTGTGGAAAACAATAGGCAGAAAATAAATTGTCAGCATAAACTACCATGAACGTAAATAAATGTCCATGGAGGAGCTTGCAGAGATTTTTTTGGCATTACTCAAAATTCAATATGAGACATAAATGGAGATGACATGGAGACATGCTACATAAACCATTGAATAGTTGAATTTTGATTTTTATTTATTTATTTACTTACTTTCGAGACAGGGTCTCGCTTTGTTGCCCAGACTGGAGTGCAGTGATCACAGCTCACAGCAGCATCAACTTCCTGGGCTCCCACTATCTTGCCCAGGCTGGTCTCAAATTTCTGGGCTCAAGTGATCCTCCTGTCTTGGCCTCCCAAGGGGCTGGGATTACAGTTATAAGCCCAGCCAGAGTCTTTAATTATAACAAGTGATAAAACATACCTAAAAAGCACAGTGTGAAATTTTGTTGAGGAGACAGAAAGGAGCCATTTCCATCTTCGTTACAGAAAATGGCAGATCCAAGTTGCATTCTGCAGAGAGTGTTAAGGGAGTGTCACGGACCATTTCATCTGCGTTTCCTGCTTTCTCAGAATGTGGACTCAAGGAGGCAAACGGATGCATCAAGTATTCTGTTCACCTCTGTCTCATGGGACAAAAATGTTCAGTCTCAAACCTTTTAAGAACCATCTAGAATTATGACATTTTGTATCTGGGGGAATCATTTAGTCCAGATATTGGCAAAGATTTCCTATAATGGGCCAGTAAAGATACAGAAAATATTTTCAGCGTTGTGGGCCATACGGTCTCTGTCCCAGCTACTCAACTCTGCAGCTGTAGCACAAAAGCAGCCAGAGACAATGCGTAAACAAATGAGCATGGCTGTGGTCCAATAAAGCTTTTTTATGTCGCTGAAATTTGAATTTCATATACTTTTCACATGTCACAGATTATATTCTTGTGTTTTTTACAACCATTCAACTATGTTAAAAGCATCTCTAGCACACAGGTGGTACAAAAACGGGCAGTGGGCCAGATTTGGTGGTTACCAGATTTGGCTACCAGCCAACTTTTGTTAACCCCCTGATTTAGCTCAATGACAAAAAACCCCAGGGTGAGAGTGAGAAATTGTTACATGCAACCTGGATAGCTTTGCACATTTGCCTCAGCGTGGTGGCTACTTCTCAAATAGGCTGCAATAGAAACATTTGAGAAGCTAAAAAGCAATGACAATTTTCTCATTGACATTCTGATATTTAATGATATACTTAATCTATCATTTTTATGGAGATCATCAAATTTATTTAATTTTGACTTTTAAAAAGGGTAGTTGATAGAACTACCATATGACCCAGCAATCTCACTTCTGGGAATATACCCAAAGGAAATGAAATCAGTATGTCAAAGAGATATCCTCCCCACAAAGCTCACTGCAACACTATTCACAATAACCAAGATATGGAATCAACCTAAGTGCCCATCGACAGATTAATGGATAATATATGTATTAATGGATAATATAGTATAGGTACCACTGTGTATAGTGGTACATATACACAGTGGAATACTATTTGGCCTTAAAAAGAAGGAAATCCTATAATTTGCAGCACCATGGATGCACCTAAAGGATATTGTGTTACGCAAAATCAGTCAGGCACAGAAAGGTAAAAATTGTGTGATCTCACTTATCTGTGAAATCTAAAAACATCACATTCATAGAAACAGAAAGCAGGATGATGGTTACCCAGGGCTGGGGATGGTGGAGGTGCTTTTGGAGAGATGTTGGTCAAAGGATACCAAATTTCAGTTAGACAGGAGTAATAAACTCAAGAAATCTATTCTACAATATGGGACCACAGTTAAAAACGAGGTATCCTATACTTGAAAACTGCCAAGAATAGATTTTAAATGTACTCACTACAAAAAAGTTGATAAGTATGTGGGGCAACAGTTATGTTTACTAGCTTGATTCAGTCATTCCACCATATATACGTATGCTAAAACATGTTGTACACAATAATATATACAATTTTTATTTGCCCATAAAAAATAATGAATGGGTAGTTTCATAAACATTGTTTCCCGATTTGATCTTTGGCAGGATAGATTTTTCTCTGCCTATATGGTCCAAAGCCTTATTTTACAAATTTAAAAAATAGAAATACAGTTGTAACTTGAAATCTAGTTGTGGCAAATTCTAGTTCGTTTACTCCTCATCCCCCTCTAAGGGAGGAATATTCTCCCCTCAGCCCCACCCCCAGCCTTGCCGTTTGATCCTAGGTTTGGTCAGCTGGCTCAGTTTGGCCAATTAAGGCAGAGAGGCTAACCAGGGTGGAGTGACCATGTGCCAGTGCTTAGTACAGGGTTTAAGAGGATTCAAGGGTTTCCATTTGGACCTCCAGCAGTTTCTTGCCTTCCTCATGAAGAAGAATATGCCCTAGGTAGCTGCTGCCTTTTCAGCCTGGCCTGCCCTCACCTGATGCAGGGCCACCCCAGCTGACCCTCAGACCCACCACCAGAAGCAAACCTGTGCCTGCCAACCCCACAGTCCAGTGAGGAAGAAATCAGTGCTTATTGCTGCATGCCACTGAGATTTCAGGTGGTTTGTTTTGCACCATAATCACCATTTCCTGAACAAGATAGAAGAATTGGTGTTTATGGGGTGAAATCATTGATGAACCCTAATTCTTAGGTGAAGCTTCTGAGCTCCCCTAGGGTACCAACCCTCACCCACCTTCTGCCACTTTTTGAGTTTGCTTCCTACGTTGTCTCTCATCCTGCTTTGAATAATTGTTACTGTACGTATTTTTCTTTCTTTCTCTTTTTGCTTTTATGCCCAAGAAAACTTGGCACATTTTGAGTGAGGAATCTCATTTTGTTTGTCTTGAAAACGGATTTGAGAGCAAAAGATCATGTTCCCTCCAAGTGAAAAACACAGTGTTCTAATGAAAAAAGCAATATAAATAAAGAGCTAAAGAATGATTCAAGTAGCATCGAAGCTCAAAAGAAACCCATGGGTAGAATAAGTTTCAATGGAATTGTGTATGTCTGGAATTTTTTGAGATCATATCCACAAATTCTCACTGGGAGGAACCAGCTAGCTTTGTTTTCTTGAACAATTGTTATAAATTTGGTGCCAGGCTTCATTTAATGGTTGGCCTAAATTGGGCCAATATTTGGCATACTGACTATATACTTGAGAAGCACAATTCAGAAACAAAAGAAAATTGATTCAATTGAGCACAGTATTTTTCTCCATTACCACTGATAATTTTCCCTGGGCTCAGTGGTTTGCGGGGAGAGCCTTTCTAGTAAACCATTTTGTTTGTTTCCCCCTAAGTTATTCAGCAACTAAAACTACATTTAAAAAAAATTTCAAAAACTAAGCATGTTCCCTTTATACCCAATTGGTACCAGTTTGGACTTTCTGAAGGCATAAAGAGCTGTAAGTTGGGGCCTTTCTAGACCAAGAATAAAGAGAGAGAAAATGCCAGAGAGGTATCTGCATTCAAGAGTTGTTTTTCTAACAGAGCAGAGATGAACGCTATAAGAAAATAGCAGAAACTGTAAATGAACGGTGTCCTTAATCATAACTAAATTTGCTGAACTTCCTTGTGGAAATAAGACGTCAGTTGTACAATATGGCCTAATTGTCATCAGTATGGAAGATAAGACTGGGTTACATATTGGATCAAGTATTGGAAAGCATATAAACAAGGAGGTAGTTTGCAAATATTGCTTTTTTATTTTTCAATTTTCCTGTGAAAAATCATCAAAATAAGAGATGAGGCGAGCAACCTCACAGTCATGCCTTGCATCACAATGAGCACAGGACAGAAGGACCACTTTCCAATATCTGATCCAATACATAACCCGGTCTTATCTTTCACACTGATGACAATTATGTCATATTGTACAACTGATGTCTTATTTCCACAAGGAAGTTCAGCAAATTTAGTTATGATTAAGGACACCGCTCATTTACAGTTTCTGCTGTTTTCTTACTGTGTTTATCTCTGCTCCGCTAGAAATACAACTCTTGCTTGCAGATACTTCTCTGGCTTTTTCTTTCTCTTTATTGTGCCTGGCACAGAGGTCCCCAGATATGGGGCCAAGTGAAGCTGAAGTGCAGCCTACAGTCCCCCTTGTTAAGCCATACATCTCAGTGTGACGCCACACTGATGGAGTGGGAGAAGGCTTATCTTTTCCTTATCCACACTGACAACATATAAGATCACTATGCCAAGTACCTGCCATGGGGATGCCATTTTCTAATTCACACAAAGGGTCTGTATGAGCTAGGACCAGCCCTGAAGCAAAGCAATGTGATTGCCAAGTATTGCGTTTGACTAGGAAGTGATATTTTCTTTAGAAGCCTCACCAGGAGTGTCAACAAATACCCATGTCAAAAAATAATGGAAGTTTTCATGAAAATGTGTTCTAATTCAGCACCCTGTCCAAGAATATCATGGAGTTTTGTCAGCTCAGCGATAGCATTCTTGCCTTTAGCCCACATTGTTCTGCTCTGTAGATACCATATTTTTATCCGACTGAGAGGAGACTCAGGCCAGGATTAGTGGCGGCAAAATGGTTCTTTGATGAAGCCTACCCCATGTGAGGGGCCGTCTGGTTATTCTGCTGATCTGTTGAGCTGGTGATATGGATGTCTCCTTTAAGCCCAACCAGATGAGATCTTATATATGGACCATAAAAAGGAGTCACAAACACTGTAGAGTGGTATTTCTTATATGTTTTTGCAGATTCATGCGGGTTTACTCAACCTTCTCAATACCATATCCATTATCCCATATTTAAATTTGCTCCTTAGAATGGTTTAAAACTCAATGGGGCATTTTAAATGTAATATAATTAAATACGGTATGTTTCTTAACATTTTACTTTTACTTTTTACTTAACTTTTTACTTAAACTAAGACCTGGAATTACTGTATCCTTTCAACCAGCAATTCTTTCAACCTTCTGGCTGTGCCTGCTCCCCTAATACTGACCATTGTTTAGTCCTTTGCTCTAGAAAATTCCCTGCTGCCCTTAAGACTACCTACTGTTCCTTCTCCCTCTGGTCCTCTTCCTTTCTCTCTTTACCTAATTGTTTCCTGTTCATCCTTCACATTCCAGCTCAAGTGTCACTTCCTCAGGGAAGTCTTCATAACTTGCCTAAATTAACAAAATCTCCTGCTCTAGGTCCCCATGGAGTCATGTATCTCTTTGGCATAGTGCTTGTTGCAACTGCTACTTTAACATTCTTTCTGTGTGGCTATATGATTATTGCCTATGTCTTCCACATGAAGGGGAATAGATCTGTAACCCCAGAATCTCACCCACAGCCCAACACCGAGGAAACATTCAGCAACTGTTATGAACTAAATGTTTATTTCCCCCCAAAATTTATAGGTTGAATCCCCAACTCCCAATGTTGTGGTATTTGGAAGCAGAGCCTTTGGGTGGTAATTAGGTTTAGATGAGGGCATGAGGTTGAAGCCCCCAGGATTAATGTTTTTATAAGAGGAAGAGAGATGAGAGCTCTCTTCCTCTCTCCCTCCCTCTGTCTTTCTCTCTTTTCTCTCTGTCTCTGTCACATAAGGACTTAGTGAAAAGGTGGCCATCTGCAAGCCACGAAGAGGCCCGAAATCTGCCAACACCTTGATCTTGGATTTTTCAGCCTTCAGAAATGAGAGAAATAAATGTCTGTGGTTAAAATTACCCAGTGTATGGTATTTTGTTATAGTAGCCCAAGCTAAGACAGCAACTGTTTGTTGATGTCTTCCTCCCATCTATTGGATAAATGGATGGGAGAAAGAAAGGGAGGAGGGAAATGTATATGCAGGAAATAATCAGATAAGTGTACAAGATTTAACTATTCAGGATGTTTATCAGACCAATAGTTATAACTACAAAAGCTTGGAAACCAATGTTTTGCGTATCAATATTCTAGCCTCTACCAACGATACCCTACAGTTAGAGAGATGACCCCAGCATATTGTCAAGCAAATGAAAAGAATTATAAAGCAGTGTATACTGTATGGATCTCATTTTCTTTTGAGAAAAATATAATAGAATGACACAAATGTGCACAATAATCTAGAACAAGAACCAGACGACATCAACACATTAACAATAGCTATCTTGGGCTGGTAGAAATCTGGATATTTTTTCCTTCCTTGGACTCCCCCATATTTTCTCATTTTTCCACAATTAGCATGCGCCTCTTGTGTGTACCATATGTCGGTTTCTTCCCACTCAGGCTCTGTTTTTTCCTGACACCCAGTTTGAGGCAGACACAGCACCTCTGCATTCTCCAGAAAGAATCTACTCCACCCATGAGCTTTGGTGAGCAATGTAAATTCTATGGAAGTTTTTATGTGAAAGAGAGAGAGGATGCTTTCATCTCAGAGCCCACAGTGTTTATCTCAAAAAAAACCCACAAGACATTCTCTTACATCAGGGCTCTTTTCCAAGTAACCAGTGGGTTTCCTGCTGTCTCTCGTCTTTTTCCCCATGTAGCCTCTCAGTCTCCCGTGGCCCCTCGTCCTGACTCCAGCTCCTAATTCATATAAATGTAGAGTCACTTCTTTCTTCTGTATGAAATCTTGTCCCAGCCCCATACTGTCTCCTACTCCACAGCTGGCTGAATGCATCTTCTCAGCAAAGGGCATATTTCCTCTGTTAGAAAAAATACTCAAACCAGCTGCTGGGAAGATACAATTTCATCCATATTGTTGCACATAAACAATAAAAATTAAACCATAATTATCTAAAGATGAAAAAGTTCATGTGCAATTTATCATTTTCCCACATGATATGCTATCAGTTCCTAGTGAAGGCCATTGCTAGCCTTTAAAGCAGAAGCATTTCAATTAAGAACAGAAGCGTCAACCACAGCTTGATCTAAGATTTTGCTGATCTTTGGGGAACATTATCTGCTGCACATTGGTCTAGTTATCAAATATCCCATCATGCCCTAGACATTGGTTTTCAAATTCTCAGAGCTGATAGAACTCTGGAAAACCCAATTCTTGGCAGGATTTTAGGGCATCTTAAAAGGCTTGGCACAAATACAAATGAATATATATCTACGAGGACCCTGTTTGCTTAAGTCCCAACTGTTGCCTTCTGAGACTTAAGGACTTCACAAGACCCAATAAGAAACCACAGTTCTTGACAAGGGAGCAAAAACCAGAAGGGAGGTGCACAAGTTCTGAAGCAAACTTCCACAATTCCAATTCTAATTAACCCCAATTTTCATCCAGAGCGTCCGTGTATAACTCAAGTCAGAACTGCTTTTCTTTTTGTAAACAATAACAAGAGCAAACATTTGTTGGTGTCAGTAATGATAACCCTCTCTTATTGAACCGACATGCCAGGTCCTGTCCTAAAAGCTTACCATGGATTATCTCATTCAATTCTCCCAATAACCCTATCTATAGCATATAGATACTATTCATGTCCACCATTTTATTGGAAAACTGTGAACAAGGAGTTAAATAACCTGTTCAAATTCCCGCAAAAGTCATGGAAGCTACACTTGAAACCATGGCTAAAACTTTTGAGATACTCCTGCTTCCCTTATAAATTTGTATCTTCTCTGTCTTCATTTTAGCAGATAACTAGAGAGAATTCTATGACATCTTCAGAACAGATGCACTCATAATATATGTTTGCACAAAAGGTTTTGTTGTTCTGGCCCAGCCATTTCTTAAAATGACCCCTATTAGTTAACAGACATCTGTGTTCCCAAATGATTGGGAGGAACGCTGTCACATGTGTTCCAGCCTCTAACAATGTAACTACTAGAACAGACATAGAGTAAAAGAAAATTCAAGGACTATTATTATGAAATATATTAATATTATATTGTTCCATATATTAATATTATATTGTTCCAGCCTCTAACAGTGTAACTAGTAGAACAGACAAGGAGTAAAAGAAAATTCAAGGTCTATTATTATGAAATATATTAATATTATATTGTTCCACAGTCCTGGTCTTCTGAAATTAAAACTATCGTATTACAAATCTGGCAAAAATTGGCATATATCTATACATCTGGCGTATACATACACGAGTGCACAATATTGCAATTTTCCTTAAAATTTCAGAAAGTATATACTAGTATTTTATCTTTTCCTGACCGTGTAAGCTCAAAAATATTTCAATTATTTGTCCTTTAGAATCTATTTTTCAAAAATATAAAGGGAGAATATACAATTCAAGGTATACTTTTATGAACACAAAAATTCTCTCTCCATATAAACTTGTGGAGATTTTCTTTCAGGTCAAATTCAATTAATCTTCATTGTGTCTTCATAGAAGAGCTGTTTGTAATTCAGCAGAAAACAAAACAAAGGTATAATGAAAGTGGTCAGCTTTTTTGGCTTTATTTTTCAATTACAAAACTTGAGGATAAGGCTTCAAGAGTATTCTAGTTACAATCCAAAGTATTGACTTGTGCTATGAAATATTATCACATGCAGAAATAAATTATAAGGAGGGAAAGTCTTGTTTGTATCCTAACCAGTCCCTCTGAATTTTATTATATCTGTTTTTATGGTATCAAAAATTAGATGTCCACAGTACGTTTTCAGAAATCCCTGCTTCTTGCACTCTTGTCAGTAGGATTCTCTGCCATCATCAACCTAAGTTCCAATCTCAGCTCCACAAGCTGTGTGACCTTGGGTCAATTTCATAATCTCAGCTTCTGTGCTTATGAAACAAGATAACTGTAAAGTATGGATTATATGGGATCATATCTGTGAGGGTAAAAAGCCCTGCAGGGTGCTCAGCACACAGCAAGCACTTAATATATAGCAGTTCTCATGACAATTTCTAATATTCCTGTAGCCTCTTCTCAGGTCTCTTACTGCCCAAAGATGAATGTGACCCCTTCAATCCAGCTATAACTCCACCTGTCTGAGGTAAACAAAGTTATGGTCATTAATAGCCATGACTATTTATATGGTGTTGTTTAATGAGCCCTTTGGGGTCCTCCCTGACATTCCAAATTTCCCACTTAACTCTTTGGGATGAAAACGCTGTCTTAGGAAGACCTATAACATAATACAAATGTCTGGGATACCATCTCAGCACCTATTAACACTGAGTCAAGATTTTATATCACCTAGCTCTCATGTGGCAACAGTTCTTGAGAGCAAGGAACACAGACAGAGGAGTTTTGATGAGGGAAACGGATGGGGAAAAAGTACTAAGCAAGAGGTGACATCAAGAGAACATATATCTGAGGGGTCTGCTTGCCCACCATTTTTTTATGCAACAGAAAAGGAATCTTGTTTCCTACCTTACTGAGGGGACCCATGAATGCCAGAATCCTTCACTCACCTGCCTGCTGCCCCTCCATCGCGGAGTCCTTTGGGGTGAGAGCTTATGTTCAGTTTTGCCAACACACGTGGACCTTATTAACAACAATTGCAACTTTTATTATATAGTCCTTTAGAGTAGTACTTCTGAAACCAATGATGTGCATGCAAATTGCCTGAAGACATTGTTAAAATGTATATCCTGATTCAGTAGGTCTAGGGTGGGGCCTGAGAGTCTGCATTTCTAACCAGCTCCTAGGTGTGCCAATGATGCCCAAAGGCCATAAAGAGAATCCTTACAGCTTACAGATCATTTTCACAGTGACCTCATGCATCTTTACAGCAAACCAGGGGAGAGGGAGGACCAATATTTTATCTCTATTTTATAGGTGAAGAGCCTAAGGTGCCTGGAAGTTAAATGGCCTTCTTAAAGCCAGATGAGCAGACATTCAGGATCCTAATCCGACATTCTTCCAGCAGCGTTGTGCTCTCTCCCTTTAATCTTCCGTGTCGTTAAGTATCATTACTGACTTCAGATCAGTTCATAAATTAACTTTGGAGGAAAAAGGGTAAAGGATGTAGCTGACTCTTCTTTCTGGTGATCTTGGATCTGTTATGTACTGCATCATATCCACCTCCTTCCCTCCCTTTCCCAGGTGTGCCTCCTACCTCATCCCATAGTCTTCACTATATAAATGCATCTGTGGCATGCAGATGAACCTCTTTAATTCCACTCCACAAATATTTGTTGACTTTATATTTGGGCAAGGCATTGAGTCATGATCTAGGGACAACAAGATTTAGTCCCTGCCCTCAAAGAGCATACACAATAGCAGAGAAGACCAGTGTCTTTCCAGCTCGCTACACTAAAAGTCATGCTATGCCAATGCAAGGCATGATTTGACAACAAGAGTAAACACGCTGCTAGGAAAGCAGTGAGGAGGGGCAATTAGTCCCAACTTAAGAGGATCAAGGAAGATCCTCAAAGAAGGCAGTATTTGTGGCTTGACCTTTAAAGTAATGCAGAATTTCAACACGTGGGAAAAAAGGTGGAGGAAGAAGAGAGGGAAGCAAGGACAAATCCCAGGCATGAGTACAGGCTCCGTGGAAGTGATTTTCTGGGTTTGTGGTGGTTGGTCTGTTGCACCTCCAATTGCCAATCAGGTCTGTACATCTGTAATTTAGTCGAGGGGAAAATGCAATACCTTGCCTCTGAGGGTACTGGCGGCAGAGCTTATAGTCTGGTATCACTTGCCCTCGGAATGGAACCCATCCAGGTTCCCACATCTCTTTCTTCCTGAGTCCAATCCACCTCAGGAAAAGTATCACTTTTCAAGAAGGGACTTAGAGGCTCCGATAACAAAGCTCTTATTGGTAGGTCATGTTCT
Source organism: Homo sapiens (assembly GCF_000001405.40). Lineage (NCBI taxonomy): Eukaryota > Metazoa > Chordata > Mammalia > Primates > Hominidae > Homo > Homo sapiens. Next base: position 73,735,925 of record NC_000003.12, on the reverse strand, counting down.
TCTTGGCAGTCCCACAACCTGCCCCTGGATATTTCCTTTCTAGCCTCTTTCTTTTCCAATCATCCCTAATGGAAACATTGCCTCACACCTTCCTTTGCCAAGCCCTCCAGCTTACCTTAAGCCCCACTTCTGGGATGTCTTGCACGAAATCAGTCCCTATCTCCTACAAACAAATCAGTCAGGCTGTCCTCTTTGAGCCGTTTGGTTGCTAAGCACAGGTGATGCCGAAGCTTCTGATTCATGGACCTCACTCTGGGCGGCATAGATCTAAAGTGCCATTTTCCCATATTGACCCGTCACAAGAATTATCTGAGGTACCTGTGAGAAATGACCATTTTCAGGAAACCCCCCATCCTGCTGAATCAAAATCTCTAGAAGAGAGGCCAGGAAAGCCACACATATGTCAGGCACATGAAATGACTCAGGTCATCAGCCAGGTAGGAATCCCTGGTCTAAATTACCCCAAAAATCAAAGCCTGACACTCTCTGATACTATGGATACACGGGAACAACTACCAACTTTAAAAATCCAAGTTGTGCCCTCTTTCAATGTGTTGTTTTAACTGATCTATGCTTAACGATTTATGGGATCTCATTATACAACTAACTGTATGTATGCTAGGCAGTCTTAACAACATGAGCCCCCTCTGTCTCAAAGACCCAGGTATAAAACTTTGCTGAGAAATGAATTAAGATGAACAGATACTATACATATGCATGCTTGGTGTTGATATCTGTGTATGGCTAGGGTTTTATTTGTCCAAGCGTGTCAGTTGCTCAGTGGTTAAAACTGGAGGGGAAGAAGGAAAAGAACAAGATGAAAGGTTATAAGACTTGAAAACCAGTAAATTTGGGGAATGTTTGGCTTTTTGCAAAATATTTTTTAATCACAGATTGTCAGTCCTCTTTCAGATGTGCCAGGTTCTTGTTTAATTACTGCATGTAAATGTCCATATTATAATTAGCAACTGATAGATATACACATAAATACATATGAACAAGCACATACACGTATAATTTTTACATTTGCAAAGAGTGTTCTCTGGACAATCAGAAAGTGTATTTGCATAAATTGTGTTTAAGACTTCCCTATTCAGCTCTGCACACCCTTCCCACGTCCACTACCCCTATTCTTATGAAAAAGAATTGTTGAGATCAATAAAATTATCTGTCTTATATTGATTAAATTATACAAATACTACTATTATTAAACTGTATTCTTCAGCTTTCTGAGACAAGGGAAAAAATACTTTCTGGTATGTAAGTTCAAAGAAATAGACCCCTTACCAGACATGAGCAGTTGTCTTGGGAATGCAGATTTATGAAAATTGATAGCCTGTCTTTGTCTGGCAAAACAAAGTGCCTTTCTTTCCCGTTTTGTTCTCTGCCTGTGTAACAGAGACAATTCTTTTTTTTTTTCTTTTTTAGGAAGGGAGGGGGATGTGACTTCTTAAATTAAACATACCTCTCAAGTCCTCTGCAAGGAAACACCTCTAGGGTCTCTGCACTCCTTTGAGCCCCAGAAAAAAAGATGTTGACTTCAAGTTCAAGCTGAAATAAAGACTGAAAGCAAATAAGTTGGGGTAGAAGGAGACAGATGTTCAGATCATGTGTTTAAATTGATGATAAGTAAACAGGTTATTATAAACAAAGCCAAACAGCTGGACATGGTTACAGAGTGCTTTTTTAAAAAGTAAAATAAATAAAATTAAAATTTTCTTTTAAAAAATGAGAATGTAGAAAAATGTAAAAAGACGATAATTTTGTTCTATTTTGGTATCAGGGAGACAGTATCAAGGTTTTTATATTTTTCATTTCCATAAATTATGTTTATATGCATGTTACACTTACCTAGGCTTACTTGGCATATGCTAAAAATAATACGGACTTTTCATGTCCTGGGACACATCACGTGTTCCTCCAATTACCCTGTTTTCAGTTTCAGGGCCGCTCAAAAGGTAAACAGGCAGCTGACATAACACTACAAATTTAAAACGTCACTTGAACCATACCCATTTAATAAGGAGACAAAGGGACCACGGTGGCTTTTTTTTCCGCCCTAAAAATCTGGAAAGCAACTGCATTTTCTATCACACTTTTGGGGATTTGAACAGTATCCAGACATCTGTAAGATGTGTATTTTTAATCACTTCTGACTTTCACTTCCAAGTCTTGTGTATGAAAAACTTGAAACTGCCATGTGGCCTACAAGCCTGTGAAGGTCTCCCCACCCCATCCCCAAATATGTGGGGTTCCAAAATCATTTGTTCCCAATTTCCCCAGTTTGGGTTAGAGTATGTCCATAGGGCTCGCTGACTCTTGGTAAACTGGAAACCTGATTTGATTTGGCAATGTTTCTGCTAGCTGCACCTTCCCAGGGGGTCTTGCCTTCACTCTCTTTCTGACCTGAGTTAACTATATATTTTTTTCATTTGCCTGGAATAGTGGAACAATTTTACTACTAACTAATCACAACACTTATTAAGCATTTATGAGTTATAAGGCATTGTACTAGCATTGAAGTGAGAGGGGCCCTGTAAACAACACAGTATCTGCTATTACTGAGTTTGGCATCCAGTTAACAAAGAACATACAAGCAGGTGAAATGATCAATGACGATCAAAGATGTAAATAACAATCTGAAAAAGAACCAATAGCAAAAGGTATATTTGTAACTATTGCCAAGGATGAAATATAAGAATAATTAGAGTTCAAAATGGCAGAGAGAGTATTATAGTGGAAATACAAACTAACTAAGGGGCTACTATGATTGACCAAGTATACTGATTTGGCTGTGACAACATCAGTTTATACTTGTTGTCCTGGTATCATATTTATTCTTTTCATTCTTTTTTTTTTTCTTTTTTCTTTTTTTTTTTGAGATGGAGTCTCTCTCCGTCACCCAGGCTGGAGTGCAATGGCATGATCTCGGCTCACTACAGCCTCTGCCTCCCAAGTTCAAGCAATTGTCCTGCCTCAGCCTCCTTAGTAGCTGGGACTACAGGCACCCGCCACCACACCTGGCTAATTTTTATGTTTTAAGTAGAGACAGGGTTTCGCCATGTTGGCTAGGCTGGTCTTGAATTCCTGACCTCAGGTGATCTACCCATCTCAGCCTCCCACAGTGCTGGGATTACAGGCATGAGCCACTGCACCCAGCCTCTTTTCATTCTCATAAGTGTTGCAGTTAGTATAAGAAATTATGTGCTCACCCTATTTATGGAAGAGTGAATTTAGACACAAGGAAGGAAAGTGAGAAAGATATTCCAAAATGACATAAATGAAGATTACAAAAAGAGAAAGGGGAAAATAAGGCACGTACAAAGATTCAGTGAGTAAACCAATGTGTTTAGCAACAACACAGATAAATATATGTAGTGTATTTGAAGCTTATCACATCTAATCCACTACCTATGTACAGGAAATGATTTTTAAATTATTAAAATTACACCAATCTAATATATGGTGAAATAAACAGAAAATACAGATGATGAAAAGATTTGTAATTGCCCATAATTTCTCATACCCAGTATTCATTATTGTTAATATGTTCACTGCATGTTATTTAAGAGTTTTCTTTGCAGATGTAACCAAACAATGGCATCATCATATTGTCCATATGATTTTAAATATGCTCTATTCACTCACTACACTATGAATATCTCTCCATATCAATAAATAGATGTATGACAATTGTTTCATGTAATAGCATTATATAGTGAACTGTGATATGTTAAACAAGTTCCTAGGTTTGATATTTGGAAAAACTCATGGAGAATTTTTTGCTATTATGAACAGCATTGCAATGTATATTCTTGCACAAAATCTGTGTTCAGTTGTCCAATTACTTTCACTTAATACATGATGAGAAGGGTAATTTCTAAATAGATTATTTTTTAGAATTTTTAACTTGCAGCAGAGAAGTTGAGTCACCCAGGCCATTGACCTATTGTCATTTTGTTTCCACATGACCACAAAGAATAATCTTAAGATCCTTGACTTTTCTCCACTGCTGTTATAGCTATCTTAGTTTTCCCGAGGCACTGTGATAGCCTCTTAATTTATTTTACTTCTTCCACTCTAACTCTGTCCCAAATATTCTCCACACTGCAAGAAGATGAGTTATTTTAAAATGTCACCCAGATTATGTCATTCACCTGCTTGAAACCCTTCAGTGTGTTCCAGTGAAACTCAAATAAAACCCAAGCTGTTCACAATAGCAAAGACATGGAATCAACCCAAATACACATCAGTGATAGACTGGATAAAGAAAATGTGGTACATGTACACAATGGAATACTATACAGCAATAAAAAGGAATAAGATTAGCCAGGCACGGTGGTTCATGCCTGTAATCCCAGCACTTTGGGAGGCCGAGGCAGGTGGATCATGAGGTCAGGAGATAGACACCATCCTGGCTAACACGGTGAAACCCCGTCTCTACTAAAAATACAAAAAATTAGCCGGGAGTGGTGGCACACACCTGTAGTCCCAGCTACTCGGGTGGTTCAGGCGGGAGAATCACTTGAACCTGGGAGGCGGAGCTTGCAGTGAGCCGAGACTACGCCACTGCACTCCAGCCTGGGCGACAGAGCAAGACTCAGTCTCAAAAACAAAAAAAAAATAATATGATCATGTCCTTTACAGGGACATGGATGGAGCTGAAAGTCATTATTCTCAGCAAACTAATGGAGGAACAGAAAACCAAACACCACACCTTCTCGCTTATAAGTGGGATCTGAACAATGAGAACACATGGACACAGGGAGGGGAAAAACACACACTGGAGCCTATTGGGGGCAGGGGGTGGGCGGGGGAGAGACAGCATCAGAATAAATAGCTAACGCATGCGGGGCTTAATATCTAAGGTGATAGGTTGACAGGTGCAGCAAACCACCATGGCACACATTTACCTATGTAACAAAACCGCACGTCTGGCAACACATGTATCCCGGAACTTAAAACAAAACAACAACAACAAAAAAAAAAACAAAAAAAAACAAGCTCAAGCTCCCTCACATGATCTGACCTGTGCCCTCCTGGCCTTCCCAATCTCCTCCCCGCTCCCCGCCATCTACCACACCCCAGTACCAGGGCCACCTTTCAGTTCCTAGAAGGAGTAAAGCTGCTGGCTGCTTCTGGGTCTTCACCTACCACTTCCTGCAACACTCTTCTCCTTTATGACTTTGCTCAAATCGTAATTATATCAATCTATTTCTAGCTAGTTTATTTTTCAGCTCCTCTAGTGGATTCTACGTTCTGTGGTGGCACTAATGAAATTGGATTTTTTCACTATCGATTTGGCAGTAATCCTAATACAGTGATTGGCACATAATAGGTGCTCAGGAACTATTAGAGAGGTAGAGGGATGGGTGAAGTTTGTGGCCATGGACCCAAAAAACCACCCCCACATAAGCCTGGGTCTTTTACTCTTTTAGCACGGTATTCTTAAAACCTTAGCTAACCACAGCAGGAATAGAAGCACTGTTGGTGTCAGATAACAAAATGCCAAAATGGGAAGTACCTGGAGATAGACTAATATTATCTGTAAACTCCCTAGAGACTGGCACCTTGGATAGCCCTTTAGTCCATGTGAGGGCTTGGCTGACCCAAGACCAGGACGGAGGCAAGCAGTCCAGCATTATCCATCTGACTTTCCAAAGGAAAGCAGAAGTCACCCCAAGGGTAGGATGAGTGACACAACACAGCCGGCACCAGGATGACCAACAGGATTAGCTGGGTCAAGGCATCAGCCAGCCAGAGCAGCCGCGACAGGCCCAGCAGATGCCGAGGAGTGATCGGCTGTCACCTCTGCTCATCTCCATCTGTTTGTTTGGCTGACCCCAGCGCTGGCCCCAGCTTTCTTTCTGGACTCATAGGCAGCTGGGACCCAGGGAAAATGAGTATCACGCGAGAGTGTTTGGCAACTGTGTGTCTGATGTGCACTCATAAGTCATGGGAATGACCAGGGCGAGGTGTCAACTAACAATTTCTGCATGCTTCCCCTCACTCCTGAGCCCACTCTCCACAAGCAGAGAAAGGGGAGATGGCGATGGCAGAAATCTTCGCACAGGTAATTCAGAGGATAAACAAACCTCAGGGAGCTGGTCAGAAGTCTGACTGGGGCTAATCCTTTGCATTACCTTGCATTCACCAGACTGAGAGAGATAATCTTGAGCCCAAGCCCTCTGGATTCTAAATGCCTGCTTAAGACTGACACTGTGTAGGTAAACGTTTTAGGTCAGAATATTAGCTCAGTCATTTCCTGGCTGTGTGGCCTCAGGCAGATTTCCTAACTTCTCTGAGCCTCAATTTTCTCTTCTGGAAAATTATGCTCAAAACATATCCTAAGGCAAAAGACAAATGAGAGAATGTTACTTGGGGTCTTAGCACAGGCCTATAACATATTAAGTTGTCAATTAATAGTTGTCAATGACAGCTATTGTTATTATTAAAATGTATATAGACAGAAGTATGCATATACACATGTGTTTTGCTCAAAGAGCCTCATACTCTTTGGGGAAAGAAAGAATCATAGCATTTCACTTAGAGCTTTTATCCTATCCTACAAAAATCTCACCAATTTGAGGGCTCAAAATACCAACTGGCAAGTACTGTTCACACAGTGTTTCTATACAGAAGTTTATTGAAAAAAAGGTGTCAGAATACTCAATGAGCAACACGTATATGGTTGCTCATTGAATACGAGATACCACATTCAAGATACCAAGATAGTATTCTGCCAAGTTATGGAACAACTTGGAATCTTAATAATTTAGTTATCGAAAGCGTACAGAAAATAAACAAGAAAGTCCCTGTGTTGCCGGGCGCGGTGGCTCACGCCTGTAATCCCAGCACTTTGGGAGGCCGAGGCAGGTGGATCACGAGGTCAGGAGATCGAGACCATCCTGGCTAACATGATGAAACCCCGTCTCTACTAAAAATTCAAAAAAAATTAGCAGGGCGTGGTGGCGGGCGCCCGTAGTCCCAGCTACTGGGGAGGCTGAGGCAGGAGAATGGCGTGAACCCGCGAGGTGGAGCTTGCAGTGAGCCGAGATTGCGCCACTGCACCCCAGTCTGGGCGACAGAGCAAGACTCTGTCTCAAAAAAAAAAAGTCCCTGTGTTAAATGATTTCAGTCTTATGGGGGAAATAAGTAATAAGGGAATTAAAAACAGAGTGATACGTGCTTTGATTGGAGTAATCATAAGGTACTGTGGGAGTACAGGGGAGGGATGCCTTAGCTACCCTTAGAGGATGTGTGTGTGTATTTGTGTGCATGCACCCATGCAGTTTTGCACCCTTTTGAGTGTAGGAAACACTACCTGACTATAGGTGACAGGTAAACTCTAAATATAAGATAAACATTGGAGGGAGAATATGAGGAATGAGATAAAAGGGTAACTGCAGGGGGAGTAAAATATAGTAATGACAGTAGGCTACAACCTATCAGCTGTGTGACCCTGAGAAAGTCAATCAACCTCTCTGAGCTCAGTTTCTTCACCTGTAAAATAGGAATGTCAGCCCCTCACAACACTGCTATGAGGATTAAATGACACAAAAATAGCTCAGTGCCTGCATATTGAAAGTGTTTGACAAATAATAGCTGCTTTTATTGTCATTGATATAAATTATCTTAGGTTTCTCACAGTCCTTAGAAAGGAATCAGAGAATCCCCCAAGATATTTTGAAGCTTTGGAACCATTCTGTGATATTTGTCTTGTTTCTACATTTCATCTGGTCTGAGAAGTTCTCTCTGATCTTCTTCGGTGGAATGCTTAAGTATCTTCAATCTCATCTGGAGTGCTAACTCTGACGTGTTGCTAATGACTGCCTCAAGTGAAAAAGGGCACTGTGATCCACTGGCAATGTCAGTTATGGGGAAGGGTGAGGAGAGCAGTGCTACAGAGTTCCTGGTATTTGCTATCCAGGAAGCACTAGTACCATTTCTGTCACCAAGATGGCCTATTGTTCTTTCTAAGGACACCTCTGGCCTTGGCAGGTGACATCTAGCTCCCTAGTCCTCCCTAACACTAGTATATGCCCTGTATTCCTTCTCAAAGCTCCCCCATTCCCAGAAAGAAAAAGGCAAAACAGCCATATGCTACCAAACACATTTCTTCTTTCCAGGATGTCTTTGATTCTCTTTCATGAATCTGAGTCATCTCTCCACACCCACCAGCAGTCCCAGCTGAAATTACTGTTTTCCACAGCACTTCAAATTTTTATATCCTCAGGGCCTGCTTTCTATCTGGATCAGAATGCCTTTGGGGGAGGGGGAAGGCACCCAGGCTTCTCTCCTACAGGGATTTCTTCTTGAAATGTATTTTCTCCTCCACATCAAAGTCCATTGAAAACACAGAAACTTCAACCCATCAGGGGTTATATACACATATAAATACATTCATCACTTCCGCTAACCCTGGTCAGTATCAAGAGTAACTCCTCTGCGAGGGCACAAGAAGTACATTTCATAAGGCAGCCGACATGATCACTGGCCCAACACCATTTTCCTCTGCATTGCAAAACCCTGCATGATGTTCACACTGCAATCAGTGTGCTCTCAGGGCCTGCAAGCCCCATTCCTAGCCATCACTCAATTGAGGCCACTTCAGGGAAATCTTACTGAGTAGCAACAAAATCTGTGCACAGCGTGATGCAAGCCACATCTTCTGCAGCAAAGGAAATTCCATTGTCGCGGGAATGTCAGCCATTCCCAGAAGAGCCAGCTTCTCTGGCTCTCTAAGCAGTCAGAAAGCTGAGCTGACAAACGGATCTGAGTAAGCTCACTGCAGCACGACAAGCTGGCAGCACTGTCTTTCCCAACTCTTGCCTCAGTCATGAAAAAGACAAGAATCATTACATCTAAAGCAAAATTCTCAAAGCCTGGATCAAAATCATGAAGAGGAGAGGGGAATAAAGGATGAGGAGGAAGCATTTGTTTAAAATGCAGATTCCCAGGCACCCACAGGACCTACTAAGACTGTCATCCCTTAGAGCAGTATCCAGGAATCTGATTTAAACCCAAACATGCAGAGGTAGGCTTGGACACATATGCTGAGATTCTCACGCACAGTGAGGTTCGAAGCTGCAAAGAAAAGTTTAACTCGTCAGCCATAGTACTGCCTTCTTCTTCACAGACCAGTAGAGAAATGTGCTACTTGATTACTTAGCAGAGGAAACTTTCATAGCACCAACTTCCCAGAGGCAGGAAACGTTTTCAGCTCTTATTTTTCCCATGACACCTCGTTTGTTGTGAAGCCTTTGTTGCCCACATGCAAACTCTGCAGCATCTTCAATATGAAGCCTAAGTTTTCTCCATCTTTTTCAAATTTGTAAACGGATAAGCCCCATAGCCACATCTGCTGATAAAAGGCAACAGGCAAGACAATTTTAATTCATATCTATAACAGTCCTTCTTTAAACTTACGAGGATATCAAACTATTTTTTCCTTCACTTACATTATCTTCCCACCTGCCTTTGTTTTACTTCTGGATCTTTTTGGTTGCAAATAACATAATCTACTGAAATGAGTTGAAGCTACAAAAGAAAGAAGATTATAAAGTAACAAGGTAGGAAATACAGTTAGGCTTCCCCAGGAGCTAAATCTGGATCTTTGCAAACACTAGGAATTATAGTAGACCCTGTTTACTGTCTGTGCAGCATTCTCCTCTTCCTCCTCCCTCACAGAGCCCCAGTTTCCCTCCAGCATCCATCCCTCCCCTGGAGGCTCAATGGTCTCTGAGGAAGCTGCACCCATCCCAGCTCCCAGTGTTGAACCTGAGGGATCCAAGCCATTGATTCCTGTTCTAGCAATTGTATTATCCAGAAATGAAGCTCAAAGCTAGTATAATCTATATATTTTATACAATCTACATAATTTCCTAACTATGATATAAAAGATTTTAAACATTTCCTATAATAAGATTATATGCATTCCAATCAGAAAATGCCCAGGCATGACTCCTTTAAAGCACATAATAAATACTAGGAAAGTGGTGTACTTGTAAAAAGAAGCATTGTGAATTTGAGGACTCTGAGTTGACATCATGTTTTCTCAGCCTCAGCACTATTGACATTTTGGGCTAGATAAGTCTTTTTATTGTTGTTGTCGGGGGCTGTCTTATGCATTGTAAGATATATAACAGCATCCCTGGACTCCATCTACTAGACACTAGTAACACACACACATACACACACACACATACACACACATACACACACACACCTCACAACCGAAAATGTCTCCAGACATTGCAAACTGCCTCTGGGGGAAAGATTACCTCTGGCTGACAGCCACTGGTATAGACTGATAGAAGATGTGTTTTTTTGGTAACCGAAATACAACAAATAGTGTGGTTGCCAATTGTATCTTGCAAATCAGTGCTTTATGTTTATATGTAAATCAGTCATATAATGCACTCAAATGGTTATAGAGATATTCCCACCTGCAGATCAAGGAAGAATGTAAAATGGTGCAGCTGCTTTGGAAAACAGTCTAGCAGTTCCTCCGAAGTTTAAAAATAGAGTTGCCATATGATCCAGCAATTCCATTACTAGGTATATACCCAAGAGAAAGGTAAGCATACGTTCACCCAAAACTTTGTATGTGAGTGTCCAAAACAGCAAAAAAGAGAAAACAACTGAAATGCCCATCAATGAAGATTCAATATTCATTATGATGAATGGATAAATAAAATATGGTATCTCCAAACAATGGAACATTGTTCATTCACACTGAACATCTTATTCACACTGAAAAAGAATGAAGTACTGATGCATACTACAACATGGATGAACTTTGAAAACATGCTAACTAAAAGAAGCCAGCCACCAAAGTCCACATATTGTTTCATTTGATTTACAGTCATGTGCTGCTGATGTTTTGGTCAATGACAGACTGTATACACAACAGTAGTCCCATAAGATTACCATACCATATTTTTACAGCTCCAATATAGTTTGTGTATATATATATATATCCCCACCAAATCTCATGTTGAAATGTAATACCCAGTGTTGGAGATGGGGCCCAGTGGGAAGTGTTTGGGTCCTTGGAGTGGATCCCTCATGGCTTGGTGCTCTCCTTGTGATAGTGAGTGAGTTCTCACAAGATCTGGTTGTTTAAGTGTGTGGCACCTCCCCACTTCTCTCTCTTGCTCCTGTTCTGGCCATGTGGCATACCTGCTCCTGCTTTGCCTTCTGCCACGAGTAAAATCTCCTTGAGACCTCCCCAGAAATCAAGTAGATGCCAGAGCTATGTTTCCTGTGCTGGCTGCAGAAACATGAGACAAAGGAACCTCTTTTATTTATAAATTACTCAGCCTCAGGTACTTCTTTAGAGCAATGCAAGAACAGCCTAACACAGGTACTTCTTCTATGTTTACATATGTTTAGATACATAAATACTTTTGTGTAACAATTGCTTACAGTACTCACTACAGTCACATGTTGTACAGATTTGTAGCCTAAGAGCAACAAACTATACTATATATCGCAGGTATGTAGTAGGCCATACCATCTAGGTTAGTATAAGTACACACTATGATGTTACACAACAATAAAACTTCATAACAACACATTTCTCAGAAAGTATTGCCATTGTTAAGTGACACCTGACTGTATATCAAAAATCCAGACTAGGACAATCTATAGAGGCAGGAGGTAGATTAGAGATTTCCTAGGACTGAGAGTGGGAGATTGAGTGATTGCTATGAGTATGGGTTTTTTGGGAAGAGAGAAAGATGAAAATGTTCTAAAATTGATCATAGTGATAGTTGTAAAACTCCTTGAATAATGTAAAAAACATTAAACTGTGTACTTTAAATAGGTGAGTTCTATGGTATGTAAATTATATCTCAATAAAGGTCTTTTTTTAATATCCTGCAGGTCAGAGGACAGTTTCGTACTGTGTGAGACTATATTGTCATCTTCTTTATGCTTTGCAAGACATTTAACTTCTATTCCACCTGTTCTCTCAAATCATTGTGACAACAACAGCCCCTTACATTTCCTCACAGTGCTAGTTTCAGCCCCATGGAGAATCAGGAACCACTCACTGGTCTAAGCCGTTTCTCTAAATCAGTTCTTTCTTGCCAGTGATTGGTTGAGAAATTCGGATTTAAGCCAATCAGTAAATATGTTTAGCAGGGTGCCCACATGACTTGTGTTGGCCCAATCAGAACAAAGAAAAGACTTTTAGCCAGCGATTTTGGGGAGCCTCACTTTCTCTCTCCCTGACTGGGTTTGAATAAACACACAAATGCTTCTGATTGCTCCTGACAGCCACTTTGAGATGAAGAGTAAAACCAGCTGTAGAATCAAGCCAATGGTGTGGATGGTAAGGCAGAAAGAATCTGAGTTCATTGCTGAACTGCTGAATTAACCAACCCTACAGCCCAGGCTACCTTTTGATTTCCTGTTTTGTGAAATAATAAAATTCTTTATTGTTTTAACCACTTTGAGATCTGTTCTCTGTGAAATAGAAACCAAAGTGGACAGAGGATAGGGAGTGAGATTTGCTACTACCCTACAACAAGTTGAAGTCCCAGGATATCTGTTCATTCCTGGCAAGATTTCCAACTCTGCCAAGGAAGCACAGGAAGTGGAATCAATCCCATTCTAGAGGAAGCAACATATCAAAGAGCATGTTTTGGGACCCCAACTTTAAAATTAGGGTTCAAGTCAAGGCCCAGACCTAAAATGGGAAATTGGCAGACCAGGCTGTGTAAAGGGCTATGGTAAAGGGAAAACTAATGAAAAGATTCAGCTACAATGATACCCAGAGCTCATCTCTGCCATTTTTAGAGTTTCCTATTGCTTGTAGGTATTCTCAAGCTTGCTTTTTATTGATGTAAATACTCTGAATTCATTGTTTTATAATTTTGTATTGATGAGTCCAATATCTGAAGTCTTCATTGTTTTTGCTCTCTGTTGTCCCTGCTGGTTCTCACTCTCAACTCTCACTCTTGTTGCCTTATTTCCTTGTTTCCTTATGTGCTTGATTATTTTTAACTGTATGTTGGTCATTGTCCTTAAGTATTTGAGGGGATTCTATGTGACTTAAGTTGAAGTGACTTCCTCTGGAGATAATTTGAGTTTGCCTCTAGCACATACCTAGATACATAGGCAGTCCAGGACAACTTTAATGTAAATTCCTGAGTTGAGATCATGATGAACTTCACAAACGAGGAACACATTATCAGTACCAGCATCAGCCTTATTCCTACCATTATTGAGCATTCTGTGCATGTATTATCTAAGCTATTGGTCCTCAACCTTTTTGACACCAGGGAATAGTTTCATGGAAGACAGTTTTTTCCATGGACCAGGGAAGAGTTGGGGGAGATGGTTTAGGGATGAAACTCTTCCACCTCAGATCATCAGGCATTAGTTAGATTATCATAAGGGGCACTTTATCTACAACCCTCACATGCACAGTTCACAATAGAGTTCACACTCCTATGAGAATCTAATGCCACCACTGATCTGACAGGAGGTGGAGCTCAGACAGTAACGCTCACTCGCCTGCTGCTCACCTGCTGCTATGCAGCCTGGTTCCTAATAGGCCTGTGTATAGGTCTGCAGCCTGGAGGTTGGGGACCCCTGATCTAATTACTTCACTGCTTCCTCACACTTGAACTTCACAGAAACTATGATGCAAGTATCAAAATAACCTGCATAATACAGAAAGAAAATGAGGGCACAGTATATTAAGTAATTAACCTGAAGTCATATAACCAGCTATTGGTAGAGATATAAAAGACCTATAACCTAAAGTCCTATATGCCATGACCTACTTACTAAGCTATAAGTACTTAATAAATGTATGTTGATGATGTTCATCGCTGTAAAACTATTATTCCTGTGAGTGTAGAAAGGAAATAGAAATAAGATACAAGCTTGGCTGGATTAAAGTTTTGAGATGAAGTCCTCCAATCTCCATTTTTCTCCACACTACGTAGATGAACTGAGTATGCCTGGTAGTGAAACACCAGGCAAAGTTTGAAGATGCAGTCAAATGTTATGCATAAAACAGTAGACCAATGCCAACTCCTTAAAAGAATAGACATCTGAGAATCACAACTACCACTGAACTCACAATTAAGTTTAAAATTATTTTACAGGAAGAGGAAGCTTTGCAGAGGCACTGTCAGTAGCAGCCTGAATAAGTTATCCAAGAAAAAAATTGGAGAGAAATTTCTTGGAGTTTCCTGCTATCATTAAGCTAGAGATTCAGTACGAATTGAGGGTTCCCAAGGGCAATTTTCTGAAAGGGCATAGGCACTTTATCCTCCTCTGCTAGCCAGATTCTTATTGCCTGTTCTTGGGACCCTGCCATCAAGTGTTCTGGAGGCCACCAGGGCAGATGATGAGGCCACAGAGCCAGGTGATCTGAAACATTGCCACTGCCCTAGGTTGTGCTTTTCCTCATTATTCACCTGGACAATTGAAATTGAGTCCAGACTGGACTCCAGCCTCTAGTTGTCTGCAAGTACCTTAAGAGCAGGAATTACTGATCTTTACTCATTAGTGCCCAGTACAGTGATGGCACATTTGCCCGCTGGTTCAGCAGCAATTACTTCTTGAACATCTACTCTCCGCTAGTCACTGAGGATACAATGGTGAACAAAAACTTGCGTGGTACATGCTCTTATGGGGTGCATGGTCTAGGGAGGAGCATATAGTTGCCAAATAATAAAAGCCAAATGCATAATTACAAACTCTCTTATAAACGTGATGAAGGAAGGGAACTGAGGACACTGAAAATCTGATCTATTCTGGGGGTACAGGGGAACCTCTGAGAGAAAATGGCATTCAGGTTAAGTTAGGAAGAGTATAGTTTATTCGAGTAAAGAGGGAAAAAACAGAGACGAAGAGAACTATAGTTGCAAAGGCCCTGTAGTCAGAGGAGTAGAGCATAGATAACCCAATAAAACTTGAATGTATAAATTAATGATTGAGTGACTCAGAATAACAACTAACATTTCTATGGTACTTACCATGTGCCAGGAATTATTCTAGCGTTTAATTTATACCAACTCATTTAACCTCCACAACAACCCTATGTGATAGGTATTATTTTTGTCTCCATTTTGAAAATGGGGAAACTGAATTACAGAGAAAATATGTAACTTGTGAAAGTTGAACAATTATCAAACTGTGCAACTGGGATTTGGACCCAGGAATCTGGGCTGAAGCAGATAACTAGGGCTTCTCTGGTGATCTATGAAATCCCTGGAATAACATGTTATTAAATAGAGCAAATATGGTGGCCTGAAACAGGGAACATCAGTTCTAAAATTGAGTCTACGAGATCCAGGAGCAAAGTTTTTTGAAAGATGTGAGCTACTCAAAGGAATATGGAATAAGAAGAAGAATGCAATGGAATTAAACATGCTTGAAGGTTTTAAAAACTCAATTAAAAATGCCATTGTAAAAGAAAAAAATGTTAAATTCTATAAATTTGCAATAAAAATAGTAGAGAATAAGAAAACAAATACTAACTTCATCAAACTTTGGAGTGAAAATATTTACATAATCAGCATTGTTTCTTTTGAATATCTTTCCCATGCGCGTACTCTAAATATTATGAACATCATTTCTTCTTGTAATTTTTTCCTCCCTCTGTCATCTATAAATGGACCCTGCTTAACATTTTATATCCAAGTGCTAGAAGCATTGAGAATTGGGAAGCCCTGGAAAACCCCTTATTTCTCCACAGTAAGGATGTACTCATGAGCTCTGCTAGGAAATTCATTCTGGTTGTCAGCTGAGACTTTATTTCCTCTCTGATGCTCATATTTGCATGAATCCAAAATCCAAATTAAGTCATAGGTCGTGGGACTATGCAGGCAGGCAGCCAGCAGCTCTGCCAATGCCAGTTACCTTCATAAAACCAAGACGTCTTTTATTATCCGAGGATCCTCCGAGTGAGGCTTGCCCTTTCCACTGAAGTTTTCAGCAAGTTAAGTCCAGGGTACTTAGAGCTGCTTGTTTACTTTAAAATTTCCTCTCTTGCTCTCTCTCTCTGTCTCTCTTAACCCGCGACCCTTTTTCTCTCTCTTGTCTCTCTGTTTGTCTCTTTCTGGTTTTCTTTTTTCCTTTCCAGCTTCTTTGCTCCTCTTGGCTACTCTTGAGAGCAAGCATTGGCAGGCAATGAATCAAAGTGGGCTATTTTTGCTCTCGCTGTGAGGATGTTTACAACATATTGAAAACTCGGCTTTGTAGTTTAACGTCATTTTCAGTATATTTTCAGAAAATCTGACTGGCTTCCAAGTTCAGTAGATGACTGTGAAACCCACAGAGGGCCTTATGTACCTCATACCTTACCTTAGGCGGCTGCCCTGACTCTTAACGGCTCACATTGCATCAAATATGGCCCCACATGTGTAGAAATGGAAAGATGGGCATGCTGACCAAATTTATTTCCTAACAATGCTGATTTCATAAACAGTAGCTCAAAGTTGTGAAACAAGAAATTTAAAACTAGCTGTGTACAACAAGAAATTCTATGAACACTCTATCTCTGGCCTAATTAAGCTATTTTTCCTTCCCACCCAACCAAGCTGCCCCCAAATGTTTTGGATACATGTACCATCCCATTAGAATATAGTTAATCTTGAATATATTTCACCATGAAATATGAACATAGTAATTAGAGAATTTTCCATTCAACATCCCCTATCATATTCCTAGCATATTGGAGTCTGTTAGAATAGCATTTAACTGTTTTCATATGGGCTTCAGCAGACATCCTGGAAGATTTGAAATAGCCAATAAATTCAACACAATGAAACCTAGTCAAACTTCTATCCTTTTCCTTCCTTTCTTTTCTTTTTTTTCTCTCTCTCTCTTTCTTTCTTTCTTTCTTTCCAACTCCAGGTTCTAAATAAAATAAGATTAAGGTTGACCTAATTTTCTAAGAGCCGCCTGCTGATTTATCAGCTGATAGCATGTCTGAGGTATTCAAGCCAATTAAACTGGTTCACAAAGTATTGCTCAGTGGGTAAATATGAGGTAGAAACATCCAGGAGGTCTTCTTTTTATCTGATGCTGAAATCAGAGGTCTGGACAGGCTAATTGGTGTTTGTAAGGGTGGTGGGGAAATAGCCCACTGGTGTTCACTAAAAACTGTACTAATAACTCATTAACAGAAACCTCAAGCAGAGACACTCACATGTGGACAGTGCAGATAGAGTGGGGCTGAAATCGAGCTGGCCTGCTTTCTTGGACCAAGGCTAACTTTCCACTGAGGTTTTGATCCGTAGCACTGTATTAAGTCCTTGTTTGTGAGTGACTTCTATTGTCTAGGTACTTTGCAGGCTCACACCAGGCAACACTGGGCCTGTTGTTCCAATCCACTTTGAGATTCTGTAATTTAAACAGCACAGAGCGTGGGCCAGCCCCGAGAGTTATAACCTAGTTTAACTGGATTTAGAAAACTGGTTAAACTAGGCTACAACTCCCTTGGTCTTGAACCTGCAGTTTTGGTTTTGGTTTTGTTTTTCTTTCCCTTCTGTTCAGAGTATAAGTTCACTTGCTTTAGAAAAATGGAAACAATAAGAAAATGGAAAATGACAAATATGCTGGGGAATTTATTTGAACTGGCACAGTAGTCTTACCTATAACAAAGAAATTCTTTAAACTTCTAGCATTTGCTAATGACACTGGCCAGCACTATACCATAACTGCTTAAGATCTGACTTTCCCACTAGACCAGTGGTTCTCAAACTCCACCCCACATCTGTGCTGTCAGGAGGTCCTGTTAAGATGCAGACAGATGCCCCACTCATGGTGTTGCTATTTCAGTAGGTCCAGATGGGATCTGAGAATTTGTCTTTCTAATAAATTCCCACATGATGCCAATGCTGATGGCCCAAGGAGAACATGTCAAGAATGACCGCACAAGACTGGCAACTCCTCGAGGGCAGGAATAGTCTCATTTGTCCCAGTATTCATAGCACCTAGTGCTGTGTCTGTTACACATCCATATTCTAATAAATGACTGTAGCTATTTATCTAAGTAGTATTCAATATCTACAATTTGTCAGAAATTGTTCTAAACACTAGAAATTCCACAGTGAACAAGACAAAGATGTCCCATGTCCTCAGAGAGTTTCCATTCTAGTGGTGCAGCCAAGTAGGAAACAAAGAAATTTATAAAGTCATGTCAGTTTGTGCTAAGTGCTATGAAGGAATTCAAAGCAGGACAAGAGGACAGAGAACAATGGAGGCAGGAGGCACTGTTAGATGGGGTGTCAGGGAAGGCCTCTCTGAGGAGGAGACATGTGCAGAACACTGAATGAAACGAGTGAGCAAGTCATGTGAAGATCTAGTGGAGGAAGATTTCAGGTGGAGGTAGAGCAAGTGCAAAGGCCCTGAGACAGGAGTAGGATTGGTGATGTGGTTTTGCTGTGTCCCCACCCAAATCTCACTTTGAATTGTAGTTCCCATAATCCCCATGTGTTGTGGGAGGGACCCAGTGGGAGGTAAGGAATCATTGGATTTGGCAAAATGGAGGCCCTTGGTGACTGTATTAGTTCACTTTCATGCTGCTGATAAAGACTGGGAAGAGAAAGAGGCTTAATTGGACTTACAGTTCCACATGGCTGGGGAGGCCTCAGAATCATGGCAGGAGGCAAAAGGCACTTCTTAAACATCATAGCGGCAAGAGAAAATGAGAGAAGTGCGAAAGCAGAAACCTCTGAGACTTATTCATTACCACAAGAACAGTACAGAGGAATCTGCCCCCGTGATTCAAATTATCTCCCACCAGGTCCCTCCCACAACACATGGGAATTATGGGAATTATGGGAGTACAGTTCAAGATGAGATTTGGGTGGGGACACAGAGCCAACCCATATCAGTGACCTTGACAAAAGCAGTTTCAGTGAAGTGGTGGAGATGAAAACCTGATTGGAATGAGTTAGGAAAGAATGGTACATGGAGAAGGAAGGACAGTGAGTAGACATAACTATCCCAGTGAACATATTTTATAAAGAAGAGCAGAGAAATGGGACAGTGGTAGGACATGGAAGTGGAGACTTGGGAGGTTTTTCAAGAAGGAAGATTGCTTATCCTGTTTGTAAGCTGGTAGAGACAATCCAGAAGAGAGCGAGAAATGGATTATGTAGGAAAGAGCAGTGTCAACTGCAGGAGTGAAGTGTGTGAGTAGATGAGAAAAGAAGAGACCCAGTACACAGAGAATGAGAATGCAGATGCAGTACATGTTCAGAGGTGATTGGGAAGATGGGCAAACTCTCTTCCACCCAGGATTAGGGAAACACAAAGCTTTAATAAACATGAGTCACCTAGATGAGTAAGCGAATAAACCAACTAAGGATATGTAATCAAGTTGCAGAACTACACTCTTTCCCACTTGATATGGTGTCTGTAAATGTAATGTGGAACCCATCAGCAGCGTTTCCTCACATCACATTTCCTTGCTGGGGATCAAGCATGGAGCAGGCAGAGGGTTGGGTTGAGGATATAACTAGGGATGGGATGTGCCAGGGCAAGAAATTTGCAGGTATATGGAAGACAAGAATAAGAATGTTAGACTTCGGACTCTCACCTGGGCAAATGGGGAAAAGATATGAGAGGTGTCTCAGAAGAAGACAAAGTGGTAGAATCAATGGCTAGACGTCTTGAAGGAATGGATGGAATTATTGTGCTGGGAAAATGATTTGGAAGGATAGGAGGAAGTATATTTCTTGATAAGTGTAGTTCTGGGCTGATTGAGGTAGATAGAAGAAAAGATTATTGGAAGTGATGAAGTTAATGAACAGAGAGGCTAGTGGGTTGGCTTGATCATAGAGCTGACAGATTGAAGCCAAAAGCCACCATTGAGCCATGGTGGCTCATGTCTGTCATCCCAAAACGTTGGGAGGCCAAGGCAGGTGGATCACTTGAGCCTAGGAGTTTGAGACTAGTCTGGGCAACATAGCAAACCCCCTCTCTACCAAAAAATAAAAACATTAGCCAGGAGTGGTAGTACATACCTGTAGTGCCAGCTACCCAGGAGGTTCTGCTGGGAGGATCACCTGAGCCATAGGAGGTCGAAGCTGCAATGAGCCCTGATTGTGCCACTGCACTCCAGCCTGGGTGACAGAGTGAGACCCTGTCTCAAAAAGAAAACATGAAAAAGAGCAAATAACTCAAAGCAACGAGAAGTTACCATTCTATGTAGAACCCCTAATCACCTACAATTTCAAAGTTGTGTACAAAACATAAAGAAGCATACAAATGTCAAGATAAATAATGTTTGTGACATAATCTACTTTACAAACAACGCACTTGTTGCACAAAGCCAAACTTACCCATAAAATAAATGCAATTTGGAGGGTTTTTGTTATTTAATTCAAGTCCAAATCATTATATGACTATAATGTTTATAGCCCAAAGAGAAACCTGGATGAGTGAATTTTATGATTCGGAATAATACTGTTAAACTAAGAGTTAGATAGATTATTGCAGGTAATTCCCTGTGGCCTCAACAGCAGCAGTATTTGGGTAGCTCTATACAACTTGTTTGCATTCGTTTATTTAATTCTTTTAATAAACCTACGGAGTTCCAGAAATAGGTGATAAATAAGATCAATCTCTCCAGTCTGGAATTTCACAGTTTCATGTCTTTTATGTATGCTGTGACTCTTTTTTTTTTTTTTTTTTTTTTTTTTTTTTTGAGACAGAGTCTCACTCTGTCACCCAGGCTGGAGTGCAGTGGCGCAATCTCAGCTCACTGCAAGCTCCGCCTCCCAGGTTCACGCCATTCTCCCACCTCAGCCTCCCGAGTAGCCAGGACTACAGGCGCCCACCACCACACCTGGCTAATTTTTTGTATTTTTAGTAGAGATGGAGTTTCACCATGTTAGCCAGGATGGTCTCCATCTCCTGATCTCGTGATCCACCCGCCTCGGCCTCCCAAAGTGCTGGGATTATAACCAACTTCACTGTACTTTTAACCTTGGCTCTTGAAATATCAGGGCTAAATGTGTGGCCTACCATGAAAATGTACAGAACTTCCCAGCAGATGCTTTGCAGACTAATATATTTTTTTCCTCTCTTTTGCTCCCTTATCTTGTTTTCTTCGACTATTTTTTAAACTCTTGATTTTACAGTTGTATGTACCTCTGTAAACATCTTTAAGTTCTTCATGAAACAGATTTAAGAATAAATGAATAAGTAAATAAATAGCATAAGGCACTGTACTATTGACTTTAGTAAAACTGGCTTTAGTTTCTTAAAAATTGACACATTAGCTCAGGTAACTGGAAAACTCTAGGGCTGGACTTTAGGCATAACTGGATCTAGGTACTTAAGTAATGTTGTCACAAATCTGCCACTGTTCATTTCTGAACTCTGCTTTCTTCTGTTAAAGCATTAATTCCAGACACGAACTCAAAAAGTAGGGCAAAGAGATATACTAGAAATTTCTAGCAATCTCAATAGAAAAAAAGTACTCCTATTTCCCCATCAGTACCTTGGTGGAGTCAATAGACATTTCCAAAGCAATCCCTGTTGCTAGGGTAATGCCATGTTCTATTCAGATAAGTCTGGGCCACACATCCATCCCTGGGGCAGAATAATATTAGCCCAACCAAAATCACATGGATTAAGAGATGGAGAAAGGATAGTTTCCATTAAGGAAAATTAGAGTGCTGTGCCAAAGAAGGCAGATTGGATCATTCGCAAGATGAAACCACAGATGTCACCACTCCAAACTTACAATCTAGTTGGGAAGACAGGTCGTGGGTACCAGAAATGAAGTGAGGCAGTGCATACACGATATACGAAAAGAATGGTTCAGCCATGATGCATATCGCACGACAACAGATGAGGAGGAGGTCATTTTGAATGAGACACGTCAATCATTCAAATATCATTTCCTGAGGACATTCTATGTGCCAGCCTCGGTCCTAGCTGCTTGGAATACATCCATGAGCAGAACAGAGATTCCTGCCCTTCTAGAACTGACATTCCAGATAGTAAACCACAGATGTAAAAACAACTGTAGAGTTTATTAGAAGGCAATAAGTACTGTGAAAAATGGGAAAAGATGGAGTAAAGTAAGGATGATTGGAGGTGCTGCAATATTAGAGTAGGCCTCATTGAGAAGGTGACATGTGAGTCAACACTGAAGGAGCTGAATGAGCCATGTGAATATCTGGAGGAAGGGCATTCCAGGCAGAGGGACCAGCCAAGGCAAAGGCTCTGCAGCCTCAGTGAACCTAGAA
Organism: Homo sapiens; assembly: GCF_000001405.40. Classification (NCBI taxonomy): domain Eukaryota; kingdom Metazoa; phylum Chordata; class Mammalia; order Primates; family Hominidae; genus Homo; species Homo sapiens. The sequence continues at coordinate 73,713,687 of NC_000003.12, read as the reverse complement.
TATTCCAGCAACAGCACAGAGGTCAGTGTAGCTGGGCTGGTGCGAACAAAGGTGAGAGTTGAAAGACATCAGGTTGGGGAGATGATGGTGGGGAAGTGGGAAGTGGAGCCGACGTGGTTGGGTCTTCCTGGCCTTTCTACACACTTAGACTCTTAGTGAAATGAGAGCCATTGCAGGGTCTGGCAGAGGAGTGACCTCTTTTGACGTACATTTTTAAAGGATCACTCTGGCTGCTGTGTAGAGGACAGGCTGTAGCAGGAAAAGAATAGAAGCAGGTACAACCATTAGGAGGCAATTGCATCAATCCCAGAGCCAGTTGATAGTAGCTGGGACCTGAGTAATAGCTGTTGGAAGCGGGTTTGAGCCAGATTCTGAATAAGTGTTGAAGGTAGAGCCCACAGGATTTCCACTTCCTATGGCTCTACCTTCCACCTCCACTAGCTCATGTGCTTTAAGAAATGGGCAGGATTTACAAGAAGAGAAAGAAAAAAAACATTCCAAACTAAATGAAATAGAAAAGCAAAGCAGAAAGAAAGAAAACACAATTAATTAACAGGCCATTGTAAATAGAAAATTTGACTAGAGTGGAGAACTAATATAGGGAAGCCATGGAAGGTCAGTTTAGAGTCAGATATTATAATAGATGTCTTCAGTGTGGGTTAAGAACTTCTGACATCATCCTGTCCTCAGTGAGAAATATTGCAATGTTTTGGGAAAAATAACAAGACAGAATGTTAAGGCTTAGGGAAATGAGTTAGACTCTGGGAAGCATTTTGAGGGTGAGTTTCTGGTGGCAGCGAGATTTCTCACAGAACTTCTAACAAAACAAGTGCTTTAACCAAAGCGAGGCAGCATTTTGTAGGGAGTAAGAGAACAGGTTTTAGCATCAGACAAACATGGGTGGGATGCTGACTCCATTCTGTTGACCATGGTCAAATTATTTGGCCTCTCTGGGCCTCCATTTGCTAATCTGTAAAATGGACATAACTGTATCTAATTCAAAGGGTTACCATGGGCATCAAATGACACCGTGAGTGTTCAAGTGTTTTGTCCAATACCTGGCACCAAGTAAGCACTCAAAAAAAACTATTCATGACTATTTTTACAGTAACAACTTTAAATTCAAATGAAGTTGAAGGAATTAATAAATGTAAGGAGAATGAGGGAAATAGAAAATCACTGTTAGAACATCACAGTAATAATTAAGACAGGCAAGATCCACTGATGGATGCTAAAATTAGTGGGCAACAAAACGATACAATGGCATATCTGTAGAATCTCAAAGTATCTTCCTTAAGACACTTATTAATTACAAAGGAGAAAGTATTAACTTGAGAGCAGAGGAACCCAGAAGACATATTATCCAAGTAATTAAGACGAACATGATCATTGTTTCAGGCTGGAGGCAAGGAGATATAATAGCTAAATGTACTTTGGGATCCTGGAGCTGAAAAAACAGATATTACTGGGAAAACTGATGAAATATGAATAAAGTCTGTTGTTTAGTTCATGGTATTATACTTAGATTACCTTCTCAGTTGTGATAATGGTACAATGGTTGTGTATGGTGTTAATATTAAGGGAAGCTGGGTGATGAATGCATGGGAATCTTCTGTACTAGTTTTGAACTTTTCTGTAAGACTGAAATTATTTTTAAACAACTTTTCAAATGGCATGGAAATTATCTTTGAAAGGTATCACGAAAGGAGGCATCCACAGTGCTTAATGGGTTGGCTTTGAGGAATGAAGGAGTTGGTGGGTCAAAGCCACCTTGAAGACTGTTCCTTGAGATATTGTGGTGCAGGATCCAGGATTAGGAAGCCTTTAGTGAGGAGCTGCTTGTGTGAGTGTGAGCATGGGATAGTGGAGTGTGTGTGTGGGGGGGTGTTGGAGAGGCGGTAATCACTCTTACTTTAGACATGTATGCAGAAGTTTTCCAGGCTGCTGGATAATGGAAGCATGAGATGAGAGTAAAAAAGACACAAGGCAGAGAAATCAGGTTAGAACCAAATGAGAGAAAATAATAAAAGACAATTGTAAAGACAAGATCCTCAAAAAAGAGGGCTTAGAAAGGTATGAGGAGACCTCAGTGGACAACTGAACATTATGACTTTCCATATAACAATTAAAGAAAAACCAAAGAATGACAGAGATGAAGTCAGAGAGGGAAAGAGAATCAAGCTGACGTAGCATCACAGGAACCAAGAGAGGAGACTGCTACATGGTCAAGCCAACCTTGACCAATGCTGTTGTCATACCAGGTAGGAAAAGGACTCAGAGAAAGAGTAAGAAGCAAGAGGTGATTTTCAAGACCATTTCATTAGACCAAAGTACACAGAGGGTGGATGTCAAATGGGGTAAGAGGTGATAAGTTGAAGGTGGTGTGCCCTTAAGGTCTGGAAGCCACAAGTATGGCCCTAATTAGATCCTCAGACTTAGAGGGAACTAGCAAATTAGATATTCTTTCGTTCACTCATTGAGTACATATCTGAGTGCCCACTATGTGCTTGCAGCTTTCCAGAGGAAGTGAAGCAGATATACAATGATCGCTTCCTCTGGAAAGCTTCAATCCTAGTACAGTCATCCCTTGGTATCTGAGGGGGAGTAGTTTCAGAACCTCCCTCAGATACCGAAATCCATGGATGTTCAAGTTCCTAATTTAAAATGATATATTATTTGCATGTAACACATGCACATTCTCCCATATACTTGAAATCATCTCTAGATTATTTGTAATACCTAATACAACGCAAATGCTATGTAAATAGTTATTATACTATATTGTTTAGGGTATAATGGCAAAGAAAAAAGTCTGTACATGTTCAGCACAGATGCAGTTTTTTTTTTCCCCAAAATATGCTGGATGACAGTTAGTTGAATTCATGGGTACAAAACCCACAGATATGGAGGGCCAACTGTATATTCTGCACACTGACATTCAAACTCCTCAGTAACACAGTAAGCTTTGAATTTTGTTTCTGAAAGAGACTAAGAATAACCTGGATGAGTTAGCAGTAAGACATCTTTTTAACTCAGCACTAGGAGTTTGATCGAGATGGCAATGACTTATGTGATTAAGGCTTTGAACATTTGATCCACAGTTCAATCTCTGAGGTGCAACTTGTTTTGTTCCTGGGTTTGAGGAAATCTCCTCCTTTGTTCTCCCACAGAACACAAAGCCCATGACACTATGCTTAGTATGGCTGAATTTCCCATCATGAGCTTTTATGAGTAATATGCTTTCTTTGAAAATCTCACTCATAAATTGCTGAGTTTAATCTTACAAATAAGAATGAACTAGCATATTAAAACAACAAAATTATGCTTTTATTTTTACAGTAGACAATTTACAAAGAGTAAGTGTATAAGACAAAATTTATACTTGGTTTGACTAGAATAGTACAACTTCTCATCCCAAAATGACAAAATGCATAAACAAAGAGCAAAGAATATTGATTTGCACAAGCAAGGTACATATACAGGAACACAGCTTCAAAAAAAAAAAAAAAACACCTTGTACGTTGTAGAGCCTCAATAAATGTTAAGTTAAATGTCTAGAAATGGTGAAAATCCAAAGATAATTTATCACTTGCCTAAATTTCCCAAAGGCTTTTAACTACTGTTTTATAGTGGCTTTAAAGCTTAATAGTAAAGAGTAGGAGAGTTTATGGTAGGAGTTCATGTTGGTCTGCAGGAATTCTACCATGCTAGGAGAAATGAGAAACCAAAGACGGTTATCAAGAAAGGATATCTTAACTCCTTTAAATTTCCAAGGATGACTCAGCAGCTTTTGGAAATGCTGGCCTATTTACTAAATATGTGACCTCAGTCAAGTTACTTAACTTCTCTGAGCCTCAGTTTCCTTATCTGCAACAACCTTATTTCATATGGTTGTTTTGATGACTTATAGCACAGTGCTAGCTCTTAGTAAATGGCCAGATAATGACCATTACTTTTCTTATCTTCCCTTAACTAGATTTGGCAGAGCACGTTATATTTATTTATCCTTTGGTCTTTAGTATAAAAACGCTGAGCAATGTGTTCAGCTGAAAAATAATTACTTTTCTACCCTCCCTTATACATAGGGATGGCCAATGAGATGTGTGCAGAAGCTCTGGGCAGAGGGCTTCTGGGAGAGACCCTTGCCCTTGCTCTTCTCTTCCCTCCTGCTTGGCAAGCTGAGGGTTAGAGCTCTAGTGGCCATCTCAGGACCTAAGGATGGAAGCCATGCATTGAGGCTGGCAGAGCAAAAAAGATAGTGGGAAGCTGGATCCACAGTGATTGTATGGAGCCTCTAAACTAGCCCTGGACTACTGTCACCAATTTTCTTTAAAATGAGGGAAAATTCGTCCCTAATTGGTTTGAGCTAATATTGTTGAGTCTCTGTTATCAAGAGCAAAAAGTAATTTCTAACTAATACACTAAATATTGAAAATCTTCAGCATTTCCATCCACTTTCCTGTTGACCTGCCAACAAACACTTGCACAGCTGTAACTAGTTTGTCTCCGTTTTCATTCATCACTTGCCTCTGTGGGAATAATCTGCTCCTTCCATTTAACCCAGGATTCACTTTTCCTTTGGGGAGATGAACATCCCTCAGTTACCTACAACTTTACTTATTGAATACTGTACTCTCATCTTCCCCTTCTTCCTTGATCCACACATACACACACACAAACATGAGCTCTGATCTAGACATGCAAGGATGTCTTGAATAGGAAGATGAGAAGAAATTCAAGAACAGTCTCTGACAGTGGAACTGAAGCCTTGGACAAACAGATTTCTTTTTCTTTTTTTTTTTTTTTCTTTTTTTTTTTGAGACAGAGTCTCGCTTTGTTGCCCAGGATGGAGTGCAGTGGCATGATCTCAGCTCACTGCAACCTCTGCCTCCCGGGTTCAAGCAATTCTTGTGCTTCAGCCTCCTGAGTAGCTGGGATTACAGGCGCCCGCCCGCCATCATGCCTGGATAATTTTTGTATTTTTAGTAGAGACAGGCTTTCACCATATTGCCCAGACTGGTCTCAAACTCCTGACCACAGGTGATCCACCTGTCTTGGCCTCCCAAAGTGCTGAGATTACAGGTGTGAGACACTGCACCTGGCTGGACAAATAGATTTCTCACACAAAACAAAATAATTAAAGTGTGTGCATGAGTGAAGTGTATTTTTATCAGAGGACTATGCATTCTATGGTGGCTTCTCTCCACCCCCATAGAAATAGAAAAGTTAATCTCTCCTGCAGTGGAGCACTGACCTCATCCTCCATTTCAAACATGGAGTGATAAGAAAGAAAAGAGATCAAAGATAAGGAGGCAGGAGGCCTACTGGGCAAGTTACATGATAGGGTCATTTTCTACAGCTTGGGGGTACAGAACACAGATCACTAACTCTCTTGCTTCAGTCAGATGGGTGTGAGAAAAATCACATGAACACCTGGTTTATCTTTCATTTTCCCCACTTTGATAGAGACACGTGTTTTAGGATGATTTCTACACTGTAAGAACAACAATATTGTAAACACAGTAAGAAATGAAAATCTAAAAGAGCCTCGGTGTCAGGGAGAGAAAAAGCAAGAATGCCAGGGACCATGAGGAACAAAAGGGCACCTGTCATCTCTAAAAGGGGCCCCTTCGTTCTAGCAACTGTTTCCATGCCAGATCTTCAAATTGCTCAAGAAAAGCAGGAACTCATATTTTTGTGTGAAACCTCCTAACTTTCAAATGTTGACTCATAACCTTAAAACTCTATGTGAGCCAAATAAAACACATTGGTTGGCCTAATAGGGCCAACCTGCAACTGGGCCTTGGTGGAGAAGAACTAGGGAAGAGCAGCAGGGGAGGAAACTGAGATAAAGTCAAGGATTCATTCATTTAATAAATGTCCATTCAGGTGGCCTTCATATGCACCCAGGACTGTGCTAAGCATTAGATGTGAATGAAAAACCAAGACAAGAAGTAGGAGGTGATAAGAAATTGTTAAATCCAGCAAAGAAACTTTGAAGTAAGATCAGTAAGAAGGAAATTATTAAGTTTGTTGAGAGGAAGTCTGTAAAAACTCAGGCAGAAAGATGAAAAGGTACATTATTAAGAATTAACGGCGAGATGTGGGGACTCATGCCTGTAATCCCAGCACTTTGGGAGGCCAAGGTGGGTGGATCACTTGAGCTCAGGAGTTTGAGACCAGACTGGGCAACCTGGCAAAACCCATCTCTATATAAAATACAAAAATTAGCCAGGAGTGGTGGCACACGCTTGTAGTCCCAGCTACCCATGAGGCTGAGGTGGAAGGACCACTTGAGCCTGGGAGGCAGAGGGTTCAGTGAGCTGTGATTGTGCTACTGCACTCCAGCCTGAATGACAGAGGGAGATTCTGTCTCAAAAAATAAAAATAAAAAAAAGAAAAGAAAGAGAAAGAAAAAAGAAGGGAATGAATGGCAAGGTGTGTCCAGCAGCTTCCCAGTGGGTGGTGTTTAACCAGGCTCTCAGAACTCTCACCTGGTATGCACACCCTCGCAGAGTTTCCTCCCATGCTGAACTGGGTTGGCCTATGTAACCAAGAGGATGTTGCAGGACAATGGAGCACAACTTCCAGGGCTAGGTCATAAAAGGCACTCTGCCTTCCATCTTGCTGTCTCAGATCACTCACATGGGGGAAGCCAGCTGCTACGTCATAAGGACACTCAAGAAGCCCTATAGAAGAGCTCACATGGTAAAGAAATGAGGCCTTCTGCCAACAGCCAGTGAGGAACTAAGCCCTGCTGGCAGCTGCCAGATGAGCAAGCCATCTTGGAAGAAGACCCCCAGACTGTTAAGCCTTCAGATAACTGCAGCCCCAGCTGACACAAGAAACCAGAGTCAGAATCACTCAGCAAGGCATTCCTGAATTTCTGACCCACAGAAATTGTAAGATAAGAAATGTTTGAGTTTTTTTAATCCACTAAGTCTATGGGTAATTTATTATGAGCAGTGGATAGCTTATACTCTAAGAAAAATAGAGGCATTAGATATAAACCACCAGTCCAAAAATTTTAACAAACAGAAAAAAAAAAAATAGACAGCAAGTGGTGGAGTGGAGTTGGAGGGAGGAGAGGCTGAAAGAGAATAGTGTCTGGTAAAGAGCATGGGTTTTAAGATAAATCAGACATGAATTTGAAACCAGCACTGACACCTATTAACTATGTGACCTTGGGCAAACACTTAGAGTCTCTAAGCATCAATGTCTCCTTTTATCTGTGTTCTCAAAATAATAGTAACTACTTCACATAGTTACTATAGATCAAAAGACAAAATGAACAGGAAATACCTACTTCACACATAGCAGACACTAGACAGGTATGTTATTAGTGACCGCTTCATTGAAGGTAAACATGACACACTCTGCTGACCTGCACTGCCTGACTTTGCAGGGAACAGAGTACCATTTCAATGCTTATCGGGTTTTTCTTTTCTTGTTTATTTTTTATTCTAAAATATATCAGAAACACGATTTACTATATTTAACTGGATTGTCTTAAACTTAAGTTCTGTGTATCCAAAACATTCCAAGGACAGCAGAAGCAAATAAATCTGAGAAAAAATGTATTCGAATAGAAATAAAAATTGTTTTTAAAAAATTCTCCTTTTCTTGTCCTTTAGAGCAAGGTAGACACCATGCTTAGTACACACACAAAACCTCCAACATCATCTACTGACAGATGGTTCATGTCAGTTCCATGTTTATTACTTTGAAGAGAATAAATTTCTTCAACAAGAGCTACTATGCACTTAAGGCATATTCTCAAAGTCTCCAAGGCTTAGTGTTCATATTTATAGTAGCAATTCATTTAAAAACAAAAATAAATAAATAAAAGCATTTAAAGCAAAGTAAATTAACCTCAGTAGTATAATACTTTTTTCTTTTTTACCTTTTTTTTAAAAAAAATTAATGATGGATTTCTTTTTTTCTTTTTTTTTTTCCTTTTTTTTGAGACAGTCTCACTCTGTCACCAGGCTGGAATGCAGTGGCACAATCTCGGCTCACTGCAACCTGCAGCTCTCTGGTTCAAGCGAATCTCCTGCCTCAGCCTCCCGAGAAGCTGGGATCACAGGCACGCACAAACATGCCCAGCTAATTTTTGTATTGTTAGTAGACATGGGGTTTCACCATGTTGGCCAGGATGGTCTCGATCTCCTGACCTCGTGATCTGCCTGTCTCAACCTCCCAAACTGCTGGGATTACAGGTGTGAGCCACCGTGCCCTGCCCCAGTGATGAATCTAATCTACCCAAAGTGTGAGCCATAATCCTTGCTTGGTCATTAACAAGTCAGCACCAGCAAGGATTAGTTTGTTCTTACGAAAGACTGACAAGGTTTATTCCCTGGTTGTCAGACATCAGTGTTTTCTAGGTGTGGATGTGGGTAGGATTTGAAATGTGTCTCCTATTTGCTTTTTCCTTTCCGGGTAATTATCTCATTCTTATAATAAAATATATCTGCTCCCTTCAGAGTGGTTCAACAGTCAGATCAACCTCACCCAGCTAGTTAATAGAAAAGCCTGACCTAAACCCTGGTATCTTGTCCCCAGATTGATTGGGGATGTTTTCTTTTTCTTTTTTATTTTTACTATAGTCAACTATCTTAACAGCTTTCTTAATTGGGTCACCAAGTCAGTCTTCTTTTCCCTTCTAGTAATCCTGGTCTTTCTTAACATTCCCTTACTCAAGAACTTGTACTGGCTCCCTTTTCTCACCCTCATCAATCCCAGACAAAATTATCCACCTTTCTGCTCTGCTCTTATACAATTAGCTGTTTTTCTAAATGTTCCTAAAAACTGACTTTCTCATTGAGCAAGATTGCTATCCTTAAGCAATTAAATCTCCTAAAAGAGACCATGCCAATGTACCCTGGTCTGTGAACTTCCTACCTGCTAAATGCCCTCCCCGCCTCCCCTCCTTTTGAAACCTTTATAATCCCTCTGATGAAATTCCATCTCTTCCACAAAATCTTCCACTCTTTCAGGCTGCTTGGCTTTCAACCATGCTTGAACTCCCATCACACGTGTAATTAACACTTTTTACTTCACAGTCTGTTGTGTTTTATTGTCTGTTGTGCCAGGTATCTTCTGTTTTCCCCTCTAAACCCATTCTTCATCCTTCTCACCCTGTTCTGTGCCCCTGGAGCCTGACTTGTTCAGTCTACTGCAGTGGTTCTCAAAGTGTTACCCCAAACTGCAGCATCAGAATCACCTGAGAACTTGTTAGAAATGCAAATTATCATTGGGTCCCCACACAGAGCTGCGGAATCAGACTCTGGGGATAGGCTCCAGCAGTCTATCATGCAGCAGGCCCTCCAGGTGTTTCTGATGCATGCCCAAGTTTGAGAACAACTAGTCAGTATCCACAGACTCTCCTGTCTTCTGGCTTTAGGGTTGGGTCTGACCTATGTTTAACCCTGGCAGGAGATAGAATGGAAACAAGATTGCAACACTGGGACTATTCCTTGTGGTTCCCCTACCCCTAGAAAACAACTTTTTTGTTTGTTTGTTTGTTTGTTTGTTTTTGCCTTGTTTTGTTTTTGGAAAACACCCTTGAAAAAAGTCACTTTATTAAGTCCTTTGAGTGTGTCATCTATTTCCTGTTAGTACTGTGACTGATATACAAGCCATATTTATTATTAACATAAGTGATATTACTCAATTATATTCTTATTTCCCCTCTCTGCTTCACTCCAATCTACAAAAAATGTTGAGAAATGCAGGCAAGGATTTTTGTTGATTCCTCAAAAATCTAGACCTCTTAGGTGGGGTGGTAGACTAAAATACTGCCCCCCGCCCAAAGATGTTTCGTGTCCTAATCCTCAAAATCTATAACTATGTCACCTTACATGGCAAAAAATGGACCTTGCTGATATCATTAAGTTATGGTTAGGGATATTGGGAGATTATTTACATTACGAGGGGAGGCAGCTAATCTAATTACAAGGGTCCTTATAAAAGAGAGGCTGGAGGGTCATAGTCAGTGAAGGAGATGTGACAAAGAAAGAGAGGAGAGGGAGAGAGATTTGGGATACTGCCTGCTGCCTTTCAAGATAATGAATGTAGGAAAAGGCAAGGAAATAAAAGATTGTCCCCTAGAACCTTCTGAAGAAACACAGTGCTGCCAACACCTTGATTGTAGCCTGGTAAGACTCATTACAGACCTCTAGCCTCCAGAACTATAAAAGAACACATTTGTGGTTTTGAGCCCCTAAGTTTGAGGTAATTTGTTATAGGAGCAATAGAGAACTAATAAGGGTAGTTTATGAAAAATGAGCCTCTTGATCAAATAAATTTTGGAAACCCCACACACCCTCCTGTTAGAGCTTTTAAGTGAAAACTACAATGAGAAATATTGCACTGAAGAACCTTTTCTAACTTCTTGAAATCCACTGTTTCCAAATTTTTTTTCCTGGGAAGACCTATTAATACTCCACAGGCTAATAATGATAGTAATAATGGCAGTTAACATTTATAAAGTTCTTACTACCTTGCAGACACTGTGTTACATGCTTAAATACTATATAATTCTACCAACCTTTAAGAGGTGATTATTATTCTCATTTTATAAAGTGGTAAACTGAGGTTTGGAAAGGTTAAGTAATTTGATTCATAGCCACACCATTAGTAAGTAGGAGAGGTCAGAATTGAGACTTTGCTTAACTCCAACATTCATATTCTCAACATGCAACCCTGTTCTTTATTCTTGAGAAACATACTTTGAGAAACATTAAGTATAGCCAGGCTCCTCTATGGCTAAAATGAAAACATTAACATATAATGTCCAATGCCTTTACAAATTCCAAATGCATCTCTTGTCATAGTTCAAAATGTTCCATGTTAATTTCATTACTAACCTCAGGGTCAAGCACCAAATGGAAACCAATTGCTGTCTGGTTTGAAAGCAATTGCCATTCTGTGTGTGTGTGTGTGTGTGTGTGTGTGTGTGTGTGTATGTAAGATTAGAGGAGCTCACCTTTCCATGCAGGCACAGCTTTCAGATTATAAAGTAGCTGAGGTACAGGGATGTGGCCTAGCCAAAGGATTAGCACAGTTGAAAAAGTCAGCCCTCCATGTCTGTGGGTTCCATATCCATGGATTCAACCATCTACAAATCAAAAATATTCAGAAAAAAAGGACGGTGTGTGTGTACTGAACAGGTATAGACTTTTTTCCTGTTATTAGTCCCTAAACAATACAGTATAATAACTATTTACATAGCATTTACATTGTATTAGGTATTATAAGCCAGTGGCCCCCAACCATTTTGGCACCAGGGACTGGTTTTGTGGGAGACAATTTTTCTACGGGACAGCAGGGAGAGGGGTAGATGGTTTGGGGATGAAATTGTTTAACCTCAGATCGTCAGGCATTAGTTAGATTCTCTTAAGAAGCTTACAACGTAGATGCCTCACGTGTGCAGTTCACAATAGAGTTCCCACTCCTATGAGAATCTAATGCCACTGATCTGACAAGAGGCAGAGCTCAAGTGGTAATGCTCTCACTTGTCCACTACTCACCTCTTTACAGGCCACGGACCAGTATAGGTCTGCAGCCCAGGGATTCAAGACCCCTGTTATAAGCAATCTAGGGACAATTTAAAGTATATTGGAGGATGTGAGTAGGTTATATGTAAATACTATGCCATTTTATATCAGGGACTTGACCATCCATGGATTTTGGTATCAATGGGGGGCAGTCTTGGAACCAGTACCCACCGATAACAAGGGATAACTGTATAACTCAGAAACACCATTCAGAAACCTCAGGCCTATCAACATTTCTCTTTTAGAGAGCTGTGATTTGCCCATCAAAATGAATTATTGGCTAAAATTAGAGAAAAATCTCAGACTATTAAGTACGAAATGTTTTTGCAAGCAATCCAGTTGAGAATAATGTTTGAAAATTTACAGAAAAGAAAAGCTCATGCAGCAGTTAGATGAATTTTCATTTCTTAAATAAATATTTATCACTCAAAAATAGTTGCCATAGGGCATTTCTTGTGTTTCAAATGCATATCTTGGTAAGCAAATTTTAAACTAGTTGGTATACTTTAGTTATCTTTCACACATGTTTATACGGAAACAAAGTAATTTCAAAAGGTGATCGTGGCCAGCACAGTGCTTTGCGCCTGTAATCCCCAGCACTTTGGGAGGCCAAAGCAGGAGGATGTCTTGAGCCCAGAAGTTTGAGACCAGCCCGAGCAAGATGGTGAGATCCCATCTCAACAGAAATTTAAAAATTAGCCAGGCATGGTGGTACACACCTGTAGTCCCAGCTACTCAAGAGACTGAGGCAGGAGGATTCGTTGAGCCCAAGAGTTTGAGGCTGCAGTGAGCTGTGATTGCACCACTGCACTCCAGCCTAGGCAACAGATTGCGACCCTGCCTGTCTCTTTAAAAATAAAATTAAAAAGTAATCATATGTACTGATGGAGGTTTTTTTAAGCACTTCTTTCTAATTTATAATTCTTTATCCCCAAAATGAATAACACTACATGCAATATTTACTTCTGGAACAGAAAAAAGTCATTAGTGAGACAACTGATTACAGTCTGGAGTTTAATGGATAGAAAGGCACTAATGTTAATTTCCTAGTTTTCACAAATGTGCCTCAGTAGTGTAAGCTGTTCACATTAGGGGAAACTGGGTAAAGAGTATACAGGAGCTCTCTGTACTATCTTTGCAACTTTTCAGTAAATCTAGAATTATTACAAAATAAAACACTTAAAAAGTTGAATAAAATCAACCATGTTACAACACATGGGTTTAACGATATTGTTAATTATGTATTCTACTCAGAGCTCAGATGACTTTTGAGACCTCATCTTCTGCTCCCACCTCAGTTGCCTATGTTTAGATACCAAGTATCTAGTAGGAGTCTAATCAGGAAAACAAAACCAATTAGCAAAGCAGTAAAATGCCCTGTGGTTGAAACTTCTTAGGGGTAATAGCTGTTTTGTTTAACCAAATTCTTTTAACTTGAGGCTTCCTGTGGGTATCACCTTCTTACACAAGGTGCCATACAAAGTAAAACACAAGCAAACAAAACTCTACGTCAAAAGGTCACCTCACAGCCAGCCTGTGTGTGATCACTTGCACATTTACCTGTTTGTCGCCATCTCCCCATCTAGATTTCAAATCCTTCTAGGGCAGGAACCATATCTGCTTTATCCCCTGATCAGCCCCCCAGGTACCTTGCCTGACATAGTGGATGCTCAAACACTATTTGAACATGGATGTGTGAATGAATGACTTAGCTGCCATTTATATGAAAGGAGTCTTGCAGGATGTAAAGTAAGAATTGGCACCTCTGCATATACAGGCAAAACAGAGCTCTTGTACCCACATGTATGTTTTTCAGTCAGTCAAAGAATAAAGTCCCCAGTGTCCTGAGTCATGAACGTGGATTCAGAGCTGAATGAGCCCATGAGGCACAAATAATATGAAGAGTAATTTGCTCCTTAGGAAAACAAATAGGTAAACAGAGTTCAAACCAATTCCAACATGATGACAGTGAAGAACATGACTGCCACGTTAAAGCATGACCCTGTATTTTCTAATGTGGGAAGGCTCCAATTCATTCATTTAAAAAACAAATTTTTTTAGCTCCAGGGATTTGGTAGTCAAAGAATAAGTCAGACAGGAGCTCTGCCTTCACTTGGCTTACGGACTAGTGGAGGAGATTGAGAATAAATATGAGAAATAGGAAATAATATGATTGCAGGTCGAATGCCTCTCCACAGTGCCAAGTCCAAGGATAGTAGCAGGAGAGACAGCATTCATGATTTGAAGTTGCAAGTCCTGGGCAGGCTTTCTGAGCTAAAGAAATTCAGGCATCAGCAAGGATATTATGAGAATCGAGTGAAATTGCATGGAAATTCTTTATAAATCTAAAACACTAGAAAGTATTAGTGTGTAATGCATACATTCATTTGGGTCACTATTTCCACATTTATTCATTTTTCATACTTGCACTGAGCACCTACTACATATGTGCCAGATGCTGTTGTGGAGATATAAGAATAAAGGAAATGCAAACACTACTGTCAACACAAATTATAAGTGTTTGAGTTAAATTCTGGAGTCTACTGCCTTAATCAGTAGCTGGGGTCACAGTGACCCTGGTTCTCAGACACACCCAAGAGATAAGCCTCAACCTTTGAAATTAGCAAAGTCAAACAAGCCTGTCACTTCATTTTCTTTTTCTCCTCAGCATTAGGAATTACTGTCAGTGGTAACATACAATTTCCCAGAAGTTGACAGTTCAACTATTTTGGCATCTTATTTGAAAATTACCATTATTACTTTTAGCATGTGAGCAATTTCTTACAGCCTAGTGGTTTGCAGAGTTTTTCCTTAACCTTTCCACTAATGATGGGATGACATACTTTATTTATTTTTCTAAGTCCCTTCTAGATTCTACCAATAGTAAGACACTTTATTTTTTGAATTGCTATTTAAAAAATGAAATCAGTTTAATCTTCCTGCATCTCTACTTTATTTGGATGCTATAAGGTTAGTCATGAAGGTCAAAGAAAGAAATTGGAAATCATTAATATTCATTTCTCTCAGACATTAAAACGTCAGCATTGTGAAGAATTTGGCAGGTAGGTAGGTTATGCCAAGTATGAATCTTCTGTTTAACTCTTGGCTTATTATCATCCTTGCGATATGGAGACAGAAAGTGAGGAGCATTAATTTACACAGACTTACAAAGGGCTAGTGCACAAGTAAAGTTGTTAATAAATAATGATAAGGACAATCATCATCATCATCATTATCATCATCATCATCATCATCATAGCAAAGCCTTATACTAAGAGCCAGGCAACACTCTAAACACTTGATACAAATTAACTCTTTTTTCACTATGGTAAAATAAAGACAACTTGAAATTTACTGTCTTGCCCATGTTTAAGAGTACAATTCACTGGCATTAAGTACATCTACGTAGTTGTGTGACCATTGTTACCATCCATCTCCAGAAGTTTGTCACCTTGCAAAACTAAAGCTATGTACCCATTAAAAAATAACCCCTCATTCCCCACTCTTCTCATCCCCTGACCACCACCATTCTACTTTCTGTCTCTATGAATGTGACTACTCTAAGTACTTACATAAAGGAATCACACAATGTGTATTCTCTTTTGACTGACTTATTTCACTTAGCGTAATATATTCAAAGTTCATTCTAGTTGTGGCATATGTGATTTTTTTTGTTTTTAAGGCAGAATAATATTCCATTGTACATATATACCACATTTGACTTATCCATTTGCCCATCAATGGACATTTGAGTTGCTTTCACCTGTTGGCTATTGTGAATAAAGCTGCCATGAACATAGGTATAAAAATATCTTTAGTCCCTGATTTTAACTGAGTAGATAGTCAGAAGTAGAATTGGATCAGATGGTTATCCTTTGTGTAACATTTTTATGAACTAACAACTGTTTTCTACAAAAGGTGCACTATTTTACATTCCGACCAAGAGTGCACAATGATTCCAGTTTCTCCAAATCCTTGCCAACACTTATCACTTTCTGTTGTTTTGGTAGTAGCCATCCTAACAGGTATAAGGTGTGAGGGATTATTTTCATTTTGTAACTGAGGCATAGAGAGGTAAAAATAAAACCTGCCCAGGGTCAGATTGCTATTAACTGTTAGAGAACTGGGACTCAAACCCCAGGTAATGGAGTTCCAGAGTCCATGCTGTTCTCTACTGACCTTTTAAAAATAAGATAAGCTACCATTTATTGAGCACTTACCATGTGCCAGGCACTGCATTTTACATTAATTATTTAATCCACACAACTGGCCTGTGAGACAGTTCTTATAATTGCATCTACTTTTCTAATGAGGAAGATAGAAATTAAGTACAGTTATTCCTTGGTATCTGTGGGGAGATTGGTACCAGGCCTCCTACCAATACCTAAATCTGTGGATGCTTAAATTCCTGATATAAAATGGTATAGTATGTGCACATCCTCCTGTATACTTTAAATCATCTCTAGATTATAACAATACAATGTAAATGCTATGCAAACAGTTGTTATAATGTATTTTTATTTGTAATTTTTAATTGTGGGTTTTTAAAAACATATTTTTATTTTTTGATCTAGTGATGGAATCCACACATACAGAACCTGCAGATATGAAGGGTGAACTATATTTTCCACAGTTACTGAGCTAGTTAATAACAGAGCTGGAATTTGAATCCAGATCTCTGAATCCAGGGCTGGGGTAATTAGTCTCTCTCCTATACTGAGTTTTAGATAAATCATTATCCTATTAAATTCTTTATCTTTCTGTGTGTCCTCAGTGGAGATATTTTTCCCCCCTATAGCTAATCAGCTTCCTTCAAATTGGATTTCGTAGTGATATGGATCTGTTCACAGTCTTATGGAGGCTGATGCTGGCATTTGAATGCAGTTCCTCGAGGCTTTCCGATGAGCTAAGTAAGTTGAAACATGTACACCTGATGTAACATTCCTTCCCAGGTAGAGTAAGTTGGCAGGATTCAACATTTCACACGGGCTATGACTCTCAAAAGAGCCTCTCATTTACCACTAGTCCTTCCCAGTTACCTTGTTGTTTTCCTTAAGATACTTTCCTCCAATAGGTAATGCTAAAAAGAAAAATTTCTCGCGGCCTCTCCTGATAACTGTTTCCTCAAACCTATTATAATGTCTTTGGAGCAGACAAGCAAATTTTGCCATCTTCACTCTTGGGCATGACCCAAATACCAATGTCTCAGTGTCCTTCATAAACTCTGTTAGGTCTTCCCAACTATGTATAAATTGGCTTTGTCAAACATGAGTCCCCAAGGAAGTGGGAAATGCTATTCAATGTAATGGGATGTAAGCACAGGAGAGTGGTTGCTGGAATCATTTAGACATGGTTATGAGTGGTTATGAGTATGGACTTTGGAGATGAGTGGTTATGAGTATAGACTTGGGAGCTCACCCAATTTAGCTTCAAATTTCTACTCAACTGTATCATAGATGCTTTCCTTTGGGCAAGCTATTTTACCTCATCGAGGCTCAGTTTCCCCATCTGTAAAGTTTGAATTTAAAAAGTATCTGTGTCATAGGGTTTTAAAAGGACCAAATAAGATCATATTCATCAAAATAATAGCATGGTATTTGGCACACACTAACATCTCCATACATGTTAACTGTTCTATTAAATCACAATTAGATGACAGCATTCCAAGAGTGAAGACTATTGTCCTGTCTATCATGGAGCCTTACACTTAATAGGTGATCAAGAATTTTTTTAGATAATGATTGCTCATTATTTTAATGGGATACTCAAGGCATTTTCAACATTGTGACTACCCACTTCAAAATCACAAGTTTCAAAACTAAAGAACAAGAAGCATAAAGGTAAGGAAAATAAGGAGGCTTGGGGAAGCAGGCATGGAAGACAGGCACACACAGGAGTTTCAGAAGTCATCATCTTCTGAGCTCCAGCCTTGCAGATTCCTCATACTTCAGGCCAAAAGCAGTTGGCTAGAGTCTCTGTGTGAAGAGATGGGTTGTTGAGCAAGGATCTGCATGTCTAAACGATTCCAGCATCTTGCCCACCGGAGAAGTTGTCCTGACACTTCTCATCAGCAATTATTCTGCATTTCCACACTTACACATTAAGAAATTTCTTCTCTCTAGGACATCCTATGCCAAATCATCTTGATTTGGACCTTTGAACGCAGTCAGGCCTGGAAGCATTTTGCTTGTAATTGGAATGTTGTAGCATTGTACTAGAAAGCTGGCCCAATGCTTTCATCACTTCTGGAATTTAACTCTATCTCTTTCCTTGTTGTTCTACAATTGAGCTTCCCAGTATAGTAGCCACTATGCACATGTGCCTATCTATTTAAACTTGAATTAACTGGAATTAAATAAAATTTGTATTCTGTTCTTCAGTCTCATTAGCCATATTGCAAGTGCTCAGCAGCCACTTGTGTATTGGTCAGAGCAGATATAGAACATTTCCATCATCATAGAAAATTCTGTTGGGCAGTGTTGCTCTAGGAAATAAGCTTAAGCATCATGGAACAAGTGATTCACATGATAAATAGTGCCATAGCTGGTTAAGGAGCAAGGCAACTGTTAAATGCCCAGACACTGTGGTGGTGCCATAAATTCCTTGACATACCTCCAGTGAAAATGTGGAGTCTAATTCTCCTTCTCTTGAGTATGGGCCAAACTTGGTGAACTTGCTTCTAATGAACAGAATGAGATGACAGTGATGTTATGGGACTTCTGAGGCTATGTCAGAAGAGGCAATAGGGCTTCTGCTTGACTGTCTCTTTTTTAAAATGCTCACCTTTGGAACTCAGCCACCATGTTCTAAGAAAGCCCCTGCCATGTAAAGAGGCCACATGAAGGTGCTCTGGCCAACAGTTCTTACTACAGCTGCAGCTGATAGCCAGCATTAAACTCTAGACCCAAAAGCCTTCTGATGATTCCAGGTTCCAGCCTTTCAGCTACTTGAGCTAATACTGGGTGGAGCAGAGACAAGATGTTCCCACAGCATCCTGTCTTAACTGCAGAACCATGAGCCAAAAAATGTTGTATTAAGCCACTGTATTTAGGATGGT
This sequence comes from Homo sapiens, assembly GCF_000001405.40. Classification (NCBI taxonomy): domain Eukaryota; kingdom Metazoa; phylum Chordata; class Mammalia; order Primates; family Hominidae; genus Homo; species Homo sapiens. Next base: position 73,695,072 of record NC_000003.12, on the reverse strand, counting down.
TCATTACACACAAATGGATAACTGAAACATACATATTCTCAAAAAGTGGCACATTTTAATGAAGTATCTTTAGCAAAGTATCTTTAACGAATCTTTAATGAAGTTCAGACCACGATGAAAAGATGTTAGCGGAAACACAAGGGTCCCTCTCTTCAGTACCTAAATGAAACATCAATGGTCAGAACATGAGACAAATAGAAAGAGAAGGAAAATTATTATGTGCTTTTAAAAATGGAAACTTCTCCACCATCCAATTGCAGTAAATCTACTTCTGGCTAGATCCTTTCTCTAGCCCCCTTCTCATATTCTGTGCTTGTTCCCCAAGATGTCAGAATCTCTGATTCAGTGGCATCTCTATGATCCTCTGTAGGGATTATAATCCTACAAGGCTTTATCTTGTATTAAAACATCAAGGCTTTATCTTGATATTTTATTTGCATAGAAGCCTTGATGTTTTTAATAACATTATATTTGACAGTTAAAACAAAATGTCAAAGATTTCTAAAGATGCTTTTTGTTCTTAATTTACCTAAAATTGAGAAAATGTCAATTGTCCATAATAGTTCTCTCAAACTGCTTTAATTTTCATTAGTTTTGGATTTCCACAAGAGTAGACTGAGGTGCAAGTAGCTTATTGTGAGGGTGTTGGATAGATAAACACAGAGAATGAGTAAGACAAAATACAAGGATGCATTGTCAAGTTGTCACTACTGGGGGAGACTGGATACTTAACCCCATGGGACTGTCAGAAAAGTTTGATCTACCCTAGAGGAATAAAGGAGGAACCATTTATCTGTTGGCTTCCATTTCTCATGGATCAATTGTTGATTTGACTATGCCATGTGAGTGCCAAATGGGTTCCCAAGGGCATCTCATACCATGACATGAGAAAAATCTAAAGCAGAAAGAAAGAGGGATGCCATGGAAGCCAGAGGTGCAACACAGTCACATTTCTCCTGCAGGAAACTGGATGAAGCATGAGTGGAACCAGTTGTCTTGGACTGGCTGAAATGAGAGGTGAGGATAAAGGAACATCAGAAGCTTTGAGATGGTGCATGAGATGTATTTGATACAGTCCACCTCTTGAACAGCTCAGCTATGCTTTTGCCTTCTAAGTTCAAACAATACACAGTCTCCTTCAGCGTGGTAGCCACCACAATCTCTGCAAAGACTTCATGCAAAGGCGTTAATGAACCAGGTTACCATATTACTTACAGCTGGTCCTGAGGCTGTGATTGATATTCAATAAATTTCTCTTTCACCAACCAGTCTAGATGCCTTTGATGGTTAATTTTAGGTATCAACTTGACTGGATTACTTTTAGATGTCAGCTTGACCGGATACCCAGATAACTGGTAAACATTATTTCTGCATATGTCTGCGAGGGTGTTTCCAGTACATGTTCACAAGATTAGCATTTGAAACAGTGGGCTGAGTGGGGGCAGGCACCAGCCAATCAACTGAGGGCCTGGATAGAACAAAAAGGCTGAAGAAAGGAAGATTTATTTTCTTTCTTTTTCGGAGATGGAACACACTTTTTTGCTAGCCCTTGGACATCAAGACTCAAGGTCCTCTGCCCTTTGGCCTTCAAGACTTGCACCAGCAGCCCTGCAGGTTATCAAGCCTTCAGAATTTTAATTTATGAGCAGCCATCTGAGTGGAAATGAACAGCCAAAGGAATTGCTTTGAAGCCACAGATCATAGTAAACACACTGTATTCTCTTAGTTTGCTTATTTGGAATGACTGTCAGCATGGTGAAGAGGCATAAATATCACCCTTTGGCACCTGGGTGCCATTCACATTCAAGTGTACTCTTCAGGTAGGAAAGTAAATGGATGTATTTTAGAACAATTTTCCACACTAAGGATTGTAATAGGAACCCATCATAGCAGATTACTTTTTGTCTCCTGTGTTCCATCAGCTAGGCTTGCCTCCTGTTGCAGTCACAGTCCCACCCACCTCATGCTGACAGTTGGCACTCCCACAAGTGCATACCCTACACCTTACATTCTGCCTCAGTACCTTTTCTGGGACTTCTAGAAGCTACTGGACCCAGAGCAAGCCCAGCTCCTGAGGGTGAGGAAGTTAATTCCCAGGGGCAACCCTCATCTCAAAGGGGTTGGGGTGGATGAATACCCCAGCCTCCCATCTTTGGGGTAGACAATTCTGGAAAGCATTCCACACACTTCTCAGATGTCCAGCAGAATCAAGCCACCATTTCCCAGAGCGGCAGTCTCAGTATTGGCTTTTGTTCCTTCCCTGTTCTATCCTTCTTATTCCCTCACTCTCAGTTCTTGGGATCAGCTCCCATATAAAAAATATAAAGCAGACTTCAGAAAAAGAAAACTATCAGAGATAAATAGGGGCATTTCATGATGACAAAGAGCTCAATTCTCTAAGAAGACATAACAATCCTAAATGTGTACGCACCTGACAAGGGAATGTCAAATACACGAGGTAAAAACTGATAGAACTCCAAAAAGAAATAGATGAATCCACTATTATAGCTGGAGATTTAAACCCCCTCTTTCAGTAATTGATAGACCAAGCAGACAGATAATTTATAAGATATAGTTGACCTGACTAGCACTATCAATCACTTCAATCTAATTTATGCTTATAGAATACTTCACCCAACAACAGCAGAATACACATTTTTCTCAAGCTTACATGGAACATTCACCAAGAGAGACCACATTCTGGGATATAAAACCATACCTTGATAAGTTTAAGAGGATACAAATCATGCAAAGTATGTTCTCAGACTGCAATAAAATTAGACTAGAAATTAATAAGAGAACAATAGCTGGAAATTTCCCAAATATTTGAAAACTAAGCAACACACTTCTAAATAACACATGGTCAAAAAAGAAGTCTTACATGAAATTTAAAACCATTTTGAACTAAAATGAAAATATAACTTATCAAAATTTGTGAGATGCATTAAAAGCTTAAAGGGAAGTTATGGCATTAAATGCTTATATTGGAAAAGTAGAAAAATCAAAAATGAATAATCTAAGCTTCCATTTTAGAAAACTAGAGAAAAAAGAAAAACTTAAGCTTAAATAAAGCAGGAAAAAATACCATAACAAAAATTAGGGCAGAAATCAATGAAATTGAAAACAGGAAAACAAAGGGAAAATCAACAAAAGTAAAAGCTGGTTCTTTGGAAATATCTATCAAATTGACAACCCCTGGCTAGACTAACCAAGAGAAAAACAAAGAAGACACAAATTATTACTATCAGAAATAAAAGGCCATCACTACTCCATGAACATTAAAAGTATAATAAAGGAATTATCCTTGTGGCATTTGTGAGCAAACTCTATACACACAGATTTTATTATTTACATAAATGAACCAATTCCTCGAAAGACACAAACGATTAAAACATACATGAGCAGTAACAGATAATCTGAATAGGCCTATGTTTATTATAGTAATTAAATTAATGATTAATAACCTTCCAAAAAGAAAGAACGAAGGCCAGATGGTTTCACCAATGAAATCTATCAACCGTATGAGGAAGAAATAATAACAATTCCCCATAATCTTTTTCAGAAAACTGAAGTGTCAGGGAATACTCTGTTACTCATTCTATGAGGCCAATATTACTTTAATGCCAAAAAAAAAGATAAAGGCATTACAACAAAGTAAAATACAGACCAGTATCCTCCAGGGTCTTCAACAAAATATTAGCAAAAAATATTCACCAAAAAATTAGCTAATAAAATTCAACCATGTATAAATTACACACGGTGAAGTAGGATTTATTCAAGGTATGCAAGGGTGGTTCAACATTCTAAATTCAATCAGTGTAATCCACCACATCTATGGATGAAAGAAGAAAAATTATATGATTATATCAATTGCTGATAAAAATCTTCAGCAAAATAGAACTGGGGGTACTTCCTCAATTAGATAAAGAACATCTACAAAACAAACAAACTACCAGCTGACATCACCCTTAGTGGGGAAAAACGGGTGCTTTCTCCCTGCTCATATTTACACCATACTTGAAGTACCTAGTGTAACAGAATAAAAAGCTAAAATAAAAGGCATACAGTTGGGGAAGAAAGAAACCAAATTGTCTGTAGACAATGTGATTGTCTATGTAGAAAATACCAAATAATTTTTTAAACCCTTCTGTAACAAATAAATGAGTATAGCAAGGTTGCAGGATAAAAAGTTAGTATACAAAGTTCGATTCTTTTTTTTTTTTTTTTTTTTTTGAGACGGAGTCTTGCTCTGTGGCTGAGGCTGGAGTGCAGTGGCGTGATCTCAGCTCACTGCAAGCTCTGCCTCCTGGGTTCATGCCATTCTCCTGCCTCAGCCTCCCAAGTAGCTGGGACTACAGTCACCTGCCACCACGCCCAGCTAATTTTTTGTATTTTTTTAGTAGAGACGGGGTTTCACCATGTTACCCAGCATGGTCTCGATCTCCTGACCACGTGATCGGCCTGCCTCAGCCTCCCAAAGTGCTGGGATTATAGGTGTGAGCCACCATGCCCGGCCAGTCGACTGTTTTTCTATATACCAGCAATGAACCATTGAAATTTGATTTTTTTGATTGCCATTTACGGTAGTATCAAAAAAAAGCATAGATATAAATATTTTAAAATGTAAAAGATCTATATGTGAAAAAGAACAAAACTCTGATATAAAAAATAATAGAACATGTAAATAAATAGAGAAATATTCTGTATTCATGGATTGGAAAATTCTATTTATCCCAATTTGATCTAGAATTCAGAATTCAACAAAACCCCAACCAAGAGCCCAGCAAGCTATTTTGGTGATATTGACAAACTGATTCATACATACATAAAATGCACATTCTAATATGTATATATTAGAATGCATGTAATACACACACACACATACACACTAAGGCAAAAGGCCTAGATTATCCAATACAATAGTAAGGAGTAAGAACAAAAACAAAATGAAAAAAAAAAAAACACAAAGAAAAAAAAGAAAAAGTTGTAAGACTCATACTACCAAATTTTAAGATTTATAAACAGCGTGGTATTGAGGAAACTATAGACACATAGATCAATGGAACAGAATAGAGAGCCCAGAAATAGACTCATGCAAATGTAGGCAACAGACCCTTGACAAAGAAGCAGCAGCTTTTTTTTTTTTTTTTTTTTTTTTGAGACAGAGGCTGGAGTTCAGTGGCCTGATCTCAGCTCACTACAACTTCCACCTCACCGACTCAACCAATTCCCCTGCTTCAGCCTCCCAAGTAGCTGGAATTACAGGTGTGTGCCACCATGCCCAGCTAATTTTTCTATTTTTAGTAGAGACAGGGTTTCACCATGTTCTGGTCTCAAACACCTGATTTCAAGTAATCTGCCCACCTCAGCCTCCCAAAGTGCTGGGATTACAGGTGAGAGCCACCCAGTCTGGCCAGGAGTAGGGGCATTTCAATGGACAAAAGTTAGTTTTGTCAACAAATAGTCCTGTAACATCTGAACATCTACATTGAAAAAAAAAAATGAATCTAGAGGGAGATGTTATGCCTTTCATAAAAAACTGGATTTTAGACTAAATGTAAAATGCAAAAATATATAGTTTCTAGATAAAAATGTAGGGAAAAATCTAGTAACCATGATTTGGCAATGAGTTTTTGAGCCTAACACCAAAAGCATAATCCATGAATGAAATTTGATGTTAGATTTTATAAAAATTAAACATTTCTGCTCTGTGAGGAACATTATTAAGAAAAATTAAAAGACAAGTAAGAGACTGGGAGAAAATATTTGCAAAACACATTTAAAAGGACTTGTATTTAAAATAAAAGGACTTGTATCTGAAATATATAAAAAACTTTAAAACTCAACAGTAAGGAACCAAGAAACCCATTTTAGAAAGCTCAAAGAGTCTGAACAGACATCACACAAAAGAAGGTGTAAGGGCAAATAGGACACACATGGCAAATGAGCATAGAAAACGATGTTCAATGTCGCATGCTGGATAGGATCCTGGATCAGAAAAAGAACACTGGAGGAAAAAAAAAAAAACTAAGGAAATCTGAATAAAGTATGTAAAGTATAAACTTTAGTAAAATAATAATGCATTAATATTGGTTCATTAATTGAATCAAATGTACCAATACTAACATAAGATTTTAATAATGGGGAAACCAAGTGTGAGGTATATGGAATTTATCTGTGCTAGCTTCAAAAATTTTTTATAAATCTAAAACTGCTTTAAAAATAAAGTTTTGTTTTTGTTTTTGTTTTAAAAAAAAAAAACACCTTTCTTTACCAAGAAAATTGAGGGTAATAAAGTAGAGCACAACATCGTGTTGGTGGGGGGTGGAGGAGTAAGCATGGGACTGGAGACTCAAGACCCCGCTCTATTTGAGCCCTTTTATTAATATAGCTGCATAGCTGCATGACTCAGCTTCTTGGAATTTCAGTCTTCTTCATTTATTATAATAATGGTAGTTAAAATTTTAACAAAAGTCATGAGATCAGGAACCCCAACTATCTTGTTTATCACTATAACCCCGGTGCCCAGAAGAGGTTAGACACATCATAAATATTCAATAATTATTTGTTAAGTAAGGGGATGAATGAGGGAAGGAAGGCAGGAAGTGCTCTCCCACCCATTACTCCAAGTCATGCACTCAATACTACATGAGGTGGGAACTACTGTTCTTCCCCATTTGGCAGCTGGTGCACTCCGGCTGAAAGAAGTTACATTTCTTGCCCACACACAACCAAAAAGCAACACAAACAAGACTCAAAGCAAACGGTCTGACCCCAGACCCCACACACCTAACCTATGCCCCCTGCGCCCTTAACTTCTAGTGTAAGAACAATATGGAAGGAATTTGCCCTTTCAAATATCCCATGCTGCACTGCTTCTGCACCATGATGGAGCCTCATTAGATTGTCTCTAGGGTCCCTTCCATGGTGCCAGTTATAGGACTCAAAAGAACAGAATCTTCTCCCCAAAGACTCTCCCTAGCCTCGCTCTGTTCCTATTTGCCCCCTACCCCATTTATCTCCATTCAAACTTTGCTTGGATTAAATCACCTCATCCATAATTTGCCTTTCTCTGGATGCTGCAGGGGAGACAGAGACAAAGATAAATGCATGACCTCCACATTCATTTGTATGATAGCAGTATCTTGTTCTGACATCCAGAGGTCTGGGCGTACTCCACAGGTTCAAGTGAAAAGAATAAGGTCTGGGCTGGGGGTAGTTGGACAGGAGGCAGAACAGAGACTTTTCCCTTTAAACGCCAGGATGATAAAAAGCAGCTCAACTCAGATAACATCAGAAAACTGCAGCCCAAGTAAGATCCCTGTGTTGGAGTTCCTGGTTTTTGTTGTTGTTGTTTTACCCCTAAGTTCAGACCTAATTGTAAGATAATGACTCTAGAGTAAGATAAAACTCAGGGAAAATGTCAGATTGTGGAGGAGAAAGCTTTTATTCAAATTAAACATCTTTGATGCTAAGAAAAAATATATATAGGGCAGATGTCAACTGCTATTTTATAGCAATCATCTAATTGCTAAATTCCTCCTTAAGCATAGTGCATTTCTTTTTTTTTTTTTTTTTTTTCTTTTTTTGGAAGAAGAAAGAGCAAAGACGAGTTCTTTTCAGCAAGGATTCCAAGCCAGTCATCTCCTGTGTTTTGAAACAAGCTGACATTTTAGTAGAAAATTAGGCTTTCAATATACTGCTCAAGATAAAAGCTTGCATCCTGCACTATGTAGTCCATGAATGCTGTTTGGATTTTTTTTTTTTTAATGCTTTTACAGTTTTTAGAGGATTTGTAAGCACCACACATTTTTTTTCCCTGAGTAATAAAACTGGGGGAGATGTTTGCAAGTCGTAATGTTCCATAAATGGTTCCAAATTTACAGTTGCACTATAAACTATATTAAGTGATCCAAAAGCTAGTTTGTTTCTTTCACCGGTGCTTTCAGAGTCTATAAATTAGACAGTTTAAGCCATGTAAACACCAAGCGAACAGTCACGGAATCACTCTGGGACAAGATGCACACGTTGACTTTTCAGAACATTTTGTGTCCCTCCACTTCCAGGCATTTTCAAATAAATCATTGGTGGAATGGAGTCAACGTCCCCACCTCAAAAGGAACCCAACAGGCAACTGGATTCTGATGTCAGATTCCAACCAACTAACAAAGATGAGAAAGGTGACCCATACGGTGGAGAAGGCTTATCATGTGACAACTGCTTTGTCCTCAAGAGACAACTCTGCCTTTCCATCAGAACCCTTCTTTACACAAGACCCAAGGTTGGCCTTGCAGAAATTGCTAGAGAATAATAATAATAAATATGATTACTGTTATTATTTTGTATTGAAATTGTATAAGGTCCAGGTACTATGTTAAACCCAATACATGAATTATTCATGCTAGCCTCACAACCTTATGAAGATTATTAGATGGGGCAAGTGAGGCTCAGGTTAACTAATGCAACTACCTGGTTCAAAGTAAAACAGCCAAGTCTTTGGGCACCCAAAGCTAAGCCATTGACTTTGGGTTTATAAATGGTTATGTCTCGACAAACATAATTATTTTGAGCCTAAGCAGATAATAAAATGCCTTGAGTCAGGCTTGTGTGCACTGTATCATGCACTATGAATTCAGTTTAGCCAAAAGAAGAGCAGTAATCATAAGGATGAGAAGGAAGAGGTAGCTTCATTACCTTTATTGAGTGATTACTACATGCCAGGTACTGTGCTAGGCACAGTTCATGAAGGTTTTTGTTTTCTCTTATCATAGCCCTCAGAAGTAGACTCCATTAGCTCCTCCATTTTGCAGATGAGAAGCCTGAGGCTTAGACAGGTAAAGTAGATTTCCTAAGTCACATGACTAAGAGTCTGAACTGTGGCTTGAAACCGTATTGAGCTATGAGACGCATTCCCTTTCTACTGCACCAAGCTGTCAATACCATCTTTGCAAAAATGACAGGATTAGAGGCTTAAACATTTATCAGATATATGCTGAAACCCAAGTCCTCTTCCAACTTTTTAATCTGCTGTGCATGATAAAACAGGACCAGAAAGCCCTAGAGGTCAGGCCATACCCTTTGCCATACTGACCTCTCCTCCCCAAGTCACAAAGAGAACTTTCTAAGTCCGAGTCATGGTCACATTTACCCTTTCTGCTGAGAGCCCATTGCCCTGTTTTGTTTATTTGTTTGTTTTTAAAATATCATTGAAAAACACAAATCTCACCTTTCAAATCATGTGTAAATCAAGTCCCCATTTTCCTTTCTTTCTTATCCTGCTACAGTGGACATTTGTTGTTTTTGCCTCTCCATCATCCCTTCCCCTTATTTCTGGTAACAGAAACTTAATTTGCATTTGCAGAATAACCCTCGCCCGCTTCTCAATCCATGTCTCAAAAAATAGAGACATATTCATGACAACTTTATTTTAGCACTTGGATCCATTCTTGTTTGAAATTAATTGCTTAACTTTTCTGCTACATGATCCAGTAAATTCCCCTTTTTGCTTAAGCCAGTTTTGTATGGGTTTTGCCCTTTATAAGCAACAGAGTCCTGAGCCTTCCCAAGCCACAGCTTTAAGCCTAAGTCACAATTACAACTGAAAGATTGAAATTGTTCTTCATGTCTACCTCCACCCTTTCCTGCAGTGTCCTCCGCAGTACTTCCAAGCACTTAGCACTAGAGTGCACATTTCTCATAAAAGGGGAACACATTCATTGGGTTCAGCAGACTTCCTGAAACACCTTAGATACAGACAGCACACTCTCCAATTAGCAACGTAAAGACCACACCATCATCATTGCTTTCTGCTTCCTGGTGTTGGTAACTAGATCCCTTGCAGCTGTCTGCACCCCTGAATCCTCCTATTGTTTTGGGGATTAAGGGCTGGAGTATGAAGTGTGTTCAGAGGTTGACAGCCATGATTATTATGAGTGCTCAAATGTTGGAAGGGCTCCCAAGGAAGGGCGTGGAAAAGTACGCCTATGTGTACCTTTATTATGCAAAACAAAAACTAACAGATAAAAGCCATGAAAAGCAGCTTGACTTTTCTGATAAATACAGCTTTGGGCAATTATATTTTTAATAAACTCCTCCAGATGATTTTGCAGGACACCTGAAGTCGGGAGTTCGAGACCAGCCTGACCAGCATGGAGAAACCCCATCTCTAACTAAAAATACAAAATTAGCCAGGCGTGGTGGCGGGCGCCTGTAATCCCAGCTACTCCAGCGGCTGAGACAAGAGAATAGCTTGAACTCGGGAGGTGGAGATTGCAGTGAGCCGAGATTGCGCCATTGCACTCCAGCCTGGGCAACAAGAGTGAAACTCCGTCTCAAAAAAGAAAAAAAAAAGAAAATCACAGCAAAGTTTAATATTCAATGATTGACTATATGAGGAAGGGACTCATGTGAAACTTAATGCTTGAGTTGATCAATATTAAGGTATATTATGAAATCTGGAATACCACCTCTATGCTAATGACTCCCAAGTTCAATACACCGAGGTCGAAAGACTCCTTTAAACTTCAAACTTCTATATCCAGGTGCCTGCTTAATAGGCATCTCAAATAGAATTTTTGATGTTATTATCTGCACTCAGTTGCTGCCAGTCTCCCCCACCTTAGTAAAGAATACCATTATTGACCTATTTGTTCAGGCCAAAAATCTTGGAAGTCGTGCATCTTTGGCTCTTCCCTTTCCCTGACATTCACATCCAACCCAACAGCACATTCTTCCACAGTTGATCCCTTCAAAGTTGATCCCAAATCAGACCATCCCTCATATCCTTCATTACTGCTAATCTCATCCAAAGCACCATCATTTCTTACTGACAGCTGCCTTAGCCTCTTAAGTATCCTCAGGCTTCCTCTCTTGTCTCTTGGAAAAAAATCCTCCACCCAGGAGGCAAAGTGATCTTTTAGAAATGCAAATCAGATTATTTCTTTCCTCTAACCCTTGATTTGCTTTCCATCACACACCCAGTGTGATGGTTAATATTAGGTGTCAAGTTGATTGGATCGAAGGATGGCTGGTAAAGTATTGTTTCTGGGTGTGTCTGTGAGGATGTTGCCAGAGGAGATTAACATTTGAGTCAGTGGATTGGGAGAGGAAGACCCACCCTCAGTGGTGGTGGGCACCGTCCAATCAGCTGCCAGCACAGCAAGAACAAAGCAGGCGGAAGAAGGTGGGATAAGCTGGCTTGCTGAGTCATCTGGCTTTCATCTTTCTCGTGTGCTGAACGCTTCTTGTCCTTGGACATCAGACTGTAGGTTCTTCAGCCTTTGGACTCTTGGACTTATACCAGTGGTTTTCCAGGGGTCCTCAGGCCTTCAGACACAGACTGAAAGCTGTACTGTTGGCTTGCCTACATTTGGACACAGACTGAAAGCTGTACTGTTGGCTTGCCTACATTTGGACTCAAACTGAGCCACTGCTGGCTTCTTCCTTCTTCAGCTTCCACACAGCCTATCGTGGGACTTTGCCTTGTGATCAGGAGAGTTCATTCTCCTTAATAAACTCCCTTTTATATATACGTATATCCTATTAGTTCTTTCCCTCTGGAGAACCCTAATACAGCCAGAATGAAATCCAAAGTCCTTAAGTTGGTCTACACATAAACATATATGGCTTGCCTGCTTCTCTTCCTAACCTCATCACCTACCAGGACATACAGCCAACATCCATCCTCTGCACTAGACATGCAGAGTTCTTATTCTGCCTCTGGAACTTCATTCCTGCCTCAGAGACTTTGCACTTAGTTTTTCTTCTTTCTAGAAATCAACTTCCCGCTTACTCCTGTGGCTGACTACCTCTCTTTCTTCAGAGCTCTGCTCAGTTGTTACTCCATCAGAGAGGAGGTCCCTATCCACCCTATAACACAGCCCCCAGAATCGCCACCTGCTACATACAAATGCTCCACACCGACTCTTACCTTGATTTATTATTCTTCATGGCACATATTCTAGTATGTATTTTTAAGATCTATTTCTCTGTTTCCCTCACTAGAATGCAAGCTCTCTGAAGGCCCAACAATTATTTCATTCACCACTGTGTCTCCCTTGCCTTGCAGGGGCCTTCTCATATCAGGACGCAATAAACATTTGTTGAATTAACTAATTAACAACCAAGTGCCAGCTTCAGCCATAGCAGCCTCAGAGCTCCCATTTTTACCTTCTCCCCATACCTTTGGGAAAACATCACTCACCTGCAGTTTCCCCATAGATAGGGGCATTCATCTTAAAGAGAGAAATAATTAGCACTCAGATATGCTAAGCATCACTCTGGGGCAGGTATTACACCTAGCCCTTTGCCTGCAAGGTCTCATGAATTTCAAGAACAACACTATAAGAAAGTTAATGATAATTGTCCCCATTTTGGTGACAAGGAAACTAGGATATGAAGAGAGGTGCCTTGTTCAAGGCCTAGGATGCAGACAACTCAGAATTGAACCCAAGCCTTCTGACCTCACAGTTGCACCGTTCCTCTTCCTCATCTCCTCTTTATCCTCAACATGCTGAGCAAGTTTCCCAGAATCGTAACAAGCAATAAACAACAACAACAAACAGGCTATTCCCTTTTTTTTTTTTTTAAGCTTTTGATATGTTTCACTGGGTTTTTAATGAAGACATACCAAAAGAAGGTAAACTGTAGGTAGGGAGATGCAGTTATGACACAAGAAAAATGTGACCTTCTTCTAATCCCACCACTGCACCTCTAGGATTATATAGATGACCTCATTTGGCAGTAATAATTTCAGTAATAACTGGAGGCACCTGGCTGCTGGAAGTCCTAGGCTAAAAAGCCCTACTTCCACATGTTTCTCACTTTGCAATAGGCCCTGACAATGATGAAAAGAGCTTAATTGAGAAGTCCATTGCAGCTGGTGGGACCATAGAGGCAAAAGCCAAAACCTGGTGCAGGGATGTCCAATCTTTTGGCCTCCCTGAGCTACACTGGAAGAAGAATTATCTTGAGCCAAACATAAAATACATGAACAGTAATGATGAGCTAAAAAGTAAATAAATCAGAAAAAAAAATCTCATAATGTCTTAAGAAAGTTTACAAAGTTGTGTTGGGTTGTATTAAAGCCGTCTTGGACCGTGGGTTGGACAAGCTTGACCTAGTCGTTGAGTTCAGAATCCCCATCCCCAGGCCTCCTGCATTAGTGTAATGGCACAATCCACATACGGGGGCGTGTGCACCAGGCCAGAAGAATGTGTTCTTCTGAGTTCTCACTTGCTTGGCCACTTAGCTAAGCCCCAATGACCAAAGCTGATTCAGACCTTGGTCACACCCACTTCTTTTTTATTTGGGGAAATGCTAAGAGAACAAATCTCTTAAGATTTGTCTTTATTATGACTCATGCATTTCAGAGTTTTCTCTTGCTTTTCCTTTCTTATTTTCTTTTAAGCTGAAGTTGTCAAAACGGGGGTACTGTCTCAGTGTGCAGGTTGCACACTGCTCAACTCTGGGTAGCACCATTTACAAAGACCACAAAGTGAGACTCAATAGCTCTGGCTAAGGTGCTTTGGTGCCCTTTAAGTTCTGGAGCCTCATTTTTTTCATTTGTAAATAGAAGATAAAACCTAACTTATTCCCTGAAGTCATTTGAGGATGTATTGAAATAATAGAGGTAAACATGATTCATGAATTGCAAAGTTTATTAGAGAGGGCGTGAGAGTGTCTGTGTTGGGGTGGGGTGAGAGGGTTGACTAGCTGCATTTCTATAAGCAGAATTCCATTGTTACAAATGGCTCACTTTATCCCTAGAATGGAGGCTCCCAGCCTACCCTCTACTTACTACATGGGAATGTTTATTCAGAGTACAAACAAATGTAAAGAATTACAATTTTTACACCACCTCCCTCAAAAAATATATGCTAGATAAAATAAAACAAAATAAAACAAAATAAAATAGTGTAGGCTCATTTTTTAAGTGGTTGCTATTTAACCAGATATTTAAAAGGTGAACTCTGAACTCCGAGGTATCCTTGAGCAAGTAGGTCCATGTCCACATAATCTCAATCTAAATTTTTAATCAAGAAGACACCTCTTTCAATCAGATTTTTACAGTGAAATAAATGTTGTTTTCAGGATACATTTGATGAAATGGATATACCAATCAGGAGAAAAGTGAAATAGCCAAGCAAATCAGACATTCCATCTTAGTCCAAGCACGACCAGCCCAGAAGCAACAATAAAGTCCTGCCAGAAAAACTGATGTTATCGCTAGGGAAATAGGAATTTCTTGAGCCATGTTTTGACTCCCCTTATAGAAGAGAGAGCAGTGTGCTGTAGCCAGGAAATAATTATAATACAAAGCTTCGGCCATCTGTGTGATTTTTGAAAATCGAACTGCTCTAAAATTACATGGAGACAATCACATTCTGGGTTGCCTTCACTTCGTATTTTCAATTAGTGAAAGAGTAGACGATTTCAGCTGCTTACAGTTTCTCTGCTCAATAAAAGCAATTCACAGTTACATTATTTTTTTAATTGATCTTCATTCATTAGTGCCAAATGAGAGAAATAATTGGGCTCTAATTACCCTGGCATCTGAGTAAGTGGTAGTATAATTTTCCGTTTGGCTCCAAAGTAGTCTCAGTAATTAAGTCATGTCTCTCCTGCTATCTAATTTAAGAACCTGAAAGAAATGAAAGAGTGAAAAAAAAATTGACAAAAACTTAATCACAAGCCTTATTGATATGCAACTTCTTTCCTATCTGCAGCTTCATTTTGGTTTTAATCAGGACTGGGGCATAATGCCAAATTCAGGGAAGATGGGAGCAAATAGCAAACTACATTAAAAGCATAAGTCTCCTCCATTGCTTATTTGAGATAGAAATCCAATGCTCAAAAACGTTTAATGCTAAGATGGACAGAAAAATAAATACCAACCCACAGCATGCCTGAGTGTTTTTATTTTGATTAACATTAATTTGATTGCAATCCGATCACTTTCGAAACCCAGATAAAGATGTAACATGAATAATTATGATAGTTATTCACTTATATTTATATAACCCCTCATAGTTTTCAAAATTCTTTAACGTACGTTATCTCATAGGAACCAGAGAGGCAGTGTAACTTTGTACTTAAGATGCCAGACCTGGAGTGAGATCCCCTGGGTTCTAATCTGAACTCTACCATTTCCTAGTTTAGTACAACCTTGGGACAAGGAATTCATCTCTCTGTGGCTCATTTTCTTCATCTGTAAGATGGAGATGATACCAGTACCTTTCTCCTATGTATGTAATAATAGGTAACATATATGTAATAATGCTTAGAACATTGACGTATAGTAAGCTTGCCCTAAATGGCAGCAAATGGTTGAGTCTTTCAGAATAATTATAAACCCAAAGTTAAGTAGTGTGGTATAGAACAAGGGTTGGTGGCTGGGTGCGCTGGCTCACACCTATAATTCCAACACTTTGGGAGGCTGAGGTGTGGGAGGATCGTTTGAGGCCAGGAGTTCAAGACTAGCCTGGGCTACCCCTTTGGCAAGACCCTGTTTCTACAAAAAATTTTTTTAAATTAGCTGGGGGCAATAGTGTGCACCTATAGTCCCAGCTACTTGGGAGGCTGTGGCAGGAGGATCCCTTGAGCCCAGGAGTTCGAGGTTGCAGTGAGCTATGGTTGCACCACTGCACTGTGGCCTGGTGGTGACAGAGCAAGACCCTGTCACACACACAAAAAAAAAAAAAAAAAGAGAGAGAGAGAGAACAAAGATTGATAAACTATGTTGCCCATTTTAGCATGGCTTATGAGCTAAGAATGATTTTACTTTTTTTAATGGGTGGGGAAAAAAACCAAAGAATAAGAGTAATTAGTGACATGTGAAAATTATATGAACTTCAAATTCCAGTGTCCACAAATAAGATATTATTAGAACATAGCTGCACCCATCATTTATGTATTGTTTATGGTCACTTTCATGCTACAATGACAGAGCTAAATAGTTGTGACAGAAACCACATGTCCTAAAAAGCCAAAAAGATTTACTATCTGGCCCTTTACAGAAAAAGTTTGCTGACTCTTCGTATAGGTGTTAAAGTAAGTTACAAGAGCAGGACCCTCAAAGTAAACAATTAGGAAAGAAGGGAACAGAAATCATTTTGCATTTTAAGAAAGAAGAAGCTGGGGTAGTACTTTGGAGCCAAACAAACCAGGTTGGAATCCTAACTCCAAACTTAGACTTCTCACCTGGAAAATGGATTATAATAATACTTACAATAATCCTGCATTCGTCACAAGATTGCTTTAAGGACTATACTAAATATATATGAAGCACTGAATATTCAATAACTTTTTAATAAATATTCACTATGTGGTGGACTTAGGCTATGGACATGTACAAAGGTCAAGGTCAAGAATGACAGAATGAGAAAATACAAAATCAAGTTCAGAAACTTCAGTCTGAGAATCAGAGAACCAAGTCAAAGTTCAGGAGAAAGAGGTTAGAGTTAGGAAGGATAGGAAATACACGTCCTCATTATTATAAACTTGGCAAGACTAAGGACAGGGAAACAGAATTCACCTGGATGCTTCTAACAATGTGGCCTCCACCTAACCCCTGCAGCGCTTTCCCCACCTGAGTGTGACATGTACTTGTGGTTTCAGCTGTTTCTATTATCCATATTTATCCCCAAGGGTGTAGCCAAGATGAGAAGTATGTACGCAGGAGTGAAAGAAGTTGATGTGTTCTACTGGGGATCTGTCGGGTTTGAGGAGCCAATGGGACAGTCAAGTATACATGAACAACAGACAACTGGAAGTGAGGAATTGAGACACAGCTACAGCCAGAATCCACTGGGGGAGTAGCGTTCATTAAGGTCCTCAAAGATGAGATCAAAAAGAACACATAGGTAAGGAAGATGAGGAAGCCAAGATCAGAACTGGTACAGATGTTGGCCAGGTGCCATGGCTCACGCCTGTGATCCTAGCACTTTGGGAGGCCAAGGTGGGTGGATCACCTTAGGTCAGGAGTTCAAGACCAGCCTAGCCAACAAGCCAAAACCGCGTCTCTACTAAAAATACAAAAATTAGACAGGCGTGGTGGCAGGCGCCTATAATCCCCGCTACTCAGGAGACTGAGGCAGGAGAATTAGCTTGAACCTGGGTGGGTGGAGGTTGCAGTGAACCACAATTACAGAGAAAGAGCAAAACTCCATCTCAAAAAAAAAAAAAAAAAAAAAAAAGAACCAGTACAGATGTAGTTGGCCAGATAGTAAATCTTTTTGGCTTTTCAGGACATATGGTTTCTGTCACAACTATTTAGCTCTGTCATTGTAGCATGAAAGTGACCATAAACAATACATAAATGATGGGTGCAGCTATGTTCTAATAACATCTTATTTATGGACACTGGAATTTGAATTTCATATAATTTTCACATGTCACTAATTACTCTTATTCTTTTGTTTTTTTCCATCCATTAAAAAAAGTAAAATCATTCTTAGCTCATGAGCCATGCTAAAATGGACAGCATAGTTCACCAATCTTTGTTCTCTTTCTCTTTCCCAACCCCTTTGTCATCGCTTCCTTTCATCTTGAAGTCTGGAAAGCCGATGCTCACTTAGCTGATTTCATCTCAAAATTCCAAGTTTGGGGGAGTTCTGGGTGACAGAAACCCGCTCAAACTCGTTTCCATTTTAAAAAAGGAATACACTATAAGAACACTAGACCATTTCAGAGACTACAAGAGTAAAAAAGAGGCAGACTTTACAATAAACTCTATTGGGAGGCTGAGGAGGCCCAATACATAGACTTCTTCATTTCTTCGGTTCTAAAGCAGTTGGAAAATAAGGCCGAAGGGTCAACAAATGAGAGACTATCAACTTTTGTGCACTTGTATATTCTCAGATCCTAATATAATAATGTCCAACATATGGTAGATACTCAGTGTTTACTTGCTGAATTGAATGAATGAAGGAGTATAAATAAATGAATGAAGTTTTTGTTATCCCAGGCAAGAACTTTTTAATGTAAAAGAATAAGGCCCAGATGATTAAATTTCAAAAACCAGTGGCAAGTAATGAGCATGTATTATAGCTTTTAACAATATGTTGAATATTGAATTAATGTCTGTCTCTCTCATGAGATTATAACTTCTTAAGGGTAGAGGTTGTGTCTGTTTTGATCATGATCTAGCACAGAGTCAACAAATGTTTCTGATAAAGGGCCAGATAGTAACTATTTTCATCTTTGCAGGCTATGTAGTATCTGTTGCAACTACTCAATTTTACTATTGTAGGACAAAAGCTGCCATAGACATATGTAATGAGTGGGCATGGCCATGTTCCAATAAAACTTTATTTACAAAAATAGAAAGTAGGCATATTTGGTCCACAGTCTGCTGACTCCTCTTCTAGCAAACAGAGTTCAATAAATACTGAATGAATGAATATTCAGTATCAACTCGGTATCAGCTCAGGAAGATCTCACACTGTGCCCTGACGAACATCAGTGTAAATGATGTCTCCTTCCTTTCCTTCTCTACTGCAGATTCCGTCAGATCCTCAGGTTTTATTCACTTAATTTGGTTGTCAGTTAAGAGTCATCCAGAATACAGGAGGATGACACAATGATAATATTTTTTAATTTTAAAAAAAAGAAGAATTGGGGGTTCTCATAGTAGACCTAGAGCAAAGGAAAAACTGATTTGTCAGATTTGAAGTGGCCCAGATATGAGAAAGCTATATGCAAGTGATTTTATGAGACAACCACCTGGGCTTTCAGGTCAAAAGGCCCAAGTTCAAATCTCTTTCTGTCACCTCCTATCTATGTGACATTGAGGAAGTGATGTCTTAGTGATGAGCCTTAGTCTCCTGACCTGTAAAATGGAGATAACAATACCTTCTTTGCAAAGTGATTGTGAGGATGAGATAGAGTTTGTAAACACTTAGATTTGCTTATGATGAAAAAAATGCTCAACAAATCTCAACTTTGTTAGTGCTGATATTATCATTGTTTTTATTCAGTTCTGAAACTCTTTTTTAAAAATGGATTTGTTATTCTCCCAAAGATCTGCAAAATGCCATTTGGCCCCAACCAACCTTCATGAAAAATTCAAGACCTTTACTCAATGTACACATTTCCTTTGACATCATTACACAATGCAGAACATGTGCGCAGTTACAAAGGAGAAAACAAGGCTTTGTGGCATAAATTATTGATATATTTTGAAGCATATGCAAAATGAGACATGGGGGAGGGAAATAAAGTGAATAAAGAGATGAATTTGAAAGAAACACAATTTACAAGCACAATTAAGTCCCTATGAAATGATCCTGGCCAAGTAACAATAATTTAAACAGGCTGCCTATAAATTAGGGAAAATTAAGTTCATTAAACTTGTTTATTGGCAGGGGTGGTGGGTGGGGGGTGGTTATTCTAAAGCCATATTCCTCATGTTACCCCCAGCAAACAACAGGGCTTATCTTTAACAAGAAAATAATGTTGATGTATGTAATCAGCATGCCTTAATAGAGAAGGGAAAGAATATTCGTCTTTGGGGTGTTTTGCAGAATCCAGCTAGACTACAAAGTGCAAGAAATTCAACCATCATTTGGTTAATTCCCCACCACCACGCGTGGGTGCACACACATATTTTGTCATTGTAATTAAGGAGTTATGTTCTTTCCCCCAGAGTGTCTCTAGCTATAGAGTTTCTCAATTAACATTGGCTCCTGTGAGAAGCCCGATATGTAACCTGAATAAGAGCTAAGTAACACTCAAGTGTGCAAGTAACCCTTAAGTGTGCTCTCGTTTCCTTTCCAGTTGTATATTTCATCTATCCTTACAAACAAATTTCAAACAGGAGCCACAGAAATTGCTTCTCCCTAAGCAGAACTTTTCTTCCAAGTGGAGAGCAGGTGAATTTTACCAAAATAAATGGATCTTCAAATAAAAACAGAATTATTGGTCTTGCAGAATTTGAAACATCATTCATCTTATTTTGTATTTTGTTTTTTTTTTATTTCCTGTAATGCTTGGAATCTGAGGACAATACAGTGAGATGCTCCTATAATTTCTTAACCTGAAATTGTGAGAAATAGGAATGCTTCCAAAGAGACAGGGTATATGGGAAACCGGTAGAAAGAAACAAAACCAAGTCTCTTTCTCTTCCCTTAATCCTAACTGCTCAGAACTTCTGTCCAGAAAGCCTTTCTCACAACTGTTTTGGTACTTATCAAGTTCTACACCAACTTAAAAAAATTATCAGATACATATTGAATCTGCAGGCTTCCTGAGTACAGCAAGTCCTTGACTGCAAAACTTACTGTCTTTTATCTTTCTATTTGTCTTGTCTACAGAAATAGGACCCCAAACTCAAATGCCCACAGGGATCAACAGAATATAAATTAATGTAACAAGCCAGATATTTCCACATTAAATACATAGATGTATTCTTTACTTCTACAAAGAAATACACTCTTTCCATCTTTCTTGAAAGATATGGTCATCTGTACTTTTTTTTCACTCTTCTGAGTCATGGATACAGAGAAATATTTCCTCACTGCGTAAAGTGCTTTTGCAAGCTCAATAACAAATGGCAATTTGCGCTGTCGTGTGGGAAAAACAATGGTGAGCGGTAGGCTTTGTGGTGAGCTGAGAATACAGTGGCCTCACCCAGAGAAGGCTGAGGCTGCTGAGCAACACAGTAAATAAGGAACCAACCGGGAAGGTTTGTGTGAGGGATAACAAGCACCTCCTTAGAACAGTACCTGGCACTGATCAATCATTCAACAAATATTAGCTGTCATTATTATTGTCATATCATTGTCACTGGTTGGAAATGTGTGGGGTTGGAAATGAGAATTAGTGCTGAGTTAGGTCTGTAGCCAGAGATCAATTTGCATTTAAAGAAACAATTTATTCACTTTTTCCATTCCTGCCCCATGCTTTTTGTCCTCAGATTTCTTTCCTGATTTTCTCTCAGGAACACGCCTCCCCACCCCACCCCAATACCCAGAAGCAAAATCCTACATAGGCTTCAGGCTCAACTCCAAAACTCAAGGGCCTCCTGCTGCTCTATTCTGCCCTCAATTTAGAATCCAAATTTTCATAGCCCTTTGTCCAGCAGTGTGCTGAAGCGGGCTTGTACCAGCTCAAGAACAGCAATTGTTAAATTTTCAGGAATTTTCTAAGCCAGTTGTTCAACACAGCACCGTTTAAAATCAAATTATATAAAATTAAAATTCAATGAATTATATTAAAAACAAAAATAATACACTTCCTAATTATTTTACTGTTGATACATTTTACTGCTATGTTTTTGAGATTATTTAGGTGTATCCTATCTGTATGGTAGAGATACTATTTAATGGTGGGCTACTACACGTCTCTTCGCAACTCTTTGTTCAGTGATTTCAGTTGGGTAGTTTAAAGTTAGCCATGATGAAAATAGTTACATTATGGAAACCAGCAATCACTACAAATCAGGGCTTCTTCCCATGCCACAATTGAGAGCCAGGTGTTAACTATTTAGTGGAATAACGTTGCTTTTATCCTTCTATTGAATGCTCATAATTTTTAAAAAATCTACACCTCTCTTAGGACACTGTGTTCTTCTTTGTATTACACATCATTGGTTACAAGTCGTAAAATTTCTTCTAGACTACATTCCTGGAGGCCAGGATAGATATCTTGTTCACATTTTTATTCTCCAAAGCACCTAGCACAGTATATGTTCAATATGTATTTATCACATGGAATTAATTACAAGTCATAACTCAGTTCTGGGAAATGGAAAGATGGGCTCAAGCATCACATTTAAGTAAAAGAACATACTCTCTCTGTGCATCGACCAAATCAAAACGGGAAGAGTTGGATGCAGGGAGGCCAGCCAGAAGCTGGTTGCCAGAGGAGTTTGTAAGGGAAGAGACAAGGTGAAGGGACGTGCATTCAGGGGTGGTGTGGATGGAAAACGACAGAAAGAGGAGATCAAATTTGGACATAATTACTTTGGGGACACTGATAATATTGAAGTCCTTATTTTCTTCGTTTCTTATATTGGGATAAATAATTCTCCTTCACAAATCTCTCTGCTTCTTCTAAGTCTTTCAAATGATTTGGTTGAAAGTATGTGAGAATAGAAGCTAGAGTGATTTTCTGTGCCAATCCTTGGTATTTCAGATGTCAATTATTTCCTTCCTGCCTGCCCACACCTCTTTCTAAGGGGAACCACCCTATGTAGAACCATTACAGCCCACATGGCCTTGTTTTCTATCCTGAGACCTTGCTTCCGTGGCTGAGTGGCTCAGGGATGTTTAATATCTGACCCAGTAGGCTGGCCAGTGATGTGCTAAATGTGAAAAAACTGAACCGGCCAGTCACATCATCGCTCGTAGGAATTTCACCTGGGAAACACAGAGAGCTGGAGCCAGTTAGAATGGGTAGAAAGAACTGAAAGGGTGCCACAAAGATGATACAGATTAGAACTGGTGCCACGGCAAACAGAAGCAGCAGAATTTTTGAAAAAGCAGAAAAAGGCGTTTAGTGGATAGAAGAATTTGCAGCAAATAGACTGTGAGAAAGACAGTGATTGTAATAGCTAGGTCATGGGGCTGTTTTAGTTCCTTGTTTAACAGTTATAGTTCATAGTTGTAGACACAGGAAATGTAAGTTATCTACCCAAGGTTCCACACAGTAAGCAGTCTGACTTCTCAACCTCAGACAGGTGATTTTTCTAAAACAGATAAGTGGTATATTGGCTACCACTCCTACTCCATGCCCCAGACAGAAATGGCTGGATTAAACCGGTAACATTTATCATGAAGCCTGAATTTAGCTACTAAACTCTACTCACACTAAGCTCTCAGCAGCCACTCTGTGATTAAGAATGATTGAGTCTATTACTTATATGTTCATTCTGCTATAAAATCCATTACAAAATATTGTTCAATGATATTGATAAGTTTCTTTTCAAAAGTCAAAAAATGATCAATGAAATTAGTTAAAATCCAAATAAAATATCCAACAAATTTTAAATGTTTTTTGAATAGGATATGGCTTATAATTTTGGCCAGCTATGAAGAACTTGGATTCATTAAAGAAAAAGAAAGAAAGCTATTTTTTAGATAGAGACATGGTAAAGAAATTAAACCCCATTATGGAAATCGAACTAGAAAACCACAGAAAAAGACAAAAAATATATAAAAAATTAAAGATCATCAGCAAACAATTGCCCATAGAATGCAAGACTTTTCTAATGATGTCAAAGATCAAATTATTCAAAATATGAAAAAATTGCAACTACTTTCTTGTAGCTTTCTTTTTTAGCAGGTACACTGCCCAATTATTACTCTGGGTATATTTGATCTTAAAGGATTTCCAAATTGACTAAGAAATGCTAAATCAAACAAAAAAGTCAAACTTGGATATATATTTTTCAACTTTTCATGTCTGCCAAAGAAGCATTTTAGCTAGATATGAAAGTTTCTATCATGATGGATGGCATTCCAGGTATGTTAGGTCAAACATTCAAAGTTAATGCAACTTTAAAGCAAGAGATGGGTGATCCCTTTATTGTTTGGTTCTACTATA
Organism: Homo sapiens; assembly: GCF_000001405.40. Lineage (NCBI taxonomy): Eukaryota > Metazoa > Chordata > Mammalia > Primates > Hominidae > Homo > Homo sapiens. The sequence continues at coordinate 73,671,528 of NC_000003.12, read as the reverse complement.
AGATTTATATTGAAAATATTTGTGCTCCATTTTCTTAAAGAATACTCTATGAAAAGTGTCATGGTACAATTGTTAAAAATCATTCAGTATATGTGCAAATGCTCGAAATTATTGCCGCATTATAGATTTGCTGATGAGAATAGAAGGCAATGATTGTAATGATCTTATGTATTTTGTCAATATCACTGGTTGAGTGATGGAAGAGTTTTATAAAGATTTAACTCCAACCCTAGATTCTCTTGAAACAAAATGAATGCTTGCCACATATTCAATAATCAAAACCAAAAAATGTCAGGATGATTTTGTTTCCACCAATATCACACTAGATTTGAACAAGCTAAATTTGAAGCTTATTTGTGACCCAGCTAGACAACTATGAGAATTTATGTTAAAATGTAAACTTCTCATAATACAAATCAATAATGATTTCATGTATTTTCTAACATTAGTCAAAATGAAGAAGATAATTATTATAAGTGCTAGCCTTATACAAAGTCGCTTCCAAAACTACAAGAAAAAATTGAGGAATACTTTGTTATTAGAAAAATTGAGAGTTGCTTTTCAATTTATCTTATACCTATTTTGATTTGATGTTAATAATTCTGAAGTGACGTAAGAGAAGTGAATTTGTTTAATCTGGACACTATCTGAAACTGATATGTGAATCTAGTTTTTCAAGTGTAAATTTGGAGAATTTCCAATGCAAATAGAGTATTCAAATTGAGATGTGCTTTTTTTCCCCCTGCACTCAGCTTGTGGCCCCACCAATGATCTTCTCTCTGTCCTATGAGATGTATTTTAACTGTAAAATATGCACCAAATTTCAAAGACTTAGTATTAAAAAATTAAAATATCACATTAATCATTTTTATATTGATTTTATGTTGATACGATACGGTTATGGATATACATGCTTAAATGAAATGTACTATTAAAATTAATTTTACCTATTTCTTTTTACTTTTTAAAATGTGGCTACTAGAGAGTTTAAAATTGCCTATTGACTGACATTGTATTTCTATGAGACAGTGCTACTCTAGAGATGTGACACTTTTATGTCAAGATTTGTGCCCACAACCTTAGGTTTTCTCAATTATTAAGAGAGTATTAAGATACCAAAATCTACAATGTAATGTCTATTTTTGTCTATGGGATCCCACCGAACTTCAATTTTAACATCTGTAATATTATTTTACAATCTGACCAATGAAATCAGCACCCTGTACTAACAACATAGAGATATCCTACAGCTGAATATTAACAACTGTAAAGTATGTAGCTCATTGGGCCTTTCATAATTGTGTCTTAATGCTTGGAATATGTGTGCTGGCTTGACAGATGAGAGTAGCATAACTTAGTCAAAAAGTGAAATTACAGGGCAACTCTAAGAGTTATAGTACTGAAATTCATATCATTCTCAAGATCAGCAGATGTTGCCATTATACTACATACATCAATGTCTTCTGCTAGGGAAAAAGATAGATGGATGGATGAATGAATTAGATGAGATTGAAGTTTATATAACATATATATAGGCTGTAGGCTATTTCCACATTTCTTCATCTCTATTTTTTCCAAGAGAAATGTCAAATATTATTTTTAAATATATCAACAACCAACTCATTTTGTCATTATATGTTTTCTTGACTCTACAATGATTGTTGGAATAATCTATGCCTGTAAACACTTAAATACAAGTTCACATGCTTACAAACAACCAAAAGACAAAAGGATCAATAAACCTCCAATTAATTCCCACTGTACAGATACTCTGCTTTATTTTGGAGGCTTACCAAAGGGTAAAAGAAAAATCTTTTTTTAATAGAAGAGAAAATGAGATGATGTAGGAAAAGTACTGAACCAAGTTTCACATTAGTGCAAAAAAACTCATTAAGTTATTGAAAATGTAAGAAATGAAAGAAAAGGAAGTGGCTCCTGGTAGTAATACGTTACGGAACTAGAAGAATCTTTAGCATTCACATTATTATTTGGTTGATATTTTAGAGATGACACTGAGGCTAGGAGGAGGGTGGATATGACTCACCCAGGGTCATAGCTGGGGATAGCATAGAGCTCCAAGCCAGTCCGGTTCTTTTTTATCTCCATCCCACATGGTATACAGTCCACATCTGGTCATGTAAAACAAACAGGGCTTTCATTTATTTTTTTCCTTCATAAATGCAGGAAGTATCTGCATTTCCAAGGAAAATATTTATGTATTTTTAAAGTGGATTCTAAGACCAATTGAATACACAAATTAAAACAAACAAATATACTTGCCTGCTGGCCAATGCATTTCTGAGGCCCAGTTTTGCTTTACACATGAAAACAGATATAAAGGTTTAACTGGAATAAAAGAGTGCCTTTGATTTTGTTATCTTGTTTTTGGAAGAATCTATGCCCCTCCTTCCCCTTAACATTCATTTCATCAAATGGTGTTACTGCCTTAGCAAAAACACAACAAAACAAAACAAGGCAGAAGTGATTTGAAAACCTTAAAGTTGTATTTCAGGTGTTCTTAAAGGAAAATGGATGAGTGGGCAGTGAGCATTTTTAGGGTTCCATTTTCACTTCAACATAGGATTGTGAACTTGTTAACCTAAAGTGTCAGCACAGATTTGGAGAACTATTTTTCATTTAAGAATGGCCAACCTAGCTTTCTTTTTCCATTTTAATGGAACAGTTACAAAAGCCCATCATGGGGCCACTACAGAAAAAGCTCATTATCTCAAGGCCATGTGACATCCTCAGCTCAGTAGCCAAAATAATCTCAAGAAATTAAAGAAAAAGAATGGTACCCCACTGCACTTTATAAACATGATTAAAGTCAATGTAGGTGGGGATAAAATAGGCTTAGATCTCTGAGGTTTCTATATTTGAATGAACTGCGTTGACTTTGTGGCTGTGAGAGCATGCCACCCTGGTATCTTCCCCATAGTCATGTTGATTAATTGGCTAATGTAAATTCCAAGGAGTCTCACTGGATAGATTAAAGAAATAGCAGTAGGTCATGTTAAGTTTAAAATTAATTGTGGAACTTAATCATCAGTAACAACCATGAAATTCATCCTTGAAATATTTTCCAAAGGCCAAATAAGATGTAATAAACAAGAAACCATTATAAATATTAAAATGCAGCCCTTTCTAATCTAGACAATATTGGAGCTCTAAAAAGAGCCATTTAACTGGTGTTTGGGCATTTTTCTTCCACTGTTTTCTCTTAACAAGCCTATACTCATGTACCTAGTCCCATGTTAACGTCTTCATCCTTATATTCATTGTCATCTGACTGCCCCCAAGTCAGGACAAAGGACAGCCATCAATAATTGCTGTCATTGGCGACTCTAGGCCACAGCTGCAAGTTAGACTCTTCCTCTGACCCCATCTACAGGGTTCGCTGCTGGATGACCTTGGTCAGCCTGAAACCTGCTCAGCAGAGCTCTCACTGGGCCTGGTCATTAGACTCCAGGCCAAAAGTTGCTAGGGTCAGTGCCAAGAATCTTGTGTTCAACTTACTGCTTCCACCAGCATGGTTCTTTGAGCCTTCCTCTGGCTTGACAAGAAGCCACCTTGTAGAGGAGAGAAGTTTATGACATCAATAATTTTTTTTTTGTTAAACTTTTAGACTTGTTGGTTCTGCCTCCAAAAATATATCTCAACTCTGTTCTTTTGGATGCTTGGAAGACTCCATTTTGACAATCTACCCCAAGCCACTGTCAACTCTCATCTGAATAGAAAAATGACCTCCTTTCATTCCATTCGCCCATGATTTATTTTCACCCAGCAGGAAAAATAAGTAAATAAAAATACCTCTTCAGAATATAAATTAGAGTGTATCTATGTTTAAAATCCTCTGACGGGCCGGGTGCAGTGGCTCACGCCTGTAATCCAGCACTTTGGGAGGCCAAGGCAGGTGGATTACCTGAGGTCAGGAGTTCAAGACCAGCCTAGCCAACATGATGAAACCCCATCTCTACTAAAAATACAAAAAATAGTCAGGCATGGTGGCAGGTGCCTGTAATCTCAGCTACTTGGGAGGCTGAGGCAGAAGAATCACTTGAACCTGGGAGGCAGAGACTGCAGTGAGTGGAAATCACACCACTGCACTCCAGCCTGGGCAATAAAGCGAGGCTTTGTCTCAAAAAAAAAAAAAAGAAAGAAAAAAAATCCTCTGATGCGTTCATTAACTATAACCCACAATGTCTCCCTAGTACCCATCCTCATTTACACTCAGGGCCAGCTAAAAAACCTGTAGGGCCCACTGCAAAATGAAAATGTGGGGCCTCATGTTCAAAAATTATTAAAAATTTCAAGATGGTGACAGGAAAGTATTAAAACAAATGTGGGACCTTTCTAATGATGCCAGCCCTGTCTCCACTGCCACCATGACTAACCATCCAACATATTATATTCTTTTTGCAACCAGTACATTGGAGCACTGAATCCTGCTTTGGAAGACAGAACTGTGTGTATGCCATGCATTCCCATCACTGTAGAGTAGCAGGGTTTTGGAACATATCTTTCTGGCATTTTTCCTTTATGGTTGCCACTATTTTCAACTGTTACCTCTTTGGAACAGTACAGCACCTGTAGTGATATCACCTTATGTAGGTATAGGAAAATCAAGAAAAGTAAGAATGTTTCACTCTGCGGTTTTACTGGTATATCCACAAGGAAATATAATTTATGGTAATAAAACAGGTTCCCATGACATGTACTTTTAAATAAGAAAAGAGCACAATGTCACAGAGATTAAAATCAAGGAAGCTGCAAGTACAGAAGATTGGACTGACCAACATGATTAGTTGATAGTAGTCTATCTACCAGTTACTAAAGCTCATTTGTTGACTTGGCCCTAGAACCCCATTGTCTAGTATTTAAGTCACTTTAGTACTTCCTTGACATGACTTTTTAAAATAGCAGTAGTGATAGTCATAATAATTGTGATATATTGAGTTCTTATCATCTATCCAGCAGTGTTCTAGGCATTTGACTGACACCGATCCACATTTCAGGGGGCATACCATTATAATGGTTTTACAGATAAGCAAAATAAAGCCTAAGGAAGTTAAAGAATTTGACCAGTGGTCAATGCTTCAGCCAAACCTATGCCATCTGGCTTCCCAAGTGTGTGTTCTTTCCTCTACCAATTAGCACCCACCAAGTCAGTTATTTCTGAAAGGATAGTCAATGGACTACTGCCTCCAAGTACCTGGGAGCTTGTTAAAAGTACAGAGAGCCTTGCTTAAGACTTAGAGAATCAGATTCTCCATGACTGGGGTCTAGGATACTGTGCATGTGTGTGTACATGTGCATGCGAGTGTGTGCTTTAGCAAGTTCCTGGTAAATCTTTTTTTTTTTTTTTTTTTGAGATGGAGTCTCGCTCTGTTACCCAGGCTGGAGTGCAGCGGCACGATCTCCGCTCACTGCAAGCTCCGCCTCCCAGGTTCACGCCATTCTCCCACCTCAGCCTCCTGAGTAGCTGGGACTACAGGCTCCCCACTACACCCGGCTAATTTTGTTTCTGTATTTTTAGTAGTGACAGGGTTTCACTGTGTTAGCCAGGATGGTCTCGAACTCCTGACCTCATGATCTGCCCGCCTCAGCCTCCCAAAGTGCTGGGATTACAGACGTGAACCACCACGCCTGGCCAGTTCCTGGTAAATCTTATACAAAGTAATTTGAAAATTGCTGCTCCAACTATCCTCCTTCTTCACGCATTTGTCTTCTGGAGAAATCTTCCCCCCTCCTCTGGTCCTTTCTGGAGGCATTTGAGTTCTCTGGTCTTTATTTTATCTTAGTAAATGATGGGATAGAATTTAGCATATGGCATAGCATGTTTTCCATGCTAGTGAGCTATGCAATTCAAGCAAAGACACAGTGAAAAAGTTAACTAATCCCATACAACAAAACCTAAAGCAGATCATTTTCCCACATATGATATGAAACAAGATAGGCAAAACAAGGCCCTGAATGCTCGGATGCACACTTTGCATCTGCCTCCATGCATAGAAGGTCATTTGTTATAATACATGTGACATTCCACAGCACAGCCTAGGGCTCTGAAGATCATGAGCTGCATGGAAGAGTGAATCCAAAGGGATGACACAAAACAGACAGTGAGATGAGAGCCATCTCTGACCTAAGGACCATTTACAACATTGCATGATCAGCATTGCACTGAATTCCCTAAGTTATGCTGAGCTTACATACGTTTTGAGATCTTGCCTCCTATCACTAAAGAAGATTGCAAAATCTTACTATGTAAGCCCTCAACCTATGTTTTCCTCCACCTAGTCTATATCTTGTCATTAAATTCCAGCCTATGTTTACTTTCCAAATACCAAGTCATGATGTCATGTTATTGAAACTGCATTCTATTTTAATTAATTATACCAGTTCACATATATATCACTCTTCAGGTTCACTTGGATCTTGTATTTTAGGAGTCATCTCTTACCAGTAAAAAGTGAAAAGACAGAAGGTGGCTGGTTGCCTGTAATAATTATCTGCCTTGTGAAGTCGGAGGAGAAATATGAAATAATGGAATCTGGCCCCAGGATTTTTAAAAATCAGTATGCAGGAAAAAATAAAAACATTGCCAAAATAAAGAATTTTATACCAACATCATGAGCATGCCTTGTGAGGTGAGAATTCATCCAAGTACAAATAATAAATAGATGGGAGAGAAACAACATTATTAGGCTTACATTTTCCAATTAGCATGCAGAGCATAAAAGTTCTAACAAGATGTGAAATCCTTTCTATGCCTGAGGACGGGGAGCTAGGTGAAATCATCATATCTCTCTGCAAAGGGAAACCTCCCTTTCAAAGGCCTTTGCTTTGAATACTCTTGGCTACAGCTCAGCAAACCTCACGACCCTCCTGGTCCTGTGCTATAACAGTACATGCTCTACCCTGAAATAGCCTCCTGTCACAGCTGAACGTTTCTTATCTCTGGGAGGATTGAAACCAGAGTGCCCTCAAAGGGCCCAGGACTGTTTAAAAATAGCAGAAATATGGCTTGATCAGACCTCAGGAATGGAGAATTCTCAAAGAGAGGAGAAAAGTGCCTGCTGACGGTCAGCATTTGCCCTAAGCACTCATTCTTGCATTCAGTTTTTGTCTCTGCCTGATTTCATTGAAGCTTAATTATGAACATAATCGTTTTTCCTTTGAGGAGCAAGTGCTGGTTTGGGAAAAATGGCCTTTATTCCTCAAAATTCTCACTGCATGCTTCAAAGATGCCTAGATTTGAACATCAAAAAAGTATAATCCAATGAGTTTGGTAACTCCTGAGAAGGTTCTTTTTTGAACAGAACAAGAAAGACATTAACTTTCCCCAAGTATAAAAACACAGGAAATGTCAATGTGAAAGACTGATGGGAAAGACATGAACATTTATAGTGTCATGGGAAATAGAAATATAGAACTATGCTGCAGTATCTGACAGCATTAGGTACCTAGGTGTACCACCCATGGCTTAAACCACATGGATGTATAATATTTTGACATGCTAAGGCATATTTATTTTGCCTTAATACAGTGAAGTGAATCTAGTTTCAATCCAAAGAACAGTAGTGCTAAGGATTTTTGTTTGGCATCTGAGTAGACTTGTAAAATGGTGAAGGACACGTACCCAGTAGGCATATGTCATCAATACATTCTTCACAGAGTATCAGTACTCTGCGTGGTTTCTGCAGAAAAAGCTAAAGCTGTGTAAATAACATTGCCCTAAATCCCTTACCAGAGCTATTCATACAAAGTCTTTATTGTAGCTATCTCCATGAGCATGATATGTAGAGATATTGTATTGTTGACAATCAGATAATGTAAATTACATTTGCTCTGAAATAGCACTGGTTGTTGCTTTTGAAGCTAGCCATGGTCAAACTTAGAAGATGGAGAACATATGCCCACGTGGCTTAAGAACTAGATTGCTGTCTGTTTAAAGTCTCAATTCCTTGAAACTATCAAGACTGATGCTCATGGGAAAACACCACATGCTTGTAACATACCTAAATTTATCCACTTTGGGAAGGTGCACAGGTTTATCTGGGGAACTGAAATGAGGGGAAAAAAAGGGGGATTTGGCATATGCCAGGAAAATGGACACTGCACTAAGTAGTTTACATTTATCACTTCTTGAATGAGAACAAAAATAACACCTTTCATTTGTGTTGTGCTTCGTAGTTGCAAAGGACTTCACATGCACTTTCTCTTGTAATCTCAGTTAATCTGGCCATAAATGTGCAGGTGACACACAGCTAAAAGTTTTTGTTAGAAGACAGAATTCAGATTTCAGGCTACGTAGGGCAGTGATGGATCATATCTAACAAGATTAATTCGTGGGGTAAGGGTAAGGACTAATCAGCTGTGTTTGTGCAAGGAGTGGGTTCAAGAGCTGGTAGAAGAAGCACTTATGGAAACAACTCGGGGGTCTTAGTTTACAAAAAGCTCAATTAGAGTTGACTGTGGCTGATGAAATGTACATTTCACCTCAGGCTCTGTTACTAAGGGTCTGAAATGAGGAAGCTGGCATCCCACTCGAACACACCTGGAGTATTAAATTCCATGTTGGGTCCCCTACTTGCTAGAGGCTTACTATGCTCACTACATGCAGACACTATGCTAAACCTTTCATACACATTAGGCTGTTTAAGCTTCAAGACAACAAATGCAGCAGTAACTATTATTATCCCCTACTTGCAAGTGAGGACATGGAAGGTTAGAGTGTGCAGTGGCCATCTGCCTATTGGCCTGGCCAATATCCATTCCATCTCTTCTTCTTTGGGTAACTACCTCTCCACCTTTATGGACAGGCTTAGTTGAACACCAATCAAACCCTAAGCTAAAGGGTGAAAATTTGAATCAAACCGAACCCATAGTATTACTTTTTTTAGGAATTTGAATAATGAATGGAGTATTATAAGAACATAAAGTAACATAAAGTAATAACACCTCAACATCTCAACAGTAGTCCTCTGAAAGGATGGCCATAGAGCTCTGGCCTCCAAGTTCTTTTCCTTTCTGACTTTTCTAGGGCCTGATACTATTTTTTTTACCATATGTCTTAGCCAGTCTATATATCTCTAATAAATTTATCTTTTTATTGTTTAATTTAGTTACTATTGCTTATTACTCAAGAATATCAAATGACTTGTGTCAAGGTAAACAAGTCGTTAGTGGTGGAAATTGGATTTGAACCTTGCAGTCTGACTCTAGAACTCACACACATAACTACCACACTGGTTTGGCACCAGCGCCTGTGAGAAGGTAGCTGGCAAATTGAATGGAGGAAAGAAAAGGGAAGCAAGAAGGGAGAGGATTAGAAACCACGTGTAGACCAGTGATGGAAATCGGATTGTATATTCTAGAAAAAAAAAATGATGTGGAAATAAGTACATATCTCCAAATGATGGAAGGATAGTTGTTTGGAGGAATTATTAAAAATGACCTATATTCATTTATTCATTCACTATTTTTGTAACATTACTTCATTAAAATGTGGTAAGCATTAGGGTTACAAAAGTGAGTAACACAAAATCCTTGTTCTTGAGGAGTTTGTGATCTAGTGGGTTATAAAATAGACATATCAACTAGCAGGAGAGGAGAAATGCTATGAAGATCATCAAAGCTGAGAATAAAGAGTAGTGGTGATATCTTAGATTGGGGGGCCAGAGGAGACCTCTCTTGAGGTGGAAACACTTGAGCAGAGACCTGTAGAAAGTAAAAGATTTAATCATGCGGCTACCTGAAGGAATAGCATTATAGGCAGAGGGAACAGCAAATGCAAAAGTTTAGATTTTTTTCAAAGGATGTCCAAGCATGGTTAGAGAGCAGTGAATTAGAAAGAGGCAGGAGAGTTGATTAGAAAGAGAACCAGGGGTCAGATTACATCATATACCCTTGTATGGCTCCACTGTGGGTGGGATGAGAAGGCACTAGCAAGTTTTTACAAAGAGGATAACATAGAATAGACAGTCATGCTGCATAATGATGTTTTGTTCAATGACAGACCACATATGCAACAGGGATCTGTGAGATTATAGTGGAGCTGAAAAATTCCTGTTGCCCAGTAACATCATAGCCATCCTAATGTCATAGAGCAATGTATTACTCACCTGTTTGTGGTAATGCTGATGTAACCAAACCTCCTGCACTGCCAGTTGTGTGAAAGAATAGCACATGCAATTATGTATAGTACATAATGCTTGATAATAGTAATAAAAAACTATGTTAACTAGTTTATAACTTTCCTGTACTGTGCTTTTTATCATTATTTTAGAGCATACTCCTTCTACTTCCATTTTTTAAAGTTAACTATCAAACAGCCTCAGGTAGGTCCTTCAGGAGATATTCCAGAAGAAGGCATTATTATCATAGGAGATGACAGCTCCATGCGTGTTCTTGCCCCTGAAGACCTTCCAGTGAGACGAGACGTGGAGGTAGAAGACAGTGATATTGATGGTCCTGACCCTGTGTAGGCCTAGGGTAATGTGTGTTTGTGTCTTAGTTTTTAACAGAAAAGTTTAAAAAGTAAAATTTTAAATTAAAAGTTTACAGAAAAAGAATATAGAGCTGAGGCGCAGTGGCTCACACCTGTAATCCCAGCACTCTGGGAGGCTGAGGTGGGTGGATCACCTGAGGTCAGGAGTTTGAGAACAGCCTGACCAGCATAGCAAAACCCTGTCTCTACCACAAATACAAAATTTAGCTGGGTGTGATGGCGGGCACCTGTAATCCCAGCTACTTGGGAGGCTGAGGCAAGAGAATCACTTGAACCTGGGAGGCAGAGTTTGCAGCAAGCCAAGATCACGCCACTGCACTCCAGCCTGGGCAACAAAGCTAGACTCCATCTCAAAAAAAACTATATATATATATATATTTATAATATATATTATATATTATATGTTATATATAAATAAATATATAAATAAAAATATATAAAATATTTTTGTTAAAATGTGTTTGTGTTTTAAGGTATTATTACAAAAAGTCAAAAAGTTTTAAAAAATTAAGTTTATAAATTTAAAAAGTTACAGTCGTTATTATTGAAGAAAGTAAAATAATATTTAAATACATTTAGTGTAACCTAAGTGTACAGTTTTTATAAAGTCTACCATGGGTACATTAATGTCCTAGGCCCTCACATTCACTCACCACTCACTCAGTGACACCCAGAGCAACTTCCAGTCCTGCAAGCTCCATTCGTGGTAAGTGCCCTATACAGGTGTACCACTTCTTATCCTTTATACCCTATCTTTACTGTACCTTTTCTACATTTAGATTCACAAATACTTACCATTATGTTACAATTGTCTACAGTGCTCAGGACAGTCACATGTGGCACAGGTTTATAGCCTAAGAGCGATGGGCTATTCCATATAGCCTAGGTGTGTGGGAGCCCATACCATCTAGGTTAGTGTAACTCTATGATGTTCACACAACAACAAAATTCCCTAATGACACATTTCTCACGAAGTACTCCTGTCGTTAAGTGATGCATGACTATATTTTTAAAAACATCTTCTTTGGGTGCTACAGAGACAATAAATGGTGGCAGGCAACTATGAAAGCATGAACCCTAGTTAGAAAACTATTGCCATAGTCCAGGCTACAGAATGATGGTGGCTTATATTAGGGCGGTGGACTTGGACAGGAAAAAGGACAAAGCTTGTCATAAAATTTGAGGGCGGATCTGACAGTGTTTGTGGATGGATTGGAAAAGGAGTATGCGACAGAGGAGAATAAAGAATGACTCTTAGAATTTTGACATGAACATTTGAGTAAAGATTCCATTTGCTGTAGGGCCTTATAGGGTTGAATCGGGACTGATGGTGGATGGACTGGGTTGCTATATAAATAAAGTCTTCCCAATAGTCCTATCTGGCAAAAGAGAGCATGAAGTATTAGGTTGGTGAGAAAGTAATTGCGATTTTTGCTGTTAAAAGTAATCGCAAAACCACAATGACTTTTGTACCAATCTAATACCTCCAAAGATGACGAGTTATGCATACAGGGGGTTGGTACAGGTAAGACAGATGACATTTGGTGAGGGCTTTATAAAGGGATGGCAAATGCTAGGAGGGTATGGAACTCAGTGATCTGAAAGCATCCTTCCAATCATGCAATTCTGCCAATCAGGATGTTTACGGAATTTATAAGTATCTCATTATCTATTTCAGTTCATGCCTGTAAAAGATAATAAAAATATGCAGTAAAATAAATACACAGTAAAAAAAACTATTTTACTTATTTTAGACTTGGGCAAACTGGGGAGAGCGAATGTTCATATATCTGTCCCACAACACACTGTTTATTACTTAAGTGTAAGGCAATCCCTTTTCAAAGTCAGAACATCCTACGAAAACAACAGGGTATGACTCGTTATTCTTTCTCTTTTCTGTTCTTTTCTCGGTGTAAAGCTGGAAAATTGTGTGTGTCTGTACAGTCTGGTAAGGTAGCGGGACTATAAAAAGCAATGGCTGGGATCTGACTGCGCCTCACTCCGTGTGTTAACTGTCCTTGGAACTGGCAGAGATGATAAAGGGAGTTCCAGACAAATCAAAGAAAAGAAATAAGAACCAGGCCTGCTGACATTTTGTTTTTTGGAACAAGAAGTAACTCCTATAAATTTGATAAAAGAGCTCCAAGAGTTCTGAAAGGCATGTTTAAAGCTGATTCCACATGTTCAGGGAGTACAAAGGTCTAAACTCTTTATTTCCCCTTGATTTCATCAGTTTTCCCAAGTTTCCAGTTCCCTCTCTAGATATGCCACGTGTCTCACCCCCCTGGGGGCAAATCAAATTGGTGAGTCTCCCCAAGCCTAACCCACTCCTATCTTCATACAGAGTAAATCAAAGGGAATACATACACCTTGATTCCATTTACTTTTTAATTTTCACTGTCCCTGTCTTCCTTTGCTTGCTTCTGAGAAAGAATAGCCCCTTTTCCTTGCCAAGACTAACCTGTGAGCCTGTATCCATCTCTGCTTGACTCCCCTTAGGAATTTCCCTGGTGAACCATCCACTCTTCTGCCTCCTTTGCATTCCATTCAAGCTGTTTTTAAATACCTTTGAGTGCCTGTCCATGTCTAGCACTATGCTAAGATGTGTAACAGGAAAGACATTTCTTCACCCTTGCAATAGTCCAGTTTGTTCTGGTCCGTGGAGAAGAGATTCCAGCGAAAGGGTATGATCTTGAAGTGTGAAGTTCCCTCCAGTTCTTTGTCATGCTAAGGCCAGACACCTAGTGTCAATGGTCCGTCGTGTAGCAGAACATCACCAGGAATTTGGGGATACACAAAAGTCTAGGCATGAATTGGAAGTAGAAAGAGAAGAGCTCACCTGGTAGGCATGAAGAAATAAACCAGGATTTGTGAGCAGCTGCCTATCGGGGATGGGGGAGGACAGGTATTATGATTAGGGAGAAATTTTCCAGAGGTGAGGAATGGTTATTAGATTGTGGGAACTGTGTGGACAGAGGATGTCAAACACCACATCTGGAATCATATCTGGCTATGGTCTGTGATTACCCAAAACTTCAGGAAAAGGCTACTACTCTCCACAACATTTCTGCTTAAAGTGCTTTAGGGAAGGGAAGGAAAAGTGGTCCAGTCCAGGGTAGAGGTGGTGAGAGTAGATGGCAGTGCCAAAAAACAAAACCAGAAAGAGAAGAGAGACCACAGAGGGGTCAGCATGGTGAGCAAACCCCATTTTCATAAAAATACTTAAAAGGGGGGATTTGAAAGTGGCAGGGAGATTTCATTACATTATATGGAGGAAGCAAAAAATAATAAAATATTGGTCCTCACCTCCCTAAATAGACTAGTATCCTTCATCCCCTGGGGACCCACCTAGATTACATTCTGTTTCCATTAATAGCACCTATCCCCTCATGCCACATTTATACTATGCACATTTGCCTATGCCACTATTTTCATGAATTCCCTGAGAATGAAATTAGTCATTTATTCAACAAACTTTTATTGAATGTCTGCTATATACCAGGCACAGGGATAAGCCCTGGTCATGCAAAGATGACTAAGACATGGACTATAAATTTGTTCTTGGTGAGCTCCTAATCTGGAAAAAACAAAGGTACAGAAAAAAGATATTTTCTTTTTATGTCTTTAATGTGCCTGGAAGAAGGTGGGTTCATAATGAATATTTGTTAAGTGAATATCTATGTTGAAAGGGTCATAAATTAGATGATGAATACATTCAACAACAGAAACCACTGGAAAGAAAGCAATCTATGTAAGTCATTAGATTGGAAAGCACTTTCTTCTATTTTTTGGAATTATATGAATAGTAGTGACTACTTTGTATGAAGGAGCTGATTTGTGTGTTTTACATTTTCCTAATGTCGCTTTGATATTTCATCAGACAAGAGTGCATCCTCATTTCTACTCTAAATATCACCCCCTATCAGCCTAAAAATGATCTGCTTTTTGCATGCAATTTTTAGAAATGCAAGACAACAATGAAAATGAAAAGTTAAAAACCGTGCATGGAATAGATGACACAATGTTACCAAATCACTGAAAATTCAATAAAGAAAATTGGACAGACTTCTTTGCCAGTTATTGTCACTTGGCTTCGTTTGAAGAAATTTTACTTATATTTTAATGAAAGTTTTCCCCCTTTTGCTGGCTTAATCCGAAGCTTCCAACATTTTTAAATATTGTAAGCCAGATGAATGTTTTGTGGTCAAAAAGAAATGAGGAATGCAAGAAACACATGGCAAATAGCAAAAAATTATTCATGTGGCAATTTAATGATGCTAAAAATAAGACTGCTATGGTAGAAATGTAGGTCATAGTCTGTGCTCCCTGGGGAGCCTCACAGTATAGATTCTGGTTCAGTGATGGGAGACCTACCATGGGTGTAAATAGAGTAGATCACCAATTATGATCCGGTTCCACAACCCTAGTGCACTAGTAGTCAAAGTTCTTGGTTACAAACAATGGAAACCTCTCTGGTTAGCTTACTCAGAAGAAATTTATTGGAAGGATATCCAATATTTCTTAGTCCCAAAGAAAGCAGAGACACTCATAGCTCAGGCAGAAACCAGGAGAATGCATTCAATTCCAAGTTTAGCCACAGGAATGTTCTACGTAGGGTGCTGTGAGGGCCATTGTCACTACCACTGAAGCCATTGGCATTGATGGCTCCCTTCATGCCCCTGGGCTCTCAATGCTGCAGCAAGACATCTCTGATACTGAGCCTTTGTGTCTTCACCAAGACTTGGCACCCGATGGCTCCTGAGCCCTTGATCTCACTGCAGGGAGCAGGAGAGGGCATGGGCATTTAGCCTCTTAGCTATTGGGCCTTGCTTTACTCTCATCTTGGAATTGCCCAATGTAGAATATTCAGAGTTTATGTAGTCAAAATGTCAGAGGACCACTCTTTCTGAGTCTGGGGTCAGTACTGTGTCTGAGAGAGAGGAAAAGCTAAGCCAAAGATGGTTCCCCTAAATAGAGGTTGAAGCAATATTGACAGTAGCTGAGAAATGTGAGCAGAGGTGGCTTGAAGTTGACATCAAATAACCAGGAAAGACATGATCGGAGACCAGTAGGTCACAACTAGAACCAGTTGGGATATACTATATGGCCAAAGTTTAAAGGCAGGTAGCCAATGCTCATGGATATGGTTTCTACCATCCTTAGATATTTTGGGGGTAGATCTTGAACACTGAAAGAACAGAGACAAGCTAGATGCCTGTGAACACTATTAGTTAACATTCCCCTTCTCGACTGGGAGCGATGGTTCATGCCTGTAATACCAGCACTTTGGGAGGCCCAGGCAGGTGGATCACCTGAGGTCAGGAGTTCAAGACCAGCCTGGGCAACATGGTGAAACCCTGTCCTTACTAAAAAATACAAAAATTAGCCAGGCACAGTGGCACATGCCTATGGTCCCAGCTACTTGAGAGGCTGAGGCAGGAGAATTGCTCAAACCTGGGAGGCAGAGGTTGCAGTGAGCTGGGATTGCACCACTGCGCTACAGCCTGGGCAACAGAGCAAGACTCTACTCAAAAACAAACAAACAAAATTCCCCTTCTCCTCCAAACACTTCTGCCGTCCATCTGTCAGCACAGTACCTTCCCCTACGTCAGTGTTTCCCAAATAATGGTACACATACCATGAGTGGTATGAGACGTGATTTTTAGATGGCTATAGGGTAAACATTTTTTCATATTTATGCATTTATTTTAATGGCATTCAGAACTATATAACGACAAGTAACATTTACTTACTCTGTGCTAGGCATGGTTCCAACTCCTTTACATACATTCAGATTCATGCAATCCTCACAACAGCCTAAGGAGATGATTACTAGTATTATGTATTACCCACATTTTGCAGATGATGAAACTGAGGCCCAGAGAGGTTATGTAACATGCTTACCATCACAGGGCTAGTGAGGGAGGGAGCCAGGATTAGCAAAGGGGCAGTCTAGCTCCAGAGTCCTTGTTCTTCCTGTGCCATGATGAGGGTCTTTACCATGAGATGAGCAGCTACCAGGGCATTACGAACGAAAAACATAATTTCACCTTTTTTCTCTTTAATAAACATGAATGTGTTTCCTCACCACAACCCAGTGAGTGTAGCAATATTTACATAGCGAACATATAGTATTTAATACATGCCAATTGCTATTTCAAGTGCGTCACATATAATAAACTCAGGACCATGAGACAGAGGCTCTCATTATCCCCATTTTACAGAAGCAGCAAATGAGGCACAGAGAAATTATTATGTGCCGAAGTTATCCAGTTAGTAAATGGCAGAGATAGAATTTGAATTATTTTTTTTTTCCTGAGACAGAGTTTCGCTCTGTCACCCAGGCTGGAGTGCAGTGGTGCGATCCTGGCTTACTGCAACTTCTGCCTCTCGGGTTCAAGCAATTCTTCTGCCTTAGCCTCCCAAGTAGCTGGGACCACAGGCGTGTGCCACCACACCTGGCTAATTTTTGTATTTTTAGTAGAGATGGGGTTTCACCATGTTGGCCAGGCTGGTCTTGAACTCCTGGCCTCAAGTGATCCATCTGCCTCAGCCTCCCAAAGTGCTGGAATTATAGGTAGAATTTAAATCTTGATCATCTGGCTTCAAAGTCCGTGCTTTTGCCCATGTATTACATTGTCTCCTAAGTTGTCTGCCTAGAAGGTAGTTACCATTACTATCTCATTTCATAGATGAGGAAAGTGAGGCTCAGAGAAATGAGTTGCCCTGGGTTAGGTATCAGAAAACTTTATCTGTAAAAGGCTAAATAGTAAAACTTTTGGCTTTGTGACCTTAGGTTTCTGTCCCAATTATGCAATTGTGCTGTTATAGTACAGAAGTAGCCATAGACAAAACATAAACAAACGGGCATGGCTATGCTCCAATAAAACCTCATATATAGACAGTGAGATTTGAGTCTCATTTAATTTTCACATGACACAGATTACAATTATTTTGGCTTCTTTTCAACTATTTAAGCATGTAAAATCTACTCTTACTTCATAGGCTAAGAGTACCATCCCTGAGAGTCAGCCATTGACAGTCACTAAAGTTGGAGCATTCTGGTGGATAGAAAGAAAAAGAGACAAACCATACCAGTGCTGCAAAGAAGCCTGTATGTTTCCAGCTAGGGTTGATTGTGGAAAGCAACACTTAAAATCCAAAAGTACTTTTAAAGCATGTTTATAAAATGTCCTCTCTGTTACAAAAACACTGCACACTTTTTCAGGGTCACGATGAAATGGATAGTTTTGAACCATGGCTTGCATTTTCCTCTTTACCCCAAAGAAAATCAAACTATAAAAGCATGAATTTCCCTGAGAGGGTTTTTTGCTCATTCAGCCATGTCTTCTAAGGGGTTTGACTTATTGAAAAATAGAAACCACTCGTGGTTGTAAAACCAGTGAACCTCTTTCCTTTATTTAACCTACTGCCCCTGAAAATTTACTTTTTTATGGTTCGCACGTGATCCAACCAAGCCTGCTCTCAGCTATCCTTATGCATGAGTTATATATAGAAGCACTTCAAAGAGAAAAGAGAAATGCTGCATAAATTCAAGGTAGTAGTGTACTCAAATCCAGTCTTAACTCATAATGGTGAACTCTACTGCCAAGTACAAGAGTCTATTATTGAGACAGGAATTCCTTGGTGTGTGCTCTGTTCATGTTTCCACTCCCCTTAATCCCTTTACCATTTTTGTGCACACTAGTTCTTATAAAATGATCGCACCCAACAGCCAGCACCTGTAGCTGTTCATCAGCAAGTGCCTTTGGCCTACTTGAGAGGGCCTTGCCTACCTGCAGAAGAGAAGAAGTAGAAGTACCTAGGAATTTATGCACCCTCATTCTTGGGGCAGCTCTTAGCCAATGACTGATGGGTGTGGGGCTATAAACACTCACACTCCCTCACCCCTGACTGAGAAAACACTGAGGTGTGAGCCATGATGTGTCCAGAGCTCCCCACATAGGATCGAGTTACCTCTGGGAGGATATGGTACATAATATGGCATCCACGTTTGACCTTCTCCTTCTGGTTTCATACCCCACTCTGCCACTGGTTTTTCCCAGGAATACTTCCTAATCAATTGCTTTCACACAAATCCCTATGTAAGGCTCTGCTTGTGGGGACCAATCTAAGCCACAGGGTTACAAGAGCATCTTCAAGTTCTGCCTTTTGATATACGGTATTTTGAAATTAGAACTCATTACTTTGTATAACTCTAAAATGTTTACCAAATGCTTCTAGAGCATTATCTAGATAATCTTTTCAACTGATGTTATTACTTTCATTATACAAGTGAGAAAACTGAGGTTCAAAGAGGATAAATGATTTTCCCAAGGTCGCACTGATAGGAAGTAACAGAGCTAGGTGTTCCTGCACATATGGTAGCAGCACTGGGGTAAACAGTCATCAAGTTATTATTGATGCATCTATGACCATTATTTAACATTAAACTGTGATAGCATGTTTTCTTAGTAGTCACTCTTATAAGACAAAGGAAAAGAAATATGTTAGGATCATATATTCATACCACAAATACTTACTGAGCACCTACTACATTTCAGGCAGTAGGCTAAAGGATACAGATATGACAGCCAGCTCTCATGGAACTTAACTTTCAGCAGGAGAATTTACAAGGAAAAAGAAACCAGTTATGATGGCAATAATTGCTATGAAATATACAAGGATCTGAGAAAGAGAAACACACATGGGCTTACCTTTAGATAAAGGAATTGGAGAAGGCTGCTCTGAGGAGTTAACATTTAAATTTAGAACTCAAGGAGGAACAGGGGTTAGTGAGGCAAAACTTTGGAGAAAATGTGCTCAAGGAAAGAGAACCATATGCCCCCCTTTACTTAGAAAGGTAGAATTCCAACATTTGGGTTTTTTGTTGGTTATAGAATCAAATTTCTTTGTAAGCAGAGCAGATGATGACTTTGTAGAATTTCAGGGCCACCTGTAGGTGCTTAGATAAAATGTCTACCACTCCATGGTCCTGGCCCTTTGTCTGAAATATCCGGCATTTGTCCTCTTCTTTAAGGATCCCCTGGAGAAGCTCAGTCGATTTACTTTGGCTCCACATCTGCTGTTAACTGAGAGAGGAAATGCGTTTATTAGCTTATATTCAGCACTACTAGCCTATTAGACTACCCCTTGACAAACCCTTCTCAACACTGGGAGGCTTGTGGATGGCCCAAAGCCAAATGTCAGAGACTGCAGTGAGTGGGAAGGGCAGAGAATGGAGACCTGGGTTTGATTTCCTCTTTTGTCATTTAGTTCCAGTGTGATCTACAGCAAGTAACTTGTCTCTCTGACCCTCTCTTTCTTCCCCTGTTAATGGTGAGGAAAAACAAGTGCATATTGTCTTAATCTCTTCAGGCTGCAATAGCAAAATACCATTGACTGGGTAGCTTATCAACAACAAAGATTTATTTATCACAGTTCTGGAGACTGGAAAGTACAAGATCAAGGCACTGGTAGATTCAGTATCTGGTGAATGCCCACTTTCTAGTTCAAAAATGGCCACTTCTCCTGAATTCCCACATGATGGAGGAACTAGCTAGTTCTTGGAGGTCTCTTTTATAATGGCACTAATTCCATTCATGAGGGCTCCCTCTTCATGGTCAACTTACCTCCAAAGGCCCGACCTCCTAGTACCATCACGTTGGGGGTTAGGATTACAACATGGGAATTTGGGTGAAAACATAAACATCTAAACAATAACACATTCCTAGTCTGCTTGCAAAGGATCAGAAAGAATGTTTGTAAGTAAGAGCTTGCCTCAGTATCTGGAACAAGAGCTTGCTCCAGTATCTGGAACGAGAGTTTTGGTTTTAGTAGTGGCTGTAATAGTAGCAAAAATTGTAGCATTAGAGTGGTTGCAGTAGTAATAGTCACACTAATGAGCATTCATATTATTACTGTTAGTAGTGCTCCTGCCTTTATTTCAATCGCTGTGGTAACAAATTAGGCCCTGAAGGGTGAACAGTAACTCTCACACCATCTAAAATACCAGTTGTTGCCTATTGCTATTGGGAAGTGACTTGAGCTTTGGAAAGTTTCCAGCACAACACTGTTCAATAGAGATAATGCAAGTCACATATAAAAGATACATTTTTCTAATAGTCATATCTTAAAAAGCAAAAATAGGCAAAATTCATTTTAATAATATATTTTCTTTAACCTAATATATTTAAAATATGATTTTATATGTAATCAATATAAAAGAAATTATTGGCGAGATATTTTATTTTTTCACACTGTCTTCAAACTACAGCGTATATTTTACATTTGGCAACACATCTAATTTCAGACTAGACATGTTTCGAGTGCTTAATAGCCAAATGTGGCTGCTGGCCACCATTTGGGGTAGTGTAGTTTTAGATAATAACAATGTATTTGGAATGGCTGAAAATACAGTGTCAGAGTAGTTCATGGGGTAGTTTACATGTCCCCAACTCCATAGGAAAAAAATGCAATTATTTGAAACATAGTAAAATGATGTTTAAAAAGCACAAAATCAGCTATGTAAACTGTGAATATAAGAAGCAATCTGTTCATTCTCTAACAGAAAAGCTTGCATTTCTTTCCACCATGAAGATATACAAATGAATGAATCAACAAATAAAAACTCTGAGCCCTTTGGTGTAACCTGGCTGAGATGTAGCTTAAATTTTACTTCTTCCCCTCCTTCAAGTCTCCACTCCAATGTCACCTCTTAGAGAGGTAACTGCCTCACATTTACACACCTTTGCATGGTCTGGAACACTAATGTCCTCTCTGTCACTTGTGAGTTCAGTTACATGGTTTCTGTCTTAATAACTGTTACCAACTGAAGATGCCCTCGCTAGGAAGTCTCTCTTTTTCTTCCTGGTGATCTCTGTGCCTCCAGCACCCCAATTATCTGGCTGAATCCTGCTCTAGTTGCCTCCCACTTCTTTTTCTCAGTGGACTCAAAATGCTTAGAAGAATTTTGTGCAGGAATCACTTAGTGAAGGTTCAGGAGACACAGCCACGCAGTGGGCATTGTTGGTGGTTCTGGACCACACAAAGCTGTACGAGGGCTCTTTACCCACTTCCCTCCCCTTAGTGCTGGACCTAATGCTACCGTCTAGGGCCTCAGTTTCCTCACCTGTAAGATGAGAGTGTTAGACTAAGCCAGTGGTTCTCAATATTTTTTATTATGGGGACTCAGCCCACGTTTAAAAATAATAATAATTTTGAGATATGTAAAAAGTAATAAAATAAGATTTTAAAATTATACCTCCCCAAAAATTGCTCAGAATACCCAGAAGTAACAATTTTTAATACCCTATGATAATTTAATTCAATATTTCTTTGCACATAAGATGAAAAGGAAGGCAGGAAAGCAGAGAGGCAGGAAGAACAAAGAAAATGAAAGAAGAAGTGGGTAGGAGGGATGGAAACGAAGGGGAAAGAAGGAAGGTACATTATAAATTAAAGCTAGTCCTGAGGATGGCAAAGCAGAAAGATAGAAAGAGCTTGGACCTGTTATGATGCTGTTGAGCTGTGACTCTACCAACCCTGAGATCCCACCTACTTCTAGACTTTTAATGCAGAAGTTTTCAACTATAGCTTCACACTGGAATTTCCTGAACTGTTAAAAAATAAAAATGAAATGTAGCCTGAATCCCAGAGTTTCTCATTTAATCAATACAGGGTGCAGCCTCAGTGGCAAAATTCCTCAGAGCTACTAGGAGAGTCTAATGTACAGCTAAGGTTGAGAACAACTGTTAAAAATAAATCCTCTATCATTTAAGCCAGTGTTTCTCACACTTTAATGTGCACCTGAATCACTAGGGATTTGACAGGAATCTTGTGAAAATGCAGATTTTGATTCAATAGATCTGAGGTAAGGCCTCAGGTTCCGCATTTCTTCCTTTTTTTTTTTCTTTTTTCTTTTTTTCTTTTTGAACCATAAATGTTTATTGCAGAAATCTGGCCAAGGTTCCAATTAGGGGGCCCCAGGGGCCCTCTGCCCAGGGCTGGGCAGATGAGATAGGAAAGGGTAGAGGGAGTGTATCTGGGCCTGGGGCCTCCAAGCTGTGAGATGATGTTGGGTGCCAGGCTGCAGGTGAGGCCTGTGCCATCTGCTTCGACATTCAGAGCCTCCACTATGTCATCCTCTATTAGCATGGAGAAGCTCTTGAGCCATCTCCCCTGCCGGTGGGACTGTCATTCAGCCTGTGGCAGCAGCAGTGGCACCAAGACAGCTACGTGAAGGAGGGTGGGTGCCTGGCCAGGTCCACAGTTTCAGCACAGCCACGGCAGCCATGGCCCCAATCAAGGTGGGAAATGCCATCCCTGCAGTTATGGTGTTGGAGGGAACACAGTGAACCTGGCAGAGCTGTTCAAGGGCAAGAAGGGTGTTCTGTTTGGAGTTCCTCAAGCCTTTAGCCCCAGCTGTTCCAAACACCTGCCAGGGTTGGTGGAGCAGGCTGGGGCTTTGAGGGCCAAGGGGGTCCCAGCGGTGGCATGTCTGAGTGTTAACGATGCCTTTGTGACTGGCAAGTAGGGATGAGCCCACAAGGTTAAAGGCAAGGTTCGGCTCCTGGCTGACCCCACTGGGGCCTTTGGGAAGGAGGCAGATTCACTGCTAGATTCTGCATTTCTAACAAGCACTCAGGTAAGGCCAAGGCTACTGCTAAAGGGTCGCACTTGGAGTCGCAACGTTGCAAGCCAATTTGAGTAAGGCTTTCTGTTCCTTGTGGCCAAAAGCATCCCAATGGAAACATCTTGCCAACTTGCATGTTATTTGATTTTCTGCCCTGAATGCCCCATTCTTCTTGTTTACAAAAAAACATCAAATAGGCCAGGTGTAGTGGCTCACACCTTAATCCCAGCACTTTTGGAGGCCAAAGCAGGAGGATCACTTGAGCCCAGGAATTTGGGACCAGCCTGAGGAACACAGGGAGATCCTGTCTCTACAAAAACTTTTTCAAAATTAGCCAGGCATGGTGGTGCACACCTGTGGTTACTACTCCAGAGGCTGAGGTGGGAGGATCACTTGAGCCCGGGAATTTGAGGTTGCAGTGAACTATGATTGTGCCACTGCACTCCAGCTTGGGCAGCACAGCAAGACCCTGTTCCCAAAACAGCAACAAAGATACAAACAAATGAAAGTGTAAATAATATTAAATTCTCCCAGGATATATCTTTTGTTCATTGCAATGTTTTATTTTCCTAAGAAACTGATGTGGCCTTTGGTCTCCAAATTAAAGTGTGTATTTCAAGAAAGTTTCTTCTATTTTATCTTTAAATGTATTCCACTGCATTTGTTGATACTCTTCTTCGGTAAGCCAGTTATGCGTGTGGAATCTCCTTTGTCTTTATTCTATATCTATTGTCTTTTCCACAACTGTTTTTATATGTTTATTATGTACATTTCATTTTGTACAATTTCTTCAAGACTTTCACTAGTTTGGAGTTACAATTTCTTTTTTGTTCCATTTAATATAGATTTCACTATGTATGGCTTTTTTCTTTTTCATTTGTTTCCCCAAATATGCCAAATTACTTTTTTATCTCCTTCTGTTGCCTTATAGTCTCTTTTGTGAATCTTTGTATCTCTTACTTGAGATATTTTCTTAACAACACTATGTTGTATGTAATTCCTTTGAGATTGCTTCTGTCATATTTTCTGTATTTCTTCTTGTTTTCCAGATATAGAGAGAATGAGAGACAGAGAGAGATAACATGTTTAATTTTTTCTGCTTATATTATTGTATTAGGGTTCTCTAGAGGGATAGAACTAATAGGATAGATATATATAAAGGGGAGTTTATTAAGTATTAACTCACACAATCACAAGGTCCCACAATAGGCCATTGCAAGCTGAGCAGCAAGGAGAAACAGCCTGAGTCCCAAAACTGAAGAACTTGGAGTCCAATATTCCAGGGCAGGAAGCATCCAGCATGAGAGAATGATGTAGTCTGGGAGTCTAGGCCAGTCTAGTCTCTTCACCTTTTTCTGCCTGCTTTATATTCTAGCCACATTGGCAACTGATTAGATGGTACCCACCCAGATTAAGTGTGGGTCTGCCTTTCCCAGCCCACTGACTCAAATGTTAATCTCCTTTGGCAACACTCTTACAAACACACCCAGGATCATACTTTGCATCCTTCAATCCAATCAAGTTGACACTCAGTGTTAACCATCACAATTATTTGTCTTATTTTTCACTTTTTATGTGTATATTACATATTGATTCTTTTCTTAGTGCTCATCTTTGAGTAAGGCACACAGACCCCGAAGGCAGTGAGGAGTGGTGTAATTGGTGGAGTTAGTGCTAAAACAATCTGTAGTTTCCACTCAGCTTTATGGTCTGTTATATATCTTTTCACCAAATCTGTACCTTTTTATTCCCTGGGGACACATCTGTCTTATTTTTGACAACCTCAAAATGAGAATGTCTTCATGTGAATGCCTTAATAAGGACAAAATTTTTACCATTAAAAGAGAGGGAAATAGAACTTGAGAAACAGGCTCATACAAATTACCAGGGTCTAGTGGTCAGGAGATGGAACTGGGGGAAATTTCATTTAAAAAGGCAAAATGAAACAAAACAAAACCTGGATTAAGAAAATACCTAACGACGAAAAGCCAATATGAATTCATTAACATCCTAAGTGAACTTGTGCTTTGGTACGCACAACAGCATCTGCAAACATTTGACAAAGAGCCCATGTGTGTGCAACACATGTTATTTACTCTGTGGAAAATGCCTTGTCTGCACATGGATTCACAGATCTCCTTTTCATTCAATTCTATTTATCAGGTGCTCACCCTGTGCCCTCATGGAGTTTGGTTGAGTGGTGAGACAAACAGTAAATAAGTAAACCAATAAATAAGCATTGTAAAATGTGGAAGTGTGTGAAGGAAATAAATGAGGTGTTGAGATGAAGAATAACCTGTGCCTAGGGTTGGTGTCTTTAAGCTGGGAACTGAAAAGACAGGAAGGTGAGAGTCACGTGAAGAATTGGAAAAGAGGGACAAGCAGATTAGGTAGATGTAACACACCAGGAGCTTACCTTCAAATGGCTTGCATATATGCTAGAAACCAAGAAAAAGCTTAGGGAAGTGGATATGTGTAAAGGAGTTGGTACAAAATCACATTAGAGACGAAGATAAATTCAAAGCATAAAGACCCCTTTAGACCACCATGAGGAGATAATTCTATGTCCAATGCAAAGCAATGGCTGTAGTGTAGAAAATGGATTGGAAAGTCACTGTAAATGGATGAGGAAATAGATGTAGACTACTCTGGTAATCCTGGAGACTGTTGGCAATCCTTGAACTAGGGTCGAAGGCAGTAGGGCAGAGGGAAATCTGTGAAGTTGAGATATATTCCAGAGATAGAACAGATAAGATGCTATGAATGTCTTGAATGTGGGAGGTGAAGGAGAGGGAGGCATCAAATCTGTCTCTCCAGTTCCTGGCTTGAACAGTTGAATAATAGACAGCAATGTCTCTTACAAACATGAGAGCAAGAAAAGAAAATGTCTTCTGTGGGAAGAAATCAGAAGTTCAGTTTTAAAAATGTAACATTGAAGATGTTTCTGAGTTTCATACTGTGATAGTTAATTTTAGGTGCCAACTTGACTGGGCTAAGGGATGCCCAGATAGCTGGTAAAACACTATTTCTGGATGTGTCTGTGAGGGCATGTCTGGAAGAGATGAGCATTTGAATCAGTAGGCCAAGTAAAACAGATCCATCCTTACCAAAGTGGGCCAGCATCATCCAATCAATCCATCAAGGGCCCAGATACAACACAAAGGCAGAGGAAGAACAGATTTTCTCTTTCTTCTGGACCTGAGACATCGTCTTCTCCTGCCCTTGGGCATCAGAGCCCCAGATTCTCAAGCCTTCAGACTCTGGGACATACCCTAGTGGCCCCCAGTATTCAGGCTTTTGGCCTCAGACCAACAGTTATGCCACTTACTTCCCTGGATCTCCAGTTGCAGATGGCGTATCCTGGGACTTCTTGGCCTCTGTAATTGCATGAGTCAATTCCCATAACAAATCCCATCTATGTTTCAATATACAGAAAGAGAGACCTCCCTTGGTTCTGTTTCTCTGGAGAATCCTGACTAATATACCTGGTGAACACATCAGGAAATAATTTTGATTGAGGCATTGAGGAAAGATCTGGAAAGCACATGCAAATTTTGGAGTCATCACAGCACAAAAGGTATTTAAAGTCATATAAATGAATGCGGCAATATAGGGAAACTAAAGAAAGGAACCTAGTGAACCTGAACAGTTCTAAGTCTCACCATGGCCCACATGTTGAAAACCATTGCATAGAGTTACACAGGCTTTATTTTAAGCAAGTCTTTTGGTCACTCGTGACAGAAACTCCATTCAAGTTATATTAAGCCAAAAAAAGGAATGACTGTTTCATACAGTATAAGACCAAGAGTCCATATGCCTTCAGGCACAGATGGATTCAGGAGATCATATATGTCACCAGGACTTAGTCACTCATCATTTCTTGGCTCTCTTTTCCTCTATGTTGGCTTCATTCCAGGCTAGCTCTCTCTACATGGTACCCAACAGGGCAGACTTATAGTCTTCTATTAACAAATGCAGCATTAAAGAGAGCTTCTTCCTTCCAATAACTCCAGAAAAATTCATGGATTTCTTCTGATAGTACTATCACAGATCATGTATCCAGCCTTATACTGATCACAGCACCCAGAACATACTGATTGGCCAGGCCTGGGTCCCATGCCCATCCCCAGATCCAAGAGATGTGGACAATGAATGACTTGACCTGAAAACAAGGGATGCATGATGCCTCAAAGAAAAAAAAATCAGGGTATCATTTCCAGAAGAAGAGTATATCAACACTAGGCAAGGAAAAGCAACAGCCATGCATACAGAACACTTCTCTCTCTCTCTGAAATGTAGTCTCTCTGACTACATTTAGGCATCTGAAATTTCCATTTTTCCCATCAGACAATCAACATAAAAGTTGTCTTACCTTTGGTGGGTGGTAATTGTGTGTCAAACACTGGAGACAGCTGTGAGTGGGGATGGGACTGGGACTGTTGTAGGATGATCCCAAAATTACAAAGTCAAAATAAAGAGGTTAACTTCCTGTCCCCTAAAAAGTAAGAATACAAGTGGACAGATATAGGGGAAGGCAGAAGAAATGAGAGCAGCTGCTTATGGAAGTGGCCAATCTCAGGATTCTAAACCAGAGTGACACTGTGGTGTGATTGATATCTAAGAGCCACCTCTGTATCTCTTCTTGCCCCAAGGCCAATGGCGGACAATTCTGTCAGGTTCTAGGGCCTGGACTCTAATAAGGAAACTTTGACAGTGAGTGTGATAACAAGTTTAATACACAAAGCTTACAGACCCATTTTTAAGCTTTGCAAGAAATAGTGTTGAGTTAGCTGAAATATGTGTAGTTTTTTTAAAATGGAGCCTGACCCAACATTTCTGTGAAGCGATAGCTTGGAAAGCACAATTGTGGTAATAAGTCTTAGTGGTACTTTATATGCTTCATTCAAAAATACTAAATCAAACCCAGGCCCAGACTGCAGCCTGCAAGTAGCACACAGAGTAATTAGGTGTATGTATGAGCTATACTCTTTGTTCATCATATAAAAGCATAAAGCCAGAACCACAGGGGGCTGTAACTGGGTGCCCTGTCTATACCTTAATTCTATGCACTTTTCCTCTCTCTACCCCAGTGCAAAATGTAGAGCAGAAAACAGAGGTTTTGTTTCCAATTATCTGGGAATACACAATAGGCACCAACTTCAGTAAAGGTAGTAAGGTAGTTCTTTGTCATTATGCTTTCAGGATTTGGCGTATCAAATATGAATTCTCAAACTTTTAAAATGCAGTGGTTTAGGAATGGTCCACAGGTAAATTAATTTTAAGGCTAAAAGAGGTTCTTATGCTCGTTTTCCAAGAAAACTACCTCAGTTCTATGTGGGTTTTGTTTGTTTGTTTGTTTGTTTTTGTTTTGTTTTGTTTTGTTGTTGTTTTGTTTTGTTTTGCTTGTGGCCATGGGGACAGGGAGGCTTGGTGGAAGGAAGCCTCAAGCTGAAGGCGAAGAACCCACAGACTCGACAGCTCACTGGTAACCTTGCAGATGTCACTTAGTTTCTCCAGACTTCAAACCACCTGGAAAATTCATAAAAGTCAAGCTGGCCCAGAGGCCAGATACTCAACTAAATAACATGTGACTGAGGAAAAGGAGGAGAGAATCAAGTCTAGGCAAAAAAAAAAAAAAAAAAAAGTCACCAATTTAAAAAAATAACAATAAACAGCATTCTCCTGTTATTAGTCTGAAATAATTGAATAGTCAGAACACTTTTCAGCTTGAAAACGAGCATTGTCTGATGTCGTTTTCACATTTTCCCTGCCAAATAGCTGTTTTGCTTTATTTGAAGACAAGGACAAGCATAAACAGTTTGAAATAATAGCCATGTCTAACCAGTCATCTTTGAGTTAATGTTGTCTCAGGATCATGGAGAAGCTTGTTTCATGAAACCACTGGATTCATTTTCCATTTTCTCCTGCTGTCTGGGTACTTCTTTTTTGCTAGTTAGATGAGAAAAGGGAAAATTTAAGGCAAAGAAAGAAGTTGTATTAGTTAGGGTAGTCTGAACTACTGTAGTCAATAAGACCTAAAAATTTTGATGGCGTAATCACAATAAAAGTTTATTTCTTACTCATGGAAGTGTCCTGAGGGATGTTGTTAACCAGCCTCACTCTCCTCCATGCAGTGCAGTTAATCAGAGACCAAGGTTCCCTCCATCCCCAAGTTCAGTCATCCTTTTTTTTTTTTTCTTTTTAGAGCCTGTTGCCCAGGCTGGAATGCAGTGGCACAATAATAACCTTGATCTCCTGGGCTCAAGGGATCCTCCTGCCTGTTTTCTGAGTAGCAAGACCTATAAGCGCACTCCACCCCAGCTAATTTTAAAAATTTTTTTGTAGAGAAGTGCATGTTAATTTTAAGATGCATACTGGTTTACATACATTGTTATTGGGATTTTTGGGGGTTTTATTGGTTTTTGAGACTGGGTCTTGCTCTGTTGCCCAGGCTAGAATGCAGTGCTGCGACTTCCTATGCTTAAGGGATCCTCTCACATCAGCTTCCCAAGTACCTGGGACCATAGGCATGCACCACCATGCCTGGCTAGTTGTTTAAAAAAATTGTTTGGTTTTTTTTTTTGGTAGAGACAGGGTCTTGCTATGTTGCTCAAGCTGGTCTTGAAATCCCGGCCTCCAGCAAACTTCTGCTTCAACCTCCCAAACTGCTGGGATTATAGGCATGAGCTACAGTGCCTGGTTCATCCTTTACGTGTTTCTTGTCCTGTGAATTCAGCTAGTGGAAGGGGAAAAAGAACACGGAGAAGGTATGCCTCCTTCATAAATATGTTGGTCCTGAAGTGGCACCCATCACTTCCAGTCACACTCCATTAGTGAGTGTGAGTTTTATGGTATACCACAATGCAAAAAGTGTCAAACAAATGTTGTTCCTAGCTGGGAAGCCATTTCACAGCAATATCATCATGTCATAGATGGGAAAATGGATTTGAAGTGTACCTGGCACCCTCAACCACAAAGATCTTCAGGCTTTTCACTACATGGAACGCTTTGGACCCCACTGCATGCCATGCTGAGTTCAAGATCTGGCAACACATGGGAGTCTGAAATTCTGCTTGGTTATTTGCAGGTCTGCCCAAAAGTTTTGGGTAAATATGGGCCTCACCTTTCTCATCTTTCAAATGAGAGTAACAGTATCTACCACACTAGGGTTTTTCTGAGGACTAAATGATGTAATTTGCATCTTCGCTAAATTTTGGGCATATAGTAAGCGCACAGCAAGTTCCAGCTATTATTATCATTATTACCCAACTAGGGACAAAATTCCTCGATGCTTATTTAGGCTCGGTTTGATAATTTACAGCTTAGGATTTTTTTTTTTTTTTGAGACGGAGTCTCGCTCCCTTGCCCAGGCTGGAGTGCAGTGGTGCGATCTCCGCTTACTGCAAGCGCCGCCTCCCAGGTTCACGCCATTCTCCTGCCTCAGCCT
Source organism: Homo sapiens (assembly GCF_000001405.40). NCBI lineage: Eukaryota > Metazoa > Chordata > Mammalia > Primates > Hominidae > Homo > Homo sapiens. The sequence continues at coordinate 73,640,937 of NC_000003.12, read as the reverse complement.
CCCGAGTAGCTGAGACTACAGGCACCCGCCACCATGCCCGGCTAATTTTTTTATTTGAGGCGGGATTTCACCGTGTTAGCCAGGATGGTCTCGATCTCCTGACCTCATGATCTGCCCCCCTCGGCCTCCCAAAGTGCTGGGATTACAGGCGTGAGCCACTGTGCCTGGCCCAGCTTAGGATTCTTTGACAGTTTGCTCTTATTTCCGTCTTCCCAGCCCCACCCTCACTCTGATGTGGCTTCACAATCTGTCTATGCCGTCTTCTTATTCCAAGGCTTCTTTCAGCTGTTATGCACACCTTCCATCCATGACCAAAAAACAATTCTAGCCAAGTAGGGGAGGAGAAAGGAAGGCTCTGAAGCTGGGCAAATGTCTGCAGGTTCTCTGCAAAATTGACAGAGCATAGCACAGTGATTTTCACAGAAAAGTCACAAGATAAAGATTTCTTGAGTAGCATACCAAGGTTCTGAGAAGCAAGCATGAGCTTGCACGCATGGGCCCAGGTTTGCACACATGCAAACAGTGAAGCTCCGTGGAAGGGCTAGTTTCAGTACACAGGTACTGCTTGCCTTATGTACTCCTAGAATTAGGATGATAAAGATATTCTGTCTCTTGAAATATCTGCCAGAGGCTACCTCAAATGGATGGGTCAAGGTAAAGTCGTGAAGTCCCATATGGTCTGGTTAGCAGAGGACAGTCACTGTCTGTTCCATCCCCCAGCTGGTTATCTCAGGAATGTCTGTAACTGGCCCCAGGGGTCCTAGGAGGACAGAGTGAATGGATCATAGAAATAACTAATATTCATAAAATGCTTACTATGTGCAAGGTGCTGTGTAATTCAGTTCACACAATGTTACCTTGAAGTAAGTATTGTTAGCCCCATTTAAAAGGTAAGTAAACTAAGGCTCAGAGAGATCATGTAATTTCTTACAGTATTCCTAGCATTGTAATAACTGGTAGAAATAAGTCTCAAAACCAGATCTGACTCCAAAATACATGCTTTTGGTATGTTGGTAAAATATCTCTTGCAACCATTAGCACACACATGTGCACACACATACAACTAGTGTATGTCCCAGAAAGGGAGGAAAAAGAGGGTCCCTTTATTACAGTATCCAGGTTCACTTACAGAATTCTCAGGATCTTGACAAAGAAAGAGGTTTTTGCTTTGCAGGCTCAGAAGTCTGACAAGAGGGGTTGAGAGAGAAGACAAAATCTAATTGACTGAAGAGAAAAAGAAAGTAAGTTAAAGGTATTAAGTAGACCACACACGTCTCTCCTTATGGCCCTGTGCTAAGGAAGCACACAGACCTGTCGGAATGTTTCACCTCTTGCCTCAGAGAATGGCAGGGACTGGGTAATGTAGGGTTCACATATTTATCTGCATGTGAATGTAAAATGTGATCCTAGGGATTATTTTCAACTTTACTTAGCAGAGGGTAGTACAGGGTTAATAAATCATATCACATATAGCTTAGCTTGAAAAGTGCAGGGCTAAAAAGCAAATGATTTCAAAACCAAAGGCAAAGTATAAATCCATATGTTGCTCTGAAATACAGAAATGCACCAACTTTTGCAGATGTTCTGGCCTGCTAAGGGAAGGCAGGTCCCTTGGCTTATGGGAATTCTGGGACATAAGAGACTCTATTTCTCCCTGGCTGCTTCTCCCTCATTTTCTAATGAGAAATATGAATGCCTCTCCCCTCAGTCAGTACCATGGTAAGACCCATGTTTGCCTCCTCTACCATAACTGTTGGCTTAGTGCAAAAGTAATTGTGGTTTCCCCTAAAAATTGCTTTCCCCTGAAAATTACAATGGCACATAGTAAGCCAGTCAACAACCATTTACTGAGGGACTTCATGTGTGCCTATGAGTGGTGAACATTATACCAGTAATCACAATATTGCTACATAGGAACATTAGAGGCAACTGTTAGAGTGTTCATTTAGTCAGAGGATCACTGGAGGTTCCCTGAAAAGGTGATGTTGAAGGTGACATGTGAAAGTTAAGTAGGAGATAGCTAAGGGAGAAGGGGGTATGAGCATTTCTGCAAAGGAGACAGCACGTGTGAGTCCCGAGTGATTGGGGGAGGTCCTGGCATGCTTGAGGAGAGTGAGAAGCCCGGCATAGCTGTTTAGGTTGTTCTAACACAGTAATTCTCAACCAGGGGTGACCTTGCTCCCCAAGGTACACTTGGCAATGTCTGGAGACATTTTTTAGTTGTCACAACTAGAAGATGAATTCTGTTGGCATCTAATGGGTAGATGCCAAGCACGCTGCTTATCATCGCACAATGCACAGCACAGATCCCTAAAACAAGGAATTATCAGATCCACAATGTCAATAATGCTGAGGTTGAGGAACTCTTCAACAGAAGCCCACATGCAGAGGCTTAAACAAGATAGATTTACTTTTTAGATTTAACGTCCCAAAAGGGCTGTTTTGACTAATATGGCCAGCTCTAAACTGCCGTAAACCAAGGCTCCTTCTATCATATTGGTCTGCATCTCCTAGGACAGGGGTTGGAAAATTTTTCTGTAAAGGAGCAGATTGGAAATATTTGGCTTTGTAGTTCAGATGGTCTCTTTTGCAACTTCTCAACTCTAACCTTTTACTGTGAAAGTAACCACAGACTATGCCTAAGGGAATGGACATGGCTGTATTCCAGTAAGATTTTATTTACATAAACAGGTAGTGGGATGAGTTTGGCCTGTGGGCTATCGTTTGGACCCCTGCCTTGTCAAATGTGCTTGGTCTGCATGCTAGCCAGTAGGAGGGACAAGAGTTGGAGCAGAGGGTAGGCCTCCTCCCTTTTAAGGAACAACATGGAAGTTTTCTACATCACTTCTGCTTGTGACTTATTGGTCAGAACTCTGAAAGGCTGGAAGTGGTGTAGTTTTTGGATGGGTCATCACAGGCCTAGGGAAAACTCAGCTTGTTTTATTTAAAACACACACACACACACACACACACACACACACACACGGAAGAATGGCTATTGGGGGACAATTGGCAGTGTCTTTAATTGCTGGATGCAGAAGTAGAAGGAACTCAGAATGAGGCTGGCAAAACAGGCAGAGTGAGATCATGCCCAGTCTTAGAAGTGAAATGCAGGATGACAATTTTTCTCTTAAGAGAAATGGGAACCTATTAAACAGCTTTAAGCAGGGGGTGGTTCTGGACCATTTTTCCATTTTAAAAAGACCTTTCTGGCAGCAGTGTGCTGAATAAAATGCAAGGGTCATGCAGGGATGGGGGGTGGGGCTACTTTGAAAAGCATCCATTTTCCAGGAAAGAGAGATGGTGGCTTGAATGAGGATGGTGGCAAAGGAATGAAGTAAATGGATGGGAGAGAGATTTAGAAGGGAGAGTCTATAGCATCCTACAGATTAAACTCCCACTTTGAGATTTAAGGAAAAGCAGCTTTATTCATAATTTTTTTAAGCTAAGAGAAAACTAGGAAATGATCTCTATCAGCACGGTCCACATTGGGGATCTGATTCAGCCTCAGCTGGTCCTTGTCTGCTACTTTTGTCTTTTCCTTCTGGACTCAAATGCCCATTATTTGTCATCTTCTTTGGACAAAAGCCATCCTGATTCTCCCAAGCATGGAACTCCAGGCTTAAGTGACTCAGGATATAGACATAGAGTTCACAAGTCCCAAATGTAATGAGTGGGCAACCCCAGTGCTTGACATAAGCAAAGGGAGGATGTGACATGTGTTTTGAGACTGGCAGGCACCAAGGGAGACAAAAGCCTATGGTGTAATTATGCCAAGCATATAATATGATGCAATCACTTTCTGTCTCCAATATGCCCCTCAGCACTGTGAAAGGGCTTTGAATAGCAGAATGCTCCAGACCTGTGTGTCTGTGCCCTTGGAAGTCTGAGAAAGCCATGGCACCTTCTCTTCTTTCAGTCAACAATGCCATGGGCACTTATTGAACATCTACTCTATGCCAAGGACCATGCTCAATCTTGGGGACACAGAGGTGAATAAGACATGAACTTATGACTTCCTCAAACAAATAGCTCTCCAATTGCTGCCTCCAGTTGGTCCCTGTAAACAAAGGATGAACAAATGTTTTCCTCATTTGTTAAAAACACATTTTTAGTAATGAGGGCATCTTAACTGGCAATCTCAGTTATAGGGTTCCTGCAAAGTTCCTTTCGTTTTTTAGTTAGCATGGTGGACACATTTAGCTTTGAAAGACAATGACGTCTAGTTATTCACTTTCGAGGAATTGCCTGAAAGACTATTGGCACCATTTCTTTTTCTAAAGAGAGAGGACTTCGCGTTCTTTGCATCTTCATTTGTTTCACGTGCTGTCAAAATCGTTATAGTGATTAACTGGCTAATAAACAGAATAATAAATAACTACAAGAGACAGATGATTCACATGTAACTCTGATATGGTCTTTTCTTATCTTTTGTCCTCTAATTCCTTTATGGCAAAATTTGCCAGAAAACTGCTTCTTAATATCACTCCATTTCTCCCTCCATATCTATAGCCCATAACTAGTCATGTGCCACATAATGACATTCCTGCCAACCATGGACTGAATACACAATAATGGTCCCATAGTTTACAATGGAGCTAAAAACTTCCTATAGCCTAGTATTTGCTAAACTGTACTTTTTATTGTCATTCTAGGGTGTACTCCTTCTACATCTTTTTTTCTTTTTTTTTTTTTGTTTGAGACGGAGTCTTGCTCTGTTGCCAGGCTGGAGTGCAGTGGCATGATCTCAGCTCACTGCAACCTCCGCCTCCTGGGTTCAAGCAATTCTCTTGCCTCAGCCTCCCAAGTAGCTGGGAGGCTCATGCCACCACGCCTAGCTAATTTTTGTATTTTTAGTAGAAATGGGGTTTTACCATGTTGGCCAGGATTGTCTTGATCTTTTGACCTCATGATCCACCTGCCTCGGCCTCCCGAAGTGCTGGGACTACAGGTGTGAGCCACCACACCCGGACTCTACTTATTTTTTTAAGTTAACTATAAAACAGCCTCAGGCAAGACCTCCAGGAAGAATTCCAGAAGAAGGCATAGGTATCATAGGAGAGGACAGCTCCAGGCATGTCATTGCACCTGCAGACCTTCCAGTGAGAAAAGATGTAGAGGTGGAAGACAGTGACACTGATGATCCTAACCCTGTGTAGGCCTAGGATAATATGTTTTGTGTCTTGGTTTTTAACAACAAGTCTAAAAGAACAAAAATTTTTAAATTAAAAATAAGAAAAAGCTTATAGAATAAGGATATAAAGAAAGAATATACTTTTGTACAGCTGCATAATGTGTTTGTGTTTTAAGCTATTACGAGTCTAAAAGTTTTAAAAAATTAAAAAGTTTAAAAGTAAAAAAGTTATAGTAAACTAAGATTAACCTATTATTGAAGAAAGAAATTTTTAAAAATTTGGTGTAGCCTAAGTGTACAGTGTTTATAAAGTCTGCAGTAATGTCCTAGGCCTTCAATTCACACACCACTCACTCACTGACTCACCCAGAGCAACTTCCAGTCCTATAAGCTCCAGAGTAAGTGCCTTATACAAGTGTTCCATTTTTCATCTTTTATACTGCATTTTTACTGTATCTTTTTTGTGTTCAGAAACATAAATACTTACCATTGTGTCACAATACATGTTGTACAGGTTTGTAGCCAAAGAACAGTGGACTATACCCTATAGCCTAGGCATGCAGTAGGCCTTACCGTCTAGGTTTGCAAGTACTCTCTATGATGTTTGCACAACAATGAAACTGCCTAATAGTTCTTAGGACGCATCCCCTTTGCTGAGCAACGCTTGATTGTAGATCCCTGGTATCTTTGAGTTCCATGGCTCCAGGGCAGAGCATCTGGGCCTGGGCCTGGTTTGTGGGTGATGGCTTCAGGAAGCATAGGCAATCCCATCCTCCTTACAGCCATTCATTTAGTCTTAATGTTATTCAGCTCAGTGTGTGCCCTGCACTATGCCAAGCACTTTACCTGTGTTTCCATTTAATCTAGCTCAACTCTATGAAGCAGATACTAATAATATCTCCCTTTTACAGAAACTCAAGTGAAATGAGTGACTTGCAAAGGTTGTACAGCCAATAGGTAGTAGAATCAGGATTTGAATGTAGGTTTTTCTCACTCCCAAGTTCATACAGCACTACTGTCTCCTTTAAACAATCTTTTTTTTTCCTTTCGAGACAGGATCTCACTCTGACACCCAGGCTGGAGTTCAGTGGCATGATCATGGCTCACTGCAGCCTCGACCTCCTGGGCTCAGTTGATCCTCCCACCTCAGACTCTTAAGTAGCTGGGACCACAGGTGGGTGCCACCATGCTTGGCTAATTTTTAAAAAATTATCTGTAGAGATAGGGTCTCCCTATATTCCCCAAGCTGATTGTACAATCATTTATTGAGCATCTATTTATTATAAAGTCCATATTAGTCTATTTTGTTACCATGGCCTCAGTAGTCTGAAGTTCTAATCATTTTGTCTTGCCAGAAAAGCAGCATATTCATAGATAGTTGCGGAAACTAAGACAAACTAAGGCACATGTACCAAATCCAGCCCTTTTGAAAATAAAGTTTTATTAGAGCACAGCCACATGTATTCATTTACATATTGTCCATGGGCTGCTTTTGTGCTACAACATCAGATCTGAAGAGTTGTGACAGAGACCACATGGCCCGCAAAGCTGAGAGTATTTACTATCTGGCTCTTTGCAGAAAAAGCCTGCCAACCCTGATGCAGAGCACAATCATACATATTGTTTCTTTGATGAAATTCTTTCTAATGAACAGACTCGTCTTATTCAATGACTCAGGGTTGGTTTAACCATATATACTATTTGCTTAATTCAATGATTTTTTTATCAAATGCCAAAAAACCAAGATAAGAAGTCTATCCATGGGGTGAATTCTGCAAGGAGAAAAAAATGCGTCATTCCCAATTAAAGTATGGAATGTGGAGCATCTTTTGGCTCTGCCCAGAAGATACTCATAAGTCTTTGCTAGTCTCTGGAATTGTGTGCAATTTTCAGACCATCACGCTTCATCCCTGCCTACCCCATTCCATTTGTAAACTGGTTAATCCCCATCATGGCTAGGCAGTTATGACCCTTCTGGAAAAACAAAAACAAAAACAAAAAACATACATTACAAAAGTTAGAAACACTTCCTCTAGTTTAAAGAACCATCAGAAACTTAGAATAGAGGGAAAATCAGTAGGAGCTCTCTGATTCCAGCTTTATCTTCATCTGTAAGCTTACACAACCCACAGATAAATTATAAGTTACTACGAAGATTCCCACCAATGACAAACTGACTCACTGTCCTTCAAGTCCTTTCATCTTTCTGGATTCCACTTCTAAGGCTCTTTATATTCTGTCAAGATGGAGTGTGATGTTTGCCAAAATTACAGAGAGTATGCCAGCATTTGGACACATTTTCCATTTTACCTGTATAGAAAAATATTACCATTGCTGAAGTTTTTTCCACGATTACTTTTTGTCCCTGTAGAAGTTCATAGCCAGCTTTGTGAAACGTTACGTGTCTGTTCTTGTACAACAATGAAAATAGAATGAAAGGTTAAAGTGAACTTTGTTAAAATATAACAAACGATTATCCTAGAAACACCATACCACTGTAGGACCAGTTTTGTTAATATTTTGTTCTGGCTTTTTCATTGCCAAGTGCCAGTTTGATCTGGGTACCAAAACCACAGTCTCAGGACACGATTTCAAAGAACAGGAATGTCACATTTCTCTTGGTTGGCTGACATCTGAAAAATGTTCTGCCTGAAGCCCTCCCAGAAGAAAAGATGTTATTCTTTTGTCATAAAAATGATTAAAAAAAAAAACAGCAACAGAAAAACAAAACAAAACAAAGGGCAAGCCTAATTTTTTAGTACAATCAAATGACATTTAAATGAAAGCATTGTGTGCTATGTATTATGGGCAGGAGGCTCTCCGGAAGTCACTAGTTTTGAGAGCTGCAACACTGCATCATCTGTGTTCAGGTCTGTGTCAGCTGATGTCCCTGCCAAAGCAGTTTATATTTTACTGTAAAGAGGCCCCCTTGGATGAAACACTGAACACAGTTCTGGGTATTTGAGGCTCTAGGCATCAAGAGAAAGTGCTATCATACTGCAGGGTTTCACATGTCAAATCAGTCAGCAATGGGATGGCCCATGGAAGCAGTTTATAATATTCCATTCCTGAAGAGAATGCAATATTTGAGTGTGACCTGTCTCACTTGAAAACAGAAAGTTGAATCTGTACCACCACCCTAAAATAATAATACTCAGCACTTGTGTAAAATCTTCAGGGGGTTCTACATATAAAAATTAGTTAATTAACAATTATTACTGTATGCTACCTAAACATGGATTATTATTATCATAATTTTACAGACCGAGTAAATGAGAGTGCAGTAGAAGGTGCCAGGAGAAAAATTAAAATTAATGAGTTCCTAGATCACAGGCTTGAGCTGCAAGGACTTTAAAGAGCTTGTTTATGTTAAGGAACATACTGTAAATTGATACTTAAATATTGGAAAAGCAGCTTTTCCAAATTAGTTATTAATGAAATTAGTGCTTGTGTGTATTTCTATGTATGTGTACATATACGTATGCCTGTATGTATATATATGTATTTTTATGATTTTATAACTTCCCATGCATTTGTGATGATTAAGTTGTCTTATTTTTGACAGAGGAATTCATGTAATCATAAGTTATACTCTTCAGATGTCATGGCTTGATTTTTTTCACCTTAGGAATAACCAAGTATCTCTGAGGTTTAAGAACCAAAAAGTGTGTTAGGACCAGGAAATATATGGGTAAATTACAAAGCCAATCAACACGTTTATTGAGCGGCCGGTAGGAGCCAAACAACATCCCTGGTCCTGGGGATGCAACACTGACCAACATTACAGATATCTTTTACACTTTCAAACTTTAAGTTCCACTTCAGAAACTGTACCTTTCATGTGATTTAGCTGAAGGAAGAGGGTGATGACTACTGATGACTCTTGTAATAAGACTATAGTGGACATACTTTTTTTGTCTTTCTGGCATCTCTTTGTGGGAAACCCCTCATTCCCTTACCTTCATTTCCTGTGGTCTGGGTGAGAATGTTTCCACTCCCTGGCTCAGGAGTTGGCAGATAACCTAAGGCAGGTCAGGAGTCATGCCTTGAACACTTATTGGAACTATTAGGAAAACAGTGCTCTTTGTGCTAGGGATGATAAGGTAGTGAGATGCAAATATGGACTGCAGAAGGTGTATAACCATGTGGGGAGAGTGCCTGAGAAGGAAGCTAACCCAAGGGAAAGCAGAGCAGATTCTTAATGTGTTCATGTGAGCACCTGGATGCAGCCATGCCTGAAGTCACTTTACTTCCTGGACTTTTTAATGATGTGGCCTATTCTTTCCATTTTAAAAATTCCTATTCACTTTGAATTGGGCTTCAGAAACTTGCAGCCAAAAAGAGTCTGAATGCAATTTAATTCAGTAATCTTTAAACATGCAGCCTTTAGCATGAACAGGAAAATAAACCCTACTTTAATACAAATAATTTTGAAAACAAAAATAGCTTATGAATGTATCTAGACAAATGGAGAATGACACTTGTGTATCTAATAGCCATCAACCCCTTCTTCCTTATTAACAGAACCCTACTACCATTTTTGCACTTTTAGAATAGCTTTATCAAGATGTAATTCATATGCCACAAAATTCACCGTTTTAAAGAGTACAATTCAGTGTTTTTTAGTATATTCACAGAGTTAGGTAACCATTGGCACAATTAATTTTAGAACATTTTCATCATGTGCAAAGAAGAAACCTCTACCCATTAGCAGTCATTCCCCATTTCCCCCTTCCCCAAGCTTTTGCTAAGCCCTAATCTAATTTCTACCTCTACATATTATATATAAATGGAATAATAAACATGTGGTCTCTCATTTGTTCTTTCACTTAGAATAATGTATTCAATATAAATCCATGTTGTAGTATGAATCAGTACTTCATTTCTTTTTATGGTGAATGGTATTCTATTGCATGGATATACAACCTTTTGTTTATACATTCATCAGTTGGTGGATATTTGGATTGGTTCAACTTTTTGGTTATTATGAATAATGCTGCTATGAACATTTGTGTATGAGTTTTGGGGTGAACATGTGTTTTCAGTTCTCTCCATGAGAGGGACTCCTAGGTCATATGGTCACTCAATATTTAACATTCTGAGGAACTGCCAAACTATTTTCCAAAGTGGCTGCCCCATTTTACAATCCCAACAGCAACATGTGGGGATTCCAATTTCTCTGCATCCTTGTCAACACTTGTTACTGTCTCTCTTTTTGTCTTAGGTCGTCATAGTGGATGCAAAAAGTGATATCTTAGGGTAGAACCTATTAATATTCCAGGAAGCAATGTGCCTTTGTAAAAGAGTACATTTCATAAATTCTGTTGCTGCTGAGATGCAAGAGAAGGTAGTTGGGTGGAGCTTCCAGAAAAGCTCCTGAAGGAAGGGGCAGGCCAACCTGATTAAGTTAAGCTACTTCCCCTAGGTTAATCAGGTTGGCCTGCCCCTTCTTCCTCCATTTTTCTGCCTGGAATGGTTGGCTGTGCAGCAGCTATCTCGCTCCATGAAATGAGCATAGACGCCAGGCCCTACAGATGGTGGAGCAGAAAGAGAAAAGAATCCTGAGTCCCTGGTGACCTGGAAGCCACTATACCAGCCTCAGCCTGCTAACAATGGCTCATATTTTTTCACTTGAGAGAGAGATTAATTTCTAACTAGTTTATTCCATGGTTATTTGGATGTTCTGTTATGCTCAGCTAAACAATTTTTTTGTTCCACATGCATGTATGTATGCACGTACATGTATGTTTATAAATACATAGGTATGTATGTGAACATTTATATGTATATATACACATGCATAGTCTATACAAAGCCTACCAATTCGCAACCAGATAGTGATCTACTTATTCATGTGGGAGTTGGCTGTTCATAATTCTGAATTGATTTTGTTATGGGAACAATGTTCTAAATGTTGATAGGTACTCCAACTAGGACACAGAGGCCTATTTAACTCATACTGTGATACATATACCTCATGCTGGTAGTACCAACCCACGCTTAAGAGCTGAGCAGCAGGAACTTACATGGAGCAGGAAGAGGGAACAGTTATTTGTTCAATATTTATTACGTTTCTACTAAGTGTTAAACATGGGGGACAGAACGTGAACACGATTGCCCTACTCTATAATAGAGTGTAATATGTGGCATGGACACTAGACATTGATCAAGCTGTGCTCCTCTGCTGCCCAAAATACTTCAGTGCCAATCAGCACTAGAATCAATTCAATCTCTTTCCTCCACAGGTCCTGCAGGCCCGTGTCCATTTGGTTCTCGCCTACTTTTTACCCTTGTTTGATTCTTCTTCGCTCGGCTTACTCTGCTCCAAGTTCTAGGCACACTCTGTCTAATTCAAATAGACCATGTGCTTGCTTCGAACCTCAGCACTTTCTCTTGTTCTGCCTGGATTGTTCTTCTCCCAGCTATTGCTGGCTCAGTCTCACCCTTCAAGCGACAACTCACACTTCCCCTCCCCAGACAGCCCTATTTCAAATGGGCCCCTTTGATTTTTCTCCAGCATGTAAGCTGCTTTTATGGTGTTGACAGCAGTGATTCTCAAACTTTAAGTGCACACAAATCACTTGGTGATCTTGCTAAAAGGCAGATTCTGATTCAGTAGGTCCAAGGTGCGGCCTGAGATTCTGCACTTTCAACATGCTTCCAGGTTATGCCCATGTTTCTGGTCCCCAGACCACACTTTGAGCAGCACTGTATTAGGGAACTTATCATATTCCATAATCATCTCATTTATTATTCATTTATTGATATCTGCTGTTCCTTATCGTGAAATGAAGGCTTAAGAGGGGAGGGACACTGCTTATTATTTTTGGTAGCCTTTGTAGCCCCAGTGCAAGAACAGCCTCTTCTTTGCATATAATAGCTACTAAATAATTATTAGATAAATTAAGACATTTCAAGTGTGATCATTGTTATACAAGGGTATGTGCTTGGGGCTGTGGAAACTAATCCCATCTGGAGAGTTGGGAAAGGAGAGCCAGACTTTTGCAGACCAGAATTTGCTCAAATTTGTAAGAAGTATTTTCGCAATTCTTGTTCTTCTGCCTAGTGTCCCTACTGTGATAACTCATCCTGACTTACCAAAGTCTTCAAAAGTCTCCAGAATAGAGAACTACCTTCTCTTCTCCCTACCTTTCAACCCATGGCCAAACGAATGTGTCAGGCTCCAGGATGGCTAACATTGGCTATGTTAACAGGCAAGCAGTCTGACCGAAATGTTTCACACTTGTTTTTGTGGATGACTGCTGTACCTTATTACGCTCTGGTGGTACTTTCATTTGGTAAAAGCAGATCCTTATCTAATTGTATAGTGCTATTTTAGCTAGTAGAATACAAATATGTACGCCTGGGGAAGAAAATTTAAAAAACAAATGTAAAAACCCTTGACTTTCTTTTTGTTTGTTTTTTCTAGTACTGAAGCCACAAATTATCCAGACCCTACGAGCAGCTGAGGATTGATAACCAGCAAACATGGAGGGGTGGAGTTCTTATCCATATCATTTGTAAGGGAGTGCCTCCTGAGCTGGAGCTTATGGAGGAGACGCATAATGCTTATGGTGATTAAGAGTGAGGGTTCTGAAATTCTCCTGTTGACATCCCTGACTGGAGGCATACCTTATGTAACCTTATAAGGTACCTACGCCTACTTAGATATCTTATGTAACCTCTATAAACCTCAGTCTCTCCATCTGTAAAACAGGGTGGACAACATATCTACCTCTCTATGTGCAGTGAGGATTAATGAGACAATGAAGGTCAAGTGCTGAGCACAGTGCCTGATACCTAGTAACAGTTCCCAAAAAAGTGGTAGATATTATTATCAACTTCTGATTAAACATGCTGATGGAAAGAACACTAAAAACAGAGTTTAAAATCAGAATGGGATCGTGGTGAATATAGAAATAGTATTTTTATTAGGCTTGGGGCCACATTTTGGTTAGAAAGTGCAGAATCAGATGATAAAAGGAAGGGGTAAGAGCAAGAGGTAGTGGAAGTCGCAAAAATAATTTGCAAAGTGACCAATCCAGCTGTCCACAAGGAATTCATCCATATATAAACACTCAGATGTTTCTGGGACGGTTGAGTAAGTATCTAATCCATGTCAGAAAAATCAGCTACTTTTCTCAGGAGGCCTGCCACACCAAACATTCATCTTCCTACAGTTTTTATTCATGTTTATTGGTATGGTGCCTTGAGTTTTCGATTTATAATAACATCCCTCTCTCACTGTGCAGCATTCACCAGGTGGTTCCACAGCCAGCAGAAAATGTGGGCTGACAGCATTGCCTGACTTCAGTAATGAGCAGAAAGCTTCCTTAAAACTGTGGTTCTCAACCTGGTTGTCACAACAAGGGGTTGTTACTATGTCTATTGGATAGTGGCCAGAGATGCTCCTAAATATCCTGCAATGCAGACGATAACCAACCCCCCACCCCCACACACACCACAACAAATAATTATTTGAATGAAAATGTCAGTAGTACCAAGGTTGAGTAACTCTGCCCTCAACTCCTTTTTCCTAATATTTTTGGCTCTCGTTTCTCCTGTTAAGTTTGGTGACTGAAATAATAGTCTTGCCAGCTCTGACATTGTAGGATTTTTTTTCTAACCTCCAAGAATTTTGATACTAAAATTAACCATTGAGGAGTGGCACAGACTTTCCTTTTGCCTAAAGAGGCCAATCCACAGTAGGCTATGGCTTCTCTGTGGCCTCAGCTGTAGCATTTCAGCAACAACCTCTCAATCTGCCATCTGGGAGACCACCCGAGGGGTGGTAGAACATCTCCAAAAAAGTGTACACCCCAAGTAAGCACTAATTTACATTTATGGTGTAGGACAGAACTTCTCTGTTTCTCAAAACCAGTTTGGTTTGAAGATTATCACCCTGTTGACACTAGCTCATTCTGTGAAACTGACAAGCCCACACACCTTTGGTGAAAGAATTTGTTTCCTACCCATTATCTGAGAGCCCATGAGCAGTTTAATGAATATACTGATGGAGGATTCCCTGGCACAAGCTTATCTGAACAAAGGCCAATAATATTCCACCCCATGCAGAATCCTATCAAAGCAATGCATTAATTGATTAAAGCAATTAAAAGAAAGTCTCCACCTCAAATAGGCAACAAATGCCACCAAAACTGATTAAAGAACACTGTCCAGTGACCTCAACCATGCACTGAAAAATCTAGTGAGTGACAACTTTTTAAAGGTCAGTGTGAAACAAGTAATCCTTATGAACATCAAGGCAATTCTTTCACTCTGATGAAGCAGTTAAATAGTGAAGGTCATGGGGCTTTAGCAGCCACATAAAAGAAAGAAGGAAAGCAATTAGACAAAATGGATGCTGTAATCCCACTTTCCAGGCCCCAGAGTCTCGCTGAATACAGAGCTCCTGCTTTACTGTTCAGAACTCTCCCGCTTCACTGTTCAGAAACTGGAAGCAGATTCCAAATGAGAATTCCATAGCTTGATTCCACTCTCACCAAAAGCTGACTGCGTGTTTCTTAGGAATGTCTATAGCCTTGGGAGGTAAAAATAAAATAAAATAAAATCAATGGATGATGCTATGAACTTTACACCCAGTTTGGAATTCCAAAAATATTCCTCCATTGCTCAGGACTGTTGCTGAATCCTACCCAGCCAGGTTTGCTGTACTGCAGGGAATGAATGTCCAGATCTATGGATCGCCAGGGTTTTCCAATCAAGTGGGAATCCAAGGACCAGCATGGACTAGCAGCATTGGCATCACTTGGAAGTGCTTTCAGTATGGAGATTCTCAGAACCCGCCCCAGACCCACTGTATCAGAACCGCAACCACATTAAAATGTGAGAAACACTGACCTACAGGACCCTACAGGGCACTTTTGTTTTGTTTTGTTTTCTGTTTTGTTTTTATCCTTCTTCTAGCCTGAGTTTCCTCAATGGAAAGATGACAGAGTGTACACACAAAACAAACCAAAACTGAAGGAGGGCAGTTGTTGACATGATCATGGGGGTGATGAGTCTTCTCCCAGTTCTAACTTCTGCAGTCAGCATCGCTTCTTTTGTAATCACGGGAAAATAATTTTCAAATGGAGCTAACCCTCTCACAACATTGTACTAATGATCTTTAAAGCGACGGATTTAGAAGCGCTCAGCACCACGCTTGCCACACTGCAGGGCAGACACTTCAGAGGTGTTAGGTGAAGTGGATGGAGCCAGCACGCTGGCCTCTCCCACTCCGACAGCTGGCGAGCAGCTCTTGTCCACCAAAACTTCCCCGGGTAGATTCACCCACCGGTCCTGGAAACCTGCTAAATCCTGAAGGTTCACAGAACCTCTGGTCAGAACTGAAGTTGCAGCCGGAGCTTCCCGCAGGCTCTGTAACTTTCCCTGGAATGAAATAAATAAATAAAGACCGTAAGTGCTGAGATAGCGGGCCCCAAGATATTTTTAGTCCTCTGCAATCAGCCACTAGAGGAAGGGGGAGGGAGAAGGGAGTAAAAAAGTTTTGATCCGTTCGGGAAGGGGCTCGAAGAGAACCCTTGGGAGAAAGCAGTAGCCTCAGCTCCAAACTCAGCGAGCTTTTCTCGGCTGGCGTTTTGTCTCCTATAGCGTAGACTGTAAGAGAACAGAAAGGAGTTTCCCGAGAAGATTCAGGCTGGCGTCCTGGGCTGGCCCGTCCCTTCTGGCGAGCCTCAGTGTCCTCCCACGCGCTTCTGCCTTCCAGCCTCCTCCCTTTTTCGGGGGGCTGGCGGGAGGCATCCAAGGCACGATGTATGTGCGCTCGCGCTCGCGCAAATACGGCCGGAGGAGTCCTGTTCCTCGGGCATTTTCCGAGGAAGTCTGGATCAATTAGGCTCAGTCCGGGGAGAGCCAGCGAGCGCGCGGGCGGCGTAGCCGGCCTGTCTGGGCCGCCTCGTGGGGAGGGAGGGGGCGCCCGGCCGCCCGGCGGCGACCCCGGGGCCTGGCCGCCACCATGGGCTTCGAGCTGGACCGCTTCGACGGCGACGTGGACCCGGACCTGAAGTGCGCGCTGTGCCACAAGGTCCTGGAGGACCCGCTGACCACGCCGTGCGGCCACGTCTTCTGCGCCGGCTGCGTGCTGCCCTGGGTGGTGCAGGAGGGCAGCTGCCCGGCGCGCTGCCGCGGTCGCCTGTCGGCCAAAGAGCTCAACCACGTCCTGCCGCTCAAGCGCCTTATCCTCAAGCTGGACATCAAGTGCGCGTACGCGACGCGCGGCTGCGGCCGGGTGGTCAAGCTGCAGCAGCTGCCGGAGCACCTCGAGCGCTGCGACTTCGCGCCCGCGCGCTGTCGCCACGCGGGTTGCGGCCAGGTGCTGCTGCGGCGCGACGTGGAGGCGCACATGCGCGACGCCTGCGACGCGCGGCCAGTGGGCCGCTGCCAGGAGGGCTGCGGGCTACCCTTGACGCACGGCGAGCAGCGCGCGGGCGGCCACTGCTGCGCGCGAGCGCTGCGGGCGCACAACGGCGCGCTCCAGGCCCGCCTGGGCGCGCTGCACAAGGCGCTCAAGAAGGAGGCGCTGCGCGCTGGGAAGCGCGAGAAGTCGCTGGTGGCCCAGCTGGCCGCGGCGCAGCTTGAGCTGCAGATGACCGCGCTGCGCTACCAGAAGAAATTCACCGAATACAGCGCGCGCCTCGACTCGCTCAGCCGCTGCGTGGCCGCGCCGCCCGGCGGCAAGGTAGGCGCCTGCTGCCCGCCCCGACCTCCAGCCAGGATCCCTGGGGACCCAGGGCCCCGCCCCATCCCTTTGGGTACAGGGATGCCCCGAGCTTCCCGGGAACATCCTTGCTTCCTCCCTCTTCTTCCACTGCTTACCAGCTGTATCACTACTTGCAGGTCGCTGAACCTGCCTGAGGTGGAACACTGTGGTCCTTTATAGTCTAGACGTAACCGGTAAAGTATAGCTGTACAGCTTCAGGGATTCTGGAAGGACGAAAAAGAATTCACAAGCAAGTGTAGGATAAGAATGAAGAATGCAGCTCCAGAGTCAAAACTGCGTTCAAAGGCTTTGCTGCTCAGACCAGCTAGGGGATCTCGGGCAAGTTGCTTACCCTCTAGAGGTCAGAAACCTATAGACTGACACTTAGGAGAGGAGAGATGGACACATTGGGTGAATTGTATCCGTGCATCCTCTAGGATTCCAGAAAAAAAAATAAAGGGAACCCACAGCCAGTGTAGATTAAGTTAAGAAGGATATCAGAAGAGAGGCCTCTGGGGTAAAAGCTGGATGCAAGCGTGGGCTTTGCAGCCAACTAGCTGGCTGACCTTGAGCAAGCTGCTTAACCTCTCTAAAGTTGGAAACTATGGTCCCTAGAGACGTGGTATACAGAGTAAAAACACAGCCAGGCACCCCTGAGGTATTCATCCAGGGATTTCAGAAAGAATTAAAGGAGCACTCTGCCCCCAACAAGTATAAAGTAATAATTAAGTGTGAGTCCTCTGGAGTTAAAACTGTTTTCAAATCTGGGCTTTTTGCTGACCAGCTGGGTGAGCTTCTGGCTTAATTCCCAGATCCCTCAGTTTCCCTCAGTGCGAAAGGTTTTTGTCAGGCTTCAGGGAGAGAGTTTAGTAGAAGGGCCTCGTACTGTGCCTGGCAGAGAGTAAATAAATGCTCAACAAGTGTTACCTAGAATTATTTTTAACATCTCCACCTGAGCGGTCCCCTTGAGCGAGGGTTTACTTTGCTCCAGGCTGGGTGCTGCATTCTTCCCAGTCATTTCCTTTTTAATCAAGTGAGGTTGGTGTGACCCTTCCCACTTAGTAGATGAAAAAACTGAGGCTCATTAAGGGGCAGTTTCATGCCTGGGTCACAGCTTTTGGGTGCAAAGCTGCATGTTGAACCTTTGCGTGCCCATCTTTCCAGCCCACGTTCTATAAACTATCATGTTGCTCCTCAGTGCAACCACAAGGACCATTTATTGAGTGTTTATTAAGTGCCACCAACAATAGGAAGTACTTTACATGCATTACCTATGTTGTCCTTTGAGATGAGGGAACAGACTCAGAGAAGTTATATAACTTGTCCAAAATTAAGTAGTGACTCAGGGAGCAGAGCCGGACTCAGATTCTACCTCAGAGTTCTCAGTTTTGGGGCATATTGGCATTTTGGGCCCCATAACTCTTAGTTGGGAGGGGAGGTACTGTGCTGTGCATTGTAGGATGTTTAGCAGCATTCTTGGCCTCCCTCCCAAGTCGTGACAATCCAAATATTGTCAAGTGTCCTCTGGAGGGGCAAAGTCGCCCAGGTTGAGAACCACTGGTTTCCCTGATTGCAGAAGCCACATTTTCAACAGCTGGGTACTTCTGCCTTCCTGGGGAGGGGCCTGGGCCTGCTGCCACCGCTCTGGTTGCCTGCTCCAGATGGTGTGGCAGAAAGGGGAAAATATTTGCCCGAGGCTCCCCCAAGGGCCTGTGTCTGCTTTGCCTCTCTCTGCCCTCTCCCAGCCCCCTTTCCTTACGTGCACACCAGGCCTGCAAGTTTTCCGACCTGGCCCCCCTTCCTGGCCCCTGGCCTGTCTGTCAGCTGCAGTCTCAGCAGCTGGCCAGCTCTGGGCGAAGGGCAAATATTTACAGCTCCACAGCTTGCCCAGGACCTCACAGGCACACAAAAGACTGGTGTGAGCCTTCGAATCACCAAAACAGAGGGCAAAGCTTGGTCTTCAATCAGGCGCCAGATTTAGGGTGAAGGAGTTCCCGAGTTTCTGCTGTTTATGCTGTCATCTGGACTTCCTTCGTCGTTTTAAGTGACGCTTATTTATAAATAAGCCATTCACTGCCCCAGAGTTTATGCATCATTTATTGTTGAGCTAGTTTATTATTTCTTCTTAACTTTCTGTTTTCTTTCTGGAGTGTTTGGGTAAAATCTCCCTCAGAGTCAAAAATATGATACTTGAATCAAAACTGTGGATGTTTTTGAGGCTCTGTTGAGTTAGTGGGTAGCATAAAGAAGGATGTTAAGCTTAGAGACAAGATGTTGATTTTGAACTTACGGAGAAAGGTTTGTTCCGGTGTTGGAGCCCTGCTTGGAACTTTTACCAACCTCAGTGCCAGCCTTGAGAACAGCAAAGGATGGTCTGGCCCAGAAGCTGCCCTAGATAGTTTCCCTGGCCTCAGACCCAGCCTGGCCTCAGCTGAGGCCTTAGGGAAGCTTGCTGTCTCTCCTTGCCCCGAAATTAACCCTCAGTGGCCCTTACTGAACGCTTTTGCTGTTCCTGGGTCAACCATAAAACTCCTCCCATTGGAAGCTGTTTAAGAACTTGTTTATTTCATTGGGCCGGCTCTCTGCTCCTGCTGGGTACTGTTTATTCTCTTCTAAAAGGCAGAAGGATTTATATGTCCTGGAAACTCTCATGTGCAACATTTTTATTTTCTTTTTAAAATAAGCCCTAATGTTTGCTTCTCTGTTATAAGCTGAAGGAGATTAGAAACACTCAGATTTTCAGTACCAGCTCTTCAGCAGCCTAGAACTTGCACAAATGATGTGGCATTCTTTAAATTATCTTAGGTTTCAGTTTTTTTGACACCTGCTGAACGCTTAGGGTTTGTTAGTGCTGTACCAGCATAGACGTTGTCTCTTCTGTTCTACCATGTGAGCTATATTAAGGATTCTCAAGCCTTAGCGTGATTGGAGTCACTGGAGAGCTTAACACAGATTCCTCAGTCTCACCCCTAGAGATTCTGATCCATTAGGGCTGGCCAGGGGCCTGATATTCTGCATTTCCAATGAGCTCCCAGATGATGCTGGTCCTTTAAGTAGCCGCTAAGCTAGACGAAGAGCTTACGCTCAGGTAGATATAGACCAAACATGTATTGGTCTTCACACAGTTATGGTTTCACTGGTCATTGTCTAAACACCTTCCTAAATTTCTTAAGACCAGGATAAAATTTTAAAACCCAGACTGCCTAGGCCGGGCTCAGTGGCTCACGCCTGTAATCCCAGCACTTTGGGAGGCCGAGGCAGGCGGATCACGAGATCAGGAGATCGAGACCATCCTGGCTAACACGGTGAAACCCCGTCTCTACTAAAAATACAAAAAATTAGCTGGGCGCGGTGGCGGGCACCTGTAGTCCCAGCTACTCGGGAGGCTGAGGCAGGAGAATGGCGTGAACCTGGGAAGCGGAGCTTGCAGTAAGCGGAGATAGTGCCACTGCACTCCGGCCTGGGTGAAAGAGCAAGACTCCGTCTCAAAAAAAAAAAAACAAAAAAAACCCAGACTGCCTAGCAGTTAAATGACAGGTAATCATAGCCTAGACAGGCATCTCTGATCTCACTGAGGCCACATCTGAGCTGCAGCAGACTTGGGATTGCTACACTTGAGTGAGTTAAAGAGTTCTGCTCCCAGCCTCAGTTTCCCATCCTGACTTACCCCCTGATTCTTAGAGCAAAAGCACTCCAGAGCAAACATCTTTTTTGCTTTTCTTTCTGGGAAAGGAACAATTCTGGACATAACTTTCCTTGGATTGATTGAAAAACTTGAGATACATCCTCGATACCTTTTGTTCTTTAACCTCCCATCCGGTCTGTCTTTGAATCCTGCGGATTTTACCTCCTAAATACATTTTGAATCTATTCACAGCTCTCCAGCTCACTCAAATGACCACCGTGGTCCAAACCAGAGTTTCTGAATCAGCACTGCCAACATTTTGGAATGGATAATTCTTGGGTGTGGGTGTGTTGTTGGTGGTGGTGGTAGTGGTGATGGGGGTGGGAGGCTGACCTGTGCATTGTAGGATGTTTAGCAACATCCCGGGCATCTACCTACCTACCTACTAGAGGCTAGTAGCGCTTTCCAAGTAGTATCAACAGTATTTGTGGACATTGCCAAACGTCCCTTGAGGGGCAAAATTGGCCTTTGTCTCAGACACTCTTGCCTGGACCATAACTCTTTCCTCTACAAATCTTCTTGCTCCTCTTCAATTCCTTCTTTACCTAGCATCAGGAATTAATCTCTTATAAATGTGTATCTTTTATCACTCTCCCTCAAGCCTCCTATGCTGTCCCATTTCTCTTGGTTGGCTATAAGGTCCAACATGCTCTGGATCCTACCGGCTTCCACCTGCCTGGATTCTTCTCCCCTTCATCCTCTTCTTTCAGCTTCTCATGTCTCTGAGAGTCGATGCATGTGCCCCTGAGCTCCTCTCTGCCTCCAGGCCTTTGCACTTGCTCTTCTGTCTACCTGGAACAATCTTACCAAGTACTCTGCACTAAATAACCTGCAAAATTTCCACTTCTCTCCTCTTGCCCACAGCCTTTCTGTCTGCACTTAGGATTTGCTTATCACTAGACAATGGTTCTTTCTATTCTCATCTCAGCTGAAGCATCACTACCTCTAGGAAGCCAGGCCTCTCGGACCTCGCAGACTACATCTGGTGCCCTGAGACTCTTACTTTGGTTATCCTCCTGCATGGCATTTATCATAGCTGTAACTAAATAAGTGGAAGAGTCTGTCTTGTCCAGTACCATGTCTGTGGCACTAATCCATTGCCATGTGCACTGTAAGCTCTTGATATGTATTCATTTGGTGATGAGTTCAAGATTGAAAGGCCTGTCTTGGCAGTCATCAAAACTTTTCAGGTTGCTAACCAAAAGTGGGCTCGTGTTTAAAAAGAATGAGTTTCTCCGTGATGACCCAGTTAACAAAATTGTTTTCAGGTTTAGGGGAGGCATTATTTTTGTTCCACTAGATCCACCCAGATCAAGTTTTATAAAGCCCCAAATCCTAGAAACTATTTTGTCCTTTTCAGAACTGGAAATAAGTAAATCTGATAGACAATTGTATCAAAAGGTGTTCCAGATGTCCAAACACTTTGAAATGTATCTGTTAGAGTATTCACCATGAAGTATATTTTGTTTCTGAAAAGCTCCTGCACAGGGCCATTCCATAGTATATCTAACAAAACAGCGCACTTCTGCTAAAAAAAAGTTACAGATTGTCACTTCTATTTCATTTCTGTGATTTATAAGGAAAATTAGGATTTGTTTTACAAATATGTTACCCAGCTACACTGGATTAAATGAGTATAACCAGACAATTTGAATTGGCAATTCTGTTGAGATTTGTCTGTAAGTGGCTCTTTCTGTGTTCAGAAATGGTGCTTGCCTCGCTATAAAAATATTTGATGAGTAAGAATCTATTTATAAGGCAATTATGCATTGGACCGTAGACCAAGGAGCTTAAAAGAAAAGAAAATAATATTCATTGAGTTCCACTGGGTGCCATACACTTAAGGTGCTTTCTGTATGTGCATACATTATCTTCTCCATGTTCTTCATTAGATAGACCTCTTTTTTTAATGGGAGTAGCAGATTATGAAAGATTAAGGCTAGAAGTTAGATTCTAAATGTAGAGCTGGGATTTGAACCCAGTGTGGCCCATCTCCGAGCTCACACTGTTACCAAAATAAGAAAAGAATTTTTTCCTGGGGCGGTGCCCTTCTCTGAAGTCTCACACAGGCTTTCAAAGCACCATTATTATGTATGCCAAGTACTGTTTGGATTGGAGGTGTACATGCATTATTTTATTTCATCCTCAGAAAGACCCTGCAAGGTCGGTGCTCTTACCCATGACTCTTTCCTTCCATTTTACAGATGAAAAAACAGAAGCTCAGAAAGTTAAATAACTTGCCAAGTGTCCTCCACTGGCTCATGTTAGTTTGCCTGTTGGCTTCTGGTCCATGAAATGTTTTCATCCCATACCATGTTCCCATTTACATAGGTCCAGTGTAGAGCACATGGAGTACAAAACAAAACAGATCCTGGCTGTGAAAGAGATTTAGGCTGGGCATGGTGGCTCACGCCTGTAATCTCAGCAGTTTGGGAGGCCTAGCCGGAAAGATCACTTGAGGTCAGGAGTTTGAGATCAGTCTGGCCAACATGGTGAAACCCAGTCTCTGCTAAAAATACAAAAATTAGCCAGGTGTGCTGGTGCACACCTGTAGTCCCAGCTACTGGGGAGGCTGAGGCAGGAGAATTGCTTGAACTCTGGAGGCAGAGGTTGCTGCGAGCCAAGACCAGATCGTGCCAGTGCACTCCAGCCTGGGCAACAGAGTGAGACCCTGTTAAAAAAAAAAATAGATTTAGACAAAAAAGAGATGATGTCCTGGATGGAATATGAGAACAGCTCTTTAATTTTTATCCTGGTAATTTTAAGAGTGGTTAACAGTAGGAATGAAGTGAAGTTCTTCCAAATGTATTCTGCAGTTTAGCTCCTCACATTCTCATACCCCTAGTGCCAGGCCCTGTGGTAGGCACCATTGGATAGAAAGGTAAAACTGAGCAGCTTTAACCCAGGGGATCAATCAGACACCCACATATGCCTTTGAAAGCACAAGTCTTACTATTCTTTGCTCACCCAAGCTTTTATGCCATGGGTTAGCCTCTGTCTCCCCTTGACTAATAGTGTCCTAATAAGCCTGTTACAATAAGAAAGGGAAGTGGTATAACATAATGATTACTCTTGTAAAGAAAATAACTACCAGATGGACCTGAGCAGCCATCTTTCTCACTCATTCCATCCATATATTTACAGGGAATTTAAAGAGCAGAGGCACCGCGTAATCTTTGTATGTTGCAGGCCTTGCAGCCACCCCATCCCCAGGAAGGGCAGTGATGAGCTTTTCCCCTGGCATCAGCAGTGTGTGTGCAGAGAAGAGTCCTGGGCAGGAGATCACCCCTAGTATTTTGCTAAAAGCTGTTTTTAGGTGCCCCGTGTCTTTGCTGTGTTTGGATAGGTGAGGGATGAAGTCCCATCAGATCGTGGGTGAAGGTTAGATGCAGGCGTTGGGTCCACAGGCTGACTCCAAGGTGCCCTGAATAGAGCTAGTGTATTGCGTGTGGTTAGTATCCATATCCTGGGATCAGCAATATTCGGGTTCATGTGTTCTCTTTGCCCTGTTGTTGAGGGCCCCTGGGAGGCTCTTCTAACCTTCAAGCCTTAATTGCCTCACCTCTAAAATGGGATCATAATATGCCTGTTGTTAGGGTTGTTATTAAGATGAAATGAGATGATGTACATAAGGGCACAGTAAGTCTTATCAAGCATTTCTTGACTGTCTATTAAGTGCTGGACACCTGTAGGATTTTAACATTTTTTCAAATAAATCACTGAAGAAAGTTTAGGAATTTAAAGCAGTTGTTATCTAGAAGAAAAGAGATTGTTACTCAATAATTTGGTTTCATTGTAAGCCTCCTGCTGCCCCTGAGTAACCCATTCTCTGGATTTCTATCCTCTGTCTGTTTTGCAGTGGTGGAAATGTGTGAAAGAGGGATATTCAAGTTCATTTGGGCTAAGATGTAAAGGTGGAGGGCTAAAGCTTATGAATAACATATGGGTTACAGAGTTGTTTATGTTTTTCCCACCCAAATTAACAAAGCTATGGAGAGACTGGCCAGAAAAACCTCCTACCTTCATGTAAGCAAGTGCACTTATGGTTTTTTAGATGAGTAGCCTTGCTTTCTATCTTAGTCTATTTGTGTTGACATGAAGAAATACCTGAGGCTGGGTGATTTGTAAAGAAAGAGGTTTGTTTGGCTCATGGTCCTGCAGGTTGCACAAGAAACATGGCACCGGCGTCTGCTCAGTTTCTGATGAGGGCCTCAGGCTGCTTCCGATCATGGCAGAAGGCAAAGACTAGCCTGCATGTGCAGAGATTACATGGAGAGAAAGGAGGCAATGGAGAGAGAGAGGAGAGAAGTTCCAGGCTCTTTTAACAACCAGCTCTTGCAAGAACTAATAGAGCAGAGCTCACTCTCTGCCCACCACCACCCTGGGACAGCATTAATCTCTTCATGAGGTGTCCACCCCCATAACCCAAACACCTCCCATTAGACCCCACCTCCAATGTTGGAATTAGATATCAACAGAGATTTGGGGGGACAGTCATCCAAACTATAGCACTTTTTTCTTTATTTAGGGAAGAAAATGCTTCTGGTTGGTAATTGGATGTATACATTTGAAAACCACTCTGTCTTAGGCCATTTAGGCTGCTGTAACAGAAATACCAGAAACCACTCTGTCTTAGTGCATTTAGGCTGCTGTAACAAAAATACCAGAAATTGGATAGCTTATAAACAACAGAAATTTATTTCTCGTAATTTTGGAGGCTAGGAACCCCTAGATCAAGGTGCTAGCAGATTCAGGGTCTGGTGAGGACCCACTTACTGGTTCACAGATGGCTGTCTTTCTGTTGTTGTGCTCACATAGTAGAAAGGGTGAGGGTTTCTCTCTTGGGCCCCTTTATAAGGGCACTAATCCCTAATCACGTCCCAAAGGCCCCACCTGCTAATACCATCACTTTGGGGATTAGGATTTCAACATATGAATTTTGAGGGCACATAAACATTTAGATCGTAGCACACCCCATAAGTAAGTGGAAGTGTTAAGATGCTGTAACACCTTAAAGGTTTGTTGGTGTCATTTTTGGTGAAGCATTGCTTGTGGTTGTTCACCAGAAAAGCAGATGAGTCAGTGACAAAAATGAGAGAGAAAATTTGAAATCAAGCTCGTGGAAATAAGAAATTAGACATTTATGGATTTTTTCAGGTTGTGTAAATATAGTAGCAGACTTTTTTAAACGAGGAAAGTACTGAAACGTCTTCTCATATTAGTTTTCAAAAATATCTCGTTTGGCTTAGGACCATGTGAACTATTGTGCAGATATTATGACTCTGGAAAAGCTCTTGTTTTTTTTTCTACCTGTTCCCCCATGCCCTTTGTCTCCCTTCATTCTCTCTACACCTTTTTCTGATGACAGAAACATCCTATTAATACTTTTGTTGAGTGTCTCATCCAATTTCAACTTAATTTCAAGCACCGTCCTTATGACTACCTTCAGTCTTAGGCTTTGGAACAGTTTCCTCTTATGTTCTTCTGCAAGAATCACTTCCTTAGAGCTGGGTTGAATTACAAGGCAGGGCTGGTCCAAACTGCTTCACCATTAAGAATTTTAAAGTTTTAACTACAAAGAGGACAAAAGCATCTGAGCATAGGGAGTGAAGACATCAGCAATTCTTCAGTAAAGAATTTCTGGCAGCCAGCTCTACCTCTTGGTCCCCTCAACTCCCATCTCTGCACATTTTTGCCTGGAAACAGCCAAATATACAGTGCTTTCATGTCACTAGTCAACAGACAGAGCTGTTTCCCAGCTGTGTGAAGACTAGTGAGTCTTTGTGAACTTTGCATAATCTGAGGCTGCGAGGTGTTACATCACACAGACTAGCGGTCAGTCAGTTACATTTCTCAAAACCTACTGGGCAGCTTTCCAGTCTAGCCAGTTCTCTGCTGTGAGTCCCACAACAGACATCATTAGGGAACACCTGTCCTTAGGCAGAAAAGGAGTTTTTAAAAAGAGTCCACATTGACAGTGGCGTGGATGGACCCTGTGAACCACCACACTCATTAGGAGATGTCTTGTGTCCAAGCTTTTGAGGCTGGATGGTTTGGAGGAGAATGGTGACAGAGTAATACTAAAGAGAAAAGGGACTTTGCCAATAGATGGTTCACATTCTTGGATGCTTAAAAAAATGCAGCCTCATAAGATGTCATTTTGACATTCAAATTACATTCAATTTTTGATTTTCCACTGTGACTTTTCTTCCCCCAACCAATTCTTATCCAATTAGACCTTGAGTTGAAAGCTGAGAAGATTATTTGGGGTAATTTTAACATTGATCTAATAGTTACATGTTCAAATATGATAGCAAAGCTTCTTTTAAACAAAATCAACTGTATCTTCTTGAAAAGTGAGCTTGCATTTCTGCTTGTGACTTGGCTTAGGCACTTTGGATGGTTCATGTCAGTGTTAAGGTCTGGATACCCACAACCCCTTCTCCAAGGTTAATATGTCCCTGCTTTTTCTTAATCCTAAAGACCTAAGCTTCTCCCAGGGAGATCCTGTGTTGCATTAGGGGCCCAGCTAACCTCTTGAATTGGGTTTGGGTGGGGGCTGGGGTCCTAAGTATCTGATAGAGCTTCCTGCCAAGCCCAAGGAAACAGATGTCACTGGGCTCCAGAATATGACCAGAACTGCCCTTCTGCACCCTGCATCCCAGGTTCTGTTGAGAACTCCTCAGTCTTCAGGGTCGGGGTTACTGAAGGGAAGAGACACTTGCCCTCTGGGAAGAGTTACTGAATAGAAGGCAACTCTGTGAAAGCTGCCAAGAAGGTGCCACTCCATTTCCATTTGTTGTTTTTCCTCTGTTCTTCACCTTCTTTTCGTACCAATCCATCGAGACCCACTGATATGGTAGAACTTGGAGCAGTCTGTAGTGTGTAGCAATCCCCAAGTACCCTGTACTCCCAGACTCCCCAGCTCGTTTCTGTCTCCACCGTTCCTAAGTTCACCGTTTCTTAGTCTTGATGTTTCTCCTATCCTGTTGTGAGCCAAAATCTGTTTCCCTTCCCCTTTGCTCCTGTGGCCATCCCCTTCCAGGTGTGACCATGTTATGTATGTGATTTCCCCTTCTCCTGGCCCACAGCCCACTTGGTCAGTATCATCTCCCTGTCATATCTGTGCTCTACTGAAAGTCCAAGCGGAGCTGCTCCCCTCGTCTTCCTTCCCATGGCTCCTCCCACCACCTTCAGAATAAAAATTGTCTACCTGGTGGTCACTCCACTGGTCCCCTAAAATGTGCCACTCTTTTTCCAGTCATGGAGAAAGATAGATACAGTTAGGAATATATAATGATATTTATTTACTTAGCTTTCAGGCCCCAGCTCTTCCAAACTTGCTTTAGCCTAAGTTAAAGTGAGATTAGGCATTCTCCATTGCCTAGATTTTGTAGAAGAGTAATGTATGTGGGAAAAGAGCATCATGACCTCGGTGTTGAACTATGTGAATGTCCAGCTTAACACTGTGCCTTGTGTTTTGGGTGCTAATTATTGGCCAGATGCCATACTGAGGCAGTCTTTGGGTATCTGTCTATCTCAGTCATGCATCCTAGTAACCTGGTGACATGAGAACTGGTGACATGAGAAGGAACCATTATCATTCCCTTTCTGTGGATGAGGAAACATCACAGGTTCTGACTCTGATGTTGCGCCAATCTGAGATTCCTGAAGACATCTTAAGTCCAGCCCTGAACTCAGAGAATCTCTCTCAAGGGACAATTAAGACAATGCCCAAAACACATTTCTCAGCCAGACAGCATCTTGCAAAGAATGTTTTTGAACAACCAAGTTCACCTTCTCTGCTTCCTTGCCAGATGCAATGGACATAATGGTCCCAGAACTTAACCATTATGCTGCTCCTGTCATGGCATAATAGTCTTATTATACTTTTCAGGGTATAATAGACATTCTTAATCTTTGCAATTATTATTGCATAGTCCAAAGAAGCCTTACTTAAAACTCTAATTGCCAGATGAATTAATTGTCTGATCCTTCATGCCAGGCTCAGTCTTTGGAGGCAGAAGGATTTAGAACAGGGTGCAAACATTTACCAGCACAGTACAAAGATCGTAGGCACCAGAGTCACATGTGGACCTGGGTTCCAATCGTGACCTTCCCACTTTGCCACTATGTGATCATGAGCAAGTGTCTGATTTTCCCTGAGCCTCAGTTTGTCCAGGTTTAGAGCATTGATACAATGTCTGCTTCGGAAGGCAAGTGTGTTTGTTGGCTTATCAGTTTCTATGAAGTTAGGCTCATTTCTCTCTTTGTTTTACTATGTTTTGAGACCATTGCAAATCATGGGTTATGATAAACTACCCAAACAGACCAATATTGGTTAAATTTTCCTGTAAATGAAAGATGCTGCTGCCTATCACAGTTACCATGTCTGTGAACAGTCGGGAAAGCAGCTTCGATAAGAGCCTTTGCCCTTATCCCATTTACACCTCTTTTCAATTGGTGGGATGTAACTGAATGATAATTATTTAAGTACCCTCTATCCTGAAGCATTTTGACCCTAGGAACAGGTTAAATGGGTAAGCAGAGGTTAATGTTAACATGTTAAATGTTTTATATGAAGACTATCTGTTTACAATCTCAATTAATACTTCTTGTGAAAAATTAGAAGTTAAACTAAAGTAGTTAAGGTTGTTTGTGGAGAAAGGAGTGAAAAGGAAAAACCAGAATCACGTTGTCAAAGAATAGCAATTAACCTTTGGTAATTAGTTGGAGAAATGAAAGGAATTCAGCCCAGACTGAACATTTTCTTTTATCCCTCCCTGCATCCTGTGTCGAATCTTCTACATGTTGCTTTACTACTGTAAATCAACTCTAAAATAGGCAATGCAGCCTAAAGCCAATGTCTGACACTTGTGGACAGTAGACTAGATCAAGATGCTTATAGAAAATAAGAACACCCTTGTTTCTCCCCAGCATTGCATCTGGCAAGAAAGCATAGAAGGTCAGCTTAGTTGTTCAGAAACATTCTTTGCAAGATGCTGTTTGGTTGAGGAATGTTGTATTTCAGACAGTGTCTTAATTGTCCCTTGGGAGAGATCTCTGAGGTCAGGGCTGGACTTAGATGTCTTCACACATCTCAGATTGGTTCCTTTGGAGATAAATAGTTCAGTAAACAGTTTGGAATTTTGTTCTGATACTGGCCTCCTGGGTAAGCCTTCCTTTGATAAGTTCTTTTTTGGAATTTCAACAATAAAACCATCTTGAACAGGACCTAAGATGTTGCTAACCCATGTGGAATTATTTTTTATATTCTACACAGAAAGAGAGTAGTATAGAAGTGTAATGAAGATGTAGGATTGGGAAGTATGGGTCTGAATCCCAGCTCAACATTTTACTAGCTCCTTAGCATGGGACAACTTTCTTAATCACTCTACCTCAGTCTTCCCACCTATATCATGAGGATGGTAATAGTGCAATTTTTAAGATTGGTTGGATTAAAAAATGAAATAAAGCATTTTATTGTCAGTATAGTTTCTGGCACATAGTTTGCAGCCAGTAAATGTTAGCTGTTATCATTGTCAATGCAATGTAATAAGATTATTTTCTTCTTCTTTTTTTCTTGAATAAGTGGTTATCACACAGTAGATTGAAGACCAATCTTTTAAATCATATGATTGTGCATTATTCTTTGTGCATCACTTGAGATTGTCAAACTAAAGCCATCTGCCTTGGATTACTGTGTAACTGTGCAGTTTCTATCATTGATTAATTATGAAAGCCAGACATGTAAGATATGTAAGATAACTTGCCAAATTCCCATGTATTTCTAACTTTTCACCCCTTTAAGATAGCAAAGTAAGAAATGGACTTAGTGAGATTTTCAGCGTCCTAAGTAGAAAGACATAAACTGTTTCAATTTGAAAATCATGTTTATATCTCAAAACTATTAGGTTGATTCTGGATTTTCTTTTAGAGCAGTGAAAGTTATTGCCTATTAACTTGTTACAGTTCAAATTGGTTATAAAGAGGGATAGTGTTGATAGATGCTTTTGATGGTGGTGCTGTTTGTCAGAACATTTTTTAAAAACCAATAGCCTGTCATTAAAGAGGCTCTGCTGTTTTTTGTTGGGTACAGTAACTTGATAGAGACTAGCTTCTTTTTTATATATAATTCTGTATTTTATATATTGAGTAAGTGACTCTTAAGAAATGAATGCTGTGTTGTCCTTATAGGACACCTAGTTCTTTCATCAGAAACAGAGTATCTTTTTCTCAGAATAAATTGTCATTTTTGTTTTTACAGTGTATTTCTAATTGATGTTGAGGCTCACAAGAAAGTTCTGAAAATGTCTTTAATTTGGTTGTATAATAACTACTCGTGAGAAAGGGGTTGTGGTTATTAAGACTTTAAGCATGGAGATAATTCTACATGGTGAAGCCCATTGATCTTTCGTAATATTTTTTTAGCTCTACTGGGCACAGTTCTCCTGGCAAAATGTGAAACCAGAGTTGCACATTGACAGCCATAGCAATAAATGAAGCGGTGCTCCAGAAAACTCACAGGGCACTGCAGGTAGAAACAGTACTTTCCTTTGCCAGTGTGGTTGAGTCAGAGAGTTGCATTCATGCCTTTCCAATGTGGCCATTTATTTCCCCAGAAAAGGTAGAAGACAAAAGTTTGAACAGAAAGCAAAAATGTCAGAGTAAAATCTCTCTTGTCATAAGCTGTCAGTGTTATGTTTAAAACAGCTTATTAAATATTTTATATTTAAAAGAAATACCACATTTGAATACTACCATGTTTAAATAGAAAACGTTAAGTGAAGCAAATGCCGATTTATAGGCAGTACACAGGCTGTGATGTTTTGCATATCATCCATATAATTGAAAACTGTCAAAGGTGTATCAGCGAGTTGAATGTTTATGTCAAAGAATATTACGTGACAGTTTTCACATAAGGTTAAATCTATTTTTATCTGTCTGCTGTCACTTGAGAGTGTTAGTTGAGAACACTCTCCCTGGCATCTCTGTTGCCTTTGACTGTCGAACACTATGCTCTGTGACCTGCCTGGGTCACTTCTACTTTTTTGATTTAAAGGTCACATTGACCAGCCTTAAACAGAGTGCTTTCTGTTAAACAGCTCTGCGTCTCGTGTGGATTGGACAGTAATTACTTTGTGAAAATGCCCCCTCCCCCTTTTCAGTAAGATTCAGGATTTTTTGTTTTCTGTGTGTGTTTGCATCTCACTTTTCATGCACTATTTTTCCCCAAGTCTCCCAAACAGAGATGGCTATTGATGGGCCATGCATGCACTCACACTTCCGAAAGAATTGCTATTTGAACCTTTCATGACATGACATGAATGCTGCTGTTGAGAATGGTTGAGAAACAAACAGAAAGTAGCCGTCTAGACAGCCTGCGTACGATGGGCCGGTCAAAAGAAAGATGCATTTGCAGACCAAGGTGTCATTCATAGAAAATGTTCATTGGGCATGTCTGGACATCTCCAGACATTCTTAGGTGGTCATTCCAGGGTTAGATGGTATCTAGAAATGTTTATAAGCCCTTAAACACAAGACAGAATTTCAGATTGGGTTCCAGAAGTTTCCTTGGTTAAACTTCCCAAGAGATAACAGGATTTGTAATGATTAGCTGAGTAGTCCTTGAGTACACTTAGATAGAAGGAAAATTCCTACCATCTATTCCCTGTTGGTAAATAAAAGTTTGATCTCATTTGTTACCTGCAGGGCGAAGAAACCAAAAGTCTGACTCTTGTCCTGCATCGGGACTCCGGCTCCCTGGGATTCAATATTATTGGTGGCCGGCCGAGTGTGGTATGTTAATTACTAAAATGTGTTTTTCCTTTTCCTGGTGTAGCTGGAAAGAGAGGTCAAGGTTTGAAGGGGACAGTGAGGAGCAGGAAACTTTGCTCACTTCATTCTGCTCTCTGTCATTAGAGGGTTCATTGGCTGTCTAACATCTTCACACTTAGGGATTTTTATTGCGTAGTCTCCTAAAACAGCATTGGCCTAGTAATATAACAGCTAATTTAAACTGTTTGGTTTTGGGGGTGCATTTCTTTTTTTGTTAGGGGGTACATTTCTGTTTGTATAGCAGTTGGGCTGAATGAAGTTGCGTGAGATGTGTGCAGTTGGAACTGGGTAACCAGCCACCGTCCTAGACCGAGCTGGAGTGTGGTGCTCCAGACTGGAAGCCTGATCTTGAGTTCTGCTCTGTCAGCTGTTCATTAGTCAGAGACAATTCTCTAATTTGTGGGTGACTGCATCCCTTTGCTTTCTCTTCCCACTGCAGCTCTTTGACCACCACATTCATCAGCAGACCCTCCTCTAGAAAGAAGAGGCCGAATTCAAATCTGCCAGTTTAATTATGGGGAAAATGTTCAAAGAACGGGCTCCAGAGAGTAGCAGTGGATGTGTTTCAGAATCTCACACTTCAAGGGGGATTATCTGAATATGTCCCATCCTTTACCCTTTTCTTTTCCTGACCATCTCCTTGTTTATTAGCTTAAAAGGAAAGTAGTTAAAGGAAAAGAAAACAAAAATCTTTCATTCAACAAATAAGTATTGAACATAGGCTGTTTGCTAAGGGCCAGGAGATACAATGGAGGCCAGAAAGACTGAGGCCCTGTGGTCATTGAGTCCTGGTGGGGATGTCAGACAAGAAACAAGTGAATACAATAATTAGAGATTGGATTGGAAGAAGTATGATGAAGGAAAAAAAAATGGGAGGATGGCACATGGCAGATACCAGCCAAGAAGCAAAGGGTATCATTAGCTTGGGTTATCAGGAAAGACAAGAGGAGATAGTAGTAAACAGAAACCTAAAGGACGAGAAGATGCCAGCCATCCAGATAGGAATAGTGTGTGCCCTGCCCTCATGGAGCTCACCTCCAGATGGAGAGACTGATGAGTTGGGAGAGCATAGCACTGCTCTCATTGATGTACTCTGTGCCTGCCCACAGCTAATGATGCCCTGGGATGAGTTAACCCTGCGGGAGGAGGTGTCCTGGGGAGGGGCCGTTGGAGCTGAGTTCAGAAGGTTGAACAGGAATTTGCTAGATCAGAGGACCATATTTTATTTGTATATATAATGTGTACACAGTACCAAACGAATACATTATGTGCCTTATAAAAAGTTACGTACAAAAGGGAGTATTTTAAATAATGAAATTAAAATATGACTATGAAGAAAATGTGAAGTATGTTCTCCTGCCATTCCAATGCATTGTGTTACACGCATTCACCTGTGAAGACCCCTGAGCTAGAAGAAAGCGGTTGGACGCTGGGGTTTTGCAGGGGTGGGGATTGGCGCTCATACAAGGCCTGGAGCAGGAACAGAGTTGGGAACTGGGGGAGCTGCAAGTAAGCAGAGTGTGGAAAGAGTTGAGGGATGGGCAGGGAAGTGGCCAGAAAGAGGCCTGGTGAAGAAAACAAGGGCTTGACCCCAAAGGGCCTAAGTCTTGAGTCTGGGATTTAAATTACCTAGGGCGGGAGTGGCCAACACATGGCTTCAGTTGAAGGGAATGACACAAAGAGATTTATGATTAAATTCCCTTTGCTTTTAGCCCATTCCACAGTTTCAAAAAGAAACAAACAATGGCTTATTATAAGAAACAACAACTTAATTATGTGTTTGCAGTTGTTAAAATGATGAACATTATCTGTCTTATCAAACATACATATAAAAAAGAACATTTTAAATGGTGAGACTAAATTGTAAATATGAAGGTAGATGGGGACAGGGATAATTCCCACTTTATTGAGCCCCAGGGATGTCATCACATGGTTGTATTTCTTGCATTCGCTCTGTGGAATTCTTAAAAAACTATAGAACCGCGTGAGGTTGGTATATTTTTATTTTTTCCTTTTACCAGTTGTCTGAGATCCCAGGCTGCATGTCATCATGTGCTGTTCTGATTTAGTCCTTGCTGCCAGGGGTCCTCCGTACTCTCCAGCCTTCGGAGGGACTGAGGGAGCAAACTGCACTCAAATATCTAGACATTTGGCTCCAGGAAGCAGCAGGGTCAGACTTGAGCCCGTGGTTCAGAACATGAGCCCATGTTCTACAACTTACCATCAAGAACATGTTTTGCCATTTAGCACAGATGAGTTGGCTGTTCCTTGTTTACATTCATAATTATTCCTCCACCCTTTGTTACCAGTTTTGAGAAACAACTTTAATAAATTAAGATTCACTTCACAATTAGGTGTTTCACAAGCTATAGCAAACAAAAGAACCCAAACCAAGAAGACCTATTCCCTGCCCCAGGTCTAAACCACACCAAAGCCTACTGTTGGAAATTGCTCAAAATGGAGAGGCCTGTGGCCAAGTGATTGTTGGGAAACCTACTGTGTTAAAGCCAGTGAAGATGGTGTTCAGTTTCCACACTCACCAGGTGCAAAATGACATTCCAACCCCACTGGAATACAGTTCTTCCCTGTGCTTATCAAAGAGCATGTCTAAGTTATTTTCTTTTTCTTTTTTACAAAAGGTGCTTTAAGTACAAGCCAGACCTGATTTTGTAGCTTGCATTAGTATTTTCAATTTATGTGGTCTTTTTGCAAGAACTGCCTGCATGGTCCCCAGAGGAAAATTTAATTCCATGTGCATGTGTTTGCCATAGTGTTTTTCAAAATTTGCCCTGATTAGCAGAAATAGCATCATGAAACCTGAATGTATTCTGCACTGTTGCCTGGAAAATCTGGCAGGTCATTGAGTACATGCTAAAAAGCCAAGATGAGCAACAATGCACACACGTTGTTAGTTACTAGAAGAATACAGTACAAATGATGTCTGTGTTTCCCAAGGAATTCCTGTGTTAGATGCTTGGTTGGGTTGTGAAATAGCCCAGCCATAGCTCTGACATAAGGCTTTTCATTGCATGATCAGTATGCAATACTCTTAGCAAAATCATATCATTCATTTGTTAGTCCTCATAACCCTAAAGAAACAGCAGCTAGTCTGTTGTATCAAACCTCTCACTTAAGCCTTTGGGAAGTGTACTTTATCGTTAGGTACCCTTGCTATGAAAACAATCCCCTTTCATTTCTCTCTTACTCAAGGCAGCAAAACAAAATAAATTCCAAGTCATATTAGTTCACCTTGATAAATAGCTGTAACTAACTCTCTTAGGAGAGGAGCCAAACAAACTAAGAATAAAGAGATGCCTTTTAAGAGAGAAATCTAGCTTTTTTTTTTTTTTTGAGACGGGGGTCTCACTCTGTCACCCAGGTTGGAGTGCAACGGCACAATCTTGGCTCACTGCAACCTCTGCCTCCCAGGCTCAAGCCATCCTCCCACCTCAGCCTCCCAAGTAGCTGGGACCATAAATGCTCGGCTAAATTTTTGTATTGCTAGAGATGGGGTTTCACCATGTTGTTCAGGCTGGTCTTGAATTCCTGAGCTCAGGCGATCCACCAGCCTCGGCCTCCCAAAGTGCTGGGATTGCAGGTGTGAGCTGCCATGCCTGGCCTGCTTTATGTGCTTTTTGCATCCTTCCCCACCCCTCACCACTGTCTCAGTTTAATCTCACTGCTGGTGTTTGTTCTTGCTTCTTCCTCTCTGATTTTTGCTTGAACTTTCTAGTACTCCTTAAGAGTTATTACTTATGTGCAATGTGGTATTTTGCAAAACAAACGAAAGCCAAAATCCTATCCCCTATCTCCCTCTTTCTCTCCAGCCAAGAAATGCAAAGTGGTTAAATCAGAGTAAACACAGATCTCTTTTCATTTGATATATTGACATCACCTCTTAGGGAACTCAAGCTTGTTCATAAATCTTTTGTGGTCCATTGAGACTCTTCAAGTTCATCTAGTGGAATATTCCATAGCCTGAAATGTTGGACTTCTGAATTCCTGTGTGTTTTGAGTTTTCTCAGTGGGAGACAATATTGCACACAGAGCATGTAATGTGCAAGAGGATCCGCTTCGCCTCAGTTTGAAACTGAGCCATACCACTTTTTAGCTGTGTGACCTTGGATGAGTTTCCGAACCTCTCTCAGTCTCAGGTTTTTCACCTGTGGAATGGGTAATAATAGTACTTACCACTTGTGGTTATTGTGAGGATTAAACAGTGCACATAGAGCACTCACTATGTACCTGGTACCTAGTTTGTGCTCAGTAAAGGAAGCTGCTTTGCAGCTTTATACATATATTTCAGGTGTGCATGTAGGGAGCTACACGGATGTGTTCAGACTAGTGCCTCAGTAAGGCTGCCGTGAGAGAGGAAGGAGGCACAGAGGTATTCAGATGGTAAAGGGTTAGTGTGCAGGAGGTCTGTGCAGAGCACTGTGATGCTAGGCAGGGATGCCTTTTGAGGATAGATGATCCTACACAGCACCCACAGGCTCCCTGACCCTTCTCTTGGAAGAGCGTTGATGGAATCCAGATGCCAGTTAGAGACATATCTTTGTCATGTGGGGATAAATGTCAGGAAAAACACTTAATGCTCATTTTAGGTTGTGATTTTGGTTTCTTTTGGTGAATCATATAACATTTTACTCTGTGTGTGTGTGTGTGTGTGTGTATGTGTGTGTGTGTGTTTGGGGAAGTGTGAAGAAGGAAGGAGAGAAGGACTGAGAAATGTACATTTTTCCAAGCTTAGTTATTGCTGTTGCATTTGAAGGGGTAGACTGAATCACACTTGAAGTCGTTTCCTTCCCCCTTTAGAATATAGGGATTGTTTTTTGGTTTTGTTTTTTGCTGTTTAAAGTGGAAAATGTTTTATTTGAAGAGTTATTTTTAACAAATGGAATTTTTATGTATTTGTATTCAGAGTAATTGTTATTGAAATAAATCTTCTAATGACATACGGCAAGGAATTTACCATGACTAGATTTTGGAGTTTTTGTGGAACATTCTGAGCTTACATTTCAAATGATTTTGTTTGGAAATATCACATGCTTGTGCCATTTAATTTATAAATCCATCTGTTAATCACTAGAAATTTAATCCGTACACTTGGAGAGAATTCATTGCAGTGCTGTTTGAAAAGAAGTTCGTGAACAAGCTGTGAGGGTTTTTTATGAGCTTGTTGGAGCCTTTTGATTTTAAGGAAAGGAAGGAGTTTGAACAGTGAGCTGTCTTCGTTCCCAGAAAGTTTTAGTTCTGACATTTAATTCAAAGATCTAAAGAGATTCAAGGAGGTCAGAGATCAGAATTTATTAGGACTAGAGTGATGGTAGTGCATCGGAACAAAAACAAAATATCTGTTTTCACAGTCAAATTATTAGATATTTACAAGTTTAATAACATTCTGTGCAAATGAGGATGTGGGAAAACACTCTGTCTAATGAACAATAAGTATAAACTCTCTGAAAAGCCATTTGGCAATATCTTTGAAATGTACATATCCTTTTACCCAACAGTTCCATTGTTAGGGATTTGCCCTAGAACTATAATAGCAAAGATAATTTAAAATACAAGTAGGAGAGTATTATCACAGCATTGTTTAATCACAGCAAATGAAAACAGTGTTTATTAGCCTCATGTTGGATACTGTTCAGTCACTTTAAGAAGTAAGGCAGACACGAATTGGTAGCAGAAGATCTTCATGATTTTTAGAGTTAAATGAGAGAGGCAAGGACATAAGAGTCAGACTAGCATAATCACATTTGTATGCAAAAAGGAACAAATGCATATTTAGGAATATGATGTGTTAAAATGTTTTCAAAAGGATGCATAAAGTCAAATAGCTACCATAGGCGGGGGAAGAAGGACAATGGGTTGGAGATGGCAGGGATGCATCATTTTATGTCCTTTGGTGTGGTTTGAAATATTTTACTGTGTGTGTATTTTAGTTTAAAACAGAAATTAGGAGAAACAAATACCTTTTACCCTATTGCCACTCTTGACACAGCAAGAGTCAATTACTGTTTTAAGAGTGCAAGCTTTACTTTCATGCTCAACTTAATGCCTAGCATTCATGCATGTTTTTTTTTTTAACCCAAAGGATAACCACGATGGATCATCCAGTGAAGGAATCTTTGTATCCAAGATAGTTGACAGTGGGCCTGCAGCCAAGGAAGGAGGCCTGCAAATTCATGACAGGATTATTGAGGTATGTGAATACTGGCCAGTGTCTTTGAATAGGCTGAATGCCATCCCATCTTCGTCTAGCTCAAAGCAAGATGTTTGACTGGGGAGGGAGGCCTAAAGTGGTAGATGGTTGAGCGGGAGTCTCACTTTTCCCATTGTGTGGGACCAGATTGAGTGTTGATTGCCTTGGTGTTAAATTTTTGTTAAATGTAGAAAAGCCAGATTATGAGTGGAATGTTCACAATTTGGCTTTTTTCATGTGGACCTCAATCTGTTTCGTATGCATCAGTTACAGTTTCGCGCGAAAACCGTTGAAGAGTTGGATGTTAGAACCAGATGAACGAACCCTGTTGTACAAATTGTGCACCCTGTTCATATTGATTACCAGGGTACAATTGTGTCAGCTTTGGAGTCATTCTAATGTCCTCAGAGCTCACACAGCACACACTTATTTCTACAAATGCATTGTTCTCTCTGTTAGTTTGTCGTCTTTGCCTGTTGTTAGTTGTACAACCTGATTGCCCAGGGATTTGCAGGCAGAGGTTGATATTAGGGTTCACATATCATCACTTACTCCATTTTCAGTTCGTCATTCATCATTTCAAACTTTTATACAGCAGGTTTGTAGACTCATGTAGGGGAAGTGGATCTCTCAGCCCCACCAGACAACACTTTGTAACAGGGTTGCAGTGTTCTAGGATGCTCTGAGTCACTAAAAGGGAGAGAATGATTTGTTGCCTTCTCATATGGGCTCTTGTTGCAAAGTTTGATATAAATGAGTAATTTTTTACTGGTGTTTTGACCATTTTCATAGCTCTTTGGATGGATACACATATGGGCTAAATTGATTGGCTTTCCTATTAGGCAAAAAGTAAATTTGAGAATCCACGATGATATGCCAGACCCCACAAGAAATTCACCCATGGGCCACAGCCGTAATATAGTGCAAATAGAAGAAACCAGAAAAACAGCACCGATACCAGTGGGTGTTTGTTTTCCACATGCATTTTTATCATGTCTGTATTTCCTGAGTATTTTCATGGCCTATTTCAAAATTTAGGACTGAGTGGGAGCTAGGACCACGAGCTAAGCCATAAGTGAAGTTCACATCACTCACTGGAATGTGGCCACAGGCTTCTCCTGGGGAAAGGAGCCTCAGCAAGACAGAGAACAAAGTCTTGCATTTCCAGTCTCATCTGGACACATTCTGCAACGTGCAGTATGCTTCAGGATAATTTGTAATCCTCAGGAAAATACACAGTTAAATCTCACAGGGAAAGCAAACTGAACTAGTTAGGGTGTAAGGCTCCCTCCTCGGAGGGAGTGTGATGTGCTAACTTACATGCTAAAATGATACTTGATTTTGTTTTAAGGACATTATTAATATTG
This sequence comes from Homo sapiens, assembly GCF_000001405.40. Lineage (NCBI taxonomy): Eukaryota > Metazoa > Chordata > Mammalia > Primates > Hominidae > Homo > Homo sapiens. The sequence goes on along the minus strand of NC_000003.12, from coordinate 73,600,986 downwards.
TTGCATCCCCTTTGAATGTTTGAAGGGTTCTTAAACTTGGAGCTTTTTTTGCTGCATGGTTTAGAGTCAGTCTTTGTACTTCCCAGGTCAGGAGACTGGATTTTCCCTAACAGGAATTTGCTTGGGCAAGAGTGCTTTCTTAAGAGCTCAAATGCGTTACTTACTGTCTTTTTTGAGAGTGAATACATTTTCTGAGACTATTGTTCAAAAAGATAAGTACAGCTTCCGTTGCCAAGGGTTTGGTGGAACAGCCAGTTTCTCTAAGTAATGGAATTTCATTGCTCTTGTGTTTTGCAAATGAGAAATCTACAGCTGGGCAGGATTTTCTCTTGGCAAAGGATGATCTGTATTTGAAATGTTGAGTACGGTTTCTGGTAAGTCACATTCCTATTTTGGACAGTATGTAAAATATTAATCATGTAGTGTTGAGATGGAAAGAAGGATGACCACAATAGAGAAACGATATATGTATAATTGCAATTGACAACACTGTGCCTTTTGCAGTCAAATTCTAATCTCTTTTGACATGATACAGTGATTCCCATGACTGAAAATATGTTCTCTGGTTTACCTCATCTGCGTCTGAGTTTATTACCAGGAGGCATAAATGTGATTATTTTGAGAGAGAGAGAGAGAGAGAGAGAGAGAGTGTGTGTGTGTGTGTGTGTGTGTGTGTGTGTGTTTCATTACTAAGAAGAGTCAAAGTCTCTAGTTTTCCACCAGATGTCTTCTTTTTCAGGGGAATGGGCAAACCACCACCAGATCTTCACCGTAAGACCCTTAATTCTTGCAAAGGGGTATTATTAAATCCAGAGATACTAATTGAGTCTTTTCTTTGCTGCAGAGTTCCTCTGCTCTTAATGGTATCTGTTCTCTGAGACCAGAGCAGCGGCTCTTACCCACATCGGTGCCAGCCCAGCTCCTCCCTGTTTTTTTATAAGAAATATTTTGGAATTCCACCAATACTGTGGTGAAATGAAATTTACAAGTAACATTTATATGCATACATACACAAATAATTGTAAAAATATATAGGCTGTTGCATAAAAGAAAATCAAAGGAAGATAATTTATAATAAAATATATCAATATGCCAGTGTTCTGGCACAGTGACATTAGATACCATGGCACTGTCAGATGCTCTCACATCTGTGTAGACTCACTGGGATGCACCTTATGTGGCTGCAGATGCTGCCAGATACAAGAGGCATCTGCTGGTGGCCCAGGCGCCATGAATGGCCTTGCCGTACAGGATGTGAATTTCCATGGTAGTGAACAGGTCATGGTTAAATTCTGACACAGGCAACTACAGTGTTGCTTTGATTTATACAAGAGTTGCATTTCTTGAAATGTCCGTGTGTGTATATGTATATATGGCAAGACATACATGTGGCAAAATATACATAACAGAATTTACCATTTTAACCATTTTAAATGGTTATGCAGTGGCATAAACTACATTGATTTATGTTGCAGAACCAGTACCACCATCCATCTCCAGAACTTTTTCATCTTCCTCGACTGAAACTCTACACTCACTAAATACTAACTCCCTCCCCACCTCAACTCCTAGAAACCACCATTCCACTTTCTGTCTCTAGGAATTTGATTTATAAACGGAATCATGTAGTATTTGCCTTTTGTGACTGGCTTATTTCAGTTAGCATAATGTCCTCAAGGTTCGTACATGTTGTAGCATGTTATAATTTTCTTCCTCTTTAAGGCTAAATAACATTCTGTTGTCTGTATTTACCACATTTTGTCCATTCATTCACCCAGTGATGGACACTTGGGTTGCTTTAACCTTTTGGTTGTCTTGAATAATGCTGCTGTGGATGTGGGTGTACAATGTGTGTATGTTTAAACTGCCAAAAACTCTGTTGTGTTTATATGTAAAACAGAGCTAGGTCTATGCTCAGGTAATTATAAAAAGCTTGTTATTTTATCTTCATGACTGTCTGGTGGGATATGTGATAGTTGTGCTGGAGGCAGAACCATTCTTCATTGCAGGAGATTCTTCGTGTCATCTCTGGCACATACCCCTATTGTTGTGATGGTGAAAAATGCCCCTGCAGATTGCTGAAACTCCCACTGGGGAGTGACAGGGACATCAGGGACAATCACTGAGGTAGAGGTTTGACTTATTCCAAAACCTTGAGATAGGAATTGAGTTGCTCAGGGACAGAGATGTCAACATCCCTTTCTTCCAGCTAGACTGCCTACATGATGTCCCCTATTTGGGTTCCCTACATGAGTGCTCCCAAGGCCTGGTAAGAAAGCCTGAGCTGGCCTGTCCTGGGGCTGTGGCTGGGAATCTGGGGCCCCCTTAGATGAAGTGCCCTTCCAGCCCACATGGCTGCAGGGCCCATGCTGTCCCCTGGAATCCTGTGTGTCCATCTGCCCTGGGCTTGTTGGGCAGACTTTGGTCATACCTATTCCATCTCACATTTGGTACTAGGATTCAGCAAGTTCTGACTTACTCAGTATTGGCTTCTGATTTTTTTGTGTCTTCCCTGCACTCCTCTTACCTGTGAGCTGTCCTGGTCCTTTTTACAACTTCCGACCCCACCTTTGATTGCATATACTTATTGCAGTTAGAAAACTAAATTTAATTTCTCCCTGATGTCTTTAATATTCATTCGAAACTGTAAATATCTCAGTGCCTTTTGTTTTTCTGCCTCTGAACCTACTGTCTGAACTATATTTTAAAGACAATGCAAGGTTCCTATACTTTAATATCACCAGATTTCTTAAAGGAACTATGCTCATATTCTTTCAAATAGTTTGAGAACTTTGGAAAAATTTTCCCAGTGCCCAAAGTGTGGGTTATCCAACTGAGGCAGATTTCCTCATCCACAAACACACCACCTTTCTCTGTGGACTCTGGAGTCTACTTTAGGCCAATCTTACTCTACTGAAAGTTATTTAGGAGAAGGCAAAAATGTGAAAAATCACATAAGATCAATATTACCCTCAAAATTCTCTTAGGGATGTGACACGTGGAGAACATACCATCTCTTCGTAAGTCCAGCCAGCTGGTTTTGCACAGCATTGGATCACCTCACTGTTTCTCAGTTGACTGTCATATGGAGTTTTTGGATTGTTCTGTGAATACCTCATTTGACAAAATGCTCACACTGAGAAAACACCGAGAAACTGAGGCCTACTAAGAAACCAGCAAATTCACTTTGAGGCATGTGCTGTTCAATATATTATTTCTCTCTTCATCTTTTTTTTTTTTTTTTGGTCATGGCTTGCCTATAAGTTAAACACTCCTCTGATGCAACTCCACTGAAATTCTTTCTCAAAGACTTGTAGAGGCCATCCACATCTATATTTCTTGCCAGTCTTCAAGCCATATGGCTTGGAGAACCAAGCTCATTTTTGTGTTACAGGAGGCTTGCCTTTGGTGATAAATGAGTCTGTGTAGTGATTGCGTGGGTTAAACGCTGTTCTGCTTTGAGCTAGCAATCTTGATTCCCTGGATCCAATGAAAGTGGGAGACTTAAGCCCTCTATTCCCAATAACCATTATTTCGTACAATCTTCTGTAAATATGCATTCATCTTGCAAGTGTTATGATTTGAAGACCCGAGGATATGATTACAGAAGCTGTGGAACCTCAAAGGCTTTTGTGTAAACCGGTCATTCTCTTTTTTTGTTTATTTTTGGTTTAGTTGGACTGTCATTGCTAACAAGGTTTGTTACAGGGTCAGCTAGAAAGGATTAGCAATGCTTTCCCTCCCAGAGCCAGGCTACTTGGTGGAACAAAGTGAGATTTCACTGCTTGTGATTATTAGGTGAGAAGATACTGTTCTGAGACCCACTAAAGTTGCAAAATGGAATGTGAATTAAGCTGGAGTATTTATTTAAAAATAAAGTAATAGAAGACTCCCCTTTAAAAAATGTTTCATTTCGACATAATTTCAGACTTGTAGACATGGATTTCTGTACACCGTTAACCCAGATTCCCCAAATATTAACATCTACTACATTTACTTTATTCTTTTCTTCCTCTACTCTTTATCACTAAATTCATCAGTGTGAACTTTTTAGGAATAAGACATTCTCATATGTAACAGTATGGTAATCTAAACTAGGAAATTCATGTTGGTACAAAACTGTTATCTAATCTTCAGAATTTATTCTGATCTTGCTAATGGTCCCTATGATGCCCTTTATAGCAAAATAAAACCACTGTCATGGGTTGTATTCCATTTTCATATTTATTTAGTTTCCTTTACTTTATAACAATTGCTCAGTTTTTGTCTTCCATACCATTGATATTTTTAAAGACTCCAAACCAGATCTTTTCTGGACTGTCCCTTAATTTCTGTTTGAAGTTTCCTCATGGATGGATCCAGGTCATACGTTTTGGGCAAGAATACCACAGAAGTGATAGCATGTCCTTCTCAGTACATAATGACAGGTCTCACATGAGGTGAAGTTGTCCCTTTATGTTAACTTGAACCACTTGGTTAAAGTCGTATCTCTCTGTCTCCACTATAAAGTTACCATTTTCTTCTTTATAATCAATAGTTATCCTGTAGGTAGATGCTTTGAGGCTATGTAAATGTCTTGCTACTCCTCAAACTGTCACACACTGGTTTTATCATCCATTGACTGTGTTTGGTTGAATCTGTTATTGTGATGATTGACAAATGGTGATTTTTCTAACTCCAATCCTTCCACATTAGTTGACTTTCCGCTATAAGAAGTAGTATTCCTTTTTCCCCTATTTAATCTGTTTATCTGTCTGTCTCTTCCTCTGTCAATATGGACTCATGAGTTTTTATAATTTGGTGGTCACATTGTCCCAAGTTTTGGCCCAATGGAGCTCTTTCAGGCTTTTAACCTGTGTTATTTTGACATGTTCCCATCATGTTTTGAGCACTTTCCTACTTCCTGGCACAAGATACTCCAGGTTAATCTTCTGTCCTTGCTCCACTTCTGACATGTGCATTTTTTTCAAGGACCTCTAGCTTCATTTAGTGGAGAATAGTGTTTAGAAACCAAAATATGGGTGCTAGGGTGCTCATTATGATTGAGATTTCATTGCTTCTAGGCACCTTCAGCAGATAGAGCTAGAAAATGTAAATATGTAATATAAACACATGTACACATGTACCACGATAATAACATATACATCTGTCTTTCTGCATTCATCCATCTGTATATCTTGGAAACTATGCCTATATCAATACCTCTAATTTCAGTCCAAGTCAGTTTGTAATCCAGTTTGTAATTCCTAGAGGAATCCTTTTTAAAATACTGATCCACGTGCTTTTTTCCTTTGAATTAAATCTGTGATCTTTGCTTAGATGTTATCAGTGAATTAAAAAATTATTGGTGAAAATTGTTTAAAGTGTTTTAATTTTTGGTTTGGTTTTGGAGAAAAAATATGCTGTAAACCAAATGATTTTGTAATTATATATTTTTTCATTTTCTTTCATTTCTTTAAGAAAGACTTGATATTTCTTGCTTAACTATACACAGGAAACTTATTTTGCTAAACACACACAGATATGCATAATCCATTTTTGGTTAATGTTAGAAATAAACACATGAGGCTATACTCCTCTCCTTCACAGGGACTGATCCCCATTTACCATATTCAGCAGAGGAGTATGAAAAGTTTGATAGCAGTTATCCACTTAAGAAGTAAAACCTATTCATGTTATTTGAAATCTCTGTTTTCTTGGTTACCCAAATATTCTGTTTTGATTAAAGAAACTTGATATAATTCAAGCTGCGTTGAGAAGATTCTTTGTTAGCTGCAAAAGTAAGCAGATTTTAGAGATCAGTTATTAGTAATGGACTCCAACTCTCCGTTTCCAAAGGTGGAAGCTAGAGTTTCTTCTTATATATCAATTTCAGTATACATAACGACAATGACATCACCTTGGATTATGGTGTCAAAAAATTCTGAGGACATTCCTGGATTGAGTGGAGATGAGCATTGTGATCATTTATTGATGTTTGTCATGGGCACATAAACAAGGAGAAGGGTGACTTTTTGCTGTGTATTTGCTATCTCTGGATAGACTCACTTAAATGATGTTTTTGGAACTATTGCATTGTCATTTGGTAGTAATGACTGTCTTTTCACTAGCATAGCTGCACTCTCAATAAGTCAGTACATCTCCATCTTTTTAGTCTCCACTTGTAAAATAAAGTGAATATCATATTTTCCCCTCTCTTATTTCCCGATTTAGCCACTTTTATCACTTTTGCTTTACCTTAATAGTCTTTACTACAGCAACAGAAGACTCTAACACAGGTAAGACTTCTCTGAAATGCAGCTGATCTCCTTACTATTAGAAGGAACATGTTGAAATGGAAAGAACCATTTAGATTTAAATCAGGAGACCCAGGTTTAAGTCTCCACCCAGGTATTCACTCTGGTGTTGGGATTCTAAATGTTGAGTCTTCATCTCTAGAATGGGAGGAGTATTTACTGCTTGTCTTTCCTACCTGTCATGCTATCTGGGTGGACCAAGGAAACAATGTAGGTAAAGGATTTTTGCAATTAAGTACAAAGGTGGAGAGTTGTTATTTCAAGTTAAAATTTTTGTACAGGATACGAGAACTTAAAGCCAAATATAGAAGTTAACAAAAACTTTTCTGAGATCTGTTTTCTTCTTGTTTATGTATATCAGCAAGTATGTGGAGCTGCTATAGAATTATTGAGAAAATCTTAACCTATTTCATGGAGACATACTTTCCAGAATTAACAAGATGACCAATTAAAAACAAATAGCCCTCCTTTAGTCCATGGTTGCCTTAAACAATATATTATGTATTAATTTCTTTCTAATGACTGTGCATAGCTTATTGTGTGGTATATGGGCTTTGTTATATTTATTACTGTCATTATTTTCCTTATTTTCCTATCAAAACTAGCCTTTCAGTGAATATCTTTCTAACATACATCACTTTATACTAGTCAGATAAATATAAAACTCAGGTGAAGAGTGGACAGTATGGAGTGCTACAACTCTTGCAGAATTTAGCTAGCAGGTTTTTCACTTTTTACTAGAAAAACCAGTAGAAACAAAAAAATAAAACATGGTATGATGCAATTTGTTTATTTTTAAGGCATTTATATTAGTCTTTGCAGGGGAAAAATGCTCTGAGCTAATGAACAGTTTATAGTTATTGTAGTTATTTTGTTTGATGGGATTATGGGGAACTTTAAGTAAAGCCACATTTCTGTAATGTTGGAGTTCTCCAAAGTGTGTGTGTGTGTGTGTGTGTGTGTGTGTGTGTGTGTGTGTGTATATTTATTTCGGTAAACAGTAAGAATTAAAAACTTGGTAATTTAAAAGTGTCTTTTGATTTTAAATATCACAAAGTGGACACCTGCTTATGTATTTCCTTTTAAAAGTCACTTAACATTCTCATTTCTACAAGCTCATAGCATATGGCGCCAGGTATGGAAACGCAGAGGCATCTGTCTCCTGCTGAAACCCTGCAGTCAGGATATTGGGTGCTTCTCTTTGGCAGAGTGTCTCTCCCATCCTCTGTCCGTGTTAGAGTTTACTTTGTATTGACATTATGTACTTTTTTGGGAGTTCTGACTCCACAGAAGTTTTAAATCTGTCCCTCAAAGTCTTCCTTTCATAAAAAGATTTAATTAGGTAATCCACAAAGCATTTTAAAATGAAGAATAAATTAGAAGTAACCAATGTCCGCATTAAATTCTTGAGTGAAGATTAGGTCAAAAAATTAAATCTTAGGTAATTTCCTGAGGACCATAAAACAAAACAACAAATTCTTGACAATAATACAGGTCAAATATATTTTATATTGTCATCTTTACATGTGATATCTAGACACTTATCTTTAAATATGGGGGTTTTGAGAGCAGTAACCTTATCTGTTTTTTTTTTTTAAGGAAGTTTTTGTCTTTTCATCTGTTGCTGTAACACAAAAAGAGCCAGATGCATTTTTATTCAATTTGGAAGGTGTGTTAGGGATGGGCTGACTTAAATGCTAATCTGTGAAGTATATGTAACATGAGCGAGCGCTAGGGGAACGCTTCAAAGCAGTAGGCAGACATCATTGTGGAGCTAAACTAAGCACAGTGCCTATAGACCAGGGTGCTATGAACAGGCGGAAAGAGTGTTGACAATCAGAAATTGTCAATGGTAATTGCAAATAGGAAGACGCAAGGGCAGAATGGCAGCTGCAAGCACTGATTTGCAATTATGCCACTTTCACTGGGAACTCTGAGTACTCCAGGGTGGGTAGCTGCTGCAGCTTGCTTTCTTCTAATGAGGATTAATGATTACTTTGAGCCTCACGGTGGAGAGCAGCTGGTATGGAATGAGTCTGCCATGCCAAGTGCCACAGTGCTCAGTGGAGACCTCTGGCTCTTACCCTGTTTAAATCTATTTTGATGACCACGTGAACTGCATAGAAACTGGGTCTCACCCCTTTTCTCCTGAGAGTGGCACTCCCCTCTGCCCTTTAGGCTCTTCTAATTCTCTTTATTTCCTTCTTTCATTGCTTCCTTCTTTCCTGCTAACCCTAGTGGGTCATTTGACAGCTTTCAGGGATCGGGAGAACTCAAAGCCTAAGAGTGTTTGGTTTCCTAGGCACTCCCACACCCCTCAAAAAAAGAAAAAATGCAAGTCAGCATTAAAACGAACTAAATATGTTTATTTTTTATTTTTCAATATTTGGAGACACTCTGGGGTGGAGCAAAATTGACAGTCTAATTTAAAAAGACAGGTTTTTTTTGTTCTTTTCATAGAATGATTGTTGCTAGGAAATGGACATATGTTTCCAGACATATTGATTTGAGGATCCGTTAGCCAGATAAATGCAACGCACATCCAAAAACTGGTTAGATGTTGATTTTAAACATTGGATAGGGGATGATTTATATAGCATGATCTGTATAATTGTTGTGACTTGTTAAAAAATCTTCATGTTGTGTGAGTTGTTAGGATAAGAGAGGATAACAGGGGAAGAGAAACCATTAGTAGACATATGTTCACTTGTTGGGTGTGCACTGAGTTCTGCCTAATATGAGATAGGTCAGGATACCCAGAGATAAACTCCCTGGCTCTAGGGAGTTTACATGTGAGACCTATGTTTATAGGAAAATAACACCAAGTTAATTAGAAGGGCAGCCAGTATATGCAGAGGTTAAGAGCTAAGGACTCTGGAATCAGATCAACTTTTGAATTCTAGTTCTATCATTTGCGAGCTTCATGATCTTGGGGAAACTTCTTATCTCTGAGCATTGCTTTCTTCTGTAAAATGTGGATAAAGTTGCCATAATAAAGAAAATATTCTTTGTGTGTCTGAATACTGCAATTTTGGCCCCGGAATAAATGCTCACCAGGTGGTTAGCTATGCTGTGTTGTTTCCTGTGGGTCTTTAGAGGCTGGGCTGGAGGAGGTTTCCAGCAAGCCAACACTTTGATGACGGCTATATGACACAGTTTCATAAACCTGAAATTACAGTTGTGAGTAGACCATTTTAATTTGTTTTTTATTTCTTTTTGATATTAGTGAGCCTTTGTATCTGCATTAAGAGCTGCCACTTCCTAAGGCCATATAAATCAGAATAATTGATCAATCAGGAATAATTCTTAATTTACATCTTAGTGTGAACAACATGGTAATTCATTGCATATGTGCTGACATAAGTGTTCCAAAAATAAAGTCAAACAATTGTGTGTTCAATATCAGCTATTTTTAAAGTGCCAAAAACATTAAGATTTCTGTTTTTATAATGACTCATGAGTAATATTGGGATTTTCTTAAAATTAGGAACAGTTCATCTTTCTTTAGCAAAAATGTCCCTTAAAATTGAAATAGTTTAGTTTCTTTTTAGGGTAACTTTTTATGTCTTGATATGAATGTAATACACCATTGTAGAAAAATTGAAAAATACAATAAGACATAAAGATGAATATAGAAACCCTTACTGATACTAAGTATTATCTTGACAAAATATCAGTTTGATCATTCAGGAATGCATATAATGGCTTCTGTGTTAGAATCTGATGGGGCATGGGAATTGCATAAGGATCACTAATATTTTCATTACTTGTTCTAAACTCTAGTTTAAATGAAGAGGGAGAACTTCACGTAAAATAGAATCGATTAAGTATGATTGTGTTGCAGCATTATTATTGGATTTCTGATGCTTTGTGTCATTCTTTGAAATATCTGAAAAAGTCAATGTGCTTGTAAGAAACATGAGTGAGATAATATTAACATATGAGGGGGACTTGGAATAGAATTGCTGGTGATACAGGAATTTGTAGAAGCAAGAGAATCAAGCAAGAGAAAATATTTCATCATTTTTATTGAAAGCTTGAAACTTTTTAATACTCTCAACAGAACAACATCTTAATTTTACAAGGTAAATTTGAAAACTAGAAAAAAGAACTACTTTCTTTTTAGATGATGGTACCAAAGTTGTTGACGTTTATTATTTCTCCATTCAAATGCCCAAGTTAGCATCTTAGTACCTAGAGAACTAATTCCCTCTGGTATGTGAACCAGTAGAGAGAGACCTAACCAGAGGAAGGGCACTAAGTGCCAAGTTAGACGGAATTGTTTTCTCAGAGAATTGTTACCTAAACCTTGGTATTTGCATTTTAATGAAGTTCCAGAAAACAGTTTAACTTTTATTAGCTACAGTCTTTTAATCTGCGTTTTTTCTTTTTTCATTCTCTTTCTTTTTTTTTTTTTTTTTTGAGACAGAGTCTTGCTTTGTCACCCAGGCTGGAGTGCAGTGGTGCGATCTCAGCTCACCATAACCTCTGCTTCCCCGGTTCAAGCGATTCTTGTGCCTCAGCCCCCCAAGTAGCTGGGATTACAGGTGCCCGTCACCACACTCAACTAATTTTTGTATTTTTGGTAGAGATGGGGTGTCGCCATGTTTTCCAGGAGGGTCTTGAACTTTTGACCTCAAGTGATCCACCTGCCTTGGCCTCCCAAAGTGTTGGGATTACATGCGTGAGCCGCTGAGCCCAGCTAATCTGCGTTTTGACAAATAATATTTTTCAGATTGCTTAGCATTAAAGAGCTTGTAAAATATATATGAATATATATGACTCTATATGAATATATATATAAATCTGAACATTTATGCCTGAACACAAGCACTTTGTTGGCTTCACGTTAGTAACTCATGAGATTTTGCCTTCATTTTGTGTAAGTCACTTGAAGACCCAAGACAAATTGGATGAAGTTTTAAGCTGTTTTGTATATAGTCTGTGTTTAATAATCTTCATTTATACTTTGTAAGAAATGAAAGGAGAATCCTTTGGGCAGATGGTATTATGTAAAGTGGTGACAAGGAAATCTTTATTTTGATGCAGGGACTTAATTACTTGTGAAGCCTATTTATAGGTAAGTTTAGGTTGATTTGCTTGATAGACTTAGTAAATCTTACAAGTGAAATTCAGAGATTCTCATCTATTAAACTTACCAGATTTAACAGAACATACAGGGAGTTACACTGATTCAGAGGGAAAAGGACAAGGAAGGAAATTGCTATTTCTATTTAAATAACATTTTTCTTTTCTCCTTTAGTTTGTTTGAAAGTTAAGCCCATAACAAGTGTTCGTTGCTTTTTGTCATGATCAGAATATTAAAGGATTCAGTAATAAGAGCCATTTGTGGCCTTTTGTAATAATCCATCCCAGTTCTAGGTGATCTTTTAAAACTTAAAATAGTAGAGATAGATGAGAGAAATTCAATGTTCTTCCTTTCATTCTGAGTCAGCTTCTTCCAGTCTTGATTAAGCACGTTGCTTGTGACAAATACAAACCAAAAGTGTCCCAGCTACTTGGGAGGCTGAGGCAGAATGGCGTGAACCCAGGAGGCGGAGCTTGCAGTGAGCAGAGGTTGCACCACTGCACTCCAGCCTGGGGGACAGAACGAGACTCTGTCTCAAAAAAAAAAAAAAAATCATATCTTCTGGGAGGATGGCCATTAAACTGTTTTATGAATATTCAAGAGAGGAAGTCAGTCCTTCTGATATATCACAGGGCAGTGGAAAGAGTCCCCCTTCATCGGAGAAAAATCAGAGTGAGGGATAGTCAGTGAAGCCTGTTTAGCATTTTGCATCGATCATCAAACCTAAACAAGTGTTTCTCAGACTTGAGTCAGTCATACACCACCTGCTCAGTCTTTGCTATATATGTGCCACCTGTTTTGCTAAATGCTCAACATTATTCTTAAAGCAACATTCTTTTAACTTTATTTTAAAAAGAAACTGTGTGTCATGACTGTAAATGGAAAGTCATTGTCATGTGTTGTAAATAGAAGATAAGAGTAAAAATAAACACTGAACATGTAGAGGTAGTCAATTTAAGCTAGACAGCTGAAAACTCTGGTCTTTGAGCCTTGCTTTCTCTTTGTCTAAGAGCAAAACTAATTAGTGGGAGTAGAAGTCAGGACAGTGGTGGGAAACAGGACTGAGGAGGGCTTTTGAGGGTGCTGGTCCCATTCTGCTCCCGATCTGGGCAGTAGTTCAGGAGCATGTTCACCTGTGTAAATACACCAAGATGTACACTTAGGATGAGTTCACTTTCTTTATGTTACATTTGGATAAACTTTATTTTTAAAAGTGGTGTTACCTGTTTACAATAGTAAAGATGTGGAACCAACCCAAATGCCCATCAACGATAGCCTGGACAAAGAAAATGTGGTACATAAACACCATGGAATACTATGCAGCCATAAAAAGGAATGAGATCATGTCCTTTGCAGGGACGTGGATGAAGCTGGAAGCCATCATCCTCAGCAAACTAACACAGGAACAGAAAACCAAATACTGCACGTTCTCACTCATGAGTAGGAGTTGAATATTGAGAACACATGGACACAGAGAGGAACAGCACACACCAGGGCCTGTTGAGGGGTGGAGGGTGAGGGGAGGGAACTTAGAGGACAGGTCAACAGGTGCCGCAAACCACCATGGCACACATATACCTATTAAACAACCTGCATGTTCTGCACATGTATCCCTGTTTGGTTTCGTTTTTAGAAGAAATAAATTTTTTTAAAAAACAAGTAGTGTTAACAAACATTTTTGCCTCAAATTGACTCTGTGCTCTAGATGTAAGCAGATGGGTTAGAGATTGACAATGGAGTGACTTGGATAACTTGGGTTAGAGATTGACAGTGGAATGACATCATGTCATTCAAGGTCGTTTTAATGGCAGAGCCCAGGGTCACCTAAAATAAAGTGAAGTGCTCCCTGACTTCAGCATGCCCAGGGCTGTCGTGTACCAGTCTGAGCTAAACTTTTCATGTGCCTGCTTTGGTTTGGTTGGTTGAGGAAAGAAAGAGTCCTTGGAGATTAGAATCCACTATAGAGAGGAAGAATTCTTTCACTGCTAAAACTTCAGAGGCAGGAAGATAAATATTAATGTTACTGACCAGAAATTGGGGAATCCCTCTTTGATAAACAAACTTTTGTTTGTTTTTATACAATTCTGAAAAACTATACTATCTTTATACATTTGTAGCTATTTACTGTATGTACATTTGTCCGTCGTGCGGCCTAAGCATAGATGTAAGTATGACTCAAACAGCAACTCATTCTACACTGTTCTTTGAAAGAGTATTCTGCAAACTTTTTTGGTACTGACCTACAGTAAGAAATACATTTTATATGTGACCCAGTGCAGCACTCACAAATGTAAGTGAGCCTGGGATGTATGTATAAAAATGGAAAAAAAGTTTCATGCGAGATATTTACCCTTACTGCATACGGTGTAGTCTGGTATTGGTATTTTACTCTTTTTCTTCTAATGCCATTTGCCACTCACTACATTGATTTCATGGCTCACTAAAGGGCAGTGGCCCACAGTTTGAAAACATTCTGCTTTGGAGGATAGGGCTGTGCCTTCGTGTTAACAGCAGATGTCTTTCTGATATTGTACCCTGGGGTCTGTTGGATCTGCTCATGGCAAAACTAAATCAAACCTGTTGCAAAAACAATGGAGTCAAATTTGATATTAGACTATATTTGTAAAAATAATCTCCTCTTCCTGTCACCTTTCCACTTATGAACTTCTTATTTGAGGCAAAGTTCATGGGCCCTGCACTCCATCAGCAGTTGGATGGCATTAACTGGTGGTCGTTTGCATCATCATAGACTTACCACAAAGGGACATAGCTCCAGCCTTTGGAGGCATAACTCATTTCTAAGTGTGTAGCTTTGGTGTGCAGGGTAATTTCATCTCCAGTTGAGGAGATTTGTATCAGCTTGATGTTTGATGGGGATGCTTTGTGTGGCATGTGTGGTGATTGCCTGCACTCTGGATTCTGGTAGGAAGGTAGTAAGTTACACCTAAATAGGTCTCTGAATCCAGCATCTCTGAGACCCCCCCGGTGAAGTGTCCCTGTGAGGTTTGCAGTTTGTTAGGAAAAGATCAAGGAAGGCCCTGCTTGAGTGTAAGCTCTTGAGAGCAGGGACACATTGATTGTGCTCTGCACACCGCATATTCTCAGTACTAGCACCATGCCTGGTACAGAGTATTCAATCAGTAAATGTGTGTTGCCTGACTCCGAAATAGATGTACAAGTCACACAATCAACTTCTGAGGGTAAAACTGCAGGCAGTCTAACATTAGAAGTATTCAGGGCAGGTGACAGTATGTCATGAGGCCTTGGGGACATTTGATACTTCGACAACACCTCCTGCAGACAGGTGGAATCTGCCAGCTGTCCATACAGGAATAGCAGCGGGTTAAAATAGATATCTCTCCCAGTGCCAGGAGGAATTTAGGAGTAAAGAGTTCCTTTCTTTAGAAGCAGGGGAATGAATGGGGTTGCCAGAGGGAAATCGTGAGGAATCCCTGATTTTGCTCTTTTTAAAAAATATAAATATAAGGGTATCATAAGAAAATTAGGAGTTTAATTTTTGGTATGCCACATTGGGTTTTGTAAAATCTAAACTTTAAAAATCTGCATTTATGAATTCCAGTATTTGTATTTCAAGTAAACCTTTTTCTTAGTCCTGTTTAACAATAAGACTTAGGAAATTGTGTTATTTCTGGTTAACTGGTTCCATGCAAGACAGTGTAAGTTTCCTTTAGCAGTTGTGCTTTTTGCTTATGAAGGTGCCAGCTTTGCCACCATTTTTGGAAAATATTTAACATTGGTCACCTTTGTCCTGTCTTCCTTCAATGACTTGGATCTTATCTGCCTGTCAAAACCCGTTTTGGCAACATAAAATCAGTAGCAACTAAGTTCTGGAAGATGCCTTTGCTGACACCTATTTTGAGTGTGCCATTTCTTCGATGGAAGTTTAGTCACTGTTGTTGTCACAGAATTTCCATCCATCTTCCAGGAAATAATTGCTTTGCCACAGCTGCTTAATTAAACTGAATTCTCAGTGAAGCAATAAAACACAGTGGAACTTTCTGAGGGTTTCTGGGGGTGTGGGGGTGCGGCAAAGGGGTGGATGCAAATGAGGGCATTAAGCAAAGGCCTTGAGAAAGGTCTTCATGGCTTCCTACCACCAGGCCACAACCTTGCTTTGATGAACAAGATGATGTTTAAAGCCTATTGTAGTAAACAGATTTATTTTACCTTTTTATTGTTAGCTATCTGCCAAAATGTTCATTTGTGTTCTGTGCTGAACTAGTGAGAAAATGTGACAAGCTGAAAATAGAGGAATATTCTCATAGAATGACAGTTATGCTGAACCCAATGTAAATCTTAATATAAACGAAGAGACCAAATAGAAACTTCCTAATAGACATTTCTGATCTGTTTTTCTAATATCATTTGCTAAGAAACTTTAAAACTTGAATTCCTAAACTTTAAAATGGTAAAACTAAGGGCAGCTATCTTAGTTTTTGCTTTAAACACTCAGCCAAGAAAGGAAACTAAAATTGTTTAGAGTTAGTGGGGCATCTGCTTATGTGTTTATATGCCAGCCAATTTAAAGCTGAAATGTTATCTCTTCAAAGTGGAGGCAGCCTGGACTCACATTAAAATAGTTTATTTTGAAAAAAAATTTTTTTAAAGATTTCTAAAGGAGTAAAGGAGAAGATAAAACCAGTGCAGTTTCTTTGTCCTTTTGGAGTGTTAGATGGCAGAAGTCATTCAAATGGATGTTTTTAGTGGGTGATATCCCAATTACAAAAGTTAAAAAGATAGTGATAAGCTCTCTGCATACTTAGCTGCTTATGTCAAAATATATTGGTAATTTTGAGTGCATTTAATGTAGCATTTTGCTTAGCTTGGTATTCTAACAAGAATGAACATATTAACTATAGAATGCAACGTAGCTTTTGTATTTAGAGAGACTGCCATGGAATGCTGTTAAGGACATACCATAGTAATACTAGAATCTAAATCAGAACACTAGAGGAATCAAAATAACTGTTACAAGTGACTTTAAAACAAACAAAAAACTAGGTAGTTTTATTAAATTTAATTAATATTTTCTCTGTTTTCTAAATCAGCTTTTATTTTCTTATCCACAACGCATATGCATACACACACACACACACACACACACACACACACACACACACACACACACCATTAAATGAAGCACCACTTAACTTGTGCTGGAAATGTAGCCACTTAGTTGGACAAAACTTGTTTTTAGCACTCAAGTTCAACTCCAAAGTGAAAGGGTCTGTCTGTCATTATCCTGTTTCCTGGATGGAAGTGGTTATTCTTCTCTATTGATCATTTTTTTCCTTTCCTTCCTAACTTAACCCCTGTGCCACCTAAAGTTCAGTAGTAATCTTGAAAGATGCTCCTGTAACAAGGATGCCAGATTCTGCTCATTAAGAGCATTGAAGTAAAAGTCGCAAGTTATAAATGGCCTGCTTTTTTTTTCCTCTTTTTTTTTTTTCTCCCCTCATTTACCACACTAGACAGAGGGAATGTCCTGGCCTTGTCAGAGAGAGAAGAGAACTGCCCTGGCATTGGAAGGGAAAGCACAAAGCTAATTGTTGGTGGCTTCATGTTACAGACCACCTAGGAGACAAAGTTAGAACTTGACATCATTTAGACCTTATTTAAGGAAACTAAAATGCCATTTTCATTTAATTTAGGGAATACTGAAAGTGGTGGTAGACACCTTGCTGAATGTCTCTGGAGATTGGAAATAAGCCATTTTTGCTTGATGTTAGGGTTGCCTAGTAGGTTTAATAAGCTGGTCATGGCATTCCTGTGAGCAGAGTCTAAGGTGGGATCAGTCCTTCCATCATACGTTTGTGAGCTATTTGCTATCATAAGTTGGCCACTTTGAGGGTGGACTCCTACAGTGACAGATTGTGTGAGGTACTGTGGTTTTAGGTGAGTACAGACCAGAGGCCATCCTGTGCTATTTTACTTGCAGAGTTTTCTCCCTTCCTGTTGTTAAATTTTGTTTTGGGTCCTGAAGGTGCTTATGGCTGCCATGTTTCCTTGGCAGAGTGTGACCAGATGGACACATAGGGAGAATGGGAGGAGGGTGCAGAATATCACAGTGGGCTAGTGTTGGGTATCTAGTGGAGTTCATGCATATGTTCCCAGGTGAAAAGGTCTGGAAACCAGTGCTGAGAATATCAACTGCTAGCCTGAGGCTATTTTCGCCATATAGTTAATCTGTTACTACATGATCCACAGAAGTGCTTATGTAGGAAGAATTTACTTCCATAAAATTCTACCTCAGTCGTAGCATTGAGCAGCAGTATGTATAGTGGATAAGGGTAAGCTAGCTGTGTGGGTTTGAATCCCAGCTCTGATATTTTTGCTACGTAGCCTTGGGCTAGTTCCTTAAATTTTCTGGACCTTCATGTTCTTGCCTGAAAAATGAGCACGACAGTTTCTATCTCATAAGGTAGGTGTGCTGATTTAAATGAATTAATAAATCTTAAGATGTTAGGGGCTGTTAGAAGAGTTCTTAGTACGTAGCAAGTCCTCAGTGACATTATCACATTATGATTATTGATAGTTTCCATTGTTGAGTGGCTCCTGTATGCAGTTGAGTACATACACAATGAGCTCAGGCAGTGAGTTGGTCCAAAAAATGCAAAAAATGTAAGGCTATATCAATAGAAGTATCACTGAATAAGCTGGGGTCACATCCATGTGATGAAATAGTATGCATTTATTAAAACCCGTGAGTTATATCTGTGTCTATTGGAGGAATGGGCTGTTTCCTAATGTGCTATTTCATTTCATTGTCCCCACAACACTGCAATAATACATAGTATCATTCTCATTTTACAAGTGACACCACTGAGACGCGGGGTAAGTGCCTTCTCAGAGGTCACACAGCTGACCATTGTGGATGACAGGATCCAAATCCATATCTGGCTCTGTGTGCTTTCCTTTATGCCACATTTCTGTCCAGCCAGATCCCATGCCAGTGGATAGTTGGAGCCTCATTAAGTTGTTGGAGCCTCTTCGAGTGAACAAGTATATACAAAACTGTGTGTGTGTATAAACAATAATCATCATAAAAACATTTAGCCAACTGTATATATATATATAAAATATACATTTTGTTTTAAAATTTATTTTTGTTAGTATAGGTATAGGAAGTATTGAGAATTTGTACACAGCAAGTTGCCAGCAGTGGCCTATCTTGGTGAGTGGAGTGGTTTCTGAGATTTTTGTACTATAATGTATAGTTCATTTTCTTTAAAAGAAATATTTTATTCAATGCACCATCCCCCAGATTAAAATGTTTTGTGGAGTTGCCACAATCATTGAAACAAGACATTTTAAAATAAAAAAAGACAAATCTACATGTGCCTTCCTCTCCTTTTCTTCTTCCCATACCCTGAGGTAAGCAGTTTGCAGCCCAGCACAAAGCCTTCCGTAGCCTTCTTCATGATTATACAAAATAGAAACACATGTACACATATGAGATGTCGGTTTTTCTTTTCTTTTTTGAGACAGGGTCTCATTCTGTCACCCAGGCTGGAGTGCAGTGGTGTGATCTCGGTTCAGTGCAGCCTCAACCTCCTGGGCTCAAGTGATCCTCTCACATCAGCCTCCTGGGTAGCTGGTACCACAGGCACGTGCCACCACACACAGCTAATTTCTTGTATGTTTTGTAGAGATGGGGTTTCACCATGTTACCCAGGCTGTTCTTGAACTCCTGAGCTCAAGCTATCTTCTTGCCCTGGACTCCCAAAGTGCTGGGATTACAGATGTGAGCCACCATGTTCAGCTTTTTTTTTTTTTAATCATTGTCTTTACACAGAAGCAACCCTCCTGTGCTCATTTTCCAACATGTTTTCTGTAATAGCATATTGTGCCCATTCCATCAATAGATACAAATATAACTTACTGGTTTTAATAAATGCATGATGTTGCATCATATGAGTGTGAGTCCACTTTATTCAGTGACAGTTCCATTGACAGAGCCATAAATAGTTCTGCATTTTTTTGGACCTACAAGCAGTACTGTAATAATGTCCCTCTACCCATTTCCTATAGTCCTGGGACTCGGACTCCAAGAAGTTGAATGTATAACATACACTCATACAGTTTTTAAAATTGTATTTTCCACAATAAGCAGATATTTCTTTATAATCAGAAATCTTAAATAAAATAGAAATGAAATCTTAAAATATAAATAACTAAATCATGCGTTCACACCCACACACAGACATACCCACACAAATTCCAAGGCTGGTTATTGAAAGATGTGTCTTCCAAAAGTAGAGTCATGTTTATTCAAAGACAAACATAACATAGTTGAGTGTGTATGTTCACAGCATGGGGAGTGTTTAGTGTGTTTTAAAATATGAGGAAAAATAAAAAACATCATAAGCAAACCATCAGTTCTCTTTGAGAGAAAGCTGCTCTCACACACAGGTGATTCTTTCCATGAAAACTCCAAAAGGAATGTTGCTTATGCTTTTGCATAGGTCTGTTCTTCTTATGTAGGAGTACATCTGAACTTTAGAAATTTACATTTGAGTAAACCTCAAACTCCAAAATGTATCCCTCCTCCCCAAAAAGGGACATTTTACTGAAATAAAATCTGTTGCTGGTTGCTTCTGGTATGTTATGTCAAAGTTGTTAACCGGATACAGCAAAGGCAGCTGCATTGTATTTCAGAATTAGTTTGAGGTAGATTTTATTGTTATAAAGCAAGACGCAATTGAAGCCACACTCTGGGAAAATAGCAGTAACACAAAACATAGTAATTTAGGCAGAATTACTCAGCCACAGATGTCCAGAGAGGTATAGGAAAAGGTCCATATGCACTTTTTGTAGGCAAACAAGTCAAGGTTAAATAAAAGCCCTATTTTGAGTCTTAGGCTGGATGTCAAGAAATTGCCTCACAGGTGAAACAGGTCCAGCCACAGAAGAGGCTCTGTTGTTACTTGAGTCACTAAACCATTTGGATGGAGGCCAGTGCAGCCTTCTCCTCTTTATGTCAAGTTCCCATCTGTAGGAAATAGTGCCTATAGTGCCTGGTGACATCACAGGATCACTTTGAGTCAGTGGTGAGTAAGGCATAATGCAAAGAGTAATGGGAAACACTCTACACTTGAGAGAATTCAGAAGAGCAGGGAAGATGCTGGCGTGTTTGCCTCTCTGGCTAAGCCAGCATGGCTGTGAGAGCTGGCTGCACAACAGACAAGAGGCCTGCGTTATCTCTCAGCTCAGATTCTTTGTGGTTTGGGAAAGACAGAACCCCATAAGGATCTGAGGAAAGTTATGGATCTTCATGCCAAAAAATTTACATTCTCAGAGGCTCTCATCCTCTCTCCCTCTCACTTGTATACATACAATTTCATGGGACTTGTGGACTCCTTGGGACCATTCGTGAACCTCTGTTAAGAATTCTTAAGTTCTTTGCAGGGTCCTAGACAAAGCTCTGAAAATTGATATTTTTCCTCAGTGAAGATCAACTCAATCCTAAAATGGATTTTCAGTTTTTCAGCTGAATAAATCAACACCCATAGGAGCACTTTACAGAATATGGAGACTTGGGAGTCTGAGGTACCAAATAACATGGAAATGATAGGTGGAGACTTCTTGGGGATGTGAAAGGCCTTCCTTTCATGGGTTAAGTTCATCGGGAATCATTGCTGCTTCGGTGAGATTTGAACTTACACATTTTTCTGTATAGGTCTGAAGGAGCTTAGTCTAAATATTATGTAAATATGACCCCATATAAATATATATACACACACACACACACAGAGACACTCCATACATAATGGGATAGATCCCATGGAGCAAACCTCAACAGTGGTGCCGTGATTTACAAAATAACCTCTCAGTTGCACCCTTATTACAGTCAGATCCTCAGTGGCGGGCTTCTTACTTCTCTCAGAGTGAAATTCACTCTTACACAGGGGCAACTTGCAGTGTGCCACATTCAGAAAAGCTCTTTAAAGTGTAGTCCCTGTCATTTACAAATGTGGGCTAATTCTCAATACCTGTCGACCTCTATGTTCTCATCCAAAATATGGAAATCATAGTAGTACTTTTAAAATAAGTTTGTTGGAATCTGTAAATAATAAAACAGTGTAAAGTATTTGTAAGGGCCTTGGCATATCTAACACGCTAAATAACTGGTAACTCAAATTGATTACTCTTTATGATTATCTAGCAGTAGCTGTTTATTGGCTTTAGACCCCACAGAGTAGGACTACCTTTTATCTATGTAGGTTGTTATAATAAAATGCCTTAAACTGGGTAATTTATACACAACAGAAATTCACTGTTCATAGTTCTGGAGGCTGGGAAGTTCAAGGTCAAGGTGCTGACATATTCATTGTTTAGTAAAGGCTGTCTGCATCAAAGATGGTACCTTCTTGCTTTCTCCTCACATGGTGAAAGGGGCAAGGGAGCTCCCTTGAGCCTCTTTTGAAAGGGCGCTAATCCTAGTCCCAAGGGTAGAACCCTCAAGACTTAACCACCTCCCCAAGACCCCACCTCTTAGTACTATCACGTTGGGTATTAGAGTCCAACATATGAATTTGATGGGGACACCAACATTCAGACCAAAGCAAGGACCTTCCAAAATCAGTGCACCTTGGAAAATTTTTGTCTTCAGATATTACTGAGGTAATTTTAAAAGTCTAGGGAGTAGGGACCGGCTAAGAGGAACTGTGTTTAACCATGTAATACTCTTTTAGCAAACCAAGTGCCTGCGTAATTTTTCACACAGTTCAAGAATGGAGAAATAATTCTGTCCTAAACTCTTTCCACTTCATTAGCTGAAATGTTCACATTTCTCATATCCAAGCAGAAAGGGGGGCAGGTTCCTCATTGGTCCCTAAAGCAAACTTGGATTAATGGCTCCTATTAATTTATCTTTGAAATAAGAAAGAAATCCTGTGGATCCCCAGTGTATTGACAGATTTTTAACACTTTACCCATAAAATCAATCAATCTCTCTCTTTCTACCCCTTCTTGCCAGGCTTTTACTTTTTGTCACTCATTCTCCCTTTCCTTTTCATCAAAACATTTTGTCCTAAAGGAATCTTTAATTTCCTTTTCCCCTATGTAACGGGAACAGTTACAGTAACTAAAGGTACCTTGAAAGAATGGTCGGCTGGGCGCGGTGGCTCACACCTGTAATCCCAGCACTTTGGGAGGCCAAGGCTGGCGGATCACGAGGTCAGGAGATCGAGACCATCCTGGCTAACACAGTGAAACCCCGTCTCTAATAAAAAAATACAAAAAATTAGCCAGGCATGGTGGCAGGCGCCTGTAGTCCCAGCTACTCGGAGGCTGAGGCAGGAGAATCGCGTGGACCTGGGAGGTGGAGCTTGTAGTGAGCTGAGATCGTGCCACTGCACTCGCACTCCAGCCTGGGCAACAGAGCGAGACTCCGTCTCAAAAAAAAAAAAAAAAAAAGAATGGTCAAAGACCATATCATAAAGGATCCCAGTAGTAAACAAATGGCACACTTAAGATAGGATCCATCAGAGAGTTTAGTAAAAGGACGATTTTCAAGGATATGAGAAGAGTGTAGGACAGAGATCGGCAAACTTCTGTAAAGGGCCGGATGGTAAATATTTTCAGCCTTGCAGGCCATGTGGCGTTTGCTTCAACCATTCAACTCTGTTGCTCTAGAGGGAAAGCAACCATGGACAGTACCTAAACAAACAGGTGTGTCTTCCAGTAATATGATTCACAAAAAGAGGCTTTGGGCTAGATCTGGCTCCAGGGCCATAGTCCATTAAACTCTGGGGTACAGGAAGAAGAGCATAGGGCAGTAACTGGGCTAGTAGCAATGCTGTGACCGGCCTTTGGCTTGAAGGGCAGGAGTGGAAGGAGGTACCAGAACCTAGAAGAAAGGCAGTCTGTGAAGAGGGCTGTCAAGACAGGAGCTGTGCACTCTGGAGAGAGTGCTATCAAGAGACATCCCACAGGAAGGAACTTTGGGGCGGGGCACAAATCTAGGGCGCATTTCTCCTCTCTCCCTTGGTTTTCCTCTGCTGTGCCCCATTGACTGGTCCCAGCTAGAAGCCAGGGAGCGAGGGAGACCAGAGAACCATTCTATACAAGGTATCCTCCCTGGGGACAGAGAGCAGGGTGGAAAAAGGGAAGCTCTCTGGCAGGAGGAGGAAATGAGATATGGCACACAATGCACTTAGCATGGATTCCCCAGGTACCAAGGACTCTTGTTATTTATTAATCCTTGTCATCACAAACATCTGCGTCTCTGATTACGTGTGGGGTTGCAATGTAAAACATAAGTGAGTAAAGGGAGCATGAGTAGAACTTTCCACAGAGATCCAGTCACAGCAGAAGCTAGTCATGTAAGGGTTTCTCATCCCTTGGGTTTATCAAGCTTTCCTTTAGATTCATCGTTCTGAAAAGTTGCTTTTGGAAAGACATTACACCAAGCTCTCAATTTGGGTTTGAAAGCTGGGAAAAACCCTCTTTGCTAGAATGAATGAATGAAAATTGACCTCTTATAGAATGATTCATCAACCATGCATGAGTGAGCGACTCCATTTAGAAAAGTATTAATTTAGTCATGTCCCAAAACATCACATCACATTGCAGATTAAGGTCAGCAAAAATGAATGTTTTGACAACCCTGTAATCAGTGCTAATAGAAGCATTGAAAATAAGTGTCTTGAGAATGTGGGTTGTGCTTGATTTAATGTGTTATTTTTTTTTTACTTATTCTAATTTAGTCTCATTGTTTCTCCAGAAATTTCACTTATCTCTAAGACTTTGACTTCTTTGTCTATAACTCTAAATGTATAGTAACACACACCAACAAGATGACAGTTCTGTAAAGTCCCACTTTTTTAGCACACAGGGTAGATATTCATGTCTATCAACAAGTGTATTTAGGCAGTGAATTCAATCATGCAAAATTGAAAAAGGCAAAAGTTGGATGATTTCACCAGGCTCTTTAAGAAACTTGTGTTTGGTGGTGATGCTTGTCTTGAAAAGATAAATTTCCTAGTACTTAGGGGGACTTAGAATTCTACTTGCATCACCCTGAAAACTTGTTTCTCTACCTTTTATATAGCTGGGATCACTGATTTTTTTTATACAGAAAGAAAAAGTACATGTAAAGTCCCTGCTAAAGTCAGGCTATGGCATTCTTCTTTGGCACACTGGAACCTAGAAACACTAGCAGTTGTCTTGACTCGTAGATTGATTATGGGACACATAGGTCTTGAGGATGCAGTTTCACTCG
Organism: Homo sapiens; assembly: GCF_000001405.40. Taxonomy (NCBI): domain Eukaryota; kingdom Metazoa; phylum Chordata; class Mammalia; order Primates; family Hominidae; genus Homo; species Homo sapiens. The sequence continues at coordinate 73,576,355 of NC_000003.12, read as the reverse complement.
GCCTATATCACGTATATAGATATCAGCTTTATATCAGCTTTAGTTTTGAATGGCTTTGGGTAACACCTCTAATCATATATCTAAACTGTGTTATTTTAATCCATCTCAATTTAGACCTTATTCTCCCATCCTTAACACTGGATAGAGCTCATTTCCTCAGTTTGGGGTAGTGGAGGGTAAAGGAAAGAAGTTGGCAGAAAATAGGCAGCTCCGTATGCCACTGTGCATATGTGTGTGTGTGAGAGAGAGTATGCATGCATGTGTGTAATTTCTTCCAAAGGACATATAATGACTCCCTGCAGAATGATAGCAATATAACAGAAGATGACTTCGCTTGATTTTTCTCTCTTTTTCTCCTGTCCTCCTTTCCTCATCCCCCTGCCCCTCTCTGTCTCTCTTTCTATGATATTTCTCCTGAACTTCCAAATTGTGTGACTCTAAGTTTTGGCAGTCAAATATACATTTGTTAAGAGGCTTACTGCTTAGGTAATATGCAAAAATTGGTTAGATCACCATAAAGAATCATAGGAAAAATTTAAAAACTCAGGGATCAGTTAATTTGGTCTCCTGTTTGTCTAATGAGAAAACAGAGGCATACAGAGCTGAAGAACCTGTTCCCATTCCGTCATCTGATGGCTGCAGAGTTGGGACTAGAGCCAGTCTTCATTTGTCGTCTCTACAACACAATGCAGGTTCTTTCTATAATGCCCTTCTCTTTCTTCTTCTGAACTTTCTTGGATAAAGTTCACATTTGTCTATAAGCATTTTTTAAGCACACCTCACATTTTTGTCCCAACTGTAAAGTAAACATTATGAAATTTGGTAGTTAACTTTCTATTCAATTTGACTGCTGTTTCTCGCGTTTCTACTTGAGAAGGTCACTGTGTTTGATCAAATTCTGGGAGAAAAAGATGAGATGAGGCTTCTTGGAGCAACTTCTTCTTGTGTGGTGCTTCACTGAGCTTGTGGCACATGTTAGTTTGGAAAGGAGATTTGCCTTGAAAATGGGGTCTCTGAACCTTCTGGGAGGGATAAGGTAGTACAGTGGAGTTGGTCATGCAAGGATGGCTCTTCCAGGTTCCAGGCACCGACGTGAACTGCAAAAAACACACATACTGTATTTGCTCTATAGTTATTTGTGAACTTCTCAAGAAGTACCTGTGTAATTATAAACCCCTGTTCTTCCTTGTCAGTACAGTATAATGCTGCTTACGTTCATTACTTCTTTAGGCGATCATGTTGAATTACAGAAATACTAATTTTTGTGATAAACATGAAGTCCTTTAGAGCTTGGGGATTTTCTGCTGTATTAACTTACTAACTTTTTTATTTTTAAAAAACAAAACATCACTTTGCTCTCTTGTACAACACTTCAAAGGAATGACACCTTATCAAGCCCTTTGGTGAGCTGAGAGATATAAAACTCGGTTATATTTGACAGCATGCTCCAATAGGACTGTGCTGTAAATGAAGGGATTGTTTAGCACAGGGCTGAACTGCCAGAGACGGAAAGGGGCTAGATGAGGGGGGAAGTTGAATTTGTTGTAAAAAGCACCTTCTTATCTTTTAGATTTAGTCGATACTGGTTTCTGCCCTTTGGCTAAGTTTGCTGTATTAAAAGTGCTTGTTCCCCCTTTGGGAGGCCAAGGCGGGTGAATCACTTGAAGTCAGGAGTTTGAGACCGGCCTGACCAATATGGAGAAACCCCATCTCTACTAAAAGTACAAAAATTAGCCGGGCGTGGTGGTAGGCTCCTGTAATCCCAGCTACTTGGGAGGCTGAGGCAAGAGAATTGCTTGAACACGGGAGGTGGAGGTTGCAGTGAGCTGAGGTTGCACCAGTGCCCTCCAACCTGGACAACAGAGTGAGACTCCATTTCCGCCCTCCCCACCCCCCCCACCCCAGCCAAAAAAAAGTGCTTCTTCCTGTGAACTCATTGACTTTATTTCTGTTTTTAAAGAAGTGTTGTGAGGGGAGTGGCTAAGAAGGATTTCTCAGCTATACCAGCTCACTCTGCCTAATTACCATGGTCAAGTACTCAGTTTGGTTTTATCCTAGGGCAAGTTCTCTTGATGGTGAGAAGATTAGCAGTCAAGAGGCTCCAAGAGAGGGGTTAGAGTGTACTTAGAGGACAGCCTTTGGCTTTAGAAGATAATTGATGTTTGACATTTTTTCCCTTTGTAGGCTGAGTGTCAAATATCGGACAGGGCGAGAGCCCCCTCATTAATCCTGACAACTGTTACTTCTCTGTGATGTTAGAATAAAGGGTATTTGCCCTTTTAATGTCAGGCCTTCTTGCCTCCTGCAAACCACTCATGTCCAGAGGATGTACTAAGAAGCTAGCTGCATGCTTTTCCAGGCAGCTAGAAGTTTGCATATATGGCAAGGCAAACTTGGCCAGCTTATCTTGAATGGGATAGAAACACCCTTCTATATTTGCTGTGAATTTTTTTTAAAGTGGTACAATATGGGTTAATGTTTAGAGCTGACTATGGTAAGGACCGTATATGTATATGTATATGTATATGTATATGTATATGTATAGGTGTATGTGTATGTATATGTATATGTATATGTATATGTGTGTATGTATTTGTGTGTGTGGCTATTTTTAAAGCCTGCTAAAGTATTTTTGGTGGACTTGCATAGATTGGGAAAAATGAAAACCATCTCTGACGCTCACCTTTTACAACTGAGGTATTACCATAGAACGGGCGTTGGCAAACTTTTCCTGTAAAGAGCCAGATGGTAAATGTTTTCAGCTTTGGGGGTCATGCAGTCTTTGTTGCAGCTACTCAACTCTGCCATTGTAGTGTGAAAGCAGTTACAGGCAATATGTGACTGGATGAGCATGGCTTTGTTCCAATAAAACTTTATTTAATAAAACAGGTGGTGGGACAAATATGACCTGGTGAGTGACGTGTGTTAACCTCTGCTAGAAAGTTCTACTGCTTAAATATAGCTCTGGCTTTGTGGCTAGATTTCATCTTAGAGGACACTTTGCCCCTCACTTTGCCTCCTCGTCTTCCCAGATGCCACATTGCAGATTGTCACTTGCTACAGTCTGTAACAAGAACATATGATTCTGGGTGCTTTATATATACTCTGTCTTTCCCTGGCAACTGAAGGCCCTGGAGATCTTGCCTAGCTGTTGATCTGCTCTGGGGTCCTACCTTAATATGTTCTGGGGTCTTGTCTTGCCAGAGAGGGTCACTGTAGGACCTCAGAGAGGCCCTTGGGACAGGTAAGACAGATCAGCATTTCAACAGATGACCCCTGGTTTCCAGTCAACTATCAACAACCAACCTCTGTATCTTATTAGAGGCTCTGAGATAAGCCTTAATTCCGGCACACTGTGGGACACAAAAGAGCCTAAAACCTCCCTTTTGCTAATGAGTTGTGTGTTATTTTCTCACTTTATCTCAGTTCTCCAGCCTAACTGCTCCCGGAGCCATCTTTTCAAAATTCCAACAATTTTTTCCAAGTTTCCCATTAAATCATTGAAATCCAAATGATACATATGCATAGTTTTCCCAAATGCAGGAGGGAATCTGCATTTTTTTATTGAAAAAGGGAGGGGGCACTCTTGCAAAATAAAGCTACTCCCTCTGCCTCATCCCTCTTGGCTTGATGTAATTATTTCTCTGAGTATCTGATTTGTTGCTGTCTCTGGACAGTGCTGCTCCTTTTTTGTACTGCTGTCCCACTGCTTGCAGTGACTCAGGTGTGCTTGGAACAAGGACGCAACCAACTGTGGTTGAATTATATGCACCCTGACAGCCGGAATGTACAGTGTGATTTATGGGAGTTGTTCACACAGAGATCCCCAGATAGCCTGGTTTTCTGACATACATGTGAAGTTTTAAGGCCCAGGGTAGAGGAATACACTCCAAGGAACCAATGGATGCTAATGACATTTCTAAGCACTGTGATGAATCGATCCAGGACTTTTTTATGTCAACTTAGAGTATACTGGAATAGAACACAGCATTGGATTTCCATAAAACTGAGCTAGCAGCTAGAAGTTTAACCACATGAACTTTGTTACTTTGGAAGAGCTTATTAAAATCTCTGAAAGAGGGAGAAGAGATAAAGGAAGAAAACCAATCCTTGTGACCACACATTAAATGGGTCAAAACTTAGCAAATTCACAGCCCGGGCAAATGGATTTAATGGTTTATTTTTATCAATATTTTACAATAGAATTTGAAACAAGAATGACTTTGGACACCTGAATTCCACCTATTCACTCCAGCTTGCTTTTCTTTAAAAGAAAGGTACCAAATGAAATGATTTTTAAGACCTTTTTTTGCACTGAATCAACATTTTGTTGTCACAAACCTGATTAGATTTCTAAAAAGTATCATACTGTCCCTTGCTCAAGTTAAGTACAAAATTGCCTAGGAAATTTTTTCTAAACCCAATGCCATGTTCCATTCTTTACCCTGCCGTTTCCCAGCCCGAGGATTGGAGTGAGTGGAAAGTATGTTCCTGTTTTTTCAAAACGGTGCTCGGGACACATTTGTGACCACACCAGCTTCCATCTCACTGCCACTTCTGCTCTTCCGGTTCTGAGCAGCCGTCTTAGAGGTCAACTCTTGGAGCAGTCTGTTGATGAGGTGAGAGCCGCCTGCTCAGGGGAGATAAAGGTAGAGGTCTCCAGGCTCTTCTCTGGGGGCAGGACTCTCACCCCGGCAGCTGCGGCTTTGATTGAAAAGGTATGTGGCCCTCTGGAGCTGACTTCAACCAAATGGCATTGGTCTTTGAAAAATGTACTTTAGCACAGCCCCTGTGGAACGTGTTTACTTAAGGATTTTACCCTTGCTTTAGAAGTGAGAATGTGACTACAGCTGGACTGCCCCTCACTGAAGGCATTTGCTGCGAATGTGTCTTCTGCTAATATGTTTAAGGATCTATAATGAAAACAGAGTCATTCTGAAATAAAAGGACATTGACATAAAAAGCAGTAATGGTTGACGCTATCTGTTTTTGAAGATAAGGGTTTTGTCACAAAGGCACGATTTATGGTGGGAATACTGAATAGCGGGAGTGTGGCAGGTGATAAATCACTGTTCTCACCACTGGATATGGAGAAAAAAGGGATACAAAGACCTTTTAAAAATAGGAAAAATAAAAGCACTCCAGGGCATGTAATTTTATGGAAAACATGGTAGAGAAAGTACAATAGGACTGAGATTGTATGTTGTTGACTGAAATGTTTTAATCTCATTTGGAGGAAAACCATAGTTAAGGTAGATTTTTGTAAAACTGAATCGTCAAAAACTTAGTCCATACACTGAGCAGCATATAATCATGCTTTTTAATGTAGGGCTTCCATGGTAGCTATGATGGTGATAAAAATCACAATCTTTCTCTTCTCTTTATCTTGTGCACAAGTTTTCTTCTGCCCACAGCCAGGTAGATGAGAGCAAGCAAAAGCAGATGTATTTATAGGATGTTAAGGGCAAGAATAAAACTAATACCTTAAGAGACTTTTTAGGAACCTCTTGGAAGGCATGAGTCCAGGGAGGGGTTACAGAGTCTGGGGACCTCCTGGGCACCTTCATCCTCCTTCTCCTCCTCCTCTTTTCTCTGTGCTGCTGGAAACCTGATACATTGCCACATGGATGGGGGCTCATACGGGCCACCATTGATGCTTCCTTGTAGATGGGAAGGCTCTGCTCCCGGATCAGTCAAAATCAAGGGCTAGCTTTTGAGGAAACCTGAATCTAGGCAGCCGGTCATTTGGAGCAATAGATTATCTTAGAGAGGATTCCTTCTCTTTTAGAGGACTCTATGAATGCATAATCCCATCAGTAAGTGAGCATGTGGGTTAATGCCGCATTTATTACATATCTGGGGATATGTCAGGTGCAGGTGTGAGGATTCCTGTGCCACATAGCAGAACACCAAAAATCAATTCAAGAAGTGTATTCATACGCAGCCTTTACTTTTTGGCCAGTACAAAAGCAAGTGAAATATGCCGGTAATTGTTGCCATAAAATAGCAGTTCATAGTCTCACATTTTGTTAACATTCGTTGTCTCTTCTAGATGTATGCCTCATAAGTTAGTCAGTATTCGTTTGTTTTGTCATTCATTTATTTGTTTTTTCATTCATTCATTCATTCATTTGAGAAATATTTGAGACCTTCTACATGCCCATTGTTGTCCTTGGTGCCAATACACAGCAGAGAAGAATACAAGAGTCCTGCCTTCATGCTGCTTAATCCTAGTAGGACAGAGCCAGGCAGTAAGCGAGACCAAATATATAATGTGTCAGCGGGGTAGTATAAGGGCTTGGAAGAAAAATGAAGCAGGGTAAGAGAACAGAAAGTAATAGAAGGCTAAAGGCTGAAATGGCATCATTTTCTCACCCCCTCTCAGGAGTCAGTGTCACCCAACTCCTGTCTGCCTCCTGCCTTTTATCCTAAAAACAGCCCTGTGAGGGGGCAAGCAGGACTGTCATTTCCATTTACAGATGATGAAACCAAGGCACAGTGTTTAAGAGATGGCCAAGATGGCACAGCAGGTAGATATCAGGTCACTCAGAGCCCCTGTTCTCAACCCCTCGAGAGTTCCTTCTCTTCACCACTGCCAGCCCTAGTCCAGCCCAGCGCCTGGACCTTTGGCCAGGGGTAGGCTCAGTGAGTGCATGTTTGAACCAAGGCACTGTGCTAAGCACTAGGGAGGAAGAGAAAGGTAACCTCAGGTCCTGCCTGGAGAAGACCCCAGACACAGGGCTGAGGTTTGGCACAGGGCTGTCTGTCCTCTGTGTCTGTCAATGTGTGTGCGGGTGTGGGGGTGGGAGGCTTCTGAGAAAGCTTCACTGAGGAGCAGCTGATCTCATTGCAGAGAAGAGGAGAAAGGCATTCTGTGCAGTGGAAATTGTCAGTGTAGACGCCTCGGGGCTTAAGAGAACGTGACATGGAAGAGACAGGAAATATGTACTCTTGTACAGGTATGCGGCACACATGTGGCCCCCTCCCTCCCAGCCTCCTCACTAAAGATTATTAACCTGCTTATTCTCCTGGTTCACCTGAGGCTGTTTTGAGAGAATCTCAGTATCTCAGTCTTCATTTCATACGACATTCTTCGGGCTCCTCTTGTTCATCTTTGCAGACTGAAGTATTTATGAAGGACCTTCAGAAATCTGATTCCTCCTGATGAATCAAAGAGTAAAGAAGAATCAAACATGATTAACCAGGTGAGGCAATGTGATGAAAAGGGGTGTGTGATTTAGAATAGGTGAGCTGGGTTCAAAGTTCAGCTGCAGCACATACTTTGGGCCAGTTATTTTACTTCATAGGACCTCAGTTTTTTCATCTAGAAATGGGAATAATGATACCTACCTCCTGAGAGATAAAGGGCAGAACAACAATTTCAGCAAGGCTCTATCATTTCAGTTATCCTTCCCTGCTACAGTGCAAATCTCTCTTAAAGACTGTAGGTCTGGCTTCCGTGAATCAAATAGAAACAGTTACAGCATAAGCCTGGGCCACTGTGTTGCCTTGGGATATGCATATCACCTGTTTTAATCCCAGGATTTGACTTTCCTCCTAGTGCTGTGGCTGATTATTTAATTTTTAGATAATCATGTAGCAAATATCATGTATTAGAAGGTAGGGCTATAAAAAGAGTATGCCACAAACAGAGTTTGGTTGTTGGCCAGCAAGTCCCAAGCTGCCTCTGCTGCCATGTGCTACCATATCAAGCGAGTTGCCCGGGAATCCCCTGCTGACATCGGTCTGTCTCACATGCGTGATATTTGGAAGGTAGTTTTGGTGTGTATTTGTGTTGATCATTATAGTAATGACATGCATTTACCACAGTTTTGTAGGAGAGCGACTCTCAGCTGTGGTTTAGAGACATAGCCCTTTGGATCTCCAGGTATCTCAAAGGCTGTAAAACTTCTCAAGTCAAAACTAGTTTTAATTTTACTGCTTGAGAGATGCAGTATGAAACATATGACAGCAATGAGTGTCTATTTCTGTAGCAACTCAAGCCACCTGCTTTTTTAGGGGAAGATTTATAATAAAGGCACATAACTATAGGGCTTTTAACCTTGATTTAAAAAGAAAAAAAAAGACTTTCCTGTTCATTATCATATCTAGCTCTGGGGAGATAGACAGGTTAGTGATGATCTGCACCATTTTACAGATGAGATCCCTGAGGTGGCTTGTGGCTTTGGTCCAAGAAGCCATTTATTTTTGATTGCTGGCTTCACATGGCTCCTCCCTTGGCTGGCTCCTTCTTATCCCTAATCCCCTATCTTTGTTGCTTGTCTGTTACCTATCAAAAGAAGCCATGCCTGATTTCTCTATTGGAGGTTAAACTGCTTTTCCCACCTCTGGTTTCCCTTCAACTCCTTATTTATTTCATTATCGCATTAGCCACTAGTTTTATTTCTTGGGTTTTCAAATGGTAATTATTATTTAATTTTATTGATTAGTCTGTCTCCAGCATTAGAACAAAAACACATAAACTCCATGAAGGCAAGGACCCTATCGTTGTATTTCTGTTGCCCTAGGGAGGTGCCTGACATACCAGACACCCTTTGTTAACATGTTTGGAAGGGAGATAGAGGCTAAGTTTTAAAGACTAAGCTGATCATTGAGTTCCTATGTTCCAACAGTAGGAAACGGACTGGAGGAAGGCTGTTTGAGGTATGAGGATTATTATAAAAGGACATTTTTACAAATGAACCAGGTTTAGACTTCAATATGTGTAGAGTTCTCTGAATCATGTCTGGCAGATAAATAAGACTTGCTTTTGGGGGAGTTTTTTCTAATTCAGTGGGCTTTGAATTAGAAGGAATTCCAATGCTTGTTCTTGTTCTGCTTGAGTAGAATTGATAAAATCTGTTAATCATCAGTTTTGCTTTAAACCCTTGAGGAATTTTTAAACTTTGGAAACTCAGGTCATGATTTTGAACTTTTATTTCTAATAATGTACCTGGCATTTTTTTAAAAACAGATTTTGTTACTATTTTTTTAGATCATTCTCATATTCACATATAGTTTGAAAGTCTTGTTCCTAAATCTCCATTTGACAGATTGTAGAGTCCAACATATGCAAATAATTAAGGCATTGTCTGCTCGATGTGGAAGTATCCAGGAAAGTTATGAAAAGCCCCAGGAAGGATAGATGTCCATGTTGATCAAACTACCAGATTCTTATAACATGTTGCTTTTACATTGTGTCATATGGCTGAACCAGAACAATTCTGTTCTGGATGACTTTTTGAGGGCATGTCTAATAACAACTAGGTTTTTCTCTTATATTTTTCCACTGGGTCAACTCTATTACTTTAGATATTTGGGGCTACAAGTAATAGAGATTTCAAATCCAAATAGCTTACACATATTATTTTAGGTACAAGGACAGGTGATTCCCAGGTTAGTGAGTAGAGGAGCTGAGTGGCCTTGTCAAGGATCCAAGTTGTTTGTGGTCATCCTTAGCATGTTGGAGTAGTCTCCTCATGGTCAAAATATGGCTGCCACAGATTCAGGCATTGCATCTCGGCATGACAGTCTCCAGAGACACCAGCAAGACACCGTTTTCTTGTCTTTATAGGTGTGAAGAGAGCTTTCCAAGAAGCTCTAGAACAGGCTGCCCCTTGTTAGTGGTTTGTTGGACAGAATGAAACAAACCACTAATCCTATTATGGGCCATAAATTACCATGAATGGCTTGGACCAATTGGGATTTATGCACTTTCTCTGAGGGCAAATAAAATATGGGTCACACCATCAAAGGAAAGGCAGCAAAGAGATGAGTAGGCAATAAGTAGTCATTGCCATACCAGATTCATCCTACTGGAACCCCCCTTTATGGATACATTTTCTTACTCTCAAATAATGAGCATTTTCAAAATCAGGACAAAGGAGTGGTTCTTTTGTTGCAGAGTTCCTTACATAAATTCATATTTTCCTTCTAAATTTTCTAAGAGAATTTTATGGATAAAGACTTTCCTTCAGTATTTTCTCTTATGAGTTGAATGTTGTGCTCACAGTTCATGTAAATATTTTGAGAAAATGTTATAATTCCATTTTAATCTAAAGACTTGTGAGCCTGCCTGTTTATCGCTGAGGTTTTCTGCAATCCTCGTACTAGAGGAAGTGTCATTTTGTGTAAACCAGGAAAAGAAATTGGTTCAAGTAAGTCTAATTGCAAAGTTGCTGAATGAAGATATCCCTTTCTCTCTCTTACAACAAAAATTTAAAATATAATTTAAAATTGTCAAACAATGATCATGTCACATCTGGAAATTTCAGGTTTTTACTCCCTTGCCTTTTTTCCTAATTACCTGAATGCTCTGGATATTCAGGCTTTCAGCTGTTTGACTTTTCTGGAGGTAAGAAAAGGTATCCAGTTTATTTCACTTTTCTCAGATGTGACTCATGTCTTTGACATAAAAATCCTTATCGCACAGGATAAGCCTCAGGAATTGGTTTGAAGAATGAAGACAAACCTGGTTTTTATGAGAATAGGGAATTTTTTTTTTATTGGAAGCATAGTTTTCTGTGTGTGTGTGTGTGTGTGTGTGTGTGTGTGTGTGTGTGTGTGTGTTTTGTATTTTTAGTAGAGACAGGGTTTCACTATGTTGGCCAGGCCGGTCTCGAACTCCTGACCTCAGGTGATCCACCCGCTTCAGTCTCCCAAAGTGCTGGGATTACAGGCGTGAGTCACCGCGCCCGGCCCCTGAAGCATAGTTTTCAATGAAGAGTCGGCTTGGAAAGCGGTAGGATTTGTCCCAACTTCCCAGGGCGTAGTGGAAGGTGAAATAAGACCACAGATTTATCAACCTAATCCTTAGAGACAACATTCATAAACATGAACTGTCAGTTCATCCAACCTTCTCTCCTTTTCAGATGAGGCCTAAAGAGATTAAGTGACTTGTTCACTTCCATTAATTTTTGGTGGATATAGGCCGGGTATGGTGGTGCACACCTGTAATCCCAGCATTTTGGGAGGCCAAGGCGGGCGGATCACAAGGTCAGGAGTTCAGTACCAGCCTGGCCAAAATAGTGAAACCCCGTCTCTACCAAAAATACAAAAAATTAGCAGGACATAGTAGCAGGCACCTGTAATCCCAGCTACTTGGGAGGCTGAGGCAGGAGAGTTGCTTGAACCTAGGAGGCAGAGGTTGCAGTGAGCCGAGATTACACCACTGCGCTCCAGCCTGGGCAACAGAGTAAGAATCCATCTCAAAAAAAAAAAAAAAAAAAAAAAAAAAAATTGGTGGATATAGTATTTCCCTAAAGCCCTGGAGAACGGGTGGTATATACAGTATTACATAGTGCTATGCTGTCTGATATTGTGTGTACAGTTACCTTAACACTCTGTACTTGGGTAACTTTGATAATGCAGATGTAGAAATTGGCAGTGGTGGTAATGATGATGAGAATGATCATGAAAATCATAAGAGAGCAGCTACCTGACATTTATTGAGCACTTACTGTATGCTGGGCAACATGCTTACACCTATTAGCTGTAACACAATAATTATATTATTGCCCCATTTGACAGATGAAGAAAGTGAATTTAGAGGTTAGGCTTGCCCAGTGTCACACAGCTGGAAGTGGCAGAGTTAGCATTCTAGCTCACATTTGCCTAATTTCAGAGCCTGAGTTCTAAATTATGAGGCTTACCACTAATTATTGGGGAGGGAAAGGATAGTATTTATGATGCTGAGAAGGAAAGTTCCTGAGTGGTACCAGGAATGACCTGGAAGAGTGAAAAGCCCTAAGAGGGATTGGACCATCCAGTGAGCATAGGGGATTGTGTAGATCAGGTGAAAATTGGACCTGCCTCTTCAACCCACAAGAGAAAGTGCAGGGCGGAGAAGAAACCTCAAGGAACGGAGTTGAGCTTTGAAAGGAGAAGTTGGCTACAGGTGCTGGAGAGGGCTGATGGAATGTATTTGGGGCAGAGGTTGAGATCCTGGCCCTCCCATGTCACACACCCTAAATTGAGGCCACATGGCTGTCAGTGAAAACAAACCCAGGTGCTGGTTTCAATAAAAGGTGAGACTAGGACACAAAGAAGGGTAGGGAGGGCAGAGAACAGCTAAGGTCTGAACAGCTCTGCAAAGTAGGTACATGGCTCCCAGGATTATCAGACACATTTTTCACATGGGAAGACAGAATTTTCAAGATGTTAAGTGACTGTTCTAAATCATTCAGCTGAGACTTTCAGTCCCCATATTTGGGATATTTGATGTAGAGTTATACAGGTTTGGCTACAGAAGGCATGACTCAGGCAGAGAGAATTAGAGGAGCCAGGAAGAGGGCAGAATAGGCACAGCCTCTAAACCAGCAACCGTGCTCACAGCAGCCCAGAAGCCCAGGGGGAGAACATGTGTGTTCAAGGTGGTTGCATGTTCATGGTAATAATTACACTAATACCCAATAACAGAGAGGTTACCTTGTGGTTATGAGCCTGGGCTCTGGAGCCAGCCTGCCTCAAGTCCTACCTCTGCATCTTCTCGCTATTTATGTTCTGTCAGATTGTTTTCCCCCTCTGGGCCCCAGTTGCCTCTTTTGCAAAATTAGAATGATAATTATACCTCATAGGATGTTGTAAGAGTTTATTAAGCATGTAGAGCAGGAGTCAGAAACCTTTTCTATTAAGGACTCAATAGTAAATGTTTTTGGCATTTATGGCCATATAGCGTCAGTCATGACTACTTAACTCTGCCATAAGTTGGTAGAAAATTCAGGCATTTAAAAAATCTGTTTGCCATAGGAAATTTGCAGAAGCCCACAGCAGGCAAATGTCTCTTGATTTATAAATGAAATTGTATAAAATAGTAGCCATAGAAAGTAGACTTCTGATTCCAAATTATCAGCAAAGTCATGCAGAAAACAGGCAACTTTTTAAAAAATATAAGGTTTTAGTCTGTGTAAAGGTGATTATAAGAGGAATATTCCTTCTACGGGTCTGCTTAGCTTTCTCCTAACCACTGCTTTTGATTTATCCAGTTCATCATCTTTTTTTTAAATAGAAAATATAATTTGGCGGCTGGGCACAGTGGCTCACACCTGTAGTCCCAGCACTTTGGGGGGCCGAGGCGGGCGGATCACGAGGTCAGGAGATCGAGACCATCCTGGCTAACACGGTGAAACCCCATCTCTACTAAAAACACAAAACAACAACAACAAAAAAAAAATAGCCGGGCGTGGTGGCGGGCACCTGTATTCCCAGCTACTCGGGAGGCTGAGGCAGGAGAATGGCGTGAACCTGGGAGGCGGAGCTTGCAGTGAGCAGAGATCGTGCCACAGCACTCCAGCCTGAGCAACTGAACTAGACTCTGTCTCAAAAAAAAAAAAAAAAAAAAAAATATATATATATATATATATATATATATATAATTTGCCAACTTGCAGCCCATGGTTAAATAAGTACCACCAGAAAGTCTGAAAATGTATTTTCCATTCATAGAAAAAAGGATTAAGCTGACTTAGAAATGTTTTATGTTGACAGTATCACTTAAAGGAGATATACTTCATTCTTAATGTGAGAAGTGCATCTTGGAATCATTTCTGGTAAAGAATTCTCTTGCCCTTTCCCCAAATTAAAAAGAGGAAGAAAAGCAAATGAAGTACAAAAGCCTTAAATTTCAGTGAATAGACAGCTGTGCTCTCTATTCGGGCTTTGATGGTGGGATGGGGGTGAATCCATTGTACCCCAAATTATGTAAGCTTCAGAAGCATTTGCACTACCTGAAGTCCCGGAAATGTAGATGGCATGCATTTAACGGGGCTGACCTTGGTAAATATAGGTTTGTGATTGGGAGGATGGTTTTGTGACACAACTTCTCCAAAAGCAAAGTGACGTCTTAGTAATGATATACTTTGTGTGTAGTTTACAGGGAATGGAGACTTTTTTGTTTTATTCTTTTAAAGGGAATCTGGAAACCACGTCTAATTTCAATCTAATGAAACACCTCCTAATGCCAGGGGTTTCTCAGGTCAGTTTCCTAAGAGAGGCATATCATGCCCATCTTATACTGGATGTCCTATGTACAAAACACTATCTATATTACACTTACCTACTAGATTTCTTTTATTAGCTTTTACCCTGGTGATGTTAATGGTATTCTCATGACTCTTTTTTTATCTGTGGGACATTAATGTGTTAAGGGTTATTTAGCTCCCACTGTGTGCAATAGAGAGAGGTAGGGAGAGAATACTGAGATATCAGTTCATACATCTCTGTACATGTGAGTGTAATGGGGATTTAGGCTTTTCTATTCTGTTTTAGAAACTGTAAATCAAACCAGATCAAAAGATGGTTTTTGACCAGAATTTATGAATTTCCTAGTAAGTGTTGACACAGCACTGAAATTTAAGGAGCAGATGTATCTTCTTGAAATTCAGGAAGCTCACATGAATTCCTAATGAAAAACAAACAGCTTTTCCAGCAAAAAAAAAAAAAAAATGACTTGGGTTTCTCTGTGATGTTAATTGTACCAAGTTCTGATTATGTGTTTCAAATCACAGTAAAAATCGAGGAAAGAGGATTTTTTTTTTAAGTTTGCTTGTCCAGGAATTGAGACGTGGGATTTCAGGAGTTCTGGCCCAAACACGTGCCTCAGAAAATGGGGTAGACAAGTGCACAAGCATCCGCATGTGAGGATCCGCATGCGAAGATGCACGTGAAGACCACAGCTTCCTTTCTGGTGCTCACCATGTGAGTGCATCATTTTTCAACAGTAGTTCAGTTCAGCCTTTCTTATATAATAGCCTTGCAAGTGAACGGATAAGCAAAGTCAGTTGCTGAGAAATAACACTTCCGAGCTGACGCATCCAAATGTTTAGGATACACCTGAGATGTCTCTCTTACTGAATAGAAACAACATCCCTGGAAGCTCTAGACTTCTGAGGCACCCCAGCTTTCCCTGGTGAGTATATTAACCTTTTCCCTTCTTGACATGCTGTGGAATCAGCTGGAATGCTCATTTCATTGTAGCCACTGGACAAAAATGCAGCTTGCCCTGGTCACAGCAGTAATGACAGATAAAGTATGGGAGTTTGTCTAAGAGGGGGTGAGCCCTAATGGTTGAAAGGTTGACAGCTTTCAGAATGTTTGCCACCTCTCTTTAAAGCAGCTCCACCAGGGCAGTTTGGCAAATGTAAAAACAAAACAGTTATACTGCTTGCAGCTCTAGGATTTTAAATCACAAACAAATTCTATATTTTATTCAGCCATCCAGTAGATCAATGAGAAGTAAAGCATCCTAACTGAAGGTGAGAAAGTCATGTGTGTAAAGTTTATTGTCGGGATCTCTTTATGTGGTTATGTTCTGCTAATAGGCAAATTCATTTAATTTTTACATGGTTTCCCCAGAAGAGCTGTTTACATAGTTGCTTGTTCTTCTCTTCCCTTCCCTTGTCTTCCCTGCTTCTCTGACCATTACCATCTAGACCCAGCAAATAGACTTTAGTGTACAAATGTGCCAAACGCATTTCATGTGCACGAGCCGTGACTCATTGTCAGTCACCTGGAGCCTAGGGGGCTTTCTGCATTAAGAAATCTTTTACTCCTAATAATGCTGTTTTCTGGATCATGAATGAGGCTCAGCCATGGCTGTGCTAAATACAGAAATATCTGTGTTCTAAAATCTCCATCTCTACAAAATTAATCTGATGCTGATGCAAAGGGATCCATCTGCCGAACATTTCCATCCCATGAATATGGGAAAAGGGGCAGATACAATTGAGTATGCACAGGTGCATTTAAACATTTAAACAACCCTTTGAATGATGAGTAGGTTGAGTATTTCTCAATGGAGCAAAATGTGTCTGACATGCCATTGAGCAGGTATATTTAAATGATTTCCCGGTTCTTCCACCACATATACAGTGGTGCATATTTTCTTATGGAAGGTCTTGTTTCTCCATCTGTATATTGTGCTCCAGAGCTTTTGCCCCCAAACACACCCTTATATAGTTGGGGGATGAGGAGCACTCAGCCTCGAGGTTGAATTCTGTCCCTTATTCCGCTCACTCTCTCTTTCCTGGCCTCTGTTTCTTCATCGGTAAAATGGGGACAGTAATAATGGTAAGTCATAAGATGCTTATAACAGTCAAATTTGGCAGATTTGTGAATATTGTCCAGCATAGCTTTTGGCACATAAAAGGAGCTCTTCGAAAATGTTTTTCTTCTCTTGAGGGTTTTCAGGGAAAAGGTTTTGAAGAAAAAGATTTCAAGCCTTATTGGATTAAAGTCATGTTCGTACCTACAGATTGTTGGTTCTCTTGAGAGCAGGCACTGTCTGGTGCAGACTCTGGGAGATGTCCCCTGCAGAAACCTAAGTTTTAACATAACCCATGCTAATTACATCATGTCAGTGACAGTGGGCATGGCAGAGCTGCTCCCGCCCTTGACAGAAAATAGTGTATGTGATTTGTAAATGAACTGGGTGCTCACATGTTCTCTGGGAATGTAAATATTGACTCTAAGGAAGAACTAAGATAATTTTGTGGTGAGATAGTTTCTAGTTGTTTAGGCTTTCATTTTGCTTTGTTTTAATTGCACACACATTGAAACTATATTCCAGCCTTGGCCAAACTTCAGTCATTCAGACACCACCATCCATCCTTCTACTATCCATGTTTTTATTTAATATTTTTATTTAAATCCCCTCTTTTAAAGTGTAAACTTATTTTAAAAGCAAACCGTCTCTTTCTTACATAAATAGGAAACAAGTATCACATGCAGTAACTAGAAGGTGGCCTTGATGTGCAGTGAAAAACAACATCTTCAAATCAACTGAAGGCTCCAAGGCCTGAAACCCATGTGCAAGAGGGAGATTAGCAAGTGTGTGAGAGCCGTTTAAGACACTTTCACACCAGAGAGGTTCTCCTTAATATAGACTCCTGAGACAAGTTCGGAAGGTTTTCTTGTTTGGATTCTTGTGTCAACATATTTTGTAGATTAGACCTCATTTAACGTCATAATCTCATCTTTTATTAATATCATTATCATTGAGGGGTTTTGTTGCCCCTTTCCATAAAATGGCACCAGAAACAAAAGAAAATAAAGTTCTACACATTGCTGGGCCAAACTGTGAAACTGTGTTTAAAACAAAACAAAACCCACAGTTTTCAGTAACTCTTTCTCAGTTAAGCCTTCAGGTTGAGAACAACATTGTCAACCGGGCATAATATTAATTCCAAACCCACTGAAAGGCATCAGCCAGAGAAAGGTTGTGACAACCCCCGCCATCCCACTAATTGTGGTTAATTGTGTCTGCCTGTGTGTTCCAGTTGCTTGGTGTGCCTGGGGTCTTATTGAGGGTAGGAACTGTGTCTCAACACTACTGTAGCATTTCTCTTGAATTCTTAGCCTAGTAAGATGCATATGGTCAATTCCATCAATAGTTCTTGGGTAAACTTGAAGCCTCCCACAGCTTGCCAAACAGAGCAGACGCATGTCCTTGGAAGCACTTGTGATCCCTTTGCGTAGGCTGTCAAACAGTGCAGCTCTGGGCTGTTCCTGGCTTGCAGGGTTAATGTCGAAACTCATAGGCTTAAGAGAGTCCATGATTAAGAGGTTATTGTAAAGCTTACACAGCATATTTAGTTAATTACAGTTCTTCGTTTACCCTCTCCTGCCATTTTGCATTTGCAAGGAATAGAGGGAGCCTGCTGTGTTTGTCTTGGAATGGATTCTCCAAAAGCTTAGAGACCTACTTCTCCCCTTTCCTTATCAGGTCCTCTGGGTCCCAGCCCCTGACCCAGGGAGCGGGACCGAACAGGAAAAAGAGGAGGAAGGGGAGTTTGCTCATTCACATTTCTGTGTCTGAGTGGCTGTGTCTCTTGCTGCAAAAGGGCCAGTGAAGGATGAGTCATCTAGTTTATCCACTTTTGCCTATATATCTGTTTTGTTGGAGTAGATACCATAACTTGAGAGTATACCGTGGTTTATTCTGTGGAGAGTTGTTAATGATAAAGAAAATTTAGTTTTTCAAACAATATTTTTGAATCTTGCCATGATACTTAGACCTTAGAAGAAACTTATCACACTGTACAAAAATTAGGACATTTAAGATTCATATTTAGTACTTTGTTTTTTAAATTATCTCCCTGCTGACTTTCCAGATATGCTCCTGGATTTTTTTTTTTTTCACATACCCAAGCAGCTTTCCCTCCATGGTATAGAGCTAGCCAAAGATTTTATTTGCATTACATAAACATAACTGGTTATACTACAGAGGGCTATTTTTGGCAACAGAATTTCTGTATTTGATTTTTTCACTCCTAAAGAAAAAAAACATATATTAAAGATATAAACTTTTTAAATGTAAAAATTATGCATTTTCATTTTATAGAAAATACAGGAAAATATGTGACAAAGTGAAATTCTATACCCCAAAGATAATCACTTAAGATTTTGGTGTGTTTTTTCTTTTTATGCATAGAAAAAAATTGAGGTCATACAATTTAACTCTTGAGTTTTTGTATTTTTGCTTCTCTTGTCTGCAAGACATAAGTTGAAGTAAATGGTATTTAATGTTCTAAAATCACTGATTACAGAGTTAAGTGATTTTAAATGATATTTTAAAATTTTATTAAATTGCATACCTTTTGAATCATAACAACATAGTCTCCAATATCTTTAAATATTTTTTCAGAAATTTAATGTTAGTCATAAGACATAAGACACAACCTTTAAATAGTGAATGGCAGAATGGCAGAATGGCAGAAAATTGCCCATGAGATTAATTGGTTAAGAGTGCTGAGATAAGTTCCAGCTTTGTAATTACTTTTCTGTTATTTACGGCCGTTAGTTTGATTACATAGTTTGTAATATGAGGCCTTGGATTTAAAGTATATCATTGTTAACTTAAAATGGGAATAAAGAATAACCACATGCTCAATTTTATTGCCACACAGCAATGAAAAATTCATATCATAAGATGAGAAATAGTCACAGAAATCCAACTTAAAACTAGTGATCAGGTTCCGAGCGAAGATATTTCAGATTTTATTAACTTGAAGCAGCTGTTGTCTCTAATATGACACACCCCACAGAAATGGAATAGGTCTTATAAAGAATACTTGTGTTTTTTCTTTTTTAAAGCAGCTGGCTTCCCATCATTGAGCTGTTTTTGAGTTCAGGAACTCCAGCTCTTGGCCTTTTCCTTGTGAGAAGGAAGGCTGAGGCTCTAGAGATTTTTCCCTGTGCAGCTGCTGGGAGGACAGGGTGAAAGGGGAAAGAGCCTTTGACCAAGTTCTGTGCAGGATCTGGGCACAGTGGTGGGGGGATTGGGAAAGAAGGATGGATAAACCCTCCCTGCATCTATGAGCACCAGCCTTGCTCCTGGGCATCTCATTGTCATAAACTCTCAGTAATAGGAGGGACAGGACAGGGGACAGTCCCAGGGGCATGTGGGAGGGGCTGGAAAGAGGAAAACAGGCAGATTCCAAGGGGCAGATGCCAGGAGGGAAGGCTGCTCCTCAGTCAGGTTCAGGGTCCCAGCGTGGAATTCCAGGAGGAGTACTTGAATCTCAGCCTCCAGCATTCTTGAAAGAGACTGGTGGGGAAGACCCTCAGGCTGGAACGTACTGGAGTTCCTGGCTTGCTGCAGTTGACTTGCTGCCTGATCTCTGGTGTTCTTCAAAGAGCTGCTCAGATGTCATTCTTCAGGTCTGCCTTTGATTCCTGGCATGAAATCATCTCCATGCACTGGGTGGTTGTCCCTACCACAGCTTCTAGTTATGTATTAGCATGATTATTTGAGTAATATTTTCCTCCCCATATTTTATCCAACATTCTATCCCCAGCACCAGGCCCTGTACCTGGCATCCTAAAGTCCACCGTAAAAATTCATCAAAGGAAAAGATGACCATTTAAAGGTCATTTTACTTCTCTTTGCTTTATTTAGCTTTCTGAAATCTTTTGATAAAAATATATATGGAAATTTTGGTAGCTCTTTTTTGGGTGAGATAGCAGTGTGTTTTCCAACAGGAAAAGGACAAATTACTATTTGTATTATTGTATATTTATTATATTTCAATATAATTATAAAATAATTTGCTGTGTTATATAACTTTTATATCCTTAGTTTCTGAAACCATTTTTGGAAAAAATATCTTAACTTTCGATTTAAATATTTTTCTCAAATGAAAAACTTTCATAGATTATGATTATTACTTATTAAATGTGAGATTTTCTTGATGTTTAAGCCACTAGAAAAATTTCAAAGAGGGAAGAGTGTGTTGGCAATTATTATGTTCATTTTATGATGAAGATATTGAAAGTTAAGAGGATTTCTCAGTCAGTGGTGAATTGAGGAAAGAAAATTGGGAGGTGGGGAGCATTTCTAGGAATTTTCTCTTATGAATCCTTAAGCATATTTTGTAATTATTGCCTTTTCTGAATCACCCTCTTCAGTGATTAGCACAGTACTCTGCATGTATTAAGTACTGGAGTTACAATTGAATTTATGTGTGTAAGAACAATAAGGATGTGGAAGGAAGAGGTATTTCCAGCTATAGATAATCTTGTGTTTAAGCCTATTCTTTTTATTTTTCTACATTTTAAATAGCTGATTTCAATTCAGAAATAGAAAACCAAGGTTACCATTGACTTTCCTTTCACCTCTCCAAAGTTCAAATCCTGAACTTCGATCTTTTCCTAGAGTTTTCTCTTCTCCTGCTGTTAAATTCACTGGGTATATTTTCTGTCAGTGTTACCTCCCCAAAGTATAGGACTTGGTACACATGCCGTTGATTGAGACTCAAGCAATGTGGAATTGGAGGTCATCATACTGGAGCAAGCCTGAAGACAACCCTTATTTTCCATAAGGAAAGGGTATACCAAAGAGAATAATACTTTTAACAAAATGTCAGTGGGAAAGTTTTAATTACTTCAGAGAGTTGGATTCTTTCTAAACATCCTGGACTGCAGGAATCTCTGCAAATTAGGATTCTCCCTACAGGTTTGTGGATTCAGAGTTTGGCTCTGCATTTCAATAATCATTGCAGCTGTTTTATTTGTTGTTTTACTTTGAGAACAAAGGTGTTTCTTCCGAGAGCTTCCCCAGGGCCTCACACTCAAATTTTCTTCCTCGTCCCAAGTGACATGGCAAGTTTTAGTAACTAGTGCTTGTTCTAGGGAAACAAAGTTGTGGCTCCAAAATGTTCCTTAAAAATGTCAGTGATTATGGTATAATCATCCTCTCTGAAAGAAAAAAAAAATTACTGGCTCTGATTCAAAAAATAACAACACATTGGCTATAAATCCCCTAATTGCCTCTGAAAAGCAAAAACGGACATGTTTAATTTTTCTATCCCCCCTGCAACTTATCTGCTTTGTCTGGTGATTAAAATAGGCGACAGCCAGTCAGGCCTGTTGGAATCTGGTCCCTTCCCTGCCACTGAGGGCTTGGGCTCAGACCTTATCATGTGGAAAAATGTAAGAGAAAAATCTAATTGTTATTAGACATACTCTCCAAAAGTCACCTAGAACAGAATTGTTCTGGTTCACCCATTTGGCATGATGTAAAAGCAACACGTTTTAAGAATCTGGTAGTTTGATCATCATGGACAGTAACTTCTCATAACTCATTTTACGGATAAATTACCAAGACACTGAGAATATTTGTGTGAAAGAGCATATTCACTGCCAGTGAGTGTGGATGAAAATTGTGGAATTTGGCTTATTTTTTTTCTCTTACCTTTATGTCTTGGAGACCTTTCTAAGTTGGGATATGGAAGTCTTTACCTCAGTTTTGAAAACTGCAGTGTGACAGTCCATGGTATAGATATTTATTTCCTTGGCCATTTCCCTTTGAACGTACATTATGGTTTGTTTCTGATTTTTCACTGTTGCAAACAACGCTGTGGCCCATGCTTCTGTGAAGAGTGATGATGATGATGATGTCGATGACGATGATGACAGCAGCAAGCGGACACTTACAGAGCACTTATCTGTGTCTGGCCTTGTTCTCATCTTGGGAGTGTGTGTGTGTGTGTGTGTGTGTGTGTGTGTCTTCTCTCAACAATCCTGTGAGATATTCTTATATACCTTCTTATTCTCTTTTTATATTTGAGTAAAATGAGGCGCAGAGAAATTTTGTGACTTGGCCAATGTCACACCTCGTAAGCTGCATACTGGATTTGAATCCAGGTGGAACCTCATGGGTATATATAAGATTGTAAAAATACACGTTCCCCTTCACCAGGCCTTTCTTCTGACCTAAGTGGTGGCCATTCTCCACATCAGCCCTTGGCCCTCTATTCTCCATCTCAGGCTGCATATAACCTTCACTCAGCAGCTCTGTGCTGGTCATGCCCAGATATCCAGGCCTCATGGGCCTCTACTTTGTACCTCCAGCTGCCAGTGAGATAGTTGTATACAGTTGTCAGTTTCTTCCTTCCAGCCCCATTCTTTCTCATTCTTGTTTCCATGAGTCCTTATGCCCGTTGTGGCTCTGGCCAGCATGAACTTCCTGGTCATGTGTGTGCCATGCGTATTCCAGCATCTCCTGTCACCCTGTCCATGCCTTCCTCACCTATCCAGATGCCGCCACTACTTTGCCAGAGCTGAAGTAGGGATAAGGTACTCCCTGTCACCTTGGCCTACTCCTCCAGCCTGTATTGACATTTCTTCCTGCGTGTTCTGAAGTCACACCACGGAATTCTTAAGGATATACACTGTGACATTAGAGGGCTTGAGTTCAAGTACTGGGTCTGGGCTACTTTGCTTTGCTGCCCTTTAGTTTCCTTGTCTCTGAAATGGGGATAATAGTTCTTTTTTTTTTTTTTTAGATGGAGTCTTACTCTGTCACACCCAGGCTGGAGTGCAATGGTGCCATCTCGGCTCACTGCAACCTCTGCCTCCCGGGTTCAAGCGATTCTCCTGCCTCAGCCTCCCGAGTAGCTGGGATTACAGGCATGTGCCACCACGCCCGGCTAATTTTTTGTATTTTTTAGTAGAGATGGGGTTTCACCATGTTGGTCAGGCTGGTCTCGAACTCCTGACCTCAGGTGATCCACCCGCCTCGGCCTCCCAAAGTGCTGGGATTACAGGTGTGAGCCACCACACCTGGCCGATAATAGGTCTTACCTCATAGAATCAGGAGGAATAAATGAGATCATTGTGTCAACCGTGTTAATTATCAGAAGCGTAAGCACTATTCTGAACTTGGTGCATGACCTTCCCATATTGGTGCATTTTTACAGGCTATTTCTGAAGTTAAGACATGTCCGCTTACCTTGAGTCAAACATGAAATGTCTTACATTTTCAAAACACTTTCCCTTCCTTGTAGTCTCTACTTTAACCTTTAATTATTCCATTTTATATGTTAGCTTTCTCTCTTTCAATTATCTGGACTAGAGTCACCTGATACTCCTCTCCTCACCAGGGAATCAGCCACCGTGGTGAGCACGTAGTAGGTTGTGTTTATTATTGTGTGATCCTTAGTGAGTCTCAAGTAGGCTGAAGCTGCATGATGAGTCATCACACTGAGCAACTGTGCTCGGTAGGACTGTGTTGTTTATACTCTAATAGAAATATTTACCTTCCTTCTGAAGATCTGTTTTCCAAATACCTATTTGGGCATCTCAAATCCTAAACAGTGTTTATTAATCATACTTCTTCCAAGGACTAGCACCTGTTCTTCTTGGGCAAATAATCCGTAAACATACATCTGGATAGGTCCAGTTAGAATTCACTAACATAAATAGCGATGCCTTGTCAGTAATGTTTTAATCACATTTCTCTTAAGTTCTGCAGAATCTAGTTGATAAGAATGACTGTTCTTTTGAAAGCTACTGTGGACACACACACTCACATGCG
This sequence comes from Homo sapiens, assembly GCF_000001405.40. Taxonomy (NCBI): domain Eukaryota; kingdom Metazoa; phylum Chordata; class Mammalia; order Primates; family Hominidae; genus Homo; species Homo sapiens. Next base: position 73,552,543 of record NC_000003.12, on the reverse strand, counting down.
CAAAAACCTCATACACACCATAAACATATGTTCTTTGTATTTTGTATTTCTTCCAGAGAAGAAAACACCCTAATTTTACAGGGTCATGAGGAATGAATGAGATAATTGTGTAAACTCCTCAGTGAATCTGCTGCTTAGTCCAGTTATTATCCATTTAAAGTTAATCATGAAGACACTTCATGAAGGAGAAAGTTTTGAGTGGTGAGAAAGTTACTAGGGTAGAAGTATAATAGTGATTATGTATATAATGCTATCTCCCAGGGACTGTTCTAAGGTGTTTGGGTACACACACACACACACACACACACACACACACACTCCTTTAATTCCCACGTGAAACCTAAGAGGCAACATTTAGGTGGGGAAACTGAGGTACTGAGATGAGTAACTGGGAGGATAGAAGACGAGGACGTGGGAAGGAGTGAGAAAAGGAATGTGCCCCAGGTGATTGGAGTGTTTCGCTTTGTAGTGCTGACCCTAAACTTAGGACTGTCCACAAAGAAGGAAAGGCAGTGAAGGGGGATGGAAGGTCATAGGAATCAGTCACTTGGACAGGCATGGGTATTTCAGCTCAGCCACTGCCTAGCAGTGTGGCATTGAGAATTACTGACCTTCTCCAGACCTCAGGCTTTTCACAGGTACAACAGGGGAAGGATAATGGCCTTTGTGTTGCTATGAAAAATAAATAAAATCACATGCAGGTATAAACATAGGCTTAGTCTACTGCTTCAAGAAGGTAGCATCTCAAAAATATGACCCTTTAGCACTTTTAGGATTTTCTCTGTAGGCTTCTAATATTAGAAGTGGGGAAATAATTATATGTTTCTTTTTTTCCTTTTTTTTTTTTTTTTTTTTGAAACAGGGTCTCACTCTGTTGCCCAGGCTGGAGTGCAGTGGTGCAATCACAGTTCGCTGCAGCCTTGACGTCCCAGGCTCAGATGATTCTCCCCCATTAGCCTCCCAAATAGCTGGGACCACAGGCACATGCCAATGCCACCATGCCCAGCTAATTTTTTTATTTTTTGTAGAGACGAGGTCTCACTGTGTGGCCTAGGCCAGTCTCAAACTCCTGGGCTCAAGCGATCCTCCCACCTCAGCCTCCCAAAGTGCTAGGATTACAGGTGTGAGTCACCACTCCTGGCCTCCGTAAGTTTCAAATGATGCAAAAGGAACATTAAACAATGATAGCCATTACTTTCATTTGACAGAGCTGATGATTTTTTGCTACATTGACTTTTCTTGGTTCCCTCCTTTTCTTCTTTCTATACCAAAGTATTTCAAAGCTCATCCAAGACAGTGTGTCATTTTCCCCTACAGACTGCAGTATCCACCTCTCAAAAAAATACATTTTCTTAATAAGCCACAACAGGAGTGACAAAATTAAACCTAAATTAAAAATTGGCAATATTACACCTTTGGCCCTGCACATACAGGGATGTTTAGCTGGTTTACTTGTTCCAAGTGATCTTGTTTCACTCAAATTTAAATGAATGACATCACAGTTTTTACAATTTCAAACACAAGGTGTTCCCTGAAAGCATCCAGCGTTATTCTGCACTGTTCAGTTTTAGCTAGTTTTCTTTCTGATAACTCTCATTATAAACATTTAAAAGAAAAAGAACATTTTGCAACATTCTGCTTCTCCAGGGCAGAGACACTTCAGAGTATTGCTGTCTGTATGACCCTTGTTCCAACAAATCTGCTGATTCCTGAAACAGCGTGTTTTTGTTTTGTTTTGGTTGTGCTTCTGTTTCAGTTTATTCATCCTTTCCTTACCCTGATCATTGGCACTTCTATTTCTTTATAATTCACAAACCTGATATTAGACCAGGACATCTTTGGGTAGACGTCACCATATACAGGTGTGCCTTCATTTTTTAGAAACCAGCATTTAATCAATAATAGTAAGTTGCTTTGGGGTAACTACTTGCAGTTATTGGCAATGTCTGCTGCTGTGAGATTTGGCTTGAAGCTGCACAGGGCAGGTCTGCTTACAACAGTGGTTTTCAATTTTGCCTTTGCAGTCAAATCAGGTGGGGGGCTTTTAAATAAAGACTGATTCCTGGGCCCTGCCTTAGAGATTTCTGGTTTAATTGGTCTAGGGTAAGACCAGGTATTGATTGTTTTTAAAAACAACCCTCCAGGTGATTATAATGTGCAGCCAGGATTGAGAACCAGTGCCTTAGAGTGTCCATTCTCAAACTTGAACGTGAAGCAGAATGACCTAAAGGGCCTGTTAAAACGCAGGCCACTGGGCCACACCCCAGAATTTCTGGTTCATTAGGTCTGGGGGGTTGAGGGGTGGCGGCGAGACTTTGCATTTCTAACCAGTTCCCGGATGATTCAGCTGTTGCTAGTTCTGGGAACCCACTTTGAAAACCACTGGCCTGCGGAGATCTTTCCAGTAGCTTTGTAAGATTTTATAACAAGAAAAAAGACAGGATTTCCTGTGCTTTTAAGTAAAACAACTGCTTAAGGCACAAATATTAAAATATTATGCTTCCCGGTTCATAGGCAAGTTGGACCATACCCTCTGTTTGCTAAGGCAGCATCTGCACTAACAGGCAGCCAGGGCCCAGGATCTGAAAGGACATGGATTAGAGGCAGGTGAGAAGTTGGTTTTTTAAATAAAAAATGCTACAAGGATCTATAGAATTGTTACTAAGGTTAGCAAATTACCTATGGATTGTACAGCTCTACTGAGATACGTAGCTTAAGATGTGAATAATTCCCTGGGCAGCATGAAATATGGCACAGAAGTACGAAGGTGACTCAGACAAACATGGTACTTGATCCCCTAAAGAGGGCAGTTTAACAGTAGAATGTACTGCCTGTGATGAGACATATCCATTTCTTATTTAAATTCACGCCCTACATTTCTCTTTCTCCGATTCTTGGGACTTCTAGTTCCATTTCCTTTTCCAAACCCTTCTCTCCGTCTTTGAGTGAAAAACCCTTTATGAAATGTTTGGCAACAAAGGATGCCACCTTTGCCGATTACCAGGAGTGTACTTGCTGCATCATCGTCCATTTGTCCTCACCTGATTTTATAGAAGTGTGAACTTGTATAAGCAGCTGTTCTGTGTCCAAAGACTTGGGATTTGGGCTTGCAGGGTTGGACTTTGAACCTAAGCCTGCAGCAGACAGGGCAGCTTGATTCACTCTTCCTGCCATGCAACTTCTCTCGGGTACAGTGCCCTTTGCTAGCTGGTAGAGAAGAAAAGAGCCTATTCTATCCATTTGACAGACCGCTAATGAATAGTAATCATGAAAATTGAAGTCGTGCACTGCCACTGCATTCACCATTGTTATATTAGCAATTCCTGGACTTCATGAACAGAGCACTCGTTATTCTGCAATTAAATGAAAAATAATGGCATCGCTTAGCTATAAGGAAGGAAACGTTCAAGTGCAGCCTCTGTATAATTAAGCTTAACATTATTATCAACAGAAAGTGATTGTAGTTGTGTTCAGAGGCGAGAAGAGATATGCCACCAACCATTTGACCTATCAAAAGAAAATGGCTTTTGTGATGTTTGATGTTCTTCCTAACAACCAGCTTTGTGCCTTGCATGGGGCAGGTGCCATTTTCTGCACCATTTTCTCTCTTTTCCAGCTGTTTTAAAGTTCTTTCTCATCAGTTCTCATGACTGCCTTTGTAACACTTGTCTGTTTTCCATTTTTCCTTATGTCTTCACCAGCATCTGTTGTCCTGCTTTTTGTTTTATCTTTTTCTTTCTTTGGCGACAATCTATTTTCTTGACTCAGACACACTGGCTTTCTGACATAAAATTAAAACAATCCATTTAATTTTTAACTAAAACAGGTGTTGAGTGATTGACCCTATCAAGCAGCTCCCTGCAGAAACCTCATTTACTACTAGCTTCTTTATTGCCCCCTCATAATTCATTAGCTTAATAAATGCTTGTGTGAAAAGGCAGAGGCCAAGATTACCAATCTTACAATATGGATGTCTGCCCACTCCCTCTCCAGCCCACATCCCAGGGAAGTCAACTAGGTTGAGCTCTCCGCAAGACAGTCGAAGCTCCAGGGTGTGTGCTTCAAAAAGCCTCAAATTAGTGAGTGCTCTAAAGTAGGATCCCTCCTTTGCTTCAGCATACAGAGTGTTCACCTCTCAGGGACATGCTGCCTGCATCCCCTTTAGTGGAATCTGGGGAAATAAAACGTCTGTATCTTCTGCTTCGTAACTCCCAGCAGCCAGCAAAATATTCAATGTTTTGGAGCTGGTTACAAGAAACTTCCAAATCCTCAAACATCATCAGAGAAAGCCACAGACCCCAAGCGCCTGTCACATTTGGGTATGTAGTGCTTGCTCTCTCTCTACGTAGCACCTAAGGTTAGCTGGTGGATATCAAAGCCCCATAGAGGAAGGGGTGTGGGCGCGGGGTTGTTGGCCTAGTCTTAATTTAGGTTCAGCATATGTCTGAAGCTTCCCCCGCTTTAACATTTTCACAGAGCCCAGACTTATCTCAGCAAGCACTCCACAACCTCTTCGTTCTGAAACCCCTGTGTATTATGAAGGAAATGAAATCCATATGTTTCTGATTCATTTACATGTAGCTCATCAAAATGTAGTTTTGTAAGAGCTCTTTGGTGTCCAAGAAGCCTTTGGAGCCTTTTTATAAGACTTTTAACCCTCCCCCGCTTCATTCTTCTTAGAACCAGGAAGTTGGGACTTGCCAAGAGTAAATAAAAGCAAGCTTCAGAGTTGACTCTGGCTCTGGCCTGACCCATCTCTGGTCTGAGTCTGCAGTGGACTTAGCTTCAGCAAAAACAGAAATGACTGTCTTTACCCTTTTTCTGGAGCCATGGAAGTAGGCACTAATCCCACTTACACCCCACGTGACAGTGAGTTTGGGCTCACAGCATCTCTTGGAGGCAGCCACTTGACTCTATGTAGTTATTTCCAGCTGAGCCTCTTCTCTCTGTCCTGTGAGCAGAGAGCTGATAGGGCCAGATGGCCACACCTGGACCAGAACCTCGAGGAGGAGCTCCTTTAAGCAGTGCCGCTCATCTACCCGCTTGCAGGCCACTGCACTGTATCTCCAAGACTTTCCAGGCCAGATTCTTACCAAGGGACTGCCTATGCATCAGGGACTTCTATCTTTTCACTGGGACCATGACAGAGGCACCCACAACTATACCAGGTTTCATGGTGGTATTGTTGGTGCTGCTGTCACTTAATGATACTTTTGAGTGTTTAGTTTTTCTTCATCAAGAAAGGCTTATAAGCTTTAAAGAAAACAACTATCTACTGCCATGAAGATTCCAGAGCTTTTACTCTGAAAAACCACAGAAATGAAATGAGTCAACCTGTTTCCAGAGTTCGGCTAGGGAGAGGTTGTGGGGTATTTTTTCTCCTCTATCCTAGGATGATGAATTATGGAAAGCCATTCAAGAGCTTAGTATTCCTTACTTGGGCTGTTGTCGTGAGTGGGGTGGAAGGAATTCTGCCCTCATCTTTGCACGTCCTGGCTTGTTTCCTTGATTCAGAATGGTGCTGTGCCTTTCAGAGGCAGAACCTGGGTACATGGAAATGCATAGGCATGTAGTTGGGAGTAGAGCTGGACCTGGGAGTTCTCACCTCATCTTCCAGCTGCTGAACTCAGGCTTTTTCCAGAGTTTTATTTCTTCATGTGGATGCATACGGTGTAATAAAAAATCATCCGCTCACTTACAAATTATATCACCTCCAAGCATTCATCTTCAGAAACACGCTTCATCTTCCAGGATACAGAATTTGATAAAGTCATTGCTCAGCTTCAGCGTGAAGACACTGCATTTAAATTTTACCATACACATTTTGTGTTATATGTAAATGGGAGAATCATTCTCAGCAGAATTTTTGAAATATTTCAGGGCAACTATAAAATGTTTTAGACAAGTTGGAAAGCCATCTGAATTACGTATTGCAGAACCTTGAAATCTGAGCTTCACCTGAAATCCCATGGCAGGGGAAGCCATTACAAAAAAGCTTGTATTGAAGCTGTTTCCTCACTGATGAATGGGCATGGCACAAGTATGCTGGGCTTATTTGGTTACATTTATTTCTCAAAATGAACAAGCCAGTACTTTTATGATCTAAGGACAGACAGCTGTGAGTCCATCCCAAAAGTACTTTCAAGTGGCTTTGAAATTTCCCTTATAGACAGTGACGATCATTTGATGCAATGTGGTGGTGAGATTGTCTTCGTTTTGTGTTGCCTCCAACAGGTCCGTACTCTCCAGTAATACTGGTTTACAGATAATGAGGCACTACACACATCTTCCTTTTAATACCCTCACTGGGTCGCCTGTGGTATCATGCCAGGTGGAGAAACAGAAGCTAAACTTCCTCCAGTGAATTTCACCCAGAGTTATTCATTCATTGATTTGCTCATTTATTCAACATATATTGAGTGCCTACCCTGTGCTGGGCCTTATTCTGTATACTGCGGACACAGTATACAGAATAAGACACAGGAGGCCCAAGTCCAAGACACAGGAGGCCCCTGCCCTCAGGCAGCTACTGTTCTTGTGGATGGAGCTTATTTGTATTTTAGCAGTAAAAGGGAGTGGCAGAGCCGGATGGTGACCTGGGCCTTTTAGCTTTGTTAAAAAAATAAAAGATCCTCCGATCCTCCCCCTCACCTCCCACCAACCCCTCCTCCCCGCAATAAGTGTCTTCCCTCAGAACAACCCTTCTAATGTGGTGTGGAAAAAACTCTGCCATGGCCCTCAGCAAAATCCACACACTAAAAGCCTTTGAGGGAAAAGCATTTTCATCAGAAAATTGCTGTGGTCAAGAAGTTTAAAGATCCAGCGATTTTTATTGACATGTTTTGAGTACTTTCTAGTTGATAGAGTCTCAAAACTGGAACTTCTGGAGTGTACCCTGTGAAACTTCTTTTTTCTTGTAGGTCAGAATGGTTGGACATTGGCAATTCCTCATAGTGCAGACCGTGACATTTGCCTCCTCTTTGTATCTGGTGTGTAGTAAGTGCTCAGTAAACATACCCAGAATTGCTGTTATGTCCCAGGCACTCAGACATCTCTGAGCAATCTTAACCATTTGCCTGTTGTCCAGTTGCATTTTTTTTCTTACGTAGCTAAAGTTGTAGAACATATTATTAAAATTTGGTTTTCATAAACTTTACAGCAGTAGCTACCAGGATTTTTCACAGTGTGATCCTCCCTTCCCCAAAGAGTTTCTTAAACCCTCTGATCCGCAGATTATGACCTTTCTAGGGAAGAGGTTGCTGTTATTATCACCTATGGAGGCTTTAATGAAAGGGGCCCTGGTGGCACAGGAGATAAAGCAGACTTGAATTCAGCACCATCCGTCGTGGTGGGGGCTTCCACTCATCCCTCCCCAGGCCCTGTCAGGAGACGCCAGGCGCTTGGCACCCAGTGTGGGCTCAGTAAAGGTTAGCAATGATTTTTGTTATTGCTACTAAATGCCAGTATAGGTAGGCATGCTGTAAAATGAACAGGATAATCTAAGCGGACCTTTTTTTTCCTTTTATTTCTTCCCTTTTACATCATTTCTATTGTTTTGCTGTTATTTGTATATATGTGTGCATGCATTGGAGATGGGGAATACAGCTACGGAGGTTTTGAAGAGGCACAGTATTGGGTTTAGTTTTCATATCAAATCTCACACATTCTGAAATCTGTGAAGAAATGTGTCACATGGTGATGCCTGGCATATAATCAGCTCCTCAGAAAATGCTGTGATTAACAGTAACTCCAACAGATATTTCCTTCTCAAAAGAAAAGCACATGATTTTATAGCATTTTTAAATGCCAGGGCATCTCATCAGCTCAGTCTTTTCAGTAATTTAAAAAAAAAAAAACCCAGATAGTGGAAATTCAGGGTAGTCAATGGAAAAAATTCAATAAAGCTGAATATCTCGGCACCACAGAGTGGTGTCCTTTGAATGTTTGTTTATCATTCAAATATAATAACACCAAAAAGAAAAAAGCATATGAAGTGACGGATATGTTAATTAGCTTGATTATGGTGATTTCACAGTGTATACACCTACTATCATATCAACTAGCATACCTTAAATTATTTTTATTTGTCAATTATACCTCCATAAAACTGGGGGGAAAAGCCACTCTTTTAAAGGCTTAATAGGAAAAAAAAAATCCAAAAATACGTAACAGTTCAAAATGCATTGTTAAAAGAGCAAGTTTAAAAATACTGTGTATAATATGGTCTCATCTGTGTAATATAATAATGGACATGGGAGTAGAATAACAGTAGAAAGAAACACACCAACGGTGTGGGGTTGGATAAGCACACAAAACTTTAACTAGTTCCTTTGTTTTTGAGACAGAGTTGTTGCCTAGGCTGGAGTGCAGTGGTGCAATCTTGGCTCACTGCAAGCTCTGCCTCCTGGGTTCAAGCAATTCTCCTGCCACAGGCTCCTGAGTAGCTGGGATTACAGGTGCCCACCACCACGCCCAGCTGATTTTTGTATTTTTAGTAGAGACCGAGGTTTCACCATGGTGGCCAGGCTGGTCTCAAACTCCTGACCTCAAGTGATCTGCCTCCTTCGGCAGAGCGCTGGGAATAGAAGCGTCAACCACCACACCCGGCCTTAAATTAGTTCTTTATACATGTTTTATTTTTTAAACTTTTTGTAATGAACCTATATTTATTTTGATAATAACAGCTAAAACTACTGAATCTCAGTTAGGCAAGTTGAACACCCTTTTTGCTTGTTGGTGTCTGGTCAGTTTTAATAGTCTGTTTTAGATGTTAAAGGTATCAGATGTTCTGTGCAATAGCCCCAAGGATTGACTTTGCTGAGCTAACTCTCTACAGCGCAGTTCATTTCTAAGTTAAATAGTTGGTCCAGTTTTATCAGCGTGCTCTAGCATCTGTCAGTGCCAGCTATGTTTACAGCTTTCCTTGGAATTGGACTGTGGAAGAGCTGAGAAGCCTAAAGGAAATATTGAATCCTTTGTCTGTTAGAAACCCTAGTAAAGAGAAAGAGAGAGCACCAAATAGCATTGCAAGCATGCGAGAATAAATTCTTCCATTGTAAACATGAAAGAACAAATTTAAAGTCTGGATGAGATACCTTTTTTCTTTTCAATGTTAAGACTCAATTTTGCCTCATTTGTAGAAGAGGGAACCCCCTCACCTCTCAGGTGCTGCCTACATCTCACTGCAGAAGCTACCTTTTTGCTTCTGAGGAGGTGATGGGCCAGTTAAATGTGTATAAGGCAGTTCTGCTGTGCTCTTGGGAAATCCAGTATGCTGGGTGCTCACACCCCAGTGCTGGCCTCCAAGGTGCAGGGCACTGGACTTGCTTGCCTGCTAAAACCAAATCCTTTGTCCCCTTTCTGCTCTGGATGCTGTTTGTCTTGGCATGCCACTCCTAATAACACTTGGAAATAGAAAACAATCCTGAATCCTTGGGGTTTCTCTCTAGATGTCATCTTTACCTTCTTAAAGCTGTCTTTGAATATGAGCAGTGTGTATTTGCATTTATCCAGGTAAAATATTAATCACCAAATAGAGTGTGGAGTGTCCAGAAGTACCAGACACTTGGAGTACACACAGGAAAGTATCTTTTGCTGTGGCAAACTCCAGTTATGGAAGGGGTGTGGATGCTTGAGGTTCCTGAAGTACCAAATTTGATGATGACGTTCCACATGACTGTATGAAGTTAATGTATATATGTGTGTCTCATGTAATGATCTTCAGCAAGAGAGTCTTTTTTATTTTTATTTTATTTTATTTTATTTTTTTGAGATGGAGTTTCCCACTTGTCGCCCAGGCTGGAGTGCAATGGTGTGATCTTGGCTCACTGCAACCTCCACCTCCCGGGTTCAAGCAATTCTCCTGCCTCAGCCTCCCAAGTAGCTGGGATTACAGGCGCCTGCCACCACGCCCAGCTAATTTTTGTATTTTTGGTAAAGACAGGGTTTCACCATGTTGGCCAGGCTGGTCTCAAACTCCTAACCTCAGGTGATCCACCTGCCTCGGCCTCCCAAAGTGCTGGTATTATAGATATGGGCCACCACACCCGGCCAGCAAGAGAGTCTTAAAATGCCTTTTTTTATGTCATGGTCCACGTGGAAGACTTGTTTACATTTAACCTATAAATCTCCTAGAACAATCAGTTACTGAAGATCCACTGAGACAATGTTGTTGGCCTGGGATTGATGCCCAGGCAGTGTGATTGTGGGGCCGTTGCTCATGGCAACCATGTAAACAAACAATCCTTGTATTCTTGCCCAGGTGCTGGTTACCTGTTGCTTTCTGGTCATCTAGAGAGACCTGTAAAATATTTCTGCTGATTTCATTTTTGCTTTGCCTTTCTCTGCCCATAATTATTTAATAAAGCCATCAAAGTGGGAATTTCATTGTGTACTTTTTTCCTTAGGTTGTTTATAGGACTGTGAAGACCTGTCCTAATGCAACCCCATTAATAGTTCCCTCTGCAGAAAAACTCCAGGTTATTCTTATCTTCTCTTTTTTTCCCCATAATTTTAGGTTCTAATGGCATCTCTTTTATCAGTAGCTCGGGGTCTAGAATATTTCCAAAGGTCTTTTGAAAATTATTACTCAAATACTACCTTTTAGCTTACCACTCTGCTGAAACTATTTCAAGCACCCATAGGTTTCTAGCATTTACAAACATTTACATAGTATGAGAAAATTGGAAAGTGGAAATAAAATAAGATGTGGTCTCTGCACTCAGTGACCTGTGCAATACATTGAGCTAAACACCACAGTGTAAAATACTAGATGCTTGAAATTGCTAAATTAGCCACTTAGGAGACTGTGTGGATTTGGAGACACCTAGAAAGTCTTCTTGGTAAAGATGAGACTTTGCTAATAGTTATTCAAAAAAATTGCTATAGAAGTCCAACATGTATATATCACATATATAATGTAGAAAAATGACTGGAAAGAAGTAGCAGAATCCCAGCCAAGTGACAGCATGTGTAATGATTCAGAGCTTGCAGCCTTAAACCAGAATGCCTAGTTCTTCCTATTACTGGCTGTTGGACCACATAACTAAGGTTACTTAACCTCTCTCTACATCAGTTTTCTTGTGTAAAAAGGAGATAATTATGGTACATAACTCATAGGCTTATGTGGGTTAAATGAATTAATATGTATCAAGAATTTAGACCACTGTCTGACCTAAAGAGTACTCAATAAATGTTAGCTATATTGGGCATATTTAAATGGTGAGATTAGGGGAGATTATATTTTCTTCATAGTCTTAAATTTTCCGGACTTTCTACAGTGAACATGTTGGACTTTGATAGAAAAAAATATTTCTAAAGTCAGGTCTTTCAGTAAGCTTTTAAAGATATGTATACCACAGGTGAGTCATACTTTGATGACTAAAAAGTCAATTTGAGCATATTTTAATGGAGGTTAGGCAACATTTTTTGCTGACATTCAATTCAAAATTTTTTATTAACCTCCATAAATGGAATTAAAAGTTTTCCACAAGTTCCCAGGACCCCTTTGCTTCTTAAGAAGTTTTAGCATACATTAGAGTAGACAGTTTGATTCCCTTTGTCATTTGTAACAGTAAGGTATAGTTTAAGAATTGGGTAAACATGCATCTCAGGGGTAATGTAATGTGTTACAGTTGTTTCCAGAAAATATTAATAAATGTAAGTGTTTATATCTTCTTAGAGTAACTTTCTGCTAAATTGTAGTCTCTAATCATTTGTTATACTCTTGTGCTTTATCATTGTGTTAGTCTGTTCTCATGCTGCCATAAAGAACTGCCCAAGAATGGATAATACATGAAGGAAAGAGGTTTAATTGACTCAGTTCTGCATGGCTGGGGAGGCCTCAGGAAACTTACAATCATGGTGAAAGGGGAGGTAAACAGGTCATTCTTCACATGATAGCAGGAAGGAGAAGTGCTGAGCAAAGAGGAAAATGCCCCTTATAAAACCATCAGATCTTGTGAGAACTCATTCACTATCACAAGAACAGCAGCATGAGGGTAACCGCCCCCATGATTCAATTACCGCCTACTGAGTCCCTCCCACAATACGTGGGGATGATGGGAACCATAATTTAAGATGAGATTTGGGTGGGGACACAGCCAAACCGTAACAGTCATTTTATAAAATACTACATATGTCCAATATAGAGGGTAGTTCCCTTATTTCCCAAACAAGATTCAAAAACATGTTTTTTGGTTTTGTTTTTATTGGAGGGGAGTAACCTGAACAGAATATGTAAATGTTTACAGAGGCATGTGAAATACCCATTCATAACATTTTTTTTTAGCTATATATATTTAGGGTCACAGATAAATCACATATAAAATGCTAAGTGAGAAATACTGACTTTTTCCTATTTTATGAGAATTTTTTTAAAATTTTTCTTAGTATTTAACACCAGTTATTTGCTTTGTTAGCTCTTGAGAACTGTTTTTTTTTTTTTTTTTTTTTTTTCATCCAACAGTTTTCAGAGCATCTGTCCTCACTTTTATCTAAGTCGTTAGAGACACGGCACTTCCTGAATCATACATGTCACAGGAAGTATTATCCTGAGCCATGAATCTTCATCCGTGCAGTACTTTAACATATTTTTTCCATTCCTTTTATGAAAGTATATTTATGCTCACCACAATTAACCACTTACTGATTGCTTTTTAAATTAATCTTAAAAGTTGTTTTCAGTGCCATCTGATGCTTGGAATTGTGTAGCTATACCTAGCAGGAATAAATACTAAGTCTGTGTCAGTATTCTTCCCCTTGGTTTCAGTTATCTATTGCTGTGTAAAAAACCATCCCAACTTTGTTGCTTGAAGCACCCAGGATTCATTGTTTCTCATAAGAATTTTCTGCTGGTCTCATGCGGACTTGCTCGTGTCCTAGCTGGGATGGCTGGATTGTTCATCTTGCAGTTGGTGCTGGACAATGGTGGGCTCTCTCTCAGTGGCTTTCATGCACAAGGAGGCTCACACAGGCTTCTTGATACAGCAGCCTCAGAGCATCAGAAGGGCAAGAGTGGATGCTGTCTGGTCTTTGAAGTCTCACTCAGAAGTCACCTGTTGTCACTTCTGTGTTCTATTAGTGCAACTGAGTCCTGAGGCTTGCCCAGGTTTGCACTGAGGAAATCGATTCCACCTCTTGCTGAGAGGAGCAGCAAAGAATTTATCGCCACTTTTAACCCACTACAACCTCAATTTCAACTGATTGTCTCTAATGACTTCTTCTGTAAGCATCCAAAACATCCCTTGATTGAAACTATCTCAAGGTGACCTATCTTCCTTCAACAATATTTTGTGGTTCGAAACTATGTCATTAAGAGAGTGACTTTGAAAACCTATATAAGGACCCAGATGTGAGGTGACTGCCTAGTCTGAGGAATAATGACTTTAAGTTATATTTGTAGAGAGGTGGTAAAGCCAGCGAAGCAGACCCATGGAGAAATGCAAATCTGTCATCAGCCTTGAAGGATGGGGCAAATTTGGTGGTGCCCTGGTTAAGGAGGAACAGCACTGTGTCTTGCTGGCAAAGCCTAGGAGACTAATTTGTAAAATTAACATTTCTTTGAGAATATGCTTTGTTACTAGAAAGCAGTTTGATCAATGTACTCTTGTATAAGCAACTAGATTAAGGAACAAAAGAGACACCTTAAAGAAACACAGTGAGCCTTCAGAGGAGGAGAGCCTTCATATCACTGTAATTAGCAAACGTCTCTTATGCATCAGTTGGGCTGCCATGAGGCTGTAATTACCAGGTCTTAGAGTTTGCCTCTACCTACATCATTGTATAAAATGAAAACCAGATGAAACAATCAAATGTTCTATGCAGGAGAAAAATGGATGCAAAACAAGGCTTGCAAAACTCTTAAGTGCTCTATATTGCTAAAGGTTAACTGCATTGCCTGACATAAGGAAAAACCAGGAAACTACTCTAAATGAGGAGTAGCATCAAGAAACCACAAAAGAAAGAGCTCGACATAATAAATACATTATTAAAATGCATAGTATACAGTGTAAAAGGCAGTCTGCAATTTTTGAATTATGTGTCCTATAAAAGTACATCAGGTAAATATGTGTAATTGGAGTCCCTGGTGCTCTGGCAAAGCTCATTTTGCTGACCTTCAGAAAACTACACTGACTTTTTTAGGAGTATTATTTTGATTTGAAAAAGCTCTTCTTTGCCAGTAAGGAAAAGTACAGTATTTACAGAAAATGAGACAACCACAGTGTACTTAAAGTGTATGTAGTGCATGCGTGTTCTCTGCAAGAAAATTAAAAGTCTCTGTTTTTCATTCAGAAGTAATTAGAGAATGTCTTTTGTGGCTGCTGGAAAACAGATGCAAGACTCCTAGAAGTCTGAAGTGTAAAATTAAAGTAGAATGTATCATTGGGTGTCCTAATCTTCAGGTAATGGCCCAGGCCTGGGAAAAGTGAACAGACTTTGTGTTCCCAGTTGTAAATGTGCTCCATGGAGTCTATGATCATGCTCACTCAAGATGTGACAAAGCATAAAGAGTCATTTTGGTCCAGAAATCCCTGTTGGAACATTAAACTGGGTGCTGATATTGACTATGATACCTGGAAAAAAGGCCTCCCATCATTTCTTAAAGAAGATAACAGTTGTACCAGGCACAACGGTTCACTCCTGTAATCCCAGCACTTCAGAAAGCCGAGGCGGGCGGATCATTTGAGATCAGGAGGTCGAGACCAGCCTGGCCGACACAGTGAAACCCCGTCTTTACTTAAAAAAAAAAAAAAAAAATTAGCCGGGTGTGGTGGCGCAGGCCTGTAATCCCTGCTACTTGAGAGGCTGAGGTAGAAGAATCGCTTGAACCCAGGAGATGGAGGCTGCAGTGAGCTGAGATGGTGCCACTGCACTCCAGCCTGGGCGACAGAGTGAGACACCATCTCGAAATAAATAAATTAATTTAATTAAAAAAAAGAAGATAACAGGTCTTATTGGCCTTTCATTAACTAGTACTGTCCATAATTTCAGAACATTCCATAGAAGGTGGAAAGTTGAGGCCCTTGCCTGGGAATTGTTGATGCCAAATATCAACACATTTCCAAATATTAGACTGATTAGTGTCACAGGTTTAAGCCACCTGGTCAAATAAAGCAAATTTTTCACCCTTATTAGAGTAGGTTAACTGCTGTAACAAACAACCGTAACACTTCAGAGGCTTAACACAATATTTATTACTTGTTCAAGTCAAGGGCCAAATACAGTTCAGCAGGCCAAGGGCTCTGTTCTTTGCAGGGATTTAGGAACACAGTCTTCTCCATCTGTGGCCCCACCTTCCCTAGGATCTCTGAATCTTTCCACTTGGAAAGAGGATGAAGATCCAACAGGGGAGATTTTTATGGGGCAGGCTCAGGAGTGGTGTACATTGCATCTGCTCACATTCTGTTGGCCAGAACTCTGTTACCTGACCCCCAGCCAACTGCAAGAGAGGCTGAAGGCTGAATTGAGCTCAGAGCCCAGAGCAGCATCAGTGAGCATTAGCAGTCTCTGCCCTAGCTTTCCTGTTGAGGACCAGGGCAGAAGGTCATGGCAACTGGGACTCTCAGACATAGTTTTCAGTCTGAGTACAAAATAGGAGGCCTCTCCAGTGGGCCTGGATTATATGCAACGAAAACAACTCTTGCAATACAGGAGAAATTCTCTGCAAACAGAGGGATTAAGACCCCACCTCTGCGACCCCCGTGACCTAACAGAAGTAAAGCCACTTGATCATATTTATCTCAGAGTCCATTTCCTTTCTTGTGTCTGATGCATTGGTTCTTGAATGTGGAAAACCTCTTTCCCTTGGGTAGAGACCTACCACCATGTGGGACTTAAGGACCAGGACAGCTGAATAACACGTGTGGCATTCTAGACACATGGCCTTCCTTTCAGTCTCTAAATTACGTATATTGGTTTAAAGAAGCCTTTGTTTCTTAAAATAAGTTCTCAATGCTCCAGATTAGAAGCAGCTGGAAATCTTTGGGAAGGGGCAGAGGTTTCAGATGTGCTTCTGTGTATTTTTTTCAGTGGACATGACAGATGCTCCAAAATGACACACATACCTGTCATGCCAGCAAAGCCACATCCTCAGGGTGTCTGCCTTAGCAGCAGTGATGCCTGGGTTGTCAGGGTGGGCTCTGGACCACCACAAGCAGTACTGCTGGGGATCCCATTGTGGGACACACTCCACCATTTCCATCCTGTCAACTCCTCTTGCAGGCAGGCTACAAGGACACCAGGAGAATATGGAATGGAGCACTGGAATCAGAATGCTCATTCTTGATATTTTATTAATTCAATGTAATGAAGCTTTCAACATCTCTGGGATGCACAGTTGGTTCCTTGGAGTCATTAAAGATAGCAGATGCCAAGACCTATTAGAAATGGCTTACAGTGGAGTGCAGTGGCAGAGACCTTTGTATTTATTACCATGAGCAAAGGTTACATTCTAAAGAAAGAAATTACAGTTACATTCCTTGGTATTGTTGTTGTTGGTGTAGCTCAATCACATTTATTGTTTGTATGTGTTAAGGGGACCTGTCTAAATCATATCATATTTTTCTTTTACTTTGGTGTTACATAATATATAATTACAGAGAAACCCCAAATCCAAATCCTTGTAAAATTTCCCTTTACCTGCAGTTAATTCCTAAGCCAAGTTACTTCAGGGCATAGCTAGAGTCTGCTTTGCTTGTTTTTGCAATATGCCATGCATGTGGGTGCGTAATAAATGGTATTCTACAATCACCTTCAAGGTGTACATTATGGGCGAGATTTACACCATATGTAACAACAGAGGACTGGAGAATGACAGTTTAGGAAATGCAGGTTATAAGCGTGCAATTACTCTAATTATGGACCTAAATGGAACTTGACTTGTTTTCACTCTGTAGTCAGTCCATGTGAACTGTCAGGCGAAACTTTCACAAGATATTCTCTCCCCAAAAAGGCAGCTCTGTGGATATGTGTCTGTTTTTATTTTCTCGAGAGCCTTTGCTTTCACTTTAAGCTTTGGGAATATGGATAGGGGCACTGATAGCCCATGGCTTGGCTGATACATCTTTGCCTTTGCTGTTACTGGGCATTTGTATCACTGATGCTCCAGTTAAGTCTCCATTCAGGTGTAGAGAGAGGAATCCTTGGATACTGTGAGGGCATTTCCAAGTCCTTATTTGCATATCTTGATGATATATTGGAGTGTGAAGAAATGCATGATCATCACAAAGTGATTGTCACTGTATTGCTCTGCTTAGAGTAAGCCCTGCTGCAATAACAAACAACTTGGAAAATTTCAGAGGCCTGCAACAATAATATATTTCTTGCTCTTGATACATTTCCATTTTGGGTCAGCAGCTGCTCTGTTCCATGTCATTAGCCTTCTAGAACCCAGGCTAAAGGAGCAGCCTGCCACCTGGGTCATTGCTGGTGTTAAGGCAGAAGGAAAAGACAACACGGCAGACCCAGGTGATGGTCCTTAGCCTTAACCCCCGAGAAGGGGCAACCAATGACTTCACAAGGCACATTGCATTAACAAGTGACAGGATGAAGTCTGACATCACCAGGGCAGGGAAGTATCATCTCCCCACAGAGAGGGGCAGCAAATAGACTGAGCAATAAATAATACAGTCTACTGCACTCAACAAGACACAAGAGTGACTTGCTCAATGCTGTCCTTTGTAAACCAGAAGTGTTTTGAAGACCGGATAGCAAACTATTAGAAAGATAGAAATGACATCTACCCTCTTTTCTGAGCCTCAGTTCCGTAAAGGTATCTTAGAATCATCAGTGTCAAAAGATATTATCTACAAGATATGAAGAGAAGAATAGGAAATCTGTGAAAAGTGGAGCAGAACAAGAGCTTAAGAAAGGCAGTACTGCCGAGGCAAGACCTAGGGGCTCCTGCTGGCCCACAGACTCCTTGTAAATCTTGACCCATGGTTTTCTGAACCTCTTGAGATCTGGTCATTAGTTCCCATGAACATATTCCTTTCTACAAGCATTTCATTCCAGGAAACTACTGGAATGAGTCTGCTCCTTTCACCAGAACTCTTAAGTGTTAAAATAACAAAAATCAACACATAAAATGAGATGCACTAGCTGTAAAATTCATTTCCAAAGATGTAGGGATGTCCCAAATTCAAAAAAAGAGAGACGGAATTTAACCTCCATTGGAATCTTGACTGAACATGGAAGATTACTGCCAATGGAATTAGCGTAGCTTCAGAATAAACAAGAGTGGGTCAACTCATTCACCCACTGATTCAGCCCTTCATTGTTATGTGCTGGGCATTGTTGCAGGTATTCGGGGGTTAGAGGAAAAGACTGAGACAAGCAGGAGCCCTGCTTCTGAAGCATTTACCTTCTAGTGGGTGTGACAGTTAATGATCAATCATTTGCTCACTTGTAAATTAATTATTCAAAAAAACCTATTATTAAATGTTGGGGACTCAACGGTAAGCAGAAGAATCAAAGGTCCAGTCCTCATGGATCTGCATTTTAATGGGGGAATAAATAGAAAATAAGTTATAAATAGAAAATAATAACTGCCAAATTGACATATAAGACATCCGGTGGTACTAAGTGATAAAAAATGAAGAAAGGAGAGTGGGGGTAGGGAATTGGGGGTAGGGACTACAGAGTTGTAGTCAGATGTGCTATTTGGTATAGGGTGGTCAGGCTAACCTCACTGAAGAGGTGACCTGCATGCAGAGGGGAGAAAATGAGGCTGATATTCAGTGAAGGAACACAAAATGCAGAGTGGAACACCCAGTAACACACCTATAGCTGATTTCTTTGCCTTCTCTATCCTGGGTTTCTTATTTTGTGTATTACACCTTGTAAGACCCTCCCACTTCAAATGCAGGGGCAACTGATGACTTCACAAAGATAGTGGTGGTTACTGTGGACATTTGGTGGATAATCTGTTTCTTATATGGGATACGTTCCCAACATAATCCCCTAGGCCACTCTTGTTACAAAATTTAAAAAAAAAAACAATTTTTTAAAGTCCTTTGAGTTTCTAATATGCCATGGATAGATATGTTTTCAATTATTGCATTTGGAGTTCAAAATAAAAAAAAGATTGATATGTGATTTAAAATTCTGGTGATTCTACAGCTCTGAAAGTAATTGAAATTTGTTTTTGAAAAGATTTGAGTAAGTGGATAGAGGTAGAAGTTTTGGGAGGAAGTTCTGTCCTTCGCAATGGCTCCATTGTCAAGCAAAATTAAGGCAAGTAAAAATTGCAGTTGGCTTATGTGCTGAATCCCAAATTAGTTTGGGATTCAGTTGCTTTTGCCTTAACTTTCGCCATAAACAATATGGAAACTTGATTAAGTTAACTTAATTAAGAGAGATTGCTAGATGAGGTTATTAGAAATCTTTTGTAAAATGCTTCATTTCTGATCCATTTGATGTCAAACATTTTTTCCTGTCTTTGATGTTGAAATAATCAGATTAAAATCAACTTGTTAAATATGAAACCTATGGACGTAAAGACCCATTGAGTTAAAGACTTCTCAAAGAGTTTCTAGGTTTGCCTTTTTTAAACTGTGATTTTCAGTAGCAGATTTGTTTGCGAATGCAGTTAGTGGCTAGATTTCTAGATTCTTCTGGTCAGGAACACTCTAGCCGGCAGTCACTACACTGAAGGGCTGAATGATAAATTTGAAATGAGATCAGATTTCTCGCTTCTTACATTACCACAATAGACCATTGACCCTCTAAACAACAGCCATGGCAATATGTGCCCCCAGCAAATAACATGGAGATCTGTAATGCCTCTTCACTTATTCTCCCAGGACTGAACATGCTCTTTCTGCGAGGTCATCTTTGTTCTTGGTTGTTTCTAGATGCAATTCAGGGTGTTTAGTGGAAAGCAGGTAGATCTTAAAGTCATGCAGACCCAAGTTCCAATCCTGCTGCTGTCGGCCTGTGAAAACTTAGACAAGGTATTTTCTAAGCACCTTTCTTCATGTGTTTGCCAGAAGTAACAATATCACAGTGAGTGTGTAATGAGGATCAAAGTGAGATGACTCAAGGAACGCCATCAGCACAATGCCTGGCGCACGATAGGTGCCCATTATTTGTTATTTATGTTTGCAAAGCTGGAGAGATGGAAATTATTATTCAGGTGTCCTGACCTTGTTTGGGAGTATCTCCGCAGTTGGTAGGCTTGAGCTGAATGTCATCAAAGAAGAGTTTTATTGAACTAACACTGTGCTTAAAAATGCTTGGAATTTGGCTGGGCGTCGTACCTCACGCCTGTAATCCCAGCACTTTGGGAGGCCGAGGTGGGTGGATCACGAGGTCAGGAGATCGAGACCATCCTAACACGGTGAAACCCCGTCTCTACTAAAAAAAAAATACAGAAAATCAGATGGGCGTGGTGGTGGGCGCCTGTAATCCCAGCTACTCGGGAGGCTGAGGCAGGAGAATGGCGTGAACCTGGAAGCAGAGCTTGCAGTGAGCCAAGATCGCGCCACTGCACTCCAGCCTGGGCGACAGAGCGAGACTCCGTCTCAAAAAAAAAGTTTGGAATTTGTTGCCAATGATTCAAAATTGGGAGACTTTTACAGAAAAGTCTGGAGTTTTGGCATTATTTTATACAACACTCTCCTCTCCCTGAGTCCCCACAGGGCCAGCTATCAGCAGGGGCTGAAAGTGGCTGCTTCCGTTGGGTGGAGATGTATGTGCTGGGTTCATTTCCCTCCTTCATGTTTCTGCCTGAACCCTGAATGCAGCTAAAGTATTGATGACACTCGGTCTAGACATTAGGCTGATTAGACTCGATGAGCAAATGTGTGTATTTTCTGTGTGTAGCATTGGGAATTTGGGAGGCTACATGTAGGCCTTGAGATGTGTTTGTCTCTGGACCAGGAAGGCAGTCCCTTATACACCAATGACTGAAGGAGAGATGCCTCCTTCTGAGGAGCCTGTCTCTTTGATTGAGAATGCAGCTTTGGTAGCAACTAATCAGAAGTAGTATTTGGGAAGAGGGTTGGGACACTGGGTCAGGCAGAAAGATCAGCCACTATAACCAGCCATGGAGCACAGTGATAGATACAATCCCAAGTCATCCTCAAGTGTAACACAGGCAAACATGGTTATGATAGAGATAGGAACAAGGGAAGATTAGGGAAATAGCATCAGTAGAATAGGACACATGACTGACCGTGGAGAAGCCAGGGAGAAAGGCAGGATTCATTTGATTCAAAACAAACAGGATAGTTCATTTTCCAACACCTTTTGGGACAGTGTTAGCACTCCTTTTTTTTTTTTTTTTTTTTTTTGAGACGAAGTCTCGCTCTGTCACCCAGGCTGGAGTGCAGTGGCGCGATCTCGGCTCACTGCAAGCTCCGCCTCCCGGGTTCATGCCATTCTCCTGCCTCTGCCTCCTGAGTAGCTGGGACTACAGGCACCTGCCACCATGCCTGGCTAATTTTTTTGTATTTTTAGTAGAGACGGGATTTCACTGTGTTAGCCAGGATGGTCTCGATCTCCTGACCTCAGGATCCGCCCACCTCGGCCTCCCAAAGTGCTGGGATTACAGGCGTGAGCCACCACGCCTGGCCAGCACTCTTGATAAAGTAAAGATAATTAGAAATTATAGTCAAGTAATAACCTTTTCCATTTATCTGGTTTTCTTCAGAGCTTTATCCCTTATCTGATCTTCATAACCTGCTAAATTTGTCACAACAAAGTAACAGAAGAGTTGTCAATATGCTGGTCCATTGAACGAATTAATGACATCTCTTTCTTAAAATTCAAAGTTTTGATTGATTAAATTTTGAGGTACATAAGAAATGAATAGAAACCAAAGATTTTCCTGATTTTCTCTCTAAGAAATAAATCCAAAATTTCTGGTTTAAATTTACTTTAAAAAATAAACAAAAAACATTTGATCTGCATTGTTCTCATCACAATTTAAGAGACTATATTCAGCTATGAATGCCATTTACGGTTTTGTTCTTATATTTGACCCAGATTTAGCATAACCAGGTAAACCAGGACTTTTTACAAGATCACTTTAATGGTTACTTTGATTTAAAAAAAAATTCTCAAAGCGCCAAGA
Organism: Homo sapiens; assembly: GCF_000001405.40. Classification (NCBI taxonomy): domain Eukaryota; kingdom Metazoa; phylum Chordata; class Mammalia; order Primates; family Hominidae; genus Homo; species Homo sapiens. Next base: position 73,530,468 of record NC_000003.12, on the reverse strand, counting down.
ATTGCCTTGGTTTTCATAAAAACTTGAATATGTTGTCATTGATACTGTGGTTATTCATGTTAAGTTCTCAACTAATGTCCATTTCTGTGAAGGATTTTGTAGGGAGCCAGTACATAATCGTGGTTTTGTCATTTGGTAGTGGTCTTATGTAACCACTTAATTTTTATTGCAAGAGTGTTAAGTCATAAAAAGTGTCTACACTGTGCTCAGTAAAAGAACCAGACCTCTCTAGACATCTTTGTGGTCATTGTTCCAGCATTCCAGCGTTAACTTCAGGCTGACAGAGAATTCAGATCAACAGAACCACTGTGGTGAGGCCAAAATTTGACCCCCAGAGTGCGATGGGAATTTTTGTTCTGTGGCTTTGCACTGGGCTTTCGTAATGGTTATCAGAGTTTAAGAAATTATGATTACATGAATGGGTAAGAAGTAAAATCATGCTAATAATGATGATGATGATGGTGACAGCTAACATTTATGGAATGCTTACACTTGCCCGGTACTGTTCTGAGGGCTTGCTGTGCATTAATGCATATAATTTTTACAACCATCCTATAAGGAAGGGACTGTTACTCTCTCCTATTTATAGATGATGAACCTGAGGCATAGTGAGATTAAATGACTTGCCTAATATAGAGCATTTAATGAAGTGGCAGAACCTAGACTCAACCCAGCCTGGCTGATGTTTGTTTTTGGTTTGTTTGAGGGAATTAATGAGTAAGTCAATCAAGATGATGTAGTTGGACACAGGCACTTTGAAACAGATTTCTTATCTTTCTATCCAGCCCCTTGGCATCACCTTGATAACCAGCTTTATTTTACTGTTTCTGTGATTTCTTTGTCCCACCCTCCCACAGCCCTTTTGCTTAACAAAGTGCTTTGCGGATAATAGAAAGCCAGTACTTGCTGGCTTGAATTAGAAATGGATGATCTGAGCCATACTAGAGTGCAGTGAGGCAGAAGGAGTCCCAAAGGTGGCAGTGCAAACGTTCTCACTGTAGCAGGGGTACAGAGCCATAGGGGGAGGGGTGGGGACTGTGGGCAGTGAAGAACATGTAGCAGAGAAACCTCAGGTCACCTGTTTGCAGCCCTGGATAGAGGCAGGTGTTTGTTTGCCCTGGCTTGGTACAGTTTTGTCTTAATGCCTTGGGACAAGCACATGGCCAGTGGCAAGGGTGCCGGCACCAAACACTTGCACGGTCTCTTTCCCCACAGCTACTAAACAAGAAGCTAGACCACCAAGCTCTTGAGATTTCTTAGTCCGTGTTTAGAAGATAATCAACAAAACCTTTATGTAGAAAGACAGACCGTAAGATTTTTTCCAGCAGAGGTGCTTACTTTTTATTTGCCCACATGGACCCCGGTTCCAAATCCTTGCTCCACAGCCCTAGCCACAGAGACACAAAACAAAAACCCCTGAAATATCTGTAAGTATACTTTAACCTTGTCAGAGTGATTTTGGAAAACAGGGTGATCAGCAAGTTTTATCCCCACTAACCTTTGGGTTAGTGATTTTTTTGTTTAGAAGGTTTGCTCTGTGTGTGCATGTGCGTGTGTGTGTGTGTGTGTGTGTGTGTGTGTGTTTCCCACAAAAGATTCTTAGGACTAAATGTGTCCACTTTACCTTGCCATTCCCCTTCTTCCTCCACTCCAAAAAGCATTGATGCACAGACCTCAATGCCAGATTGTGTACAACAAGAAATTCTTTACCAATATCCAGTCCCGCAATCTAGTTCATGCTGTTTCACCATCCTTTAAAAATGGTTCGTTTTGTTACTTTTTTTGATCTTCACAACATGGCTCTATTATATTCACAACATGGCTGTGAATATAATTGAAATCCAGCTGGAAATAGAGTGAAGAATAGCATTTAGTGTTTAAATTAGCAGAATTTGAGATCATCCTTATTACTTCGTAATCGCATATAAAAGATCATTCTCTTTCTGAGTCAGTTGTTTATTCTTGACAGTTTATCCCCAAGACTCTCTCTTGGGCTAAAACTGGGCCGTGTTTTCTTTTGGTAACATTACTCTAACTTTAACAGTGCTCCCCTGTATATTGCGTGATTTGTCTAATCTTTATTGATGATTGCTTGCCTCCATTGGCCATTCTTCCCATTGAAATGTTTTTCTCTACACTGGTAGCCTCGAGACTCCTTAGGAAGCTTCCCCTGGCCTTCGGTAAGGTTATAACAGATAGTCAGCCTTCCTGGCACACCAGTTAAAGCAGGACTGGGCGTTGGAAGGTTTTTAAAGCCAGCTGCTCAAAATACCTGCATCCCAGGCAGGTCTAAGGAGGAGAGATCCAAGGCAACCACGTCAGTAATAAGGAGCCATCCAGCCCTCAATCTCTTTAGTCTGGGGGAGCAGCCCTTGACCTCTGAGCCCACTGCTTTTTGACCTTGACCTCCATACTTCTGAGTGTCAGCAAGAGCGATTTGTCCAGGTTTATTGTGTGTGGACATAAGCCGGTGGGCTTTTGGCTATGCCAGCACAGAGAGACCTCATGAGTTGAGCCAATGAACATCTGCTCATCGTGGGATAAGAGTTCTCTGTAGTTCGTGTTTTGCCTCATGCGAGTAAATAGGGGTTTATTTCCATCCTTTGGTTTTTAGGTCAAGTGGTCTTTCTGGGTGGTCTGGGACATGACATGAAAAGTGATTATTTAGGATTCCTCTTGTCCTTCTTTCAACAATGCCGAGCCCACATTAACCAGAGTTCTGGAAAATGAGTCTTTCTACTATTAGGAGTGGGCAAATTCTTTTCGTAATTAGTTAGACCACTTTAAATAGCTCAAAGAAAGACAGCCACTTTCCCTGAAACAACTTTATTCATAGACCTGAGAATTCTGAGAACAGCTCAGAATGTATGATTTTTTTTTTCATGTCCTAGATTTAGGAATTGGAAATAGCGAGGCTGACAGTCAGATTCTAGTACAGATGGAATTTTTGATTCTTCATATTTTATCATAAGAGAAATTAGAAACTTTTAGAAAGAATCGCCTAACCTAATATCTACTGCACATTCGAGGACCTCAGCATTCTAGCTGCCCTTTACTATGAATGCAAGATATCCGTTTCTAATGGATTTTCAATATTGAATTGATAAGATCTAGGATGAAGTATAACTTGTGGCCTTAAAAACCATTTACTGGTTCATATCCTATGCGGAGGATAGGAAGTGAGTAATGGAAGCTGCCTTTTACTGAGCACCTACTTGATGCCAGTCCCTGCATGAGGCCTTCTCCATATATTGTCTCCTTTCATCCTTACCACTGTGCATCAGGAAGGTTATATTGTCCCCATTTCACAGAAGGTAAAAACTAAGACTCAGCCAGGTGCAGTGACTCACGCCTGTAATCCCAGCACTTTGGGAGGCCAAGGCAGGTGGACTGAGGTCAGGAGTTTGAGTCCAGCCTGGCCAGCATGGCAACACCTACTAAAAATAAAAAAAATTAGCTGGGGGTGGTGATGAGCACCTGTAATCCCAGCTACCCAGGAGGCTGAGGCAGGAGAGCCGCTTGAACCCAGGAGGCGGAGGTTGCAGTGAGCCAAGATCATGCCATTGCACTCCACCCTGGGCGACAAGAACAAAACTCCAACTCAAAAAAAAAAAGTAGCTGGGCATGGTGGCAGACGCCTATAGTCCCAGCTACTTGGGAGGCTGAGCCAGGAAACTTGCTTGAGCCCAGGCAGTGGAGGTTGCAGTGAGTCGAGATCACCCCACTGCACTCCAGCCTGCGCAACAGACTGAGACTGTCTGGAAAAAACAATAACAACAACAGCAACAACAACAACAACTAAGACAAAGTTTATGGGACAGGACTAGAGAATATGCACATTCTCCACATTGCTCTGTCTGTATGTCCTCAGTTCATAATTGAATAAGCTTTTGTTTCATGGCTACAGATTTGTTCTTCATAGATATATTGTACTTTGTTTCTGACTGCTCCTGGATGCAAAGTTGATGTGAAAACCTGACAGGAGAGATGTAATGGAGATAATGTTCTGAGTTTATGCTGGTGAGGTGCTGGCAAGGCTGGGGCTTAGAAAACAGAAGTCTCCAGCTCTCTAGTTCCTTATCTGTGGAATGGGTATGGGGATACTTGATGGGTTGGTATGAGAATACTCTGATTGAATTATGAATATACAAGTAAATTGATTTGATGACTCCTTATTCAGCATCTTTTAGTATTGAGGCTGTGGATGGCATTAGATATACAGTGGTGAATAATAATAGTGCTCATTTTACAAAGGGCTTATTATGTACCAGAGAGCGTATTAAGTGCTTTCCTTGCATCATCACTTTTGATTTCAAGCACAGAAAAAACATGAGGTAGGTAATATTAACCCTACATCTACTTAAGATGAAGAAACTACCGCCCAGAGAGGTTCAGTAACTTGCCGAGATCACGTAGTCCGTGCACAGCAGAGCTGAGATTGGGAGCCGACAATCTACCTCTAAAGCCTGTGTTTTCACCATGACATCCTAATGTGTGGCTCCATCTACTGACACAGAGGGTCCCTGCCCTCAGGAAGCTCACAGTCCAGTGGGGAAAGGACAGAAGCGAAGCAAACATAAAGACAATGCACAGCTAAGTGCCATGAAGGAAAGGGACAGAGTGAGATGAGAGAAACAAGCAAGGAAAACCACGTGAGACTGGCGAATGCAGGAAGCCCTCGCTGAGGGGGTGAGACCCAGAAAATGCAGGAGGCAACAAGTAGGGAGCAGCATGCCTCGCCTTGGCAGGGGGACCACCATGTGTGAGCCTAGACATGGGAAAAATCTGGATACCAGGGGCTCAACTAAAGTAGCTGCTCATCATGAGTGCATGTGGTTATTGGTAAAGAATACTTTGAGCTTAAAACGTATTCCCAATCAGTTGGAAGAAGAACTCTGCAGCTCTCTCTCCGGATTTAGTGCCTTCTCTATTTTGTTACATATGTTCAAATTTATGAACATGAAAGGGATTCAGCCTTTGCTTGAATGCCTATAAGTGGCCACATTTCACAAATCCTCTCCCTTCTCCCAAATGTGGGAAAACAGAAGGAAGGAGAAGTTTTGAAGTTCTGCCTCCAGATATTTCCTCAGTGGTCTTTTATGGGGCTTGATTCCTTAGAAACTGACATGTGTTCATAAAACATGGCATTCCTCTGCATATATATACACACACGTATACATAGATACATGACTTAACAAAATTATAACTATGAGCAAGGAAGCCCTCAAAAAAGCAGTTATTATAAATGCTGAAACATGCTATGCATAAAATTAATGAATGTTAATTTATTTGCTCTGCTTTTAACAGGGCCACATCATGGAAACCACCAGAAAAGATTTCAAGAAAAACCTTTCTGCTAGTACCTACCCAGACCTTTTGACTCTGGCATAGAAGGCAATATTTAAAAAAGAAATTATATAGATAATATATATAATTTTATTTATATAAATACATATATATTTTATTATAAATTTATAATTTCTTATATCTGTGATTTTCATATATATGAATCAGATCTATGATTTTCATATATATGAATCGGATCTGTGATTTTCATATGTATATGAAAGATGAAAGATCGTATATATATGAAAATCATAGATCTCCTGCCCTTCTGTGGTATGTTTCACCTCCTGAGACACACTGAATATTTTCCTAAAATTTAAACTAGGATTATGTTCACTTTTAATTTGCATGCCTGGGTAACAATGTCACTAACCTTTGCTACTCCTTTATAAATCGAAATTAATTAAACTGGAGCTTGCCAATGAAAACACAGCCTTTTAAACATAGATTTCTGGTCTGTAGCCCCGTCTAGGAAAAAAAAAATCTCTTTTATTAGAAATTGTTGATCTCACATCAAAGCAGCAAGAGAAAACCAAATTCTCTTTCATTTTTAATAAAAAGGCTTTCTGATCTCCAAGGGCACACCTGACCGTGCCACTTGCAGTACAGGCAGCCTGTGATAAGTGGCCCACAGCAGTCAAAGCCTGTGCTTTCAGAGTTCACTGTTTTTTCCGAACTTGATCTGTTCAGAGAGGCTAATTTGTTACTCAGAGGGAACTTGAAATCTCCCTGTGATTGCCTTGATAGCTGGTGGTAATATGCATCACTGTGGTTTTTAAGCTTTTTTAAAGACTTACTTTGACTATCTTTAAGAGAAAGGAGTTTTGTATTTTCTTGCTTTACATAAATTAAGCCTCAACTTTAAGTTTGCAGCTAGATTGTCTTCTGGTCTCCAAAATTCTTTGATATGTTTACAGCCTTGACTATTAAAAAGGATGATGGTATCTTGCCATGCCTTCTTTTTTGCAGGATTCTATATTAAATAGTAAAAGTCAGCCTGTTAGTCCAAATGTTTCCCAAATACCCTGAATATAGTGCCTTGTGAAAGGAGAGGTCCCGGGGAAGTGTAAGCATGCCCTGTGATATCTACTTGTAAGAAATATTTCATTTCACTGAAACTATCCATTACTGATTTTTGCAAATCCAATAAATTGACTCCCAGGCTCTGAACTCCTTTTACAGAATGCTTTGGATCCTTTGCCAGGGTCTCAGTGAATGCGTTCTCTACTTGTTCATTTCCTGCTGCTTTTTGAAAAGCCTTCTGCCTCCTTTCTGCCAGTTGCATCTGTTCATTCCTAAATGAGTGCAGCTTCCAGAAAGCAGTGGCCAAGGACATCTGAGCAATGGGAGGGCTGTGTGCTCTCCTGCTGTGTAACACTGAGGTTGATGCTTGTCTTATGAAGCCATTCCATCCCTGTAGTTGTGCCACCATATTTTTCTTCGGACCTTTAACCAACTGTTCTGTTTTTGTGATCATATTTTTCACTTATTTGAAGTGCTGTAGTAAATATTTTTTCATAGTATTCCTTATGACCCTCAGTAAAACTTTGGGTTTTTTTCTTCCTGCAAAGAATCCCTATACAGTGCTTTTGTTGTTTGATATTTTATATGCATAAATGTGTGTATTTGTATGTATGTACATATATTAATGTGTACATATATATATATAGCTATTGCAATTTGTGACTATTTAAATAAATGGTATTATAATTTGTTCTAAAGTTTCTTAAGGTAGTCCATTATGTAATCTCTAAATAATGAGAATTGTTTCTCTCTTTCAAATATCTCTTCCTTTTGGCCCCGTATGGTGGCTTATGCCTATAATCCCAGCACTTTGGGAGCCCAAGGTGAGTGGATCACCTGAGGTCAGGAATTTTAGACCAGTCTGGCCAACATAGTGAAATCCCGTCTCTACCAAAAGTACAAAAATTAGCTGGGCATGGTGATGCATGCCTGTAGTCCTGAGCAGCTACTCAGGAGGCCGAGGCAGGAGGATCACTTCAACCAGGGAGGTGGAGGTTGCAGTGAGCCAAGACTGTGCCACTGCACTCCAGCCTGGGCGACAGAGCGAGACTTCTTCTCAAAAAACAAACAAACAAACAAACAAACAAAAAAAACTCTTCCTTTTATTGTGTTTTTCTTGTCATATTTCATTGGCTAGAACATCCTGTGCTATCATAACTTTTCATTTAGACACACATCATTGAGGTTTGAGTGAATTCATAGTTAGCAATTATGTCCTAGAGTAGTAATTCCAATTTTGTCATAAAATATAAAAACTGCAGACTGATACAAGTAATTCATATTAGGTACAACTATTGAAGAACAAATTATGTCATCTCTAAATAATGAGAATTGTTTCTCTCTTTCAAATATCTCTTCGTTTTGGCCAGGCATGGTGGCTTATGCCTATAATCCCAGCACTTTGGGAGGCCAAGAGCAAATCTTCTGTAAAGTGAAATATTCCTCCAAAAACAAAGAGGAAAATTATTGCAGTTCCATTTATCAGGTGCTTCCAAGAGGTCAGATACCAGGTTCAGAGGTAAAAACTCACTGTATTTGATTCTCACATCAAATTTCTGAGGTCTTACCATTGTGCCCCTTTTACTGCCAAGGAGACTAAGGCCTAGAATGTAAGTAACTTGTTAGACATTGTCATAGCATGGCGATAAATGCAGACCCTTCTGAGGAGCACACAGCCTGCTCACTTTATAGCACTAGCATGTTTTGATGCTTATGGCCCCAAGGTAAGTTAAAATGTCTTTCATTTTTATGTCAGTAACTGGAAAGTCTAAAAGTTAAATTAAAAAGAATTCCACTTGTGAGGAAGATCATATCTGGATGTCTATCTCATGTGTATCTCCACATTTAGTGTTACTGTCGATCAGGGGCCAGCATACTTCTTTAAAGGGCCAGAGAGTCAATATTTTAGACTTTGTGGGTTATGCTGTCTCTGTCGGAACTACTCAGCACTACTGACGTGGCATGAAAGCGGCCGTCGACAAGATGAAAGTGAATGGGTGTGGCTGTGTTTCAATAAAACTTGATTTATGGACAGTGAAATTTGAATTTCATATAATTTTCACATGTCATAAAATATTATTATTTCAACCACTGAAAAGCTTATAAGCCTTACAGAAACAGCCCATGGGCCAGATTTGGCTCACAGGCTGTAGTTTGTCAACCCTGCTCACTACACTGAAGTCTTAGAACTTTGACAAAACAGAGAGGGAGAGGTGCATGCAACCACTGCTTCTACAACTCGTCCTTCCCCATGACAACAGGTATTTAACAAACATTTCTGAGGGCCTGCTACTGCATGACAGCCCCAATTTGGGCAGGAAAGATACAGAGACAAAACAAATGTTTTTCTGGAGGTTTTGTAGTCTACTTGGAGAGGCGTTGCAGGGTGGAAGAGGTAAAATAATAATAATAAGAAGAATAATTACAACGCAGTATGCAAAATGCTTTAGACTTACAGCAGAGTGTGCAGCAGCCATCGACTTCAGCAGGCATCTGGTGGATGCTGGGCTTCTAGAATCTCAGGCCCTCTGGAAGTGCATCTCAATCCCCCTCAGTATCTTGTAGCAGGCTAAGTCTTTTTGGAGAGACTCAACAAGTTTTTAGGTCGTGTGATGGAGTTCCTGATTGCACACTGCTGTGCTGGAGGCAATTCAGAGACCTCAGAGCAGCGAGCGAGCCCAGCATCTTTTTAATCTGGCGCCATCTGCCCGCCTACCCCTCCCAAATGCACATTTTGATCCTCTGAAGCTTGGCAAAGCTTTCCTCAGCTGATCTCAGCTCCTCAGAATGAGAGTTAATGGGGAATTGGAGGGCTGTGCACTGGCCCCAGTAAAGATGTCCAGAGCGTGAAGTCTTTCTGCAGGCTGAGCAGAGGAGGGGTGCTGACGGAGTGGCACGCACAACAACCCGTTTAACGAGTCCACCGGCAACCCAGTGCTCCTGAGGGAAAACATACATTGGCAGCACTTCCCCGTGCCTGTCTCCTCCTTTTTCTCTTGCTGACACGTCTCACTTGAATTAAATCCTGGGCTCTGCCATGCCAAGAGTCTTTGGTTGTATTCCTGCTGGCCTTTTCCAGCTGCCTAGCTTCCAAGCCATGTGCAACACATTCCTTCACTAGCTCCTGTTCTTAAATGTAGAGGTTCTCCGGGGCTCTGGCCTCAGCCCACTGATTTTCCAGTGTTTACACGCACCTTGAGTGATGTTATCCTTGCTTGTAGTTGTATTACCATCTGGGTGCTGATGGCTTTTGAATCAGTATTGCCAGTGAGACCTGCCCCCTAGCTTCAGGTTTCTTCCTCAAACTACCTCCCCAAGGGGCTCACCTCTTCCTTATCAACACCTGCTTGCCCCTGCTCCCCCTACCCCTGCTTTCATTTTTTTCTGTGTGTGTGTGCTTGTGTGTGTACAGACACGCATGTAATGTAGGACCTGGGAGTCTTTCATTGTCCTCCTTTTTCCTTTTCCCGCCCCTCTGCTAATTGAGACCCAAGTATCTGGAGGCCTTGATTCAGGGTTGGGCTGTAAAGACAACTTGGATTCTATTCAAAGAGTCTTTTACTTTAGTTCACTCTTGTTGTTGTTGTTGTCGTTGTCACAGGGTCTTGCTCTGTTGGCTGGGCGGGAACATGCAGTGGTGGGATCTCGGCTCACTGCAGCCTTAGCTTCCCGGGCTCAAGCGTTCCTCCTGCCTCAGCCTCCAAAGTTGCTGGGACCACAGGCACACGCCACCACACCCAGCTATTTTTTCATTTTTAATAGAGACAAGGCCTCACCATGTTGCCCAGGCTCCTCTTGAACTTCTGGGATCAAACAGCCCTCCCACCTCAGCCTCCCAAAAGTGCTGGTATTACAGGTGTGAGCCACCACACCTGGCCTAGTTTACTCTTGATATAGCTAATTAGCAGCCCCAAAGATATATAGGAGACAAAGCAGTTTGATATAGCTCTCTGTTACCTCTTTCTTCTCTAAGCAGAGTGCCAGGGGTGTCTTTCCATATGCAAACCTGATGATGTCATCTGCCTGCTTAAAACTCTTCTGTGTTCCCCCCTGCTTTAAGGGCTGACAGGTATGGATGGGATGCAGGTTTTGCAGTGCGCCACCCCCAAGGAACGCCATTCTCATCATAGTCTATGTGAATAACACCTCCTACAGCTGCAGGAGCATTGTACAGCCTGTACTGCTGTCTATGGCAGCTCTGGCCAGTAAGGTCTAGCAGTGCTTGGCCTTAGACTCCTGTCCCACCACATCACATATGACCCTCTCCCTGGTAGATAATCCCAAGGTTTCTGAGTCAGTAGTTCTGGGGTCAGGTATAAAAATCTGCCCTCCTATCACATTCCCGGGTGATGTGATGCTACTGTTCTGGGGAACACACTTTGAGAACCACTGGCATAGCCATAGCTTGACGTAACTTGATGTTTTTTCTGTTACGACTCTTTACTCACTTAGGGCTTCCAGGACATGCCTGGACATGGGCTGCCTAACCCAATTTTGCAAAAGCTGGGGGTATCTCCATTTTATAGAAACAATTAATGATCCCACTTACTCTTTTTAAATTAATATTGAACTCTCCATGAAGCCCATAAACACATTCCTTGTGGAAGAACTTGAAACAGTACAGATTAGTCTAAAGTTCCTTCTTTCTCTCATCTTTGCCCCAGAAGTTAACACTCTTGTCAGTTTGGTATATATCGCTTTTAGACTCTATTCTGAGTTTGCTGGTAGAAAATAGCCTTCGTGCTGGCATTTCCCCCTCCTCTTACCATGAATCACATCATACTGAACCTCCTGTTCCACAGCTTGCTGTTTTTCATTCAGCTGTATGCTCTGGCCTCCTCTTTACGCTGGCGTGTATAGATTTTGCTCAGTCTCCTTGCTCTTCACAGCCACTCTTTCCCACCCTACTTTCTGCCCAAGGGACTCCATCAGCCAGTGCTCCCTGGCTTCCAGGTGGGTGTGGCCAGTGGGAGGAGATCAGAGTGAAGTAGATAAGTGAGGTTGGGGTCTCTCCCTTCGAGGTGGTCTCATGAGGGCTGTGGCTGTGGAGGGAAGTTTCCTGAACTCACTGCACCTCTTCCAAGCACATTCTGCCCTCTGCACCCACTTTGCAATTAGACCTGATTCATCTTAAGTACGTCACTTGTCTCCTCAGGGAACCTCACTACATAGGTGCTATGGGCTGGATATTTGTGCTCCCACAACATTCATGGGTTGAAACCCCATCTTCACGGTGATGGTGTTAGGACGTGGGGATTGGGGGAGGTGATTAGGCCATGACACCTCTGCCTTCATGAATGGGATTAGTGATTATAAAGGAGGCCCCAGAGAATTGCATAGTCCTTTCCACCATGTGAAGACGGAAGGCAACATCTATGAACTGGGAAGCAGGCCCTCACTAGACACTAAATCTTCCAGTGCCTTGATCTTGGAGTTCTCAGCCTCTGGAACTATGAAAATAAATGTCTGTTGTTTATAAGCCACCCAGACTATGGTATTATGTTATAGCAGCCCAAGCAAACTGAGAAAGTAGGTATACCTCAGTCTTTTTTTTTAAGTTTTAAAAAAATTATTGTGGTAAAATATAAATAACATAAAATGTACCACCTTAACCATTTTTAAGTGTACAATTCAGTGGCATTAAGTGCATTCATGTTATTGTACAACCTTTACCATTATCCATCTCCTGAACTTTTTTATCATCTCAAACCAAAACTGTATCTGTTAAACGATAATTACCTATTTTTCCTTCCCCCAGCCCATGGCAACCACCATTCTCCTTCCTGCCTCTTGAATTTGACTACTCTAGATACCACATAGGTGGTATCATACAGGATTTGTCTTTTTATGACTGGCTAATTTCACTTAGTGTAAGGTCCTCAACATTCTTCCATGTCATAGCATGTATCAGAATTTCCTTTCTTTTTAAGGCTAAATAATATGGCATTGTATATCACATTTTGTTTATCCATTCATCCACTAAATGAACACTTGGGTTGCTTCTACCTTTTGGCTATTGTGAATAACACCACTATGAATGTGGGCATCCAAATATCTCTTCAAGACCCTGCTTTCCATTCTTTTGGGTATATACCCACAAGTGGAGTTGCTGAATCATATGGTAATTCTATTTTTAATTTTTTGAGGATGGCCATACTCTTTTCATCTCCAGTTATGTGTATTCTTTGCTTTGACCTGAAAGACATAACAGTTATAATTGCCCTATCTGTATGGTATCCCACATCAAAGAAACTTATTTTAGTCGTGCATGTGAGGTCAGCTGTTTTTGTCTTAACCATTTATAATTTTGATGCTGGAAAATATTTTGGTGCACAAAACATATTACCAAAGTATTATACATTACAGAAACTCTACATCGTCTTGCTTGTGAAATGTGAAGCCATTTTCAAAGCAGATGTGTAAATTACAGATATGGATTCAATTATATGGCATACTGAATATTTTGATTGCCATTGCTATAGATTCTACAAATATCCTGTAGTTTCCTCCCTGCCATTTTGAGAATATTCTCTTGTGTACATTTCATTCAGCCTTTTAAAGAATCTCTTAGCATCCTTTGGGGCCTAAGCCTCGCTGTGACGTTAACTTTGAGGGCTTTTGTTTACCTAGTATCTGTTCTTCTATAAGTAAATTTTAGGTGCCAAAGAGCTCTCGATAATTATGCAATGTTTTGTTGAGAGCTCTTTCACATAGAAACATGACCAGCATAGCTTTTTTCACATAGAAAGAAGACCTGTTTGGAAAATCCTTGGCAAACTAGGATTATAAATTTAAAAGAAACTGTGATTTGTTCTGAATTGTATTATAACTTGCCAAAAGTTAGTCACACATATAAATTATACAGGTTAACTAAGTTAGCCAAAGTCACAGGGCTAGGAAATGGAGGATCCAGAATTTAAATGTGGATCTTTCCACTGTATCACCTTTCTATCCTTCCACATGTGGCCACCTGTGATAGGGTAAACGCACACACACACCTCCTTTCAGATGTTTGGACTGTTTCAACATGCCCCAGATGGGAAGTGAAATAAGCACTTTGTATTCTCCCTTTCGTGATGGAATTTGGGTTACTGGGATTGAGGAGGGGCCACCAAAACTTCAGCATGGCTGTGATAACCGAGCACAGCAACTTGTCCTCATTTTCCATTGTGTGTAGTGTTTGCTTTGACCCGAAAGGCTCCTCATAGCCCATTCCATAGGCACATGAGCACAGCCAGCACCAGACCAAGACCATAAATGGATCTGTAGAAGGTTTGGGCAGGTGTCCAGGACTCCGTGTCCTGTAACAAGTGTAAACGTTTTCTGGAGTGTTTGTTTTAAATGTCAGAACTTGAGGATAATTTTGGCCAGGGTTGTTTTTACATTTTTCATGGATGCCTATTTATAGGTCTGAATCTAAATCTATTTTTTATCCAGCCTACCCAGAAACCATAAAGAAAAAGATTGGTCATTTGACTATATAAAAATTTAAAACTTATGTATGGCAAAAAACATAACAAACTAGCAAGAGGAGATGAAGGGCTAATTTTCTCCTTTCTTAACGTGTTTCTACATGTCAAGGAAAAAGACACACTACCCAATAGAAAAGCAAGATAAGAATATAATCAATAGACATGTGAAAAGGTACTCAACTTCATTCATAATTAAGAAAATACACAACCAAATGATGTTGGCAGAGATGTAACAGTTGGATAATAGGCAACATTGATGGGTGTGTTGACATAAGCACTCATAAACTGTTGGTGAGAGTTTACATTGGTGCAGCTTTTGGCAATATCTATTAAAATTAAAATGTTCATTCTGTCTGGCTTATAAATTCCATAATCTATACTGTGGATGTAATCACAAAAGAGTGTGCCAAGATATGTATGTATACAGGCACACATACATGCACACAAGAATGCTACTTGTAACATTATGCAATGGAAACCCACCACAACAATATATCCCTTCCTCCCAAATTAGAAACAAGATAAATGTTAAATAACAATACATCTATACGGCAGGAAGCCCTATTAAAAAGAATGAAGTAGAGCTCCAAACGCTCAGTTAGACAGATCTACAAACTTTGTGGCAAGCATTTATAGAAGTTATTTCTTAAAATGAGATCTCTATACTGGTATATGCTTTTATCTGAAAGGATACATTAAAAATGAGCAGTAGTTAAACTTTGGGGACTGTTGTTTTAGGTATGTGCATAGGCCTGGTTTGTCCTGCTTTTATTTTGTACTTTTTAAAAGGACTTTTCACCCATGCATTATTTACTTAAATTAAAATTTGATTGAAATCCATGTGAAAATGGTTCTAACAGTTATAGATAACTAAATTTAGCTTTAAGTCTTGATTTCCTCTCTGCAATATAATTGTCCAGAGCTATGCTTTTGGAAAGGAAAAAATGGAGCTGAGAGCTGATTTCCAGAGTATGATCTAGATATATCCTGGGCTCTGCTTTTCTGTGGAAATCGATCTTTAAAAAATATTGGGTGGAGTTAAATTTGAAATAGAGATTCTGTAACGGGTGGATGAGGTCATTTCCTTATAGGAACTTTTTGGAGTTGGGAGAGAAGCACATTTATTTCTAGGTGTTTAAGAAGGGCTGATTGGGCCGGGCGTGGTGGCTCACGCCTGTAATCCCAGCACTTTGGGAGGCCGAGGCAGGCAGATCACGAGGTCAGGAGATCGAGACCATCCTGGCTAACATGGTGAAACCCCATCTCTATTAAAAATACAAAAAAATTAGCTGGGCATGGTAGCGGGTGCCTGTAGTCCCAGCTACTTCGGAGGCTGAGGCAGGAGAATGGTGTAAACCTGGGAGGCGGAGCTTGCAGTGAGCCGAGATCGCGCCACTGCATTCCAGCCTGGGTGAGAGCAAGACTCCATCTCAAAAAAAAAAAAAAAAAAAAAAGGGCTGATTGTTGGTGGAAAAGGAGGCTCTCACCCAATTACCTAGTCAGAAAAGGACACCTAGGCTTTTGTGTCCTTGGAGTCCTTTGTTTCTATACCACCAATGAATCTGTAGGGGTAAAGTACTGGGGTGGAGTGGTTATTCATGTTAGAAAACAGTATAGGGGGATTTTGTTTTACAATCAGGTATGCTAGATTTAGATGTGGCTTCCATCGCTTTCTCACTTTGTAATCTAGCTGAGTTTGTTTACTCGTCTGTAAAATGGGTTTATAGATAATATCTCCGGTACAGAATTGTTAAGTGCTAAATGAGATTATGCAGGTGAAATGCTTGTCTTTGTACCGGGAACATAGCCTTTGTATCTGCCATTATTGTTGGACTACAACTGTACAATTTTAGCTCAAGATTGTGTTCATTTCTGCCAGGATGAAACCAGCAAGCTTAGTTCATTGCTTGGAATTCTGATAGTTAATTGGGTTATAGAACCAGCACTGGTCAACCAGGAAAGCCAAGTCAGAAGATCAGCCCTCAACCGTTGGCTAGGTGCCTGATGAGAAGTGCAAAATATAGAAGATTCAGACCAATTGGTTGAAATTTCTTACATCATATATACTGGAAATGTAGGAATTTAAGTATATTTGTGTATTCATGGCCCTTAAAGCCCAAATCAAGACCAGAAAAGTTGCCTAGATAAGATGTGAGTAAACCCTAAGTATCACTCTCCTTCCTCGACCCAGTCTTCCAGCCCAGCCCTTTTATCATTAACTTTTCTCAACCAAAATCTTGATAGAACTGTATTTTATTGTTACACACATGCACAGATTACACATTATAGTCCATTTGCGTAATTCATCCATCTGCCTCAGACCTGCCTTAACCCTGAAGAGTAGTTTAGGGTCATCTCACATGTTTAACAGCATCAATTCCAACTTGAACTAAGTAGAATAAACAGATCCCAGACCTCCTACCTTAGAGACCCAGCTTTTCAATCTTTTTTCTATCTTCCTTTCAACATGATCAAAGCAGCATTCCCTAATCCTGAAGACAACACAAGTACTTCTAAGTATCCTTTGTTTGTCTTGCTTATCCCAACCAAGGGTAATTTTACATTTGCATTACTAATCACCTTCCTAAAATGCATTGTTCCTAAAATTAGATTAAATGTCTCTAAATGGTTTTATTTTGTTTGACAGTGGCAGCCTGACCCTTAAATATCCTATCTGTGAATGTACCAACTAGAAGGACATAGAAACCTTGTATATAGAAACAAATAAGATTCTTCTATTTTGTCATCTCTGAAGTATAATTTCATCAATGCACTTAAATTTTGTGGGTGTCTCTTTTCGGGTGCAATAAAAATTCATCCAAGAACAACAAACTAAGCTATTACCAATTACCATTCAACTGTGGGTCAGAATATTTTAGTCTAGTGGGAGAGTAATATTTCTTTGGTTGGTTCAGTAAAGGTTCAAAAGTCTGAGAAAATTGAATGAGCTTTATGCTTAGGTCTTAGTTCTGGACCTCCATGTTAAATTCTTGGTTTGAGGCAGGGAAAGATGAAAACTTACTTGCAGTGTAGTTAGTGTAGAGAGAGAAAACAGTGGCTGTAGTTAGGAACAAGTGAATGTTAACAAGTTTGCTTCTCAGGGGCATTGGTTAAACAACTTCTTAACTGGCCAGGGTCCAGCACGTTAATCATTAACCTAGGGCTGAGCATCTGCTGCCTGATGTATCCAGAATTAGTTTATCATTACCTCTAACGACCATCTTTTATGGTTCCGAAGAGCCTCTATGCAGTCTCTTATCACCGCCATGCCTAATCTTCATTTACCGGGAGCAGTGTGCTGATGTTTCTTAGTTAGACCAGAGTAAGAAGTTTATGGTCAGTTGATGAATTTTTAATTATAACTGTTTAAAAAGAAGACGATGACTATGAACAGCAGCTCACTCGTAGCAATCTTTGGACAGTACTTCGAAGTGACCCACTTTCCCATTTAACTCTTGGGAAGCCTGGGTTGCCCTGTTTTCGACTTTGGAGGTCCGTGGGCTAGATTCAGAGTGCCCTGGCAGGCTGGCTTGGGTTTGAGGCTGTGGCTGCAGCCTCCGCAACACCCTATCTCAGCACCTGGGAACTGGCCCTTGGTACCCGATTCTTTCTTCTTTGTGTGTGTGTGTAAATCATTTTCATTTTTTCTAATGATCAAAGTATACATTAAAATAAATGAAAGCAATACAAGTCCATGTGTATGGTAGAAAATCTGGACAATACTAAAAATGTACAGAAATGGCTTTTAAAGATTAATTTTCAACCTATAAACTAAGCTACTTTTCATTTTAGTGTCTTTTTAAAAACAGCTTTTAAAAACATTTTAAAGGGCTCATCATGTTCAAGAATGAGGGAATGTTTGGCTACAAGGCCTTCAGTATGACTCTATCCTATAGCTGGAGGTTTAATAATCAATTATATTAAAGCTTTTCTAAGCCTCCAGAAGGGTTTGTCTGGGTCTTATTTACTATAACAGGCAAGTTAAAGAAACTTGAGTTTAATTTATATTTCAGTTCACTTTTTTTAGACAACAAGTGCAATTTGGGCTTTATTTATGGAAGGAGAGAGTTGTCCTTCTCCCCGGAAAAAAAAAAGAAAAAAAACAACTAAAATTCCCATATGACGCTATTAAATGCCTGCCATTGGGTTTTATGTTTCCAGGATATTGTCCACATAAATATATGCAATGTTAAAAGAATGTGGATGCCTAGTAGCGTGTACGTTTTAGCCTTCTGAACCAAGGGTTTATGAAACTGGTTGAAGAGTGTTTTATTGAAACAAGACAAATATTTATGAACAATTTAGAATCATCTGTTTTGAAATGTAAAGTGCGTTCCTAGTGGTGCACAGAGTTCCAGGTGTTTCCTGTCTGAATTTGGAACGGTTCGCTGCTGTGATGGGCTTACAAAGTTGTGCTCTCCTAGCTTTTAATCAGAACTGAAGAATCACGCAGCTTCCCTGCTAATGCCAGAGCAACTGAAAGCACTCACAGGAACACACTTGATTAAATGAGTAGAAAGCCTTCTTGAGACACCTAGGTGTGTGTATGCTGAGCTGTTACATTTGTCATGGAATTAACAACAATAACAAACTTGCTTACCAAAGGAGCGCGTTAACTTCTGCAAGTGTATAAGTGTATAGGCTCTGCTGCTTAAACACATTCGTACCAATCAGAAGTTTACTTTCTGGTCTCTCTGGCTTCTGTGTTGTCACCATCCCTGGTTTCTGTGAAATGGAAATATTGTGTATTCGCCCAGACGGTTGGAAGCCGTTCATGTAAATATGGGCCGTTGTGATTTAACTGTCAGCCTGAAAGGCCCTACTTCCAAGGGCTCCTTTTAAACCAAGCACAATGAGGTGTCTGTTTTAGATGCGGCCGCCAGTCCTTGGTTGCAAATACATGGATTTGTTAGCCGTTTGCCAGCAGAACTGCTTTTTACAACATGCCCCGCTTTGTCTGCTGGCGTGGTGGACGGTACTTTAGGGCAGTGAGAAATGCTGCCATTATCTGCCTCCATCCCCAGATCTGTTCCCCTCATTGGCTCCGGGTTGGGATTGTAGGGGGAGGCGTGCAGCAAATCATCTTCTCTAGGAGCAGTCAGAAAATAAGAAGGGAAAAGCTTGCCCCACAAAGAATGTCCAAATGCACAAGCAAAACCACATGTGAAATCCCACCACGTTCACCCCCTGGAAACCCAGCTCTAGAGGATGCAGACGGGGGGCCCAGCCGACACCCAGGGCTGGAGTAGAGGCGTTTTATAAAGGATGATCTTTTTTCTAGCATGGACAACAAAGGGCTAAGAGAGTCGTCCCGCTTCCTGCTTGGGCCTTTCTGTTTTTGGGTTGGCGGGAGCCTTCTTCAGTAGACTTCACTTTCCCTGATGGTGAGAGTGTCAGAGACCACGATGGGTTACAGGCTTGCTTAATTGTTTTTTACTGGGGGTAAGAGAGGGGTGAAAAATAGAGAAAAGCATGAAAGAGAAATGAAGTCACCATATTTCTGCCATAAAAAAGTAGCCACTGGTAACATTTTGCCGCCTCTGCCTTCAGTGTTTTGTTTTCTCCCTTTGTATATGTTAAAAGCGATATCTGAATATTTTTCCTTCATATTTTCATGTCAGAACTGTAGAGTATTTCAGTGGTCCCCCCAGCCACGGTTTCTCTGTCCAAGGTTTCAGCTGCTTGTGGTCAACCATGGTCTGAAAATAGATGAGTATAGTACCTATCATAAGGTATTTTGAGAAAGAGACCACATGCATATATAACTTTTATTACAGTATATTGTTTTAATTGGTCTATTTTATTGTTAATCTCTTACTGTGCCTGATCTATAAATTAAACTTTATCATATGTATTTATGTATAGGGAAAAAATGTTTGTAGGGTTAGGTACCATCTGTGGTTTCAGGCATGCATTTGGGCCCTGGGCAATATATCCCTAGAGGATAAGGGGGAGATGACTATGCATATATAATTAAAGCTGTCCTTGGATCTACCTCCTTGACTCCAAGCTCCAAACCAGCCTCCTCCCCACTGCAGGAGTCGATCTCTATGAATGTTATGTTTTCTTTCCTTCTGTATTTTGTGCTTATGTGGTCTTTTAAATTTCCTTCTGACTCAGGCCTCTTCACTGGCATAGAGCACATGCTTTATTTATTCCCCTATAACTGGATATTTAGACTGCAGCTTTTTTGCTTTTCCAAGCAATGGTGCTGCGAGCCTTCATAGACCTTTTTCCTTGTGCGTGTATATGTGCTAGTGTTTCTTCTCGGGTAGAGATCTAGAAATGGAGCCACCAGTTTCCAGGCAAGACCAGACGTAAAAGGTTGTACATAAGGAGCACTAGTTTTACATACCCATGAACTATATTTATTACGGTCGTGCTTGAGTTCTGGCTGAAGAATTACGTGACACAAAAATGGACAGAGTTAGCTACAGGAGGCAGAAAGCGTGCAGTAGGGATCCTGTTGAATCCTCAAGCTAAGTAGTTTACCAAGCTGGTTGCAAATCTATTTGGTATTTTCCTGATTATCAAAATACTTGCCACTGATAGGAAACATTTGTTTGAGGGCCTCTCCTCCTCCACCCCCAACCTCCAGTGTACGACAGATGAATCAGTCATGGTAGAAGAAACAAATGGCTTTCTGTTGTTACTGCTTCTTTAAAGATAATCCGTTGTTTTCAAAACATTTGCAACGATTGCTTTCAAGGAAAGGGTGGCTGGAGGCCTCAGCCCCTGATTTCCCCAGGTGGAAACATTTGCAGTGGGTTTTCAGGGAAGTCACAGAGAAGAGCCGCCCGCCCGTGCCAGGATTCAAGGCAGGAAGTTGTCTGTTTGGTATTTACTCAGGCGTCTTTGGGCAAGAATTGATTATTCAATCAGAGTTGAAAGTTACTGCTAGGAGTTGCTTAGGCAGTAAGAGAAGAGGCTGTTTTCCTTGGAAAGGCCTAAAAGCCTGAATCTCCAATTTAAAATTAAATTTTGCTGTGACTTTCCTGCAGGATCTCAGGTGAGAGATACTTCTTGCCCTCCAAGACTGAAAGCCTAGTTTGTCAGTACGTTAGTTGAGTACTGAGGGAACGCCCCTTTGAGCCATAGCACTGGGAGATCCAGAAGGGACATGAGCCACCATCTCTTTCAATGACCTTGTTTTTATAGAAGAGGAAACTGAGCCAGGGGAGATGAAATGATCAGCCTAGTGCCCACATGTTGGAGAAATTACAGGACAAACAGACAGAGGTCCAATTTCTGCACCTAAAGGGCTGAGACCGCATGGGTCTGCGTCCTCCTGGGTCCGCCCTTTCCTGTGCCTGTTGCATGGTAGATGCTTAGTGAGCGTGTTGCCCTGAGACCATCCCATCTCCAGATGGCTGGTTTCCAATGTGATTATGAGGGCAAAGTCACTTCCTCACGGGGGGCTTGGAAAGTAAAAAAGGAAAAGTCAAAACACATAAGAAATGGAAATAACAGAGTAAGCCTGTGTGTTTTAAAAACTACTATTTATATCTTGCCTCCTTCCACAAAGGATTTAAGGCAGCTTAGGAGAGTTAAACACCAACACCAGAGCCCTCACTACACAGTAAGTAACTAATTGCCACGTGAGGCTTACAGATAAATGCTGAGAGCCTGGGTGGGGGAAATTGTCTTTGCTGCTGCAGAGACGTTTTAGGCCTGTCTGGATAAACCATAGGCATAATATATAAATAGAACCTCAAAGGGACACTAGGGGCTCTGTTGCCAGAGGTTTATTTTTCTTTTTTGGTTTTTGTATGAGAGGGCCTTGGTTATGGCTAGGGAAGTGGACAGGGGAGAGAAAAAATATTTATTTTCCAATGTATCAATTTTGTGTGCCATACCCTGCCTTTTCACATATCTCTTTCAGAAAGTTCTCCACGTTTACATTTCTGGAGAAGTTAAAATGAAAGACCCTGTTTACATTTATAGTTAAAATTAAAAACAGGATTTACCTGGGAGCTAATACCCTCCAGTGACTTAAGGTTGGAAATTAAGGCTTCCTGGCTTATCTTTCTTAAGGATAGAAAACTGTTCACTCCTAAATCGCCCCCTAGTGGTCCCTTAAGTCACTGATAGTCTCCTGCCCGAGGAGCTGCACGGCAGGTCCCAGTTGGAGGCACCATCATCTGTTGCATTGCTCCAAGGTGAAATTGGCCATCACGATGACAGAATTCTGCAAGGAGAAACTTCGGTTGACTTTTCTTCTTTCACTCCCAGGGTTTTCCTTTATGTCTTCACTGCTGTTTCCAGATTTCTGAAGAACAGTGCAGGACTGAGTTTATGCACGAAGCTCTGAGGACCAAAGGTGGAGGGAGGTCTTCCTTGAAAATTACTTTGCTGAGGCCTTGCTCCTTGTTCAAGGCAACACTATGGGAGGGGTTGTATGGTGGTGGCTGCTGCTCAGCAAGGGTGTCCAGCATGTGCCGGGGAAGAGAGGTTTTTTGAAGTACATTTCTAGTCGATAGCCAAGCCTATTGTGAAGAGTGGGAACAGGGCTGGTAATAGCTGCATCTCTTTTTTTTTTGAGACCGTCTCAGTCACCCAGGCTGGAGTGCAATGGCACAATCTCGGCTCATTGCAACCTTCACCTCCTGAGTTCAAGCCATTCTCATGTGCCTCAGCCTCCCAAGTAGCTGGGTTTACAGGCACGTGCCACCATGCCTGGCTAATTTTTGTATTTTTAGTAGAAACGGGGTTTTACCATGTTGGCCAGGCTGGTCTGGAACTCCTGGCCTCAAATGATCGCCCACCTCGTCCTCCCAAAGTGCTGGGATTACAGGCGTGAGCCACTGCGCCCGGCCAGCTGCATCTCAGAATTTTTGTTAGCGAGTCTGACTTACAATTGCCAATACCTGAGAGTTCCTTTAGTATGCAGTTTTAGATCTCCACTAAGGCTTCATTTAAATACATCTTTTCTTTGCCAAGTGTTCAGCTGCCAGTAGTGATTTCTCATATGGCTGATTCTAATTAGACCTGACATTGTCAAACTCCATAACTTCTCCAAGTTACAGAAGTGATACAGTTTCATTTCTAAAAGCACTGGAAAGCTCAGAGTGAGAAGTAACCTGTCATCTCACAATACAGAAAAATACCTATGCCTTACGTGTGCTTCATGAGGGGGTGGTAGAAAATGAGAATGAAATGGCCGGGCACGGTGGCTCACGCCTGTAATCCCAGCACTTTGGGAGGCCAAGGCGGGCGGATCACCTGAGGTCAGGAGTTGAGACCAGCCTGGCCAACATGGTGAAACCCCATCTCTACTAAAAATACAAAAATTATCCAGGCATATGGTGGCAGGTGCCTGTAATCCCAGCTACTCGGGAGGCTGAGGGAGGAGAATCACTTGAACTCGGGAAGCAGAGGTTGCTGTGAACTGAGATCTCACCATTGCACTCCAGCTTGGGGGACAAGAGCGAGACTTCGTCTCAAAAAAAAAAATGAGAATGAAATCTATGCTTATATGTGTGCATAAATGTTTTTAAAAAGAGATCATTTTCTGAGTGTATTGTTGCCTACTTTTACTTTGCAGTGTTCCACAAACAATATTTTGTCATTAGGTAGTTTTTCAGCCTCAGGGCTTTTAATGGCTATGTAGTATTCAACCTATGCCTGTGCTGGCTGTGATGCAATTTACCTCACCTATTACTATGGTTATTTTTACCATTAAAAACAATGCTGGGTTGAAGTTTTTTTTGTTTTTTTGTTTTTTTTTTTTTTGAGACATGGTCACCTGGGCTGCTGGAGTACAGTGGCACAGTCATAGCTGATTGCATCCTCAACCTGGGCTCAAGCCATCCTCCTGCGTCAACCTCCCTAAGTACTGGGGTTACAGGCATGAGCCACCGTGCCTGAAGATAATTATATGTAAATCCTTCCATTAACTTATGTTTTCCTTAAGAAAAATTTCTAGAATTGGAATATTTGTGTCATCATTTTAGATATCTCTCCAGAAAAGTTGTGACTATTGCTTTCCCACAGATCATATTCGAGTAAGTCTTTTCCCTGCCCCTTCCATAATACAGGGTTATTTTCAACTTTGGCCATGTTGTTGAGTAAAAAGTGGCACTAGATTATTTGAGTAGCTGATTGTTATCTAGTTGGATTGAATTTTATTTTCTTTTTCATTAGCCAATTGTATTTCTTCTTTGGTGCAGTTGCTTATGTTCCCTGTTACTGGGCTGGGCTGTTTATCTTTTTTCTTATTGATGTAGAAAAGCTTTATTTGTATTAAAGATGTCAACCTTTTCATCTTTGTTGTACACATTTATTCCCTGAATATGGTTTGCCTTTTCCTGAGACTGGGAGATGCCAATCATTAATTATATGATCAGAAAACTGTTATCCTGCCCAGGCCCGACTTCAGAAACGGACGTTGCAAGATCAACCTGACCAGCCCTGGGGCCTGTGCTCTCTCAGCCCTGAGGTACCACCTGCACCCTGTTATTCTGCTTATGTTGATATTCAGACTTGAAATTGTTCTGAGGATATCTTGTGTATTTTATCTCAGTGCAGAGATAATGAGTTTCACATGGATGGAGGGGATCACAGTGGACACCATTTCCTTTATTTTTTTTCTACCTGCTCTCTACCTGCCCGTACCTGAGTTCCATGGTTTGTGGCTGTGTTGATTCATGGGAGTCTTAGGGGGGATACTTGTCATATTTAAATGAGTTCACTTGACCATCCAAAAGATGGTTGAGTGCCTCCTCTGTGCTTATTACAGAGGGATTGGTTGGAAAGTCGGTTGGGGGTCTCTAATCCAGCGCAATTTTATTTTTTGCCTCAAATTTTTAAATAGAGCTTATTTTTCCTCACACTGACTTTATGTGCTGTTTTTTTTTAAAAAAACAAGAGGACATATCAAATCACCTATAAACTGATGCAGTTTGAATATGTGTGCTCTTCTGATACCCAGTAAGTTTCTGATGATGAAAATAAATGACCTTTAATAAACAAGTTACTTAGTAATATGTATATTAAACAAATAGTAATTCGTATTGTAAGGTTCCAAGCTTCGAAGGCTTGACAAATTCAATAGAATATCATCCACAAGGTAGACAATTTGAAAAATCCTGATTTTCTGATAGGTCTACTGGTTTGTTAAATAAAATGTTTTTTTTAATTTGAATAACCAATTGATGTTTTGCAATTTTTGTTTGGGAGAGGTATTTTTGCATTATTATTTCTACCCAGTGTATTTGTAGTCTGATTCTGCTAAAACAATAACAAAAATCTTGATGGAGTAAAGATAGTTGGGTGAATTAAATTCTATGACTTTTAATTCTGTGCCTTGAATCCTGAAGCAAAGTCTATCTTTAAGGACTGGGGTTTTCTCAAAGGGCTCAATCAGAGGGTAATTTCATATCAGAAGTGCTCCCAAATGATTATTCGTGGGTAACCAGTTACATAAAATGTCATCGTGTATAAAAGTATAGTTTAGTTCTTAATTAAAAAGCAAAATCTTTGCCTTCAGCTTCGTAATCTCATACTCTCAAATTCCAAGCCACCTCCCATGGGTGTCACACTATCTTAGACTAGGAACGGGATTTGGCTATAAATAAAAAACTAGATAGAATATCATTTCCAAAGAGCCAAGGGCACTTGCTGGAGTTGCTACAGAGACTATCCTTTTCCTATCACAAGCACATTCATATGAAAACATTGTTGTTTTGCTTTTTCCATACTTACTTGGAGAGAATTTCCCAGGAAGCCTTTTTGTGTATTTCCCCACAGGTCAATCAATTATGTTGTTAATTAATATAATGAAAAATTAGATCATATACATGCACTTAAATGATACTAACGCAGTTATCTTTATATATACAAGCTAGTGACTTATGTGGGTATAAGACCTCCTTAATAAAAAGTGGTATACTTTGGAGATGGGAAAGTGGCTTGTGGTTGCAGGGAGGTGTTAAGTCACAGCATTATTTCACTTCTTGAAAATGAAGCCCTCAGAAAATGGAGTCATTACAAAATATGTCAGATCTGTAATCACCAACCAAATGATTTGTCAGAAGCAGCCCAGGTTAATAATGGCTGTCCAAGAAAGAGTGTTCAGATGCATGTCAGGGCCGAATTGAGTCCACTGGTGTGGCTGAGATGAGGAGTCCAGAAAAATAACATTCTCTGTTTGGAACCAGGAAGGTTGTCATGGAGATGAAAATCTTCCTGGTCCCATAAAAACCCTGCTTGTCATCTGACTTGAGCCCCGTATTTGCACAGGTGGTTCTCCTGAGAAGGGCTGAGTAAAAACAAATCTATTCTTCCTGAATGGCGCCTTTATGTGTCCAAGAGAATATGTTTCCTTTCTTCAGTCCCTCAATTAATGACCCATTATCAGCTAATTAAATCATGTAAATTTTATGTGAGTTCATTTGTTACACCACATGCTAACTAAGTCTATTCCTGTGTGTTTAACCATATAACTGTTTTAATTGTGAGAATGAGGTACATCAGGTGGGCATCTGGAGAGAATAATAAAGTACTCAAGAAAAGCAGACACACATACACAGCAGTGTAATATTAATTTCTGTTTATAAAGAAGGCAGAAATATGAATAAGTGAATGTCTAGCACATGCCCTGTGACTTCGGGATACTGTGTTCAACTCTATTCTCTACAGAAAAGGAGTCACATGGCTGGGTTTCTGTTTCGCTGAGTTACGTTTCAGATGCAGAAGTCGACTGCATGATACAAAAACACATCTGTTTAGGCTCTCCCCCTCCCCACTCTTGCTTTCTTTCCTATGTGTCAGAGAGCAGAACTTGATCTTTGTATACATTTTGTATAAAAGCCTTAATTCTAGGTTTAATTTCAGTTTGTGATACCTTTCTGCCCCAAAAAAGTTCAAAGCTTTTACCAAGTTTCTCAAGGCACGTTCATGGTTGCACTGAGAGAGTTGAGTTCAGACACAATAAATGCTGTGTTACATTTTTGGAAACGTACTTGTATTGTCATTTAAGACCTTGCAAAGTACATAGGGAAAAGCATTAGATGATGTCCTCTATAGTCAAAAACTACCAAACAAAGCAAAAGAAGAATTTTTTATTGTTCATTGGATAAGGCCAAGTAGACAGCAATGGGAATAATACTTTCATTAAAGCTTTACGGATAAAGAAATGATTTAAAGTGAAGAAATCATACTTTTTTTGAAGCCTGGTATTTAAAGAATGAAATCATACTTCCTTGAGGTTTAAAAATATTCATGTGTAATGCTAGACTTTGGTTATGCATTCCCAGATGTTTAACGCACTCATCATTTGTAAATGGAACTTACGTCAGATTTATGACCTCAGAATCTTCAAGTAAATAAAGGACCACTTATACATTTGCTTGTAAAGGTAGCACCTAATAGAGAAAATTTGAGGGAACCATTAAAACAAGTATAGGTTTAGCTTATAAAGGAAACACTAGTATCTAAAACTAGTTTAATTTCTTTTAAATGGACTGGGTTACCAAAGTACTTCATGACATTTTATGTTAGTAAAATGTTAAAATTTTTAAGTTAAAATCAAGAAAGCATTGAGATAAAATTGTTTTATTCAAAACAACAAAACTACTATCCATGATAGTATAATATTCTCTGACCAACAGTATTCATATACACAGCCCCAGAAGTGCAAAACCACAACTGTGTTTTCACACCTGTCTCTTGCAAATTCTTACTTAACAGATCAAAATGACCATCTTGTAGAAAGTATTTTGTGTAAGACACTGTCACCTGTGAGCCAGCAGGTGGTGCTCTGGTACCACGTCTTGATCATTCGTTTCAACTGAGAGAGGAGGGCTGCAGTCTCAATGATACCAGGCTCTAGGATTTTCTGTAAGATGCCACACAGCTGATCTTTAGAAATACCTGGCCTCTGGGGGATTTGCTTTCCATCTGACCATTTAACATCCTTGACCGAGCTGCCTTCTCTATAGCTGTACTGTTGAAATTTGTCATTTCTTACAGCTGCCTGGTTTCATGAGCTGCCAGTCTCAGAACATAGCATACCATAAAATAGGAATTCTGACCACGCAGCCTTATGGGTAAGGCAAGGGAGGGAGTTGAAGGGAAACCGCTATAGTAAAAGAAAACTCAGAAAGATAAATGTTAAATAGAATCAATGGATATTGGAGAAGATAATTTTAGTTGTTGGTGGCCTTAACTTATGGAGAACTCAGTATCTTTTCTCAGCTCCACCTAACAGTTCCCATCTTTTAGGAAAGCAATTATTTAGATGCCAGAGAACACCATTATGGAAATGGAATCTTTTTAAAATAAAAACCTATCATTTTGACTGCAACCAAGTTATAGTTTTGACTGAATGCATAATTATTACCCCAAACAAAAGGTTTTATACCTGATTCCATGCCATGATTCTTCATTGTGACCCTTTACTTGATTCTCCATCATGAGCAACCAAATCAAGATGCACATGTGTAAGTAGTGCCTTATTTTTTTCTCACTTAGCCCACTGTTGTTTCTCTTTGCTTAATAGCACAGCTCTAAGAAAACGGTTGCATTTGGTCTACAAGCTAGCAGCAATTCAAGGAGCTTCATTTTCTAATGACTTGTTTTATTTTATTTTATTTCATTTCATTTATTTATTTTGATACTGAATCTGGTTCTGTCACCCAGGCTGGAGTGCAGTGATGCGATCTCAGCTCACTGCATCTCCGCCTCCCAGGTTCAAGCGATTCTCCTGCCTCAGCCTCCTGAGTAGCTGGGATTACAGGTGTGTACCAACATACCCGGCTAATTTTTTGTATTTTTAGCAGAGATGGGGTTTCACCATGTTGGCCAGGCTGTTCTTGAACTCCTGACCTCAAGTGATCTGCCCGCCTCAGCCTCTGAAAGTGCTGGGATTACAGGTATGAGCCACCACACCTGGCCTTCTAATGACTTGTTTTAGAATGTGGATGTCAATGTCACCCACCTTATTCTCACCAAATATGGAGCTAGAGAGCCAAGTTTAACGAGGTTTTCCTTTGACACCCTGAGAGCCTCGCGTTGCATCCACTTCTTTCCAACATTATTATTTATGCTTTTTACATAGTAGGCACACAGCAGGTATTTGTTGAATGAGCCATTGCTAGATTAGAAGTGGGAAAGACTGACAGTCGAATCGTTAGGAGTCGTCTGCAGTCGTCAAGGTGAGTGATGACAGTGGCCTGTATAGGGAAAGGGGGAAGCTGGAGATGGGATGGATGTGCCCTGTTGGAGAGACAGATTCCACAGAATCTATGAGCAAACTCCAGGAACATGTTAAAAGTAGATGAGATCCTGAATGGAGGGC
Organism: Homo sapiens; assembly: GCF_000001405.40. Classification (NCBI taxonomy): domain Eukaryota; kingdom Metazoa; phylum Chordata; class Mammalia; order Primates; family Hominidae; genus Homo; species Homo sapiens. Next base: position 73,501,329 of record NC_000003.12, on the reverse strand, counting down.
ATCACCTCCAAAGCCCGTGTCCCAGTTGACAGTGGAAAGGACTCAGAGAGATGCCTCTAGCTCAGGTGAGGAGTGGATGTGATTTTAAGCCAAGGTGGAAAACAAGTGGGGAAACTGGTTCTGCTGTTAAGAGCCCAACAGCTGTGGCTATGTGTTTGGATTTTGCGACTCGAATCAGGTTCATTAATTATGGCCAAATGTTAGCAAGAGTTTATAATGATAAGCTGTGCAAAGAGTTTCAAAAATTACAAGTATTTCTGAATTGCTTACACGGACATTGGTAGGGAAAGAGAAGAGAAGATGGAAAACAAGGAATATACGACACCATGCTTGCCCTTGAGAATTTTAGAGTCTGTCATGGGAGACCAGACTTGCACGTAGGAGGCAAAACACCAAGTAAGAAAAAAAAAGAAATGATATAGCTCAACATGAGCAGAAGAGTTGGTGGATAGATTCACATAGGCAGCAGTGGATCAGTTAGGCTGTGTGAAGAAATGAAAGCCTTAAGATTGAAGGCTTTGGAGAGAAAAAGAGGTTTCTTTAGAAGGCATTGGTGTGGTGGACAGAGGTAGAAATGACCTGGAATAAATTTTTAGGTGGTTTAAAGGGGTGACCCAGCTTGGGAGGAGGCGAGAACTGGCAGGTGGGCTAGGCTAGGTTAGTAAGATGCCAACATAAAAAGATGAGGAGCTTTACCCTTAATCCACTCTAGAACAAGAAGGCATTGTTGGGAGGAAAAGAGCATGTTAAGGCTGTGTTTTAAGAGGATTATTCTGGCAACAACACTTATATAGAGTGGAGCCATGGTGATTAGCATTCAGCAGTCCTGGCAACTCAGCTCAGAAATATTCAGGGCCCAAAGTGAAATGTGGCAGAGCTCATGTGGAAATGGGGTTGGAGAGGGGAGTATCAGAAAGCATTTTAAAAGGCCAAGTTCAATCTTAGTGACAGATTAAAAAAATAATAATAAATAATAAGGACAGCCAGGCACAGTGGCTCATGCCTATAATCCCAGCACTTTAGGAGGCTGAGGTTGGAGAATTGCTTGAGCCCAGGAGTTCCATACCAGCCTGGGCAATATAGTGAGACCCAGTCTGTACAAAAAATTTAAAAATTAGCCAGCTGTGGTGGCATATGCCTGTAGTCCCAGCTACTTGGGAGGCGGAGGATCACTTGAACCCATGAGATCAAGGCTGCGGTTAGCCATGATCACGCCATTGCATTCTATCCAGGGTGACATAGTGTGACCCTGTCTAGAAGGTGGGGGAAAAAAAGCAAGGGCTTTCTTTGTAACCCCCATTCCTGTGGTGATGGGGTTTTCCAAATAATGAAAGAAATCCTCAACACTAAATAGCAATAACAACCACAACAATAATATTAGCTAATATCCACCAGGCTTTCTGTGTGGCCAGCTGTGGTCTAGGCTCTGTATGTTGACTCATTTCATCATCACAATAATGTAGAGGTAGGTACTTTCATTATCATCATTTACTATAGGCAAGGAAGTTATGTCATGGAGAGATTATGTAACTTGCCAAGAAAATACGACTAGGAGGTGGGAAACCCAGGTATGAGCCAGGGAAGCTTCCCCAGATCCCCTTACTGCTTTTTGTAATCTAACAGAAGACCCAACCACCACCACCACCTCAGGCTTTGGGCATTTTAGAGGATGTCATTTAGATGCCACAATATTAAAATTTCATCGATTTCTTATCTAGCGATTGACTAGAATAGTTTCAGAATTAGGATCATTCCAGAAAATCCAGAACTTGTGGTTGTTAATATCTAGAGCATCCACCCTGGAGCCTTACACGAATAGTAGCAGATGCCTCAGATATGTTTTAGGTGGTGAGTTGGTGTAAGGACTCGAGACAGAGATGACTGTGAGTCAGGTCTGAGAGCCTGGGAGGGGAGCGGCTCATGGCTCAGCCTACATGTGTGAAAACCACAGCGTGTGGCCATGTGAGTTACCAGCGTCACCTGGGGCCAGCCTGGGCCTCGTAGGTTTATAATTTGGTCATGGATGCTCCCTAATCACACTATACGGATTACAAATGAAAACTCCATGAGATCAGGACTCGCCGGTCTTCACTGATGTTTGTAACCAGTGCCCAGAGCAATGCCTGGCACCTGGCATTTGCTGAAGGGGACAAGGAAAGAGGCATGCTGTTGGCAGGTGGTAAGGGATCCAGGACACTCAGCAGAGTGATTACGGAGCATAAGAACCAGCCGTGTGGTTGTTTATCCCTTTCGTGCGGTGTCACCGGCCACTGGGAATCTCCTGGTTAAACCTCGTCTCTCAGGCAGGAACAGAGCCTGGTTTCTGCCTATGCTGGGACCCTGCTACCCCAGCTTGTATCTCAGAAGACAAGCAGCAAGCCTGACCAGCGACCCGCACAGCCAGCATCTGGGTCTATGCTGTGTGTATTGTAAAAAGTTAACATACGGGCCAGGCACGATGACTCACACCTGTAATCCCAGGACTTTGGGAGGCTGAGGCAGGTGGATCACGAAGTCAGGAGTTCGAGAACCAGCCTAACCAACATGTGAAACCCCGTCTCTACTAAATATACAAAAATTAGCCAGGCGCGGTGGCGTGTGCCTGTAATCTCAGCTACTCAGGAGGCTGGGGCAGGAGAATCGCTTGAACCCAGGAGGCGTAGGTTGCAGTGAGCCGAGATTGTGTCATTGCACTCCAGCCTGGGCAACAGAGCTAGACTCCATCTCAAAAAAAAAAAAAAGTTATGAATCACTGTGGGCTTGGAGCATCTCCCCCTTTCTCCTGCTAGCACAAAAAGGTAGCGTTAGGTTATAGGGAATAGCAATTAATTCATTGTTTTTGATGTTGCAGTTAGGGAAAAAGTACTCGACCATTTTTCAAATGCCTAGGTGGTGTTGTTTAACTCTGGTGAAAGCAGTGCTTAGAGTCCTGTGTTCTCTTTTGATACTGGAGCCAGCGGTAGTTTGGTACATACTACCAACTGTCCCCCAACACTAACCACTGAATGTCTACTTATCCCAGCTGGGAAGGCCAGGAGCTTTTCAGGTTAGTCGGGATACACATAAAGTCACTGTGGATGGACTTGATAGATAGAAACTCAAGTCAGGAGGATGGAGAAAATGGGATGGGTCTGGGAAGTATTTTCAAGTGGAGTGACAGGGATTGATGACTTACTATGTCTGGAAAGTGAGGGAGGGAGAAAGATGATTTTTGTATCTCTACATGACAGAGGCAGATAACCAGGATTTGTGGCCTTACCTTCTCTGGCGGAACTTCAGATATAACAGATCTCTGCCTAGAGGAGAGGAAGGAGTTAGAACCAGCAAGCTCAACTGTTGTTACCTCAGCATCTTCCCAGACCCTACCACCCTTTCAGGTCTCTCTTCAATTATCAGCATACTATACCTAAAGTGCTTCTCCCTTGGGCAGTGGTGGGGGGTTCTTGTGGGTGTGGGCCCAGAGGTTCGAGTCGTGCCCCTGTTACGTCCCCATCACTGCGCTGAGCTGTTGGCGGGGGCGGGGACGGGGGGCGCTGTGCCGGCCCTAAATGAGTTTTCTTTCCTCCCTTATATCCCTAGATATATATGGAGACAAATCTGTTGCTGTGTGCTGTCCCTGTTGTAAAACCATTTGAGGTATATTTGAAACAAGATTAACACGTTGATAACTGTTTAAGCTGGGTGATGGGTACGTAGAGTTTCAGGACGCTGTCCTCTACTTTTATATACGTTTGGAATTTTCCAGAATAAAAAAAATTTTACAATGGCAATAATCACCTTTAATTCTTGAGCCTTTCTGTACTTTGAGTTTTCTTAAATCAGGATGCACCTCTAATATCAGCAGTGATAATGAATCATTTGCTTTATAATAGTAGCTGATATTCCAGCTCTTTTGATTAGTAAAAAAGTTAAAAAAATTTTTTTAAAGTAGCTGAATTCACAAAAATCTGATCATTTGGCTTAAAGATGAGTTTTCATGGCTTTCTTCATTATTGATAAATACACCAAGAAAAGCAGGACCAAAATCCCACAGAAGCTGTTTCCACATTTACCTAAGTCTCCCTGTAAAATGCATGTGTGTTACTGCTCTCCAAATGTACATTTTTTTTTCTGTTCTGAGTGTAAAAAGCAGACAGAACAGGGAAGCAAATGTTCCTGAATGGCCACATTTAAATTAATCATATGCTGTCTTAAAGAAAGCAAAATAAACAAGCTCCAAACCGAAATACTCTGTAGTATTTACCCAATTATTTTTAAGCATAGAAAATAAGGCCCAAAGTGTGTATTAGTCACATTTTAACATCAGAGTCACCATATAATTTAGTTCATTTGTTAACCACATCAGCACACGTGCGAATCTCAAAACCCTGCCATTTGCTGTGCCCATACGTTAATGATTCTGCTGAAGACAAGGCCAAATACAGGACGGGAGAGGAAGAAACTGTGTCCTCAGTTAGCTTCCTTGAATATAATTAGTAATGGTCAGCGAGCTATTGATTACATAGTAAAACTTACAATTGTTTGCTAATTTGAGGGATGGATTGGCCACCTGGTAAAGCTTTAAGTAAAATATTTTTTAAATAATGTGGGGTTTTCTTGGGTTTGTATCTTTTTAATTTTTTTACCTTTTTTATTACTAACTATAAAAGGACTTTTTGTGTGTTGAAATTTGAATATGGATGGATGTTAGATGAAATTAAAGAATTGCTAATTGTGTTATGTGATATTAGCATTGTAGTTATAATTTTGTTTTTTTTTAAGTCCTCTTTACTTAGAAATACGTTATAAATTATTTCTGTGTGAAATGACATGGTCTCTGGGATTTGCTTTTAAAAAAAACACCCAGGAAATAAAAAGAATGGCGAGTTGACATATGAAACAAGAATGGCAAAATGTTGATTAATCATTCAAATTGTGTTGGGTACATGAGAGTTTATTAAGTTAGTTCTCTATGTTCGTATATATTTGAAAATTTCCATAATAAAGTGTTAATAAGGAATCAAAGGAAAGATAAACATAAAAATCAGAATATTTACCTCTCCGAAGAAAAAGAATGAGGTAATTGGATTGTAACCCTCAATAGGCATCAACAACTTGGAAAATGTTCTTAAGTTAAATGATGGGTACAGGGTATTTTTTATTCTTTGTACTGTATATACCGTGTGTGCATTATTTTGTATGTATCATACATTTCACTTTAAAAATAAATGAAGTCCATCAATATGGAGCAGTTTTTTTTTTCAAGTGCATATCTTGACTTGAGACTTAGTCTTTCAGGCTGTACTTTGATGAACAGATAATCCTTATAATTAACACATCAATTAAGAACAGATATATGGTGCTGAAAATCTTGGCAGGGGGGATGGGGATAGGGGGAAGGGTAGGGAATTAGATCAAGTAAAAAATCGATGTTGAGTACCAGCTATGGTTTCTATCTTAATTAGGCAACCTTCCTTAAAGATATAGCAGTTCTTGAAAAGCAAGAAGAGTGATCTGATCCTTAAAAAGTGGAGAAAAATAAACAACTTTCATTTACATAAACTTTCTTTGGCACTGCATTTTTGCTATTGCCAATATCATAAAAGTCTGCCTTGTGTTTTATAACACTGGAAACGTGAGCATAAATCAGTCCTAGAGAAGTTCTAGCCTTATGTGTGTAAAGAGGCTTATGCCTCGATGTTCATTGCAGCATTGTTTGTAATAGGGAAAAAGACAATCAGAAACATCCTAAGTGTCCATCAATAGCAGAATAATTAAATAAAGTATAGAATTAAAAATAATAAGACAAATATATGCGCACGGATAAGAAAGGTCTCTAAGACATGCTGTCCAGAGGAAAAAAAGTTACAAAATAATACATGATGTTTGATGGCATTTATGGGAAGATGCATATACATGAATCAATATAAATCTGTAAGTGAAAAGATCTGTGAGGGCATACCCCAGGTAGATGTCAGTGGTTTCTCCTTGGAAGAGGAGATGACCAAAAGGAATTTTAGCTATATTAAGCATGTTCTAATTTTTTTTTACAAGCAAAATATATTTGTTTCTTACTTCCATAATTAAAAATTCTTTTAAAAAGCAAACCACTTGCTGAAAGAATCTTGCTATCGAAAGAAGCTTTTCAATAAATGATTTTGTAAAATGATTGTTTTTCAGGGTAAAGTGATTGTTACATTTTGTAAAGTGATTGTTACATGGGCATATTGCGTGATGCTGAGGTTTGGGGTATGCTTGATCCCGTCACCCACATAGTGAGTAATACCCCATAGGCAGTTTTCCAGCATTTGCATTCCTCTGTCCCCCCTCTAGTAGTCCCCAGTGTCTGCTGTTGCCATGTTTATGTCCACGAGTACCCAATGTTTAGCTCCCACTTACAAGTGAGAATATGCATTATTTGGTTTTCTGTTCCCTTGTAACACTATCTCTTCAAGTTACATGTTTTCTCGATTGGGTGTTGGAAAAGTAAGCTATATCTTCTATACTGTGGAAAGTTAAGGAACCAGAAATCATGTTTTTCATTCTCTAAAAAATTATGTGTGCTCTTTAGATATTATCTTTTGATACTGAGACTACATAAGTGTCCTTCAAATAATGCAGAAGAAAAAGATCATAGGCAGGCAAAAATTACTTAATAAATTAAGCTTTTTAAAGAAGTGAAAGAATTATATCCAGAACCAACAGCTCTTAAATATTCTATTTCAATAAAAACAATTTATATACAATTGCGGTGAAACTTATTTTTGGCAAATACTCTTCCGTAAGTTATGAACATTTCTCTTGATAAATTTTATACTAGGTATATAAGTTCCTTTATTGGTGTTTTGGATGACAGCAAATGACTTTCCATAAGGCAGATGTAGATTTTATTCACACAACTTTTCAGGAGTAGCTTTATGTAAATATGTTAGGACTGTCCTTCCTTGAGCTTTACAGTTAACCAATGAAAGTGAGTTATTTTAGGGAATGGTTAGATTTGGACATGGACCAAAATTAGTTTTCTAATGAGTGGTGTTAAAGATGTGTAACTACTATTACAGAGATAATGTAAATGGCCTTCTACTTCTTAATTCTCTGATTCTGATCTTGTTTTGTAGTAAGAAAGGCTCAGTATGAATTTGAGGTACTTAACTAACTTGTTACAGTGGTGGTCAGTGAAGAAAGATTCTATCGGGCAGGACTCTCTGGAATGCATGTGTCAGAAGCCCAGCCCAAATTGGCCTCAGCAGAAAACAAAACATAGCGAAAAGCAAATGACAATTCATTGGCTAAAGCAATGGAAAAATACAAGGATATCTAGCTTGAGACTCAGCTAGAGCCAAATATTCAAATCTGGTCATCCAACGTTGATTGGTCTCTTTCAATTTACTTAGCTGTGCTAAACACTGTTGGCTTGGTTTTGGGGCACGTTCTTCTCAAACATGGTGAAAGTGGCCCCTAGCACCGCCAAGATTGATCCTGTCACAGCCCAGCAATCCCAGTGGTTGCTTAAAAGCAAGTCCTTTTCTTGATAATTCTAGCAAAAATCATAGGGAGGTCACCCATTGGCCCAGTTTAGGGCATGTGCCATCCCTTAACCAATCAGCAATCTGACTAGCCAGGCCTGAGGCACCTCTTCATCACTAAAACTAGTCGTGATAGAATCAACTTAAGTGGAACCCTGTTGAGAGAAGGAGAGGAGGGATGGCTGCCCTAGTGGAAATGAGCTATTACCAAGAGTGGATGAGGGCGGGCAGAAACAAGAGGTGCACATTACAGGGATACCAGGGATTTGAGTCTGCAGTCTCTCTGATTTTCCATGAGTGCTTATCTTCTTGGGGGAGGTGGGGGCGGTGTGTGAACATCCACACAGCCTCCTGCTCCTCCTCATCTACTGGGGCGCTCAGTCACCCAGGTTTGGAATGCTTCTGAGGTGATACTTAATGTTACAGTTCATGGTCACCGTGCTCCATGTACGTGAGGTCATGTGTATTGTGTATTGTCACTGTCTCTCTTCCCAGTTATTTTTTTCAGTCAGGTGCTAGGGAATTCTCCTTTTCTTACTATGTCATGGCTGTCCTCCCCACTCCATGGGGCTTTCAGAAAGACAGGTAGAACATAAGAGTCTAGAGAGACCTTGGGTGTCACCCAGGCCATTGAGGCTCCATCTGGGCTTGAAAGAGCCCTCACCTGCAGTAAAGGTGCCTCTGAGGCCAAGGAGAAATTATGGCATAAGAAGGGAACACCAAGGAGATGGGGGCCCGGACATACCCTCTCCCACCTCCTTCAGATTTCATTCTTTATAAAATTTCACATAAGGGAAGAGTCTCCAAAGTGTAAGGAGGGCCAAAAAAAAAAAAAAAAAAGGTTGAAAAGCCTTCCATCTAGTCTAACCCTAAGAGTACTCATTTATTTTTGTTTTAATTTTTAAAAATTGATACATAATAATTGTACATATTTATGTGGTACATATGATATTTCAATACATGCATACAATATGTAATGATCAGATTAGGTAATTGGCATATCCACCACCTCAACCATTTATCATTTATTTGCACTGGGAACATTCAAAATCCTTTCTCCTAGCCATTTTGAAATACACAGTACTGTTAACTGTAGTCACCCCACAGGCCTATGGAACAGCAGAGCCCTTTCTTCCTGTCTAGCTGTCCAAATGCCAGTGCTTAGCAGCAGGGCCTCAGTACCACACTGCCTCCTTGGGTGCTTCTCTGCTGAATGTGCCTTATCTTTTCACCCTTCTCTAAGCTCCTGTGAAGCGGGGTGTTCTTAAACACCTCTGCAGCCCCAGATCACTGAGAACAGCACCATGCACCCAGACATCCAATGAATACCCTTCACGTGTGCTTTGGATAATTGTTAAGTCCCATATTTTTTAGAGCATATTCAAGGCAAGGGTCATAAATTCAAATGCCCCCTAGGGCCAAGAAGGCAAAGGACAAGAGGGAATGAGACCAGGGACCGTAGCGAGCTCACAGGCACACAGCCCAGCCTATGATATAAGCTACTCCAGAGCCCTAGTTATCCCCAGGAGGAGATACAAGCCCACAGCTGCCTGCACATCCACATTTTTGCACGAGAAGACAGAAATCTGGGTTTTTCTGTGAAATATTTTGATAATTTTATTTTGGAAACCAATTTAGAAATTTCAGAGGCCCCTTGAAATTGGTTTGGGGGCCTGATATGCTCAGGAAAGGGATTCTACAGTTAGAGAATATGAGAAGCACTAGTTGAAACTTTCTTCACTGCTAGTTTTCAGAATCTTTTTAAGAGTGTTCTTTTCAGTGGTCTGTGTGTTTTTCCTTTAGAGAGGGTGGGGTGTGAAGAAGCACATATCAAAGGCAGAGGTCCCTAAATTCATTTCTTGCTAGAGCCTTGGAGTACCCTGAGACGTGTGAACCCTGCACCTCTGGTCCAATCAAGAACCTTCTGGCTTCATGGTCGCTCATGCCTGTAATCCCAATGCTTTGGAAGGCTGAGGCAGGAGGATTGCTTGAAGCCAGGAGTTCAAGACCAGGCTAGACAACAAAAAGGGACCCCCCAACTCTATAAAAAATAAGTTAAATATTAGCCATACACAGTGGTATGCACCTGTAGTCTCAGCTACTCTGTAGGAGGTGGGAGGATTGCTTGAGTCCAGGAATTCAAGGCTGCAGTGAGCTATGATTGTGTCACTGCACTCCAGCCTGGGCAACAAAGCAAGACCCTGAAGACCCTGCTTCTTAAAAAAAAAAAAGGAACCTTCCACACAAGGTTTTTCTTTTGCTCTTCCTGTTGACTGGAAGTCTGTCTACTTGAATTAACAAGGGCTCTTCTTCCCATGACCTCATACTCCTCTCAGTTTAAAATCTGCATTTGAGCAATGGATGCAAAACCTAACTGGCAATATAAATTTGCATCTTCTTGAAATGGGCTCCAAGAAGCAGGTTTGTGGCCAGTAGAGCCAGCTCAGAACCCAGGAGTGGTACAAAAAGCATTCAGATATCAAGATTCCCCTCCTGGCTGCATCTTCCATGGGGGAGGCCATGAAAGGGGCCCCTGGTGAACCATTGAGTCATTTATAGGCTAATCTTAGTACACTCCCTGAAGTAGGGAATGACATGGGCTGCAAGAATTCTTCCTAAGCACCCCAGAGAGAACTTCACCGATTTAAAATATGAGTTTCTGTAACCTGAGCAGGAGCTTGCGTGGTACAAGGGCTTATGCAGCCTGCCTGCCAGGAGGCCAGAGGGTCGCACTTATGAGCTTGAGCAAATGGGGCTTTTGGGAATCAGCAGCCTCCCTGAGCTTTCCTGGAGCGAGCTGAACTGACCCTGAACTTGGAGGGCTTGCCTGGCAGGCTTTTGCTGTCTCCTGATATTGCAGTTTCAACATGAGAGGGGCAGGAAATAGAAGCCCCGTGCGTTGAAGGACTGCTGTGCCTGCACTTATCTCTGGCCAGGGAGTCCTTGGACACTGTTTTCTTTGGCAGCCAGCTGGTCTAGGTCACTTGAATTCCTTTGAAGTTCAGGGATACAGGGAGCGGTAGCCACTGCCTGCATTCCTTACTCAGGAGGCAGGCATGGGGTCTGCCATTGCTTACCTGCCAGAGAACCAGGCCTTCATTAGAAAGGTCATTTTTATGTGACTATGACTGAATAGTTCAGCCTTTTCCCCTTAAGTGGGATTTTGTGCTGATTCAGCAGTAAAGAATAAGCCCATACCCCCCATTTTTGTTGCCATTGCTCACATTTGAATTTATAGGTGGAGAATGGGTGAAGAAAAAAAACCTTTGATCTTTGGTACAAATACAGCTGTGGGGCTGTTGCCCACATTTGCCGTGATGTAGATGCCCATCCCAAAAGGAGCAAGATCTGCTCTTGCAGTGGGTGTTGAGAGGGGCTGGGAGGCTTTTTCAGTCAAATATGGAGCTGAAAACTGTCAGAATGTGCTGGTTGTACATTATCAATAAGAATCCTAACAGGAGCACAGTGTGATTTCTCTTCGTAGTGGGCGTACATGGTCTTGGGTTTCCATGTGCAGCAGTGAGAGTTGGTCTCCAAAGCAGAACGGTCAGCATTAACTTCAGCCAAGCAAGCATTCTGTATGGGGTGCTCCCTTTAAGCCCAAGGGAAAGCAGGCTCTGCTGCTTTTGCCACCTTTCAGAGGGAGAGGTGTGCCCCACCAGGGGTGCAGGTGTGCTGGGGCGTGAAGATAAAATTAGTTGTTTGGAAAAAAATAATGTCTTTAAGTTTCTGCAGAGCAGATCGTACCAATTAAAATCAGTTCATCAGAGGATTTTTTAGTCAATCCATACATTCACACATAAAGAGATGTGATTATAAGTAACTTGGCTGATTCCACAAGCTACTCACAAAATCAGATCATTATTTTGTAATCACATTTGTGGGTTTAGATGCCTGAGAGACCTTCTGAACCATCACCGTTTTGGGTGCCTGTGAGAATATTTGAAACTACCGGCCGGGCGTGGTGGCTCACGCCTGGAATCCCAGCACTTTGGGAGGCTGAGGCAGGCAGATTACTGGAGGTCAGGAGTTGGAGACCAGCCTGGCCAACTGATGAAACACCATCTCTACTAAAAATACAAAAATTAGCCCAGCATGGTGGTGGGCACCTGTAATTCCAGCTACTGGGGAGGCTGAAGCAGGAGAATCGCTTGAACCGAAGAGGCGGAGGTTGCAGTGAGCCGAAATCATGCCACTGCACTCCAGCTTGGGTAAAAGAATGAGACTCCATCTCAAAAAAAAAAAAAAAGAAAAGAAACTGCCCATATGCATGGCTAGGACAGCCTTGATGTTGTATTTAGTCTTATGCAGGGCAACTCCTCTGAAGTCCTCCTCTCACTTCTCACTATCTTACACTATTTGTGATAGACAATGGAGAAAGAGGGTTTTCTTCAGCAGAGTTGGAGTATCTACTCTGTACTGGATGCTAAGGATACAGTGCTAAACAGGATCAGCCACATAATTTGCAGGGACCAGTGCAAAATGAAAATATGGGGATCCGTTGTTTGAAAAAGCAGGAAAAGGTACCATTAAAGATATGAAAATATAAAGCTTTTCCTTTTCTTTCATGATCTTTCTGTCTCCCTGTCCTGCTATTTGCTATTTAATGCCATGCATTTTCAGGCAAGGAAATATAGCACAAGTGGAAGAAGCTGCACCCTGCCCACTAGCTGCTGGGTACCTCTCCTGCTAGTCACCTGCTCAGTGCACTGTGCCTTGGCTGGGGCTGGGGAAATCAAGCCAGGTATCTCCCCCATCCCAAGGGCCTGCAGCCCTAATCCACACCCAATGCATGATGCCCAAAGATATGGCAACCAATGTGCCAGGATGCGTTAGGCCTATCGAACACACTGTGGCACTGTCATGCCCACCCACTACAGGCACACACACCTGACTCCAACCCTCGCCTCTCCCAGGCCCCACCAAGGATGGAAATCAGCAGCAGAGATGGGGAGGAGGGGGCCAGGAGGGGCCAAGCCTCCAGGTCCCCAGTGCATGCTCCATGATCCCATCAAATTTCACTTACAAAACACAAATTTTAAGATAAAATTATTTAGAATTTTAAGACAACCACTAGAGCATTAAGCCCCAAGCACAGGGTTCTCCTAAGTGCACGAAGCCAGCCCTGTTGGTAATAGAAAGATAGGAAGATGCCTCCCCTTACCTATGAATATAATTTCTTCTAAGGGCTAAGTAAGACATAAACAAAGAGGTCAGGACAAAGAAAGGCCGAGAAGGTGAGAGACTTGTAGAGATGGTAGGCAGGTGGCTTCTTGGATGACAAGTCATTGAAGCCAAGTCCCAAGCTATGAGAAGGTAGCATCCAAGGGAAGAGCTGGGAAGATTGTTCCAGGCAGCAGGGACAGCCTGTGCAGAGACCCTGTGGTAGGAAAGAACCTGGCTCATTGGAAAAACTGAAAGAAGGTTTTGTGACTGGGGCCTGGGGACTAGGGAGGAGAGTACCATGGGAGATAGTAGGAAAGGTTGATAGGGGCAGGCAGATATTTGGAGACAGGGTAAGTTTTATCATCATAGCCTTTAATTTCCCCAAGTGGTAGCTGTATCTTTCTACTCCTCCCCATCTTGGGTTAATTTCTTCCTAAAAGGCAGAGGCTTTAATCCCAAGGAAACCTTTAATAGAAAAATTTACATTTTAGTTCATTTGTTTCCTTAAAACGGGGTTTCATCTGGTAGCTATCAGACCTGTGCTGGCACCTGTTGTGGCAGTTAATTTAAAACTCAGAACACTTTGTGCCTTTCATTTGCCCCCTTGAAATATAAAAGCCTAGTGCCACCGTTGCAACCTTATTGAAAAGAGCTTATCTAAAATTGGGGAATATCAGCCCACAGTAGGCATATAATGTGTTTTTCTCCTACACACTGCTGTGAGATAAGAAAATGGTTTCTAGGGTTCTCATTAGGTGATGTTTCTGGGAGTCTTTGCCCTGTTGTGAAATGGCCTTAAAGGTGAATGCTTTAAGTAATGAGCAGCCAAAGGCCCCGCTTCTGGCAAAGAGCAAGAAATTGCTGGAAAGGTCAGATGGGTTTCAAAAATGTTCTGCATTTGCCTCAAATAGTGACACAGGAATTATTCAGCTTACATAAGAGCTGTTTATAGGTGCTTGGAGAAAATCAAGGTTGTGATTGTTTTGGCTATTTAATGGGGCATATCTGTCCCAAATTTATGGGGGAAAAAAAAGAAAGTAAGTTTTAGCCAGAGAAGAAAGCTTAGGGTCACAGGAGAACAGAGCTTCGAAACGGCCTGGACAGTCCCAGCAGTCATTAGCTGGGATCAAGCAATTGTGACATCTTCATCTTGTGTATTGTAATGAACTGATTAGTCCACCCCTCGGAAAACATAGAAAAGCAAAGACAGCCTTCTCCTGGGAGGTGTAAAGAGTGAACGTTTAAAATGACTGTCTAGGTTCCTCTGCTCCGTTTTATTATTTAAGTACTTATATTGGTGGCTTTTCCCCCCAGAGGTAAAAAATCATTTGCTTCCTTTTTAAAGAAGAACGTGACCCTCTAATAATAAGGCACAGAATTAAATGCCACTTAAATTTATTATAGTTAAAAAAAATTTTTCTAGAAAGTGGCTTGAATTTTAGAACCTGACACTATCATGTAGGAAATACCTATAAATTTAGAGATATTGAAGTTATTGAAAAAAAATCCAGCAAGTTGACATTTAGATGCCCCTATTAAAAGTCAATTAATATTGTGGATTTTTTATTATATTGCTATAAAAATCCATTTGATTCTCATGTAGATGAGAAGTTTTGAATATTTAGATGTCTTAACTAATTTATTGGGGGAAAGAGGAGACAAGGTGTAAAATACAGTGGGCACCAACTTTGGAGCAAAAAGACATTTTAACTAGACAAAGATTTAGCTTATAATAGGCCATAAGTTTAAGGCTGTTTCTTAGGTTGATTTATTTATATCTCTCCAGTCCTTTCCAAATAATCAGTTTTCCTGATATGAAATAAAATATCTGACCTTTGATATGTCCGATGATAACGTTTAGTTGTTATCTATGCCAATCAGTTACCGCCAGCTTTGCAAATAATCACAAAACAAAATATCTTCCAGCTCTGCCTCCCAACTTAACCAATGCTACATTGAGGAAACTTTCATAGACCTGACAAATTGCATGTATGACTTTTTCCTTCTTTTAAAATTATGGTAAAATATACTTATTATTTTACTATTTTAACCATTTTTAAATGTACAATTCAGCGGCATACATTACATTCACGTTGTCTTACGTCCATCACTTCTATTTCTTAACCTTTTCATTACCCTACACAGAAATTCTGTAACCATTGAACAAATGCATGGCTTTTTGTTTATTTTTTGGCTGGTTTAATGGGGCTGTTTTCAGGCTTTTAAGAATCATAATGCTTGGTGGATTGATTTTTTTTTCCTTCCACCTCATGCTCTTCTCCATTCTATGAGTGCCCTGCCAGCTCCAAAGCCATGGGAATCCCCAGCTGTACACTTGTGCCTGGATTGGAATCCCACCCCTCCTATCCATGGGCTCTTACACAGGCCATAGAACTTGGAGTTATTGCCCATCAGAGTCAAATTCAAGCTGTTGACCTAAAAGCGAGCCATTCCCAGCCACTGGCATCTCCCAGCCCCCACTGTCTGCTAATGTGCTTATTATTTTTCTGTTTCCTTCACTATGCAGTCTCTTCTTGCAGCGTGCTCTTTCCCAGCTTCCTGTCAGCTTTATCCACTTACCTTCCTCTGATGAAGATAAAGGTTTTTTGCACAAAATCTGCTCAGCCGCATTCCATGCTGTGTGCTGGCAAGGGCATTGCTAATAGCTTTAAAATTCACTTAAAGAAATTGGAAACAGCAAGTCACGTGCAATCATTGTCAGGCATGTTGTTAATTACTTGATAGAGATGCTATATGGACTGCCTTTTGGTTGTAATTAGAGGTTTTTATCATCTTTGCCTTGCCTGTAAGCTTTTCCAAATTTCTTTATGAACATTACAAGTGGAGATGGATAGGCTAACACATATCAGATTACCTGCCAGTTTCCCTGAAATTGTCTTATTTAATTGTCACTCTTTGCATGCCACTTGCATTTCTTTGGGTGCTTGGATTAGAAAAATGATTTTTCATCGTCTTATAGTTTAAAATTAGCATTTCCTGCCACCAGTAAGTTTGGACTTGACCAAGATCTCATTCAGAAAGTTGTTGGAAGATTAAAATACTCTCACCTATGCTAAAATAAGAGCTTAATTCTTTGCAATGCTTTGTAGTATTTGACTTTGAAGCTGCCAGAAGTTTTAGTAGCCAAGTAGTAGTAGGAAAACTACTTCAACCACGAAGAATCTGAATTAGGAGCAAGCTCTAAACCACTGAAAAATATTTCAAAATTTGTTTGAATCTGTAAGGGTCTTCTTTTGTAAAGAAGTAAAAAGAGTTTGAGGAAAGTATTTCTTATTCCACGATGATGCTATTAAAATATTAATATTATAAATATTAATATTATAAAATAATATAAATTATTTTGATATTACCAATTATAAGTTAATTGGTAATTTTCCTGAGTGCTGAATCTGTATGTCAGATTTTTTTCTGGGGCTATGTGTGTCTATCATGTAATATTAGGTTGGTGAAAAAGTAATTGCCACTCAGTGGCAAAACCGCAATTATTTTTGCACCGACCTAATATTTCATGCTCAGAACAGTCTTGAGACAGGTATCTTCATTCTTCTTGTTTTACAAGTCAGAGAACTGAGACTAATAAAAAGCTTGTTTTTGTCGCTTACTTGGGGCAAAGGAAGAAAGGTTAGAATAGATGAATGCTCCTTCTGGTTTCATTTTAAAGTTAAATTTACTCTATTTTAATCTCATCTCACTTCCTCTAGGAGAAGGTTGGCTCGCCCTGGTTTCGGGTGCCTCCCAGTCTGCTCAAAAAGAAAGCCCAGGCCTCCTTTATACCAGCTTCTAGGACTTTCATATGCAAACGCATCTGCTGGGAATCTTGCTAAGAGGCAAGTTCTGATTCATTTCCTCTGCAGAGGAGCCTGAGATTCTGAATTTCTAAGAAGCTCATGGGTGTTGCTGGTGCTGCTGGTCTGTAGACCACACTAGGAGCAGCGAGTATATTTCTGTATTTCACTCCTTCCCAAAGCCATACCTAGTCCTCTTCAAGGTACTGCTACATTTCTCTCTTATCCTTTAATACTAGTCAGCTTGGAAGAACAATCTGCTGCAGCTTTCTTTTCTTTCCTTACTATCTGTGCTATAGTTTATCTTCTTCCCCCAGCTCTCCATGAAGCTCTTCTGTCAGAGGATTTGTAGGGCCTTTCTGCCATCACATCCAACACATACTGTCAGTTCTCACCTTTCCCTCTGTTCTCTGGGGCATCGAACTAACCACCCCCCTCCATTGGAAAATGATCCTCTGACCTCACCACTCTGGTGCATACACTGGGTAATCTCATGACTTTGGCAACTCCCAAATCACCCATGCGTCTGCTCCAGAACCCTGATCTGGGACATCTCTGCTCAAATGTCAATATACCTCAAACCTAAGGTATATGAATCCAAACTCTTGCACTTTCTCTTTCTCCTTCTCCTCCTCTTTGCCTTTCCAGTCTTTCTTAACATAGGACACCTTAGAGATGCTTTAGACTCTGCTTCTCACACACCCGCTGTCAATTCCTTCCAGTTCTAACTTTAAATTATTTCTCATATCATCCCCTCCTTATCCACCCCAGGCCCCCGCATCATGTTTGCCAGGATTGTTATACCTCCTTCCATAGATTCTACGTCCCTCCACTTTTTTCTTCCTTCCTGCAGTCCTTTCTTTTATAATACGTTCAAGCATTAAAATTTTTCTAAAACCTTGATTTGATATATATTTTCCTAATGGGTAAAGTTCTGACGGCTTCCCAGTAAAGAATATGGTTCTAGTCACTTTGCCTGGCCTCCAAGGCCCTTCACAGCCTTTTTCACACACACCACTTCCCACTGTAGCCGGCTCTGCCCAACCCAAACGTCAGCCAGACTGCCTCCCAAATACATCTGGGAATGTTCTGCTGCCACGCCTTTGCATTCACTGTCTCCTCCTTCTGGGCTACCCTTCCTGGTATGGTCAATTAAACCCACCTCACCTGTTCACTGATTGGGTTGTAGTTGTCATTTCTAGATTTCATATTATCTACCTCACTTTGTAGCATATGCAATTAATTTATGTCACTTCCATATATGCCACTTAAAAAATAAGTATATATTTGCTTAACTATGTGGCAGCCACTTTCCCCAGAAAAGAGAGAATGGCAGGAAACCTGAAAGAGCATCATGATAGCATCTGGAAAATGCAAAAATACATTTCTTCTTTTCTGTAAACACTTCAGCATTTGTGAACCCAGGGCACATTTCCTCCCTGGGACAGCCAACAGCACTGTGAAGATATGGTTGACAAGAGTATCCAGCTTACATTAAAAATGCATCTAACTAAAAGGGTTTAAGTCAACTGCTCTTTCTTGCATCTTCATTATGTTGACTTTACAAATGGGGAAAAAGCAAGTTCAAGAAGGAACGTCTCTGTGGCTTCCTATAAATTGCTTCAAAATGAAGCCTCTTCCCTTCATCCTTGTAGATTTTTCTTGGTGACATTCTCCTTTCTGAGTGCTTTGAGCAGCCACTCAGATGCCTGGTATCTCTGTGACAATCACAGTAATCTTTTCTTTGTTAATTGACCTCCTCTGAAGTACGGAGAAAGTTTTATCTTCTACCCTGGATTATAAAGCAAAGGCAAGGCATGCGTGTTTGTTCTCTTCTGTTCTCTAAGGCACTAGAGTTTAATTTACGGTAAAATAAGTACCATCAAAAGCAATTTCCTAAGCCCCTTGGTGTCCAAGGAAAAATCTGCATATGTAATGATGAAAGCTAGAGAGCAGTGCCTTCTTTGGATTGACCCAAAGCAAGTAGCATAGCTTCTGAATCTGCACTGAATAAACAACAGGTTGTGGCCTGTCCTCAGAAACAGTGTAAGTTAAAGATCCCATAAATTCTGTGTCACTATGTAATGGTGTCTTATAGCAACCTGGGGTCCTTTACTTTTGTTGCTGGGGGGCTGTCCAGACCAGCCCTGAGGATATCCAAGGGCACTACCCAACTCCTTAAAGTGTGTTTAGGTATTTAATTGAGCTTGCCTAGGGGATTTCTGAGACAGAGGAGAATTGCCACCTTTGGGGTACATGATGTTTTAAAAAATGGAGTTGAAGACTGTCAGAGATTTAAAAACAAATACAATAATAACAACAAAAGCCTCAGATGAGCCAGGTAGTAAATGTGTGATTTGGCCATTCTGAGACGCCTAGATGAATGACAGTCACTATAAACGCGTAGGAGAGGTTGTGTCTATCTAAAGTTGTCCACTATTTTTTTTAGAAGAGAATGAAGAGTTGAGACTCTCCAGTGGATTTATCTCCTTTTCTTTGTGGCTTTGCTTTAAGGATGGGCCCAGGGTTTATATCATAATGTGTTTTCTCTTAGAAACAGGGAAACAATCTAATGAACTAAACCTGTGGTGGTATGCATATAATTGTTCTTGAAATGAATTATAAATACAGTACAATTAAATAGACACAGTTCTGTGAAAAACAAACTTGATAAGGGAGCAGCTAGCTCTTCCCTGCTTCTATCTCATACCTGCGTCAGACATAACTAATCATCACATTCTTATCCTCAGAGTCCACCCATGGCTCCAGAGTGCTCTCAGTGTTATCACTCCAGGCAGCCACTGTCAATCTATCAAAGATGCTCTTAATGTTGAAAACCATTTGTTTGCCATTTTCGCATAATGGAAAGAATGCTAGGCTGTGATTTAGGACATCTGTGTTTAGTCCTTAATGCTACCACTAGCTAGCTTTGTGTGGGGGTGCGAAGGGATGGTTTCTGTTTTTTGGAAGGGAAGGAGGAATTCTTTTTTTGTCTTTTTCTCTCTTCTGGACTGTTCTTTTCTATAAAATGATTGAATAATCGTTGAGGTCCATTATACTTTTAAAATTACACTCTTTAAGTTTTATGAACAACCTATTTATAAATTTGAACATTTCCATTTTTAAGGGCAAGAAATAAGAGTAAGAGGTTTGCTGCTCATGAACTCAATGGGTATCTCTGTGTCCAGCTTTCAGTCTTATAGGAGATAGAATCCTGCCCTCAGGCCAGGTGTGGTGGCTTACGCCTGTAATCCCAGCACTTTGGGAGGCTGAGGTGGGCAGATCACCTGAGGTCGGGAGTTCGAGACCAGCCTGACCAACATGGAGAAACCCCATCTCTACTAAAAATACAAAATTAGCCAGCCATGAAGGCGCATGCCTGTAATCCCAACTACTTGGGAGGCTGAGGCAGAAGAATCCCTTGAACCTTGCGGTGAGCCGAGATCACACCATTGCACTCCAGCCTGGGCAACAAGAGTGAAACTCCATCTCAAAAAGAAAAAAAGAATCCTGCCCTCACACATTTTATTAATTTTAATAAATTGTATTCTCTTCATTCTTGGTTATTTCTAAGTCAAGGGAAAAGTTTAGTCTCTGAAGTGATAAACTCCTGGCTGAGCACTGTGACCCATTTACCCTCTGCTGTGCCTAATGACCGCACATAGTCTTTGTGTCAGAGGGCTCAGAGCCATGTAGGAATCATTAGAGAGCAAGAAGTCTGTATGCATAGAGGTGAGAGCACGGGTATCTGCATCAGTACAGGCTGGGGCCACATTGCAACTCTGCCATTTACTAAACATGACTGTGGGCAATCACTTACTCAAGCCCTAATTCCCTAGCTGTAAATGAAGAATAATATGAGTATGTAATTCTTAGGATGATTGGCATTAAATGGAATAGTATATATAAACAAGCCATCAGTGACCAGAAAAAATTATAGAAACAGCTTGTGCTCTTATTTTGTTGGGAGAGAAAATGTTATGGAACATGTTAAGAAAGTAATATGAATGCAAGGGTCTTTGGCCAAAGTATGCGTACTAGGTTGGGAGCAGGGCTTGGGGAAGGACACTGTTTCTTTAGACAGATATATCATCTGGTGATGCTGTTGTACCGGATGCCAGAGATACAGAATCAATTAAAGACAAGACTTGACTTTTAAGGAACACACAGTATGGTGGGGAAAGAAGTGGAAATATCAACCCTGCTTCTCCATGTGCTTTTACAGAGGCAAGCGTGCACTCTGGGTGATGGGGTAGGCAGGAGGGCCAGGGGAGAACTTTCTATGTCAGGCTTGAAAAGCTGGCTAGAGAGTATGTCCAGGAAAGAACAGGGTGGAGTATGCAGTCAGCATGATTGAGAAGAGAGCCAGACAAAGAAGTTAGACTAAAATTTGGAAGCCTTCCCAAGCCGAGAGACTTATGTGTGCAGAAAACCAAAGGTCTGAGACTTCTTGCCTGGATCTTGAACAAGAGCCAAGGAATTCTGCTTGAATTTCAACAGAGGCTTCAGAATATGGAGGGTCAAGGGAGGTGTTAAAACCAGATCACAAAGGGCCCGCCCCAGGTGCTAACCTCTGAGAGGTTTGAATTCTTTCAGTCATTATAGCCTGTTGGCCACTGTTTTGACAACAGTGGCTTCAGCCAGGCTGGCCTTCATGCCCCAGTGGTTTTAGAATCAGGGCATTCTCTGACAGGTAGTCACAATGGCCAAGGGCAAACTGCTATGTCTAGTGATGGGGGAGTATTAGTAGAGTTATTAATAGTTAGACCCTGGCCTCAGGTCCTACCCCAAGGATGGTGGCTTGAACTTCTTCATAATTGGATTGCCCCCAGTAAAATCACATTACAAACAAAAGAGTTTATTGGAACACCTGGTGCCTGTATCTGTATTGGAAATTGTATTCCAATGTACTACCCTGTCCCTTGCAGCTAATCTAATTTCCTTTCCTTCCCCTCATCATCTACCCCCGCCCCCCGCAACTCATACATGTTTAGTTTTACAAAATAATACCACCTATAGCCATGTATGAATCATATTTTTCTTTTATAGTGAACGTGAGTCCCCACCACATTTGTGAAAGGGGAGTTGAGTTCACACAAGGCATTGGGAGCACAGGCCTGGGCTGGGGTCAGGCAGGGGAGATGGGATTTTTGGGGGTTGCTCCATCCATCTGGTTATGTTATTTGAGGAGGCTGAGACCAAGGGAAAAGGGAAAGGCTTGGGCCTGTTCAGCAAACTCTTATTACAAAGACCATTTTGAAGCACTCTGCTGTGCCAGCACAAATCGTGATTGGCTTCTCAGGCTGAGCCATGCACCGATGAAGGGTTTGAACAATTCCGACAGGTGCCTGGCCTGAGCTACAGCGGGCTGGTGGATGACTCCCCTCGGTATTCCTGGAGAGTTATTGAATGTGGCCAAGCAATGAAATAACAGTGAAAAGGGAAGTCACTTTTTTTTTTTTTACTTTGAGAAGGTGTATGCTGGCAAAAAGGAGCCTGTCCATGCCAGAGAGACCCTTGTGGTCATATTCTGCTAATTGGTCTCTTTACAACTTGAAAACATTGATAAACAGAAGGAATTTAACTTTTCTTCCTTGGGGGCTGAAAGAGCATGGATGCTCAGAGTGGCAGTTTTATTTGAAGTTGCTGGGTTATTCTGATATACAATGACAGTATCCTAAAGAAATGAGATCTTTAAAAGCCAGGACCTTTTTCAAGCAGTCTAAGCTCAAAGGAGCAGAGAATTATTGAAGGTAGAACAGGATTCAGGCCACATTTCTTTTAAATGCTCATGGAAGTCAGTCTTGATAGTGAACAGATGTTCATTCAGTGCTGAATTATTAGGTTGGTGCAAAAGTAATTGCGACTTTTGCCATTACACATAGAACCTAAGTTTCTGCTCTGAGAATAAAGGCTAAATGCTGATTAATCCATTCTGTAAGACTTGGCCAAAATGTGTTTTTAACCATTATTAGCATGTAGTTTCTTTTAGCCCCATTTTAATCTCTTGTGGGTTATAACCCCACTTGGGATGCAGTGAAGAAAAAAGCAACATGGTTCAGAGAACTGGACCTTTCTTTTGACAGTTTAAAATTCTACAACTATTACTGACCTTTTACAACTATTACAACTACCTTTTCAGTCAGTGGTCCCCAACCTTCTTGGCACCAGGGACTAGTTTCATGGAAGACAGTTTTTCCACGGACTGGGCGGGGCAGAAGTTGATGGTTTTGGAATGATTCAAGCCTCTTACATTTATTGTAATGCTATTATTACTACATTATTATTATTATTACATTATTATTATATTATTATTACATTGTAATATATAATGAAATAATTATACAATTCACCATAATCTAGAATCAGTGGGAGCCTTGCAACTGGATGGTCTCATCTGGGGGTGATGGGAGACAGTGACAGATCATCAGGCATTAGATTTCTATAAGGAGTGCACAACCTAGATCCCTCTTAAGCAGAGTTTGCAGTAGAGTCCATGCTCCTATGAAAATCTAATGTCGCTGCTGATCTGACAGGAGACAGAGCTTAGGTGGTGATGCAAGTGATGGGGAGCAGCTGTAAATATAGATGAAGCTTCACTCACTCACCCACCTCTCCCTTCCTGCTGTGAGGCCCAGTTACTAACAGGCCACAGACTGGTACCAGTCCTGGGGTTGGAAACCCCAAGTTTTAGATCACAGTTCTATACAGATTCAGGATTTGGCCAAAGTAATGCAAATTCACCCTTCTTTGCTTTGATTTCATCTCAAAGTGATGTCATTTGGCTGTGTCCCCACCCAAATCTCATCTTGAATTGTAATTCCCATAATTCCCGTGTTTCTTGGGAGGGACCCAGTGGGAGGTAATTGAATCATGGGGGCAGGTTTTCCCCATGTTGTTGTCATGATAATGAATAAGTCTCACAAGATCTGATGGTTTTATACAGGACAGTTCCCCTGCACACGTCCCTTGCCTGCCACCATGTAAGACATGCCTTTGCTCTTTATTCACTTTCCGCCATGATCGTGAGGCTTCCCCAGCCATGTGGAACTGTGAGCCCATTAAACCTCCTTTCCTTTATAAATTACCCAGTCTTGGGTATTTCTTAGAGCAGTGTGAGAATGGACTGATACACAAAGATAGTGATGATTTAGGGATTCATGGCAGCATCTAGCCAGTTCCATACCCTAAATGTCATTGACATTCAATAAATCCTTAAATAGGAATTTAAAAATCTTGATTTATGGGTGATTTTTTGCTCATGAGCGTTTGTTTTCATTATTTTTGAATGTTGGAGAACATTTTTGCACATTAGGGAATACTGTTGGCTCAGCAGCCCTCACCAAGCAGACTTTAATTTTAATAATCCAAGACTATGGTTAATCCAAGACTGTGGACAATCCAGGAATTATCTGTCTCACTTTTAGCATGCATTTCTGTTTGTTCATTGGAGACTGCTTTGTCAGAGATGACATTCTGAGTTAAGAAGATGGATCTTGGAACCAGAGAGACCCGGAATTTATATTTTTTGCTTCCTAGTTATGTGTCCTGGAGCAAGATACTTCCTCTTGCTGAGCCTTGGTTTTCTCCTCTGCCTAATGGGTATAATAATAGTCTTTATAGCTAACATTTAATTAGTGCCTACTGTGTGCCAGGCACTGTTCTAAATGCTTTGTCATTTAATCTATAATACAACCCCATGAGGTGTATCAAGGTATAATAATGATGGTGCCTGCATAATAGAATATGATCCATTATTAAGCAAGATAGTTCATGAAAAACATTTCACATGCTGTCTGATACATTATAAGAACTCAATAAATATATGGTATCAATGGTAGTTACTGTAGTTATCTATTGCGTGTAACAGATTGGCCTAATATTTAGTGCTTAAAAAAAACCGATTGTCTCACACAATTTCTGAGGGTCATAAACCTGGAAGACACTTAGCTGGGTAGTCCCATGAGGTTGCAGTCAAGCTGTCTACTGGTACTGCAGTCATCTGAAGGCTCAGCTGAGGGTCGGCTTCCATGACGGCTCACTCACAGGGCTGTTTGCCAAGGCCTCAGGTCTTCACTGGCTATTGGTAAGAGGCCTCAGTTTCTCTCAACATAGGTCTTTCCAAAAGGGATCCTTGT
Organism: Homo sapiens; assembly: GCF_000001405.40. Lineage (NCBI taxonomy): Eukaryota > Metazoa > Chordata > Mammalia > Primates > Hominidae > Homo > Homo sapiens. The sequence goes on along the minus strand of NC_000003.12, from coordinate 73,476,714 downwards.
GATACGTCAACTGGCTTCCCCCAGAGCAAATGATCAAAGAGAGGGTACGTGTGTACAAGAACAAGCAAAAAATGGAAGATGCGGTGTCTTTTATAACCTAACCATGAAAGTAGCAGCCATCAGTCCTGCCATCTTCTGTTGGTCACACACAACAACCTTGGGACAGTGTGGGAACATACTACCTGATATGGTTTGGCTCTGTGTCCCCACCCAAATCTCATGTTGAATTGTAAACCCCAATGTTGAAGGGGGGTCCAGGTGGGAGATGATTGGATCATGGGGGTGGTTTCTCATGGTTTAGCACCATCCTCCTAGTGCTGTCTAGTGATAGAATTCTCACAAGATCTGGTTGTTGGAAAGTGTGTAGCACTTTTCCCTTCACTGTCTATCTCTCTTCCCTGCTCTGGCCAGGTGAAGATGTGCCAGCTTCCCCTTCACCTTCTGCCATGATTGTAAGTTTCCTGAGGCCTCCCCAGCCATGCTCCTGTATAGCCTGTGGAACTGTGGGCCAATTAAACCTCTTTTCTTTATAAATTATCTGGTCTCAGGTAGTTCCTTATAGCAATGCAAGAACGAACTAAGATATTATCCAAGGGCCTGTGTACCAGGAGGCAGGGATCATTAAGGCCATGTTGGAGGCTGACTGCCACAGTGGTCTGTGTTTCTAAGAATGTTAAATCACATTCCAAAACCATGAAGGTGGGAAGCTGAGCTTAGGAAAACTTGCCTGAAATTAAGGATTTGCCACCAAAAGCCTATCAGCCTAAGCAATCAGTCTGTGGTACATTTTGCGGGTAGGTGCAACCACCATGCATGTTTGAAGGGTGTTTCCTGTGGCTTCTAATTTGCATATCCTGAGATGGTATCAAACGCTTGCATTTGCTCCTTTGCCATTTCTTCACTCCAGCTTTTACTTTAATATTCTGGTACATATTTTTTGATCATCCAGTACTGTGGGCATGGCTCATCTTACAGTCAGTTCTAAAAGTATATAGCAACCCCTAGGTAAAAGTTCATTTCATTACCAACTGGCTGAAGGCAGTGAATTTATATTCAATCACCCATCTGAGTGTTTTCCCCCGATTTTCTGGGGATGGATTCACTGCAGTATTCCCTTAAATGGATTTTTTGGCCTTTCTCTCAGGCCTGCATTTGACATTTTCTCAAGAATGTTTATTTTTTAATTTACAACTTTGAGAGGTTTATTTTATGAGATGGGTTTTATGCAACAAAACATAATGGGTTCAGAGTTGGGGGGGGAACCCTGTGAATTTGAAATTGACTGCCATGAGGAGGAATTATTCATTTCATTTGTGGGAGAAAAATGACAGCTAACAGGAAAGTAGAAAGGTTTCAGGTCTCAATTCACAGATGAACAAATCGCCTTTCATAAGTCAGCACGCTTGGTGTTTTGTATTTGCCGTAAATATCTGTGAGGCTTTTGGAAGGATGTGATTAGGGTATGATCTCTCAGTGGAGGGTTTTTGCAGGGTCTTCTTGGTTAAAGGGGCCTTTTGAATTAAAACGGAAGAAAATGAAGGCCCTTGCCTCATGAACATCAGAGCTTGGAGCCAGACTGGCCTGTCTTTATTCCCTTTCTTCTGTGTAGAGCTGGTGGTCCCTTCTGTTTTTCAAAAAGAAGATGCTTGGATACTCAATGCCTGGACTTGCTCATTCTAATAATATAATGGTGAAATATTAACTTATCTAAGTACTGGAAGCTTCAATAACCATTCTGCCTGACTCTTTGAGCAGAAAAGACTGTGGAAAAACCACTGTGCTCTCATTTTCACCCTCACACCCCACAACCCTCCATTAATTTCCAGGCATCACCCTTCATTAGCCACCCCAGGGCTGAAGGACTGTGTTATGAGGCTGCAGGGTCATGAACCTCACCATCCACCCCTTGGTTCATTTCACAGCTTGCTCCTTTCTTAATACCTTATGGCCCATTTTCCCCCCTTCACTTCGCAAGGGGAACCTTTCCCAGGGCCTGAAATGGATGGGGCTCCTGCTGCTCCTCTTTTGTTCAGTGCCTCCCTATTCTGTGATCTTAAAAGTGTACACCCTTGCCACAACCATAGCATTTGCTCAGTACTCTCAACATAAACCAAGCTTAGATCGCAATGAAACTGCGGACCTGCAGGCTGCCTTGCTTCACTGAGTCAATTTTTAAATGAAGATGGAACACAAGAGGATGATCTTATTGTTCAGTAAATTTACTCTAATACATAAACCCCATGGTGGAAGATGGTATTTGGTGAGTTTAATCTGCTCCACCTTTTTTAATGAATAAGATAATTATAAGATGTGATTGTATTTGCTCATTATACACCACCGATAGCAGTTTGCTTTAGAAATACTGCATAGGTAAAGTAAACTTCCTAAGCTGATCAAAGCAAGGAGAAGGGCGCACCTGCCAAGCACTGGGAATTTTCCCATCTGTCTGTACCATGAACCATGTTACCTTTGATCTTTTTCTTTGGTGATTGACAGGCTGGTGAAAACCATAGCAACTTCTGAAAGTGCCTATCAACGTGGCAGTGGGAGCAAAATTAATGTGTGTTTTCCCCCAAAGAAGATACTAGGTGTGTAAAGGAATGGTTTAGAAGCATCAGGGAGACAGGGTAGCACTGTGGTTAAGAACATGGACCCTAGAGCCAGATAAGCTTAGGTTTGAGTCCAGGCTCTACCGCTTAGTAGATGTGTGACAAGTATATTAGTTATCTGTTACTGTGTAATAAATTACTCCAACACCTAGTGACTTAAACAGCAACCATTTATTATGTCACACAGTTGCTGAATGTCAGACACCCAGGAGTGGCTCACCCGAGTGGTTCTGTTTCAGGGTCTCTCACAAAGCTGTGTTAGGATGTTGACTGGGGCAGCAGTCATCTGAGGCTTGACTGGGGCCAGAGGATCCACCTCGAGGTTCACTCCCATGGCTCTTGGCAAGAGGCCTCAGTTCCTCACCACGTGGGTCTGCTCCTGGCATTTTACTCAGAGTGAGTGCCTAACTTCTCTGAGCCTCTGTTTCTTCATATATCATATAAGGAAAAGAGTAGTACTTCAAAGGATTATAGTGAAGATTGAATTTCAATGAAAGTGCTTAGCATGTCATCTGATTCATGATTAAATTCTCCCTTACTCTTCTTACCATTTTTATCATCATTGTGATCGTCACCTACCCCATAATTCCTATAATGTTTAAATGGGCCTATGTATCTCCAATTTCTGTTTTTTTTTTTCCTCTTTGCCACCAACAATCTTCCCATTCCTCTGAATTTCAAATTCTTTCTTGACTGCCTACAATTAGAACCCATCAAAATGTCAATACCCAAAGACAGATGGAGCCCTCCTGGGGTCTCAGTTGGCTGCCAGGACATGGAAGGATGTGGCTAATGGTAGAATTTGCAGAGAACTTGCACCAAATATTGGCCCTGTCATTAAAACAAAGAGAAAAAAAAATATTTCTGCGAAAGAGTTTTTGGTCAGAGAACTATAACTACAGTTTGAGATGAAACACAGGAAAAAAGACATAGTGGAAGGTTGTAGAATATATACACAGAGTTCACTTAATAAGAGATATTAAGTAGAGAGCATCTCTATCTGTTACACTCCTTTTAGGGGCTCTTAGGATCTTTGGACTGTCTTCAGTGATAAGGCTCAGGTGTACACATCCAAGTTTGCCTAGAATTTTGAGAGGTCCCCAGATATCGTCCATTCACTGCACGTTAATTAAATCTATATAAACAGACAAAGAATGCAGTAAAGACCAACATGGTATATCTTGAATGCATATTTGTATTGGAAAGTGAATAGTAATTTGATATTCCTTTGTACATGTCAAACAGTCATTTATACAAGCACACATATTAAACTTTTGGTGTTTTTGACAATTTACTTGCTAATCCAGCTTTCTGAACGATACCAGCTACCCATAATTTGTTTTTCTCAGCCATGATGTAATCATTAAGTTGCCATAATGAAGATTGAAGGTTTAATAATGGAAAGTGTTACAAATTTCAATTTAATCATTCCTAAATTGATTAGCAACTTTCCCCAAATGCCTGGCCACAGAAAAACAGAGAGCTAAGAGAGACAAAGTGCTGTGGTCCGAGTTTGATAAATGGTGCTTTGGTGCAGCTGTAATTGAGTTATTGAATTTACTCATCTTCCAAATGATGTTTGCATTGTCTCAGCCATATGTGTTGAGGGCCAGAGAAAGGTCATTAGAAGCTTCAGACCGAGGGCATATACGGGTTACAGCAATTTTGAACAGCAACACCGTGGTTAGTCAATTAAAAGGAACACCCAGCAACGTGTCCCTGAGCCTCTTGCCACAGAATGGTCAGTGGTGAGATCCCAAAGGCCTATTTAAAAGAGTCTGAAGATTCTGTAAGTAAATGTCTACTCTCGGCCTCAGGCTATTTAGCCCTGACAAATGACGTGGGTGAGCCCCTATGGGCAGATTTGAAGGAAAGGACACCTATAAACAAATCCAGCCTGGCAGCTCTAACAAAGCCAGAATTGAAATAATTAGATAACAGCACTGGCCTCGCTCACCAAAGAGAGGAGCTGTGTGTTGTTTTCTGCATTGCTTTGCTAACACCAGATGTGAACTTTTTAACTTTCACCTAGATTTCTCTCCACAACAGTATCTTAAAAATAGTAAATCAGCATGGCACTTCAGCTTAAGACATTTTGAGAAAAGGCTTTGTTGGTCTTTTCCCCGTAGCCCACTAACTTATCCCTGTCTACCCGCATTTCAGGTGAGTGTGAACATTAATGCCGCTTGTGTTTCAGTGATTACTAAATAGTCTTCCTTTTTGTCCTGGACCCATTTATATAGCTGTCACATGGTAAATTTTTAATCTAAGATGTGATATTTTACAAATCCATTAGAATTCTTGTGAATAAACATTCTAAACGGAAGGGGCTAAAGCCAGGAGGCCATTTTGCCTGGGAACTAGAAAAGACAAGCCTTCAGGATGTGGACTGAGAGGCCAAGAAGCAGGGAGAAGCCAGTGACAGACAGCAAGGGAGTCCCAGCCCTCCTTGAGGGCAAAACCAGTAGGGAAGGCTGACTGGGCCCAGCTGCTAGTTGGCATGGGTGAGGACCCCTCAGAGGACATGGCCCGGCTCCAAGACATGCATATGGCAGGCACCACTTGGATGACAAGCCACCTCAAAACACTTGGTTTGCTTTACAGTCATAAAGGTAAAGTTCTCTAGAAGCCCCTAGATTAATTTATTACATAGATACTATATGAGTTTTTTAGGGCTGCATTTACAAAGTACTGTAAACTAGGTGGCTGAAAAAAAGAGAAATGTATTGTCTCAAAGTTCTGAAGGCTAGAAACCCAAAATCAGGGTGTTTTCAGGGCCACGTTCCTTGTGAAACCTGGGGGGGGACCTTTTTTTGCTTCTTCCTAGCTGCTGGATGGTTTGCCGGCAAGCTTTGGCGTTCCTGGGCTGGAAGATGCACCACTCCAATGCCCTGTCTTCACATGGTGTTCTATATCTCTTCACATCGTTGTCCCTCTGTATCAAAATATCCCCTTTTTATGAAGACACCAGTCATGTTGGATTAGGGCCAACCCTTAATGACCTCATTTTTACTTAATTGCCTCTGTAAAGACCCTATTTCCAAATAAGGTCACATTCTGAAGGACTGGCCGTTAGGACTCTAGCATATCTTTTGAGTCAGTCGGGGGTGGAGGGGCACATTTCAACACATTACAGACATCAAGTTTTAAAATTGCAAAATGGAATCAATTATTTCCTTTTGTTGTCTAAGTCAATTTGGAATGTGTTTCTCCCAGATATTTTCATTGAAGGTTAATTTTCTGGATGTTTTAGGGGAAAAGAATAGCACATACTAACAATGGATCTCAAAAATGTCCGTTTGGGACTAGTTGGTCGGAATGATTGGCACAGTGGGTCTTTGGGTCCTGCATGTAGACTTGAGTTAACCATTTCAAGTGGCTTCAGCTCTAGGTGACAGATTTCACTCCACCTGTGGCTGGCTTCTCTGTATGTCTGTGCATTGTTTCCAGAAGGACTTGTCAAGGAGCATAGGAGTATTTCCCTCTTATTCAAGAACAGCATCCACAGCACATGGCGGGCAGTAAGTGGGGTGGGGGAGCATTAGGCTTTGGAAAGTTACAGCCCTGGATTCAAATCCTACCACCACCTCTTACTAGCTGAGTGACCTTGATCATGTTACTTCTCTTTCCTGAGCTTTTCCTCCTCCATAAAACCTAGTGGATGAGGCTCAAATGAGCTGGTATGAACAAAGTACTTAGCACATAGCACAGACTTCATGAAGGTTAGTTCTTCAAGCAGCCCATCCTTTATATAGTCTCAGACCACACTGGTATAATTTTAGTTATCTAACACTATATAGTTTACACGGCAATTTCACTTACTATATTTAATTTGTATTTATTGATTGAGGGACACGATTAAAAATATAAAAATGCTTCTTTTAAATTATTCACAACTGGTAGCTATAACTATGAATCTTCCTATGTTCAATATTTTAATTTTTTTTTTTAGCCAACAGCCACTAATCTTGATTAGTTAGTAATCTCAGAGCTGATATCATACCCCAATGCAGTGGTTCTCACCTGGAGGCAATTTTGCCCCCAAGGAACATTTAATAATGTCTGGAGACGTTTTTGGTTGTCACTGCTGAGGAGGAAGGACAACTAGCATCTAGTGGGTAGAGGCCAGGGATGCTGCTAGACATCCTACAACGTACAGCACATTGAACTAACTACCCACTTTCAACATAGAACTATCTGGCCCAAGATGTCAACAGGGCTGAAGTTGAGAAACTCTGCCTTAAGCTACCAAGATATTTTCATGAGTAAATGCTCACCTTCAATCAGTGCATCCAATCAGAAAATGGGTGCCATGTAAATAGCACTTTGTTTTAATTTCCATCCTGCAAAGAAAACATTCAAATCAGAAGTAATATTTTCTAATGTTATGAAAAAAAAACCCCATCAGCTTAAGTCAATAAGCGTTTGATGAGTACATTGCCCTGGGGTATTGTGTTGCTGATAAATGACAGCTGTGGACAAACCGGGCATTTGGGTCAGGCTTTAAACGTGAGTTGGCCAAAAGCTTTTGGGCTGACCCCTACATGAACGGTGATTGTAATCACAGTGAGTAAGCACGGAGTGTTGGTGAATTTCACTAAAAGCAGAGCCATCCCCAAGAGCATGCATACCTTGCCTTGATGGAAGACTCCAAAGTCACCTGACGCCAAATAATGCAACCTCCACTGGTGGCTAGAGTTGTTCAGATCTCATTCGTATTAAAGAGATGAATCATGACCGGGAGTGGTGGCTCACGCCTGTAATCCCAGCACTTCGGGAGGCTGAGGCGGATGGATCACGAGGTCAGGAGTTCAAGACCGGCCTGGCCAACATGGTGAAACCTTGTTTCCACTAAAGATACAAAAATTATCTGGGCATGGTGGTGGGCACCTGTAATTCCAGCTATTCGGGAGGCTGAGTCAGAGAATTGCTTGAACCCGGGAGGCGGAGGTTGCAGTGAGCCGAGATTGTGCCACTGCACTCTAGCCTGGGTGACAGAGTGAGACTTCATCTCAAAAAAAAAAAAAAGATGAATCTTTTTTTCTTGAAAGAAATAAAATAGATATTTGGTAGCATCAGAATGCCTAGTAATAATAAGTATAATCATAATAATAATAGGAGCCAATATTACTTGAACACCTATTAGGTGTCAGGCGTAAACCAAAAGTTGTCATGCTTCTTCTTTGATTCTCATAGTAGCTCCTTTGAGGGAGGTACTAATGATCCCATTTCTCAAATGCAGAAGCTGAGGCTCTGAGGTTAGGTGATAAGCCCAAGTTTATTCAGCTGGTAAGTGGCAGAGCCAGGGTTAAATCCAGGATCGCTGGCTCCAGATCTCCCGCTTAACCTCTGGTGCACTTTTGCATCAGTCAACACAATGAGAGGGTTTGGGTGGGGGTGCTTTTAAAAATTAAAGAACACTGCCTCAGTTGGGGTTATTTAAAGCTTGTTAAATACCTATTTCAATCTGTCACCATGGTAATGATGCCTTTTGTGTATAAGAGATCTTGGAAAACATGGTTTGACTTTTACAGCCCAGGAGATAGGGCTTCTGTTCAAACATTAAGCATTCTCATGCCATCTTCATGGTTTTTCCATAGACATGTACCTCGTCACTATAATTTCCAAATGTGCTTTAATTGACTCAAAGAAAAAAAAAAAGAGTAAGCGACTGTATTTGGGGCATGGAGAGGGGGGAAAAGGTGCTTAAAACAACACAAATTTGTAAGCCCTGGAAGCCAGAATCAAAATGTGTAACCAAACTATAATCAAGGTGTGAACATGGCTGCATTCTTTTCTGGAGGCTCTAAGGGAAAATCTGTTTCCTTGACTTTTCCAGCTTCTAGAGGCTGCCCACATTTCTTGGCTCATGGTCGCTTCCCATTTCCAAAGCCAACAGTGTGCCATCTCTCTGATGATGCTTCCATAGCACAGCTTCCTCTGATCCTCCTCTCTGCCTCCCTCTTCAGCTTTTTTTTTAATTATTATTATTATGGTACAATATACATAACATAAAATTTGCCATCTTAACCATATTTAGGTGTGCAGTGCAATGGTGTTAAATATATTTGCATTGTTGTGTGACCAATCTCCAGGATTTTCTCATCTTGCAAATAATGAAACTCTTTATCCAATAAATGACAGCTCCTAATTCCCTCCTTCCTCTAACCCTGGCAGCCTCCATTCGACTTCCTGTCTATGAATTTGACTACCCCAGGCACCTCATATAAGTGGAATTATATAGTACTTGTCCTTTTGTAACTGGCTTATTTCACTTAGCATGAGTAACTATATTTTCCATGAAAACATTCTCTGACTTCTAGAAATGGAAAATCAGTAATGCTTGTCATAAATAGAGGGAATAGCCATAAAAATGAACAGAATGAAAGCAGCCCATTATTAGATGCTAGCTGAGTTCTACTGTGTGACACTCTGAGGTTCTTATCTCCCACTGAGATTAGCAAATATTAGCAAGGCGCAAAAGATGTAGCAGCACCGAACTGAGACTCTTTCATAATCTGGAAGATGGTAAGACATTTGATAAAGCCAAACCCTCTTGCTATGGGACTCAGTGTTAACTCAAGGCCTGCCTTTCCTTCCACTACTTCAAAACAGTTCAGGTGTTACTGGGAATCGCTGTGTAGAACATCTAGGCAGGAAAGAAGAAATGAACAGGAACACTGAGTGAGCAACTAATCTAATTGGAGAAACAAATATTTGTCCTTTTGTATTTGAGCGTGTGTGTCATTGAGTATACTGAAACAAAAAAATTGGCTTTGCCATCCTGCTGCTTCCTTCACCTGGGTAGATTCCAGTTGATTGTCAATTATATGTCACCAGGTGGTATCAAAAGGCAGTTTAATTCCCCATGAAAATTAGGACTTAACCTGACTCTGTGGCTTTACTGCGAGTACATGGTGCTTGGAAGCTGCTCATTAATCCCATTCTGTAATGCCCTTGAGATCACCAACCTGAAAGTGAATCTCCATTTCCTGCACCATCTCTGCAGCTGGGGTCAGATGGAACATCAGATAGGGTCTGATGACAGTCCCTAGATTATGACTGTAGACAATAAACTGGGGGTATCTTAGCAGCAGATCCAGGATAAATTCCTGGGGACCCATTTTTGCCCCTTTTTAGAATCTACCCAAACGTCCTACAGAGGAAAAATGAAATGATGCATCACTTAATATGTTCAAGTGGAAAGAGAACACAAATCCTTGCTCTGCTTTTTCTGGAAAATTTGCATACATTCTGCCTAGTGTTTTATGTTCCAGAATAATCTTTCTTTCATTCTTTTGTTAGTTAAAACAGAAACCAGAGACCTCATTGGGGGTGTATGGTTTTAAGCAAGATTTATATTATAATAAAGAAGCCCTTTTTGGATCCACATCAAAACAATTTGACCCTTTCTACAAATTCATTCTAGAGTTTCTGCGTGTTAAGGGAGAGGGTGAGGATAAACCCAGAATTGTTGCTAGTTCCTGCATGTCTTTTATTTCCTCTTAATTGCTGCGTGGACCAGCCCCATCCTAAACTGAATAGACTCACTAAGGATTCTCTCCTGGGCCAGAATCCTCACTCCAAATGAGCTAGCCATAATCACCTGTCGTTATTGAAGCACCAATTCAGGTGAGGTTTTTACCATCATTTCATCACCAACTCTTGGAGACACAGCCACCGTGAGTGTCTTGCTTTTGTTGTTATTAATAGGTTTTTTGTTAAGACCACAGATTTGCAGGCCCCATAAAAGAACTCCAAGGGCCCCCCCTTTTTTTTTTTTCTATCACTCTTTGTAGTCCTATCCTGTGATAACTGCATTTGTTTGGGGAGATAAGGAACTTTCGTTGGTCATTTTAGATAGGATACCATATGTCAAATTTGTAAAATCTTGTTAACACTGTGTTTTCTTCACTAGAGAGTTACCCTCTAGTAGGGGAAAATGGAACTGCCAATTACAGCAGGCTCCTGCTGTGAATAAACTGGTGTTATATTCCCAGACATCAGGCTCTGCAAGGAGAGAGCCCCCAGTTGCCTTTTCCTTTCTAGCCTGATAGACAAAGCTTTAGAGTAAAGCGTAATTAGCTTGACTGACAATCAGGAAAATACAATCTTCAGTATCTGTTTTTATTTTAAGGTCTACTTGTTTTGGAGACATATTCCAAAGTCATTCAGCAATTCATTCCTCAATGCAAAATTCAGTCAATTGAAAGGCCAGAATTTGCTTAAAACATTCAATGTGTTTTTCAAAAGAGAGATAAATGAATCCACCTAGTGACCAACAAAACTTATGGTATATCAGACTATAACTATTAAAGGAGAAACTATAAATCCCCGTGGCAGTAGAGATAATAAATTTTTTTAGGCTGACCCCTTTGGGGGGAATTTGGATCTTACACTGCGTTCTTAATTTTATTGAGGCAAAGATATTGCAGAAAGAAAATCGTTTCTCTGGCACTAAACACAAATAATGTACAACAATAATCGTGACTTCCTGGTAGCCGTTTTCTCATCCGCGGGCTAGCTTCATCATTGTATAATGGTGAGATCTTGTTCATCAACTTCTGTCCCTTAAGAGGTTTTCCTTGCAAAATTGGAAAGGGATATTTTGTATTTTGTTTTGTTTGTTCATTTTGGGTTTTGTTTTCCAAATCTTCTCTAATTCTGCAGGCTGGAAACAGGTAGCTCAGTGAATGTTCAGATCACATCCTCTGGCACCATCTATATAAGGCAATTTGTTATAGAAAGAAGTTAATTGATTTAAGGTAAAGGAAGGGAAATATACAGAAAAGGAGGAGAGATGGAGATTCAAAATGCAAAAACTAAAACACATAGAAGAAGGGGTATACTTCATCATCCATTGGCTGTTTAGTACCTGCTGTGTACCAGGCACCAGGCTGGGCTCCGGAGATAAAGTGATGGATTTTATACCGACTCTGCCTGTGAGTGCTTTCATTTAGCATGGGAAAGAGATGGTGCATACCCTATTCCAACATAATTAAGACTCATTTTATTACAGATAAGCAACCTAGAGACAACTTAGCAACAGAAACTTGTGATCACAGGTATTCAGAAATTTAGCAGAGCAGATGGTTGGGAAGACGTTGGTCAAAGGTTACAAATTTTCACTTAAATAAGAGGAATAAGTTCAAGAGATCTATTGTACAACATGATGACTACATAACAATATATTGTATTCTTGAAAAGTGGTAAGAGAGTAGGTTTTAAGTATTCTCACCACAAAAATGACCACTATGATAGGTAATGCATATATTAATTAGCTTGCTTTAGCCATCCCACGATGTATATGTACTTCAAAACATCATGTCATACATGATAAATGCATACAATCTTATCTGTCAATAAAAAATTTAGAGCAGAATCTAGGTTCCAGATTTTTTTAAAAAGAGACACCTTTTTTTCTTTTGAAATATAGGAAAATTTAAGGATGCCCTTTATCTTTGTTTTAATAATGATTCAACGTTGTACTGGGGATTCTAGCCAATATAATAAGAAAAATAAACAAGATACAGAAACTGGAAGGGAAGAGACAGAATAGTTATCATTTATAGATGATATAATTACCAACATAGAAAATCTTAGCAGAGTTTAGAGCTTATGTGAGAGTTCAACAATGACAATTAGAGCTCATATGAGAGTTCAACAATGTTATTTGATATAAGGTCAGCTTACATAAATCAGCTGTGCACTTTCTATACCAATAATAACCAACTAGAATATGACAAAAAAAGATATTACTCACAATAGTGAGTAACAAAACCCATGAAGTATCTAGGAATTACCCAATAAAGAATACACAGGGCCAGGCACCATGGCTCACGCCTATAATCCCAGCACTTTGGGAGGCCGAGGTGGGCGGATCATGAGGTCAGGAGTTCAAAACCAGCCTGGCCAACATGGTGAAACCCCATCTCTACGAAAAATACAAAAAAATAGCTGGGTGTGGTGATGTGCGTCTGTGATCCCAGCTACTATGGAGGCTGAGGCAGGAGAATCCCGTCAACCCAGGAGGCAGAGGTTGCAGTGAGCCGAGATCGCCCTGTTTCACTCCAGCCCGGGAGACGGTGTAAGACTCTGTCTCAAAATAAATAAATAAATAAAAAATAAAAAAGAATACATAGCACTTTTTTTTAAAACTTTTAAGTTCAGGGGTAACGTGCAGGATGTGCAGGTTTGTTACATAGGTAAACATGTGTCATGGGGGTTGTACAGATTATTTCATCACCCAGGTATTAAGTCTACTATCCATTAGTTATTTTTCCATGGTGTATATGTACCACATTTTCTTTATCCAGTCTATCACTGATAGGCATTTAGGTTGATTCCATGTCTTTGCTATTGTGAATAGTGCTGCAGTGAACATACATGTGAATGTGTCTTTATAATAGAATTATTTATATTTCTTTGAGCATATATCCAATAATGGGGTTGCTGGGTATTTCTGTCTCTAGGTATTTGAGGAATCACCACACTGTCTTCCACAATGGTTGCACTAATTTACACTCCCCACACAGTGTAAAAGTGTTCCTTTTTCTCCACAATCTTGCCAGCATCTGTTATTTTGTGACTTTTTAATAATAGCCATTCTGACTGGGAGACACCCTTTTCTAAGTTACAGATCCCTTCATAGGAAATGTATACATATGGAGTTTTCAAATAATGGAGAATGTCTGTAATAAGTAGTAGCATGTGACTGAAAAAATGGCTTCTGGTGCTACTAGTGTCTCCAGTCATCTCAGGGACAACACCTTTTCAGAGTAAGTAACCAGGCACCTTTCAAATACTGTGTCATAGGAATTAGCTTCTTCCACCTAAGAGACCAAGCTCTCTGTTTCATGCTTTGGGTAATCCTTTCCTGCTGGAGTCTGACCAAGTAAGGATGGGCCTTGGTTGAAGTCACAATGCAGCGAGCCCTGGGAAAGCAGGAATTTGGCCATGGCTCGCCCAACAAGATGACCACCTCTTTTTGACACTAGTCTTCCCTTCTCACATGTATGCCGTCCTTACTTGCAATGGTAACACTTTGTCCTAGCATCTCTCTTTCCTATTCCTTTCTATCAGAGGTGGTCTTAATAGTAAGCAGTCACAAAACAAAATGACTGAAGGTGATTGCATATTTAGCTGGTCAAGAGCACAGGGTTTGGAAGCAAGACAGACCTGGCTGTGAATCCTGATTCTGGGCATAATACTTAGTCCCATTAAGCCTCCTTTCTCATTTGTAAAAGTGTGGGCCAATAAGACTTAAGGCAAAAGGTAGTTGCAAATGTTAAATGTGCTAATGTGTGCAAAGAGCTTAGGGTGGTCCCTGTATCTGGTGGTGGCCACTTAAACGATGGCTGTTGTTAAGTGACAGAATGAGGATAACCCCCTTCCACCACATGCAGAGAGGTATTGAGAATACAAGTGGAAAGCTCAGTTTTCTCTTGACATGCCATCACACCCAAACTAAAGTGTTTCAGGCTTACCTCTTGCTGCTTTCTGCAATATGATGAAAAATTCTAGACCCAAATGGAATCAAGTTCTTTTTTTTTTTTTTTTTTTTGAGACGGAGTCTCACCTGTTGCCCAAGCTGGAGTGCAGTGGCGCAATCTCACTCACGGCAAGCTCTGCCTCCCAGGTTCACACCATTCTCCTGCTTCGGGCTCCCAAGTAGCTGGGACTACAGGGGCCCACCACCACGCCTGGCTAATTTTTTTTGTATTTTTAGTACAGACAGGGTTTCACCGTGTTAGCCAGGATGGTCTCGATCTCCTGACCTCGTGATCTGCCCGCCTCGGCCTCAAGTTCCTTTTTTAAAGGTTCACAAACTATGTGACCTTTTAATGACAAAAGTATGACTTTATACCTCTAGAGAAAATTACCATTCAGATTGTTCTGAGCTGATTACCCTTGCCTTTCAACTGCAAACTTTCCCAATCAAAAGTGTGAGCATAAAGAACAGCATCATTGCAAACATGTAATCTATCTGACATCTTGCTTTTCATATAATTGAAAGAACACATATGTCAGTTTATACTCAAGCAAAAATGATATATGGTATCAATGTGAAACATGAGAGATGATCTAATTTTTTCTCTCATTAATGAATATTGAGCAAATAGAGCATTTCAGGATCAAGGAATATATGAGATTCTGTGTATTTATTTTCTTCATTACTCTAGCTACAGTGTCACCCGAGAGTATCTGGGAGATGACAACCAGGCAATTAAAGGCAACTCTGTCCAAGCGCTGGCCCTGCCGTAGTGAATCATGACCCTTTCTCTGGCCTCCCCATGGCTGAACCCCTGTCCTTGGGGAACCTAGGCTGTGAATGACTTGGCAGTTACCACAACACATACTTTTTTTATGTACACATGACATGTCTGTGATATGATGCATCTGCTGTCCGCAAAACCATCTAAATGGCTTAACTTCTCCAGATTTCATTTTAAAAGAAAAAGTCACTAATCTACATGAAAAGTTTTGTGTTTCATGTCCAGATTATCTTAGGAACTTCAACTGTTGTTGTAGGGTGAGGATGGGGAGATGGTGTCTCTCAATAGATGAATGAAGCCAACTGCCCATTTTTAACAAAACACATTTGTGGTGACCATTACCTAATACATTCATGAGATGGGTTCCACTAACACAGATCTCTCCGGTGTTTGTTTATTTAATTAAATGGGAGACATGTCCAAATGATTCCTTTTGAGATTTCTTTGGTCTCCAAACTCATGCTGCACATTCCATGTTTACATAGCTTCCTGAATTATCTGCAAAATTGACTAAGAATGCTGCAAAATGCTAAAAATAAAAACATATACATGTAGAATAAGCCTGGCTAATGGTTCTTTTCAGGCATATTTCTTTTCACTGAAATAAATGATAGGGTTTAGATTTTCAACCACTTCCTAACATGATAAAATGAGACACAGTGCTGGTCTCTACTGATTCATTCGTTCTGAGATCAACTTCCACTACAATGAATAATAGCAAATGTAAAATAAATCTTGGCCAGGTACGGTGGCTCATGCCTGTAATCCCAGCACTTTGGGAGGCCAAGGTGGCTTGATCACCTGAGGTCAGGAGTTTGAGACCAGCCTGGCCAACATGATGAAGCCCTATCTCTACTAAAAATACAAAAATTAGCCCAGCATGGTGGTATGCACCTGTAGTCCCAGCTACTCAGGAGGCTGAGGCAGGAGAATTGCTTGAACCTGGGAGGCAGAGGTTGCAGTGAGCCGAGATTGTGCCACTGCACTACAGCCTGGGCAACAGAACGAGACTCCCATCTCAAAAAAAAATAAAAAATAAAAAACAAATCTCTGTGTTTCTGCCTCATCATAGAAAAGGCTGTGTTAAATTCATTTACTAGATGAAAATAAGTATTATTAATTTGTTTCTTTGTTCTTTGATCAACTTCTTATTTAAGAACTCTTACTAAGAGCACCTTCATGCTATATTCAATGCTATAACTTTGCATTAAGAAAATGTGGTTATCATAAAGAAAATGGTGAGGCCACATTTGTCAGATACCTGACATACTCCCTGTGGAGAATTTTTAAATTTCTTACTTTGTAAGAAGCCTGTCGTTTCCAGTGGATGGTCAAGATGAATCAGGATTTGAGGCTTAAGATTGTTGGTAGTGTTTACTTTGATTTAATGACTCCAACAGATGAGGGGCCACTGGGCTTGCTGATTGGGTCTGTACTGACTTTTAGCCATCATGATGGAGAGTAAAGCTCATGTCCATGAAAGACACAAATCATAATGCAGGGAGGAAGGATCAATGGAGAGAATGTTAGCATAGGTAGTGATTTGCCCTGTCATCGCACTCTCACCTATTGATATATTTTTTCAGTGACAGGATTCTTTCGCTCAGACTTTTTTCTTTTGCTATTATAATAGTTCTCAAAATCAACAAACTTTTAGTTGCTTAGAACAACCACCACAGAAAAGAATGTGAATGTTTATTACCACTGAACTGTACACTTGAAAATGGTAAAGATGATACATTATATATGTATATTTTACCTCAAATCATTTTAAAAGCCCCCATAATGTATATATGAGAATTCTAACAATAACAGATTCTGTCATCTTCCACAAACATTGTCATCTACATTTTTCACTTGGAAGGGGAAGTGCAGTGAGCTCTAGTGAAAAGGCATGCATGGACTTCCACAGGCAGACATCTGGATGTGACTCCTGCCTGCCACGTATTAGCTGGGTGACCTGGGCAAGTTCTTTACTGTTCTGAGTCTCAGGCTCCCCATCTGTTAGGCAGATATAAAAGAAGAGTGCTTCTATTCACAATAGCAAAGACATGGAATCAACCAAAATGCCCATCAATGACAGATTCGATAAAGAAAATGTGGTACATATACACCATGAAATACTATGCAGCCGTAAAAAGAAGAAGACCATGTCTTTTGCAGGAGCATGGATCGAGTTGGGGGGCATTATCCTTAGCAAACTAATGCAGGAACAAAAAAACCAAATACCACACATTCTCACTTGTAAGTGCGAACTAAGTGATGAGAACTCATGGACACAAAGAAGGGAACAACAGATACTGGAGCCTACTTGAGGGTGAAGGGTAGAAGGAAGGAGAAGAGCAGAAAAAAAATAACTATTGGGTACTGGGCTTAGTACCTGAGTGATGAAATAATGTGCACACCCCCATGACATGAGTTTACCTATAAAACAAACCTGCACATGTACCCTTGAACTTAAAATAAAAGTTAAAGATGAAAGAAAATAAAATTAAAAAGTACTTAATTCATGATATGGTTTGGCTGTGTCCCCACCCAAATCTCATCTTGAATTATAATCCCCATGTGTTATGGGAGGGACCTGGTGGGAGCTGACTGAATTATTATGGGGGTGGTTTCCCCAGTACTGTTCTTATGATAGTGAGTTCTCAGGAGATCTGATGGTTTTATAAGCAACTGGCATTTTCCCTTGCTGGCACTCATTCTCTCTTCTGCCGCCCTGTGAAGAGGTGCCTTCCGCCGTGATTGTCAGTTTACTGAGGCCTCCCCAGCAATGCCGAACTGTGAGTCAATTAAACCTCTTTTCTTTTTTCTTTTTTTTCTTTTTTTTTTTTTGTTTGAGATGGAGTTTTGCTCTGTTGCCCGGGCTGGAGTGCAGTGGTGCAATCTTGGCTCACTGCAACCTCCACCTCCCGGGTTGAATCGATTCTCCTGTCTCAGCCTCCCAAGTAGCTGGGGCTACAGGCGTGTGCCACTACGCCTGGTTAATTTTGTTATATTTTTAGTAGAGATGGGGTTTCACCATATTGGCCATGCTGGTCTCGAATTCCTGACCTCGTGATCTACCTGTCTCAGCCTCCCAAAGTGCTGGGATTACAGGTGTGAGCCACCGCACCCAGCCCAAACCTCTTTCCTTTATAAATTACCCAGTCTCAGGTATTTCTTCATAGAGGTGTGAGAACGGACTAATACAACTCAAAATGTATGAGATGCTCAAAATGCAAGCTTTGAGATCTAAGAGATCATGCAGGTCAGTTTCCTAGCATTGTATCTAGTATGTAATAAGTGTTCAATAAATGCTAGTTTGCCATGAAAACTTCAAATAAGCATAAACGTTGGAGAAAAATTACTTTAAATGGGAAAAAAACCTATTTAAAAACATCTCATTGAGGCATAGGATCTGTGCACAGGGAGTTTACCTGACCCTGTAAGATAAAGTCCCTTGGCTTTCTTCAGCAGCAGAAGAAACCAGTACTTAGAGGTGGCCAGTCTCTGAAAGAGAGGTATTGGCATCAGACTTGGGAGTGGTCAGTTAACAGCTGTTACGGGCATCTGCTGGGCACCGAGCAGAATCCACTCATGAAGACTGCTCTGTTGCCTCCTGTTTTCTCATTGTGTGGATGAAGAAAGCAAAGCCACCCCAAGCTAAACTGTAACCCATTGACAAGGGCCACATTTGGAGGGTCCACTGTGCTCAGAATCCTTCAAGGGAGAAAAAGAATAAAAAGCAAGGACAGACCACATTTTTCCCCACTGGTAACAGAACCTCGGTCTCTGAGCCCTGTGTGCCTGTCTCTCCAGTTTCCCTGGTAGAACTGCTGCTGCCTCTGCCATTGCATGTCTGTTTCCATCTGGTCAGGCTGCTATAACAACATGCCATAAAATAGGTGGCTTATAAACAACAGAACTTTACTTCTTGCAGTTCTGGAGGCTGGGAATTCCATAATCAGGATGTCAGTAGATTTGATGTCTAGTGAAGACCCATTTCCTGGTTTATAGGTGATGCCTTCTTGCTGCATCCTCACATGGTGGGAAGGGCAAGGGTGCTTTCTGGGGCCTCTTAGAAGGGCACTCATGGCATTCGTTGAGGTCTCAGAATCACCTGCCAAAAGCCCCACCTCCTAACACCGTCACATTGGTGATTAGGTTTCAAAATACGAATTTTGGAGAGACACATACATTCAGACTACAGTAACATCTCTGTGGTGGCAAGTACTGGGCTTGCAAAATGATGAGAAACAGGACCAGGCCAGATACCGAGGAAGAGGTAAGGGAATCCAGGGGGCACATGGAACAGCACGCACCCTAGGAGTATGGCTGTCAATATCCCAGAGTTGGTTCTCTCTGGAACCCAACAAACCCATATTGGGCCATTCTCCACTCAGTATACCATTTCTTCACAAACACTGTTTCTCTACTCCAGAGCCTTGATGGTGCTCTTAATATGAGCTAAGGTACGGCCGGGCACGGTGGCTCATACCTGTAATCCCAGCACTTTGGAAGGCTGAGGCACGTGGATCACCTGAGGTCAGGAGTTTGAAACCAGCCTGGCCAACGTGGTAAAACCTCATCTCTACTAAAAATACAAAAATTAGCCGGGCATGGTGGTGGGCGCCTATAATCCCAGCTACTTGAAAGGCTGAGGCAGGAGAATCACTTGAATCCAGGAGGCGGAGGTTGCGGTGAGCCGAGATCACGCCACTGCACTCCAGCCTGGGCGACAGAGTGAGACTCTGTCTCAAAAAAAAGTGAGCTAAGGTAGAAATTTCTTTCTCCCTGCCATGAATCCATTCATATTACTTTTTTAAAGTAAGCATTTTGTTTTAACATACCAACAGGATACATACATTTTAAATGGTAATGTCTATTAAGTACCAGGTGTTTTTTTTTTCCCCCTACTCCCCTTCTGGAGAGACCATCCTCTCAAAAATCAGCAGAAGAAATTCGTAGCACAGAAATCAAGTTCTTTATATATTATTTATCTCTCTGGCTAAATTTTATACCACGCTGGGCAGTATTTATGCCTGTGGTATGATTATAGCTACCTTTAACATTTGGCCTAGTCTTGAACGTTGGTCCAGGAAACAAAACTTTTCAGCCCTACGTATCTTGCTTAACCTATCAATGGTTGAATAAATGGATGCCTTTTATCTTAATTCCTATTTATACATGACGATGTTATTGTGATGGGAGGCATATATCTGTGTACTGTCCTATCAGTCATTTTATTCTTCAGGGGAAAAACTGTGAACATCATCTGGCTTCAAATTTGGAAATGGTGACTATTTAAAATGTTAAGCAGGACTTAAGGCAGATAGTTTTTTAAAAAGAATAATTTTATTTTTTCTTTCTTTGTAGCAATAGACATTATTTTGTTTCACTTCTGTCAAATCTTTATTCAACCATAAATGTAAATCTTGATTGCCTTTAGAAGAATAAGATTGGCTCACTTGGGACTTTGTTTAGGATGAGCAAGGCTAAAATGAAAGCTCCTGTGATATCAGGGTCAGATACAACAAGTATTTGCCAACTCTAGGAAAGTTTCACCATCTGACCTTAATTATTCCACAGAAGGGAGGGTTTCACCATGATAACAAGGAGAAGCGCACGCGCGCACACACACACACACACACACACACACACACATTTTTCTTCTCTTCAGTACCTAAGACGTCAACATTTATACGTAGACCATATGAACAATGTATTAGGTTTCTGCCCTAACACCATTCCAAGAAAGCAAAGCCCATTTTCTGATACTAACAATTTAGTTTTTGAATCTGTTTCTTCCTTCCACCATTACCACTATTTTATAAGATACCCAGAAGAAATGGTTATTATTTATGCAGGGTTTGTGCTCCCTCTGCTGGTTCTGTAATTAACTAATAAGTCTAATTCCCATAACTATGCTGATGTCATCAATTATTTTTGTGCATGGACATGGAATTACCCAAATCAGCATGTTCTGCTCAAACATCATCAGGAAAATTAGCAGGGGGTCAGAGGAGGACAGTTGGCCTAGCGAAGAAAGTGTACCTTTTGATTTGTCCAAGTCTGTATTTGAAAAACCTAAATGCAGTTTTATGCTTTTATTTGCTCCATGCTAGAGAAAAACGATCTATTATTATTTAAACTAGCATATTACATCCCATCCTTTCAGAGGTAGATAAGGTTGGAGATAAATAAAGGTTGTTCATCTTTTGAACAAGATTTATTATAATATCTGTTTTGCAAGTGAGAAAAAATTAGAAGTTCAGAAATCATGTATGCCTTGCTGCTGAGAGTCTCTGCAGGCTAAAAAAGTAGATTTCTATAAGTGGCACATAATGGCCAATGCCTTGACTTCCCAGATCTGATATGTCTTTTTCACAAGTGTGGAGTCGGGACATAGCCATTTCTTAATGTCAGCACAGCATCATGTATTCATGAAGACCATAAGCTCTGTAGCTGGGTCAACTGAGGTTTAATTCTGGTTCTAGCACTTACTCTGTAATCCTGAGAAGGTTAGGGTACCTAACTTTCTAGACCCCACCTTTCTTGTCTACAAACTGAAAATAATATTGTTGGCAAGAGTTCTTACCTTGTAAAGTCATTGTAAGGATTAAATGAAATAACAAATGGTACTTAAAGTAAATGGATGATGATGATGTTGATCTGAAAATACTCTGGTCATTACTCATGGTGATTCTTTTTCCAACATGAAAGCAGCTTCTTTTCCTGATAATAAAAACTTACTGTGAAAACTGGGAGGGTAACTTTCAAATGATAAGGGTTCAATACTCCAGGAAATATTGTACTCATAAACAAATAGTCTGAAATAAGAGGGGCATAATTGAATGGAACTCCAGGAGAAATTAGTCAAGATAGTGTAGAAAATCAAGACATTTCTTACAGATGATAAGTCAGTCCAACCAAGATCGCAATTAAAAAAAAAAAAATGAAGAAACTTTAAAATGGGTAAAATCCTAATACATAGAGATGATATTTGAGTATATATCCTTTGGATGTTTTGTAGTATTTGTTCATGCTTTTAAAAAATCTATTTAGTTACTTGTAAAATAATGCCACACTTTTCAAGCTTTTTTGAGAACCTCCTTATTCTCAATCAGTACCATATTCTGGCCATCTTTCCATAGCAGTAAATGTGGATTAATGGTCAATATTATTCTTGGCCTCCTTGGTCCTGTCACTCTTAGCATTTATAGATACCACCCCACCCAGTTCAATGACTGTATTCTTAGATGATGCAGATTAATTCCAATAACAACCCAGGCAAAGCAAACAAGTAAATCCAGAGTCAGGATAGGTTACGTGTCGTCCTTCCCAAAGTCAGGTATCAGGAACTCTTGGACGACTCAAATCAGCCCCTTTTTCATTACCTCTTCCAAAGGAGAGTGGTCTGGAGACACATTGATGTTGCAGGGCCTCACCCTGCTCAGGAGGGGGTTGAGGTGTCATTGCTGATGGGTTTTGGTGAGGGAAAAGAAAGAGGTGGCTCCAAGTGCTAGGCCCCTTCCTCTCCCTACTCCAAGTTTCTCTACACTCTCTGGTTCTCTGGCTCTTGTAGGCTTCTCAGAGACTCTCTGGGTTTGTATAGATGGTGGTTATTTCTGCCATGTGTGGGAAACTCTTGTGAAACATATGTGCCAGGGGTAGGAATCCCAGGCCTCCTCTCCTGCCCAGGGGATACCATCATCTATGTTTGTTTTTAAGCTGGTCTTAAAATGAGGAATCTTGTGCTGGAATAGCTTGCTGTGATCTGTTTAACTATAATTTTTACCTGTACTTTTCACAGGCCTGGCCTACTCTCTGTCGTGAAAATATTTGGAATTTATACTTTAAACAGTGTAGGCCACTTTGGTTGTTGATTTAAAACATGCTAGAGGTTTTTATAATGGTTATTTATATTGGCCAACACTGACCCCTCTGCAATGACCTGTTGATGTTGGACAAGGATAAGAGGCACTGAATACAATGCAGGAAATGGAAAGAGATCAAAAAGAATGAATATGTGAGCTTAGTAACAATGCTTTGTGGCTTAACACGGAGATCAATTGTCTGTGTGTGTGAGGTTTTCAGAATTGCGGTATTTGGCCCACTTACAGGAATTAAGCGTTCTCTTTGGAGAAATTTAAGAGTTTTTCAAACTGTGTTTTGCATTACAATATCAACGTTGCTAATTCTACAAAATCATTCTTGATTATATATAATTATATATAAATGTATATATACTTAAAGCATGAAGAAAATACTTCATATATCTATATATTGAAATTATTGTACCTTTTTTAAAGAAAGCAAAACAGCCATTGAGTAAAGCAAGTGTCTCTGGAAAGTAAGGCCATTTCTGTGGACTGTTCAGGAATTAACAGCGAATTCTTTCTTCTTTCTTTGTTTTTTTTTTTTGTTTTTTTTTTTTTTTTTTTGAGACGAAGTCTCACTCTGTCTCTAGGCTAGAGTGCAGTGGCTAGATCTCGGCTCACTGCAACCTCCGCCTCCCGGCTTCAAGTGATTCTTCTGCCTCAGCCTCCCAAGTAGCTGGGACTACAGGTGCACACCATCACACCCAGCTAATTTTTGTGTTTTTAGTAGAGACAGGGTTTCACCATGTTGGCCAGGATGGTCTTGATCTCTTGACCTCATGATCTGCCTGCCTTGGCCTCCCAAAGTGCTGGGATTACAGGCATGAGCTACCACACCTGGCCAACAGCAAGTTCTTTCTAGCCTGACTGCTGGAAAGGGAAAGTGGCATACTTTCTCCAACCTGTTTCTCTTGCCCCCATACTCCATTTCTTCCTTGTATTCAATGGCAGAGTGTCAGTTTGCTTGTAGTCCATTTCCTATGTCATTTATCACTGTACAAATGTCAGCTGTGAGACAGGAGAACATGTGTGTTTGACAGCTGCCCAATAAATTATGCAGAAGAACAAGTTAAAGACAACTGCATGGACTTAAAACACACACACACACACACA
Organism: Homo sapiens; assembly: GCF_000001405.40. NCBI lineage: Eukaryota > Metazoa > Chordata > Mammalia > Primates > Hominidae > Homo > Homo sapiens. Next base: position 73,452,855 of record NC_000003.12, on the reverse strand, counting down.
CACACACACACACACAGATATATGGACCGTTAGAGAATTGGCACTAGTCGTTGCCTCATGAATATCTTAAAATATTATTCAACTGTAACCACTGAGCGAAGTGTTAGCATGGTTTGAGAGACAGCATCAGAGTAACTCACAACTTAAAACCAAGTAAAATCTGGTCCCCCACAAAAAGATCTGAAAGGAGATGCATATGCTTTAAAAATCCAAGTTTTCAGTGAATGCCTGAATAATACCACCAGTTAGGATGGTGGATGAGATGATCCTGGAAGCCTGGCCCAGCCAGGACTGACTTGGCCATACATCTTGTTCCCTGTGAAAGTAGAGGTCCCAGCATGCGTTTCTGCCTTCAGTGAAATCATAGAGAGAAGCAAATTTAAATGGAATTACCTTTGCAAAGTTAAAAAGTATATTCCTATACCAGTTTTGGAGAACTCTCTGTGGCAGCTATTTTGTGATTTCTTGGAGAAGATAACAAATAATTATCATGTTGGTGGTAGAGAAAAGCCGTGTGTTTTGTGGCTCAAGTCTAAATCCATTTATTTACTCTCTTTAGTGACCCCACCCCTATTTGAGACCGTGCTACTAACCTACCACCTTGACAGTGCCTTTGAGTCGTGTAGCCCCACATTCCACCCTGAGAGCGTCTATCTGTGGAATGATGGCTGGAGATAAAGGAGTCAGTCTGTAGCCAGGAGGTCATTTGTCCTCTTCACATGGGAATCAGACTTATTGCTGTGGCCCGAGCTATATCCATCGTCTAACCAGCTGAGCTAATTAGCCCATAGCTGAGCTAACTAGCCCATAAAGACATAGCAGGTTATTGCTTACCCACATTAGTAAAGATTCGATTCTGTTTGGCCCTCACAATTTTCTCTGTGTTCACAGTTCATACCAGCAAGGGATTCCTGTTCCTTAGGAGAACTGACTTCCCAGTAAACACCCTGAGCACAGTCATCTTTAAATCTCTGTTTATAAGGCTGTGTGTGTGTGTGTGTGTGTGATGAGAAGCTAGAGCATCTGCGGGATTCAATAGGCAGAAAGCTGATGACCTATCATATGATAGTAAATGATTACGACATGAGTGAGAGTTACTTGGCATCAGCAAGCTGGTAGTTATTTTAAGAAAGGGGAAGCGATGTTTTAACACAGTGGGCAGGTGTGCTGGGGCAGGAAATATATTTTACCTAATCAAATAGCATTTAGCCAGGTAGTTGGCAGCTCAGCCTCTCTCTAAAACCAACTTTGCTTTGGTATTTTTCTCCCATTTATTTACTCTCTTTAGTGACCCTGTTTGGCACATCTTTGCACCATGACCAAAGTGACAGACTTTGGTCTCTGTTGGACTAATCAGTGTGTTCTCTGATCCATGACATATGTTCCCTGTAGACATTTAAAGTCAACATATTCAGCACTTGTGGTCTGGCAGGTCAGAGTTATTAACTGAGCTGATAGACTGGTTTGGATATTTGCATCCAAAAGACTTTCCTCCTCATCCTCTAACACATAGAGCCACACATCCACTCCCAACAACACAAATATTGACTGTACCAATCATTTATTAGCAGTAAAAATTTGAGAGCAATTATTTTTTTACTGCGCTTGCCCTGAAAGACACCATTAATTACTATATTGCCTGTGGATGTGAGCCAGTTTCGGTGTCCCAGGGGCCTGCTCCCCACCCGGAAGAAGTATTTGCAGCTCCGAGGAACACAGCATAGGATGTCATCTGGCAAGCAGTGCACTGACATTGTCTTCTGAAGTGAGATGTCAAGACTGTTTCTGCCATCCTATTGGATTCCTCCTGACTTGCAGTTTACAGGTCAGGATTGGCGGTGACGGTAGGTTTCCCCAATGGCCTGAAAACTCCAAATAGAGGTGGGTGTGGGTGAAATTTGAGATGTGCCAGCTTTTTTTTTTTTAAAGAGCATGAGAAATATTCCAAATCATCCTAGAATAATTATCAGCGGAAGAACTTTTTTGATTGTTGATTCTGCAGGTCTCATCCAGAGGGTGAAAAGAATTAAGGCTTCTGATGGGCAGCACCAGCCAGTCTGCCTTTTCAGTTCTGATCTTTCAAAGGCAGGTGTGATGCAGAGATAGTAATGGTGCTGTTGGATGGTTTTCCTCCTCTTCCTACTCTAGTTAGCAGAAATGCAAAAATGCCTTTTGGAATTTAAACTTGTACCCTAAACCAGTTTGACCACATTTTTTGCTCAATTTGGAAAATCACACAAGCTATTTGGAATGTATGTATGTATTTATTACAAGTGGGCTATTCCTTTATTAAAAATATACTGATTAGATGTATAGCATGTCCTCCCTGCTAAAAAGAAAATGAATCGTGACTTATTAATGTGCCTGATTACGTGATAGGCCTCGATATCTATTGGCTGCACTGATCAGCTTGAGCCTAGCTCTTACCACACCTTTTGTATTTTGTGTGTGTATTGATTATGATGCCAATCTGCACATCCATGAGCAATGTCACCCATTTTTAAATATAACTTGGAGAATAGCTAAGTAGTATGTTTAACAAGGGCTTGAGAATGTTTAGTACGCTCTATAGGGTAAGGAAGAATTGCTACTGAGAAGGCATATGGGATCAGTGGCATGTCAATGTAGAACACAGTAATGTAGAATGGACTGGCATCATGAGAGGGAAGCCTCTCTCACATTAAATATAAAAATATCTTAGGAAACATTTTCCAAAAACCAATGCTGTTAGAACTTGCAGTGGAACTGGGCTGACTTATTTTCTTCCTTCAGAGGTCTTTAATTAATAAAAAGAGAACTGAGAGTAAAGGAAAAGGCACAGTCCATCCAGTGCCTCCTAAGGACCCTTCTCATCATCGTCCTCCAGAGGAGGTACCTATGGCGTGTGCTGCCCAGCTGTTGGTGGTTGGGAGTGTGAATCAGACTGAGACTCTGTCTAGGGGTGCTGGTTTGAGTTTTTTAAGTCAATTGCCTCATCTACGTAAAGCATGCAGTTAGAACAGGCTTTTCTTACACCCCAGACTGAAGCATTTTTTAGTCGAGAAGTCAATTTAAGGGAGGCAATATATTCTTTTGCAGCCTGTGCCATAAGAATAAAAGTCCAGGCTGCCACTTATTACAGTTTAACTGAATGATGGATTCTAGCCTGTTTTAATTAAATTACATATTCAATTATTTTTGTTTGAAATTAAAAGCTTGATTATATTACCGAATGCTATGTAATTTTACACGCGTTGTTCGCTTATTTAACAGTGAGGCGTGGGATATGATTAACAATGTGGCTGCCAGTAGAAAGAAGCAAAATAATTATTTGTTCAATATACAAGTCCTCATCATGATTCAGAAATCAATATGCATCCACGGAGGATTTGCTCGCACTGTGGATTATGGAACTCAGTGTGGCCTTCCCTCATTTCCCTATGAATGTAAAACCTGGAGACTTTGGTTCACCAGGCAGGTTTTTATTTCCCTCTCTCTCTTTTTTTTTTTAAAGACTGATGTTTAACTACAGCCGTTGGGACTTAAATCAGAGCATCCAGTGCCCGAATATGAATATTAATCAGATGCCAGGCCATGGAGTTCCTCGCCGAGTTTGACAGTTTAAAGGATCAGTTAGTTAATTAGAAGATGACATGGCACGCTGGGTCCCAAGGCTCTGTCCTGCCTTCTGTCTCCTCTTTTCATTTCCCTTTTTGACAAGTTGGATTACATCATTACTTGTAGTTTCACTTGTTAGCCCCACCATGAAATGAGAATATTTTATGCTTTAATTATCTGTGATTTCTTCCCCCTTTCTCTGCAAAGACCAGGCTTAAAATGAAACTCAAAGAAACATAAGAATCAGAGGTTCAAAGTCCCATGAAAATCAGTCTTGTGACTCCAACCATGCCACACACCACATTGCAGTGAGAAATAGAAGGTTTGTGGTAGCATGAGAAACTGGGTTGTGGTAGTCATGGTGACTGGTTTTAAATATAAAAGGTGCCTGTCCTGACTTTCGTGCCACAAGTACAGATGTATCACACCAGGTGTTTCCATGGCTTCTCTGGCTTGAGGTGTTACATACTGTGAATATCCTCAGGGGTAGCCACAAATTATTCTGGCCTATGTTTCTTGCCCACCCTAGTAGCTAAATGCACCCCAATGTCTGAACAATTCTGTTCTAAATGTTTTTTTCTTGCCATGATATTGCTCACTTGTGAAGCTTCTATTAAATAAAGTTTACATGTGGTCTGTATAGCAGCTTAGTCCCCAGGAAAAAAAAACAAGATTGAGATTAGTGTTTAGCTCTTCAAATGAAGGTTTTTCTGATGCCCTAAGTAGAATTAACTCTTCACTCCTTTCTCCCCATCTACTCTGCAGACAGCTGCTGTGGCACATCTAAAGTTTAATTACACCAGACGCTGAGCTATACAAGGGATGGAACTAGGGTTCAGCATCATCCCTAGCAAACATTAAAAGTGAAAATGTAAAAAAGAAAGGAAGAAAACTAAAATCTACTGAGCATTTACCATTAATGCTGCAAGCCAGCCACTTCACTGAGTAACTCTGTATGAGTAATTTCTCATTAGTCTTCACAACAATCGTAGGTGGTTAGAAGAAAAAATGAAGACTTGGGAAGAATCTTGCCAGGTCACAATGGCATGTGCTAAAGAAGCTGAGCTGGGATTTGAAATTAGGCAGTCTGATCCCAGATTCCCCTCCTGTGCTGAATCTCACATGGTAGGTGCTTATTTACGGGTGATGAAAGAGAAGGATGTTTTTGGTTGTCAGAGGGCATTTCTAATAGGTTGAACTCCCACTGGCAGTATATGGAGACAGAAGAGAGGTGGGAAGAAGAAAATGTGTGTGCTAGATATGATCCTTACTACTGGAAAAGCTATGATATTTAGGGCATATCTATATTTATGTAGAATGCAAGAGGAAAAGGAGCTAGCAGGCATTACCAGAGGGATCTGGGTAGATGAGGAATGTATACTATGAAAGGACCAGGGAAGAGTTAAGAAGGAGTGTAGAGTCAACAGGGTCAGGTGTTACAGGGAAGGTCAAGGCAGGTGGTGGTCTTTAGGAGAAAGAACATCAACATGGTTAACAGAAGGCTGGGGCCACATCTCAGTTCCGCCGGTAAGTAATCTTTTTGGACTGCAACTGAATTATCTCTAAAGCCAGTGGAGGTAAATCTTGAACTATGGACCTCCACGTCCTCCTATTTAGATAGTTTGAATGGAGGACTTACAACAAGCTCTTGGTTGCGGCAATTGGGAGGTCATTATGACCCCAGATGGGACAGCTATAGTAGTGTGTGTTCGGCTATGGAGGAAGGATTGCAGAGGGCAAACCAAAGAGAATGGGTGGAGGTGAGAAAGAAGAGAAGTTAAGTGTAGACTGCTCTATGGAGGAACGTGTCAGCAAAAGGAGGGAGAGGGAGAAGACTGGGGAGTGGCAGATTTGGGAGCCTTCAGAATGTCTTGAGAAACCTCTGTCGGCCTGGAGAGGGAGGAGACAGGCAACAGGAAGCTAGGACAGACAGCACGAGTGGGAGGGATGGAGGTCTGGGAGAGCCTTGAGTCCGAGGGCACGAGGCTTCGATTTCCTGCACAGACTAAGAGAAGCAGTGCAACTGAAGGGAGGGCAGAGCAAGGTTTTGCAGTTGAAGAAGGGGCACAAAGTTTGTTTCTCCACCATGAAAATAATTTGGGGATGGGAGTGAATACAGAGACAAATAAATGGATTGCAAAATTATATATATTAGATCTAATATATATATCTAATATATATATATATATATTGCAATTCTTTATATATATATATATAGTCAAGAGGTTGGCCAGAAGCAGGGAAGGTTCAGCTCACGTCCATCCGAATTAGTCAGGAATCCTTCCATATCATTGTCTGACTGTCACCAGAGGGCTGCAGCAAGCTGGGAAGTGGGAGAAGGCAGGAGCTAGGAGCCAGCTCACCCAGCACTGTCGAGAGCAACAGAATACACAAGTCACGAGGGTAAGACATGAAAACCTACTCACTCGATGCAGTAGGATTCAGTATTTTAAAGAAGGAACTGAGAAGAAAAGGTCCTCAATTCGCCATTCTGTGCACCCTGGTTACCCTTCTTCCTAAGGTAAGGGAAGGTTCACATCGCCAGAAGCAGTCTGTTTTCCATCCACGTTCTTCCTCAGCTTCCCTGGGACATGTTGCTCTCTGTCCCCGCCAGCAACTGAATCCTTGTACAGAGAGTCAGGCAGATAAGAAAGTGTAGTGAGTATTCTGTAAATTTAAACTTACTCTGTTTTGAAACTCCTGAGGTTATGTCTAATAATTTTTTCAGGTTTTTGTTTTCCAATTAAGGTACTAACGCATGAAGTTTTTAAATGTCCTTATAAGACAAATATGTATTTGGCCACTCTGTTAGTCCTCAGCATTGTTCCCCTCTAATTTTACCAGTCCATGAAATCCAAATGATGGAATAGTATTGGTGTATAGAGCACACGGTATGATTGGTCATTAGCTGCTGTGGTGGGATCGTGGCATGGCTTGGCCAAGCAAAGCTTTGAAGAAACGCTCACTGCCCATGTAACTGTATTTATTCCTTTTCCTGAAATAAAATGCCTCACGCCAAGGTAGGTCATGGTAGATGGACTCAAAGAGAAGGTGGGCAGAACTCAGAGTGCTGACGGGGACCCCTCTGCAGTGAAAGGTGTAAAATGAAATAAGCTGTTAATGTTCCCCATTTCATTCCAAAAAATAAATTGTGGTTTCAGAGCACCCACTTATCAGCTTTCTAGTTGATATCACCCAGCACACTTGTGCTTACCCCCAGGGACGAATCACCTGAAAGATGTTGGGGTCAAGGCATCAAAACATTTGGACGCACATTGATGGGTTTTACACCTTTGTATCTCTCTGATATTACTGTTTCGCTTCAGCAAGCCCACTAATATCAGATATATCCTATCAGGGACTATTTTAAATCACTTCAATTTTCCCTGCCCCTGGGCTCTGGCCATCAGACCAGAATCCTAAGCATGTGTTGCCTGTGATCTAGTGTTTTCCTTTCCCCCATTTATAGGAGAGGGAACTTTATTAGCTTTTGGACACACATATATATCAGTTTTAAGGATTAAGTACAACATCAGTAGTTCTTACCCGGCTCTCAAGTGTATTGAGTTGTTATATTTTCTCAGAGAATGTTAAAAAATTAGTATTGCCATTTGTGGAAGCATTTTTCTCTTAAACCATTGGTCATAATGGTGTTTACTTACTTATTCTCTGAAGTACTGTTTTATAGAGAAAGTAAATCTAGGATAGAGGCTTGGTAAGTAATTTCAGACTTGATAGCACATGAACCTTATAGGTACGAGTGAATTATGAAGCCTCACTTTGCAGTGTTGTTTTGTTTTGTTTTGTTTTGTTTTTCTCAAGTGTCTTTCTTGCAACTACTTGTTTTATCTTCTGGGTGACTTTAAAATATTAAACTAGCTTCCCTTTAGTGCCTAAGTTATCCATCCAACTCCTGCTTCTCCTAGCCTCCAAATTCTTTCAGACACGAACACCCAAGTTGCCTATGACTCAATTACCGGCTGTTGGAAAGGACCATCTACTACGAGGGCATGTCCTGAATCCTAGAGTCTGGCCAAGAATAAAAACAAAAATCTGTGTTTCCCAGATCCACTTCTGGCTGTGGTTTGACCTGAGATCTACCAAGCAAGATACAAAGTAATTTGGTAATTGAGATTCCCAGTTCTGAATTCAGATTTAGGCTCTCCCTATCTCTGCCCCAGTGTCACCCTCTCGCCATTTCATACCTTCCTGCTTCACTTCAGCCTACACGCCAGTCACAGGCCTCTTCACCAGAAATCATTTCTATCCCATCATTCATTTGCCCTCAAGACCGCCATTCATGTGGACTCACCTTCCCTAGGCACCACAGCCCATGTACCTGCTTCATCTCTAGTCAGAGAGCTCTTTCTGCGTTTCCTCACGTGTGGCTCTGGCCTGGCTTGTTTTTCCCTATGTCTGTATTCCCTCCATCTTGCAACAACCAGCTCAGATTGTGCCTTTTCCACAAAGGCTGTAGTATCCACAGCAAACCAAAAAGCATGGCCCCAAGAGTTATATTGTAGTTACCCCATGGGGGTTATCAGGAGAAACCTTCCTTACTCCACCACTACCTCCACTCTCTACAGCTGACTTCTCTCCCCCTTTATGGTTTAGTCTTGTTTCCCAGGAGACATCATCAGCTGCTTGAGTATAGAGACAGGCTTTACAATTTTTCTGTATTCCCTGAGCTGGGACGATGTGTAGCACAGATGCTCAATAAGTACTTGCTTGTTGATTAATCACGGTAATGAAGCTATTTATTGGTCATAAACCACGGTGGGGTTTTTGTCTTCAAGAACTTGTTGCTTTCCTCTTAGAAGGAAGAGGCTGGCCACAGTCACCATTCTGTCCTAGACACTTAGCATAACATTCACCTGCTTAAATGAAAGGAGTAGGAGGACAGATGGACATGCCCTCAAGAAACTGGCACAGTGCAGATGGCAGCAAATCCTCTGGCAGAGCACCTGGGAGCTAGAGATCAATTCTGATGGACAAATTGGGGTGGGCTTTAATATGCATGGGATTGGAAGGATGGAGCTCACATCTCAACAAGCACAAATGTATGTGTGGAAGGTATTCCAGGTAGGGCTAATGGGTCCAATAAAAGCATCATGGATTGAAAGGATTAGGGATGTCAGTCACAAAGCAGACCCAAGCATGGGGTCAGGGGCAGGATAGCAGGAGACAGATAGGAAAGGCTGATGAGACAGATGTGGGAAAGGTCACAGTGAGGCTGAAATTCAGTACCAATTGCGCGTTCGTTCCAGCCATGTTACATATGGTGGGATCAAAATTATGTGGCATAAAGATGAGCCCTTTTTAATTTTGAAATTGATGTGATTATTTTTATAGTAATTTTTAATACATAGCAAATGATGCTGATTTTCCATTTACAGTGGGGATTAGATTTTATTTCAAAAGTACTTTAAGTAAAACCATGTGAATAGCTTTAAAAAAAAAAGCTGGACCAGGCTCAGTGGCCCATGCCTATAATTCCAGCACTTTGGGAGGCCAAGACAGGAACATCGCTTGAGGCCATGAGTTCAAGACCAGCCTGAGCAACAAAGTGAGACCCACCCCATCTCTACAAAAAAATAAATAAAAAAATAGCCAGGCATAGTGGTGCCCATCTGTAGTCCCAGCTACTCAGGAGGCTGAGGCAGGAGGATAGCTTGAGCCCGAGAGTTCAGTGCTGCAGTGAGCTATGATCGTACCACTGAACTCCAGCCTGGGCGACAAAGCAAGCGCTGTCCCCCCCCCAAAAAAAAAAAAAAAAAAAGAAAAAGGAAAATAAATCAAGTTAATAGTAGTAGAGGCTGTAAGTCAAAAATCATGGTAGTTCCCTGCAGCCGGAGGTTTGGAATGCACAAATATGGAAGTGGGAAGACTCCATGTGGAAAGTCACCCAGGCCAATGACTCCAAAGACTTGGGGATGGTTGGAGTTTGGCAACTGGGAAGCCATCTGCGAACTTAGAGCAGCTGTTGTCCTGGGGTGGCTGCAAGTCAGATGCACACAGCAGCTTCAGGAGGGTAGGGGGGGTTTTGTGTGTTTTGTTTACCACTAAACAACAGTGTCTGGCTCATAGTAGGCAATCAATACGGAGGCGTGAATGAATAGGTGGAAGGTATGAGGTGAGGTTTTTATTTCCACCCATGACACTGACACCCACTGGGCCGGTGGTGGGGCGCGGCTGGGAGCAGCCGGATTCCCACGCCCCCACTTGAAGTGAGCTCATAGGAGACACAGCCTCCCTTCAGGTGAAGGAGGAAGAAAGGGAGGGAGGGAGGTAGGCTGCAGTCTCTGCCTCTGATCTTATACCAAGGCTCTTCTGTTTTATATTGTCCTTTATAAACAACACCACAGGGACCTAGGCACCTTAGTGTACTCCAGCTGAAAGTGGCCAGTGAAGAGGCCTGGGAGGAGCTGTGGCATGGGGGGACCACATACCCCATCTCAAGGGACAGCTTTACCCTGCTTCTGCTCATTTTTGTCACATGGGAATGCAAGGTCATATGTGCCACACACTAGGAATTTTCAAAAGATGTAAAAAAAAAAAAAATCCACACATTTTCAGACGACTGCTGCTGATTTTTTTAATTAGTGCCTAAGTTAAAATGTTAAAGACACCACAACAGCCCACTATAGAGTTTGTGACCTCTCACCTAATTCTTTTAACTTAATGCCATCACATCTCCCTCGAGGATTTGTAACACCTAGTGTTCCTCGTAACATTTTTCCCAGTGTGTTATTCTAGTCATTTTTCTGAATCCACAATAACACAATTGGTGTCACGTTCACGTGCCCTGTAGCGCCAGTTCTGAATCTCTCCCCTTTCTTCATCCTATCACTTGTTCTCCTTTTCTCTCCTTAGGGTCTCTCCCCTTGCAGCTAAGCCTGGCTTAAGCTACCTAGGACTTTGAAACATGCAAAGGCCCGCCACCTGAATTCCTGCAAATCCTGGCCTGATGCCCTCCCCACTTCCCCTCTGTCTCGAGTGTTCACCATGCATCTCCATTGGTTTCTACCATCTGTCCTGCCTGGACTCCAGGCCTCAAATCTCTTTTCCTGCTGTCAGGTGGAACCCCATATCCAAGGGTTGAGGCAGGTCCTCCAGGAGCCCAGCAGGGAACCCCCAGGGTGGCTGGGAGCCTGGCCCAGATCACAGAGCCACAATGCCCACCACTGCCCCACCATGCCATTTAGAATGGAGCCTTTGATACATTGGTCACATTCACATGGGCAAAGAGATTACCCATGGACCATGATTGAGACCCTTCCTATCCCCCAGACTCAGCAGGGACTTTGTGATCAGGCCATTTGGTAGCTGTAAGTATTAAAAGGAAACCTTGTATCTAGAAGGAGATAGTCTCAGCAAGCCATGCCTTGTCCTGTTCAGCAGGCCAGTCATTTACAGACTCTGTATGTTGATCGGCATCCTCACGAGTACATTGTGTTTCCTGGATTGTTTTCTTTACCAGCCCCTGCCATTTCCCAGGAAGCCAGTTTTGAAAGCCTGTTTGCCCGCCTCAGCATTCCTAATGAAGATGTAAGGTCTTACTTGCTTTGGGGTTACAAATTCTGATCTCATTTCTGCCATTTGCAGGCTGTGTGCTCTTGGGCAAATTACTCTGCCTCCCTGAGCCCCAGTTCCTTCCTGGGTAAAATAGGGGTAAGAGAAATACTTCGTCCTGACCGTATCATCACCAAGTGTCAAAGAACTCTTAGCTCAGTCTGTGATTGTTTTGTCGTCAAATTATGGTCCACATGCCAAATCCAGCACACAGCCTCGTTTGGTACAGTTTGCAATTAAGAATGTATTTTACTTTTTTTTTTTTTTTTTTTTTTGGGACAGAGTCTCACTATGTCACCAGACTGAAGTGTAGTGGTGCGACCTCAGCTCACAGCAACCTCCGCCTCCCAGGTTCAAGTGATTCTCCTGCCTCAGCCTCCCCACTAGCTGGGATTACAGGCATGCTCCACCACGCCCAACTAATTTTTGTATTTTTAGTAGAGACGAGGTTTCACCATGTTGGCCAGGATGGTCTCTATCTGCCCAGCTCGTGATCTGCCCGCCTCGGCCTCCCAAAGTGCTGGGATTACAGGCGTGAGCCACCGCTCCCAGCCGTATTTTACATTTTTAAATGGTTGTTATATAAGTATCTATATACTCTTCTTGATTTTGCCTCTTGACCCACAAAGTGTAAAATATTTTCTGTCCTGTCCTTTCTAGAAAAAGTTTGCCGACCCCTGCACCAGAAAATGCTGGAAGGGCTTTCCGCCCCTGGTTTGTGACTGTTCCTTTGGTTTAGTGCACACCCACAGACTGTGCTTCAATACCTTTCAAGGCTTTCTCTCTTTTCAGGAACCGTCCCCCTGGTCGGAGGACTGCCCGACTGTTAGTAGGGGAAACCAAGTTCCTAAGAGGCTGTGAATTTCCCACACTCTGTGCAAGTTGTTCTGAGGGACTGGGCTGAGTTCACTCTCTACACTTCCCTGTCCCATCCCCGAGACACTCACTGTGCGAACTCACAGTTGTTCATTCCAAAGAGTTAGCAAGGGCCTTTTGGAGGCTGGGTGTTGTCATAGGCATTTCAGGGGTTACAAAGATGACTTGCTCGGGAACCGCCCTCGGGAATTTCCAATCTAGTTGGGGAAATGGGGGTACCCATTTGTCGCCAGTGTCGGGAAACACAGTGTGTTCTGGGACCTCCAAGGAGTCAAGGTGTCTCACGGGGCGTCCGTGAGGCCTCAGGCCCCTCAGCTTGGGCTGCATGTTGTGACATCAAGGCGCATCAAATCTCCTTCCTGCTGGTGGCCTAGGGCAGGGATGCCTGTATTCTGGCCTCCCCATTCTCAGTTCCTGTGGCAGTTGCAGCAGCCTGTTTCCGGGTCTGTTGCATGACTTTCAGAGACTGATGCTCACTGGCCTGCGTGGGATTTGGAGCTAGCCATGACAGGCACATAGTAGGCTGCCCTCACCAGCTGCCTTGCTCCCCTTCCCAGCAGGGCTCAGCATGTGCCTCCTCTCCATGTTATTGTAAAAACCGCAATTACTTTTGCACCAAACTAGTACTTCAAGTGAAACAGTGAGCCATCAGTCTCAGGCAGCCAGGATGTTCCTCAAGATCTCTGCAGCCCAAAGAAAATGTCCTCAAGACAGCGGCACCTCAATCAATTTGGCAAAGGAAAAATATTTTTTCATTCAAAAAAAAAATAAGAGTCTGGGCGCGGTGGCTCATGCCTGTAATGTCAGCACTTTGGGAGGCTGAGGTGGGTGGATTATTTGAGGTCAGGAGTTCAAGACCAGCCTGGCCAATATGGTGAACCCCAACTCTACTAAAAATAGAAAAATTAGCTTGATGTGGTGGTGCATGCCTGTAGTCCCAGCTATTCAGAAGGCTGAGGCAAGAGAATCGCTTGAACCTGGGAGGTGGAGGTTGCAGTGAGCCGAGATCACACCACTGCATTCCAGCCTGGGTGACAGAGTGAGACTCTGTTTCAAAAAATAAAATAAAATAAAATAAAATATGAGGGCCTAAGCAGATGTTCTGAGCTTACATAGCTTTTCAGAAACAAAAACTGCACTCACAGCTGCTGTTACATATTTTTTACTTTGACATTTTTTGTGTGTGCATTCTGACATCTTTGAAGTTGCTTTTTTTCTTGCTATGAAGACACAGTTTTCATCCACGTCTTACTCCTTGTTCAAGAACCAGTGGCCACTCACTAAATAGGGTTCAGACAAGCTGTTGAAAAGTCACTTTGACAAGGATGAGGGTTCACGAGTGACTAAACCATTTCTTCAACAGATTGTGATTTGGGCTCTCTAGCCATGCATAGTATACAGGGCTTGTGGGAGCAACTGTCCTACCAAAGGCACAAAAAGTGATTCTTTTAGGTCTACAGCCTTGACCTTCTTGTGAGAGCCAACTTCTTTGTTCATGTCAGACACTATAGTCCATCTGCTCACTACTGTACTCCCAAAGCCCAGAAAAGTGACTGGTGCTGAGCAGGCCCTCAGTATGTATCTGATGCTGAATTTATTCATCAGATATTTATGGAACATCAGAGGAGGAAGTTGGTGGGCATATACCGCTGACTGAGGCCTGGTTCTTGCACTGGAAGAGTGCTCTCCAGGGAAGAACAGAGGGATGCAAACAGAAAGTGACCATCCGTGTGAATCGTGCCATAAGGAGGCACCTGGGAAAGTGTGCAGGGCACTGAGGAGGGTGGGACAGAGGAGGTGAGACTTAAGGGGCACCCTGAAGGAGATGGAATTGAGCATTCCAGGCAGAGGTCATGGCCTATGTGTAGACGTGGAGGTGTGAAGGAACCTGACCCAGTTCATTCAGCACTGCCAGAAAACAGCACGCATGTCCAGAGGACGCAGATGAGGCTGGGCAGACTAAGAGAAGTTGGGTCCATGCACATGAGAAATTGGGCTGTGTCTTGAGCTTGATGGGTTTATTGGCTGTGTGTGTATTGTTAAGGACTATTCTAGCCCGGCGAACAGTAGTAACTGAAGGGAGAGTGGGGTTCCACCCGGGAAGAAGACAAGTTAGTGAATCTGTGTGATCCAGAAGAAAGATGGAAAGATCCCCAGGAAAGAAGAGCCAGCGGGCAGGTCTGAGAGATTTGAGAGAGGAAGAATCTATCCCGTGACTGGCCGGTGCCTAACAAAGGGATGCCATTGCTCCACACAGACCTGTTTCCTCCTCAGTCCTGCCATCTCACTTCTTTTTGACATGACTCTTCCAGAAGTCTATATGGCTGGACTGGAAGTTCATAGCATGGTGAGACCTGTGCTCATCATTACAATAGAGAAAACAAGGTTGTATTTTAGGTATCAGGCAAATAGACAATCCAATCAGTATGCTGAAAATAATATGCTTGAATTAGATAGCTTATTCAGCAATTAAATAAATATAAGTTCATGTCTACATCTGCTGACTGTCTGTAGCACCCTGATGACTTATGGAAGTTCAAAGAACGATTATGAGGGATATTCCCTGGGCACTTTAAGCCCTTTGTGTATATGCCTTGTCTATCTGTTTGTCTCATTGTGTGTTCCTTGGTGACCCCTCTTTGCACTTTATTTTTAATTTCCATGAAGGCAGGAAGAGGCAGGCGTCTGATGGTGCAGAGCACCCGAGAAGAGTGCCTTGTGCTCTGGTGAGCTTATTAGGCACTTTCCAGTGATGTGATTACTAACTTGAAAAAGACGTTAAGCATCTTCATCAAACAATGTGTGCCTTTGTGTGGCCAGTAGTTTTTTCATTTTTACTGGGACAGCTGTTCTCTCAAAAACAGTTCTATTATAAACAACTTGCAATCACTAACAGACTTTCTTTGCCCTTACACTGCCTCTGGGATGAGCTTTACTAAATGGTAGGGTGTGTATCATCAAGCAGGTGAACCTCCTTTTTTACACAATTGTGTGTTCCTTACTATAGGAAAGCAACATTTTGAAAATAAAACACCATTCTAAATGTGCTAGATGATTTTCCAAAGTAAAGGGTACTTTAAATTAGAAAAAAAAAATCACTTTGGTATGTCTTGTTTTAGGCATAATGGGTGCATGAGTGTTTTCCATTTTTTATTCCAAATAACACATATTAATCACAAGAATGGAAACTCAACCATGAGTCGAATTTGTATTAGTATCCTTTCCATTCCTCTCCGCCTCCTGCAGTGTGAGGCTCTTAGACACCAGACTCACCAAAGTACCCTTGTAAGGCAGCTGTTCTCAAAGTGAGGCCCGGGCACCCCTGGGGGTCCAGCACACTTGTTTCTGGGGATCTGTGAGGTCAAAAACATTTTTGTAAAAATAGCAAGATGTTATACTGTCATTCTTTTATGAGCATGTAGTACAGTGGAGTTTTCTAGCGGTTACATGACATATCACAAGCATTTGAATTCAGAAGAAAATGTGAAAATCTAGCTATCTTCAATTACACTAGCCCTTAAAGAGCTTTTGGAAGATGTAAAACTATGCTTTCCTTCTCAAAAACTTCTGTTTTGGAAAATATAGTCATTTCATAAAAATGTTATTTATATTATTATGTAATGGGTTTGTTATTGCTATTTTAAAATGAATTAATGAATAAATTTAAAATTTCTGATTATTTCTAATATGATAAATATTGCTTAATATAACCCATATAAACAACAGTCCTTGAGGTTCTCAGTAATTTTTTTTTTTTTTTTTTTTGAGACAGAGTCTTTCTCTGTCGCCAGGCTGGAGTGCAGTGGGCACCATCTTGGCTAACTGCAACCTCCACCTCCCGGGTTCAAGCAATTACCCTGCCTCAGCCTCCCAAGTACCTGGGACTACAGGTGTGTGCCACCACACCTGGCTAATTTTTTGTATTTTAGTAGAGACAGGGTTTCACCATGTTGGCCAGGATGGTCTCCATCTCCTGACCTCATGATCCGCCCACCTCAGCCTCCCAAAGTGCTGGGATTACAGGCATGAGCCACTGCACCCGGCCGGTTCTCAGTAATTTTTAAGAGTGAAAGAGTTCCTAAGGCCAAAATGTTAGAGAACCACTGCTCGGAAATACAGTGCCATATGCAGTAAAACTGTCCCAGCTTGTTATTGAGATTGGGAAACTTTCTAACAAAGAGTAAAAAGGATGTGTAAAATTTCCCTAATCATGTAGCTTAGGCCCATTTCGACTTTGATTTG
Organism: Homo sapiens; assembly: GCF_000001405.40. Taxonomy (NCBI): domain Eukaryota; kingdom Metazoa; phylum Chordata; class Mammalia; order Primates; family Hominidae; genus Homo; species Homo sapiens. Next base: position 73,436,568 of record NC_000003.12, on the reverse strand, counting down.
TGGATGTGCAGGAAAAAGGTGAAGGACTACTTTGAAACCACAGAATCTTATGAAAAACATAACTTAAAGGCCCTCAACTTTGGGGGAGGAGAGCCAACCGTGATTGCAAGCCTTTTTTTGTGGGGACACCCAAGCACACTTTGTTTTCCTCTCCCTGCTGGTACTTGCCAATTGTGCTGTGACTGGTGGGTCTGTGAGACCGCACAGGTCATCCTTCATCTCTTCATGCAGTGAGTATGTTTTCCTGAGCACCTTCACGGGGCCTGGGCTGGTAGAAATTCAGACCCAGTCCCTGTCCTCAGGAAGCCAAAAGGCTTGCACAAGGAAACAGTCAGCAAACACATAAGCGTTAAGTGAACAGAATCATTACTGATTTTGGAAAGCGATGCAAAGGAAATGAACGGGGTGATACGACACAGTACTTTGGAAGATCTGAAAGTAAATTCATACAAGATACCTGGCAAAGGCTTTTCTAAGGAGGCTTCATTTGAGCGGAGATGGGGATGGGGGTTGGAAGGAAGGAGAAAGGGAAGAGCGGTTCCAGCAGAGAGACCTGCAGAGGCCCTGCAGAAGGGCATGGCTTGCTGGCAGTGTGGTGACCACCAGAGTGGGTGAGCAATGATGGGTATGAGACATTGATGGACAAAGGTGAGATTTTACAGAGCACTATAGGCGCTGGTGAAGAATTTGGGTTTCAATCCAAGAGTGATGGGAAGTGATCTGAGGGCTTTTCAGCAAACGGTGGAGTCATCCCTTTCTGCTTTGTAAAGACCAGCCTGGCAACTGTGTAGGGAATGAACTAGGGTAGAGAAGCAACTGGTGAGTAGGCAGGAGAGGAGGCAGAGAGCACCCAGGAGGCTCTGGGCATCATCAAGTGAGAATCCATGGTGTGCAAGGGCAATAGGCAGAATGGACAGGTTTGAGATCTAATTTGGGGTCGAACAGACCAGACTCACTGATGGACCAAGGGTGGGGATGAGGCAAGGAGAGTGAAGAAATATGACCTCTGTTTTTTATTAGAGCTGCTTTTGTTTTCTCAAATCATTGCAACAAAACTCTGCAAGGTAATTAGCATCATACCTATTATTTAGAGATTAAGAGACCAGAGGGCCAATAACGTACTCATGGGTTAATAGGGCCCTGCGCAGCATCAAAACAAGTCAGCAATTACTGCAGCTGCCCCGCCCCATCTGTGGCTTCCTTTCCCTGGTGGCACGTTCCAGTTTACTGCTCCAGTCCAGGCAGTGACACCAGGTGAGGGCCTGGAAGGAAGGCTCCTCACCCTCCAGCAAGTCAGGGCTGTTAGCTGGTGTAAGCCAAGTCACTGTGCCTCGTCTTCGGTGTCTGAGAAATGGGTCCAGAGGCATCTGCTGGCCATCAGCCCAAGTGGGATTTTATTGGGACTGGTTTATTCACGTCTCAGGTGTGTCTCGGCTCCCTGAGAAAGGGAGCATTATTCTTCAGGCCCCATGGCACGTCTCAGCAAGGGACGTGGGAGTCCTCCCCGGAGACAGTTAAACCTTTGTAAAATGAAACCTTTGTAAAATGGTGAAGGCTCTGGAAGCAATTGTGAGAATTTTAAACATCGACCATTTTCGTTGAGAAAAAGGTACCTGTGCATTTCGTTCAGGCAATGGGGCAATCATTTATTTAAAAACAAAGTTTTTAGAAAAGGTGTCAGGCTTACTCAGCAGGACAGAGGCTGAAGGAGGAGAGAAGCAAGGCAGCAAGAACCAAAATTCTTAAATGTTGTCTGTTGTCACCTCCCAAGTAGAATCTGGCAGCTCTCTGCTTTCTTCACACACAACTTGGGGCACAGCTTCAGAGGTCTAGGCAGGTATGGAACATCAGATACAGATCCGTAGTAACCAGTGACAGTCAGCCCAGCCATATCATCTCTGAAATATCTGCAGCATCTATATGGCTGAGGGGATGGCATGAAGCTGACTGCTTCTCTTCCTTCCAGTTAGTTGGGCAGCCCTTCAACAAATAACTTTCTGCTTTTGGAATTGAAAATGCATTTGGGGAATGATTATCTGCTTTCTCACCTGTAGGGCAGCCTCTCTCCTTATAACCCCTAGCTACTTTGCATACTCATGGATATATCCTGCAATTTAAATTTTTATATTTTATTCATATGTGGAGTATTTTCCCTGCAACTTTGTAAAGCACTAAATATTATATGAACATTATTCAAAACATGTCCTTTCCATAAAGTCCGTTTATATGCCATCATTATCTGCAGCATTAAATACATTTTATATCATCAGAAATTTTATGATATATTTAAAAATGAATTTCTACCTAGCCGAAACACATTAGGGATTATCCTAAGAGACCTTGCTAAAAATGCAGTCATGTTTATTTGTAACTGCCAGAAAATAGCTTGCAAAATTGTTAGTGTCTTTTATTATTCCCTACCACTGGAGCACTTGCTTGTTAATTAGAGAAATTTCAACTGTCATAGTTGGCAATTATAGCTTCTGTATCATTGTCTGTTATGAATAGTCAATGAGAGCTGATTAATATGCATGAGCAGCAGTATATATAGCGTGTGCATTGGACCACAATCCAGCTGCCAGAGTCACTCAGAGGAGGGAGTGGTGTGCGTGTATGTCTGTGTGTATGTGTGTGTGTGTGCACGCGCGTGCATGCATGCATGCTGCGAGGGGAGGAAGGGAAGCGTGGAAGGGGGGAGAGAGTTGTTGTCTAGCCTCTGAGAGCAGCGCCAATGTGAAGCGTTGCAGTCGCTTGACTCACCTGAGGCTCTCCAAGGATACCTTCAATGCCTGCACTGTAAGGGAGCTGCTTTTCCCGGGTGCTGGCGAGAACGGAAGCCTTCCTTTGACGTTTTTCTAAACATGGGATGCAGTCTGTGCAGCCTGCAGAAGCAAGAGGAGCAGTACAAATTACTCTATGAAGTTTGTCAGGTAACACCCTGCATTTTATTCCATAGAAGTGCATAGGCACCCACCTGGCCAAGTGTAACTTCTAGGAAAGGTAGTGGGGATTTTTATGTGTGTTTTTGTGCATATTTTGTGTTCTGAAAGACGCAGCCTTTCTGACTTTTTTGTGTATTTTCTCTTAAGTCTGTTATAAAATTTTCCATCCAGTGGCACTTTGGTGCCTGCATTTGAAAATATAAATAGATGTTGATGGTCATAAAATGTGTTTCAAGCAGTCTTGTCACAAGGCTCCTTCACAACTGACCTCTCTCCAGAGTGTCGAACTCAAAGGGTCAAAGAGTGGTCATGCACCCTTTGAACAAGTTAGAGAAGACATGGATGATGATTAATGCTAGCAAGGTTTTGTCTGTGTTTACAAATAGTTATAAGGCGCTCCTTTCAGTACAGCCCAAGCCCTCTGCTGACTTGGTTCTTTTAGCAATTCTTGTAGTGGGACATATGGTTCAAATTGGTACTTCTCACTTGCCATTTCTGTACCTCTGTCTGTGAAATTTTTAAGAACTTCAAAAGCAAGTGACTTGATCTTGGGTGCTGTCATTCACATCAGATGACTTGTATCTTCTGAGTCATTGTGAGCAACATGAAAATTTCAGTTGAGATGAAATGGGATATTTACGATACAACCCAGATAATTTATCTTACATCTTTGTCAAATGTTTTATTTTTAAATATTCAAGTCCTACTCTTAACTAGGAGGTTTAATACTGCTGTTGGTAACCTACCTTGGCAGGTAAGGATTTTCTCCTAAAATCATTCTTCAAATGTGTCTTGGCAGTAATAAAAAAAAAATAATCCAGCTAAGGTTTTCTTTTTAGATAAGCACTTTAAAAGAAGGTTGTTACAGCAAGTGAGAAACAAAGGGTGTGTGTTTCTTGATTTATAACAATCAATGGCATATTAATATATTTTTTAAAGAGCCAGAGTTTTTAAAAAAGAATTTGATTTGAGTGTCATTTTTTGCTTAGGCCACCAGGGGGTGATATGCTTAAAGAGACACAGGGAGACGCGGCAAAAGGTGGGTTGGCTGCCTCTCTGGACAAAACCTAAAGATAAAATGACCCTGGGTGAACAAAAAGTATCTCTCTGTCTGTCTGCCTTCCCCACTGAGACAGAGAGAGGGTCAAAACAAACCTTTTGAGGCTTGCTACTCTCCTTAGGCAAGGGGTACATATCTTACAAAAAACAAGCATCTTAAATAAGTCTTGTGAATAAATACATTTCCGACCTGTGACTTCACACTCAGGACTTCACTGGACTTAAGTCCTTTTCAAAGCATTTGGGAGACATGTTGGAGATCTCGGGCAAAAGCGCTTTCACCACTGGCGATCTGGCCCCCATCCCTTGTGTGATCATGTGGTGAGGTGTAGTCCTCAGTTTGCCAAGTTATCCCACTCAGTGAGCTGGGGAGTTCTCAGTGAGTCCAGCACGCAGGCAGGAAACAAGTGGAACAGCAGACGCTGCCATTTGGGCAAGGTGGTTCTGTTACAGACTTTTGACGCTATATTTGAAATAGCTCAACATAGTAAGTCAAAAGGTAGTTTTTAAAATTTGCCTTTTAAAAATGTTTTGCTTTTTACCATCAATGCACATAAAATATCATTCAGCAGTCACAGTTGTGGATGTATTAATTACACTGGCACCCTCCAAAAAGTAACTCTACTACATCTCTGGCAAATCTAAGTGAACCTGTCTTTTATTCTTCTGTATCATTTGTGCTCAGTCCCCCCAGCCCCACCCCCAAACACACACACACGACTGCCCCCAAAAGAGGGAGCCTGGATTCTGTTGTTTGTTTTTTACTAGGTGAATTTATGTGGAAATACTTCTGGCTGAAGCATTGCTCAGTAAATTGCTGATAAATGACTTCCATCTGGAATATACTTGGTCAGCAATTTAGGAAGCCATGCAGATTTATTTTCAAGAAACTCAAACTACTTTTCAGACCCATTACCCTTGTGCCAACTAAGTAAAATCCCCCCTGCTCCTATTCTTTGGGAGTCCTGAACCGTAGCATAAAGGAATTCACAAAACACTTGCAGGAATTAATAATTGCATTCTCGCTCTTATTATGCAAAGCCTTATTAGGGCAGAGAAATTAAGGTTTCCATAAATTACAGTTCCAGAAGGTCCGGTGCGTCTGGCTTCAGTAAGCCCTCGTAACAGCAGCACAAAGAGGATCAAATATTCCAGGGCTCAGACTTTATCCTTTCCTCATCCAGAGATAATTCAAAGAGATGCTCTTCATTAGGGCCATTGGCAAGCTGCCTACAGTTTCTTTTTGGGGGCTGCTGTGAGCTTAATGATGCAGAACAATGGCTTTGCCTCTTGTTGCACACATACCTCATTGTACCTTTAATCACATTAGAAAAACAACACCACCACATAAAGTTGCCTGGTCATTAAAGGGCATTGCAAAGAGTGCAGACGCATCAGTGATTGGGGCCATGCATTAAAAGATGCACCAAGACATTTAGGGACACTCAAACACTTCTATAGGGAGGAAGCCTCCTGCCTACCTGGGGTCGTAAGGTCAGGTCAGACAAGTATAGCAGTTCTTTATGCTTTTATGATAACTGTGGTGTCCAGGTGGTGGGGGTTGCAGGGCAGTGTGAAACGTCAAGACAGGGCCTCTGCCTACCAGAAATTTGAAATTTAACAGTTGCTTCATGATTTGGAAAACTTTAGCCTGTCTTGAGTACCTTTGAGTACTCAGAAGCACTATTAAGGTGAAAGGACAGGGAAGTAAGGAAGATGCTTTAAGGTTGTCAAGGAGTACAGTCTCCTACTTGGATAAATTAATTGGCACAGGAGATCTCATGTTCTGGGAGTAATGGGATAGGGAGCCTCACAGCTCTTGGGCTGTGGCTGGAATCCAGCTAAGGGTGGTTACCAGGTGTTGGGGCCAGGGAGTGGGAGTTGGGGGTGTAAGGATGGGAAAGTCTGTGGCTCTGTGGGTTTGATGCCAGTGACTCCAGCACAGGCTAAGCACCAGCCTTGTTTGTAGCCATGTACTGTCAAGTCAAGGGGACAGCCAGTCTGTGGATGCTTTGAGGAGGGTCTTCCAATGGAGGCCAGGAAGAGGGGAACAGAGTGCCACCCCAGCCAGTATCATTTACTCCCTCCACCTCTTCTAACATCGACCAGAGACTTTTTGTAAAATGGTGACCTTTTCTAATTTGATGAGGCAACAAGGAAATAATTCTGATTGGGAGTTAAGCTTCAAACTAGAAATTATGAGTAGCACATTGTCCTAAAGTCTGCATGCACATTTTCAGGATAAGGAAAACTTATCTATAGTCACAGGACTATTCATTACTGACAGCCACAGCATTATTTATTGTGCACTTACTATGTGCCGGCACAATGCTGAGTGTCAGCTGTGCACTTTCCCATCAGATCTGTACACAAGCATGAAGAGATAGGTGATACTGTCATCCCTATTTCAAAGAGAAGAAACTGACATACAAAGGAATTATAGTGGGACTGGGAGTCAGATCTGCACTATAATTCCCACATCTGTGAATTCTTTTCTTGTATAAATCATTTTCCAGCATTGTCAATGAATGAATGATGATCAACTTTATAGGGAACCTGCGGGTCAGTTTCCAAAAATCATGCTTGCCTTTGTGGGGCTAACATAAAGACCTTGGTGTCTCAGACAGGCCCAGGTGCTACGTGGTACCTCCTGAGAAAGGTTCCTACGGGGTTGCTGGTCCTTCATACCTGGAAAGGGTGATGTGCAGAGAAAAATGAGCTCCGGAGTAACACAGAGTTCCCACTGGCTTATCAGGCAACCTGAAGAATGAATGATTTGAGAACGCTGATGTCCTTTTGCCTCTCAGTAATAACAGGAAACATCACATAAGATTAATTTGTGCCTCTTATGGCACTTGAAGTTGTTAGCTTTGAGAAGCAAAAACTTTACCACTAACTGTGACCTGCCAGAAAACTATAGATCTGATACAGATTTGTGACCCTTTATACATCAATCTCATAGCCAGTTGGATAGAAAAACACAGATTTCCAAAGTAAATACTAATCAGAATCAAGTTTATGGAGAAGTCTGGAAACTTGACTTTGCACAATCCTGCTTGCATATTAGCTAGATGCAGTACTCAGATGAGTTTACTGCTGTAGAGCAAAGAGACTCTGCATCAGCTGAGAGTCAGATGGGTCACGGTTCGATTAAGTATGGACCCAATTAATGACGGTTAATTGGATGAACATAAACTTGACCTCCACACAGCAGTTTTGAACCTGGCAAAATTTTCCTGCAAGTAGGAGTGTGTTTGCTTAAACAGCCTATTAATTCTAAAAGCTTTGTTTTAGAAGCAGCTTTACATTCTGAATTCATTTAGGCAAAGTAGGTATGGAAAAAGAAAGCTCATCTTGGCCAGGCATGGAAGCTCATGCCCTATAATCCCAGCACTTTGGGAGGCTGAGGTGGGAGGATTGCTCGAGCCCAGGAGTTCAGGAATGGCCAGGGCAACTTGATGAGATCCCATCGCTACAAAAGAAAAAAAGAAAGAAATTTAACTTAGCCAGGCATGATGGTGCATGCCTGTAGTCCCAGCTACTCAGGAGGCTGAGGTGAGAGGATCACTTGAGCTTAGGAGTTGGAGGCTGTAGTGAACTATGCTGGTGCCACTGCATTCCAGCCTGGGTGACAGTGACAGAGCAAGACCCCTTCTCTGGGGGAAAAAAAAAACAAGCCCATCTTCTCCTCCCACCTTGACAAACAGGGCCCTTTATTGAATATGGAGCCAGCATATGGCTGAGAAAGTCACTTTTTAATACATGGCCGTTATTTGTCACTAACTGTTGTTTTCTTGTTAATTAACAATGGATTATAAACCACTTTTATGTTGATTCTGAAAAGAAACGACCTAGGGTGGGACCAGAGATTACCTCTCTTCTTTCAGTTTGTCTCCTCTTAAGACACAAAGCTTTAGAGGACCATAAAGGAGTTTTCCTTCCTTTCCCTTAGGACTAGGGCTTGATACCCACCGTCCTAGCTTAGGTGTCCTTCTGAAGTATTCCAAGGTGCCCTGCACTTCCTTCCACCTTGTTTCCATATATATGTTAATTTGGCCTCCCATGTTACACTGTAAACTAGGAAGTCTCATCACCACTGTTACTCTCAGCACATGGTTGGTTGAATAAGTTGGATTTTGTAGTGTTTGTTAGGAAGAGTGAGGAGCAAGAAAAGAAGAATACAAATCAGGAATTTAGAAAGAGAACTAGGTGTTGAATGAAATGACCATGGTTTGGACCAAGGAGGTGAGGATGTGGAACAGAGGGGACACAAGACATTCATTTTTCATTCATTCAGCCAACACGTTCACCCGACCCACCAAGTGCTGAGAACCGAGGTGCTCACCCACTTGCTCACTGGCTCCCCAGTGCCCTTGGAATTCAGTGAATTAACTGTGGCTCACAGAGCCCTGTGAGATCCAGCCTCTTCTGACCTCTCCCATAAACCTCCTGCCCTGCTCATCTGCCCTGGTCCTGCAGGCCTCCTTTCAAGACCCAGAACCCACCTTATTCCTTCCTTCTCAAGACTTTGCAGCTGGCTGTTCCTTTCTGCCTGTAAGTTAGTTCACCAATTCATCTTTGAGCTCAGCTTAAATGTCCCTCTCCCTGGAGGCCTGACCTGACCTAAGAAAATCCCCCGACCCACTCTAACCTCTCTGTGCACCGCTCCTGTATTTTGTTGGCTTGCTTATCACCTGTTTTCAACCCCAACCTCCTGGACAAATGTCAGCCCCATGAAGGTAGGGACTTTGCATCGTTCTCTGTGAAACCCCAGGTCCTGGCACATAACTAGTAACTGTTCAGGATGTGTTTACCAGATTAACTTCTGAGTGAGAAATGTATCAAGTGGATCCCACTTTGGTTTGGGAAGGGTTTTACCGTGACAAATGAGTCCATATCCCTGGTCTCTAATGGTTTCCACAGATACAGCTGCACGTTGCCATGAGGCAGATGGTACGGGGTCACAAGGGAGAAGACAGCCCCTCTCTCTGTGTTCCTGTCACCCACCTGCCATGGCATGCAGAAGGAAACATATGGAATAGTGAAAAAATCCAGCTTTAATAAATGAGTTCTCTTGTGTTCATTAATAATGCAGGAAGAGGTCATGGTTAAATGTGGGCGGTGGTGGGGGGGTGGGTAATGCACAAAAGAATACCGTCAACAGTTCGGGGTGAAGGCACAGCAGAGCCCCACTAATCCTGCATTCTCCGACCAGTGTGGAATTAAGCAGGGAACAGCCTTCACTCTCTGAAGCCCACAAAGCCAGTTTCTGGCAGTGCCACTGTCATTTATGTGACAGGCGTCATAACGTTGGTAAAATGTAGTCGAGCTGTGCTGCGGAACAGCTGGTGCTGCCCTGAGAAATGTCAGGAATGAATGTGTCCTGCCTAGAGTGACCTGTTTGCCTACTTGTTCATCAAGGGCATTTTGAGTTGTGTATTCATTGGTGAACTTCAGGGAAAGGATCCCTTTTCCATCTACTAATTGCCTGCCTCATGGGATAATTTTTTTTTCCAAATACATTTGATGATATTCATCAGCTTGTGATAAAGAATATGCCAAAATTATGCGGAAGTGAAAGAATATTATTGGCACTAATGTTCAGTTGTGCTGCATGCTGGTCTTGATTTGAGTGGCAGTAGGAAGCAAGGACAGCTTTTGACTGTGGAAGAGTCTCTGGAAGTTTCTTTTAAGTCATTAGTTCTCAGAGTAGGGTCCTGGCCCAGCAACAGCATCTGGGAACGTGTTTGTTAGAAATGCACTTTCTCAGGCCCCGCCCCAGAGCTACTGAATCAGAAACGCTGGGGTGGGGCCCAGCAATTTGTTTCACAAGGGCTCCAGGTGGGTTTGGCGCAAGTTCACGTTTAGGAGCCTATGTTCTGTATTAAATCAAAAATGCTGGAAGAGGGAGGACTGCTAGGTGACCTAAGCCTTCTGACAGATTTTCTTGAGTCTTTGTCGGATGAGTAGGCAGCAAAGAAGTCACATCTCAGACACTTAGATGTGGATCAAAAATTTAGCCATCTGTTGGTTAATACCAAAAATAAATTGTTTTGTTTGAGAACTTTTTTCAAGCAAATAGTTCTGTAATATCTAGTTTACAAGTAGAAAATTGAAGGTTATTGAATTTTGTCTGTAAAGGAGAGAGAATATATAAAATTTTCAGATACATCTGATATTCATCAGCTTGTGATAAAGAATAAGCTGAAATAGTGCAGAAGTGAAAGAATATCATTGGCACCAGTATTCAGTTTGTGTTGCACACTGGTCTTGATTTGAGTGGCAGTAGGAAATAAGGACAGTGTTTCTGACTATGGAAGAGTCTCTGGAAGTTGCTGTATATACATGATAAATATTATGTATACATTATATACATAATGTATACATATGCATGTGTGTATATATATATCTCACCATATTCTTTCTCTGAATCACTCCAGGCTCCAGCATTATCCTATATCCTCCTAAACAAGACACCCCCTGCTCCTACAAATACTCCCTTCCCAGTAGTAAATAAGAAAGTAACCTGATTAATTTCCAATAATGTGAATGATGATGGGTAGAATTCTCCTGCCGGAAGAGAATGTATTTTTAAGAAGGACCTTATTACCCAAATGAATCTGAATTGGCAGAATTCTTGTGGAAATAAGTTTGAGCAGGGGCCTCTTTCTGATGAGAGCTGTATAGCTATCACCATAATGATAGGTCATGATTTATAGACACCACATCTGGGGGGCTTTCAGGTTACAGCCTGTCAATTAAACAACATCATTGGTCAATCTTTAGTGTACATTTCTAGAAGTCGATTTTTTTGTATCTGAGGATGACCATTTTTAAAAGTCTTAATAAAGATTGCCCCTAAATGAGTCTGTCTGCGTAATACCCACCAGTGTATAAGTATCCGCCTTACCTCGCTCTTCACCCCAGTACTCACTGGGTGAGAAGGGGATTCTCTTTTTTTTTTTTTCTTCTTATTTGCCTCTTTGGTGTTCAGCTTGTCAAGGTGACAGACTGGTAAAGGATGGAATCCTGTTTTTAACTCACAGGATTATATCAGTCACAAGGTAGAAAAATTCCGCTAGGGCAGTGGTTCTCAAACTTGAACTGGCATCAGAATCACCAGGAGGGCATGTTTAAACACTGTGCGCCACACTTTACCCCTAGACTTTGGATGCTTCCGGCCTGGGAATCACCCTTTGAAATCTACTCCTCTAGGATAATCATTATTATATAAGACTAAGACTGATGATGGCTGGGCGCGGTGGCTCACGCCTGTAATCCCAGCACTTTGGGAGGCTGAGGCGGGTGGATCACTAGGTCAGGAGATCAAGACCATCGTGGATAAATGGTGAAACCCCATCTCTACTAAAAATACAAAAAAAAAAATTAGACAGGCGTGGTGGCAGGCACCTGTGGTCCCAGCTACTCAGGAGGCTGAGGCAAGAGAATGGCATGAACCTGGGAGGTGGAGCTTGCAGTGAGCCGAGATCATACCACTGCACTCCAACCTGGACAACAGAGCGAGACTCCGTCTCAAAAAAAAAAAAAAATACTGATGGATGAGTGGATGAGTGAAAGGATTGGGGAAGAGAAGGCATTTATGTGCCTCTTCAGTTCTACTAGTGTCAAATTGCTTTCCATCATTATGGTAGAGAAGTTCGTGTTGCTTCACATCCCTGCCAACACTTGGTATTGTCTGACTTCTTAGTTTTCCAATATAGTGAATATGAAGCGGTATCTCACTGTGGCTTAAATTTGCTTCACCCTGACTATGAAGTTAAGTATATATTTATGTATATTGGCCATTTTTTAGTTTCTTCCTTGTGTGTAAAGTGCCTGCTCCAACTTTTTGCCCATTTCTCTGTTGGATTTTTCCTCTTCTCTGTTGGATTTTTCCTCTTCTTCCCTGGTTGTAGGATTTGGAAAAACATAGTCTGGATACCAACCCCTCTGATGTAAGTGTTGTAAACATTTCCCAGTTTGTATCCTGTCTTTGCATATTCTTTTTTTTTTTTTTTTTTTTTTTGAGATGGAGTCTCACTCTGTCTCCCAGGCTGGAGTGCAGTGGCACGATCTCAGCTTACTGCAAGCTCTGGCCTCCCGGGTTCACGCCATTCTCCTGCCTCAGCCTTCCGAGTAGCTGGGACTACAGGCACCTGCCACTACACTCAGCTATTTTTTTTTTTTTTTTTTTTTTTTTGGTAGAGACGGGGTTTCACCATGTTAGCCAGGATGGTCTCAATCTCCTAACCTTGTGATCCACCTGCCTTGGCCTCCCAAAGTGCTGGGATTACAGGCGTGAGCCACCATGCCTGGCCTGCATATTCTTTATCATGTTTTCTAATGAACCAAATCTCTTAATTTCATAAAGTCAAATATATCCCTTTTCTTTTGGTTTGTGCTTGTTGAATCTTTGCTAGGAAATGTGTTTTCTCTCTCTGAGTCAGAAAGATATTTACTTATATTTTCCTCCCAAAGTTTTATATAAATTTTGTCTATCACAGTTACTTTTTTATATATGGTAAGATGTTAGAGTCCAACTTCATTTTGTATAAATACAGATTTTCTGGTATATCTTATAGACAAGCCCATCTCTTCCTCGTCACGGGGAAATGCCAGTTTCCCTCTGTGGTTGGTAGGTTTAACAGGCATTCATTGTAACATTCTTTGTAATTCCATACGTGTATCTTAGAAATTTTAAAACTTATTTGACATTTAAGAAAATATTAAGAGGAGACCCAAGAATAAATATCTTTTATTAAAAGCCTCCACTACCCCAAATTCTGAAGGAAAGTAAATCAGAAATACTAATAAGGGGAAGACGGAGTGGGCTGGCTGTAAACATCTTTACAAAAAGTACAAAAAGCCACTTTTAAAAATATATATATAAAGCATTCTTCATCTGTAAAAAGATTTTCTCAAACTGTAACATTTGTTGTAAAAGAAGACACATCTGTAAGACTACAGTTAGAACTAATGTTTTTATAAACACATTTCCTAAGTTTACATGTTTCTAGCTAAATAAATCTTAAGCAAAAAGTTTATCTTTTTTTGTGAACAAACAACACATGAACCAAATACGGCAAACAAATGCTTACTATTCACAGCACTAAACCAGTGAAAACAGAGGTAATTTGTTAGACATCTGGGAGAATAACAGTTTTCTCCCAGTGCGTTAAGCAGTTTACCATAACACAGACACATTCCTGTTTTGCCTCACATGACAATTATTCCCCTCCCTTGCCCAAAAGTGTCAGTGGTTGTGGCACATAACATTAGAAGTGACATGCACTTTAATAAAGTAAAACTCTAAAGAATATGAACCAATTTTCCTTTATCAAGCAGCTGTTTTCTATTTTGGGAGTCTCAAAACAGAGAAATTACTATCCTTCATAACAATATTTCAGTTAGCAGCGGGAGATGAAAAGCAGCAGCTATTTCCCCTCAGAATCACAATGGTATTTTATATTCAAAATTAAGTTCCTTTTATCTAGTTAGGGGATGACTGGCAGGAATAACTTGTAATGCACATACTGTACATTTTATATACTAGTTACTATATGTTGCAGCTAACTGCCTCCATTGATAAGTTCCTATCTGGACTAATTCCTTAATAAGAGATACCTCTGTTTCCTTTGCTTGGTATTTTCTCCTTTTTATTTCTCTCTCTGGCGACTTTCTAAATCCAAGATTTATAGCATTGGACTGAGTACCTGGAAACTTCCCAGTATTTAAAGTTTGAGTTGTTTAGCATGTCTGTCTAATCTCTCCCTCCCCAGTTAAATTAACTTGAACTTTTTGTTCCAAGTTGCGCCATGGATTGGAACAGGAAGTAGTGGCTGTTCCCCAAAGAGGAAAGGGAGGGAGTCAACCACCACTGAGAAATTGACCAAAAGGGTCCATGCATCCTTTTTCTCAAAGTTGTCCATGAAGTCTCAGAACCAACTCTACTCCATATCCAACCATGGTTAAGAAAGCCAGGGGAGGGAGGACACAGTTCCAGTGTTGTATTTTTTATCCTTGAATTAACAAGTGCCAACCCAAATTAATATTTCAGTGATTTTTTTTCCTGTCCTCATAAGAACAAAGATAAATAGCTTTTGAGTGTTACTTATCCTGCACAGGCTTTAAATGCATGAGTTATATCCAAAAGCTCATGTATTTCTCACACAGCCCCTTAAAAGTATAGATACAGTTATTATTTCCATTTCACAGATGAGACAGCTGAGGGTTAAAGTAGTTGACAAAGCAGCCTGGAGTCACACAGCTGGTAAGTTGCAGAGACAAGATCATAACACAGGACTGTCTGACTCCAGTGACTTTGGGCAGGCTCCCTCACTCATCCTGTCACTCATTCCATTAAAAGACATTAGTGGGCATCTCCCTCTAGTGTTCTGGAGGAATGTTCCAGTGTAGTACAATGGAAAGAAAAGTCCCTGCCCTCAAGGGGCTTACATTCTAGAGAGAGATGGGGTCAGAAGTTAAATACTACACTGCTGAGAATATAATTACAATGTGGGGTAAAGGCTCTAAAGGAATGTGGTTCTACTGCAGAAACATCATATAAAGACCCAAACAAGAAACTCCGCCCAGTTTTCTCCTCTGTAAAATGGAAGTACTTGACCAGGCACGGTGGCTCACGCCTGTAATCCCAGCACTTTGGGAGGCTGAGGCGGGGAGATCACGAGGTCAGGGGATCGAGACCATCCTGGCCAACATGGTGAAACCCCGTTTCTATTAAAAATACAAAAAAAGAGCTGGTCGTGGTGGCACACACCTGTAGTCCCAGCTACTTGGGAGGCTGAGGCAGGAGAATCGCTTGAACCTGGGAGGCGGAGGTTGCAGTGAGCCGAGATCATGCCACTGCACTCCAGCCTGGCAACAGAGCAAGACTCTGTCTCAAAAAAAATTGAAGTAGTTTTGTAGCTTTAGCAGTTAAATTGAGGTATCAAGGTGATATCTTATATCTTGCTCAAGTGGAAGTTCATCCTGTTTTGTTAAAGCAGGAGAAGGATTCCATTTGCAAGTTACCACAGTCTAGAACCACCTGATTGTCTTAAAGGCAGCATTTAGTGAGTGCCTACTATGTTCTCCGGGTCATATGCTGTGCTGAGGGACAGGTTAAAATAGCCACTTGCTCACAGTGTTCATGTCCTACTTCAGAGGACCTCCCTCTCCCTCAGAGCCTCAGTTGTAAAAGGGGAAGGCTTGGGTTCTTTTTATGGCTCTGCCATTGAGTGACCCCGGAAGAGTCTCTGGGCCTCTCTGAACCTTAAACTCTTCTTCTGAAGCTCAGGAATATGAGCTGTTTCTCCTAGGGTGTTAGGAGTGTCCAGGTGAGCTTTAATGTGTGTGTGAGTGTATCTGGAACCCGTATGGCACAGTGTAGGCTCTTTATGTGGGCATATAGTCAGCACTTCATATCTATGGGTTCTTCATCTGTGGATTCAACCAACTGATGATCAAAAATATTTGGAAAAAATAATTCCACAAAGTTCCAAACAGCAAAACTTGAATTTGCCACATGCCAGTACTATGTTGAATTCCCATGATGTAGGCATTGTATTAGGTATTATAAATAATCTAGAGGTGATGTAAAGTATATGGGAGGATGTAGTTGGTATGCCAAGCCTACAATAGCAATTAGGACAAGTATATGGCCATGTGATTTAAACTATATGGGAGGATGCAAATACTCTGTGTGCCATTTTATATCAGGAACTTGAGAATTCATGGATTTGGGAAGATACTGGAGCCAATATCTCATGGATATGGGGAGATGACTCTATTGTCTAATAGGCCAATCTAGGGGTTGAAGGAAAAAGCCAGCATTTCTAGAGAAGGTGGGGGCAGCCAGGCTTCCAAAATTGGGTCAAAGAGGGTCATCTTTATGGGTTGAAAGTCTCTTGGGGGACAGTTAAAATGATGGGAATAGATCCAGAAAGGTCAACTTATGTGGACATCTTCAGAGATCATTGGTGCTACATCATTTTCTTGAAAGGAACAGTGGAGAATAAGGGTTTCAACAGAAGTATGTAAAGCCAAAGCTTCTTAAAAACAATATATGGTGGTGGAAATATGCAGTACTTTTAGGGAAAATTCTCAGATTCAGTATTTGTTCAGTAGGGTATTTATTGGACACCTCCAGTGTGCCAAGTAGGGGCATCCACTGGCAGGACTGCAGTGGTCCAACTAACAAGGTCCTGGTCTTAGATGGAGGAAAACATCCACCAAGTTTTATCACACAGATGAAAATGCACCAGCGCAGCCAGCACTTGGGGTGGCCAGTGCCAAGTGCAAGGGGAACAAAACAGAGGATGGGACCCAGTTACGATGGCCAGGCTGGGCTTCCTGAGTCATCTCAATATGGAGCAGTCAGTGTCAGCCAGGCATAGTCTCCAAGACAGAAGGAGTCATGGATTTCTAGGAAAAGCATTTCACTGATAATACTTTAATGTGCATCTGTGTCCTACACTGTCTCGTATCCAGAGAGGGCCATGTTTCTAAGGGGCTATCCCAAGTTTGACACATATTCCTGGAGCTAAAGCAAGTGAAAACACTTAGGAAAGTATGAAAGCTCTGTGTGGATGGTGGTGTATGACTCTGCAATGTATATTTTAAAGAAGAAATGTTTTGGAAAGTCATTAAAAATGTTAACCACATCCCCCTCCAAACTAAAAAGCTGATGAAGGGAACATATTTTCAAATTACACATTTAAAAACATATATGTTTATATCAACAAAAGATAGCCTATGTTAGACCCAGATATAGTTGATATGCCAAGCCTGCGATAGCAATTAAGACACGTATATGGCCAGAAATGTCCTCTGGACATACTCAGCGGATGGTACCGCTGCAAAACACGTTTTTCAATGAGCTCATCTGTAAGGCACGATGAAACGAGGTCAAAGAAAAGCTTAGAGAGCTTCATACTCACAGTTTTAAACTCAACTGAGAAAAGATTTAAAGGAAAAAAAATCCCTGACCCAAACAAAAGCAGGGGGAAACTTAGTGTTGCCTAAAGCAACTAAAGAAAAACACCGCGTTCTCCTGGTGGCTGTTCTCTGCCGTTGCGTGTGCAGGGGATCCGTATTTTTGCCTCCAGCATGCTCATTTCTGTTTCTCAGACCCACACACCATTTTGCTGAGACAAAGCTGCAAGTGCATTTCCACCCAGCTGGGCACACTTGATAACTACACTGATGCATCAGAACTATAAATGTCACCCCCGTCATCTCCTTGTACCCTCTGATAACTTTACTCTTTAAAAACTTGTTAACATCCTTTTTCCAGCCTTACATTTGACATAATCAAAGTCATGTACATGAACTCCCCTCTCTCTCTCTGAAAAACCCCTACGTTTCCTCAAGTTCTAATTGCATTATCAAGTGTTTTGTTTGGATCATTAATTCCTTCCCAGATGATTTGCTCCTGGTAGGTTTCTAGCAAATTCTACCCATGTCTAATAAATCATCTTACAAAATGCTGCAGGTTTTTCTCCGTCATAGGGATCTAGTCCACACGCTAATTGCTGTGCCCCTGTGAAGTTTTATTCTCCTACCTCTCACTAAAAGCAACCCCTTTAGCTTCATTGTTAAAACTCTAACAATTCGACAACAAAGAAAAGATTTCAGAACTGTGCTTTGGCCAGGCCAAGTCCCCAGAGTCATTTCAAGCTTGCTGAGCTGGAATATACCCAGGGTTATTCTGTCATCTAAACAAACTTTCTCCAGGTGAACGCAGGCAAGGCATCTGTCTCTTCTGTGTCCCCTGTTGGACCTGGGAGTCAGGGAGATGAATGATCCATTGTCCTGAGGCAACACTACCATGTAACTAACCTGAGAACAAGAAAATGAAGTCAGGAAGTTTTAACTGCATAGCCATAGGGTGGGGAAGGACGGGGGCCCAGTTCCTGCTTCCAGGATGTGATAGGATTATTGGGGCTGGAGATTGTGGAGTTGTAGCTACAAAGGCTGTAAAGCATTCATAGAAGACCAGATGGGGAGTGATCTGAAATAATTCAGAAGGGTGTAAGTACCAGTCTAGTGAGGTTCCTCTTATATTAAAAATCAACATTATCTAATTTCCCAGTTTCTACAGGTAAGGAAATTGAGGTCCAGAAATGATCAGTAGTTTCTTCAGATGCAAGTATACTATTTTGTTTACTTTATCATTTGATTCCCAGCATGTATCAATGGACTCACCTATACATGAATCTTGCAGTGTTTTTAGCCCAGTTCATACTTTCCACAAACATGTTTATTTCTGTTCAGTTCTCCAAAGGTATTGTGGGCCTCCTATGTATAAGTCAGGTGTTCTGTGCGGCTAAGATAAGGTATTAACCCACCATTCTTATTTTTAAAAATGTAATCACAAAAAGCAAGGATCAATTATTATAATATGGCCATATTTTAAAGCCCTTCTGTGCCTGTGAAGTCGAGAGGGTGAGTCATTTTATTTCCCATTTTACAGGTGATAAATATCTTAGGATGTCATTATTATTCTTTTTGTGCCATTTGTAAATCACATTTATAAATCTTTGAGAAAGAAGTACACACTTAAGTTTACTTTTGATTCATATAGGTTCTAAATCTTCCCAATTTCTGTGTCTTCCACCGTAGATGTCTCCACTGTTAGTTATTCCTGCTCCTTTTCATTGGTTCTTCTTGCAAAGCCAATATTTCCAGAAATCTGCACCAATTTCTCACAGTGATTGCACATTTCAATGGAGATAGATAGCTTGGAGACAGTTTATACATTCTACTGATAAAAGTTGTCTCTGGTTGCATGGAAGGGTCTCAGCAAACTGAGAATATTTTGGCAATTCAGTAGATAGAGCCAGATTCATTATTGCACATAAGCACTCTTCAGTGGAATATTCATACATATTACAAATTAAGTTTGAGCTGATAGGGAGGGTTTCTTTTTCTCTTATAACTTAGTCAACACAGCAGAAGAGAGGCAAATATTTTCTCCTCTAGCCTAAATTTCACCAAGTTGAGCAATAATTTGCAATTAAAATACAGAATTTTGACAAAGTTTAGGACAAACATAAAGTTAGTTTTTGTGCTTTAATTCTGTATGTGAACTAGATAAGCAATGAAATGGTATTTCCCCGCACGTGCACACACAGCATAGTTCTCCAGAATAGTTCAATTGTCATAACTCAGTAGAATAAAATACGGACCACTGCTCCTCACTCTAAGAAAGCCTGAGCAGCAAGGGCTGCCCTGCTAACTGCAGGCTTCTATTCAGTTTTCCTTATGGGGAGAAGCAAGAGGGAGAAAATTATCAAAATTTGCATAATGAAAATGAAGAAAATCACCCATGATAATGCCACTTTGAACTGTTGATGTTCCTTAACTTACGATGGAGTTACATCTTAAAAGTCAAAACTAAAAATCATCCAGGTGTGGTGGCTCATGCCTGTAATCCCAGCACTTTGGGAGGCCATGGCAGGAGTTCAAGACCAGCCTGGCCAACATGGTGAAACCCCGTCTCTACTAAAAATACAAAAAAAAATTAGCTGGGCCTGATGGCGCATGCCATCAGGAGGCTGAGGCATAAGAATCGCTTGAACTCAGAAAGCAGAGGTTGTAGTGAGCCAAGATTGTACCACTGCACTCCCGCCTGGGTGATGGAGTGAGACTCTGTCTCAAAAAAAAAAAAAAAAAAAAAAAAAAAAAAAAACCAAAAAAAAACAAACAAAAAAAAAACCTAGGCAGGTTAAAGATGGATATGGTTTGGATTTTTTAATATGGTTCTAAAAACAACGTGGGACAGTTCATGTGAAGAACAGAGTTTTAAGAGCAAGTGGGTAGAGCTTCCCCCACTGGGGCTAGGGAATATGCATCCCTTTTTGCAGAGAGTTTCAGAGATACAAGATTCAGTGGCTTTTCTAGCCAGTCACAGAATAAACCATTCTTCCTTCTGCATCCAACCTTCCTGTGGGGGGAGATAAATGATTCCAGAGTCTTAGGAAGCAAAGTTTCTAGAAATAAATAATACCCCAGGTTAGGGTAAGAATAGTAGGCAGTGTCCTCAACATCCACATGTACTTGTGAGGGAAGCCCCCAAGAAGGAACAGTGACTTGCGATCCAGAGCCCATTACAGAAAGACTATGTCGGTATGGCGTGATCTAGTAGCAGAACAATTAAAATTCTCAAGAAGCCCAGGATCTATCTAAGTCCTAATTTATTTCAAGCTTTTGAAATTTAGTGTTTGCATTTGCTTTGTCTTGAGACCTCACACGTCAAGTATTTTAGCTTAACAAAGAATAATGTACTTGGAGGTAAGAGGCCAAGTTCAAGCTCCCAAACTACTATTTAGTAGCTAATAACCCTTAGGCAAGTCACTTACTTTCTGGAGCGCTTACGGTGGGAGGGCTACCCTTCCTGTCCCATGTCATCCTAATTTTTTCTAATCTCTTCTTCACACAGCAGCCAACTCCCATGATCATGTCTCTAAGGTACAAACAGAAGGAAAAACAAACAAACAAACAAAAAAAACCCTTAATCTTGTGGATTCTCCACCCTCCTCTTAAATCATCTCAAAATCAAAGTCTTTTTTTTTTTTTTTTTTGGTGATGAAAGTACCTAAAAATCTACTCTCTTGGCAAATGTCCAGTATGTGACACACTATTATTAGCCATAGTTAATACTAAAAAAATGAAAAAAGGTAACTATAACATGATGGATATGTTAATTTGCTTGACTGTAGTAATCACTTCATTACACATATGTACAGGTGTTCCTTAACTTACGATGGAGTTACATCTTAAACCCATTTTAAGTCAAAAATGCATTTAATATTTCTAACCTACTGAACATTGTAGCTTATCCTAGCCTCCCTTAAATATGTTCAGAACACTTTCATCAGCTGCAGTTGTGCAAAATCATTAAACGCAATAATAAAATTTTGAATATCTCATGTAATTTAATACTGTACTGAATGTGAAAAATAGAAGGATTATGTGGATACCGAAAGTGCAGTTTCTATTAAATATGTATCTCTTTCACTGTAAAAGTGAAAGATCATAAGTCAAACCATCATAAATTGGAGATCATCTGTATAGCAAAATATGCTGTACATCTTAAGTATAAACAATAGAAAATAAAAATATTTTTTAAAAACAAAGTCCAACCTGAAGCCTCCAAGAGTCAGCATAGCCTGCCCTTGCCCATGCTTCCAGGCTTAACGCATGATAGTCTGCACCCCACTCACGTGCACCAGCAGCCCATCAGTTGTACCAGGTTTTCTCCTACCACAGGACCTTTGCACATGCCTTTCCCTCTCCTCTCTTCCTCCCCACTTAAATCCTGCCCTTTGGATTGGTGCTCTACACCTGTTCCTCAGGGGACCTCCCTCTCCCTGCCAGGTTTTCTTTCCTTCTCTCAGTAGTGGGATTCCTAGCATCCTTCTCCTTCACCAGACTGTCAACTTCCTAGGGACAGCTTCCATTTCTAGTCTTGCCCACCACTATATTGGCAGCCCCAGGCCGTGTGCTGAGCATGGAGACATTCGCAATCATTATTTGACCAATAAACAAATGAATGAGCCATTGAATGTACAGTGCCAAGCATACTGCATGGTACGTAGAAAATAACGCGGAAGTGTTAAGCATTGCTAGAGATTCAAAGAAGCAAAAGATGATTCCTGCAATAAAGTGGCTTTAGTCTTTGAAGAGTATTTCAAATGCATGCCATACTCTTTAGTTTATCGCTGATGTAGAATTATTTTTAAATGCTGTCTAGGAAATTGGAGGCATTTGAGAAGATCTGTCATAATTTATTTAGAATGTTGATTATGGACAAGCCAACTAATGATTACTGTTATAGGAAAACAAAAGAAAAAATAGCCCATTCTATCAACATTCACTGGTAGTTTTATATTCATACTGGCACCAGGCTCTTTTAAACTGAGTTGTTTGTTTTGAACCACTAAAACCATGGTTTAATATCAACAGCATTTTCTTCCAAGGATCCTATCACAATCAATTTAATGAAAGTTTTTCCACATGGTCTGTAAACTGCAAGATGAACTAGTTGGCTATGCAGGAGCCAAAATTAATTTTGATCAAGTGATACACATCATAATTTTATTTCTTTGGATAGAAAACAAAACAAAAAAAAAGAACAAAAAAGATGCCAAACCACTCTTTGTAGGTTACACTAAAATTCTGAAACACAAATCCACAAGACCCAGGAAATTCTGTTTACAGTGAATCAACTTTAGCTTTGATTTTTCCTGGCATTCATTGGTTTGTTACCTGACTTTTGTGTTTAAGGAATTTTCATAGTCTTGTAATAAGAGGAACAAATAAAGTATAGGACATTAAGTCCAATAGCATTTTTCAAAATTTGCTTTCTAAGATTCAGGCGCTTCAAAAAATGTGTGATGTTGCTTGTTTTCTTGCTGCTCAGAGATTTCTCTGACTCTGAGACATGACTGACATTACTTTTGTCTTAACTGTACTATTTTTTTATGCCATTCCATCCCAGGGGCCTTAGACGTTGCCTATAGGACATTTGTAGGGCAAACACATTGAGACAACTTAGTAAGAAATGAATTGACAGAAGAAAATCAATTTCCGGTAGGTTAGTGAAGATCCACAACTAGTGTTTTTCTCCATCCTGCTTGTTAAACATACCATTCCCAAGGTGAGTTCCTGGGAAAGGTCAGTAGACTCAGCTGACTTGGTTCTCAGGGTAAAGCGCACGTGCCCTTGCCATGGCATGCACCATGAACGTTCTCCTTTGGCAAGTATCCTTCTCACTGGAACATCACCTTCCACCTCCGGGCCCCACCTCTCCCTCTTGTTGATGACTGCCCCTTTTCACTACACCCTCACATCTTGGCATCCTACAGTCACCGGTGAACACCTCGGCCTCCTTTGCTTTACAGCCCAGGTCAGGTAACAGCACTGCCGGCTGTGCTGCTCGGTGGTTAGAACACGCATTTCGAAGCCAGGCAGACCTGGGTCACATCCCCATTTCTACTTTCATAAGCTGCACAACTTTTAGGAAGCTGCTCAGCTTCTGAGGTGGTAGAGATAACACCACCTACCTCACCAGTGACATCCTTATTCTGAAGACGGGATGAAATCATGTGTGTGAAGCATTTATTGCACTGCCCGACACAGAACAAAAACCCATGTGTGGCGTTCAGTGTCATATCCTTGAAATGGCTCCTCCCATAGACATGACTGCAATATAAACTGCTTTTCATGGGTTTTCTTATGTGACTTATTTGGAGTATGGTTTTTACTGAAATTTGGCAGCTGGACTTTTTAGGAGCCCAAACCTAGGCTAGTATTTCCCGAAAAAGATAGCGTTTACTGAGTGTGCTATGAGCCAGGCGCTCTTCTAAGCTCTTTACAAGGAATCTTCACAACCCTGTTTATAGATGAGGCACAGGAAGAGGCTAGAAAATTTGTCTAAGTGTGACAGTTATAACAACAGCTGACATTGGGCACTGTGCCAAGAGCTTTACTTTAATTACATCATTCAGGTATCACCTATGAAGCATGTACTTAAATATTCCTCATATTCTATCGAGGGCACTGAGGCACACAGAGATGGAGTAATTTACCCAAAGTCACACATCTGATAAATGGCAGAGCACGGACTTAGACCCCCATGTGTCTCACCCTGGAGCCCCAGTGATGCCCACTCTCACCCAGTGTTACTGAGCCTTCCTCACCACTTTATCAATACATGGCACATTGATTCTGCAAATCAATGAGGATAATAAATAGCTAACCTTCACTGAGCACTTGGTATGCACTAGGCATGAACCATAACTACTTTCTATGCAGAGCCTAATTAATTCCAGCAACAACTCTGTGAGTTAGGTCCTGCTGTTAACCCATTTTACAGAGAAGAAAACTAAGGCATCAAGAGATGAATAACCTGCTCAAGATAGCACAGCTCACAAGTGCTACAGCCTACTTGAACCCCAGGCAAACAGACCCAAAGCTTTGCACCTTGACAATGGCCCTCATCAGACGTAGAACTCCTGCCTGCTCCTCTGCATCTTCATGCAGCATCCTTAAGGCTCCTCTAATTTTAAATGTAAATGACTATGGTGACACAAAATAGAAAACACCATTAAACGCTCTTTTTAACTCCGTGTGATAACAATTCCATTGATGGAGGACTCTTCCTGTCCTTTCCTCTGATGACTAGAGGCTTGAGAGTAGAAATTTTATTGTAGCCAGCCTTCTAGACTCTGATGAAAACAGTTAACAAATTCAAGTTTATTCAAGGTATTTATGAGACCAATATGAAGTTTACACCAGGGAGAGGAAATGGCATAATAAAGCGGCCTTCATAAAGGCTTCGGGCATGACGCTTGCAAAAACCTAACCACACCTTCCTCCTTCAATTTGTGGCTGTATTTGCCTTTACAGCAAGAGATAATGCCAAGGGATCATTAAATGCAATAACATTGACGTGTAAAAAAGAAGCATGTCATCTTCTATATTGTGAACTTAAAGCATGCCTCTCCCAATTCAAGGTGAAAGCCACCAGCATCTTAAATGAAATGTCTGCAGATGCGCAGATGCCCTCTGTGTCTCTCGTTTTTGTCTGCGAAACAGTGATAGTAGCTGTACTTCCCTTGTGTGAGGATTACATGAGTAAATATAGGTAGAGTGCATAGAATAGTGTCTGGCACAGAGGAAGTGTTGTACCACTGTTGGGTTTATCATGATTAAAGTGTCAAAAGCTCCAGCATTTTATTTGAAGTATTCCGGACACTCATATATAAAAAGGTGAGCAACGAAGCACGGAGTGGCTGATAGCGACTTTCATGGACTGTTCAACCAGGAAGTGCTCTGGGAGACACCGTTTTCAAGCCCTTTTGCTATAGAGGGAGCTGAGTCACCCAGCAGCCCCTTCTATGTGTCCAGGGCTGAAATGCAGGAGTCTGGAGGCCAGATCATCACCTGCTGCCACTATGGTGGACTCCCGACCTAGTGAAAGCCAGAAGCAGGACCACCACCAGCCCATACGAGCACTTCTGCGTGATTTAGAGGAAGGCTTCTCTTCCTCTGGATGGACACGGCCTCTAGCCCACTGCCCTACTTGCCACCTTGCCTTTGCTCACACCTCAGCCTACACATCCCTAAGCAGGGGTACTACAGAGAAGTTCTAAAACAGAGACAGACAGAGAAATCAGTTATCCAAGAAAAGCCACTTTGCATGTTGTGATTTTCTGTGAGGTCTATAAACTTGTTATTTCTTGTCTCTTTCCTCTCTGTCATTTTTCACTTGAAATGGCCCCACCTTGTCACTTGCAGTGCAGAAACCAGAGACAGCAGGAGAGCTTGGCCAGAGCCACTTGGTTATTTTGCAAACACTCCAAGACCTTCTGGACCTCATTTTTTCATTCTCGACAAAGCAGAGGATACTGTCCTTGATACTATTTTTATCCTATCAAGAAATGGTCTAGAATAAGCTTAAGAGCAAAACCACTTCTCACTGAATACTTGTGTACTTTTTACTGGAGAAGACCCTCAAGTTGCAAAGAACTTAGGAGATGTAGAAGATAGGGAGATTTGGCTGTAGAAACAGCTTGTTGCCAAGTACTTGCCATTGGCTTTCCTATAATATCTGGAGCTACTGCTTCAAATTATCACCTGTAAGGTGATGCAAAAATGTACATGTTAATTTTTCGATTCATACTGGTTCAGATATACTGTAGCTTAATGGACATTTGGATGCCATTGCTTGAAATGAGATTTCATGTGATGATACCAAGGTTTCCAAAGGAGATACTAAGGTGGGATTGGTATCTGAAAAGAAAGTATTTTATAAAAGTAAGTACATGTATGTTTTTAACCTCTAAGACTCATCTGTTTTACTAATCAGAGGCTGGTAGCCAGATGTATTCTACATTTAGGAAAACAGTAAAGAATTTTAAAATGTGAGACACATCAGTTAGACACAAAGACGACTTTTCTAACAAGAAAATTACCCAAGCTATAAATTTATCTGTGCAGGATGCTTGAAATGGAGTAAGGAGGGGATCTGATGGTTGTAAAAATACCAAATCTAGGGAAATAACATCAGGATGCATTTAGAAAATACCATGGACAAACTGCTGAGGTCCCAACTAGAACCCAACACATCCATACATAGAAACTGACAGCTGTGGCAGTGCCATCTACAGATCTCCATCTCTGAAGTAGACGTACTTTCCTCAGAAACACGTTAATTTGAACACCATTCATTCCTGAAACTCACATTTCTTCTTAACTGCCATAATACCTGCATTTTAGATAAGTTGCCTTCCCTTCTCCAAGCCCTAGAGGAGACTATAAATTTGAAATAAATTAAGACAGACAGGAGTTGCCTAAATGAAAAAAAGACTTTTTTTTATCCAACCTAAATCAGGGCTTGAAACCTTTTACTTTTCAGTATATAGTGTATTATCGTCTATTGCTTCCAGTGAATTCTATGTTTTAATTAGTTTGAAAACATAGGTGTGATATTTTACAGAATGAAATCACTCCCCCTGTATTTAATTAAATGAACCCTATAAAAGTTGGATTTTAGCCAGGGGCATAATTTATACTAGGCTGAATTTAAAATTGCATTCGTACTTTATATGAGGTCATTTGCACATGTAATAGAAATAGAGGTGACTGTGATATGCTGAACCTCAGAAAGCAAATGTCCCCCATAAATAGGTACTTAGTTTCTAATTTGGAGAGAGTATAGTATGCCTTTTCCAAATACTACATTCTAAAATATCCTGAACTGCTTACGATTAAGTTGTAGAAAACTTTGAAGGCTCTCTGGGACTCTGTGTTTTGAAAGGTGCTACTGTATGACAATAGTTTAACCCATGATATTTCTAAGTAGACCGTGAAAACCAAGCCTCTCTCTGGTTTATGGGCCCGGCTAGCATTCCATCGTGTGTAGTCTCTGAGTCACTCGATGTCTTGGTAAAACGCCACCCATAATGCATTCATCTTTCCATTTCTTAAGTGATTCCCATGTGTTGTAGCTTCATTTTTCCTCCAAGAACTTCTTTCAGTGACATTCCGTCAGCCAAGAAGGGAACTGGTCTCACTAAATAAGCTCAGTAAATTCTTGCTGAATGAGTGAATGACTGAAAGATAGACAGATGGGTCGTCAGTGAAATTTACCTCCCAAATGGAAAGCTCGCCAGCTTTGTGTTAGTTCTCAGGACCAACTGGAAAAGACAGCTACAAGTACCTCCTAGGAAGAGCAACAGCAATGTTATTCCGGCCCAAATTGAACCCGGAAGGAATGGTTCCATGCCCTCAGCATAATTGTCTGTCTTGTCTCAGGAGACCTTATGCTAAAGGATCTCTTTAAGGTCCCTTAGTGTCATGTCATATTTGCAGCAGGGATGTTTGCCTTCAGACTAACTGATTGGATTTTTGCCATAATTGCACCTAAGTCCCAGGGGACCAGCCAGAGCCTTAGGTGAATAATTTAAGCATTTAATTTATAATAAAGTTTGCAATCAGCATTTCTTGTTCCAAAACATTCCATTTACTTGGTTTTAAAGCTGCATAAACTGTTTTAAAGGCAATCTGCTCAATTGGGCAAGTTAATGATATTGAATTTGACCGGGCCAAACGTCACTGGGTGCATCCCGTCTATAATCACAGCCATCATCACCACTGTTTTGTGTAATGTAGATGCAATGCTAATCCTGAGAATAAAAGTTGTCATTCTCGGTTGGCTGACGGCGTGCACCGGAGTCATCATCTCGCTAAGAGTCTCAGTGATGTGATTCCAAGATGACAGTGTAATAAGTGTTATGTGCACAAGGTAATTCAAAACAAATTTGGCTGCAAAAATGGATCGTCTAGGATAGTAAACTCCCGCCTTGTCTCATCATCTTTTAAGAGAATGTAATGATCCCTAAAATACCTTGTCAAGAAGCTCATGTGGCAGGGGTCAAGTCCTGTAAAATTTTTCTGTTGCACCCCCCCCCCTCCTCCAAGAATCCCAACTCGAGGGCTGAAAATATCCATGTGCATATTGGTACCCCAGCAACACACAAGATGGGCAGGGAGCTTCTGGGAAGTCAAGAAGCCTTACGGCATACAAATGTCTCTTAAGAACACCTCACTAGGCTGGGTTTTGCTTCTTTGATTTATAGATTGTTTCCTCCTGGGAAAATGTGTCTCTTCTACTACAGGATCCCCACGAGCACTGGAGTCTTAGTAAATTCTTATTATTGGCATTTAGGCATTACCAGTAAGTTATCTCATCTAAACTTTATATTACCCTAAAAAGCATGATGCTATATTTATTTTGCAGATGAGAAAACTGGAACTGAGAACAGTTAAATTGCCCAAAGCCCACAGCCAGGATTCCAACGCTGGCTTCATCCCACAATTGCTGTCCCTGCACACTCCACCTCTGAGCTGTGAAAAAGGAGGAGGTCATCTGGCTTGTGGAGGGGCTTATTTGAACTGTATTTGATTGAAAACTGCATGGGCTACTAAAATTGTTTTCTTGGGCACAGTTGTCAGAAATGCGTTTCTGTGGAACCCAGCTGTAGGCAGGGGGGACATTCTTGTGTGGGATGACAGGGCATTTCTCAGTCACCCCAAAGTCCCAGTTCTCCCTTTGGGGTTGCTACTGCTCTTCCCTCTGTAACCTGGGCAGTATGGATGCTGTTGTATCAATGCCGTGTAACAGTACCCAAAGCTGGACAGATTCAGAACAGCTTTCCTGCTTTTTGTAATTGAGTATGCCTCAACACAGAGGAGCTCTTTGTAGCCAAGAATGCTTTTAGCTTTAGACTGATCCAAGCGGGTCCTTCATGCATCATTTTCTTGGTACCATTTAAACATCCACTCAATGGTACTAGCATTTGGTTTATAAAAATGTATCCAAGTAAAGCAATAGTTGCCATCACCTTGCTATAAAAATGAACTAAGATGTAATCCTAATCAGAGAAGGATTTTCACTAATTATTTTACCCACATAGAAGAATGTCTCTAGGAATGAATGAGAAAACATTTGTGCCTAATTTTACAATATATCTATGTGATATTTACACTTTTTAGGATGTTTTGGACTGTAGGTAGTTAATATCCAAGTCAAATGACCTAAAGTATAAGGAATGTATTATTGAATATAACAAGAATTTTGGGGATAAGACGTTCTAAACTTGGTTAATTCACTTATTCAGTGATATTATTAGGACCACAATTCTCTCATTTTTCTACTCTGCCATCCTCAGTGTGTTAAGCTGGCCTCTGAGGCCAGCTCCCCACATGGTCCCAAGATGCTGCCACAAGTCCAAGAAAGCATGCAGATGACTTGTCTAGAGGCAAAAAATGGCCCTTTCCTATCTCATGTCCTAGTTTAGTCCTAGTTTAAGGATGGACAAAACCTCAGAGCTCCCTAGCAGCTCTCTCATCCCATCCAACCAGCCAGAATTATACTGTATACCCATGTCTAAATCCATCACGAGGCAAAAGGACCAAGACCACCATGATAGGCGGGAGCCCATCACAATCCACACCTCAAATCTCCCCCAGAGGGAAAGATATAGGATCTGGTAGAAAGGTAACAAAGAGTTCTTTTAGCAGAGAGGGAGCATTGGGGTGAGGATGGGTGCGTGCTGCCCAGGCAGCTGACATTGCCTGCTCTAGTGTTTGTAAGAATTATGTGTCTCTAAAAAGTGTAAACTCATAGGTTCCTTTCTGGACACAACTAGAAGATGCCTGGATTCTAATTCCCCATCCTCTCCTCACCTAGCTTAGTGTTCCTCTTAAGAAGAACAGGAAGTCATAAAGGAAAAATATGCCATAGTAAGAAAATCCCATTCTTATTCCTTTTTGGCAAAAGGCCTGGTATTTGTATACTGTTAAATAGAAGAAGAACAAATTTGACACATCTTGTAGCACCCACTCGAAAATCCTAATATCTGAATTCATTGTGGGTATAACTAACGTTGGTGCAAGCCATTCCCAGGGAATACCAAGGGCAGAAGACCAGCGTGACTGGGTGGTATTGACCACAGCCACACCTCCTAAGGGTGCTATATGTTGCATTAATTTATTCTCAGCAACAAATTTGCTGTAGCATTGTAAATTCCTGTATTATGTGACTCTTGGTGTCACACATTTAATGAAAGATATGGCTCAAATAGTCCGGCCCCAGCATGAATTCCACAGCACCCCAAGTTGTTTTTCATCCCCATCTACACCCCATTCCTTCCCATGCCAAGCCCTCAGCATTCTAGGGTCTAAGCAGGGAAGCACTTACCAAGGTCACTTGGGATAGAAAGCTAGAAAGAATTCTTTCTTGTCCTTTCATTCTTTTCTCAAAGGGAGAAACATGGCAACAGTCGTAGTGTTAAACCCTGCTTTCCAAGTCCTCCAGGATGGGGAATTTAAAAGTTTGGTGGTTCAGACAGTTCCTTATTTACTGGTGCACTCAAGTCATTTTGTGACCCAGAGTTCTTTTCTGCCGAACTCCCTCGTGATGTAAATAAATTACTTAAGTGGATTGAATCCAAATCATTAATAACCTCCACTGGCATGATTCATTTGGGCTTCATTACAAGGAAAGAATTCAACATCTATTTCTCAACCCAACAGTTGTTTACAACGCACTTCAGCCTAAGAGTTGTTGTCCCTACAGGGCCAGAGTGAAAGGGTTTGGGGGAAAAAAAGAGAAAAACAGCTTTACAACCAATACTTATGTTCTGCCTGGACATAGGGAAACTGAAGTGCTCTGAGGATAGACCTAATTGTCAGCATGCTTTGAAGTCCAAGATACTAAGGGAGGAAAATGTATATATGCCAAATAGGAAAAGGCTGTGGTTCAGTGTTCATTTTGACATTTATAAATACATGCTAAAAACATGCACATTGCAAGAGTGGACTATTAATCTAAGAGATTTAAACTCAGGAATTGCTATGAGGAGTGACTTGAATGGGTCAGTGTTCTCCAGAAAAACTTTGAGAAGCTGAGCAACTTCTGCAGCCATGTGTCCTATGGAATATGATTCCTATACCATCATTTTACATTTGCTTTTTAAAAACCAACCAAACCACTTGAGGAATACTATAATATTAAAATATTGTGGAGCCTGATACATTTTATGCAGTCCAATCATAAGATGTTACCAGACTTTCTGCATATAACCACCTGAACATAGTTCCTTTGTTTTATGGGGGAAGGGAAAAGAGAGGATAAATTAAATCACTGGACTTCCATCTAACTTGGAACGACTTTGATTTTTAGAAATAAGACTCTGATTTCTATTTCATCTTATGTCAGCTGTTCTAAAGATAGCTGGGTTGAGTGAGTTTTGATTGTACCATTTGGGAGAATCCTGGACACCGCGTCCAACGTTCTGACCCAGCATAAACTAGTAAGGTCCTCTCATGAGGTTTGAGGCTCTAGGGAGGGAGATGATCTTACTTTCAGTCCTGCCAACTTCACAGGACTATGATGAGAGAACTGTTGAGAGGTATCTTCATTTAAGTCATGCAGCAGACAGTAGTCACTCAATAAGTGCAGGCTTTGAGGATGCAGTAATAGCAAAGCACTGCACACAGTGGGAACCAAAACAGCAATTAAGCCAGCGGTCACTTCCCCCAAACGCTGGCCATTTGAATTCCTTCTCCATAATAACTTGCCATATGCCGCTATGGCCTGAACTGTCATTTACTTAATATTTTCAATGGACTTTTTAAAGAGCGAAAGGATTATTAAGAGGAAACTTCATATTACTTCCATGAAGGGAAGACTGGTATCATCTGACACAAACTGGAAAAATACACACTATTAAAACATAACAATGTAATGAATTTCTAGTTAGCTATTATTGCCTGATAAAGGCTCGGAGCCTGAGGCTGGCCTTTTCTTTCACAGGCAAGATTAGCAAGTGATGAAATTGTGTTAAAGACATTCCACGGGGAAGCTAAGCCTTCCCGCTGTGAGATTTATTATTGCATGCCAGATCTGAATACCTCCAAACTCACTCTCTTTCCACCAGGCATTCTTCGGGAAACCTAAACACAGAGAACTGAAGTTCTCTGACACCACCACCTGCTTCTTTCTTTTAGCTGCTTACACATGAAAGCAGGCAATTCATGTATTTGTCCTTCCGTTTTCTGCTTTATTCTAACCTTGTCCCACCCTAAATATTTTTCCACAGGTCAACGGCAGAGACTTATCCAGAGCAACTCATGACCAGGCTGTGGAAGCTTTCAAGACAGCCAAGGAGCCCATAGTGGTGCAGGTGTTGAGAAGAACACCAAGGACCAAAATGTTCACGCCTCCATCAGAGTCTCAGCTGGTGGACACGGGAACCCAAACCGACATCACCTTTGAACATATCATGGCCCTCACTAAGATGTCCTCTCCCAGCCCACCCGTGCTGGATCCCTATCTCTTGCCAGAGGAGTAAGTAACCTAATCTTGAACCCCTAATGCATTAAGAAGTATTTCCAAGTTGGTTTCTTTCTCTTCTATGTGGTGAAAAAAATTAATGCACCCTATAGTTTTCCTCCAAGTTGCCCATGTTTAACTTTATTGTTTATAGAGGCAATAAATCGAATCCTGCTCAAAACCGCTCCGACATATTAATTACTTTATTATAACCCTGGAGCGGACTTATTCAAATTATATCCTAAGAACAGAATTACTTACAAATGTTGTAAAAGTTGTTTCAGAATAAAATGTAATCACCCCAAATGGTAATTTGAAGATCCTGCAGTTATTACTAGGGAATGTTGATCATTCTTTTAAATAGACAAAAAAGTAAGTTGTGTGTGTCAAGAGAGCCCTGGAGGTTGTGCCTTCTGCTTTCTTGGGTCTCATTTCAAGCCTGGATCCATGTAATAAGCCCGCACATGCCTCATCTAAGTACTGCATCAACCAATTAAATAACAGCTGCAACTCAGCACGCCACATGGATTTCTTTACACACACCTCTTCTCTCAACTTATTTCTGCCAGCGATAAAGAGTCCTTCAGAGGCTTCAAGTCAGACAAACCTGATGCTCAAAGTGATTTCTAGTTGTGGAACTTGGGTAACTTACTTTGTTTTGTGGGGCTGTATTTTTCCTATATTAAAATGGAGATAACAGTATCAATCTCTTATCATTGAAGGATTAAATGAAACAATATGTGGGAAGTGCTCATGGGGCATATGGTAAGCACTCAGTAAATGGTACCAGCGATCACCGTTAATTTAGTGGGTGATGTAAAATATTCAGGAAAAAATGAAGAGCAAGACACTTTCTGTGATAGACTGCTGGCCCCCAAGGTGTCCAGTTCGACATAGCTTTTAACATAGCTTTTCAAGGCCAGGCGTGGTGGCTCACACCTGTAATCCCAGCACTTCGGGAGGCCGAGGCAGGTGGATCACAAGTTCAGGAGATTGAGACCATCCTGGTTAACACGGTGAAACCCCGTCTCTACTAAAAATACAAAAAACAATTAGCCAGGTGTGGTGGCGGTCACCTGTAGTCCCAGCTACTCGGGAGGCTGAGGCAGGAGAATGGCGTGAACCCGGGAGGCGGAGCTTGCAGTGAGCCGAGATCATGCCACTGCACTCCAGCCTGGGCAACAGAGCGAGACTCCGTCTCAAAAAAAAAAAAAAAAAAAAGCTTTTCATGTGTGACTTTGCACATCTGAGGACACAGCCTCTCCAGCTGATGTTAGGGTCGCCCCTGTGTTTTCTCATCTCAGCTCCATCTCGGATCAGATCATTGACTTGATACATTATTTCAAAGGGCATTTTCACCTCTTACAGGAGAATCCACTGGGTAATACCTGTTGGATTCCTACTAGTAACTCAGTAGCTGGAGTGAGCACATGTTTCCTATGGTTCAGTCAAGTTCTGGATAAAGGCTTGCCCTTCATCCCTTGGTCTTAGTGGCTAGCTGTCATTGGAACCCAGGACTAATTCCCCAGGCTTGACAGAGTAGGTTTGGCAGCAGCTGGTAGCATAAAGACAGAGGACAGGGCATCCGTCTCACATTCACTCACAGTGTGCACATGTGCAAAGAACTATTATCTATCTCCTTCATTTCTCATGACTGTCCCTTTATACAGATGAGGAACTGCAGACTCACCAGGTTCCACTGAGCTGATGGAAAGGCAGGTCAGTCAGACCCCGACTCCCAGCTCTGAACCACAGTACCCTGTAGTGACCCATTCCATCCTCTGGAACAACTGGCTGATTCACTGAGTATGATGATCCAGACCATTTATCTGACGTTACAGACCAAACTGCCTCACATTATTGATGAAGCCTTTAAGGCTACTTCTGACTCTTAAATGTTGACCTGTCACAGTGATGGGCCTTTTAGAAGCTAAACCTGTAATTTCCTCTTAGGTCTAGTTAACATGACATGACTTATCCCCTGGGGGCGACTTGAGAAATGTCAGAAGAGTCCAGAGGTCAGGCCTCTTCAGGTTCTGGCTGCAAGGTCAGACAACAGCAAGAGCGTGTGTCGGGACTGAATGGGGAATGTTAAGTTGATGCTTGAAAGCCCAGACCTTCCAACAGTATCCTCAGTACTAAAAGCCCTTTAAGTGCAGGCAGTATATTTGCCTGATGGGTCCAGAAAATTGAAAGCCAGCCCTTGTTTGAATGGCCACTCATGTCTGATCTGTTGTTTCAAAACTAAGTGCCTGGGAGGGAAGACTAGAGCCCATTGATTGCTGTGCTGACCTTTGAGGACGTGAAGGTTTGGGTCCCCAGCCAACAATCAGAGGCTGAAGCTTTGCATCTGGCACCGTGGACTGTTAAGCTCCTTTCAAAGCTGCTGATGGAGTATGTTATGATTCCCACTGCCTTGGCTCCTTGAGGTTGCATTAATGACGTTTCCAAAGATGTCGTGAGTTCTGTGGACTGTGTTTTGCATATGTTGTCCTAGGGAAACATAAGCTTCCAGTCTCCTAGCAGAGTGAATGTGTGTGTACTCATTATATGTAAACATATACACACAGATGCACTTATGCCTACATGTTTGTATGTGCATTTCAACCATGTAAGTGCATACTGTACGTTTGTGATATCAAACATATTATTGTGGGTAACATTCAAAAAGACACGGTCCTAGGTAACAGCAGAACAGTTTCATTCTCAGCCTTTTGAACTGATCTCAGAGGCCAGCACATATCTTAGACTGTTGCCTGGGCTCGAGCCTAGTTCTCTGCAGAGATAAAATCTAACAATGAAGCAATAAGCAGTAAAATATTGTCCTGTTTCCTGCGTAGAGATGGAGTTAGAAATCAGTCACGCTGAATCACGTGACTGGCAGGCTCCGGGATGGGCTCTGCAAACAACAAAGCCCATCAGGCTTGCACTTTGCATCTTAAGTCCTTCAGGAGGAAATGTACTAAAGGCAAATGGTAAAATTAGGATGATGGAGGTCCTGACCGTGCTGAGAGCCCCATCCAGAGGGAAGTGAGTCATGAAAGGGCCCACACCCTGGGAATTGCTACTGTGCCACTGGCCTGACAATGGGTGTAAGAAAAACAGATACTGACAACGGAAGAAGGGCTGTAAAGATGTTGCATCTCTTTTCAGGCATCCCTCAGCCCATGAATACTACGATCCAAATGACTACATTGGAGACATCCATCAGGAGATGGACAGGGAGGAGCTGGAGCTGGAGGTATGAAGAACATCCTTGTCTCATTTTAGGAGTCATTATTAAGAACACAGAATGCCTAATAAGTTCTCTATAAGCATAAATTAGTTTACGGATGCCGATGGAAAGTAACAAAAGCAGAACCACTTTTACTGATGCCCTTTGAAAGGCACAACTGAGATTCTTCTTCCTTCCTTGGAAACAGAGCTTAATAATCAAGTCCCAAAAGCAGAAATGTAAACTTTTTTTAATTTGAATCACTTAAAAGTTAGGACAGTAAATCCTGTTGTCAACCTTTGAATCCACATAATCCATACATTCTTGTAACTAACATAAGCCTCCTCACCTTCCTCCCTTTTATGTCATCACCACTCTTTACTCAAAGGCAGATGGCTCAAGAGTAGGTGGATAAATTACTTGAGTGAATGCTAGCCCGCCCTAACAAAAGGGTTTGTTCACTGCTTCACTTGCTTCAAGTTTGCTAACATTGATACAGAAGAAATTAAACAAGTCTGCAACTCTTCTTAAGTGTTATTTGAGGCCACACAGGAATAAAGATTCAAGATGCTACATAATGTCAAATAGGTCTCTGTTAAGGTTTAAAATATTTAGAGGACACCAGGTTGCCAACAGAGTTCTACTTCCCATTTTCCTTTTATTAAGGGTGATAGAAAATACAGAAAACACTAACTTGTATAATATATTTATATTTTGGGGAAAACACTTTTATATTTCAATGGGGTTTCAAAAAATATAACAGCATTTTTGAAAGCTGATTTTATGGAATAAGGTAAAAAGACACCTGATGTTGACAGGTAAGCCCTTGGGTACCATCAAAAGGTCACCCAGGAAAAATCGAACATTTTATCCAATTTCATGGCTAACTGTTGTGTAATCTATGCTGTCCTACCAATACTTCTGAAGTTGAATTGTTCAGTGGCAGTAGGTTCTGTGCAAGGACAGAAGCAGTCAAATAGTAGAAAACAGCTATGTTCCTCAACTTAAAGTTACCAAGAGTTCTCATTCCAAGACAGAAGTTAAAAATCAATAATTGTGTGCAAACGATGACTTCACTGATGGTTAGCCAGATACAGTCAAATCAAAGGACTTGTTGCCAGTGGCATGACTGACTCTGTGCCAGTTTTCAGAAATTTAAAATTTTCCCTAAATGCACCTGGTCTAAACAGCAATGGCCAGTATTCTCACTATAAAAACTTGACTGTTTCTGCTTGCTGTCAGCCACTTACCAAAGCGCTTGCCATTTAACAATTGTTCCAGAAAATGTAGTTTTGTCATTTTCAAAAATCAGGATTCTGCCTCTTATTTAGTGTCCTATCACCCCAGCTTCAGGGCTGTTTGGTGAAGCAGCCGTGACTCCTTCAGGACACTTGTTCCTTAATTTGTTATGTATGTTCCTTCCAAAGGGGGTTCATAATGAAATACATTTGGGAAATGCCAGACTGAAGACAACGAAACAGATTTCTTGGAGGACTTCTGAGAATCTTGACTATCTACCTAGAATCCCCTGGGGGAGTGGGCAGAATTTCCCCCACCTCTCTGGCCAAGTACCTGTTTATATTTCCTCAGTCTACAGTTCTCTGGAACACTGTTGGAGAAACACTGCTCTCCAAACAGAGGGCTATTTCGTAATCTTTATGGGACGACACTGCTTTTTGATGATGTAATTGTGGCAAAGTAGAGTTCTTTTAAAAAGCTGTAAAGTGTTTCAGAAGCTAGAGTTATGAAGTAGTAGAGACTTTGTAGTCTTTGGTATTTAGTTAAACTTGACTTTGTAGCAGTGGGTTCTTTAGTTCTTTTTTTAGTTTCTAATACCTTTGAGAATCTGATGGAACCTACAGCCCCCCGCTCTGGAAAAATGCTCCTGTCTGTGAGAGCTTGCATATGGTTTCAGGAGATTCACTGAGCCCCCACAGTATCTGCCCAATTTGGGCCATTCTGCCTTACAGTTTTTCCTTATACCTGACTATCACCAGAACTCTTACGTGCTTTCTATTTCTCTTTAATTCGACTCAACTTATTTAAACTACGGTAATTTTATTTTAAAGGAAACACTATACCACTGCGTCAAGCAGAAAGTCAGCATCCATTGCCTTAAATAGAAAATCCCATACAATTAAATACAGTGGACACAAGCCAGTGTTATTTATTAAATCCTGGTGCTCAATAAGGGTGCCTGCTGAGGGTTGGGAGCCTGGGGCCACTACATCCTGCCTTTTCTCTAAGGAGATTAGCTAGTATTAAAGAAGTGTTAAGACTAGCCCAGACTGAGTCTTTCTCCTCAAAGCATGAAGCACCTGAGAGCATCCTGCTTTCAGCAGGAGGGAGCCACTCAGAAACTGTTCCCTAGAACCCTGTTGTTCAAAGTGTGGTAGGAGGACCAGCAGCCTGGCTGGTCAAAGTAGAGTTCTCACCTAGGAGATGTGGGAACTACAGAAACTTGGCCCCCTAGATCTTCAGAATCAGAATCTGCACT
Source organism: Homo sapiens (assembly GCF_000001405.40). NCBI lineage: Eukaryota > Metazoa > Chordata > Mammalia > Primates > Hominidae > Homo > Homo sapiens. Next base: position 73,398,451 of record NC_000003.12, on the reverse strand, counting down.
TTAACAAGGTTCCTAGGTACCTCGGTGCCCATTAAAGCCAGAGGACCCCTGACCTACAGGCCACAGACCCAGATAAAGCAGCCCAAGCTATCATTTCCTCTTGTTCTCTTGAGTCACACCAGCGAGGCTTTTGTGGTGCCTTTCATTCACTGCAGTGTCGAGATGTGCCGCCAAGTCACGAATATTGTCCACACTGTCCCTGCAGTGTAACATTATCAGGGCCTAGGAACGACTGAGCCCCTCGTAGGCATGTGACACTGTGTTCCTAAGACTGCTTCTCTCTTTTCATGAATAAAAGCAGACACAACGCAGGTGTTTAGAAAACTAGTCTGGTATTAATATTTTAAGCTAGACCTTGGATGCCATCAGACTTTATATTCGTGTTTATTTTCAATTCTGTTCATTTTATTGTCTCTTACATTAAATATACTGTTTGGCCCTAGAAATGCAAAATCACGAAGTCACCACTCTGCCTGCCCTTAAGGAGCTCACAAGCCATTAGGACCATTAGACATTAGCTTTTCGTTTCTTCTTAAACAACCAGAATAAGGGCATTCTCCATCTCTAGCCCCTTTGAATGGTTACCCTAGAGTACTCTGAGTCCATAGCAGCCAGGAAGTCTTGCTTTAACATTTTGTCCACAGCAACTCAGATGTCACCAGGTCATTTCTCTTACCTAAGTACCTTCTCATAAAGTGAACCTGGCAGTTTTGGACAGATGTCGTCCTCAGTCCTGTGGTGGTGATGGCTCAGGCCTCCTAGGCTAGGAACATATCAGCTAAGGCCTACTGCAGCCACTCACCAGAAGGGTCTCTCCACTAGAGAACAGTAGCTGCGCCTCCAGCATTGCTCTGTTTCAGAGGTGTGTCTCTCTGGTCAGTCAGTTCAAGAAGGTTAATTAATAAACCCCGCATGCTGAGAAATGAGTTTCCTCAAGTGGGCCCAGTTTTCAGGGAGACTGGCACATGCCTGTCATCCCTGCTTCTACACGAGATTTCTTAGAACAGTCGCAGTCTGCCTTCTAGATTCCATCCTGTTTTGTTCTAACTCTTGGGTTCAATTTTAGAAAAATCAGGCTGTTATTTAAGTAAGGGGCCAATCTCAACAGACCACTTATCATCTAAATTGAATTGGACTAAAGTCAGCGCCTTCCAAAGAACAGCTAGTTCCATGGATATTATATACGAGGAAAATATGTATGAGTGTGTTGAGATATTATTAAAGCAAATGCACAGAGAAAAACAGATGGTTCTGGCCAGACGCAGTGGCTCACACCTGTAATCCCAGCTACTCGGGAGGCTGAGGCAGGAGAATTGCTTAAACCCAGGAGGCGGAGGTTGCATTGAGCCAAGATTGTGCCACCGCACTCCAGCCTGGGCAACAGAGCAAGACTCTGTCTCAAAAAAAAAAAAAGAAAGAAAAAGAAGAAAGAAATAAAAGAAAAACAGATGTTCTCCCTTTTAAAGTACACAAAATGATCATATTTAGGTAAGTGTCAAATCTCTGTTATTATGAGACTGCTTAGAGTTAAAGGGATTACACCCAGTGTACCCTAGGGTTGAGCAGACAAATAATTACCCATAAATTTTCAGGCACTGAACACCTGCTCTACATCTTCCTGTAGGCAATTAAGAAAGAAAATACATGCCCAAAGAAGGCTTTTCCTTTTGTCTATTGTTTTAATTTCCCAGGCGATTCATCAGTAGCATCCTATGTAGGCTGCGAAACTGCTGTCACCTGTATTGTATTCTCAGGATGTGTCACCTGTATTGTATTCTCAGGATGTAATTCTGAGACCAGAAAGGAAAGGAAAACTACAATTTCAATAGGAGACTAAAATGCTCTCCAAACCTGGTTTCATAGAGGAAGCTAAGTATATCAGAAGGGAACCAGGATTGACCTGGAGATTATGCAGGATGCCCCAGCCAGTCTAGAATTTTTTTCTTTAGCCTTTGAGGCACAGGACAAGGAATAGATCTAGGGAACCTTTCCTGGTCAGCCCCATCCTGGATTGAAGTGGCTTCCTCATTACTTTTCCTGTGTAATCAGGGTCTTTGCCATTTTTTGTACTATGCCTGCAAACCAGGACCTACCTCGGCCTGCGTGGCAGTGCCCCAGATCGTTACATGCCTCAATCTTTTCCCAAATGTCATCTCTCCAGAGGATCTTCCCTGGCTACTCTCTGAAGCATCCCTATGCCACCAGTACTATTATTTACTTTTTTTTTTGTTTGTTTTGAGACTGCGTCTTGCTGTCGTCCAGGCTGGAGTGCAGTGGTGCAGTCTTGGCTCACCGCAGCCGCCTAGGTTCAAGCAATTCACCTGCCTCAGCTTCCCAAGTAGCTGGGATTACAGGTATGTGCCACCATACCTGGCTAATTTTTGTATTTTTAGTAGAGACAGGGTTTCGCCTTGTCGGCCAGGCTGGTCTCAAACTCCTGACCTCAAGTGATCTGTCTGCAATGGCCTCCCAAAGTGCTGGGATTACAGGTATGAGCCACTGCACCCGGCCCATTATTTACTTCTTGTCTTTCTTCCCCACTAGAATACAAGCTCCCTAAGAGCTGGACTCTTGTCTAACTCATTTACTGTATATTCCTTTTGCCTAGACCATGTCTGGCATATAGTAGGCACCCAGGAAATATTTTTTGAATGAAGGAATAAAATGCCTTGTTACCCTATCTCAAACATAAGGTCCTTGAGGGAAAATGCAGTCTTTAAAGATATTTCTGTATCCCACATAGCACCATGACTAGATACAGAAACTGTTGAGATAACTTAAATGTGCACAGCAACCTGGACCAGTAAGTTGAAGAGTTATGCTTTAGTGGCCAGTCTTCCTGGAGGTGGATAAAGCATTGAAATTAGTCTTTGAGATCCCCTTTAATTAAGGTAGCTGATGCTGCAACAGAGAGTTTGAATCAACAAGGTGGAATGGCCCTCTTAATACTCTTCATTGGAATATCGTTTCAATTTCCTCTGAAATGTCAGGCTTAACTGTTCATTTTTATCAACAGTCCATCTAGACCAGTAAGCAACAAGATACCAGTAACAGGGGTAGCTGTAATCCAGATAATGCTACTACATTATTCATACCAGTTTGATTAATAGTCTTCTTTGAAATCTTATCTCCATCACAGACAGATAACATATTGATAACTTCTATGCTTTCAGCAATATGCTTAATTGTGTAAAACTAGATGAGAGTCACACAGAAATGCTGAGAATTTACAAACCACCCAGTAAGTTTGAGGAATTTTACTTTCCACTGAGCCCCAAAATACTGTATTTTGTTTTAAAACCACAGAATGGCTAAGTTTGTCGAAGTTCAATGACTTGCTCAAGGCAACCTCCCTCATTACAGATGGAGCCAAACTGGTTTTTCATTTGGATCATCCTGCCTTGGACTCTCAAGCTCATTCATTCAATTTTATTGAGCACCTACTGTGCACAGCATACAAATCTAGACACTGCTTTCATTGCACAATTCATCATTCAGCTACTATTGCCTTACTGTAATCTTTATAAGAAAACAAGGTAAACCATAAATCCGTACAGATCCAGAGGCAATACCAGCTCTTACACTGTTGTTTTTCAAGAGCTTCTGAAAGCCTATTATGGATCACTCTGTGCTTAACTGTCAGCAACCAGATTCTTCTCTGTGATGTTGAACCATCCCTTGAAAATTAAATGACCAAGGCTAAGTGGTATCCTGTGCCTTCTAAATGAAGCTTTTCTAGCTTTTGTTTAGAGTTCCTAAGAAGGGCCAGAGATAAGGCAAGGAAATATTATAGCCCACACCATCCTGTCTCACATCCACGTCAAGTAAATACCTAGAGTAAGCTCCAGAATACCCTTTGCTTTTTTATTATTGGAAATGTGCTTCACCAGCATTTGTTCATCCAATATCACTCATCCTTTGATAACACAGACCACTTCTAAGATAGAAAACTGCTCCTGGAGTGCTGCCCTTGAAGTAGAACACTGCCATTCTTATGTCTGTTTTAAAGATCCAGCTGAGAATGTGACTGTCCCCATGACGGTTTGTTCTGAGAGGATTTATGATGGGTGTTGAAGGCTAAACGCAGCATTGGGCTCTACGCCATTCTGCTATTGTGAGGGAGTATGTGTTCTAAAATGAACACTAACTGGGAACAGAACTATTAATTGGACCCTCTTCTCTCCCGTGCAAAAATATCAAACTGCATTTATGGAGAATCGATTACTAATTTACTAAACACAGGTGAGGTTAGTGGCAACGTATAAAAAGTGTGTAAGGAAGGAAGCGTAAGTGGTTCTTGATTCAGATGAAAATATCTTAAAGCAATAAATGTTTTGAATATCTTCTGTTGCAGCCTGAAACTTTGTTCTAAGAAAGTTTTCTCCCTGATTAAAAAAAAAAGTCATAAAGATTTGTTGGAGGAATTGACAGATTCAGAAGGAAAAATGTACAGAAAAATCATGATTAGCAACATGAACAATGTCAACTACTCTGTAGCTTAACAGTCCTCCAAATCTCTGTCAATCAAAATACTGACAAAAGATAGAACAGAAATGCTTTTCAGGTTAGGTTTTATCAAAACTGTATTCTAAAATCTCGTGATATCAGGCCACCTACATGTTTGGTAGTAGGCCAAATAAATCTAATCGTTTTCTACATAACAGAGCGTCACTATCACATTCTTTAGGAGTCTTTTTCTTGCTTGAATACAAGCAAGAAATACAAGCAAGGAACGAAAATACTCATACCTTACACCTCTCAAATGGAACACTCAAATCTAGAAGTGTATTACAGAGTTGTGCTTGTCAGACTGTACTGAAAAGCCACAAGGACCAGGTTGGCTGGTTTGTTTACTTTTCAGTCTGTCTCTAACCAATACACGGTCCTACTGTGTGTGACTGTGTAACTCACCCCATCTGCGACGCGTTCACCAACACCTGAACTGGTCTACACCTTGTCCAGTGAGACAAGTCTGCTAATCATGCCCTTGGTTATCATGACAATGTCCAGCTGCTATAGAGGTTTCTGAACACTTCCCTCAATTTCTGTGCTCACCTCGTCATGACCAGGAAGCACGCTTTGAGTAGCAGTAGTAGTAGTAGTAGTAGTAGAAAGTCCAGTAGAACTGTAGAATCTTCTGTACTTCCTTGAAAGATAGTCACCTTGGCGGCCAGCCATTCAGAAAAAGTTGCAACTTGAATTATCAACATTTCTTGTCTTTCTCATTTTTCTTCCTACAATCTTCCCACTGCTCGCTCTCTCTGCTTGGGTTGCACGTGGACCTGTTTCAGCAAGATGTGTCTCCTGCAGGGGTAGCACTGGGCGAGCTACATCTGTGCAGTTGGACCTAAACCGTCGTGATATTTCGTTGATTCACACTAACCTTGAGGAAATGTCAAAACTGAAAAAGTGTTCCCTCTTATGCATATTCAAATGAAGTGTACCCTAAGAGAGACAGGGGGATGTGTTTGAAACATAAGAGGATGATGTATGACTAGTATATTTGTGGAAACATAAGAGGATGATGTATGACTAGTATATTTGTGGTATGCAAATTGGTTATTCCAAAGTATTTGGAAACCCAAGTATTTAGGCTTGCTCTCATTGTTAAATATGACCCTTAAACCCACTTAATTATCAGAAATTAATGGGGTTTCATTTAATAAGAACTTACCATATTGCTAGAGCTATAATTAGGAAGCTGTTGAATTAATTAACATATTGGTGTTCAGAAAATAATCTTAGTAAGAGGGGCACTGAAATATACCCACTCTGCCACAAACAACTTCTTGTGACTTCAGGGAAGTAACCATACCTGCATGTAATTATTATACTACTGGTGACCGTGGACTTTCTATGGGGCAGTCAATGTGCTAAGAGCTCTTGTGTGCCTCATGTTGGTGACTCTGGGAGGCAGGATGGCAGGTACTAGTGAGGACACGGACCTTAGATATAATAACAAGCTCATGATCGAGCTGCTAGAAAGAGGGAGAGTTGGGATCTGAACATCTGTCTTTACAGTTCCAACTCTTCCCCACCACATTATACCCCATATATCAGCAAGACAGACTGCTGAAAGTCGTTAAGATCATGGCAGTCCTCACTTAAAACCTTTTGATGGGTTCCCATTATGTTGAAATAAAATCTTAGCTACTCATGCTGGCCTGTGGGCCCTGCCCGGTCTAGCTCTGCCACCTGGCCACCCTCAGCCCACTTCTCTCTTCCTTGAACATGGGGCTCTGGCCATGCTGGCCTAGGGCTTTTGCACCTGCTGTTGCTCCACCTGGGAAGTGTCCGTGGCGCCTGGCACCCGCCTTTCATCGGGGAAAGTTCAAGAAGTATCTTCCAAATAACTGCTTTGAGCTTCTCCGCATAGACAGCTGCATTCTCCTTCCCCGCTAAGAAGACCCTTGAGAGAGACCACTTGGAAATAGTCCCCAGATAAAGTGGCACGAAGACCCCATCTCAGAGCCCCTCCATTCTCCTGCTTGGTGAGCAGATAACACTAAAAATTAGACCAAAGGATCTACCGGAGAACTTATCACGTGGCCCTTCAAATAGGCTTGCAGCTTGGAGCTACAAAAACTTGCACAAGTCATTGGCAGAGTGGGCGGGGGAGTGACTTAGCCTGGTTACACTGAGAGCCCTAGGATGGCACCCTAAGGCTCCAACAATTTCCAAAGTTCTGACTTCATTCTGAAGCACAGACTAACTGGCAAATACAATAGCATGTATCCCACATTTGGGCTCACTTTGCTTTTCTCTTATTTAATTTGCAGTAATAGCGGCTGAAACTAATTTCTCAACTGTAAATATCACAGCTGTTGTGGAGAACATTAATTGCACGCTATCACATTACCCTCCTTTCTTGGATCAATTTATGTGTAATCTGTTTGCAAGTTCTATGACTGTGAATATTAAGGGAACGCAATGTGAAATAATCTAACCAAACACATTGGAAACATTTGTACTGAAATGGCTGGGTGGTTTGGGGTATGGAAATATTCTTGTTTGTGGCAGACATTGAAAAAGTGTTTTTGAAAAGCCCTGCCCCAGAAGTCTTGACGCTGAGTGAAATATGGGTAATTTTTCTTTGGGGGATCAATGAAATAACTATTTTCAAAATGACTTTATATTGAGTGAAAGGTCAGAAATGCCGTAGGCATTGATCCTGTGTCCATAATCACTTTTTGTTTAGTAAGTTAACCGGCCCTACACAGTTGAATGCAAAGAAATCCAGTTCCTCATTTGAAGATAATATTTTTAAAGCATTTGACATCCCCTCAACTCGCATTGCCTGCTGGAGTCTCACTGGGAATGCCTTTCTTTGTCTAGGAAGTGGACCTCTACAGAATGAACAGCCAGGACAAGCTGGGCCTCACTGTGTGCTACCGGACGGACGATGAAGACGACATTGGGATTTATATCAGTGAGGTACAAAGGCTGATTTTGTTTTTCTAACTATCGTATCAAGACCAAAAGGGTTTTTTTTTTCATGTTCACCAACCCTAACCCACCTCATCAAGATCTCTTTGGAAAGACACAAATTATTCTGTCCCCCTCATCACACTCCATGGCGCTGCATCTTTCCACGGAGGTTAAGTTCTAATGCCAGTACTTATGGCAAAATTACCCTTGAGAAGCCTGCAAATCAGCCATAAAATGGAGCCGTTTACATGGTTTTGTGTGTTTAGCCCCAAGGGAAGAGCAGATTCACATTTCCCAACTCGTGTTCATTGAGTGGAATGGTGGATGGAATCACTTACACTTTTTAAAGCCTCTCTCTCTCTCTCTCTCACACACACACACACACACATTTTTTTTTCTCTTGGTGGAGTATATATAGTTGACTTCATATAAGTTAAATGTGACTTGTATGTACTTATCAAACTACATAGATGCACGCTGTTTTGATCTTCCTTGAGAAGATAATACAAATCAACTGATTTCAGTATGGAAACTTTACAGTGCACACCCATCCTTGCAAACACAGAAACCCAATTTTGTCAGGAAATAAAATTTGTCGCTACAGAATGATCTACTAGACTTAATAATTATCTCTTTGGTTGTATGTCATTCACCAAGCTTAAGTTAACCCATCCTTTCTGCATTTGGGGACATCCCTCCCCTTACCAGTCCCCCTTGTCCCAATTATATTTCAATTTTAAAGTTATTTTCCAAATTTTAATACAAGTATTTGGTATAAAATAAGGTATAGTTGCTAGTCCACATAATGAAGGGTATCCTTTAACCTGTTCTACATCATTGATTTGATTTTAATTACCATGCATGCAACAAAAGTCAGCTGTGCCTCCTCAGATCAGCAGAGCCTGCACACACTGCTGTGTAACAGGGTTGCTACACAGGGATCCAAGAACCAGCCCTAGAAAGGGCTTAGAAGCAGATCAGCTCATGTTTGCCTCTCCTTGCACGACACTAAGTCTTGTTTATTTCTGTGCAAAACAGAAACACAGGGGTGAGCATGACTGTGTTTTAGAAATGGTTTTGAAAGTGCTGTTGCTTATTTTCATGCATGTCTGCGTTTGCGCTGAGATGGTCCATGTGTGTTTCAGATTGACCCTAACAGCATTGCAGCCAAGGATGGGCGCATCCGAGAAGGAGACCGCATTATCCAGGTAAGTCCACTTCCAAACAATGGCCTCATGATGGGCCTATCACTAAAGAACAAACTGGTTCTAATGATAGGTCTAGGGTTGAAAATGCAGAAGCGGTTAAAGAACAGGGATCACAAACGCAGATGTGTAGTGAGGCCAGACAAGTTAAACTAATTGTGAGGCTATCTCTGAGTCATAAGACGCAAGAGGGAGTGGTGAGGACTGGGACAAACTAGATGGGGCATGTTCTCTCCAAAGAGGGCCTTGCAAAATTTGAGCCAGTTCTCCTTATTTTGTTTCATTCTGTTTGGATCAAAACAAACATCAGTGAGCCAAAGTCAGGCCAACAGTTTACAACTTGTGAACTAAAATAATTCTCGTTTTAGATTTCTCTGAAAGATTAACTTTGGACCAAGCATTTCAGAGGCTCGTCCATAAAAGGGGAACATTTTTGGCAAATTTAGCAGCATCGATTGAAAAGTCTTAGAAATTTTCTGACTCAACATCTAACCATCCTGGAATCGCTTCTAAGGGTCATTACTTGACCTCGAGCCCTGTTGCTCCGTCTAGTCCAAATGAGACCATTCATGTCTCTTTTGGCTACAACCTTCTTTAATCTCACAGAATTGAAATTCTTGGCTTCATTGTGTCCACAAGGCTTAGCTTTCTACCTCTTCTCATCCGTATCCTCTCATTCTTAATCCACTGTGTTTTTCTCATTGCATACCTCACCACAGGTCATTTTGATTTTCTTCTTCCACTGCCTACTCTGGGTTTCTCTAGCCTTCAGCCAGAACCTGTGCTGCTCAGGATCGCTTGCCCTAGGGAAGTGACCCAAACCTTCACACCTGAAGGGTCAGGGTCCTCAGCATACTGCCTCTTTTTTTTTTTTTTTTTTTTTTTTTTGATTGCTGGAGTTTTCCATTAACCTTTACTACTGAGAATGGAAGCACTCAGAGGTACTCCAAGGAATCCCCTAGGTTCCAGACACAATCCTCCCTGCCTCCACTGTGTCACAGCAAGCCCATCTTCCTTGGTAATTGAGGGCAATCACTCCAACCAATAGAGTCACCCCTTTTGCTGCCTGTTGGCTCACTAGTGTAAGGAGGCATATGGAAGCCTCCACTTCCAATTCAGTGGAACCATTGCTGTGTCCCCTGGAGGCGGCGTTCCACCAGGACTAAGACCTCCAGACCAGCAGGGCTCAAAGTCACCAGGACATGCAAGCAAAAATCCTGCAAGAGGGTTAATCAAGTGTGATAGTGAGAGTGTCACGCCCACTTGACCCTCCGCCTGGCCCAAAGAAGTTTAAGTGTCAAACTGGGGACACAAAACACCATGTATAATTCTATTCCATTTTCTTAACCTCAGTTTGCTGCTTTTTCTTCTATATTATCCAATAATGTCTACATATACTCCTGCCTGAATATTATGTCTAATTGCTTCCATGTTCCCTCTGCAGAGCATTATGATTTTTCTCAGTGCCGTCTTCTGGAGGTCCAGCCCCTTCTGTTCACACCCCACACATCACAGTCACCTCATGAACTATACTCATGGAGGCTCCCTTATAGACCAGAGAAACTGCATTGGTCTGAGCAAGACCTTTCCTTCCTAACATCAGTATTCTTTTCCAGCTACACGGAAGTTGTATGTTCTAACTGTGAGTGGGTGACAAATGCAGGTCTGAAATAAAATAGAATGATTTTGCACCATCTAATCATGCTATTTGTCTCCCCACTCTCCCCACCCCCCCTTTTTTTTTAAAAGATTAATGGGATAGAGGTGCAGAACCGTGAAGAGGCTGTGGCTCTTCTAACCAGTGAAGAAAATAAAAACTTTTCATTGCTGATTGCAAGGCCTGAACTCCAGGTAAATTGGCTTCCTACAGATGAAACTGGGTCTATATTTCTAAAATCAAAAGATCCCCAGGCCTGCAAAAGAGCACCTGAGTATTGGCTGCGAACTTGAAGGTGCTTTGTTCCCTGGAAATGTAATCAAACTTGCTGTGATTCAGAATTCACTTTATGAGTTAGCCATTTAAGGTTGGTTAGATGCCCACCCTGGCATCTATACTGCAGGCCCACGACGTTCATTAATGCAGGGATCATAGGGAAGGAAAAGGAAACAGAATTGAATGGAAAACACAACCGGGGTCACGTCAAGACATTTGACTTCCCAAGGCCTGACATATGTTCCAGCCTTGATCTGTGCAGGTTTCATTTACAATAGCAGAGTATGGGGAATTAAAACTTGCTCTTTCAAATTAAAAGAAACATTGAATGATAAATAATTAAAACTGATATGACCACCGAATAAGTGCTAGGCCCTCCGTGGAGCACTTTACACACAGGAGAGCCTTCCCAGGAGATGGAAGTTCCCAGAGATTCAAAAGTTACCCAGGAAAGGCCCAGAAGGAGGGTGATAAAGCAGGGAGGGGTTCAGGCCCAAGTAATCTGATTCAGAAACCTCTGTGTTGTAATAACTCCTTCCACAGGAGGAATCATGAACTCACCCAGGTGGCACTCTTGATCCACTTAGAATGGCTCCAGCAACACATCTAGGGCAATCCAGTAGTAGATCTCTTTAGGTATGTGTATTAGTCCGTTTTCATGCTGCTGATAAAGACATACTCGAGACTGGGTAATTTATAAAGAAAAAAGAGGTTTCATGGACTCACAGTTCCACATGGCTGGGGAGGCCTCACAATCATGGTGGAAGGCAAAAGGCACGTCTTACGTGGCAGCAGGGAAGAGAGATGAGAACCAAGCAAACGGGGTTTCCCCTTATAAAACTATCAGATCTCATGAGACTTATTCACTACCATGAGAACAGTATGGGGAAAACTGCCCCCATGATTCAATTATCTCCCACGAGGTCCCTCGCACAACACGTAGGACTTATGGGAGCTACAATTCAAGGTGAGATTTGGGTGGGGACAGCCAAACCATATCAGTATGAAACCCGATTGAAAAAGCCGAGAGACAGACAGTGGCATACGGGGCATCTGATTCTCCACAGATGGGAGCCTCATGAGCTCAAAGGGAACTTCAGCAATCATCTCACCCACAGTCACAGACTTTTTCTTAAAGGGCCAGATAGTAAATGTTTGACTTGGGTGGCCATACCATCTCTGCCATGACTGCTAGACTGTCACTCTAGTGCAAAAGCAGCCATAGACAATTATGTCAGCGAATGAGCATGGCTGTGTTCTCATTCAACTTTTTTTATTATTATTTATAAAAATACCAGGCTGGATTCAGCCCATGGGCTATAGAGTGCCAACTTCTGAATAGTTCACTCTTTTTTGGGCAAGGCAGATAAAGGCCTCTTAAAAGTGATATCCAGCCAGGCTCAGTGGCTCACGCCTATAATCCCAGCATGTTGGGAGGCTGAGGCAGGAGGTTCACTTGAGGTCAGGATGAGGCCAGCCTGGCCAACATGGTGAAACCCAATCTCTACTAAAAATACCAAAATTAGCTGGGCATAGTGGCGCATTGCCTGTAATCCCAGCTACTCGGGAGGCAGAGGTTGCAGTGAACCTAGATCGTGCCACTGCACTCCAGCCTGGGAGACAGAGTGAGATTCTGTCTCAAAAAAAAAAAAAAAAAAAGTGATATCTTGCCCAAGCCAAACAGCTAGTTACTGTATCAGAAAGAACTCTTTTCACACTGAAAATCATTTTTCTATGGGACCTGTTAAACTCGTGTCTGGTCCAGCAAGCAGGTGGACCAGCTAAATCTACCTGACCCTCCTACACAGGTGTCCTACTGCACTGAAGGTAGCTGAGATGGATGAAAGAGTTTCACCCTGAAAAAAAAAAATCATGGATATTAAAGACTTCCCCAGATGTAGTGTAGGGTTGGAGGTCTGTTTAATGTAAGGGTTGGATAGTTTCCTGACTTAACAGCAAATCATTGGGCAGACTGCATTTTGATGACTCTTGGAGGAAGCCCTAGAAATATTTTCCCCCAAGGTAATGTCATTTTTAAAAAAACATAAATGAACATGAAAGGAAACTTCTAAGGCATGTGTTGGCTGCTCTTGCCTGCAGCTGGATGAGGGCTGGATGGATGATGACAGGAACGACTTTCTGGATGACCTGCACATGGACATGCTGGAGGAGCAGCACCACCAGGCCATGCAATTCACAGCTAGCGTGCTGCAGCAGGTAACGCCCACGCACCAGTCCCTGACACTCTGCCCTGCTGAGCTGGAGGAAAATCTGCTTCCTCCATCTCCCTTTATGGTGCTAAAGACCATCAGAAGTCCATCCACCTGGAAGGCAGCAAGAAAACAGCCTCAAGTACTTTTCTATTTGAGCACCAGACCAGTGAAATGCAAGCTGGTACTGTCCCTAGCTAAGCTTTTAAATCTAAGCAACATTGCCAAAGCAAAGCTGACCTTCTGATAATTTGTTTGGAAAACATATGCGTTGGCATTACCATAGATTGCAAAAAGCCATGTTTTCCAAAGTAAAGCAATCCCCTCTGTTTAACAGGAGCTGCTTGGAGCTCTCTAGCTCCCTGCTATGCTACTACCATTGTCAGAGTCTTAATGAGCCACTTATTGAGTCCTTATTGAGTTGAACAAGGACCTTTATACATCCTTCTACCTGTGTACTGATTCATTTAACAGAATCATTGAGAATCATTCATTGAGATAAAGTGACTATTATCCTCATTTTACAAAACTGAGGACAAGAACAAGAATAAGTGACTTGCCCAGGTAGATACGGGTAGGTGTAGCTAAGGCCCACGCTATTGACGTGGTCCTACTGTCAGATGCTGTCCCTTGGCCTTAGAAATGTACAGCCTGCCCTATCCAGAAACCGCAAGGAAAGGTCAAACCTGAGTACCTGCTGCGCAGGCCTCCCTCACTGTGACCCTTTGTTCTTGTGTTTATGCAGAAGAAGCACGACGAAGACGGTGGGACCACAGATACAGCCACCATCTTGTCCAACCAGCACGAGAAGGACAGCGGTGTGGGGCGGACCGACGAGAGCACCCGTAATGACGAGAGCTCGGAGCAAGAGAACAATGGCGACGACGCCACCGCATCCTCCAACCCGCTGGCGGGGCAGAGGAAGCTCACCTGCAGCCAGGACACCTTGGGCAGCGGCGACCTGCCCTTCAGCAACGAGTCTTTCATTTCGGCCGACTGCACGGACGCCGACTACCTGGGGATCCCGGTGGACGAGTGCGAGCGCTTCCGCGAGCTCCTGGAGCTCAAGTGCCAGGTGAAGAGCGCCACCCCTTACGGCCTGTACTACCCTAGCGGCCCCCTGGACGCCGGCAAGAGTGACCCTGAGAGCGTGGACAAGGAGCTGGAGCTGCTGAACGAAGAGCTGCGCAGCATCGAGCTGGAGTGCCTGAGCATCGTGCGCGCCCACAAGATGCAGCAGCTCAAGGAGCAGTACCGCGAGTCCTGGATGCTGCACAACAGCGGCTTCCGCAACTACAACACCAGCATCGACGTGCGCAGACACGAGCTCTCAGATATCACCGAGCTCCCGGAGAAATCCGACAAGGACAGCTCGAGCGCCTACAACACAGGCGAGAGCTGCCGCAGCACCCCGCTCACCCTGGAGATCTCCCCCGACAACTCCTTGAGGAGAGCGGCGGAGGGCATCAGCTGCCCGAGCAGCGAAGGGGCTGTGGGGACCACGGAAGCCTACGGGCCAGCCTCCAAGAATCTGCTCTCCATCACGGAAGATCCCGAAGTGGGCACCCCTACCTATAGCCCGTCCCTGAAGGAGCTGGACCCCAACCAGCCCCTGGAAAGCAAAGAGCGGAGAGCCAGCGACGGGAGCCGGAGCCCCACGCCCAGCCAGAAGCTGGGCAGCGCCTACCTGCCCTCCTATCACCACTCCCCATACAAGCACGCGCACATCCCGGCGCACGCCCAGCACTACCAGAGCTACATGCAGCTGATCCAGCAGAAGTCGGCCGTGGAGTACGCGCAAAGCCAGATGAGCCTGGTGAGCATGTGCAAGGACCTGAGCTCTCCCACCCCGTCGGAGCCGCGCATGGAGTGGAAGGTGAAGATCCGCAGCGACGGGACGCGCTACATCACCAAGAGGCCCGTGCGGGACCGCCTGCTGCGGGAGCGCGCCCTGAAGATCCGGGAAGAGCGCAGCGGCATGACCACCGACGACGACGCGGTGAGCGAGATGAAGATGGGGCGCTACTGGAGCAAGGAGGAGAGGAAGCAGCACCTGGTGAAGGCCAAGGAGCAGCGGCGGCGGCGCGAGTTCATGATGCAGAGCAGGTTGGATTGTCTCAAGGAGCAGCAAGCAGCCGATGACAGGAAGGAGATGAACATTCTCGAACTGAGCCACAAAAAGATGATGAAGAAGAGGAATAAGAAAATCTTCGATAACTGGATGACGATCCAAGAACTCTTAACCCACGGCACAAAATCCCCGGACGGCACTAGAGTATACAATTCCTTCCTATCGGTGACTACTGTATAATTTTCACTTCTGCATTATGTACATAAAGGAGACCACTACCACTGGGGTAGAAATTCCTGCCTCGTTCAATGCGGCAAGTTTTTGTATATAAGATAAGTACGGTCTTCATGTTTATAGTCCAAATTTGCAAACCCTACAACTCTGGGTGTCATAGGTCTATTTTAAGGGAAGAGAGAGAAAAACACCCTTACTATCTTGGAAGGCAATATTAACAAACAGAGCTTTTTTCAAATAGCAATTGTACTTTTCTACCTGTACCCTTTTACATAAAGTGTTTAAATTTCAGAAAGATCTTTTATTAAGCATACTTTCACAGAATAACTTGTTTAAACTATATTCATATAAAAAAGTTAAACACGCTTTTTTTCCTGCCTAAAACACAAATACAACTGCCAGTATGTATTTTTAATGGAACCCTATTTTATAATGGTACGTTACTGAATGTGTTTCATATGCGTGACCGTTAAGATATTATCATTTAGGTGAAGGTTTCAACTCAAAACCACCCAACCCGGTGGTTAACGATTTAATACATATAACCAAACCGGCAGCGTTTAGAGTTGGGATATACATTTAAACATTTTCCTGGTTAAGGTTCCCAAGAGAGTGTAAAGGTTTTAGCAGAAAGCAAAATATCTTGCATCTTTATGGAAGTTTAAAGCATGTTTGCAAATATTGCAGCCCATTGAAAGAATTTGCATGTACAGGAAAGTTGTGGATGGAGACGGTTTGTGGAATTTTAAGTGCTCATTGTAGTAAACTTTTGCTTTGTAGATTTGAAGGTACAGACTTATACAGGCAAGTTCACAAAATCATGATTAGTTACAAACAGTAAAATGAAGTTAAAATAAATTATTATTTTCTATTTGATATGTTTTGATGTGATTCCTCATTTTGCAGTGGTGCCTATAAAATAAAAGCCTTTTGCAGTGTTTGCTTTTTTTCCCTTGGTTGTGGTTGTATTACATGCTACTTTGGAAGGATTTAAGTATTTTAGACCATCTGATGTCTTCACATTCAGCCTCAAACCTAATGATGGATATAAAGCGAAGGTCTAGCAGTGAAGAATACAGGGTCAAATTTACAATACAACCCTGCATTCTCACTGCCTGTCTCACAGGAAGTTTCAGCCTGGCCCAATATCCTATAAACAAGAATAGCTATGAGCAACTTTATCAATCAATCAGGGTCATGTTTACAGTGAAATCTCTTTCGTTTATTGCAACCATTACTGCCTATCAGTAATAACAACTCCGGGTGGCTAGGTCCAGCTTTCCATTTCTAAGATGCATCTGCAAATCAGGCAATATTTTCATAGAAAAACAGGGGTCACCAAACTGGGTGGGCTTCAAATCTGGTATCTTTCTGACTACTGCAACCACCAGGATCCTAAATAATGAATTTGCTACAAATAATTGTTTCCTGATTGATTGTAATGTTTACACCAATTTCAGCTGTAATACTTACTGAAAAAAAGTAAGATAAAGATAGATAGGATTAGGAAGAGTGTCATTTTTATTTGCCATGATGCCATACATCTGGTTTACTCTCCAATCCAAATGGAATTTGGATTGAAATGACCAGGTGTTTTAGGCATTTCAGACATACATTCCTCCCACAGACCCTGCTCGAACCACAGTCCCTCCTTTGGGACCAGAATCTTGAGGCTAATTAGTAGTCACGCTTTTAATAAAACAACTTAATGAAAATAAAACACTGAAGTACTTATTCCTCATTATTAAGATGTCTGTTCATTACCTCTTCCAGAACCAGGCATTGTTAAGATAATTACATCTGCTACATTATTCTAATCAGCCCTCCAAGGTGAAATTTTTGCAAAGAGTGCACTATTAGGGCCTCGGTTTTCCAATATTCTCCAAGTTTTAACTTTCCACAAAATCTGATCCTTACCTCCCAGGAGAAGCTCCCCTTTCACAGCCATGTCACCTCATACCCTGTCTTCCTAGTTAATGTTTCACAGTGAACAAACATCAGTCAGATGAATTATAAATTGCTGCAAAGCATATATAAGCGTATGAGTGAGTTTATATGGGGAAATAGCTTTCCTCCCCTTGTGTGTTCTCGCTGAAGGCCAGAGGAGGCTACGTGGCCACAGGAACCGCTTTAACCTAAACAGTCAAGCACAAGGGTTTCTAACCAGGTCTCCCCACGTGT
The DNA here is from genome assembly GCF_000001405.40 of Homo sapiens. Lineage (NCBI taxonomy): Eukaryota > Metazoa > Chordata > Mammalia > Primates > Hominidae > Homo > Homo sapiens. The sequence continues at coordinate 73,381,189 of NC_000003.12, read as the reverse complement.
CTCTGGATTTGGGGGTCAGCTCGTGCACTTAGAAAAAGTAGAGGGAAATAATAGCGTGCATTCAAATCCAATTCTAGATCCTTTGATTTCAACGTATTTTTAAATCACTTTTATCATCTAGATATACTTAGTCATAACATGCAGTGTAATATGAGGCTTCCCAAATCTAATTTAGCCGATTAACTTCTAAAAGAAATTGGAAGAGATCTTAGAAATCATCACTTCAGACTGGATTAAGAAAATGTGGCACATATACACCATGGAATACTATGCAGCCATAAAAAATGATGAGTTCATGTCTTTTATAGGGACATGGATGAAATTGGAAATCATCATTCTCAGTAAACTATCGCAAGAACAAAAAACCAAACACCGCATATTCTCACGCATAGGTGGGAATCGAACAATGAGATCACATGGACACGGGAAGGGGAATATCACACTCTGGGGACTGTGGGGGGGTGGGGGGAGGGGGGAGGGATAGCATTGGGAGATATACCTAATGCTAGATGACGAGTTAGTGGGTGCAGCGCACCAGCATGGCACACGTATACATATGTAACTAACCTGCACAATGTGCACATGTACCCTAAAACTTAAAGTATAATAAAAAAAAAAAAGAAAGAAATCATCACTTTATCAATGAACAGGGCACTCAGAGAGGCAAAGAAATACAGTGCAGCTCATTCATAACCAAACTGGGATTTGAACTCAGAACCCAACACCTGGTTCCACAATTCTTAGCACCCCATACTCTGAAGAATCGTCCTCATGTGCACAGTTAACTTAAATGCATTAAATCCTTTGCCCTCAACCAAAAAACAAATGCATTTCACCAGTGGATGCCCCAGAGTGAACATAAGAGTAATCATGAATCTGCCATTTCTTCCAGAAGCATGAACTCCAAGTGCCTCACAGTGCATTTCTGAGCTGGCGGTTGGGATGAAAATTTTCCTGGGTAATAGTGATGAGACAATTTCTAGCTTCTGTTCTCACTGATGTAAAGCCCTAGTTTCTGTGTAAACAGAACGTCCACTGTAACTAACAGGCCTTTCTACCGCCCTGGCTGCATGTACTTTACTTCTTGGACCCACTGAAGGATCTGGTGGAAGCTATAGATTCTATCTGCAGAAAATGTACTTATAATGAATAATACATTAAAAAGTGCATATAATCAGAGACTTCACATACCCCCAAAGTCCATTCACAGATCCCCTCTAAGCATGCAAGAACCCCAAGTTTAGAATAACCAAATTTGATAGGTTTATTTCTCAGACTTTTATTTCAGCTTCATCTTATAGCACACTATTTGATTTGAATGCCTACTTTTAATATCAAGGACTACTTTTCTTCCTATTAGAACTATATTGTTTAACACAATTAAAATTTACCAAATCACTAGTACCTACACTCTTCCAGTCATTGTGCAGTTTTTCTCACAGCTATGTAAATTGAGGAATGATTAATACAGATTTCTGATTCTCCATAGCAGCCACCCCACTGGCTGGATGACTCAGGTTTAAACTAATTATAAAATACAAAAGAAGGAAATGACAATGTTTTGACCATCTAGAGCTGCACTGCCCAATACCATAGCCACTAGCCACATCTGGCTATTAAGCAGTTAAAATGCGGTTAGTCCAAATTGAAATGTTCTGAGAAAATGGATTTCAACGACTTTGTATTTAAAAATGAAAAGTATTTTGATAATTTTTATGTAGAAATCATTTTGCATATGTTGGATTGAATAAAATACATAGTTATCACTAATTTAACCTGTTTAACTGTTTAATGTGAATGCTAGATTTTTAATTACATATGTGGCTTGCATTATACTTCCATTGGGCAGCACAGATACAGAAAATATCGGGCAAGTACATGCTAAACCCTTGCCCTCATCATCTCACTAAATCCTTGGAGCAGTTCTATGAAGCACATGCTTTATCAGTAGTTTAGACTCAGATTAAGAACTTTGCCCAGAGAAGCATAAAGGTGTGATTTGAATTGGCATCTGCCTAATACCAAACCCTTTACCTGTGCTTCCATCTCCTCCTAAGAAGCAATTCAAAGTATGTTCAGTTTAGGTTAATATTTGTAACATATTCATAATCACAAAGAAATTACTTCAAAGTAGCAAGCATTTCACTCAGTTCCCTTTGAGTTCTAAATTGCAGAATATTCTAACTCTCGGCAAGAACACATGACAATGCATAGATATCTAGTAATGTGGGGGCACAAGCTAAGTTTTTCATCTTTTAAATGGAAACAGGAGATCCCAAATAGCAAAAATCACAAATATGATAAGGTGGGATTATACATCGCCTAAGGAATACTAGTTGGAGAACTAATTAAGACTATAAGCTGAAATATGAAAATTAACCAAGTAATTATCTACTTGTAGCCTTCAGAAGTAGGTTACAGATTACTTGTTAGCAACATTGCCCAAAACCAAGGAAGCAAACACAATTCTGCCACAAGCAATTGAGACTCCCACTTTTATTTCTGTTTCTCGCTTTTAAGTATTTTAGGATTTCTGTGGAGCATCAACTAATTAAAAAGAAAATCACTAAAACTGAGATAAGATGCAAGAATTCTCCTGGCAAATGCTGTAGTCTTCAATTTTGATTAAATGTGAATTCCCTAAAGCAGTTATAAAACAAAGTGTTGTTCTTTTGAGTTTCATTCAGATGGGGTTTTTCTGCTTAAATGGTTCATTTTCTTTAGCTTTCAGCTGCAACTAATCCTGAAAGGGCACAGTCCACAGGGACATGTGGTTTGCCTATAATGTGGTTTTGCCTTTCAATGGCAGAATGCTGACCTCCGTGCACTCAGCATCTCTTTAAAATGAAAAATGGGGAATTAATGATCCCTCCTTCATTGGGGCTATTGCAAATTTAAACTTGCTCACCAATTAGTAAGTCTCGCTAAAATCCTCAAAAGCCAAAAGAAACTCCCTAAACCTCATCAGAGTCTCTCAAAAATATACTAGGAAGTAATTAAATTGTGTTTTTAGTTCTCTTTGGAGAACTACATGTCTCCCAGACATTGTGGGCTTGACTTAGCAGTTTCAGCTCTGTGGAATTATGACAACCTTATGCATCGAGGAGCCATGTCAGAAACCAGCACGGATTCCTTCATCCACTAGTTACTATGTGCATACTCAATCTAGGGCCATGGGGAGGTCTCTGGAGTGTACAGTCCGGTGAGAAAGAAAACAGTAATGCAATCATCACACAAATACTTATAAAGCATCAACAAGATCGGAATAAGGGTCAGATAGGAGAGCCAGTGCCACAGATTTCACAGAGAGTCTCCCTTAAAAAGTTATGTTTGATCTGAGAGCCAATAGATGAATGTGAGTTAACTAGAAAGGTAGTTAAATAGAGGAAATAGCATGTACAAAGATCCTGAAGTGAGAGAGATGTGGCCTACATGAAACAAACAGACAGACAGTCCGGCGTGACTTGAGCTCAAAAACAATGGACAAAGAGAATAGAATTCAGTGTGAAAAGACAGGGAGCTAGGAAGGAATGACACTGTCTACTAGACCATAGATAACCTATTCGTTATGGCCAACCTTTATTGAGCATCTAATATGTGCCAGAAACTGTGCTAAGTCTTTTACATGTGCTAACTCCCTTAACCATAAGTAGCCTACCTGATGGGTGGGATTGTTCTTATTTTGTGGATAAGGAAATAAAGAAGGCTTAGAAAAGCAACCAGCTGGTACATGGCTAAGGGGAAAAGTGAAACCATCTCTCTCTGACCGCACTGAATCGCTGGGCTGGAAGTAGCACCTCCATGACAGGCACTGTGGAAAAGGCTCATGTATTTCAGCAGATACCTAACATCTGGAGACCTTTGGTGACTATTTTGTGCCCTGCCTTTTTCTACTCAGGACTAAATCTGTTTATAACCCTGTTACTTCCCAATTTTATGCCACAGCAGATGAAAACTTAACATGCTTTCTCAATCCACTTCTGCAAAGTCAACCACCTTGACCACTAGATAGAACATATTTCCCAATCCAGTGCTCCATTTTCCATCATCCACCAGGAAACACACAGGAGCTTAGGAAGAGAGCTTCCTTTCCCTTGCTTACCAGCTACAGTCTTTACCACCAGTTCTCACCACCACCCCAGAGAAGTACCTGATCTGATGAGATGGTCCCATTGAATGCATAATGAAGAAGGCAATTTAAGTGGTTTGAGGACCACAGCTTCTCTGCTTACCCACCCCCGTGAAATACCTGTCCTGAATTGTACCTTGCTGTGTAAATTAATGTGGGTGATTCCACATTGAAGAGCAAGGTTCTGCAATCCCTGCTGCCACCCAATCAGATCTTCCTTCCGTAAATGATCTCCAAAGCACTGTAAGCAGAGGCCACAAGGTTTCACAGGCACTAAACAGCCACCTTTATAAACAAGTTTCTCAGTGCCCATGAACTGGAGGCACAGACAGCACACAGGGGCTAAATGAATTCCTAACTATAATTTAAGCTTTGCCATTTTCTGAGAAGCAGGGGATTTAAGACATAGAATGTGGGTTTTATAAATGCTTAACAGTTACCAGAACAAACAAAATCTGCCTGTTGGGTTTCAGAGGAGAGTCTTATGGATAAAGGGGATTGAGTTTTGACCGAAAAATGAGAATCTAAGTACCACTTTCAGTATGACCTGTGTCTTTGGAAGTTGCCAGTTTAAACTGGGCCTTGTCACAAACATTTATGGACTTCGTTACCTTAAGAACATGGGCACACCCACTCTGGATTCCAAGCCACCAATGTTTTAAGTGGCACTTTTTTGGGAAGGCTTATCAAATATAAACCAATATATATGCAATTATAAATATATATATAATACCAATATATACCAATTTTTTAAACTGGCTGCTAAACTTCTGGCTCTTTTTGAGGCAGTCTTTACAGGAATGAGACCTGTTTCTATTTCTAGTCCATCAACTCTCCTGCTTTTTCCTCCTCCTGACTAGGGACACTTCTGTAATACTAAGATATCATGATGTTTCCCTTATGAACAACAGGTACAATCTATAAAACAGGCTTGGAGTGTATTCCTTCATTCAGCATCAAGAATAATTCCAAAAGAAGTACGTACACTGGGGCCGGGCGCGGTGGCTCACGCCTGTAATTGCAGCACTTTGGGAGGCCAAGGCAGGTGGATCACCTGAGGTCAGAAGTTCAAGAGCAGCCTGGCCAATGTGGTGAAACCTCATCTCTACTAAAAATACAAAAATTAGCCAGATGTTGTGGCGGGCACCTGTAATCCCAGCTACTCGGGAGGTTGAGGCAGGAGAATTGCTTGAACCTGGGAGGCAGAGGCTGCAGCGAGCCGAGATCACACCATCGCGCTCCAGCCTGGGCAACAAGAGTGAAACTTCATCTCAAAAAAATAAATAAATAAAAGGAGTATGTATATTGGTACATAGTTTTGCATTTAGAAACAAAGCCAAATATTTAAACACCAAGAGCTCAGTGAATACCTCAGCCTACATGGAAAAGCCCTGCAAGTATGATGGATCCACAACCAAACCCAATTAGCATATTCACAATCTTACCATACAGTGAACATGCCTTTCAACTAATGCTTTGGGAAATGTCAGTAGTCAGAACTCCAAAGCAATCAACCAGTAATTCATAGTATACCAAAATGCTTCCTTGTTATTTATTTTTGACACAGAGACTCTTTTAAAACTCCAGAGAAAGCTACAAAGAATGCACACAATTTTTCGTATAATTGGGAGGGATTTATAGAACCAATGTGCCATCTTAAGCAAAGACATGATAAGTGTTGACTTGATCTCCTATCCCAAAAGGCATCATTCATCTTCATGGCCTTGGATTTTGCAATGGATTCTTAGATAAGACACCAAAAGCATAAGCAATGAAAGAAAAAAATTGATAAATTGGACTTTATCAAAATTAAAAACTTTAATGCCCCAAAGGACTCTATAAGGAAAATGAAAAAACGACCTATAGAAGGGAAAATATGTGAAAATCATACATCTGATAAGGGTCTAGTATCCAGAATACCTACAGAACTCCAGCCATTTTGCATTAGGAGACCATTTCAACAAAACAATAACCCAATTAAAAAATGGGTAAAGAACTTCAGTAGACATTTCTCCAAAGATGATATACAGATGGCCAATAAAGCACAGGAGAAGATGTTCAACATCACTAATCATTAGGGAAATAAAAAATTACAACGAGATATTACCTCACACCCACCAGGATGTCTACTATCAAAAAAAACCCAGAAAATCATAAGTGTGGGCAACGATATGGAGAAATTGGAACCCTTGTACATTACAGTTTGGAAGTTTCTAAAAAAGCTAAACATAGAATTATCATATGATCAAGCAATTCCACTTGTATACCAAAAAGAATTAAAGATAGGGACGCAAACAGATATTTGTACACCAATGTTTCTTGCAACATTATTCGCAACAGCCAGAAAAGGTGGAAACAACCCGTGTCAATCAGAAGTTAAATGGATAAACAAAATGATATATACATACAGTGAAATATTACTCAGCCTTAATAAAGGAATGAACTGGGGGAGGAGCCAAGATGGCCGAATAGGAACAACTCCGGTCTACAGCTCCCAGCGTGAGTGACGCAGAAGACAGGTGATTTCTGCATTTCCAACTGAGGTACCGGGTTCATTTCACTGGGGAGTGCCAGACAGTAGGTGCAAGGCAGTGGGTGCAGCGTACTGTGTGCAAGCCAAAGCAGGGCGAGGCATCACCTCACCTGGGAAGCACAAGGTGTCAGCGAATTCCCTTTCCTAGTCAAAGAAAGGGGTGACAGACGGCACCTGGAAAATCGGGTCACTCCCACCATAATACTGCGCTTTTCCAATGGGCTTAAAAAACGGCACACCAGGAGATTATATCCTGCACCTGGCTCAGAGTGTCCTATACCCATGGAGTCTCGCTCATTGCTAGCACAGCAGTCCGAGATCAAACTGCAGGGCGGCAGCGAGGCTGGGGGAGGGGTGCCCACCATTGCCGAGTTAGCTGTTTGATTAAGTAAACAAAGCAGCCAGGAAGCTCGAACTGGGTGGAGCCCACCACAGCTCAAGGAGGCCTGCCTGCCTCTGTAGGCTCCACCTCTGGGGGCAGGGCACAGACAAACAAAAAGACAGCGGTAACCTCCGCAGACTTAAATGTCCCTCTCTGACAGCTTTGAAGAGAGTAGTGGTTCTCCCAGCACACAGCTTGAGATCTGAGAGCGGGCAGACTGCCTCCTCAAGTGGGTCCCTGACCCCCGAGTAGCCTAACTGGGAGGCACCCCCCAGTAGGGGCAGACTGACACCTCACACGGCCGGGTACTCCTCTGAGACAAAACTTCCAGAGGAACGATCAGGCAGCAGCATTTGCGGTTCACCAATATCCGCTGTTCTGCAGCCACCACTGCTGATACCCAGGAAAATAGGGTCTGGAGTGGACCTCTAGCAAACTCCAACAGACCTGCAGCTGAGGGTCCTGTCTGTTAGAAGGAAAGCTAACAAACAGAAAGGACATCCACACCAAAAACCCATCTGTATGTCACCATCATCAAAGACCAAAGGTAGATAAAACCACAAAGATGGGAAAAAAACAGAGCAGAAAAACTGGAAACTCTAAAAATCAGAGCACCTCTCCTCCTCCAAAGGAATGCAGCTCCTCACCAGCAATGGAACAAAGATGGACAGAGAATAAATTTGACAAGTTGAGAGAATAAGGCTTCAGAAGATCAAACTACTCCGAGCTACAGGAGGAAATTCGAACCAATGGCAAAGAAGTTAAAAGCTTTGAAAAAAAATTAGACGAATGGATAACTAGAATAACCAATGCAGAGAAGTCCTTAAAGGACCTGATGGAGCTGAAAACCAAGGCACGAGAGCTACATGACGAATGCAGAAGCCTCAGTAGCCGATGCGATGAACTGGAAGAAAGGGTATCAGTGATGGAAGATGAAATGAATGAAATGAAGCGAGAAGAGAAGTTTAGAGAAAAAAGAATAAAAAGAAATGAACAAAGCCTCCAAGAAATATGGGACTATGTGAAAAGACCAAATCTACGTCAGATTGGTGTACCTGAAAGTGACGGGGAGAATGGAACCAAGTTGGAAAACACTCTGCAGGATATTATCCAGGAGAACGTCGCCAATCTAGCAAGGCAGACCAACATTCAAATTCAGGAAATACAGAGAATGCCACAAAGATACTCCTTGACAAGAGCAACTCCAAGACACATAATTGTCAGATTCACCAAAGATGAAATGAAGGAAAAAATGTTAAAGGCAGCCAGAGAGAAAGGTCGGGTTACCCACAAAGGGAAGCCCATCAGACTAACAGCTGATCTCTTGGCAGAAACTCTACAAGCCAGAAGAGAGTGGGGACCAATATTCAACATTCTTAAAGAAAAGAATTTTCAACCCAGAATTTCATATCCAGCCAAACTAAGCTTCATAAGAGAAGGAGAAATAAAATCCTTTACAGACAAGCAAATGCTGAGAGATTTTGTCACCACCAGGCCTGCCTTACAAGAGCTCCTGAAGGAAGCACTAAACATGGAAAGGAACAACCGGTACCAGCCACTGCAAAAACATGCCAAATTGTAAAGGCCATTGATGCTAGGAAGAAACTGCATCAACTAATGAGCAAAATAACCAGCTAACATCATAATGACAGGATCAAATTCACACATAACAATATTAACTTTAAATGTAAATGGCTAAATGCTCCAATTAAAAGACACAGACTGGATAACTGGATAAAGAGTCAAGACCCATCAGTGTGCTGTATTCAGGACACCCATCTCACGTGCAGAGACACACATAGGCTCAAAATAAAGGGATGGAGGAAGATCTACCAAGCAAATGGAAAACAAAAAAAGGCAGGGGTTGCAATCCTAGTCTCTGATAAAACAGGCTTTAAACCAACAAAGATCAAAAGAGACAAAGAAGGCCATTACATAATGGTAAAGGGATCAATTCAACAAGAAGAGCTAACCATCCTAAATATATATGCACCCAATACAGGAGCACCCAGATTCATAAAGCAAGTCCTGAGTGACCTACAAAGAGACTTAGACTCCCACACAATAATAATGGGAGACTTTAACACCCCACTGTCAACATTAGACAGATCAACGAGACAGAAAGTTAACAAGGATACCCAGGAATTGAACTCAGCTCTGCACCAAGCAGACCTAATAGACAGTTACAGAACTCTCCACCCCAAATCAACAGAATATACATTCTTTTCAGCACCACACCACACCTACTCCAAAATTGACCACATAGTTGGAAGTAAAGCACTCCTCAGCAAATGTAAAAGAACAGAAATTATAATCAACTGTCTCTCAGACCACAGTGCAATCAAACTAGAACTCAGGATTAAGAAACTCACTCAAAACCGTTCAACTACATGCAAAATGAACAACCTGCTCCTGAATGAGACTACTGGGTACATAACAAAATGAAGGCAGAAATAAAGATGTACTTTGAAACCAACAAGAACAAAGACACAACATACCAGAATCTCTGGGACACATTCAAAGCAGTGTGTAGAGGAAAATTTATAGCACTAGATGCCCACAAGAGAAAGCAGGAAAGATCTAAAATTGACACCCTAACATCACAATTAAAAGAACTACAGAAGCAAAAGCAAACACATTCAAAAGCTAGCAGAAGGCAAGAAATAACTAAGATCAGAGCAGAACTGAAGGAAATAGAGACACAAAAAACCCTTCAAAAAATTAGTGAATCCAGGAGCTGGTTTTTTGAAAAGATCAACAAATTTGATGGACCGCTAGCAAGACTAATAAAGAAGAAAAGAGAGAAGAATCAAATAGACGCAATAAAAAATGATAAAGGGGATATCACCACCGATCCCACAGAAATACAAACTACCATCAGAGAACACTATAAACACCTCTATGCAAATAAACTAGAAAATCTAGAAGAAATGGATAAATTCCTCGACACATACATCCTCCCAAGACTAAACCAGGAAGAAGTTGAATCTCTGAAAAGACCAATAACAGGTTCTGAAATTGAGGCAATAATCAATAGCTTACCAACCAAAAAAAGTCCAGGACCAGATGGATTCACAGCTGAATTTTACCAGAGGTACAAAGAGGAGCTGGTACCATTCCTTCTGAAACTATTCCAATCAATAGAAAAAGAAGGAATCCTCCCTAACTCATTTTATGAGGCCAGCATCATCCTGATACCAAAGCCTGGCAGAGACACAATGGAAAAAGAGAATTTTAAACCAATATCCCTGATGAACATTGATGCAAAAATCCTCAATAAAATACTGGCAAACCAAATCCGGCAGCACATCAAAAAGCTTATCCACCATGATCAAGTGGGCTTCATCCCTGGGATGCAAGCCTGGTTTTCAACATACGCAAATCAATAAATGTAATCCAGCATATAAACAGAACCAAAGACAAAAACCACATGATTACCTCAACAGATGCAGAAAAGGCCTTTGACAAAATTCAACAACGCTTCATGCTAAAAACTCTCAATAAATTAGGTATTGATGGGATGTATCTCAAAATAATAAGAGCTATCTATGACAAACCCACAGCCAATATCATACTGAATGGGCAAAAACTGGAAGCATTCCCTTTGAAAATGGGCACAAGACAGGGATGCCCTCTCTCACCACTCCTATTCAACATAGTGTTGGAAGTTTCGGCCAGGGCAATCAGGCAGAAGAAGGAAATAAAGCGTATTCAATTAGGAAAAGAGGAAGTCAAATTGTCCCTGTTTGCAGATGACATGATTGTATATCTAGAAAACCCCATCGTCTCAGCCCAAAATCTCCTCAAGCTGATAAGCAACTTCAGCAAAGTCTCAGGATACAAAATCAATGTGCAAAAATCACAAGCATTCTTATACTCCAATAACAGACAGAGAGCCAAATCATCAGTGAACTCCCATTCACAATTGCTTCAAAGAGAATAAAATACCTAGGAATCCAACTTACAAGGGATGTGAAGGACCTCTTCAAGGAGAACTACAAACCACTGCTCAACAAAATAAAAGAGGACACAAACAAGTGGAAGAACATTCCATGCTCATGGGTAGGAAGAATCAATATCGTGAAAATGGCCATACTGCCCAGGGTAATTTATAGATTCAATGCCATCCCCATCAAGCTACCAATGACTTTCTTCACAGAATTGGAAAAAACTACTTGAAAGTTCATACGGAACCAAAAAAGAGCCCTCATCGCCAAGTCAATCCTAAGCCAAAAGAACAAAGCTGGAGGCATCACGCTACCTGACTTCAAACTATACTAGAAGGCTACAGTAACCAAAACAGCATGGTGCTGGTACCAAAACAGAGATTAGACCAATGGAATGGAACAGAGCCCTCAGAAATAATGCTGCATGTCTACAACTATCTGATCTTTGACAAACCTGACAAAGACAAGAAATGGGGAAAGGATTCCCTATTTAATAAAAGGTGCTGGGAAAACTGGCTAGCCATATGTAGAAAGCTGAAACTGGATCCCCTCCTTACAACTTATACAAAAATTAATTCAAGATGGATTAAAGACTTAAATGTTAGACCTAAAACCATAAAAACCCTAGAAGAAAACCTAGGCAATACCATTCAGGACATAGGCATGGGCAAGGACTTCATGTCTAAAACACCAAAAGCAATGGCAACAGAAGCCAAAATTGACAAATGGGATCTAATTAAACTAAAGAGCTTCTGCACAGCAAAAGAAACTACCATCAGAGTGAACAGGCAACCTACAGAATGGGAGAAAATTTTTGCAACCTACTCATCTGACAAAGGGCTAATATCCAGAATCTACAATGAACTCCAACAAATTTACAAGAAAAAACAAACAACCCCATCAAAAAGTGGGCAAAGGATATGAACAGACACTTCTCAAAAGAAGACATTTATGCAGCCAAAAAACACATGAAAAAATGCCCATCATCCCTGGCCATCAGAGAAATGCAAATCAAAACCACAATGAGATACCATCTCACACCAGTTAAAATGGTGATCATTAAAAAGTCAGGAAACAACAGGTGCTGGAGAGGATGTGGAGAAATAGGAACACTTTTACACTGTTGGTGGGACTGTAAACTAGTTCAACCATTGTGGAAGTCAGTGTGGCGATTCCTCAGGGATCTAGAACTAGAAATACCATTTGACCTAGCCATCCCATTAGTGGGTATATACCCGAAGGATTATAAATCATGCTGCTATAAAGACACATGCACACTAGGTTTATAGCGGCACTATTCACAATAGCAAAGACTTGGAGCCAACCTAAATGTCCAACAACGATAGACTGGATTAAGAAAATGTGGCACATATACACCATGGAATACTATGCAGCCATAAAAAATGATGAGTTCATGTCCTTTGTAGGGACATGGATGAAACTGGAAACCATCATTCTCAGCAAACTATCGCAAGGACAAAAACCCAAACACCGCATGTTCTCACTCATAGGTGGGAATTGAACAATGAGAACACATGGACACAGGAAGGGGAACATCACACACCAGGGACTGTTGTCGGGTCGGGGGAGGGGGGAGGGATAGCATTAGGAGATATACCTAATGCTAAATGACGAGTTAATGGGTGCAGCACACCAACATGGCACATGTCTACATATGTAACAAACCTGCACGTTGTGCACATGTACCCTAAAACTTAAAGTATAATAATAATAAAATTTTAAAAAAAGGAATGAACCTTAAAATATTACACTAAGTGAAATAACCCAGACATAAAAGGACAAATATTGTATGATTCCAGTTATACGAAATATCATAGAGACAGTAAGTTTAAAACTTGTTACCAGGGACTGCGGGAGAGGATGCAGTTGTTGTTTAATAATGGCTGATTGACTTGCCCCTTGTATTGCTATCATTATTAATAACTGCATCCTCTGTTTCTGTTTGCAATAATGAAACATTTTCGAAGTAAATAGTGGTGAAAGTTGCACAATATTGTAAATGTAATCAATTCCACAGAATTGTGTGCTTAAAAAATGGTTTAAATGGTAAATTATATTTTATATATAATTTTATTTTATGTATATGTACCTAAATACAATAGTTTTAAAAAATCATGCTTTCTAACATAACCAAATTCCCTTTGGTTTTTGGGAGCATAGATTGCCTCAAGCATTGTTGAAAGTTATGTACAGTCACCCAAGAAATGAACATATATGCCACATTTTATTTGCAATGCCAGGGGGTTCATAGTTTTTATAAAAGCCCTCCTAGATGCCAGAATGGATCCGAGGCAAAATGAATCTGATGTCCTTGGTCTGCAATGAGAGTGCTTTTATTAACTTCGGTACCCAGGAAATGAATTATGCCCATGTCTCCTAGGTCTGAAGACTGTTCAGGGCATGGATCAAGGCTTCTTTGAGACCTGTTGGAGGAACTATCAATTATAAATGGTGTCAAATGATACCAAAAGAATTTTAAAAAAAATTCCTTCAGCTGGCCCAGATGTGAGTTCCAAAGACACTTTGTGCTCTGGTATAACTGGGAGGGACAGAGGTCAGTCTCAAGAAGGGAAGTACAGCTGATTGATTTGCCTCTTGTTGCCCTCATAGGGAGATTTCATGGCACAGAGTTCTCTGGGTTAATTCTAGCCTTAAAATAACCTAGGCAAGAAGGAAGCTCTCAACAAGAGTCATTTTACTGCCCAAATTCTGGGACTCTTAAAAATTGCCTGGATGTTTAAATGCTACAGGGTCTCTGGCTGCAAAACCTTCCCTCCCACTACCGATCCCATAGCTGTGGACATCCACTATTAGAATCCTTCACTCTCACTCTTTTACTTACTCACCTGCTCCATAACATTACCCCTTGTGGCATTAAGCCTTGTTTGCTCTGCAGTAACAGAACTCACAAGATTTTGAGGAGGGCATGAGAAGCTAACCCAAGTTCTGCCTGTTCCTACTGCCAGGATTTCCCATGGGAAATGGAAGTGGCTGAATGAAGAAAGGCACGTATGTAGAGATAGGGAGAAGTTTTGCTTGCTGCCAGCCTTTCCACCTTCACCCCTTCAAGTATTTATAAAGCACCTACTGTGTGCTGGGCACCCAGATGCAATGAAAACAAGGCGGAGATGGTCTCCCCTTCAGAGACTGCCTCTTCTGGTAAGGGAGGCAGAAAAAGCAACACAAGGAAACAAAGAAAGAAAAGACAAAATAGCAAACCATGAGAAGGAATAAGCATAGGACCAAGAGGAGCATGACCCATGAGACCAACTGTTCTCAAAGTTGGGTTCCTGGGCCCGAGCACCAGCATAACCTGGGATATTGCTGGGAAGGCAAACCATCACGTCCTGCCCCAGACCCACTGATTCAGACCCTCAGGGGAGGGGGACTAGCAATCTGTTTTCCCAAGCCTCCAGATGACGCAAATGGATACAGGCTACAGTTTGAGAAATACTCAAACTAAGCAGGGGTTTCGACTGGTCCCCCCACCGCCCCCCATCGTTGAACCTCCTGTCAGTCCTTAGAACAATTCCTAGACATAATAGGCACTTTGTAAAATATGTTAAAAAGATGAACAAGCAATTGGATGGAACCAAGGTGGGTACTTTAAGTTGGGTTATCCGAGAATTCTCTGAATATTTAAGCTTAGACCAAAAGTTGGAGAAATCGTCGCAGTGAGTCTGAAGAAGAATATTCCAGGCTGACTAAAGCAGCAAATGCAAAACCTTGGGGAAAGAACTTTCTTCAGGAGCAGACTGCCTGGCAAGCCACCCTTTGCAGATCAAGAGTCCAATTTCTGACCCTGGGACCCGGAGTCCTAACTATCCAAGGAACAGAGTACGTATCCTCTTAGCTCAACTATCTGGTTAAAAACTTGTCTTTTCCCCGAACACAATTGCCTTTCTTGTTTGGCTCTACATATGTGAAGCCACCAACCAGGGCCACGCTGCAGACACGGGCATCATTCACAGAGCCTGGCTTGTTCTCCCGTCAGGATGAACTCTCAGCGACCTTGGACAAAGGGGTTCCCAGGTGTCTCCCAGCGAGCAAGGAAGGAAAACTGGCATAACATGGAGGAGCGCCATGCCAGGAGTTCTGACTTTCGACAGTTTATTCTGAAGCTAGCCCAGTCCTCGTCATTTCAAGACAATAAACAAAGACTGTTCCAAGAAAAATTCAAAATGGCAACACAAAGAGCAGATGAAAGGCAGCACAGGAGAAAAAGCAGTGAGAAACTCCACTGTAGTGATTCAAGCCTCCTGGAGCCAGAGCAAGGGAGCTGGAGCCAAGTCCAGCCCGATGCAGATGACATCATTCAGACCCAGGCCAGGCCAGGCTATGCACAAAGCCAGTCAGCCAAAGAAATGTGGACAAGGCAGCTAGGAGAAAATGCAGGCTTTATTCTAAATTATACCCACTGGGAAAATTTCCTTGATTTCATTTTTAACGTGAAAAAATACCGCCAAATATTAAGAGATTTTTTTAAAAGGGCAAAAAATAATCATGCCGTTGATATTAAGATACCCACAATAGGCCAGGCATGGTGGCTCACACCTGTAATCCCAGCACTTTAGGAGGCCGAGGCAGGTGGATCATTTGAGGTCAAGAGTTCGAGACCAGCCTGGCCGACACAGTGAAACCCCATCTCTATTAATAATTCAAAAATTAGCCAAGCATCGTAGTGGGCACTTGTAATCCCAGCTGTTCGGGAGGCTGAGGCAGGAGAATCGCTTGAACCCAGGAGACGGAGGCTGCAGTGAGCCAAGATTGCACCACTGCATTCCAGCCCGAGTGACACAACAAGACTCCATTTCAAAAAAAACGATACCCACAACTTGGACAAAAGGTTGGCAAACTTTTTCTGTAGAGAGTCAAACAGTAAATACCATACATAGGATACAGGAGCCAAGAGACAAAATCAAAACTGCTATATAGGTATTTACGCAAGAAGAAAGAAAATAAATTTTCGCAATTTTTAAACTGATAAATTGCAAAGTACATAAATATAATTGTGAGTAATATAGTTCTAATGAGAAGAATGGAATTCGAGAAACATAACACTTTGTTTGCTTGAGGTTCTAAGTTAGTGTTCCCTGCCATCAAATTGGTTACAAATATTCATTGGTAAAAATCATTTTTAGCTCATGGGCAATAAAAAATAAAAACAGGCATCAGGCTGGATTTGGCTGGTGGGCCATAGTTTGCTAACTCCTGGCTTAGACCATGTATTGGTTAGGTTTCCCCAGAGAAACAGAACGAATAGAATGTGTGTGTATGTGTGTGTATATACACATACATACATATTAAAACATATATATACACACACACACATATATATGTAATACATATAAATGTTTCCAAAACATTTATTGGAAATAGTATATTACATGGAATTGGCTTGCACAGATATAGAGGCAAGCAAGTCCCAACAGCTTCAGGATGAGTCAGCAAGACAGAGACCCAGGAGATGTCTGGGTCCTCTCCAGTGTAATTCCAGTCCCAAAGCAGCCGTTGCTCAAGACCCAGGATAAGCTATATTTCAAGCTTCAGTCTGAAGGCAAGAAAAAAGCTGATGTCCCAGTCCAAAGGCCATCAGGGCAGAAAGAACTCTTACTTGAGTGATGATCAGCAATTTTGATCTATTAAGGCTTTCAACTTATTGTGTTTGCTCTGCTAAAATAACAGTGTTGGCCGGGCGCATGGCTCACGCCTGTAATCCCAACACTTTAACACTTTGGGAGGCTGAGGCAGGTGGATTACCTGAGGTCAGGAGTTCGAGACCAGCCTGACCAACATGGAAAAACCCCGTCTCTACTAAAAATACAAAATTAGCTGGGCATGGTGGCGCATGCCTGTAATCCCAGCTACTCGGGAGGCTGAGGCAGGAGAATCGCTTGAACCCAAGAGACGGAAGTTGTGGTGAGCCGAGATCATGCCATTGCACTCCAGCATGGGCAACAAGAGTGAGACTCTGTCTCAAAATAAATAAATAAAATAAAATAAAATAAAATAGGCCAGGCACGGTGGCTCACCACTGTAATCACAGTACTTTGGGAAGCCGAGGTGGGCGGATCACGAGGTCAGGAGATCGAGACCATCCTGGGCAACATGGTGAAACCCTGTCTCTACTAAAAATACAAAAATTAGCTGGGCATGGTGGTGCATGCCTGTAGTCCCAGCTACTTGGGAGGCTGAGGCAGGAGAATCACTTGAACCCAGGAGAAGAAGGTTGTAGTGAGCCGAGATCACGCCACTGCACTCCAGCCTAGGCAACAGAGCAAGATTCTGTCTCAAAAAATAAATAAAATAAAATAACAGTGTTGTTGCAGAGTAGATGGGTACCCAAAACAGTTCTCGAATATTACACAAAACATGCAAATCATCTGGTGCTATGTAGACATGACCTGGGCCTCTTACAGGTCATATCAAGGAAGGGTCTACAGCTCCCTTCCTCCAGCTTTCCATGAGGAGTGGGAGATGCTGTGGTATCATCACCCTTCTGGTGATCACCAATGCTCAATATTATTAAGTGAATTGTGCCCCCTTTCCAAATTCATATGTTGGAATCCTAACCCCCATGCCTCAGAATGTGACCTTATTTGGAAATAGGGTCTTTGCAGTGGTAGACAAGTTACAATGTAGTTATTAGGAGGGGCTCTAACCTAATATCACTGATATCCTTATAAAAAGGGGAAATTTGGAGACAGACTCACACACACAGGACACCACATGAAGAGGAAGGCAGAGACCAAAGGAAGGTGTCTGCAAGCCAGTGAACACCAGATCTTGCCAGCAAACCACCGGGAGCGAGGAGAGAGGCATGCAACAGATTCTTCCCCCAGGCCTCAGAGGGAACCAACCCTGCCAACACCTTGATCTAAGCCTGCTGGCCTTCAGAACTGCAACAGAATAAATTTCTGTTACATAAGCCAACCAGTTTATACTACTTTGTTATGGTAGCCCTCACCAACTAATACTCAAACAGAGGATGGGGCAAAATGCTGCCTTGGCCTCTGTTTATTCCGAAGTGGTTTTCTGTTTGTTTTTTTGTTTCTTTGTTTTTTTGAGACAGGGTCTCAATCTGTTGCCTAGGCTGGAGTGCAGTGATGCAACTGCCTTGACCTCCCTTGACCTCCCAGGCTCAATCGATCCCCCTCGTAGCTGGGACTACAGGCATAATCCCCCTCACCCAGCTAATTTATTGTAAATTTATTGTAATTTATTGTAAAGACAGGGTTTTGCCATCTTACTCAGGCTGGTCTCGAACTCCTGGCCTCAAGTGACCAGCCCACCTTGGCCTCCCAAAATGCTGGGATTTTAGGCGTGAGCCACTGCACCCAGCCTATTCTAAAGTTTCTTATCATTCTTCTCGGTTTCTCTAGATAGGGTCATTGCCTGTATTTATGAGTGCCTATTTTTAAAAAATGAAATAAAATCAGAGCCAGTTTCAAAGTGCCTGGCACAGGTACCACCCCTGGGTCAATATGTGGGGGAAGAGGCTGGAGCCTGCTGGGGTAGAGACAGGGAATGTCAAGTCTCCTGGCAGGAAGCAGAGGACTTAGGTTTCCATTGTTAGAAGATTTTAGAGACCGGAACATCTACTTGAGCACTGGCCTACCTCAGTTCTGCAGAATAGGAAGAGGGCTGTCTAAGAGGAGGTTCTACATCCCTCACATCTGATTCCAGAAGCCTGGCCCAGCTATAAAAAGGCCCAAGAGGCAGGGGAGAGAGATCTCTCACAGCTCCCCAAAAGGTGCACACAATCTGGTAGGGAAGGCAGGAGAATGAGTGAGCCTCAACAAAGAGAACTCATACAGTTGCATCTTAGCTGGGCGCTTGGTAGTCAAATCCAGAACCCTCTACAAGGGTCCTTCTAAATAGAAGCTACAGTTTAGGGTTCAACTCTGCTCAAGGGGCCAACGCACAATCTTGACTCTTTTCAAAATATTAGTTCACCAATATGCCAGGGAGTGTTATTATTTACAAAAGGGTTCCATATTCTGAAAAGATTATGGACACATTGGATTAAACTACATGGGAAGTGTTAGTGTTTAATATAACAAGGTACTTTACGAATATCAAAAAATAATAAAAGAGACACACAAGAGAAAGCAATGTCACCAACATCTAACCAGACTCAGCCAGAGCCAAGGCCCACAGCACCCTGCAAAGAAAAGTAAAGTGTGTTGCTGCCATTTTTTTCCTAATGGGTTTCTCCCTGGGGCAGAAATAGCTGGAGTTTTCCAGAACTATCCACCCGTTCTCCCACACCAAAGAATCAAACTATCACTTAAAGATTTGTTAGGCAGTAAAAGCAAGCAATTATTCGAAGCAGAAAAACTCAGAGAGCTTAAAATGTGATTAGCTCTGCTGATAAGAGCATGGCATTCAGGTGACCATAAATTGTTGATAACAGCCTTCTGCAGGCCTATCAGCCAGTGCAACAAGATCAGGAAGCAAATAGAAACAGAATTCTTTGTTATTAGTCCCCCAGTGATCCCTTCTAGCCTAGGGCACACAGATAACCGACCTCTACCTGTAAGGTGGAACTAGATAGTCAAATAGGTTTTATCTGGTCCTTAGACCATGCAGTCACAGAATTAGAGACACAGAAGTTTTCCCAGTCTAACTTAACTTTCCTTAAAGTTAAAGAAACAGTAGGACTAAGTGGTACTGAAGGTCATACAGAGGATTTATGGAAAAACAAGGGTAGAGAAACCCAGTTCTTTGCTTACAGTCCAGTGCTTTTCTCACTACACCATTTTCCTTTCAGCGTGGTCCCCAAAGGATGGAAAAGCCAAGTAAAATTGAGGGGAACCTGTCAAGTGCCTGGAAGCAGTTAGTAACAATCTGTCTAGATTTATCAAGCACTCTAATATGTGCCAAGCATTGAGCCAAGCTCTTGAACGTCCCCTGGCTCTTAGGAACCCCTCTGAGGTTGTGTGCCTTTGCACAGGTGAGGATGCCAAGCTTCTGCAAGGCTGAGTGACTTGTTCCAAGTCTCATGCATAGCAAGCAACAGAGCTGGATACACACTCAGGACTCCAAGGCCAGTGCTCTCAACCAAAATCTATGTGGCCTGCTGAGTACTCATTGTGGAGGGTACCACTTCAAATAAACAAGTGAAGATTTTTGGATTTTCTTTTAGGGGTACAAAGACAGTCCTAAAACCAATTGTATGAGAGAGAGTGGCCTTGTGAGGGCACTCTGCCTTGGTCCTTATGTCACGGCAAGTGACCATCTAAATCCTCACAAAAGCAGTCTTTTTGTTTTTTCCTCATGCCTTAGTGAGAGCAAGCTATGAAGTTTCTTGCACAGGAAAACACTTTAAAAAGCATTTCTATATTTTCTTGGAAGCTGGCATATGCTTTTCTGTTTATTAACAAAAACAGGAACACAATTTCTGTAACATTCTTTTTCCCCCAGAAGAGGTCTTGTGGACATTTTCAAAAATAATTTCAACTTTTATTTTAGATTCAGCGGCTAGATGTGTAGGTTACATGGGTGTACTGCATGATGCTGAGGTTTGGTGTGTGCTTGCTCCCATCACCCAGGTACTGAGTATAGTACACCCAATAGTTTTTCAACTCCTCCCTGTCCCTTACGCTTTAGTAGTCCCCAGTGTCTATTGTTGCCATCTTTATGTCCATGAGTACCCAATGTTTAGCTCCCACTTATAAGAACATGCAGTATTTGGTTTTCTATTCCTATATGAATTTGCTTAGGATAATGATCTCCAGCTGCATCTATGTTGCTGCAAAGGACATGATCTCATTTTTTATGGCTACATAGTATTCCATGGTGTATATGTACCACATATTCTTTATCCAACCCACCATTGATAGGTACCTACGTTGATTCCATGTCTTTGCTATTGTGAATAGTGCTGCAACGAACATATGCATGCATATGTCTTTTTGGTAGAACAATTTATTTTCTCTTGGATATATATCCAGTAATGGGATTGCTGGGTTGAACGGTAATTCTAAGTGCTTTGAGAAATCGCCAAATTTTCACAGTGGCTGAACTAATTTACATTCTCACCCACGGTGTATAAGTGTTTCCTTTTCTCCACAGCCTCCCCGATATCTGTTGTTTTTTGACTTTTTGAGAATAGCCATCTGACTTGTAGGAGATGGAATCTCATTATGATTTTGACTTGCATTTCTCTGATGATTAGTGATTTATAGCATTTTTTCATATGTTTGATGGCCACTTGAATGTCTTCTATTGAGAAGTGTCTGTTCATGTCTTGCCCACTTTAAATAGAATTATTTGGTTTTTGCTTGTTCAATTGCTTAAATTCCTTATAAACTCTGGATATTAGACTTTTGTTAGATACATAGTTTACAAATATTTTCTCCCATACTTTAGATTGTCTCTTTACTCTGTTGATAGTTTCTTTTGCTGGGAAAAAGCTCCTTAAGTCCTACTTGTCAATCTTTGTTTTTGTTACAATTGGTTTTGAGGACTTAGTCATAAATTCTTTCTCAAGGCTGATGTCTAGAATGGTGTTTCCTACGTTTTTTTCTAGGATTCTTATATTTTGACGTCTTATATTTAAATCTTTACCTCATGTTGACTTAATTTTTTTATATGGTGAAAGGTAAGGGTCCAGTTTCATTCTTCTGCTTATGGCTAGCCAGCAATCCCAGCACCATTTATTGAATAGGGATTCCTTTCCCCACTTAGTTTTGTCAAGTTTGTCAAAGATCAGATGACTGTAGATGTTCAGCTTCATTTCTGGGTTTTCTATTCTATTCCATTGGTCTGTGTGTCTGTTTTTGTACCAGTACCATGCTGTTTTGGTTACCATAGCTTTACAGTATGATCTGAACTCAGGTGGTGTGATGACACTGGCTGTGTTCTTTTTGCTTAGGGTTGCTCAGGGTTGCTTTGGCTATTCAATCTTTTTTGGTTCCATATTAATTTTAGAATAGATTTTTCTAGTTCTGTAAAAAATGATGTTAGTAACTTGATAGGAATAGTATTGAATCTGTAGACTGTTTTGGGTGCTATAGCCATTTTAGGGATATTCATTCTTCCAATTCATGAGCATAAAATGTGTTTCCATTTGTTTGTGTCATCTGTGATTTCTTTCGGCAGTGTTTTGTGGTTCTCCTTGTAGAGATCTCTCACCTCCTTGGTTAAACGTAGTCCTAAGATTTTGCTGTTGCCATTGTTTGTTTGTTTCAGCTATCGTAAATAAAATTGCATTCTTTATTTGGCTCTCAGTTTGAAGGTTATTGGTGTATAGAAATGCTACGGATGGCTGGGCACGGTGGCTCACACTTGTAATACCAGCACTTTGGGAGGCTGAGGCAGGTCAATCACCTGAGGTCAGGAGTTCGAGACCAGCCTGGCCAACATGGTGAAACCCCATCTCTACTAAAAATACAAAAATTAGCCGGGCATAGCAGCACACACCTGTAGTCCCAACTACTCAGGAGGCTGAGGCTGGAGAATCACTTGAACCTCGGAGGCACAGGTTGCAGTGAGCTGTGATTGTGCCATTGCACTCGAGCCTGGGCAACAAAGCAAGACTCCCTCCGTCTCAAAAAAAAAAAAAAAAAAAAAAAAGGAAAGAAAGAATTGCTGCTGATGTTCATACACTGGTTTTATGTCTTGAAACTTTACTGAAGTCATTTATCAGTCACAATAGCATTTGGGTGAAGTCTTAAAGGTTTCCTAGGTATAGAGCCATATCGTCAGCAAAAGGAGATAGCTTGACTTCTTCTTTTTCTGTTTGGATGCCTTTTCTTTCCCTTGCCTGATGGCTCTAGCAAGGACTTCCACCTCTATGTTCAGTAGGACTGGTGAGAATGGGCATCCTTGTCTTATTCCAGTTCTTGCCCATTTAGTATTATGTTGGCTATGGGTTTGTCATAGATGGCTCTTATTATTTAGTATGTTCCTTCAATGCCTTATTCCTTGAGGATTTTATTATGAAAGGATGTTGGATTTTATTGAAGGCTTTTTCTGTCTATTGAGATGATCACATGATTTTTGTTTTTAATTCTGTTTATGCAGTGAATCACACTTATTGATTTGTATATGTTGAGCCAGCCTTGCATCCCAGTAATGAAGCCTACTTGATCATGGTGAATTAGCTTCTTGATGTGCTACAGATTTGGTTTACTGAGGGACATTTTTCCATGTTGATGAATAACTATGTGCTTTATCATTTTTCACAAATGAATAGTACACCATCACATGGATACACCATATACTCAATTAGGCCATGAGAAAGGCCATTTAATTTGTTGCCAGTGTCTGACTATTATAACCAGCACTGAACTAAACTTCCTAATAGAACCATATTTGCACATTTGGTCAATTATTTCATTATTTTGCAATCTCACAAGTGGAAGTACAGCATCATTTTGCAGTTTGAGAGATACCACCTCCAGGTAGGCTATGCCAACTGACACCCTGCCCAGCTGTGTAAGTGTGTGTTAGGAGATGACCTTCACTTGACAACTGTACAAACACCCAATCACACAAATGTCTTTTTTTTTCCAGAATATTCTTTCGCACTCAGGGTCTTTGAATATGCTATTTCATTTTCTAGAATCCCCTGCCCCTGCCCCCTCTTTCCCTAGTAACTTCTCTTCTTTTAGGTTCTAGATAAGATGTTACCTCCTTAGAGAAGCTTTGACATTCACACTCACCGTCCAGACTAAGGGAGGTCCCCCATTGTAAACATGCAGAGCACCTTGGAGTTTTCTTTCTTAATATTTACAGAAGTGGTAACAATGTGTTTAATGTCTGTCACGCCTGATTGGAAATTCCATAAGGACAGGGCACACAGCTCTCTTGCTGAGTACTACATGCTACACAGTGCCTATGACACAGCAGATACTTCAAAAAGATGTGATGGATGGAGGTATAAGGAGAAGTAGCAAGTAGAAGGTATAAGTAGAAGTAGGGTGGAAAAAAGGAAGGGAGGAGGAAGAAAGGGAAGGCAAGAGGAAGGAAGTGAGGGAGAAAGAGAGGGAGAGAGAGGGAGATAGATTTTCCATGGAGGTTTTCCAAAGAAATGGGAAGGGATGAAGAAAGAAAAAGAGGGAGGGAGGGTCAGAAGAAGGAAGGGGTTTTCCACTGAGATCTTCCAGGGAAGAGGGAATAAAAGGAGAAAGAAGGCCGGGCGCGGTGGCTCATGCCTGTAATCCCAGCACTTTAGGAGGCCGAGGCGGGCGCATCAAGAGGTCAGGAGATCGAGACCATCCTGGCTAACATGGTGAAACCCCGTCTCTACTAAAAATACAAAAAAAAAAAAAAAAAAAAAATTAGCCGGCCATGGTGGCGGGTGCCTGTAGTCCCAGCTACTCAGGAGGCTGAGGCAGGAGAATGGCGTGAACCTGGGAGGCGGAGCCTGTAGTGAGCTGAGATCGCGCCACTGTACTCCAGCCTGGGCGACAGAGCGAGACTCCGTCTTGGAAAAAAAAAAAAAGAGAGAGTGAGAGAGAAAGAAAGGGAAAGAAGAAGGGAGAGAGGAAAATTTTCCACAGAGCTCTTCCAGGGAAATGGGAAAGCAGGAGGAAGAACTTAGTGAAGAATGGGAGGTGGAGAGATATTTTATTATCTAGAACTTGCTCTGGACTTGGCCATTAAATACTTATTAATCAGGAGTTTATCACGTGCCAGGCACTGTTCTAGACACCAGGGATATGGCAGGAAATAGCTCAAACAAGGTCTTTAGCCTCCTGAAGCATGTGTCCTAGTTGGGTAGGGGACAAGAGAACAAATGGATGATCCACAAATATCTGGACAAGGCAATCTTAGACTGTGCAGGGTGCTAAAAAATCCATAAAGCATGATACTAGGTTTCGCCATTACTTTTAATGGCGAAAACCACAATTACTTTTGCATCAGCCTAATAGTGAGCACTGCTGTTCCAGAGGAGACAGAGGGGATGGTCGGAGAAGGCCTCTCAAAGGAGGTGACATCAGAGGAGACGGTTACAAGAACTGGGGCAGGGTGCTCCATGGCTGAAGGACACCAAGGGCAAATGCCTTGAGGTAAGAACTCACCTGAAGAACCCGAAGGGCATTTTTGAAAACAATATGGAGTCAACGTACTCTAAAGCTAAGGTTTAAAAACCTTCCAATTGGCCCGGGCGTGGTGGCTCATGCCTGTAATCCCAGCACTTTGGGAGGCCGAGGCAGGCAGATCACCTGAGGTCAGAAGTTCGAGACCAGCCAGGCCAAAATGATGAAACCTCCATCTCTACTGAAAATACAAAAATTAGCCGGGCTTGGTGGCACACGCCTGTAATCCCAGCTACTCAGGAGGCTGAGGCAGGAGAATCCCCTGAACCTGGGAGGCAGAGGTTGCAGTGAGCCAAGATCGCACCACTGCACTCCAGCCTGGGCAACAGAGTTCTCACTGTCTGTCTCAAAAACGAACAAACAAACAAAACCTTCCAATTGGCAGAAACAAACTGTCATAGAAATGACTCCTCAGTACTTGGATCATTTCCTAGGGCTACCATAACAATGTGCCACAAACTTGAGTGGCTTAAAACAACAGAAATTTATTGTTTCATTGTTCTGGAGGCCAGAAGTTCAAAGTCAAGGTGGTGTCAGGGCCCCGCTCCCTCTGAAGGTGCTGGGGAAGACTCCATTCTATGCCTCTCTCCCACCACCTGGTAGCCTCAGGTGTTCCTTGGCGTGAAGATACAACACTCCAATCCCAATCCCCACACCACCTGGCCACCTCCACGCAGTCTTCCTGCTGCGCATGTCTGTCTCTGTGTCCAGATTTCCCCCTTTTTATAAGAACTCCAGTCGTATAGGATTAGAGCCATCCTACAGACCTCATTCCAAGTTGATCACCTCTGTAAAGACCCTATCCCCAAATAAGATCACATTCCAGGGTACTGGGGTTAGGACTTCAACATATCTTTTTTGGGAGATATGATTCAACCCATAAGAACATTTGTGCACAAATATAGCCTTGTGATATACAGAAGCCAATCGGATATAACTGTAATATCAGTAAGAATTTGATTCTGCAAACAGAAAAATACATAGGATTTTTAAGGACAGAGGTCTGCAAAGTTCAAATATTTTAAAGGTCAGAGAATTACAAAATTCAATACAGTCTGTGTGGATCTGTATGACCAGTGGGCTGAGTTACGGAGACCCCGGTATAGACTAACAATTTTGCAGAGCTGTGTCTATCAGGGCCATGATATAAATCTAATCTGCATTCTAGCTGGTATCTCTGCTCTTTCAGAAACTTCAGACACCTGAGAAAATGAGCTCAAATACATTTGAAAAGGTGGCCCCCACATTATTGAAAGGACATCTGTTTCCTGGTATCTTTTAAATAAATATTTAGAATTAAGTAAAGAAATATTTATGAGCAACAAAGCCATTTAATATTTTTGCATTAGAGAATCTATGCTCATTTCTTTTCTGATATGGAGAACTTTGCCTGATTGAGTTAATCAATCATCCTTATAAATGCCAGTTTGAAATCTGTATTTGAGTAACAGATTTAGGCTTGCAATACTTAAGTTGCAATCTATTTTAAAAACAATATTGCAACATTTAAGAGACCTTAATGCTCACCATATTGACATAGTTCAACTTATTAGAGTTATAAGAATTAATAAAGCACATGGAAAGTTCTAAACACTCGTACAACTACAGTAAACCAAAGTTCTTAAAAAGGAAATTAAATATAGTCTGCTAATAAATGCAGTTTAAAATGTTTAGAAAGAATTAACTCAGTTAAATAACCTCCAATGGCAAAGTCTCCTTTAATGAGATTGTTAAAATGTGAGATTTATATAAATATGATAATGAGATTTATAAATTAGAGTTAAAAGTTTGAGGAAAAATTAGAGTATAACTTTAATAACTTGAATACTTTAAAAATAACTACTTAGTAGTTTCTATAACCTCCAAGACATCACAAAATTCACATTAATAGGAAGAAGCAAGCCCCCATGCCAAAGACTGGCATAGAAAGAATTGAAAATTAACCCTTGTTTTGCTGTGTCAGAATTTCCTCATTACGATAGGATGGTTGCTTTCTCTCTCTCTCTCTCTGTGTGTGTGTGGATTAGATTTTCCTTTTTGAGTCATTTACATACTTTACTTCACATCAGTTTAAATAGCTGAAGGATTCTTTGAGTTCCTGGAGACTCTACAAAGCCACAAAATCTGAAAGCACAACTTTCGGGCTACTGAAACGGGACACAGTGTTCACACCTCTCCCTCCCTCCAGCCTGGCCCTTAATCCCAGCCTTACAGCCTTCCCAGATTGGAAGTGCCTTTGACATCAAACCCACTCCGTTCAGACACAAGGCCCCAGGCCCAGGCTGGGTAAGTGGCCTAGCTCAGATCACACTGGCCGCTGGCAGATAAATCAGAGAGAACGGACATTTCCTCCCTGGCTCTCTGGAGCGAGTGGTTACATTGGTGGCTTTCTGGCCCTAGACAATGGCCAAAGTGCCAGTACTGCCACCAAAGAGCCAGGGAAAAAAAATTCCAAGGCAACCCCTAACATATTTGCCCTCAAGAAAGGTCAGTTCATAGTCTGCATTTTATATGCATCCACTGCAACTTACAAGCAACTGTCAGGGGAGAGGTAAAACGGGTTGACTTTAGGCCTTGAAAAGAGAAGATTAATCCTAACAAATGGGGTGGGGGCCTTTGACAATGACTGGGATGTGTTAATGGTGTGTCTCTGCACACCCAGGCGCTGTCCTTTATGGCTCTGCTAGGGCAAGGATAAACCACAGGACCCATAATAGCTCCCTCCGAAGGGTTGTGATAATCGTAGCTGTTGTCTGAGCTGAGCGAGTAATGGTGAAAATGGATGAAAAGTATATGTTTATGTCTTTGCTATTAAATCCAAAGCCATAAACACGGAGGGCACTAAAGTTGATAGTGTCACTGACAAATGCCTTCTTTTGAAGAGCACTGAGAAGGTTAAAACAACAAAGAAAAAGGCAGCAACTCTGGGACCTGAGATTTTCCACCTAGCCGTCTCCTGCCCTTTGCCCTTCCTTTCCCCCTTCATTTAGTTTAATTTCACAAATATGCTTTGTGGGTGGAAGGAGAGAATGAGAAAACAGATTTTTTTTTTTTTCCTGGGCTTGGGAATTTAGCCTTAAGGTGACCCTGGAGCAATTCCTGAAGCCTGGCACTATCCCAAAGTGTCACATGCACAATCGATTCCTATTCTACATCCTCCAGCTAATTGGGAAACTCTTAGCCCCTAGAGTTCTGAGGTCAGTGTATGATTTAGATTTTCTGAGATTCTTAGAGAAAGAAAACATCCAGGGCTAGAAATAGCATGAGACAAGGGAGGCATTCACCTGAGCTGTAAAATTTAAGGGAGAGGGGCCAAAAACTCAAAATTCAGATTATTTTAAGGCAATAATATTTTTAAAATCAAGTCATTAAACTATGGCTCTTGTGTCAGCCACCTGTTTGTGTTAATATAGCTTTGTTGGAAGTCCAGGGCCAGGATTAGGGTAACCCAAGTGAGGCAGGGCGCACGCTTGTAGGGTCAGATCATGTCATTATTTAAAATTTTGTTCAACATGGAGTCTGATGTTTTTAAAATATTATAAGAAAGTACTACTTATCAGGCCGGGCGCGGTGGCTCAGGCCTGTAATCCCAGCACTTTGGAGGCTGAGGCAGGCGGATGACGAGGTCAGGAAATCGAGACCATCCTGGCCAACATGGTAAAACCCCTTCTCCACTAAAATACAAAAAATTAGCCAGGCGTGGTGGTGAACGCCTGTAGTCCCAGCTACTGGGGAGGCTGAGCAGGAATCGCTTGAACCAGGGAGGAAGAGGTTCTCGGCAGTGAGCCGAGATCATGCCACTGCACTCCAGCCTAGTGACAGAGCAAGACTCCGTCTCAAAAAAAAAAAAACAAAAAAGAAAATACTACTTGATTACTGAGCTCTGTGGTACCCCCTTAAATCCTGCACTTCCAGTGAGTACCCCATACTCTTCGCCCACTTGGCCCTACAAAGACCACATCCCAATCTTCCCAAAGGCGTCTTACATCATAACTTGATATTACTGAGTTCTTACTGTTCCCAGGCACTGTTCTAAGAACTTTGTTAATACTTACATTCATTCACTGAATTCCCCTTCTTGTGTGCAAATTGAGGCACAGAGAAGTCAAGTAACTTGCCCCAGGTCACACAGCTCGTACAGCAAGTGAGCTGGGATTCAAACCCAGGCAGCCTGGCTCTGCAGCTTGGCTCAGACACCACTACATTCCTCCTCCCTGATTTTTTATTTTTTTGTCTCCTCTCTTCCCTTTCTAAACTTATTCTGTCCACTTTGTCAGCACACAGTGATTTCTTAATCTAATTTTCCCAGGCTTTATGCTGATAAGTTATTTCTACCGTCAGACACAGATGGCTTTATAGGAGACCAGCCAGCTAAGTGCACCGCCTAAGAATGCAATAAAACTTGCTTTTTTTAACCAGCTAGATTGGTTTACGTGGTGAGATAAATATTGCGCTAAGAGCAGCTCCCAGCACACCTCGGGAGAGAGTTGTTGCCCCCACTCCGGCTGGTAAGAGAGACAGCACTCCCTTCCCTGGATGCCCCAGAGCCAAGGGCATGAGGTAGTGGCTTCTTTGCCTTGTCTAAACCCTGATATCCTTGTTTTGGCATGCAGGCACTGACGGCTGGGAACTGCCTACGCAGGGTCTGCCAGGTATCTGTGGTCTCATTGTGTGGTTGCCCAGACACTATCTACTCCCCCAATTCCCTTTCCTTTTCTGGAGAAGGACAGTTAGAGGCGATAGGCTTAGCACTGTCATTGCAAGTGGCGCCTTAGGAAGAATTACTACAAACTGTCATTGTCATCCTCACCACCACCATTTATTGAGGGCTTAGTAGGCAGCAAAGCAGGTTCTCCCCTTCTCCATGCACAGTGTCCTACATAAGCCATATCATTTCATAATCTTCCAGGATAGCATTCCTCAAAGTGCGGTGCACGGATGACCTGTGCCAGAATCTCTAGCAAACACTGGACAAGACAGCTCAAGTTACTCAGGCTCTGTGAGTGTGGAGCCTGGGAATCTGCTCTTTAACAAGCACCCCAGGTTTCTTATATGCATCTAAACTGGAGAACACTTACTCAACACGCCTGTTTTGAAACGGTGGAAATAGGAGTGTGAGAAAGTTTAAGTAATGTGTTCAATGTCATATCTAGACATGAGCAGAATCCACAGGACCCCACGTCTGTCTCACTCCAAAGCTCAAGCTCTTAACCCCTGTGCAATACTGCATTTCGGAGGTTTATTTCTGCTCAATCTGTCTCTTGTCAAATTCAGTTATGCCAGCTAGAAATTTTGTCAGTTTTGTGGGAGCTGCCCCAAGGGAGTCCTTGCTAAAGTAAATGACCGTCTTAAGTTTCCCTGAAAGAAGAACCTGGAACAAGAACTTGGGGACATGGGGTTTATTTGGGAGGCAGTCCCAGATAACAGGAGCAAGAGGGCAGAAAGAGCAAAAGAGGGAGTAAGAAAAGGCCAATGTAAAGGTCACGGAGGCAGCCGTGAACATTGGGGCAGTGTCCCCCTGGGACCTCCTGACCAGATGCACTGCCTCCCAGAGTCACCCAGAAAGGTGGGAGAATGGTGATATTTCAGCCACCAGACCCCTTTGGTTGAAGGCTGGATCCAGGGGCATTTTCTCTCTCTCTCTCACACACACATACACACACATGCACACACGCACACACGCACACACACACACTCTTACCTACTTCTGGGTGGTGCATGTGCCAGATAAGTGCGCTTCCATGACAATGCCCAATGCCCTGGGGCAGAATTCAGAGAGATGGGTGGACTTCAGGTGGGGTCACAGGAGATTGAAATTGCTTCTGAACTTGCACGCAACAGCCTCCTGTGGCTTTGGCTGAAGCCAGAGGCAGGCTAAGGGGATGTGACTCAGGTACCAACGTTGCCTTCTACTCTGATAGATTGAATTCCTTACTATTTCCATCAGTCAAGAAGATAACACAGGTAGATGTCACCACATGTCACATAATCCCCAAATGATGTGCTAGAATGTGTGTGGCAAACTGATCCTTTACAAATGGAAGCAAAGCGAAGAAGATCTCCTTTGACAATCAGACGTGGAAGAAGCCAGAAATCAGTTCTGCTTCCTGATGGAAATCAGGAAAAGCACTTGTCAGATTAAAAGCCAAAAAGCACCAAATTTAAGGCAGTCACCTGTTCTCTCTCTCTGCTTGCACTCTGTCTCTATACTGTGATGGTGGCTCTGCAGAGGGGAGCAGAGCACGCACCACGCTGTAATCAAGTGGCCTTGCTCCAGCTCCACCACTGGCAAGCTCTGTATCTCTGGAGAGCTGACCTCATCCCTCCTAGGGTTGTTGCTGGAGCTAAGTATGTCATTTATGATGTATGTTCACCTATGCCTCACTGGTACCCAAGCATTTGAACATGGCTGGAGAAACAAAGTTACAACCGTGCTGATTGGTTTCATTTGAAATTCACACTTGCAAATCTCAAGTAGACACTGAACTTCATGGCCAACAGCACCTCTCTGGTATGTTTACTTCCTTAGTTTCTCAATTATTCTTTTGCACCTTCTTCTCCATTCTCATACCCCTGTATCTCTCTCCTCTCTACGCACTTCCCAGACAATGTCCTTGCCTAATACTTCAGGAAAAAAATGAAACCAGGGAGATGTGAATCCAGCACCTTCCCTGCAAGAAAAACTCACTCTCTCTGCCTATGATTTGTTATCATCAGAGATATATCCTTATTCTTTAAAATACATTTGTGCTCTGGACCCCTCCACTTCCCTGGTACATAGACTCACTCTTTCCTGAGTCATCACTTCCACTGGATCATTCCCAAGAGCTCACAAACTTGTATGCCTATCTCTCATCTTTAGAAAATCCTCCAGGTTAATCCCATCACCCCCGCCAAACACCATAGCATGTTTCTGCTCCCCTTCACAACAGTTATCTAATTTTGTGTCCTCTTGCTGTTTCCACTTCTTCACCATCCTACTTCTTTCTTCACTGACACCAGCTGTACATCTCCCCCACCAACAGGTGAAATGGCTCCTCAGTGTCACCAGGGTCCCTCATGTCACTCAGGGCAAAGAACACATTTCTAGTCTCTTTTACTCATTCTTTTAGCAGCTTTCAGCATATTTGACCATTCTCTCCTCAAAGCACAATCTTGCCCTCCAGCCCACCAGGGAGCCACTGCCTCTCCTACCTAATGGCCCTGCTGAGTTTCCTAGTATGAGTCTGCCCATTCTGCTCCAAATCCAACTGTCTGTACCCCCCAAGCTATGACAGTAAGGAAAAACCTTCTGGGTTCTAGCCATCATCTCTTTGTTGTTAATTTCATCTAGTTCCATGGCTTTAAACATCATGTATATGCCAAATGGCTCCTAAAGTTTTCCCTGTAGCTTGTCCTCTAGACACTTACTTAATATCCCTACTCGGGTGTCTAGGAGACTTCTCAAACTAACACATTCTGGGTGCCGGTAAGGTTCAGTGCCTTGATCTGTGAAGTGCTTATGTGAACATGTTCACTCAGTAAAAATTCATCACTGATGATGGCTGTTGCTTTTCTATACATAGCTAAGGTTTATACTTTTAATTAAAAGCCTTACTTTTAAACATTAACATTCCCGAACAGTGCTGCCAATTGCTTTTTCTGAAAACTTGCTCCTCTAAAATCCCCCAAAGAAACCAAAAATCCCAACGTTATTCTTTTTTTAAAAAAAAAATTATTTCCATAGGTTTTGGGGAACAGGAGGTATTTGGTTACATGAGTAAGTTCTTTAGTGGTGATTAGTGAGATTTTGGTGCACCCATCACTTGAGCCGTATACACTGAACTCAATTTGTAGTCTTTTATCCCTCACTCCCAACCCATCCTTTCCCCTGAGTCCCCAAAGTTCATTGTATCATTCTTATGTCTTTGCATCCAACATTATTCTTGATTCTTCTTGTTCCACATCTAATCCAATTGTATGTCCCGCCTTCTCTATTGCCAATCAAATCCCATCCACTTCAGCTGCCTGCTCGCCATCTGGCTGAGCCATCAGCACCTCTACCTGAGTTACTGAAAGTTTTCTACTGGCCTTGTGGGTTCCATTCTAGCCTCTTGTTATGGACTGAATTATGTCTTCCCAGAATTCACAGGTTGAAGCCCTAACCCCAATGTGACT
The DNA here is from genome assembly GCF_000001405.40 of Homo sapiens. Lineage (NCBI taxonomy): Eukaryota > Metazoa > Chordata > Mammalia > Primates > Hominidae > Homo > Homo sapiens. The sequence continues at coordinate 73,347,969 of NC_000003.12, read as the reverse complement.
GTATTTGAATATAGGGCTTTTGAAGAGATAATTCAGGTTAAATGAGGTTATAAATATGTGGCCATAATCCAGTAGGACTACTGTCCTCATGAAAAAAGGGAAGAAGCCGGGTGCAGTGGCTCACAAGTGTAATCCTAGTACTTTGGGAGGCCAAGGCAGGCGGATCACCTGAGGTCGGGACTTCGAGACCAGCCTGGTCAACGTGGTAAAACCCCATCTCTACTAAAAATACAAAAAAAGGGGCTGGGTGCGGTGACCCACACCTGAAATCCCAGCACTTTGAGAGGCCAAGGCGGGTGGATCACGAGGTCAGGAGTTCAAGGCCAGCCTGGCCAACATAGTGAAACCCCGTCTCTACCAAAAATACAAAGACTTAGCTGGGTGTGGTGGTGGGTGCCTGTAATCCCAGCTACTCAGGAGACTGAGGCAGGAGAATCACTTGAACCCAGGAGGCAGAGGTTGTGAGTGGAGTCGTGCCACTATACTCCAGCCTGGGTGACAGCGCGAGACTCCATCTCAAAAAAAAAAAAAAAAAAGAAAGAAAGAAAGAAATTAGCCGGCATGGTGGCAGGTGCCTGTAATTTCAGCTACTAAGGAGGCTGAGACAGGAGAATCGCTTGAACCCAGGAGGCAGAGGTTGCAGTGAGCCAAGATCACACCACTGCACTTCAGCCTGGGTGACAGAGCGAGACTCTGTCAGGAAAAAAAAAAGAAAAGAAAAGAAAAAGAAAGAAAGAAAGAGAGAGAGAAAAAAGGGAGGAGACACCAGGAGGACACACACAGAGGAAAGGCCATGTGAGCACACAGCAAGAAGGTGGCTGTCTGCAAGCCGAGAAGAGAGCCATAAATTTCTGTTGTTTAAGCCACACAGTCTGTGGCATTCTGTTGTAGCAGCTTGAGCCAGCTAATACACCTCCTATCATCCTTTCTGCTCAGAATATCATCCAGAGTGGACTTAGAAAAGTTGCAATCAGATCATGCTACTTCCTCTACCTCCCCCGCAGCAAAAATTTAAACTTATCAAAGCTTCAACTTAGGGTGAGATTCAAATGCCTCACCTCTCCTAGAAACCCACACAGTCTCATCCTGCTGAATACTCAACCACTTCTAAAACTGCTCTCTCCCATAACCCTCTGTACCCCAGCCACCTCTCTCTATGTTTCTTGGATGCTTTATGTTTCTACCTTGGAGCTTCTGTTCTAGATGTTCCCTGTGCTTGTGCAGGCTTTGCCATAGCTGGCTCCTTCTGATTACTCAGAGGTCAACTGAAAGTCCCCTTTCCAGGGAGGACTGCCCTGACTACCCAGTCAAAACATGTCCCCTCATAACTTTCCAGTACTCATATATTTTAGTTTCCACATTGCACAGCACTTAAAACCACCTGACAATGTTGACATTACTTTTTTGTTTACAGCCTGTCTCCCCACCACCACCTAGAATACAAGTTCCCCCAAGGAAAAGATATTATCTGTTAACCTCTGCATCTGCCCCTCTCCATTTAAAATTATGTCTAGCATATGGGAGGTGCTCAATAAATATATGTTGAAAAAACCTAATTTGTACAGCCCTACCATAATGCATAGAGCCCAGCAAAAACAGAAAAAATCAGTCTTCCCTGCTTTCTATCACATTCCTCAGCGGTGTGTAGACTTTAAGATATGTTAACACAGAGTAATTGAGACTTCGGAAAGCATTGATTGAAAATATGCAGTTATTTCTGCTTCCTTCCGAAATTCCATTTAAATATCAAGAAAGGTACAAGAAGATAGAAATTCACAAGGACAAAGAGAATAGGAGATAAGATGCCAACAGTTAAAAGATATCAGCAAACTTCTGAACACAAAACGCTGAGACCTAAATGTGTTTGGGTGGTGGGGGTTGCCAATGTGTGCTGGACCCCCGAAAGATGCAGGAATTGGAGCACCAGATATCTCTAAAAGAAGGACAAGGGATAAGACTAAAAAGAGACTAAATTTTTTTTTTTTTTTTGAGACAGAGTCTTGCTCTCTCTCCCAGGCTGGAGTGCAGTGGCGCAATCTCGGCTCACTGCAAACTCTGCTTCCCGGGATCACGCCATTCTCCTGCCTCAGCCTCCCAGGTAGCTGGGACTACAGGCGCCCGCCACCATGCCCGGCTAATTATTTGTATTTTTAGTAGAGACGGGGTTTCACCGTGTTAGCCAGGATGGTCTCGATCTCCTGACCTCGTGATCTGCCCGCTTCGGCCTCCCAAAGTGCTGGGATTACAGGCGTGAGCAACCGCGCCAGGCCAAAAGAGACTAAACTTTTAACTCAGAGTTCATGAAAGGAACCGTTAGACTTCCAGGGCACTTTTCGCAACACCTCACAGCCAGTTTGGAACCCATTCTAACCCCAAGAGTTAATGGGGTTTTTATATCTGTAGTTGTCAAATCAGACATGTTTTCCAAACCTGAAAACTCTTAAGGCACAGCAAAAATATAGATGAAGCATTGAACAGAAAAGAGGGATGCAGTAAAATTCTGCATACCGAATAATGAGAGCCCCTGTTCCTTCTGCCCACTGTGGTCCCTAGAATCATCCTGGGAGCTGAGCTTATTCTTCCTGAGGCAGGAGACTGAAAGATTCCTAGGTTGACTGATCCAACAGAAAAAAACCTCCAGACACTTACATTTGAAGAGTATCATGGCAAAATGGCTGGAGTGGGCTTGCTTACTTTACAGTGAAGCCACCAATCTTTCCCTGCCAAACATACTCCAGACACACACACCCCCAAATCCACATATACCCCAAATGCATACACACCCTTCCAAAGACATACACAGTCATACAGTGCATAATGACATTTCAGTCAATGGCAAACCATATATGTGACAGTGGTCCCGTAAGATTATCATACTGCATTTTTACTGTACCTTTTCTATGTTGAGATATATTTCAATGCACAAATACTTACCATTGTGTTACAGTTGGCTACAGTATTCAGAACAGTAACAAGCCATAGAGGTTTGTAGCTTAGGAGCCACAGGCTGTACCACAGAGCCTAGGTGCATTGTAGGCTATACAACCTAGGTTTGTGTGAGTACAATCTATGATGTTCACACAAAGACAAAATTGCCTAATGGTAGATTTCTCCAAATTTGTCCTCATCATTAAGCAACGTGTCTATATATGTACACATCCCAAACACACACCCCAAATACATATCCCAAACACACACACACACACACCCCAAATACCACACACATATTCCAGGCATGCACACATACTTCAAACACCCCAAACACACACACTCAATTTCAAGCAGCTTTTTCCCTGATTCCCAAAATATGAATGGACAATCAAACCAGATATGTGAATAAACCTCCGAAAACAAACGATCAAAACCAAGACAAATAGATGGTGGTGAGTTGGGGAGGAAGGAAAGGAGGAATTCAAATACCATAATCACAATAGTTAGCTTTAAAAAAAATCACATCCATGAAACAAGAATAGGATTCTGTAAAAGGAAGCACTTTGAGAATAACAAAGTGTCTAGAAATTTAAAATACAATAATAAAAAATCAATACAAGAAATGGTATAGAGTTGCGAAAAATCTCTCAAAGTATAACAAAAAGACAAAATATATGGGAAGCAGAAGAGAATCAATCAAATCAGAGGCTCAATCCGGAGAGTCCAAAATCAGAGACTCAGAGGAGCAAACAGAGACAATAATGGAAAGAAAACCATCAATGATAAAAAGCAATAAAATGTGCCAGAGCTGCAAAACCTGAATCTCTAGAATGAAATGGCCTCTGGATGTGGAGCAGAAGGAATTGACAAAGTCTGCTTTAAGGTGTATCATTAGGACATTTCAGAACACTAGCAATAGAGAGAAGACTTTAAGCTAAGGACTTCCTAAGAGACAAATATTTACAACACATCACCTGCAAACAGGAATTAGCATTAGACTTCTCAACAGCAAACCTGAAAAGCAGAAAGCAATGGAGTAAGGCCTTGAATATTCTGAGAAATAATTACTTCCAACCCAAAATTACATAGCCTAATAAATTATTAATCAAATGTAATAAAAAAAGTCTTTATGGCCAGGTGTGGTGGCTCACGCCTGTAATCCCAGCACTTTTGCAGGTTGAGGTGGGCGGACCACGAGGTCAAGAGATCGAGAACATCCTGGCCAACATGGTGAAAACCCGTCACTACTAAAAACACAAAAATTAGCTGGGTGTCATGGCATGTGCCTGTAGTCTCAGCTACGCAGGAGGCTGAGGCAGGAAAATTGCTTGAATCCAGGAGGCAGAGGTAGCAGTGAGCCAAGATCACACCACTGCACTCCAGCCTGGTGACAGAGTGAGACTCTGTCTAAAAAAAAAAAAAAAAAAAGTCTTTATATTTTCAGACATATAAAGTCTTAATATTTTGGTGTTCAATGTATCCTTTCTTAGCAAGTTACTGGGAGATGTGTGCCACTAAAATGAGTGAGTAAACCAATAATAATTTCTAAGAGATCCAAGAGAAAGAGCATCAATCAAAAGAGGAAAAGGAAACCCCCCATTTGATGGTAAAAGGAAATCTCTGAAAGATAATTGTACAGCTGACCTACAGGACAACTAGCTCAGGTGGGTGCAGGAATGCCTTTCCAGAAATAAAACTGATGGTTTGCCTTATGTGTTAGCCTATGTTGTGAAGAGTCTTATACTTTTATCAGTGTTTGAGAAAAAATTAATGACAAGAACATGGAAAATTAAGCAAATTAAAATAAATAATCAAAGCAATTATTAACTATCAGAAAAAGAAAAGGCTGTAAAAGAAAGGAAAAGTTAGCTATAGTATGTTCCATGGTTTGGCAGTGAACAATATTTTCATAATAAAAACAATATTAACACAGAATAGTAATTGACCAAAACTTATGACATAGTAATGGAAGAATGTGGAAAGGGGAAGCTTGCACGTGGGCTGTGTCTGTGTGTGGTGGCGGACATATGAGAAGTACATATATCACCTTCCATTTTAGGAAGTCAATAAATAGTCTAAAATGAATAAGCCAAGAAATAGCCAGGTAAGTGTATTTCTTAAAAATATGGAAATAAGGCCGGGCGCGGTGGCTCACGCCTGTAATCCCAGCACTTTGAGAGGCCGAGGGGGGCAGATCATGAGGTCAGGAGATCAAGACCATCCTGGCTAACACGGTGAAACCCCATCTCTACTAAAAATACAAAAAATTAGCCAGGCTTGGTGGCAGGCGCCTGTAGTCCCAGCTACCTGGGAGGCTGAGGCAGGAGAATGGCGTTAACCCAGGAGGCAGAGCTTGCAGTGAGCCGAGATTGTGCCGCTGCACTGCAGCCTGGGCGACAGAGCAAGACTCTGTCTCAAAGAAAAGGAAATAAACATCACATAAGAAACAGAGAAAAGTGAAAAAAGTAGTTTGCCTCTATAGAGGAAGATCCAAGAATGGGAACATGACATCTGGTATACATTTATTACTTTAGTAAGATTAAAAATTAAATTAAAAATAGAACAAAACATAAAGTAAATTAATAAATGAGGATATATCATCACAGATAGGTAGAAAGCTGGACCTACCATAGATAAGCTTCACTTTGATGAGGCCAAGCATGAATAACTGTAAGTAGATCATATGGAGTCCAAGTACATGAAGCTGAAAGTGTCCTCACCTTTCATGCTCACCTCTTGCCAAATCATCATAACAGTAAAAATAGCAGCTAAGATTAGGGGTGTACTGTGAACACAGAATAGTGCCAAGCAATTTCCTAACAGAAGCTAATTCCTTTCTCCACTGCTTAGTGAGAACAAGATTATATCATTTCACCTTTTTCAAATGAGTAAACCAAGGCCCAAAAAGGATAAATAACTGATCCAGCGTCTGCACAATTCTCTCTTGTCCCTGAATAAGAAAGGAAGGGAAAGAAGAAACTGTACCTGGTACTCTGCCTTTCCAAAAAATAAATGGCCAAAGGCTTGCAATTTTAAAGCCTTGGGAAAACTTGGTGAAAGACTAAGCTGACTTAGACTGGAAAAAGAGGCCGCCATGAATTGGGGGTGGTGGCTGGTGAGGTGACGCACTAAAGAAACAAAAAGCCCAGGCTGCTTAAAGCCAGACACAAATCTGTCCAATCATTTAGGGAGAAATTGCCAAGCTTGAAGCATTTATAAATCACCCCCAAACTAATCAGCCATTTAAGGACAATCCCATAAAAATATAAAAGGGACCACAGCAGGCTGCTCTTGAGAGATAAATGGCTTTGCAGCCTCATCTGGGGTATGCAAATTTGAGGATAACAGCAGGCATTTTCTGAATGATAACTTGGTTTATTTTTGATGGCAGCTCATTGAGAAATGGAGCTGAAAACCTGGGGAGAATTCTCAGGCTTTGAGATGAGCTATGTGTCCGAGAAGTTCCAGTGTAGCTTTTCTAAGAAACCCTTGTGCTGTAAGCTTGGAAGGCAGACAGGGAGTCAACCACCTCAGCTTTGGGCCTAGCACTAGAATGCAGTTGGTGAAACCAGGTTACTATAAAAGCCACTGCTGAGACACGTCCTTTCTTTCACCTCAGTGTCTCTTGAATTTTTTTCTCTCTCTCTTCTCTCAGTGCCATAATCCTAATGCAAGGTAGAGGGTTTCAACATTTTAGAGCTGTCTAGAATTGTCAGTGTTACTGAGTTTCTTCCATTCCAAAATGGGAAGCAGAGACCCAGTGCAGTGGGTTAAATGACAGACTCCCAAAAGGTGTGATCATTTTTAATCCCCAGAATCTGTGAATATGGCCTTATTGGAGAAAGTCTTCACATATAGGCAGGGCGCAGTGGCTCACGCCTGTAATCCCAGCACTTTGGGAGGCCAAGGCGGGCAGATCACGAGGTCAGGAGATCGAGACCATCCTGGCTAACATGGTGAAACCCATCTCTACTAAAAAATACAAAAAAAATAGCTGGGCATGGTGGCACACGCCTGTAGTTCCAGGTACTCGGGAGGCTGACGCAGGAGAATCACTTGAACCCAGGAAGCGGAGGTTGCAGTGAGCTGAGATCATGCCACTGCACTCCAGCCTGGGTGACAGAGTGAGACTGTCTCAAAAAAAAAAAAAAAAAGAAAAGAAAAAAAAAAGAAAGTCTTCACATATAATTAAGAATCTGGAGATGACATCATCATGGATTAGCTGGGTGGGCTCTAAATCCAATAAGTGGCGGGGCATGGTGGCTCATGCCTGTAATCCCAGCACTTTGGGAGGCTGAGGGGGGTGGATCACAAGGTCAGGAGTTTCAGATCAGCCTGGCCCAGAGGGTGAAACCCCATCTCTACTAAAAATACAAAAATTAGCTGGGTGTGGTGATGCACGCCTGTGATCCCAGCTATTCAGGAGGCTGAGGCAGGAGAATTGCCTGAACTCAGGAGGCAGAGGTTGCAGTGAGCCAAGATCGTGCCACTGCACTCCAGCCTGGGCAACAGAGCAAGACTCTGTCTCAGGGGGAAAAAATAATAATAATTAAATCCAATAAGGGTCCTTATAAGAGACAGACGAGAAGAAGAAGATAAATAGCAGAAGGCCATGTGAAGATGGAGGCAGAGATTGGAGTGATGTGGCCACAATCAGCTGGAGCCCCCAAAAGCTGGAGGAAGCAAGGATGAATTCTCTCCTCCAGCCTTTGCAAGGAGTGTGGCCCTGTTGATGTCCTGATGTTGGACTTCTAGCCTTCAGAATTGTGAGAGAATACATTTCTGTTGCTTTAAGCTGCCTGGTTTATGGAAGAGTTTTAGGGCTCCAAACAACTGATATAGTTCACTAATTTTAGAAATAAGGAAAATGGGGAACAGAGAGTGCTATCTGAAAGTCGCACAGCTTCTTGGTGATGGTTAATGTACCCGGTTTGACTTTGAGTTAGTTGCTTAACTGACTTACCTCAGTGTTTTCATCTAGAAAATTGAGATAACACCACCTACCTGATAAGGTTGTCTTAATGACCAAATGGAAGAAGAGATGCAAAATCCTATCACGTTGCCTCGCCTGGAGCAACTGAGGACAACAGCATTGCTTAAATCTCCATTTTTTATTTACTGGACTAGCTGCTTCATTCCATCAGTCCACCACACAATTCATTCCAAAACTCCTTCCTTAAATGCCACTCTAGACCCATGAAATGTCCTGAAAATGGCTCCTACTGCCTGTCAGATTAATTCATCCCATACAAATGGTGCCAGCATCAGCCGTGGGCTGTGTCATGTGTTGGCACTGGGGTTTCAGGGGTAAGCAAGATGACAGCATGTCACCTCACCAGCCATTGCCCACTTACTAGCTGTGCCCATCCAGTGACTAGCCGGTGTCACAGGTGGGACAGGAAGTGTCTGAACAGGGAGGGGATCAAGGAGATGCTGAGCCTTGGAGCTTGGTTCTGTTTCATTCCCAAAGCACACCAAGAAATTTCATGCTTTTAGGCCAGTGATGCTTAACAACGGTGGGTGGGTAGATTTTTTTCCCCCATGGAACATGTGGCAAGATCTGGAGACATTTTGGTGTCACATAGGCAGGGGTTGGGGGGTGAGCATGAGGTGTTTCTGGCACTACTGAGTAGAAGCCAAGGATGGTACCAAACATCGTACAATGCACAGGACAGCCTCCCACAACAAAGAATTCTCCTGCCCTAAATGTCAATCAGCCGGAGCCTGAGAAACCCCACTGTAGGCCCAAAAGAATCCCTGTTCAAACACAAGAAGGCAGGGAGAAAGCAGCCTAGGAGATTTTGGTGACAAAGCCATGGGAACATGTCCCGTAAGTGACCAAAACTATATGTCATGCTTTTTTCTCAGCAAATGACCTGCCCCTGGGGGACCTGGGAATGGATCTATCATACTGGTGGGGCCACTTGTGAGACTGGGCTCAGCTTGATCCCATGGACACACATGGGGACCAGAAGAAGGCAAAGGACTGCCTGGTAATGAGTACCCCACCTCAATCTCACCAGCTGCCTCTTTAAGACCCACTCAAGGGTTCCAAGATGGTCGAATAGGAACAGCTCCAGTCTACAGCTCCCAGCGTGAGCGACGCAGAAGACGGGTGATTTCTGCATTTCCAACTGAGGTACCGGGTTCATCTCACTGGGGCTTGTCGGACAGTGGGTGCAGCCCACAGAGTGTGAGCCAAAGCAGGGCGGGGCATCACCTTACCTGGGAAGCACAAGAGGTCAGGGAATTCCCTTTCCTAGCCAAGGGAAGCCGTGACAGATGGTACCTGGAAAACTGGGACACTTCCACCCTAATAATGCACTTTTCCAATGGTCCTAGGAAACAGCACACCAGGAGATTATATCCCGCACCTGGCTTGGAGGGTCCCACACCCACGGAGCCTTGCTCACTGCTAGCACAGCAGTCTGAGATCGAACTGCAAGGCAGCAGCGAGGCTAGGGGCGGGGCGTCCACCATTGCTGAGGCTTAAGTAGGTAAACAAAGCAGCCAGGAAACTTGTACTGGGTGGAGCCCACCACAGCTCAAGGAGACCTGCCTGCCTCTGTAGACTCCACCTCTAGGGGCAGGGCATAGCCAAACAAAAGACAGCAGAAACCTGCAGACTTAAATGTCCCTGTCTGACAGCTTTGAAGAGAGTAGTGGTTCTCCCAGCACGCAGCTTGAGATCTGAAAAATGGACAGACTGCCTCCTCAAGTGGGTCCCTGACCCCCGAGTAGCCTAACTGGGCGACACCTCCCAGTACGGGCCAAATGACACCTCAAACAGCCAGATGCCTCTCTGAGACAAAGCTTCCAGAGGAAGGATCAGTCAGCAACATTTGCCGTTCTGCAATATTTGCTGTTCTGCAGCCTCCACTGGTGATACCCAGGCAAACAGAGTCTGGAGTGGACCTCCAGCAAACTCCAACAGACCTGCAGCTGAGAGTCCTGACTGTTAGAAGGAAAACTAACAAACAGAAAGGACATCCACACCAAAACCCAGTCTGTACGTCACCATCATCAAAGATCAAAGGTAGATAAAACAACAAAGATGGAGAGAAACCAGAGCAGAAAAGCTGAAAATTCTAAAAATCAGAGCACCTCTTCTCCTCCAAAGGAATGCATCTCCTCGACAGCAATGGAACAAAGCTGGATGGAGAATGACTTTGACAAGCTGGCAGAAGTAGGCCTCAGAAAATCGGTAGTAACAAACTTCTCAGAGCTAAAAGAGGATGTTCGAACCCATTGCAAAGAAGCTAAAACCTTCAGAAAAGATTAGATGAATGGCTAACTAGAATAAACAGTGTAGACAAGACCTTAAATGACCTGATGGAGCTGAAAACCATGGCACGAGAACTATGTGACGCATGCTCAAGCTTCAGTAGCCAATTAGATCGAGTGGAACAAAGGGTTTCAGTGACTGAAGATCAAATGAATGAAATGAAGTCAGAAGAGAAGTTTAGAGAAAATAAAGTAAAAAGAAATGAAGAAAGCCTCCAAGAAATATGGGACTATGTGAAAAGACCAAATCTACATCTGATTGGTGTACCTGAAAGTGATGGGGAGAATGGAACTCAGTTGGAAAACACTCTTCAGGACACTATCCAGGAGAACTTCCCCAACCTAGCAAGGCAGGCCAACATTCAAATTCAGGAAATACAGAGAATGCCACAAAGATACTCCTTGAGAAGAGCACCTCCAAGACATGTAATTGTCAGCTTCGCCAAAGTTGAAATGAAGGAAAAAATGTTAAGCACAGCCAGAGAGAAAGGTCGGGTTACCCACAAAGGGAAGCCCATCAGACTAACAGCTGATCTCTCGGCAGAAACTCTGCAAGCCAGAAGAGAGTGGGGGGCCAATATTCAACATTCTTAAAGAAAAGAATTTTCAACCCAGAATTTCATATCCAGCCAAACTAAGCTTCATAAGTGAAGGAAAAATAAAATCCTTTACAGACAAGCAACTGCTGAGAGATTTTGTCACCACCAGGCCTGCCTTACAAGAGCTCCTGAAGGAAGCACTAAACATGGAAAGGAACAACCGGTACCAGCCACTGCAAAAACATGCCAAATTGTAAAGGCCATCAATGCTAGGAAGAAACCGCATCAACTAACGAGCAAAATAACCAGCTAACATCATAATGACAGGATCAAATTCACACATAACAATATTAACCTTAAATGCAAATGGGCTAAATGCTCCAATTAAAAGACACAGACTGGCAAATTGGATAAACAGTCAAGACCCATCAGTGTGCTGTATTGAGGAGACCCATCTCATGTGCAGAGACACACATAGGCTCAAAATAAAGGGACGGAGGAAGATCTACCAAGCAAACGGAAAACAAAAAAAAAGCAGGGGTTGCAATCCTGGTCTCTGATAAAACAGACTTTAAACCAACAAAGACCAAAAGAGACAAAGAAGGCCATTACATAATGGTAAAGGGATCAATTCAACAAGAAGAGCTAACTATCCTAAATATATATGCACCCAATACAGGAGCACCCAGATTCATAAAGCAAGTCCTGAGTGACCTACAAAGAGACTTAGACTCCCACACATTAATAATGGGAGACTTTAACACCCCACTGTCAACATTAGACAGATCAACGAGACAGAAAGTTAACAAGGATACCCAGGAATTGAACTCAGCTCTGCACCAAGCAGACCTAATAGACATCTACAGAACTCTCCACCCCAAGTCAACAGAATATACATTCTTCTCAGCACCACATCGCACTTATTCCAAAATTGACCACATAGTTGGAAGTAAAGCACTCCTCAGCAAATGTGAAAGAAAAGAAATTATAACAAACTGTCTCTCAGACCACAGTGCAATCAAATTAGAACTCAGGATTAAGAAACTCACTCAAAACTGCACAACTACATGGAAACTGAACAACCTGCTCCTGAATGACTACTGGGTAAATAACAAAATGAAGGCAGAAATAAAGATGTTCCTTGAAACCGATGAGAACAAATACACAACATACCAGAATCTCTGGGACACATTTAAAGCAGTGTGTAGAGGGAAATTTATAGCACTAAATGCCCACAAGGGAAAGCAGGAAAGATCTAAAATTGACACCCTAACATCACAATTAAAAGAACTAGAGAAGCAAGAACAAACACATTCAAAAGCTAGCAGAAGGCAAGAAATAACTAAGATCAGAGCAGAATTGAAGGAAATAGAGACACAAAAAACCCTTCAAAAAATCAATGAATCCAGGAGCTGGTTTTCTGAAAAGATCAACAAAATTGATAGACTGCTAGCGAGACTAATAAAGAAGAAATCAAAGAGAGGAATCAAATAAATGCAATAAAAAATGGTAAAGGGGATATCACCCCCAATCCCACAGAAATACAAACTACCATCAGAGAATACTATAAACACCTCTATGCAAATAAACTAGAAAATCTAGAAGAAATGGATAAATTCCTGGACATATACACCCTCCCAAGACTAAACCAGGAAGAAGTTGAATCCCTGAATAGACCAATAACAGGCTCTGAAATTGAGGCAATAATTAATAGCCTACCAACCAAAAGTCCAGGACCAGATGGATTTACAGCCGAATTCTACCAGAGGTACAAAGAGCTGCTGGTACCATTTCTTCTGAAACTATTCCAATCAATAGAAAAAGAGGGAATCCTCCCTAACTCATTTTATGAGGTCAGCATCATCCTGATACCAAAGCCTGGCAGAGACACAACAAAAAAAGAGAATTTTATACCAATATCCCTGATGAACATCGATGCAAAAATCCTCAATAAAATACTGGCAAACTGAATCCAGCAGCACATCAAAAAGGTTATCCACCATAATCAAATGGGTTTCATCCCTGGGATGCAAGCCTGGTTCAACATACATAATCAATAAATGTAATCCATCTTGTAAACAGAACCAAAGACAAAAACCATATGATTATCTCAATAGATGCAGAAAAGGCCTTCGACAAAATTCAACAGCACTTCATGCTAAAAACTCTCAATAAACTAGGTATTGATGGGACATATCTCAAAATAATAAGAGCTATTTATGACAAACCCACAGCCAATATCATACTGAATGGGCAAAAACTGGAAGCATTCCCTTTGAAAATGGGCACAAGACAGTTTTCAACTGTCTTCTCTCACCATTCCTATTCAACATAGTGTTGGAAGTTCTGGCCAGGGCAATCAGGCAGGAGAAAGAAATAAAAGGTATTCAATCAGGAAAAGAGGAAGTCAAATTGTTCCTGTTTGCAGATGACATGATTGTATATTTAGAAAACCCCATCGTCTCAGCCCAACATCTCCTTGAGCTGATAAACAACTTCAGCAAAGTCTCAGGATACAAAATCAATGTGCAAAAATCACAAGCATTCCTATTCACCAATAACAGACAAACAGAGAGCCAAATCATGAGTGAACTTCCATTCACAATTGCTTCAAAGAGAATAAAATACCTGGGAATCCAGCTTACAAAGGATGTGAAGGACCTCTTCAAGGAGAACTACAAACCACTGCTCAACAAAATAAAAGAGGACACAAACAAGTGGAAGAACATTCCATGCTCATGGATAGGAAGAATCAATATTGTGAAAATGGCCATACTGCCCAAGGTAATTCATAGATTCAATGCCATCCCCATCAAGCTACCAATGACTTTCTTCACAGAATTGGAAAAAACTACTTTAAAGTTCATATGGAACCAAAAAAGAGACCACATTGCCAAGTCAATCCTAAGCCAAAAGAACAAAACTGGAGGCATCACGCTACCTGACTTCAAACTATGCTACAAGGCTACAGTAACCAAAACAGCATGGTACTGGTACCAAAACAGAGATATAGACAAATGGAACAGAACAGAGCCCTCAGAAATAATACCACACATCTACAACCATCTGATCTTTGACAAACCTGACAAAAACAAGAAATGGGGAAAGGATTCCCTATTTAATAAATGGTGCTGGGAAAACTGGCTAGCCATATGTAGAAAGCTGAAACTGGATCCCGTCCTTACACCTTATACAAAAATTAATTCAAGATGGATTAAAGACTTAAATGTTAGACCTAAAACCATAAAAACCCTAGAAGAAAACCTAGGCAATACCATTCAGGACATAGGCATGGGCAAGGACTTCATGACTATAACACCAAAAGCAATGGCAACAAAAGCCAAAATTGACAAATGGGATCTAATTAAACTAAAGAGCTTCTGCACAGCAAAAGAAACTACCATCAGAGTGAACAGGCAACCTACAGATTGGGAGAAAATTTTTACAATCTACTCATCTGACAAAGGGCTAATATCCAGAATCTACGAAGAACTTAAACACATTTACAAGAAAATATCAAACAACCCCATCAAAAAGAGGGCAAAGGATATGAACAGACACTTCTCAAAAGAAGATATTTATGCAGCCAACAGACATGTGAAAAAACGCTTATCATCACTGGCCATCAGAGAAATGCAAATCAAAACCACAATGAGATACCATCTCACACCAGTTAGAATGGTGATCATTAAAAAGTCAGGAAACAACAGGTGCTGGAGAGGATGTGAAGAAATAGGAACACTTTTACACTGTTGGTGGGACTGTAAACTAGTTCAACCATTGTGGAAGACAGTGTGCCAATTCCTCAAGGATCTACAACTAGAAATACCATTTGATCCAGTCATCCCATTACCGGGTATATACTCAAAGGATTATAAATCATGCTGCTATAAAGACACATGCACACGTATGTTTATTGTGGCACTATTCACAATAGCAAAGACTTGGAACCAACCCAAATATCCATCAATGATAGACTGGATTAAGAAAATGTGGCACATATACACCATGGAATTCTATGCAGCCATAAAAAAGGATGAGTTCATGTCCTTTGTAGGGACATGGATGAAGCTGGAAACCATCATTCTGAGCAAACTATCACAAGGACAGAAACCAAACACCGCATGTTCTCACTCATAGGTGGGAAGTGAACAATGAGAACACTTGGACGCAGGGTGGGGAACATCACACACCAGGGCCTGTTGTGGGGTGGGGGGGAGGGGGAGGGATAGCATTAGGAGAAATACCTAATGTAAATGATGAGTTAATGGGTGCAGCACACCAACATGGCACATGTATACATATGTAACAAACCTGCACGTTGTGCACATGTACCCTAGAACTTAAAGTATAATAATAAAACAAGGACCCACTCAAATCAGGATTAAGAAATAACCACTGGCTTGCGGTGATGAAATCTGGAAAGTGCTAATCCACATTTAGCCAGATACGTTGTCTGGCATAAACCACTTCCTCACATTTTGTGAAATGAAACCCTAAAGAAACAGATACCTCCTCCACCTGATCTCCCTTGTAGGACAAGATAGGCTGAATTAAGGCATCTGGTCTTTCTGGATGGCATATCAAATAATATTGGATTCAAAACCAGAGACAAAGCTGTTTCCTTACTAATTCTCTTTCAGTTCTTTTGAAGAAATAGCCTCAGATTCATGTAAATGGATCCTTAAAAACTTCAGTAATATTTGCCATTTCTTTTTTAAACAGAGGCTTGGACCTGTGGCTCAGAGCCCTCAGACAACAGTATTTAAACGTCAGTTTGAACTAAACATCAATATTTGGTTTTCACAGCATAATTTTTTTATTGTTACTGCTATCTATTGTTTTTTTTAAATGGCCATGCAGGAATTATTCCAGGGATATGAGGGTGGTTCATGTTACGAAATCATTAAGTCATAAGAAAATATCACATAATCAAATCAATAATGTATTTTACTTTGTTAAATTTAGAACATACTAATAAAACACTAGCTAAAATAAAAACAAAAATAACCTACTTTGCCAAGAACAGCATATATAATTTTTTAACTTTGTTAGTTTGTGTTTTGAAATAATTTTGAACTTATGAGAGTTGAAAAATAGCATAAAGAATTCTTATATACTTTATATTCCGATTCCCCAAATGCTAACCTCTTAATATCCCTAGTATTATAAACAAAAATCAGGAAATTTACACTCATAAAATACTATTTTCTAGTTTATAAGCCTGATTCTAATCTCACCTATTGTCCCATTGGTATCCTTTTTCTGGTACAGGATCTAACCCAGGATCAAATGCCTCATTTACATGTGATGTTTCCTTATTCTCATTTAATCTAGAACACATTCTCAGTGTTTCTTTTTAAAAACTTCTTAAAACTTAAATACATTTTTTGCTAAAAAGATACTTGCACACGTGAGTATGTGAGTATGCGAGTTTATAGCGGAACAATGCACAATTGCAAAAATGTGGAATTAACCCAAACATCCATCAATCAATGAGTGGATAAAGAAAATGTGGTAATGTGGGGTGTGTGTGTGTGTGTGTGTGTGTGTGTGTGTGTGTGTGTGTATATATATGATGGAATACTAGTCAGCCATAAAAATGAATGAATTAATGGCATTTGCAGCAACCTGGATGGCATTTGAGACTATTATTCTAGGTGAAGTAACTCAGGAATGGAAAACCAAACATTGTGTGTTCTTCCTCATAAGTGGGAGCTAAGGTATGAGGATGCAAAGGCGTAAGGATGACACAATGGACTTTGGGGACTTAGGGGAAAGGGTGGGAAGGGGATGAGGGATAAAAGACCACAAATTGGGTTCAGTGTACACTGCTTGGGTGATGGGTGCACCAAAATCTCACCAGTCACCCCTAAAGAACTTACTCGTGTAACCAAATAGCATGTGCGCCCCCAAAACCTATAGAAATAAATTTTTTAAATTAAACATACTTTTTTGAGAGTAGTTTTAGGATCATAGCAAAACTGATCAGAGAATTCTCATATATTCCCTGCCCCTCCCCAGGCATAGTGTTCTCTGTTATCAACAGCCCCCACCAGAGTGGTCAATTTGTTTCAGTGGATGAGCCTACATCAATATGTACATCAGTAGCACCCAAAGTCCATAGTTAACATGAGGATTCACTCTTGGTGTTGTACATTTCATGGGTTTGGACAAATATATAATGACATGTATTTATCACTATAGTATCATACAGAGTAGTTTCATTGCCCAAAAAATCCTCTGTGCTCCACCTCTGCCCTCCCTCTAACCCCTGGCAACCACGGATGTTTTTACTATCTTCATAGTTTTGCCTTTTCCAGAACATCATGTAGCTGGAATCATATGGTATGTAGCCATTTCAGATTGGCTTCTTTCACTTAGTAATATGCATTTAAAATTCTTCCACATCTTTTCATGGCCTGACAGCTCTTTTTTTAGTGCTGAATAGTATTCCATTGTTTGAATGTACCACAGTTTATCCATTCACTTACTAAAGGCCGCCTTGGTTGCTTCAAAGTTTTGGCAAATACCAGAGTACAACGGCTGGATCACATGGTAAGAGTATGTTTACTCTTGTAAGAAACTGCCAAACTGTCCCAAACTGGCTGTACCATTTTGCATTCCCACTAGCAATGAATGAGAGTTCCTCTTGCTCCACATTCTTGCCAGCATTTGGTGTTGTCAATGTTCCAAATATTTCCAAAACACATCTTCACTTTTTACTTATTTTCTTATTGTTGCACTTTAAGAGTTCTTCATATATTCAGAAAACAGTCTTTTATAAAATGTCTTTTGCAAATACTATCTCCCAGTCTGCAGCTTATCTTCTCATTCTTTTGACATTGTCTTTTGCAGAATAGAAGTCTTTATCTTTAATGCCGTTCAGCTAACTATTTCTTTCATGGACTGTGCCTTTAGTGTTGTATCTAAAAAGCCATTGCCATGTCCATTGTCCTCTAGATTTTCTCCTGTTCTTGTCCAGGAGTTTTATAGTTTTGCATTTCATAGCATAATATTTACTTTCACAGTTACCTCCAAAATAAATGTCAACATCTATTTTCCACTGACAGTTGCAACTTACTTTTTTTCTTGTGCATGCCAATTTAAGAATAAATTTATTTTTAAAATATTAAGTAATTAATGGCAAAGGCAGCAAGTGGATATGTAAAAACATGACATGGAATAGAAATGACTCAAGTTTGGAGGAACATAATTATGGGATGTGGGATCTTCTGCCAATAGAATGAAAGCAAAGCATTACAAGGAAGTCTTAAATGGCCTCCCCCTACAGCCTGGGAGCTTCTGAGTTCTCTAGTCACCAAGCAGGGGGTTTTTACTTGAGCCAGCCATAGCAGGAAGATGGAGCTAGAAAAAGACTACATACTTTTTAGGGAATTAAAGAAGAACCTGAGCCAAGACCTAGGGTTCTTTCTTCACACGAGGTGTTGGGGGCCAACTTAAAGGAATAAAAAGGCTCTTGCAGATAAACTCAGCTCTGAACTAGAAATGTAAGCTGGACTTAGGCACCACTTGCCCTCAAACCTAGCACACTTGGTCAGTGCACAACCTGAACAATCATACAAGGAGCCCTGTCAAAAACAATCAGCTTTTGACTGTACAAAAAGATCACAAATAGAGGAAACAAAATAAGACTAAGCAAACTTGATTGCTCATGAGCTCAGCATAGCTGGAGTTGAGTATTCAGTCTATAACCTTGTAAATGTCATCCTTCTAAACATTGTGCGGGGCACTTTTGCATCTGGGGCTGAAATGGGAAACATGTTTAATCAGCATACTCATAAATTGGCCATGGCTACTTGAAACTCTTTTTAATAAGGTCTGTGGGAACACATCTACGTTTACAATTCTGATTGATTAGTTAGGTCTGCTCTAAGCATGGGATTAGGAAGGGGCAGTACCTGGGCCATGTACCTGTAGGGTCCTGCATAGGAGCGTCACTGCCTGCTCAGCACAGTAACAGGAAGCTGTAAGACTAAGAGAAAAAGGGATTTGTTGGAAAAGGATTCCAGACCTACCATGCCTCTTCCTGACATACCTCTGGTCCCCACACTTCCATTTCTGAGGAGTTCTATCTCATCTTTTGGCCCAAACACCATCTCCTCCACAAAGAGTTTCCTGACCCTCTCAAATGGGCAATCTCCTCTCATTCTTACTCCTATCATCCATATCACAATCACTTGAGATGTGGTAGACGAAGTTCTGTCTATCCACCTTGATCTCAGCTTTAACCTGGGTTTTAGGAACAGAATTCAAGGGTCCCTGAACTTAGATGCAAAATAAACCTACACCTCCACTTTCACTGACATCTAACAGAAGTTGAGCATATCCTTCAGTTACAAATAAAGGCAACAAGTATCTGTGACTTCCCCATTAATAGAAATTGTATATTTTATACATCGTAGTTATTATAGATATATAAAAATATTATTTATACAAATTTTTAATCTGAAATTAGCTATTAGCTCTATCATTAGCTGAGTTATTGAAGGCATTAAGAACCATATTCACTAATATATCAAAATATTTTAAATCTATTGATAATTGCCAGTATAATTGGTTTCCTTTGTGACTCTGCCATTTAATGCATTTTCTCAGCTTTATTGAGGCATAATAGATGGGATGGTTTGAATCTGCATCCCCACCGAAATCTCATGTTCAATTGTCATTCCCAATGTTGGAGGTGGGGCCTAGTGCGAGGTGATTGGATCATTGGGGCAGTTTCTCATGAATGGTTTAATACCATCCCTGTTGGTACTATCATGGTGATAGTAAGCTCTCATGAGATCTGGTTGTTTAAACGTGTGTAGCACCTCCCTGACTCTTTTGTTCCTGCTCCTGCTCCTGCCATGTAAGATGCCTCACTCTCTCTTTGCCTTCCATCGTGATTGTAAGCTTCCTGAGGCCTCCCCAAAAGCAGATGCTGCCATGCTTCGTAAACAGCCTGTAGAACTATGAGCCAAATAAGCCTTTCTTTTTTTTTCAAATAAATTACCTAGTCTCAGGGATTTCTTTATAGCTATGCAAGAATGGACTAATAGACAAAAATTTTATATATTTAGGGTATAAAATGTGATGTTTTGATATACATATACATTGTGCAATGATTACCACAATCAAACTAATTAATGCATCCATCACCTCATGTGGTTACCTCTTTGTGGTAAGATCTACTCTTTGCAAATTTCAAGCACACATTATTGTTAACTACAGATCTCACTTATGTGTGGAATCTAAAAAAGCCAAACTTGTAGAAATAGAGAGGAGGAGGGCAGTTGCCAGCAATTGGGGGTTGGGGAAATGAGATGATGTTGGTCAAAGGGTACAAACTTTCAATTATAAGACAAATAAGCTCTGGAGACCTAATGAACAGCAGGGTGCCTATCATTACTTAATTTTTAAAACAGTGTTCTGAGAAGGGAGCCCAAGTCTTCATCAGATAGCTGAAGGGATCCATGGCATACAATAGGTTAAAAACCACCTCTCTCCTCCCCTAGTAGCCCAGAGGGTGAGCTCTCTGACTTGAGGACATAGTCCAGGCCTCACTCAGCTTTGAACTGCTGGCACCAAGCACAGTGCCTGGCACATAAGAGATGCTCAATAAGCAGTCCCTGATAGGCTGCTTATCGCATTGAGGTAAGCATAAAAAGCTGCATTTTAGAGACAGGCTGGGTTTTCTTAGCCAGTTCAGTCCTGGAGAGAACTGACCATTTCTACTGCCTCTCACCCTTACTCATCTGTGCCCACATGTACCCATTTTGGTGTGGAAGTGTCTGCTCTCCCGCTAACAACAAGGCCCAATTTGATGTTTGATGTCTGTGTTAGAGATGGACAGTTGGACCTCTTTCCACAACCTACATGAGGACTCCACTCAGGAGCTGAAGTGAGAATCCGAGGGTGCTGACGAGCCAAGTGGGTATGTTCAGTGCCCTCCAGAAGGCATGTGAATCACTGCTGCCCCATAGCTGTCAGGTTGCAAATTTCTCCATACTCTTGGTAGTCTCTCCTTGATTTTTGGCTGCTTTCATTATTTAACTCTAAGTCTCCTCTCAGAGGACAAGAACAACCAATAGTTAATGTCATGGCTCAGAAAACATGGCAAGGGCCAACCAGATACCTGAAACTGATTGTGCCAGGGGAAGGTTTGTAACAAACCCATTTCTCCTGCAACAGGAGCAAGCGGGACTCGGGAGAAACTTCGCTGTGGTGTGCAGCAGGCAGCAAGGCATGGCCTCACTGTGAATGTGCTCCGCTTCTTTCTACAAATTTCCTTCTTATTTTGGGATTACTCTGATTGGCTAATGAGATGTCAAAAGCATGAGATTAATCAATGCGAATCATAACCTCAGCTGTGCTTACCCTGCAATAGCCTTCACTGCCATCACCAAAAATATAGGCTCTCTCCACAATAAACACTTTTTATAATACCAATAAGACCACACCAGGGAGTGTTGTTATCATGAAATAATCATGGCCCTGTGGGACTCAGCCTGGCTGTCTTTCATGCCTCATAATGCTGGGGAGGGGGATGGCAGAGGGGAGAAAGGAGGGCGAGATAAGGGGTGATTATATCAAAATAATGGCACCCCCTATTGTGCCCTTTTGCTTAAAGCTTCAGATACCTCAGCTGAGAACATGTGCCTGTGAATCGTACCGGGTTGAACAGCTGTGACTTTTGTGCATACAGCCATCTGCATTCATGTATTTTTAATGGGCCACTTTGGGGCTGTCAACCTGCAAACAAAACTTAGGTTAGGTTTTGAATCCTGGTCAACAATATTGAATTCTGGCTCTTGGTTATTCCTCCTTACCAACTTACTTCTTCTGCAAGAATTATTAACAAAATTGAAGTTGTAAGAAAAACAAGAAGAAAATGCAGAATCTTGCATCTCACATTCACAAAAGGGGTCCTGACAATGGATGGATGTGAGAGGTCTCCAGGGTTGGTGACTCAGCCCATTTGACTTGATTTGGACTCATTTTGATTACACGGGAATTTCCTTCCCTGATTGCCAATGTGAATTTTTGGATACTGTGGCAAATCAATCAGGTTTACATGGTAGACAGCTACTCGGGTGGTTCATACCTGTCCATAATAATGCAAAATGACAGCCAAAAGCAAAGACAGAGGCGTATGAAAACTGCTGTTAAGATGTGTGGTTTTAAGGAATATGGCATGTGTATATAATATATATTCTGCTAGTAATAATGACTTAGTGAATGAAAGCAATTGTTTACCAAAAATGACTTCTGAGCTCACTTAGATTTTCTCCACACATTCTGTGAGGCCGAGAATGCCATATTTCCTTCCAGATGCATTATAAATTTGAACATGTATAGAATCAAAGGTAAGTTTTTAAAGTTAAGGTAATTTTATAGCCTAAATAGACAAAGAGTTTGCTTTCTTATAACAGCTAAACTATTTAAAGGGGTTAAGCTGATGGTTTGTTTTATGGTGATGGTTGTTTAATGTCAGTCTGTTTTATAAGGAAGTCTAGATATGGCTCAGGTGCAAAGGTGATTATGTCCATTTCTCCTCCTGCCATAAAGGAACCACACAAAAAAACCCGAAGAAATCAATCAAAACCAACATTTATTTGAGGCAATTTTCCTCTTTTCAATTCTTTAACATTAATTCAGAATGGTTTCAAAGTTACAAGATTCAAATTGGACTCTGAAACACCAAGAAAATTATTTTTCAAAAACATGTACACTCATTGGGCAGGGAAGTAATGCCATCAAATGCTCCCATGCTGAGCCCTCAAATCCCCTCCTAAAATAAAACCATAACTTGGTGTCTTCCCCTGATAATTATTCTCACTAAAGCAACTATCTTCTTTTTAAGCTCCTTAAAATCATTTCGTGGCCAAAGAAGAGAGGAGCAAGATGGTTTTGATCTTTTAATGACAGTGATTCAACCACTTCAGCATTTGCTGGAGACTGGCTGTTCCTTTTTTTAATTTCATCAAGCCAAAATTGTTATAAAATGTCCTCTGTGAAAGAATATTCCATTTTAATCATGATTTCTCTTAAGAAAAAGAAACATAAACATGTCAACATGACACTAGAGAACCACAATGTGTCTTCCTAATACAATAATAGCCATGGTTTTATGAACCATTCGATGAAACAGCCAAAGAAGAAATTAGATCCTTTGGCCCTGGTTGCTGAATGTAATAGATCTCCCCTCAGTTAGATAGCTGGGAACAGGCCGAAATGATTAATAGGAAAGCTTGATGGTGCAAAAACTGCTTAATGTAAGAGTGCAATATGGCATGCAAACCAAACTAAAACAGCCATAAATATTTTAGGCATCTTATAAAGATTTAAGAATATTTATTCCACATATAAATCCATTGTGTAATATCAGTGAAAGCTAAGAGTCCAGAGGTCTGGCAGCCTGAAATACAATGCGGTGGATGAGGGCTGTGTGTCTTCTCTCTGTTTGCATTTTCCTGTGATGATTAAACCAAAGTAGTTGGCTAACTGCTTCCAAAATGAGGCAAAACTCCCAAGTGCCAATCCTTTTACAGCTTTGTCAGCACTTACTGCTCAGAGAAATCTGATCTCCAAAGCTTTGCGACAAGGAGTAAGGTTGGGGCCAGAGCCTCTCCCTGGTAGTTTTATCTCACATTTCAGGTCTCTTACATCTGTGCTAACCAAAGTGTTATCTTGGGTCAGCTGCAATGGTATGGCCTGGATGCTGGTTAGAAATGCAGAATCCCAGGCCCCAGCCCAGACCTGCTGAATCAGAGGCTACAGTGTACCAACATCCCCAGGTGGTTTGCATGCATGCTAAAGTTTGGGAAACCCTGGGTTACACCTTCAGCTCTCTCACATCTCCCATTCCTGCCTTTATCCCCAAGCACCAGATGGCTCCCAGAGTGTAGCTAATGAGATGGAGCTTTGTCACTGACAGGACGTGGATTTTTGTAATCTTACTTTGCCTCTCTGAGCCTCCATTTTCTCATTTAAAAATAAAAGGAAATAACGATAACAATTTCACGGGGATGGTGAAAAGACTAAGTGAAATTATGTATTCAAAAGCTCACAGTGAGATGTCTGGTATATAGCAAATGCCCAATCAATGGTTGAAATTGAGGGTGATAAAAAGACACAGACAGGACAAATTTCAGTTTTCACAAAACCGTTAAGAACTCCCTCATCAATTTCTTTATCTATTCGATGGGATCCATAAAACAAAGATGTTTGGAAGTTGGGATAAGAGCAGAGAAAAGTGTCAGTTACTAAGGAAGAGAAATAACAGCAATAAGAGTGTGACTGTGGATTAGTTATCTTGTCCTGTGTGTCAATTACCCTAAAACTTAGTGGCTTAAAACAAACATTTATTATCTTGTCATGTCTGTGGGTCAGGAATTCAAGACCATCTCAGATAGGTAGGTTCTATCTCAGGTTTTCTCATGAAGGTTAAATCAAGAAGTTGGCTGGGGCTACAGTCATCTGAAGGCTCAACTGGGGCAGGAGAATCTTTTCCAAGAGAGTTAATTCACATAGTGCAGAATGTTAGCAGGAGGTCTCAAGTCCTTCCCCTGTGGACTCTCCATGGGCTGAGTATCTTCATGGTATCATGCCTGGCTGACAGAGAGGACATGGAGGAAGTCGTGGTGCCTTATATGGCCTGGCCTCAGAAATCATGCACCAGACACCCTATCTGAGAAGCATCCATGGTTGTGGCACTAATAGGTGGCCAGAGGTAAGCTTTGGTCCTTAATCTCTTCAGACCTTAAACCCCTGCTAAAAACAAAAATTAGATCCATGTACAAATTGTTCTTCTTATGCAAATACTACTTCAAAGCAATTCTCTCTTTCAACCAAATTGTTGCCCCCAAATCTCTACTATATAGAAATGCTGGAGTCCCCAATGTATCTCTACTACAACTTGTAAAATAGCTTCTAAAGTGTCATAAATCCAGATAGTCATAAAAGTTTTCAGTGATTACATTTTCAGTTCAGTCTGAAACACTTCCCCACTCCCAATACACCTTTTTATCCAGCTCAAGTCCTGCAATCCTTCTAGTTATAGGTTAAATAACCCTTTCCCTAGGAGGCCCTAGGTTAGATAGGACTGTTGCAGTATCTCCCAGAACCCTCTCAAATTCCTTTAACATAATACTCTTCACATATTCGGGAATTTATGTGTTTGTATCAGTACAAGCTTTTGTGATTGATCTTTTAATCAATCACAAAATTCAAGATGGCAGGGACCATGTCCAGTCTTGTTCAATTTGTATATACTGGAACCTGATACAGGGCTGGCACAGAGTAGGTTCACAAAATCTGTTGCATAAATTTTTGTTTATCCATTTATTCAATAAATATTATTGAGGGCCTACTGTGTGCTGGGCAGAATTCCATGCACCGCAGATATAGCTGTGAACAAAATCAAACAAGTCCTAGATGGGTGAAGGCAGATTAAAAAATAAATAAATAAATAAAGAGGGGAACAACACATACTGGGGCCTGTCACAGGGTCAAGGGCCGGAGGAGGGAGAGCATCAGGAAAAATAGCTAATGGGCACTGGGCTCAATACCTGGGCGATGGATGATCTGTGCAGCAAACTACCATGGTACACATTTACCTATGTAACAAACCTGCGTATCCTGCACACGTACCCCAGAAATGAAAATAAAAGTTGGAAATTTAAAAAAAACTAATAACCAAACAAAAATTCAACACATCAGGATACAAAAAAATTATTCAAAGAATAGCAAAGAGCAAGAAGACAGTGATGGAGTGGTTCTAATTTAGAAAAGGTGGTTAGGAGAGGCCTCCCCAAGACAGTGGTATTTGAACAAAGCCCTGAATAAAGTGAAAACACAAGCCATGAAAATAGCCACAGGGAGAGTATTCTAGAAGGAGGGAACAGCTAGTGCAAAGACTAAGGGGGGAGAATATTTGTCATATCCAAGGACCTGCAAAGAGGCCGATATGCTAGAGTAGAATAGGACATGGTAGGTGGCAAGGTTGGAGGGGTACATGTGGGGACAGCAAATCACATAGGGCACTGAAGGCCATTCTATGGGAGGCTTGACCAGGGGATCTGATGTGAAAGGTGTTATAAAGACCCATCTGGCCGTTTCGGTGGAGGGGACTATGGAAGCAAGGCTGGACATATAGAATGTGATGAAATTCAGCCCACTCTATTGGATACTGAGAGGGATAGAAGATGAAGACAGCATTTGGTCTTCTTTGATGGAGGAAAGAAACAAGTAAACAAATAATTCAAACATGGCTAAGCCATGGTACGAACAAGAGCCATCAATTCTGACTCAGCGATAATGACTGCCACTTCTTACTCACTGACAACATGCCTCATGTTCCTCACCGTTTATCTGGCTCATTCCTCCAAAACACTCCACAGGGAGGAAGCATTAGCCACAGGCCATCAAATGGCAAATGCCCCCGTTTCTCAGCACCGACGTTGTCAACAGCATACAATGACAAATGGAGGCCCCAAGAGGTCCATTTTTGTCCTTCCATTTTTAAGCAACTTGCTCAGAAATCAAGCTCATTGTAAATGGCAGAGCTGGAATTTAAGCCCAGGCAGCCTGACTCCAAAGCACAGCTCTGAACCAGGCCGCTACATTGCCACCAAATGTCTTCCCTGTAGGTATTTGGGCTTCTGGCCTCTGGTTTGGGGAAACAGAAAAATGAGCAATGAAAATACAAAGAGCTCTCGAAATGATAAAGCAGAGTTTTATGATGCTGAGGATGGTTGTAAAAGCAGCAATAGGTTTTAATGAGCTAAGAATTCTTTTAGCCCAGAAAAGTGATTTATATCTTTCCCAGTGCTATACTCCCAAATGACAAAAAACATCATTTTTTCCCAGCCTCCTACAAGTTGCTCTATCTTATTTATGTTGTTCTCCACACAAATGGAGAAAACTCTTTTCTTCTTAAAATTCAAATCCATTCCTGCTTAATTTTCCTCTCCTTTTATTTTGGTTTTGTCCTTTCAGGGAAGTCCCCCTGCTAATTGTAAGGGCAGTTGTGATGGACATCCACTAACCCCAAGATGGCAAATGTCTGGCCATTGTGCCATCTCTCTCTCTCTCTCTCTCCTCTTGTGTCCACAGCAGACATCTCTAATTGATACTGGTGTCCTCCGCCTGTCCTTTCTGAGATTTCACAGTGCTTTCACAGCACTCCAGAGCATTAGATGCTACCAATAGATCAACGTTAAACCCATGTGCCATCTTTGAAGTTATAGTCTTTCTCAAGGCCTTGGTTATGAAAACGGGGATCATCTCACTCAGGGATACTCTTTGAAATACCCATCAGGTTTCTTAGCTCAGAAGCCATGGTGAACGCAGATACCTGGTAAGAGGCAGCATACGCATAGTAAGGATGGCTGGTGGGTTGTATTAAAGGGGGCCTGGAAAGGGGAGAGCCGAGATGCATGAATAGCACTTGGGAGGCTACCATCTCGTAATAATCCAGACAAGAGAGGAAGATGGCCAAATTGAGGTAACAGCAGCGGAAATGGGAGAAGGTTTTGCAGAGTTTTTTCAAGCTGTGGGTCATGAAATCAATTTGCTGGGTCATGACCACCACTTCTTAAAAATGAAGTAATAAAATAGAATAGGTATTGTTTGGTGAAGCTCATTTCAGCCCTTATATTACATGTGTGTATCAGGTTTCAACGTAAAAGATATGTCTTACTATGGGT
Organism: Homo sapiens; assembly: GCF_000001405.40. NCBI lineage: Eukaryota > Metazoa > Chordata > Mammalia > Primates > Hominidae > Homo > Homo sapiens. The sequence continues at coordinate 73,320,503 of NC_000003.12, read as the reverse complement.
TGCAGTCTATGATAGGTTAAATAACAGTCCCCAGGCCCCTTACTAAAGACCTCCATACCGTAATCCCCTGAACCTGTGAATATGTTACATTACATGGCAAAAAGGACTTTGCAGATAGAATTAAGGTTACTAATTAGCTAATCTAGAAATATGGAAATTTTCCTGGATTGTGGACCCAGTGATTTCAGACTGGTGGGACCTCAAACCAAGAAAACAGCCTGGCCCACAGGACTTTTGGCCTACAGAATTTTTAGATAATACATAGGTATAGTTTCAATCCTCCAAACATGTGGCAATTTGTTGTTGCAGCAGCAGAAAACTAAAAATGGCTTGAAAAAAGTTTGACAGTTTCTGATGCAGGAGTTTAGAATCAGATTACTGGGTTCTACTTCCTAGTTATTCTTGTATTTAGTAGCCTGTGACCTTGGGCATGTTATCCAACATTTCCTTGGATATAAAACTGAGGTATAATAGAGCAAACTCACTGGGTTTTGGAGGGACCAGGACCAAAATCAATGGTGGTAATGCACATAAAATGTTCAGAGTGATAATTATTATTATGACTTTGATTTAGTAGAAAGGCAAGCTCTTGACCTTCAGTTTCTTATCTGAAAAATGGAGATAATACGACTCCCTCATTTGGTTGGGGTCAAGAACTAATCAAGTATTATAAAATGAGGCCCAGAAAACTCCCTAAAAATTATAGATAAAAGATGACAAGAAACTACTAGTTCTTCACTTCAATATCTGCTCTCTTATTCTTCCTTATTAATATAACCTCCAACTTTTAGCAGAGACATGTCTGCTCAGGATAAAGAGGATGTGACCCAGTCTCCCTGGGAGCTTGATGTAGCCATATGACTTAAGTGCTGGCTAGTCACATGTAAGCAGAAGTGTTATATGCAGCTTCCAGAAAGTCTTCTTAAAAGGCGGTGGACAGACCCTTCTTCTACTGTCTTTTCTGTTGACAGGCATGAGGTCATGATGGCAGGAATTCAAGCAGCCGTTTGAGACTATGAGATTGAGAACTCCAGAGCAGCAGGATAGAAAAAAGGCTGAGTCCTTGGGGATTTACGGGGCCACGTTTACAGCCTGAATTGCCTATCTCAGTGCTTTGTTTAGACAAGAGAGAAACAAACTTTATTAGTATGTTTTCATACTGTTGTAAAGAACTGCCTGAGACTGGGTAATTTATAAAGAAAAGAGGTTAATCGTAAGTTACACCTGAGGCTAGAGAGGCCTCAGGAAACATACAATCATGGTGGAAGGTAAAGGGGAAGCAAGGTACCTACCTTCTTTGCAAGGCAGCAGGAAGGAGAAGTGCAAGCATATGCCAGATGCTTATAAAACCATCAATCAGATCTCATTCACTATCATGAGAACAGCATGGGGGAAGCTGCCCATATGATCCAATTACCTCCACCTGGTCCTGCCCTTGACACATGGGGATTATGGGAATTACAATTCAAGATGATATTTGGATGGGGACAAAGCCAAACCATAACACTTCTGACACTTGTGTTGTAGAACTTACAGGGCTCACAGCTTTACAATTTGCTACTCACAGCATCAAGCAACTCACCACAAGTTGAAGCTCTTTGATCAACCAGTTTATTATATTAATGATGCTTTAAAACTTTGCAAACTGCTATACACATATGCCAACAGCTCTCCAAAGGATCCCAAATATTTATAAAACAACTATATAGATTCTTTTAAATGCTTAAAGTAAGGTGAAGTATTTACATGGAAATGTTTTAACTCAATAAGACATTTTTCAAATGGCTCAGTTTGTCTCATGGATCAGTCATCAGGAAAAATAAACTAACTTGGCATCTTTGTGTGGACTCATAAAGGAAATTAGCTTGCAGTCCACAAGGAAGTTGCTTTTCATGCACCCAATTGTGTTGTGTCAAAAGAATCAATAAAGATGAACGATTTCAAGATGAATATCCCAATATAATCCATTAGAGTGCATGGGTCATTTGCATTTTCTAAAGATGCAAATAATGAAATCAGGACGAAGAGTAATCCAAAACAATTTTCTACCTTCCAGAGAAGCCAAAGCATACAAGTGGAATGAGAAGCTCCCTCTTATGTTATTCAGAGCAAGACTCTGGCCCAACCAGTTCATCTCACACATAACTCCGAGGTCCCCAAATCCAGAGGCATTTGAAATTTATTAAATGAACTGGCCCTTCCTGACAGAAATCATGAACCAATTTTAATTCAAAAGGAAGCCTCCAAAAAAATACATCATTGTGTGATTTGAGAAAAGAAGGGCATTTACCATGGGTGGCACAACATACTCATGATCTTACTTAGTCCTTATAATATCCCAGGAGGCAAGTATTGTTCTCTCTTGCAGATGAGGAGTGTGAGATATGAAGCGACTTCTGCAAGATCACAGGGAGACACCGGCAGAATGAAGAAAGAAACCAAACTCTGTTTGATGTAATAGCCTACAGCAGAGCTGTGCAGTAAACATCTAATATGACCCACATATGTGATTTAAACATTTTAGTAGCCACATTAAAAAAAGAAGCAAGTGAAATTAAAGCTAGCACTCTTTCTGATTTTGACCCAATAGATTCAAAACATTATCATTTCAACATGTAATCAATATAAAAATTGAGATATTTCACACATTCCTTTGTATTAAGTCTTCAAAAACTTGTGTGTATTTGACATTTATATCACATCTTCATTCTGACTAGCCACATTTCAAGTGCTCAATAGACATGTGTGGCTAGTGGCGACTGTATTAGACAGCATAGGCCTAGAGTAATACTCAGCATTGTTACCTACCATTTCATTTTTACATACAGTGATAAGCCCCAAATGCCTGAATTTGTAGACTTATAAAATTGTAATAACCTGATGAGGCCCTACACGGTTGCCTATTTTTAATTTTGCCAAGTATATTGGTTTGCTTAGGCTATGTCATGATGCACTAACAAGCAACCCCAAATCTCAATGGCTTGCAGCAACAAAATTTTATTTCCCTGCTATGCAACATACCTATTATGAGTTGGCTGCCACTCTGCTCCTCGTCATCCTCAGTCTGAGACCCAGGCAGATGGTACAGGCAATACCCTGTGGAAGAAGGAAGAGAGATACTAGAGAATGTTTCTCTCTAGATATATACTGTCTCTTAAAGATTCTGCTATGAAAGGGTACATTTGACGAATGAAATAGCCAAAGCAAGTCTCATGGCCAACCTTCATATCTTGGGGGACAGAGTAGGAAAGGATATGTGGTTCTCCTCTGCAGATGGGCAACAAATACTTTGAATAACAACCTAATCTCCAACTCCAAGGAAGGACTTAATAACACTAAATTTATTATCATTTCAAAAATGATCTTTTAAGACCACAAAAGTGGGAAGGAGAGAATGCATTATTCTTATTTTCTCATCTCACCAGAAACTGGTGAAATCTATCCCTTGGACAGAGAGTCAGGATTTGGGATCATTGATCTATGGAGTGACCACACCTACTCTGCTTTGCCCCATTTTCTAAACCGTATGGTTTCCAGACGTTCTGAGTTTTCCAAGTCTTTTAAAATCCATGTAATGTGATATGCACCAAGTAATAATTTATTTCTAAAAGTGATTTACACAGATTTTCACTGTCTACTTTTGTACATTTCTGTACTATTTGATTTTTTAAAAAAATATATAGTTTGGCCATAAGAAAAAAATAAACATAAACATTTAGCTCAACTCACAGGGGACCAGTGATGGGGTTGAGGGTAGGTTTTGCCTCCAAGTATGAGTGAGGCAAACAGCCTCCTGTGTACCATAGGGGTGCCAGCCACTCAGGCTCATTTCCCCTCAAGTTCTGCTTTATAATGCAGTTTAAGACTTAGGAGATTGGACAGGTTTAAATTCCTCAAAGGAGCCATGTTGACCCATCCAAAGGAACCATCCAATAGCTTACAGAGTGAATTGAAAACCTGCCTTCTCCCTCCAAAGCAAATGTTTGCACAAATAAAACACCCAGCAAATATTACACCAGTAACGCAAAGATGTCCATTTCTCTTAGATGGATGAATTACAAAGCCCCAAACTTCCAGTCACAGTTCAGTAAAGTCCTCATGAAATCATAAGGCATTTTCTTTTCTGGAAAAAAAAATGAGGTAAGTATGACCAAAAGTCATAGCACCTTGTATAGCCCCAGGAAACCAGCAGAACTTTATTAATCTTTAGATTAATATTTGGACACTTTAATTAAAAAAAAAGCAGCTACCCTGGGTCTCTCAAGAAAACTTATTATATCTTTAAAGTATATCTATTTTTAAATAATAAATATCTAAACAAATAAATGCCACAGGCCCAAAGTCCCACAATGCACAGGAACAATTTCATTGCTCTTTTTACTGCTCCCAATATCACAAAAGTTTACAATTAATAGCCACCAACGTGAAAGAAGAAAAAGATAAAGAAAATGTTTATTGCTTTAGAAAAAGTGGTGCTCCCCTCTCAGCTCTGTAAACACCCTCCTTTCTGAGTGTCGCTGAGTAAAAGAGACAGAATAAAACATGTTCTTAATGTGGACGCCATGCATTTCCGCAGACAGAAGCTGAGACGTGGCAGGAAGCACGAGCTCCAGAGCAGGGGGCTGGAGGGAGGAGGGTATCGATGATGCTCCCTAACGCAATTACTGCCAGTGACAGACAGTGTAAAATTCATATCGCCTCTGAGCAGGATAAAAAATGTGCCAAGGGGCATCTGAGTTTGAATTAAGGTCATCAAAATGCCAAAGGGGGAAGAATATCTGAAGTTAAAACGAAAAAAAAGGGGCTTATCTTGAGATTTGTGAGTTTTCTTTTTTCCTTCTGCATTCTTGATTTCAAGTATATATGTAGTTCATTCATTTATTCATTCAATAAACATATGTCAGGAACTGGAAACAGTAATAATAGTAAAATACAATATTTTTTATGTTCCTAAGTATGAAATTGCATCAATTTATGAATTAAATTTGAAGAACGTCACAGATTTAAAAACAAAGTACAAAAGTGCCTGATTCTTTTTAGTTCCACAAATACCTAGCATCCCAAAGTAACATGTAAACAAATTTCTATGCTGCTCAATGAATCCTTCCAATTTCGATAATAAACTAAATAGTATCAGATCTAGTATATGACTTTGATGTGTTAAGTTATGGTTTTATCCATTACTTTGACAATATTATTGATGTAACAGATGTAATATATGATGTAACAGATGTATTTCAACTATTGTAAAATACAATACTTTTAAAATCCAAATAACTTAGTATTTTTTTAAAATAGTACACATTCTAATCTTGTCATGTGTTAATAGTATTGTTAAAACAACAACAACAACAACTTTTAACTAGGTTTCTTGTTAATTTGATGTTCTTGATAACTGGACCAGGTAGAATGAGAGCTGATTTTTACTGCGTCTCCAATAAAACACACACACACACACACACACACACACACACACTCACCATGTTTCTTCTATATTGCAGGAAATAAGCAGCTTTTGCATGTGTCAAAGGATATTTTACTAAGTATTTTTCCTTGTGATTTTTTTTTCTTTTTATTTTCCCTTCAGCCCTTTCACCACTAAGGCTAAGCCATGATGCTAACTGGGAAAGGAAAAGGCAGTTTCCCCCACAACAATGAAGTCCACAGAGCAGGGAGATATCAAGACACCAGAAGCAGCAGCTCAAGAGAGAAAGCAAGACAGAGACTTAACAGCTCAGAGCCCTCAATTCGCTCCTTCCTCTGCCCTTAGGGTTGAAACTTGAGAGAAGGAAATGGTAGAAACTTTGGGGCTGGCACCCTGCTTCCCCCTAGATCACCTGGGGGGACCCTTCACCCCTTTGAGAGAAGTATGGGAAGAAGACAGTCCCAGGTAAAGGTCTTGGCCTCAGGTCTGGCCTCTGATTCCCTCTACCTGCATGTGCTTAGATGAGACGTTCTTAAGGGACCCAGGAGGCGGTGGTGGAAGTTCTCAGAGGACTGGAGAGATCTCATGAACAGAGGTGTGGCCAAGTCTGCAGTCACCAGCAGCAGGGGACAGATGCAAAACTCAGAGACTGAGCATTCACCAGAACGACAGCCCAGCCCATCTCAGCCACACCACAGCAGGCACCAGTCCAGGCACAGAGGGTCTCCCATCACCCAGCTGTCCCGTGAGGTGGTTAGCCTGCTCCTCAACCAGATACCACTCAGGGGTAATAGAAAGGGGAAGAGAGAAGAGAATCAACATTTATTCAAAGACACAGTTACCCTGAGAGCAGCTGTTTGAAACCAGAAGAGGCACAGCAACATTTACTTGGCAAGTCTGTTTCTTTGGCCTAGTGGAATAAGCAGGTGCAAACACTACAATTTTTTCAACTTTCTCGGTAACAGAATCCTGGTTTTCAACTGGGTACATTGCCTTCAAACCAGAAGATTGGATTTCCCAACCTCTCTTGCTGCTTAGGTATGACCAGGTAATTAAGTTTTGGCCAATAAGATGTAAAGAGATCCCAATAGCTTTGTTCTTTTTGCTTAGGATTGCAGTGGCTATTTGGGCTCTTTTTTGGTTCCATATGAATTTTAAAAATTTTTTTCTAGTTCTGTGAAGAATGTCAATGGTAGTTTAACAGGAATAGCATTTAATCTATAAATTGCTTTGGGCAGTATGGCCACTTTAACAAAATTGATTCTTCCCATCCATGAGCATGGAATGTTTTTCCATTTGTTTGTGTCATATCTGATTTCTTTGAGCAGTGTTTTGTAGTTCTCCTTATAGAAATATTTTACTTCCCTGTTTAGCTGTATTCCTAGATATTTGTTTTCCTTTCTTGCAATTGTGAATGAGATTGCATTCCTGATTTGGCTCTCCGCTTCACTGTTGTTGGTGTGTAGAAATGTGAGTGATTTTTGCACACCGATTTTATATCCTGAGACTTTGCTGAAGTTGTTTATCAGCTTACGAAGCTTTTGGGCTGAGATTATGGGATTTTCTAGATATTTCCTACAGGGCTACAGTAACCAAAACAGCATGCTACCAGTACAAAAAGAGGCACAGAGACAAATGGAACAGAATAGAGAACCCAGAAATAATGCTGCATACCTACAATTATTTGATTTTTGACAAACCTGACCAAAAAAAGCAATGTGGGAAGGATTCCATATTCAATAAATGCTGCTGGGATAACTGGCTAGTCATATGCAGAAGATTGAAACTGGACCCCTTCCTTGCACCATATACAAAAATAAACTCAAGATGGATTAAAGACTTAAATGTAAAACACAAAACTACAAAAACCCTGGAAGACAATCTAGGCAATGCCATTCTGGACATAGGAATGGGCAAAGATTTCATGATGAAGATACCAAAAGCAATTGCAACACAAGCAAAAATTGACAAATGGGATCTAATCCAACTAAAGAGCTTCTGCACAGCCAAAAAAAATAAAAACTATCAACAGTAAACAACCTACAGAATAGGAGAAAATTTTTGCAAACTGTGCATCTGACAAAGGTCTAATATCTAGCATCTATAAGGAACTTAAACAAATTTACAAGAAAAAAACAATCCCATTAAAAGTGGGCAAAGGACATGAACAACACTTTTCAAAAGAAGACATACATGCAGGGTTGGGCATGGTGGCTCACACTTGTAATCCCAGGATTTTGGGAGGCCAAGGGGGGTGGTTCATGAGGTCAGGAGATCAAGACCAGCCTGGCCAACAAGGTGAAACCCTGTCTCTACTAAAAATATAAAAATTACCCAGGGGTGATGGCAGGTGCCAGTAATCCCAGCTACTTAGTTGGGAGGCTGAGGCAGGAGAATCGCTTGAACCCAGGAGGTGGAGGTTGCAGGTTTCAGTGAGCTGAGATTGCACCATTTCACTCCAGCCTGGGCGACAGGGGGAGACTCTGTCTCCAAAAAAAAAAAAAAAAAAAAAAAAAAAAAAAAAAAAAAAAAAAAGAAGACGATGTACATGCAGCCAACAAGCATATGAAAAAAAAGCTCAAATTCACTGATCATTAGAGAAACACAAATCACAACCACAATGAGATACCATCTCATACCAGTCAGAATGGCTACTATTATAAAGTCAAAAAATAACAGATGCTGGTGAGGTTGCAGAGAAAAGGGAATACTTATACACTTGATGAGAGTGTAAGTTAGTTCAACCATTGTGGAAGATGGTGTAGAGATTCCTCAAAGATCTAAAAACAGAACTACCATTTAACCCAGTAATCTCATTACTGGGTATATACCTAGAGGAATATAAATCATTCTGTTATAAAGACACATACACATATATGTTCATTGTAGAACTATTCACAATAGCAAAGACATGGAATCAACATAAATGCCCATCAGTGATTGACTGGATAAAGGAAATGTGGTACACGTACATCATGGAATACTATGCAGCCATAAAAAGACGAGATCATATCCTTTGTAAGAACATGAATGGAGCTGCAGGCCACTCTGCAGGCCACTATCCTTAGTGAAATAACACAGGAACAGAAAACCAAGTACCATGTGTTCTCACTTATCTGTGGAAGCTAAATGATGAGAACACACAGACATTGTTGGGAACAACACACACTGGGTCCTATCAAAGGGTGGAGGGTGGGAAGAGGGAGAAGATCAGGAAAAATAACTAATGGGTACTAGGCTTAATACCTGGGTGACAAAATAATTTGTACAACAAACCCCCATGACACAAGTTTACCTATATAACAAAGCTGCACATGTACCCCTGAATTTAAAATAAAAGTTAAATAAATTTTTTTAAAAGATGTAAATAGAAACGTTGTGTGAGACTCCCACAAAGTCTCCTTAAAAGATTGTGAGCAGAGACTTCTCTTCTTTCTCCTTCATGCTGCCTGGAACCTGGCTGTGATGCTTGGCACTCCAGCAACCATTTTGGGCCATGAGCCAATGATCACACATTCTAAGGATGGAGAACAAATGGCTAGAAGCAGCCAGGGTCTCCAATGCCTTTGTGGTACCATCATATTAGCCCTGAACTTCCATCTCTAGACTTAGTTTTTTAAACATAAAAGAGAAGTTAAGTTAATCTTATTTTTTCCTTTCATTTTTCTGTTACTAAAATATACAGCTGAAACAGTCTTAATATAGTGGCATGTGAGCTATATGACATCAATAACAGCACATAAGAAAATAGAATTTTTAGATACCTAATAAATAATGTAATATTTCTCCTGCAACAACAAATATATCTTTTTATATTTTGTACCATGTTGGAAGTAGTTAGATGTAACTACAGTGGGGGCCAAAATTTATTTTTAAAATAACTATTAAAAACTGTCAAAACAGGTTAATTCCAGTCTTTTGGAGGACAAACTGGTTTGATCTTATTGTCTTAAGAGGATGACAAACTATTCAACTGATTGCTCTGGTATAATGGAAATGTAATTCAATTTTTAACAATTCTAAAAGTTTATCAGCTGTGACAGTCTTAAATAGAACCTGAAAACCCGCCGGCCACTCTGAAAGCATTTCTCTGTGCCCACCTACCCCAGCTTCTAAGATAAAGGTGTGCATAGGGTTCCAAGGAATTTCAGTCACATCATGATTGTTTCAAAACTGCATTTTGACACTTCTGGATACATTAGTCAGACTCACATCATTCATTTTAGAATTTGCCCTTGCCCTTCAAAACTCAAGAAAATGTGCATGGTAGAAAGTGGTTTAATAGTAAGCAAAATAGGAGAAATTTCCCCCAAAGCTACCAAATCAAATAGTGGCCAAGATATTGCTGGTTATTTGGAATTATTTATGTGCCTGTGAGAATAAAGAACCTAAGATGAGGGTATTTTTTTATCCTAATGATAAATACAGATAGACCATAAAACTGCCTGTTAGCTGGCATAGACAATTGTATTAAAGGAAACCTTGTAAATTTCAAAAGCCTATGAACAAGATGTAGAAAATCGCCTACGTTTATGGTGCCATTTATCAAAAGACTTCAATAAGTGTTAGAAACTTATGTGTGTGCTCTTACGGGAAGAATTCACATGGACCCTAAAATGAAACAAAATTCTTTTTTTTTTTTTTGAAAAAAAAAATCACAGCATCAACTCTAGCCCATCAAGAGGGAGTTTAAATGGGCTAGATTCAAGCCTTTATTATTAAATGACTCGCAAGAACATCAAAACCCCATCATTTATCCAGGTAAGGAGAGAAAATGAGACAAAATTTAACTGATTGGATTTGAAAAAACGCTGAGCAGCTATTCTGCAATATTGTGTTAAAAATACTTAGGCTTTCTGATTCTGAGCTTTATTTCGATTCTACCAAAGCAGCATACAGTTTTTTTTTTTTCAGTAGCGGAAACGCAATGTCCTGGAATTCAAAGTTTGGCTGGAGTAAAGCTCTTAAGCTGATGTGGGTACTGACACAACAACAACAATAACAGTAATTATAATAGGAAGAAAAGCAAAATGTCAACATAACCTATCACCTGTTTGATAATGTGGTCTCACTGCCTTGTCTCACTGCCTCCTCACGGAGGACTTGGAATGTTATGCCATCTATTTGTACATTCCAAACCCCATAAGGCAGGGATTTGTATCATTTGATTCACTTCAGCATCCCGTCCAACATCTAAAACAGTGCCTGACATATCATAAGAGTTCAAAAAATATTTGCTGTAAAAATGAACAAAGGAACAAATCAGAAGCCTTCTCATCAATAGAAATTGCCCAGTTTGGCTAGGTGCAGTGGCTCACGCCTGTAGTCCCAGCACTTTGGGAGACCGAGACAGGCAGATCACAAGGTCAGGAGTTCGAGACCAGCCTGGCCAACATGGTAAAACCCTGTCTCTACCACAGATAAAAAAATTAGCTGGGCGTGGTGGCATGTGCCTGTAATCCCAGCTACTCGGGAGGCTGAGGCAGGAGAATCACTTGAACCCTGGAGGCGGAGGTTGCAGTGAGCCGAGATTACACCATTGCATTGTAGCCTGGGCAACGGGGTGAGACTCCATCTCAAAAAAAAGAAAGAAACTGCCCAGTTCAGGTATGCAACCTGGGCTTCTAAGCAGACCTTATCGTACTTCTCAGGGTGACAAGAGGCATTGCGATTTAAAATCTCAGCTCTGGGGATATGTTGCATCCTTACCGACAATGGGTGTAACATCTAACTTCCCTGTGGCTCAGGCTCCAGCTGTGCAGAGTAGGAAGTAATTGCTGGTAGGCAGCTGAGTATTAAATGCTTTAATGTATATAAATCACTCAGCACAGTGACTTTCAACTGGGGCCATTTTTTCCTCCCAGGGGATATTTGGTACTATCTTGAGGCATTTTTAAGTCTCATAACTGGGAGTAGGGTGCCACTGGCATCCAGTGGATAGAGAACAGGGATCCTGCTCAACACCCTGCAATGCTTAGGATAGCTCCCTACAACACAGAATTATCTGTCCGATAATATGTCATTAATGCCCAGGTTGCAAAACCCTTAGTGATGTGTCTTACTCGGAGAAAGGACTCAGTGGGTACTTAATATATTTAAGTAAGGAGTGACTAAAATGAGCAAGGAAAAAAAGCCAAGGTGCTGTTTGTAAATTGATTTGTTTTTCCCCTGAAGTCTAGATTAGTGTCTTCTCAGTCCATCCTGGCCTAATCTCAACAACCCCCATCCCTAAGAAAGGTAGCCAGTCACACCCCAGCAGTCTAAATGCACCAGCCTCTGGCTCCATGTTGCGGTATCCCTGGAGCTTCTGTTTAAAAATGCCTTCCTCCAAGTTTCCCCAGCTGATTTCGGAGAAAGATGTGCCTGGGACAGTGCTCTTGCCTGCAGAGCCACAGGGCAGGGTTTTAAACAGATTTATAGGAGGCTAAGTACAGAGCAAGAAGTGCCAAGGAAACTAGAACCCTTCTGGCAAAAAAGTGCAGTTTTCTTGTAGGAACCTTCAAGTTTTCCAGTGTAGATATAAAGAAATTATAAAGAATACCTTGTTCCAACTCCTAAGCTGGAATAGTGACATCCAAATTCCTATGGGCTGAACTGTGTTCTCCCTAAAATTCCTATGTTGAAGTCTTAACACCCAGTAACTCAGAATGTGATTGCATTTGGAGATAGGGTCTTCAAACAGATAATTAAGGTAATGAAGCCTTATGGGTGGGTTCTAATCCAATCTGACTGGTGTCTTTATGAAAAGAAGAGATTAGGACATACAGAGTGACATCAGATACGTGCATGCACAAAGGAAAGACCACGTGAGGACATGGCAAGATGGTGGCCACCTCCTGCCCAGGAGAGAAGGCTCAGAAGAAACCAAACTTACCGGCACCTTGATATTGGACTTTGAGTCTCCAGAACTCTAAAAAAATCAATGTCTATTGTTTAAAGCCACCCAGTCTAGGGTATGTTGTTATAGCAGCCTATGTGTACCCATCATGGATGGTCCAGCATGACTGTTACATATTGCTGACCCAAGGTAGAATGGGCCACACTTTTATTTCTAAAAAATTTTCTAAAGGCTGATTTTCCCTCATTATAACTGTTAACTCTTACTTGGAGTAGACAAATGATTCAAGAGATCCTGGGTCCCCTGCCACCTTGGGCAAGTTACCTAATCTCTCCAGACTTCACTTACTGCGTCTTTAAAATACTGATTCATTCGTGGATTCAACAGTAATTTTTTGAATCCTCATTTGCTAGACACTGCGTTAGATACTAGCAACATATTGGTGAACCAGAAGAAATGATCCCTACCTTCATAAAGTTCAGATTCTTTTTTTTTTTTTTTTTTTTTTTGAGATGGAGTTTTGTACTTGTTGCCCAGGCTGGAGCACAGTGGCGCAATCTTGGCTCTCTGCAACCTCCGCCTCCTGGGTTCAAGCAATTCTCCTGCCTCAGCCTCCTGAGTAGCTGGGATTACAGGTGCTTGCCACCATGTCCAGCTAATTTTGTATTTTTAGTAGAGACGGGGTTTCTCCGTGTTCGTCAGGCTGGTCTCAAACTCCCAACTTCACGTGATCCGCCCACCTCGGCCTCCCAAAGTGCTGAGATTACAGGCATGAGCCACCGCGCCCAGCCTATGAAGTTCAGATTCTAATGGGGGTAAGGGGATCAAAACAAAAGTAAACAGACAAAACTGTTACAAATAGTAGGGACCATGACAGTACCTCTTTCACTGGGTTGCTGTGGGGATTAAATGAGATAACACGTATCAAGGCCTTAGTGCAAAAACTGGTCCCTAGTCCATGCTCAATTAACTCCAAGTATTAAAATTTTTGTTATGATCTCACCCCAGGAAGATCCATCTTTCCAGCATTAAAAAGCAGCATACTGCTGACAAAAGGATGTCCACCCAGTATTTATTTACTGTCTCAAGGTAAGCATTATCTTCAAAACCCAAAGGCACATGTGAACAGCAGTTGGGGCTGGGGATAGGGGGAGGGATTTAGGACTATCATCACTAAGAGCACAGGAGGGCTCTGGAGTCTGAGAGGACTGGGTTTCAATCACAGCTCACTGTGCATTAGCTGTGTGATCCTAGGCATATTATGTAGCTTCTCCTAGGCTTGGCTTTCCCATCTGTAAAATGAGCTAATAATGATGCCACAGATTGGTTTTATGAGCAGCTAATGAAATGATGTATGTAAACCATTTAGCATAGTTCCTGTTGCATAGTAAACTCTGGGTACACATAATATACTTTCTAAATTATAAAATTAGGGTAGTTCAATTCATCTCCAAACACATCTTGGAGTGCATTTTCAAGGGTCTGTCTGGATTCCCTTAGCCTGCTTCCCCTCCTTCACATCCTATAACACTCATTTAAAAAAAAAAAAAAACTTGCTAGCACCTCCTGTTTCCTCTCAAACCACCATATCTTGTGCCTACTAGGACCCACTGTCCTCTGTCTTCTCTGTCACTCCATTGTTTCAGTCACTGTTGTCTACAAGTTGAGGAATGGCTGTAATTGCAAACAAAGTCTGCCAGTGATTGCAATAATCTCAGGAAGAATCACAAGGAGTAAGAGTGAGTATGGGGACACTTAAAAATAGATATAGTTTTGTGTAAGGCTTTTTAAGAAGCTGTGCAACTGGACCCAGGTTAAACTCTTTTGATGATACAGGAACTGTGCCTTACATGTATGTATACGGGTGCGCATGTGGGTGAGTGCATGCGTGCACACACATAGCCTTCCTGTCCCCTCCCTACAGAGTAGCCCTGCGGGCTCCAGAAACCAAAAGACAAACAAGCCAAGAATTAGACATCTATAGACATCCCAGGAGACAAAGATCTACTGGGGGACTGTCAACCCAGATGTCAGAACTGCCTGAGTTTTATAATCTGTCATGTGCAGGTGATCTGAAAGCAGCCTTTGGTGACATAAAGAATAATTCCAGCTTAAATAAAATGCCATGCATCAATTCCTCTATTTAATGCAGGAAGGACTTTAAAACAGGAATGCAGGAACATTTTCCTGGAGAGTAAAGGGCCGCTTGACTTGTCTCTTGTTTCTGTTTTGTTTGGTTTATGCTTGGCTTTAAGAGAGAAAAACCCCTGCCCACTCTGTTCAACATAAAATCCACCCTCTCCCCGCAGCCTCCTGGGCCACAGTGAGCCCACCTCCTGCTCCAGTTAGTACCCAGTTTGAGGCCAGAGGAGATCAGGCCATCTCACAAGCAAGATTTCAACCCAGATGTGGGAAGAGCAGAAATCTACAGCTAAATTGTAAACCAGACAGAAAAACTTATCAACTCTTAGTGATGAGGGTAGCGGCCTCATCACTGGATCTGTGCCTGCCGCTGCAGGAGAACAGGGCTCTAGGCTATAAATTGATATATGAGAGCAAAGGAAATCATGCCCAATAACATGAGCAGCCTGATGCAAACTCCTGCTGAGAGACAGCACCTATCCCGGGCCCAGGAAACTCATTCTCTCGGCTACTTGATGTTACTCATAAACAGATTTTCTCTCATTGTGTGTGTTTGGGGAGAAACTGTAGTTACCAGGCCACTACTAACCTATTCTCCTATCTTCCTGTCTAAGGCAGAACACACCCTTTGGCCTTGCAATTCTACTTCTAAAAATTCATAAAGAAATGTGGATAAGAACAGTCATTAATTTATTGCTAATAATAACAAACATTTGAAAATAACCCAAAACATCTATGCATAGAAGGAGTAAATATAGTATGAAATGCCATGTAGCTATTTTAAAAATTAGATGTAGATCTATACATATTAACATGGAATTTGGTATCAATAACATTTAAATTAAAAAGACAAAATATTACATACAACACTGCCCCATTTATGTTAACATGTGTGCATGCATTTGCATATACATACATTTGTTTTTAAATAACAAATAAGTCTGGAAGAAAGTATATCAAAGTGTTAACAGTGTCTATTTCTTTTTTTTTTTTTTTTTTTTTGAGATGGAGTTTCGCTCTTGTTGCCCAGGCTAGAGTGCAGTGATGCGATCTCGGCTCACCGCAACCTCTGCCTCCTGGGTTCAAGTGAGTCTCCTGCCTCAGCCTCCCAAGTAGCTGGGATTACAGGCACCTGCCACCATGCTCAGCTGATTTTTGTATTTTTAGTAGAGACGGAGTTTCAGCATCTTGGCCAGGCTGGTCTCGAACTCCTGACCTCGTGATCTGCCCTCCTTGGCCTCCCAATGTGCTGGGATTACAGGCGTGAGCCACCATGCCCAACCAACAGCGTCTACTTCAGGTAGGTGGGATTAGGGGTGCTTTATATTTGCTTCATATTTTGCGTTATCCAATTTTCTTAAAAAAAAAAATTACAGTAATAACCTGACACAAAGTTTGTTCCTTTCTTAGAGAAAACAAGAAAGGAGTATAAGGATTTGTCTAAATGTAACATTTTACCAAACATAAAGTCTGGGGAATGTGACCAGCTTCCCAGTTTGGTCAGGGCGGGCCTGAGTTTCGGTTACCAGACTGAAAGGGACCATGTCTTGCCAGCTCTGCTAAGTCATTGCTAAGGTGTCTGCCAATAATGACTGGCCACTTAGGGGCATTTACAGTTCAGAAGTGGGTGGGGGAAGCCAATGTGCAAAGCTTCCAGAGCAGACTTTTTGTGGTTCTTGTAAATCTCCCCAATCCACAGGGATAGGTGTTCTTTCTCCCTACCCCTAACCCACCATGTTGATTTTGTTGGAGGTACATGCCTGTCGCTTGACTCAAAATAGGCAAGTCAGTTTCCATCTTCTGGAGGCTTGAAATTTAGACAGAGAAAGAATTGGTGTCACGGGTTGAACTGTGTCTCCTGAAAATCCATATGTTGGAATCCTAACCTCCAATTCCTCAGAATGTGACCTTATTTGAAATAGGGTTGTTGCAGATATAACTAGTCTGGATGAGGTCATTAGGATGGGCCCTAATCCAATGACTGGTGTCCTTACACGAGGAGAAATTTGAACGCAGACACATGTACTCAGGGAGAACATCATGGGAATGTAAGGGCAGAGATGGTGGCGATACTTCTACAGGCCAAGGAATACAAAAGTTGCCAGAAAACCACTGGAGAGAGGGGCATGGAACAGATTCCCACAGCTCTCAGAAAACCAAC
Organism: Homo sapiens; assembly: GCF_000001405.40. Classification (NCBI taxonomy): domain Eukaryota; kingdom Metazoa; phylum Chordata; class Mammalia; order Primates; family Hominidae; genus Homo; species Homo sapiens. The sequence goes on along the minus strand of NC_000003.12, from coordinate 73,303,937 downwards.
CCTGTGGACACCATGTTCTTGAGCTTCACACCTCCAGAACTGTGAGACAACAAATAGCTGTTGTACTTTAAGCCACGCAGTCTGTGATACTTTATTATAGCCGCTCTAGCAAACTAATACAATTGGTCTCTGTAGGTGTCCAGAACTATAATATATAAGCTCCAGAGGTGGATCAGCAGGGTACATGTGGCCACTGAGCCCAAGACGGAAGAAAACCCATAGGAAAAAGCAGGCACAAGAGGTGCACAAGAAATCCTCAATCCTTCCTAAGCCTATTTCTGGTTCCTTCCTGAGGTCTTGTTTCCAAGGTATGTTCATCACATCCCACATTCTGCTTGAGCTAGTGCTAGAGGATTTCTGTTTCTCCTAACTGATACCTCAGGGGACTGACTATTTATAGATCTTGAATCTCCAATCCACAATAATAGTAACAGAGCAGACCACTAGCATGTAGAATTCAATAACATCTTATTGGATAAGACAATCCATAAGTATGCAAATACATTTATCTGACACAAACTGATCAGTAGCCACAAATCCAAGAAGGTGGTTGCTTTAAAATTCACAGGAACTTCTAGGCAGAATGAGACTGCCTAGAAATAAGAAGGGAAGAAGGAGACATTATTTGGTGCCAAAATTAGACAATATCAGACAAAATTAGATAATATCAGATTTGGCTGTAAGGCAAAGGACAGAATAAAATGGGACCAGTTTGTACTTTTGCTCTCTGCCCCTATACCTTTCCTCCTCTCCTTTGGTAAAAGTCACCCTCTCCCTACCTCTTCCCCTTCCAACCACATGATTTTGCTGCAACTTCCAATGACAATTCCTATTCGCCCTCACCCTAGGGTCATTCACACGTCTCATGCCCCCTTTCCCAGGCCATAGTGATTATTTCAGTAAAAATCTATCATCCAAGTCTGGCCTGTCAGAATCTTTCTCTTGGATTTTGTGCACTGTCAATTTGTCAGCTCATGTGGCCTGTTTCGGATTTATGAAGTGGTAGAAAGAGAAGAAGAGGAAGAGAGAAGACAAACAGACCCTTGATGGTTTTGAAGTTCCTGAATCCTGGCATCCCCAGGCTAGTTAGACCTCTGCTCTTTATAACCTTCCTCTTGGCTGCAGTTAGTTCAAGTTGGTTTTCTGTTGCTTACAGCCCAAAAGCTCTGATTTGTAGAGAGAGGATATAAGGCTTTACTCATGCCAAGAATGATGAACATTGCCCATACCCCAAGACAGCTGAGCAAACGGCCCCCTTCTGGGGAGTCTCAGAGTGAAGGACCCCTCTCCTGTGGGTGGCTGCATCACAGAGGTTGGCTTGACTGAGGCTGCCAGTGGGGTTGGCAGCAGATCTACAAACAGGTTATGGCATTGGAAGCAGTCTTGCCTGAGAGCTCTGCCCACGAGGACTGCTGCAGTGGATGGCTGCAGGCTGACTAATCCGTCTCCCCTTTAAAGCATTTGATCCCAAAAGCTGCGGAAAGGAGGTGTTAGTAGATAACGCTGGAGCAGTAACAACAGAGACAGACAAAAGCTGAGCCACAATAACGTGAGCTGGAGCAGAAAGTCAACTCCTGACTGAGCACCTTATAGAATTGCTGTTGACAGAAGCAGTATAGCACAGTGGCCACTAGAACAGACCCAGGCTCAAACCCGGGCAGCTCCACTTCTAGGGGCATGATTTATGTGACCTCTCTGAGCCTCAGTTTCCTCATCTATATAATGGGAACCTGAGGCCAACCTCAAAGAATTGTCATGAAAATTAAATGAAATAATGCTGTATAAAGGCGACATCTCAAATCAGAGAGAAAACATGGGTTTTCAATAATTGGTATTAGGATAACAGGATAGCCACCAGAAACATACACAGAAATACACACATCTTGTACCAGAATAAATGGCAATAGATCAAAAATGAAAATCCGAAAATGAAGCTTTAGATGTACTACGAAAAAACATGGGAGTATGTGTGGGTAACATCACAATGGGAGGCACCCTTCCGATACAGCACAAAACCTGGAAGAAAAAATTCAGTTACATCAAATGCTTTAAAATTAGTACAGCAAAACCGCATATATAAAGCTTAAAAACCAACTGACAAATGGGGGAATATCAGCAACTCACATCACGGACAAAAGATTCACTTCTCTCATGAATAAGAACTTCTAGAACCAGTCAAAGAGATAAGCCAAAGCAGAGAGAAAATATAAATGCAAAATGCAAATCATCAAACACACAAAAAGATGTTCACTCACAATAAGACCAGTGCCTGTTTTAACTAAACTAAGGGGACAGTTTTTGCCTAGCTCCCTAACAATGACACAGAAGTCGAAGATCTCAGTGTGTTGTGGGCAACAGAAATGTGTCCGCTGCCATATAAATAAATAGACTGACCACCACGCAGGGCACACTGGCAATATCTACCCAAAATGATAAAGACATATACCTGTTGACAGGCTGGGTGCGGCGGCTCATGCCTCAAATCCCAGCACTGGGAGGCTCAGGTGGGAAGATCACTTGAGGTCAGGAGTTTGAGACCAGCCTTGCCAACATGGTGAAACCCCATTTCTACTAAAAATACAAAAATTAGCCAGGCGTGGTGGCAGGTGCCAGTAGTCCCAGTTACTTGGGAGGCTGAGGCAGGAGAATCACTTGAACCCGGGAGGCAGAGGTTGCAGTGAGCCGAGATGGCACCATTGCATTCCAGCCCGGGCAACTACAGCAACTCCGAGGAAGGGAAGGGAAAGGGAAAAGGAGAAAAGAAAAGGAGGAAGGAAAGAAGGAAAGAAAGAAAAAAAGAAAAAAGACATAAACCTATTGACTTGGCAATTCCGCTTCTGGGAGTATCCTACAGATCTACTGGCAATGGAAATATCTTCACAAAAGAGGTTTTTCATTGCAGCACTATTTCCATTTGTAAACAAAAAATTTCAACAGTTATTAACAGAAGACTAAACAAATTATGTTATCCAAACAATAGGATATAATGCTGCCCTCCCCAAAATAAAAATGAATGGGTTCTTTTATGTTCTTCCCTGGAAAGAACCACAAAATCACGACACATCGTTCAGTGAAAATGCTGAGTCTGGAACCGGTATACAGAATGCCTCTGTTTGTGTTTAAAAAGTACAAGAGGCAGGGCATGGTGGCTCACACCTGTAATCTCACACTTTGAGAGGCTGAGGGAGGGGGGCAGATCACGAGATCAGGAGATGGAGACTATCCTGCCCAACATGGTGAAACCCTGTCTCTATTAAAAATACAAAAATTACCTGGGTGTGGTGGTGCGCGCCTATAATAATATCAGCTACTTGGAAGGCTGAGACAGGGGAATCGCTTGAACCAGGGAGTTGGAGGTTGCAGTGAGCCGAGATGGCACCACTGCACTCCAGCCTGGTGAAAGAGTGAGACTCTGTCTCAAAAAACAAAAAAGAAAAAGGAAAAGATAGGGTATAGAATAGATACAGATACTTGTTTATGTATGCATGAGACATCTCTGCAGGGATATACAAAAATAATAACACAGTTGTCCAGGGGACAGAAATATCCATTTATGCTTCTCTGAGTTGTGACTCTGTTACCTATTTTTAAAAAATAAAATTTAAAAATGAAATGAAACAACAACAAAAAAGAGGTAAGGATATACAGCTTAGTGCAGTGCCTGGAATGAAATAAGTTCTCAGCAAGTATTAGTGGCTTTTGTTACAATAATAATTACCATCATCATGGCAGCCTTTATCAGACACTCAGTCTCCTGCTGTGTCCTCAGTAATAGCCCTGATATCATGGGATGTCCTGTATTCCTTACATGTTGTCCTTATGCTAACTTCCCTTTACCCTTCCCCATTATCAGCTAAGGAAGCCGGTTCATCACTTTAATCCTTTCGATCTGAAGGAGCCTGCCATCTATGCAAGGTAGATGTAGGGATGTTGACAAGCACGAGACAATGAAATGCAAACTTCTGGGTTCTCTTCTTACACAAACCCACCCAAGCCACCTCCGCCAGCACACCAGTCATCCTGTGCACACAGAGGATTTCTTTAAGGGAAGTCCTGGCACAGTGCAGTGGGAGGGGAGAGCATACTGCTTTGCATCTACTTTCCATCCATGGTCCCTGTTCCATCAGGTATAAAACTCTGCAAGCAAGAAAGAGGCGATTTTACAGATGGAAAGTAGACACATGGGCCACTTGCTGTGGTTTTGCTTCTGTTGCTACTCTGTCTCCACACCCCTATACCCACTCTGACAGGTGTGTGGCTGTTAGGCACATAGGAAGAAAATGTATTCTGGAGCACTTTGTAATTTTAAAATACTGTCTTTGCAAGGTACTATTGTAAACCCGTACAGAACAGGTGTTACATCATACATGTCTTCTGTATTCCTCCTAGAATGTAACTTAGCGCTAATCAATGCACAGTAGTTCCTCAATAAATGCTACTTAGTTGAATGAAAGTGCAGTACAAATCAGTTACGCATATTACAGTGCAGTTGGAAGATTCAAAGATCTTTACATGGTGCTCTCTAACCCTGAGTAGAATATTTTTATGCAACATAAGCAATTTCCAGGTCTGGTTAGGAAAATGTTACATCTTTTTATGTATACGCACTCATTCAGAGATATGTGTGGTAGAAATTGGGAGGAATGCATTCTCCACTCTGTTAAGAGATAGTTGCAGTGGAAGCATTGACAATGGATTCTTGGTGCCTCCTTCCTGTTGCCTGGATCGTGCCTCAGAGGTGCTCAGGGAATCATTTCTGGAGGCCAGGACTTGAAGTATTCCTTCGATGCTTCCTGGGATTTTATAAGCCTCTTATTTCCAACATAAAATCTCTGCCTGCTTAAAATACCTGGAGTAGTTTCCTTCTCTTGCCCTGGTCTCTGACTGATCATTTCTCAATGGAATTGTCTTACTCATATTTGCACATTCAGTGGCCAGCACGATATCTGGCAGCAGGTGCTCAATAAATATTTCCTGAAAGCTAATGAAATTAAAATATATGTGTAATTTCTTGGCAACCAGAGATTTATTAGTACTACAGACCATCCAAGCATGTCTGGTCTCCTGTGTTTAGTTTTCAAACCCAGGTCTTGGTACCAGATATCCTGCTGTTTGGGAAAACAATGTAACAACGTTTGACAAAAGATATCCAAAATCTCTGAGGGACAAAGGGCACCTTTCCTTATACATTGACCCGTGGTTTATATAAGCACGGGCGCTGATAACACACTGGCGTTATTAACAAAAGAAAATTCTATGATCCTGACATGGTCTGGTGATTTAGCACCTGCAGGTAACTTTTATTCTGAATCTTAATTTACTACCCACTGGTGACCCTTGTATAAAAATCAGGACAGGGGAGATTTGATCTTGCATGTAAATTTTATGTTTTGTCTGCTGGCAGATTTATGGTTTGGGCTGCGCCCAGCGCATTCAATGAGGGAGAGCCACATAATGGCCATACGTGTCATCACCCAGCACATTAAGCTGCCTTGCAATATCCCAGATTACAGTAGTACATTGCAAAGCATGGCCATTTGAAGGTAATTCATTCCAAATTCAACTTGGATTGCTTTTCCTCTAAAACTGACAGAGGGCTATGCAACAAGATCATCGGTGTGTGTCTCCATCCTAAAAATGAATTTCTTGTTTTTGGAGTGCTTACAACAAGAGGCTAGGATATTCAATCCATAGAGAGAGAGCAGGACAGGGTGAGAGAGAGATCGAGATATCTCGAGAGAGAGAGCCTTGTAAGATCACCTGCCCCAAACAAAAGAAAACAGAAATGCCACAGAGACAGCTGAAAAGAGTGAGTAAGAGAATGGACATTCGGGCCATTCAGATCTGGGGTCCTAACTCTAACTCAGCAGGGTGTGCCATGGACAGGTAACTCCACTCCCTGAAGCCTCAGTTGCCCAAGTGTGCTGTGTACTTGCCCTCAGGCTCATCGTGAAAATTTATGGTGCTACGTACCCAATGCTTAACAAAAGATAAGTACACAGTGTGAGGGATGATTACTTTTTTCCCTGCCCAGTCAGTTCTTCTCGAACTTTTTCCACTAAACAACTTAATGGCAAAGAAGAGTCTGCTTGTTTTCCTGGAGAAATAGACAGCAGCTTTTCCGGGGTCAGAACCTACAGTGACCCATAAAGAGCTCTGACTTATTTGAAGTCTGATATTTATTTTTAAACATCAGATATACTATTGTAATACATCTGTACTTGCTTTAAGTAGACTATGTGATTAAAATTGACACTCCAGGAGTGATTATGGGGCACGTGCATGGGTTGAAAATTTGAGTTGTGCAATTGTGATGTGTGCTTTTCTGTATATGTGTGTGTATCATACTTCAACAAAAGTTATTTTAGGGACAGGCGCGGTGGCTCACACCTGTAATCCCAGCACTTTGGGAGGCCAAGGCGGACGGATCACAAGGTCAGGAGATGGAGACCATCCTGACTAACATGGTGAAACCCCATCTCCACTAAAAATATAAAAAATTAGCCGGTCATGGTGGCGGGAACCTGTAGTGCCAGCTACTCGAGAGGCTGAGGCAGGAGAATGGCGTGAACCCGGGAGGCGGAGCTTGCAGTGAGCCGAGATCGCGCCACTGCACTCCAGCCTGGGCAACAGAGCAAGACTACACCTCAAAAAAAAAAAAAATTTAAAAATGACTCTTCAGGAAAATACCCTTGGTTTATTCTGAAGCTCTGAGGCGACCCCTACGGTAACCCTCCCTTGTTCACAAAGCTTGTCACAAAGGAAGCAAAATCTGCATTGAAGTGACAGTATTACTGGGGAAAACAGTAAGACTTCTTCACATGATGGGGGACATGGTAGAGTCAGGAGTTTATCACAGCAGATGTGGATTGGTGCTGACTGCCAATTCCCAAACGCTCATTTGGAAGCTCGCAGTTCAGGCAATTAGGGCTGATTCTGTGCTGTATTTGAAATACAGGATTTTTTTTTTAACCAAAACTCATCATCCACAACCATTGAGTCAATGCGCTGGTTCATTTTTTCCAGTGGCTGACCTTTAAGTGTCAATTATAAAGTTTTATCATTTTTACCCCCTTTTCGACATTACCCCCTTGGGAAGGAAAGAATTCAGGGCTAAGAAGAGTACAGAATTTGAGGCCAGAATTTGATTAGAAACTGCAATTATAAAATCTCTAAACCCAAACACCATAAACAAATTTCCAAGAACAACATTAACATCAATAGCACAGATTCCCAGGCCTAAATATGATTTTATAAAATTCCTGAAAAGATAATTCATAACATTATTATGAGGGCATGGGGTTGTATGACCTTTAAGATTCTGTCTAGCTTTAAATGTATATGGAATATATTGATCTTGAAATAATGCCTAGGCTACTGCGTCCCAAAATGTTTTATAAAAATAAGGGTGGCGGTGGGTGAAGCTCATGTGAAATACATTTGAGAAATGCAACACCTTATCTTCTGCTCCCAGAGCTCTGTGAGTCATATTAAAGGCTCTGAGAAGTCCTGCAGCAAGTAAATACGTTTAATTTTCTTTAACCCAGCATTTCCCTAACTTATCTGATATGTAATACCAAAGAATCATCTAGAAATTGGGGAAATGCTAAGTTCACCCTGGTGAGCTGCTCTACTAGTTGTCACATTTAGTGTGGAGCTTCTAAAGCAGGATGCTAATGCAATGGCCTCCGGGCCGCATGTGGCGCATATTCATGCATCCTATGGCTCTCTGGAGTTTTGAATTTTTACTTGTGAATTTTATATTACACTGAACTCTTCGGGGCAAGTTGTTATCATAGATCTCCTTGGGCTGACAGTGATTATACTGTAACTCCATAGTCCCACAGAAAGTAGAGCTGTCAGGAACTGTGAATAACAGTCATTCCATATTTGGTTGAAAGTGGGAAACAGGCTGAACTGAAAAAAGAGCTCACATTTGCACAAACAAAATCTAAGAAGCTCTTGCCTTCTGCCTCTCCACGTACTTTTTCTCCTCATTCTTCTTCTAAACCTCCTTATTTTTCCCCGTTTCCCTCCTTTCCTTCCCATCCTATTTTACCCAGTACATCTTTATCAATGTCAGGGGGTGGTAAAGTTTCTCTGTAAAGGGATCAGATGGTAAATATTTTAGGTTTTCACGGCCATTTGGACCCTGCTGTAACTACTGATTCTGCCACTGTAAGGTGAAAGCAACCATAAATAACACGCAAACAAAGGAGTGTGGTTGCGCTCCATTCCACTTTATTTGCGAAAACGGGTCGTGGGCCAGATTTGGCCTACGTGTTGTAGATTGCCTATCCTGGATCTACGCTTTAACTGGCCATGCTAAGGAAGGCAAACATGTTTCTTCATGTTTTTTAACTCCTTGAATGATGTTACCCATTTTCCTGTTGCTAATCCATTCCCAATACTCTTCTGTAAAACCGATTCTCATTTCAAAGCTGATTCCAAATCCCACCTCCATCAGAGAGCCTCCCAGAACTGCCCCCAGCCACCTACTCTCAATTAGTCTTTCCCCTCACACTCCTAAGTCAATGTAAATCGACATAAATCCTAGTACTTCACACTCTGCTTTTTCTTAGAATTTAAAATATCTTGTCTATTTCAAATGCAGTATCTCTCATGCTTGCAGCTCAAGCCTTACACACAGTTTTCTCTCAGTAGATTCAAATGTCTGAAATTCTGATTTAATTTTTTTAAGGAGAAAAATTTCTAGGAATAAAAATCAATCACAAAAAAAAACCTAAATAAGGATGCTTTTTGAACGAGGTGCTTGATGAGCGTTTTCTTGGAATTGATGAGTGCTGCAAGGGAAAGTAGCATGAAATGGAAAATAATCTGAAGAATATAGGAAGTACCTTTCTCCTCTCATGCCTCCAAAACATATGCCCTACTTATGCCGCCGTAGTATGAGCACCAGGGCTTTTGAGACATACCAACTAAATTTATTCTAACAGGGACTCACTCATAACTCCTAAAAAGCAATGCCTTCAAAGGAAAAGCAAGGGACACTCACCTTGCAAAACCATCAAAACTATTCCCACAGACGCCACATGAGCCCCCATTTATCTGACTTAAAAGAAGCAGGGTCTGCTGGGATTCGAATCCTCTGGTTCCAGAGAGAGAAGGTATTACCAAGACTTGCTTTAGCACACGGCTTAAGAGGCACGCCACTGGAATGTGCCTTGGCCCACTAGGTTTTCAACTAAATCTTCTCCTCCCTCCCAGATGCAAATGAGGTCATTACTGAGGCTTGGTTCCCCAGGAAGAACGGATGGGCTGCCGAGGAGTTAGGGTGCACCGAGGAAAGAAGGCGGGGAGCCAGCTCTCCAAAGATCAAAGACAGTTGTGGCCAGCCTGGATTAGGCTGTCAGAGTCACCATGGAGGGTGATGGCCTCACCTGTCGGTGACACTGCTTCTGTAAAAATGCTGTAGCTGCAGTGTGTTCTCAAAAGGGCTTGCTGGCTGGGCGCGATGGCTCATGCCTGTAATCCCAGCACTTTGGGAGGCCAAGACGGGTGGATCACCTGAGATCAGGAGTTCAAGATCAGCCTGGCCAACATGGTGAAACCCCATCTCTACTAAAAATAAAAAAATTAGCCGGGTGTGGTGGTGCACACCTGTAGTCCCAGCTACCCAGGAGGTGGAGGTTGCAGTGAGCCCAGATCACACCTCTGCACTCCAGCCTGGGTGACAGAGCAAGACCCCATCTCAAAAAAAAAAAGTGTTTGCTTAGGGTAGGGCATGGTATTGAGGGGTGGGGACCTGGAGTCCAGTTCCTGCTTACTGTGTAACCCTTGGAAAGTCATCTGACCTCTCCATCCACATTTTCCTCATCTATCAAATGCAAGGAGAGCACCTATTCTCTAGGGTTGTATTCATAGAAGTAAAAGTGCCTAGAATTGTGCCTCTTGATGTCTCAATTTCCTCACATGTAAAGAGGGGGTTAATGATGACATCTGATTCAAAGCCATTGTTGAATTAATATAAGTGCCTAGAACAGTGCCTGGTCCACGGAAAATGTGATATAAATGTTCACTATTATTAGTGATGATTAACAGGTAGGTAATTGTGTAAGGATCAAGAGGGGTGGGCAGAATTTTTCTGTAAATAGCCAAATAGTAAACATCTTAGGCTTTGCAAACCATACAGTTTCTGTTGTAATTAATTACTCTACTTTGCTGTTATGTAGCAGAAGTAGTTCAGACAGAGCATACATAACGAAGGCTTTGTTATAATAAAACTTTGTTTATGGACACTGACATTTGAATTTTATATCACTGTCACCTGTCACAAAATATCATTCTTTTGATTTTTGTTGTTTGTTTGTTTGTTTGTTTGAGACAGACTCTCGCTCTATCGCCCAGGCTGTAGTGCAGTGGCGCGATCTTGGCTCACGGCAAGCTCCGCCTCCCAGGTTCACGCCATTCTCCTGCCTCAGCCTCCTGAGTAGCTGGGACTACAGGCACGTGCCACCACACCTGGCTAATTTTTTTTGTATTTTTAGTAGAGACAGGGTTTCACCGTGTTAGCCAGGATGGTCTCGATCTCCTGAACTTGTGATCCGCCCGCCTCAGCCTCCCAAAGTGCTGGGATTATAGGCATGAGCCACCACGCCCGGCCCATTCTTTTGATTTTTCTAAAGCCATTTTTTTACCATTCTTAGCTCATGGGCCATACAATATAAGGCAGAGGCTGGATTTGGCCTGTGGGCCATAGCTTGCTGACTCCTGATTAAGACTGAAGGTTCTAGAGTGATCCCTATTATGTGACCTTGAGTGAATTAACTCCAAGCCTCAGTTTTTTTAGCTCTGAAATGGGATAATGTCCCCTACCTCCTAAAGTTACTATAAAAATTGACTGAATTAATGCGAAAAAGTCATCATGATTCCTGGCACATAATAAGTGTTCAATAAAAGTCAACTCTCATTATGAACAAAGTTTAACCACGTTTAACATGAGCTACATAGCCACTTTCTTAGTGGCAACACCAAAACACCAGTCTCTTCACAAGACCAGAACCAGGTTGTCACCATTTCCAATGTTGTTGGCATTGACCAGGCAGTGTTGGCAGCTGACAATTTGATGTCTCCAAATGAAAAGTGATTCTCGGCATCTATGTCCTTTAGACAGCCTGGAACTGGTCAGTTACAAACTACAAAGCGCACGTCCCCAACACTAAATCCCTGGGAATGTGAATGGTCTGCAGGTGACAGAAATCACTTGAGAATGGACCCACTCTCTTCCTCACTTTGGAGCAACTTGGAATTTCTAAAACATCAAACTCTGCACACTCCAGACAAAATATCAAAATATCATCTAGTCAAACAGCCAGACCCCATTTTCCTGTCTTCTTGAGATCTAGTTTGAGTTGTTCCTTCAGGTGGGAATATTTTAGGCTGGTCTTGGTGGTGGTGGTTGTTACTGCTTTGGTTTTTGTTTTCTCTTTTACTCTCCCTTTGAAAACATCAAAGCAAAGCCCAGCCTACCGTACGATTTATGGGATAATTGGAACCTGATCGCCTGCCAAGTCTCCCTGAGTCTTTAGATGCTCAAGCAGACCCATTCTTTAATGTTCTGGCCAAACTTGAGTGTCGGGCAGAAAATTCATATTTTTTTTAAAGTACACATTTCAAGATTAAATCCTACTAATTCAAACTGAGCCAATATTAGCACACCAGAGAAGGTGAGAGAAGGGTCTAGTTTGTGGAAATCTGGACCGTTAATCCTCCTCATCAGAAAAGGGTAGCAGAGAGATTACTTTCAAACAAATAAGCAACAGTGAAGGGAAGAGCAGCACTAGGGAGGGATTATTTTAAGAAAGGCTTGAGGCTCATCCAATAATCTGTCTCCCTAAAGCACTCCAGGTAGTAGTAGTCAAGGTAGTAACCACAGCAAGAGTAATAATAATACCTGACATGGACAACTGACATCATAAATCTTGCATAAAATGTGAATGAACACTTCTTTACAAACACTTGCTGTTTTATATTTTAACCCATCTGTAATATGCACTCCCCTCTGGAACAGTCCGTGCCATGTATAAGGCAGCCCACAATCAGCCCCTAACAGCAACACACAGCCACACTCCATTCAGAAGCCCTGCCAGTAGACAAGTGCTGGAGAACCATTGCCCACAGGGAGCTCAGGGCTTCCAGTGCCTGGGATTCAGAGAATGGCACCTCCCGGGGAGCCTAACTCTCTCATGCCCTCTCAGCCACTAAAGGGTTGCTGGGCTCTGCGTGTGGCTGCCAGCACCACCCCAGATGCGAAGGGACTCTTGTGAATCCCGACAGTTGCGATGGTATGGACAGGTGTCTGATTACAAATCACACTGCCATTATTTACCAGGCCATATCTGAGCACCCCTCAAATTACGAAGGCAGGCAAACAAATGGGAGACAAAGCAGATTGCAGTTCTCTCAGGTGGGGTTTTATTAAAAAGGTATCTTGCCTCCATAATTCATTAAGCCAAAGCTCAGTTTGGGCCAGCTTGGAACCCAAGATGGTTATTGCAGAGCAACAGCAGATCAACTGCTCTCCCTTCTGCCAAGGCGGAAGGGACTGGTCTGCCTTAAGAGCAACAAGAAATTGTTGAGAAGTTGCGCTCTGACTCATTATGGTTCTGAATTGTGTTTCATTATTTAGCAGTAAAAGGAGAAAATATTTTAAAGACTCAGTTTCCCTGTAACAGCAAAAACTTGGAAGTAATTTAATGTCTACTAATATGGAAATGATTCAAAGAGCTATTTACAATACCATGAAACACCAGGCTGCAGTTAAGAGGAATGAGGAAAAGCTACATTAATGCTGAAGAGAAACCTCTAAGACCTGCTGTTAAGTGAAAATATACACATTAAAAGTGGAAGAAGACAATTTTAAGAACAAGATATTCTAGCACAATGTGAATGTACCTACTGCCATTGAACTGCGTGTATATTTAAAAATGGCTGATGGTAAATTTCGTTATGTGCACTTTATCTCAGTGTTTCATAATTTTAAAAGACAAGGTGTTCTTATGATATCATCTATAAAAAACTAAGCTATATTTTCTCATATGTATGGCTTAAGCATGTGAATGAGTGTCAACAAGGTCAGATATTGACCTCCAGAGAGAGGACTTGAATTGAGGATAGAAACAGCACAGAATTTAGCTTTGGCAGCATTATACAAATGTCTTATAACAAGAATACAGCCATAGATACTATACTTAATAAATAATTTAAATGAAACCTGCAAGTGAAGATCAAGTTTCTTCTCTAAGATGGGGGTATTGAACTAGGTCAGCATTTCAACCATTTCTTCCTTTAATAGTGATATCCATGGCATTGAAAGATTTGTGTTTATGGAATTACTATAATTACTAGGCATCAAATTGATCCCATGCAATTCTTCTTCATCTAATTTCTTGAAAAATATTATTTAACAAATATTTATATGGTGCTTGCTATGTTCCTGATACTATTCCAAGTGCTTCACAACTGTCAGCTCATTTAATTATCACACCAACACAATGACGTAGGGCTATCATTGCCCCCACTTTACAGATGAGGAAGACAAAGCACAGAGAGGTTAACGAACTTATCCAAGGCCATAGAGCTAGTGAGCGAGGCAACTGGAACTCTAGTGCAGGCTCCTGAGTCCATGCTCTTCGAAACAACTCCATGCTGCCTCTCTTGTCATTGTCTACGATTCCTCTCTACTAATCTCCTTACTGTTCTTCACAGATACCAAGTTGATTCCTACCATGGGGCCTTTGCACTTGCTATTTCCTCTCCTTATAATGCTCTTCCCCAGACCTTTGTATGGGCCAATCTTTCTAATGGCTTAAGTCTTAGCTCCAGTGTTGACTCCCCAGGAAAATTTTCTCTGATCATCTTATCTACAGTGACTCTCCCTCATCTCGTTCCCTCTACCACACTATTTTACCTCTCTTATGGCAGTGACCACTATCTGAAATTATTTTGTTGCCTTTTAAAAATTATGATTAATATTTTGTTCACCTTTTTGTCTTTCTCCAAATAAACTGTGAGGTTTGTGAAGTTAGGAAGCCTGTCTGCCTTGTTCACCACTGTGGCCCTGGCTCCCAGCACACAGCAGGTGTTCAAGAAGAATACTATTGTAGAAATGACTTTGAAATCATTCATTTACTTTTAAAAATAATATATAGTTAGATGGCTTTGATACTTTGATTATTAGGATCAAATCACTTGCAACACAGCTCACAATGAGTGGAGACATCTGTTGATGGGACTAGAGAGTCTTTACGACAAATGTTTTAGTCTATCAAGAAAAACTACCCACCTTGAAAGGAAATGATACCATTAATGCACGGCAGCAACATAATTTTGGGTGGTAAGGACTCCTAGACCCTGTGACAAAATCCTCAGCAACACAAGGGCACAGACGAGTGACCCAGCAGCACCCAGGATTCAGCTGTTTATCTGGTGTGGCTAAGTGCTATATTTGCACGCAATTTAAACGCTGGTTTTCTCTGGTCTTCTAGTCTCCTTTCATTAAGCACTTTTGAATTCTTTGCTTTAAAAGAAAATAAGAGAAAATATCCCATAGCATGTTCCAGATATTAAGAATCTAAACAAGTAATCTCCAAGAGTAAAGTATGAGATATTGAACTGGGTTCCCTGGAGCAGCAGTCTACTGCATGCAAGTAATTTTAGGAAGATGGAATTGATTTCTGACCTTATGCCTTGGTGTATTTATAAGCATTTGTATTTGATGAAAAACAGTCAAAATAAAGGGCAGTTTGATTTTTCAAGAGTTGCAAAGTATAGACAAGGATAGCAGGGGGTAACTTGCATATTATCTGGCAAGTGGACAAAGGAAAGTACTGATGACAGCAGGCAAAAAAATAGCAATAACCAAAACCAAACAAAATTTCCCATTTCATTGTTTTTCCTTTTTATTTTAACCTTGGTTGGATGAACTCAAGACAGACAGCTTTGTTCAATAAGCACAGTTCTCCTCCCTTTCTTATTCCCTCACAAGCCCTTAGGCAGATCTGAACATTATGTAGCTCAGGAAAATTTCCTTGGTTTCATTGTGAGATGGGTCTCATGGACCCAAGTGAGTAAGATTTGAAGGTCCCAGACCCTATTGAAAGAGAAATCCTGACACCAACTCCCACACCAAACTCTCAGGTAGCACTTAAGTGATTTCAGTAATTAGACATTAATCTAAAAAGATTAAATGAACATGTAGTGTATGTAACAGGAATCTATTATCCTTACACACACTTTTCTTTATAATTTCAACAAGTTTACAGTAAATCCAAGCTCTTCTAGCTCAATGACCTTACAGAAATTTAGATACCAAACTTGCTTTGCACAAGTAGAGAGAGAGAGAGTATCACAAACAATTTACAACTTGAAGGCCTGTGATTAAGCCTTTAATAAGATTCGGCTTCCATTTCAAAGGTCCATCTCAACGTTCATAAGGAGTGATGAGTCTGATAAACATGGTTCAAGTCAGACATAAACAGAATTGGGAATTTCATGCTATATCTACCCCATAGCAAATAAACTCAAGAATGGGACAAGGCAGGAGGCTGTACCAATGGAGCTGCCAGCCCTAGAGAAGGCAGTTGGTTCCTCAAACACTAGGGAAGTTGTTTGAGAACTGTTCGATGATCCAACGAAACAGCAGCCTTCTTGGTTGCCAAGCCTTTGGAGACAGGTCTTATCAAGGAGTACCAATCACATGATTTAGTTGAAACAGCCTAGAGGTAATTTCAGGATTCACATCTGAGATTTGGGGGAAATTCTAAAGCCCATGTGACTTTGCCAAAACAGAAAACTCTCATTCCTGACAGTTTGTGTTTTGTCTGAATATACAGTTTCTCATGGCATTTTCCAATCCCTTTTCTTGCAAATACTCTACTGCCTCTCCTTTAACCATCCCACCCCACACAGTAGGCATGAGAGTAGCATCAATTATCTCCTCAATGCAGATGCCAAAAATTGCAGCAACAGAATTTTATTGAGATACCTACTCTGGATAATCATTGTGATCAGAGGTAACTATCATTTGTAGAGAGGTGTTTGCAACTCTGCCTGGGAGAAAGATTCTCTTCCTTCCAAAGAATTCACCAAGGACCTCTATGTTTCATACCTCTCAATTCTTCTACAGTGAACAAGCACAAAGATGGTGGCTCACTTAATATTTACTAAAGGGCCCCACTGTCCCGGGGCCTACACCTGGGCACCACAGTAGAAGTAGCCCTCATGCTTGGAAACCACAGTAAAGGGTACAAACCTTGCTGAGGCATTCTCTTGGCTGCCATTAGAAAATAATATGTAATTAGAAAAATATGCTATATGCATAATGAGTGGGTAGTAGTAAATCACACAAATAAATGCAGAAGGTAACTGATGAACAGAAGCTGACTCCAAGGTTGAATCTAGTAAATTATCAAATTCAGTTGACACTCTCATGACAGGGCTCAAATTTGCTATTGTCTTAGCCCCAGAGCTCATTAGCAGTTACGTGGACCCACCTGAAGCATACATCTTTCCCTGTGCTCCCAGAACTTTCTAAGACCCAGCTCTGTCAATACACCTTTAAGAACCCCCAACTGGCCATTCAATGGCCTCCTCTCCTCCAGCCCCACAAGTCTCCAGACCGTGTGCTCTCTGCCAGCCCCACTTCATTTCATGCTCCCAGCAATGCTTTGAGGTGGGCATTGTTACCGCCATCTTTACCAATCAGGAAACAGTCTGGGGAGGTTTAGTAAATGGCCCAGTTATACAGTCAGTGAGCAAAGGAACAAGAGTGTGAAATCAAGCCTGCCTGATCCAACACGTTTGCTCTTTCCCTTCCATTGCTCTAGCCAGATGGAGAACAATATTTTACTTCTTGAAAAGTGCTTGTGGTATAAAGTGAAAACTCAGGAACTTTGTACAGAACTATTCTGTAGAAAGCACAAGAAAGATGTCTTTGGACTCCAGAAGGGAGGCCAATAGGAAGATAGAAAGAAACATGGTGGCACCAGGAGGTGGCAGAAAGAGCCACATGGATCCTAACATTGCTCCTGTCTGTGTGCACCCGCAAATTTTCAACAGTTCCTATGCTCACCAATTGCTAGGGTGTGAGTTGGTGTTCTGTGGAAACCAGGGAAAGACCTGGGCTTTGTTGTTTGGATATTAACTAACAAAGATCAAAGCAGCATGCCCAGATGAGGGCAGAGTAGAGGCAGAAAGACACAGGCAGAAATGAGGGGATGCTGGACTCACAGGGTCTGGTACAAATGGAGCTGAATCTCCAAGGGGCGAGGAAGCTTCTGACTTTTATCTAATGAAGCACTGAGCTCCAGTGTGTCCCCAGAGCCACCTATGTGTTTGGTGTTATCCTCACCCCTCTTTCCTTCTCTCCTACTGACCCTTTTACCGTCCCCCAGCCAAGGAGCACTCTCTTGTTCTCAGAGGTCCAAGATTTTCTCTCACCTCCCACCAAACCCCCATAAAGGGAAAAGGCTTAGAAAATATTCATTTACCTTAAGGAGTAAAAGTGATTCAGTGCTAACATTATCACCCCTCCAGGGCTAAGATCTTCATTTTTCAAGCAAAAAGGAAAGGAGCTGCTGAGGTGGAATTCCAGGCAATAAAGAACAAGTCAGGGCTTTCCTGAATGTTTAGGAAGCTCTACTTTCTTTTTTGCTGATGATGGCCAATCCTACACCTAATATGATATCTCTTGTTTTCTGGCTTTAAGAAAAAAAATCTATTTAATGAAATTAGGAGTTTGGGGATAGCCAAAGACACACAAACATGAAGATATAAATTGCCAAGGGCTCTGAGGTGGATGCTCTATGATTGCATTTATTTAAATGGATCCTCCTTTGGCTAAATAGCATATGTAAGAAGATTATATAGTATTTAAAAAGAAAGCTATAAGAACACACACAGAGGTGTACACAAAGTGGAAAATGAAGCTACAGAATAGCAAAGATTCTATAGAGCATTCCTCTTGTTTTTTTAAATTAAAGTGTATGCGTGTCTAACTAGCATTCTTTCCTTTTTCTAGTGCCAGCAACTCCCTTCCTTCAGTTCATGTGGTACTGTCATTTGCAACATCCAATGATAACCACCACCCCACCTGGGCACAGAGATAAGAAGTAACCCAAGTCCAGCCTGTTAGAATCCCCACTAGCTGCAGAGATTGGTCTAAGCAGTAGGAACATGGCCAAAACAGAGCAAGAAGTCACTGTCCTTCTCAGGGATTGATCTACAGGATTGTGGCTACAGACACTCCTCCCTCTACAGGAATCACTGAATAGGTGCATTGTGAGTCTGGGGGTGTGGGTGAGCATCTTTCCTACCAAGGGAAGGAAATCCATCTGCAGTTGATTGAAATGAAAAGAGAAGAACAACTAAATGATGGAAAAGGCAAAAGGCAGAAAGAAGAGGGAAGACTTCAAATTAACCCCAGGATCGAATCATGCCAGAAACCAGATCCACACCTGGACTTCCCAATAACATAAGCGATTGATTTCACTTTGGTGTAAGCTAGTCTGAGTTGGGTTTGTCTTGTGCAAGTAAAAGAACTCTCCCAGATACCATGAATGTATACATAGATACCTACATATGACCCCTCCCCAAATTCAAAACATATCCAGGCAGTTTAACAGTACTTACATCTGATTGAGATTTGAATTAGGGAAAAAAAATTATCAACCTTATTCACTAATTTTAACTTTTTACAATAAGCTATTATTTTATGATTTTTTAGTAAAAAATGTTTTTTTTTTCATAAACAGAATCTGTATTCACTCTTAAGGTGGGAACCATGGCATACACTGTAGGCAGCAATATTTGAAACAGGCAAAACTGCAGATGCTGTGCAAAATCACACCTCTAGTCTGTTTGCTTGATTCAGTTCATTGTATAGTGAACGGCTGCAAACTACAGTCTTCCAGAAATGTAATTTAGCCTCCCTTCATCTTTGCCATTTCTACTAAAATGCTCTTCTTCCATGTAAATATTACTCTGGGCACTAGAAAATCAAGATTTCTTACAGATTCCAGCTTGTCGCTCTATCATTCGAATAACCCCCAAATTATGCTCCATTTTCTCTCTTTATGCCAACTAAGAACAAGCAAGTTACCTCTGAGGAATACATAACAACATGGCCAGATTCTGTCAGATTAAAATATGAGACAAATTAACCCTCATTAAGAGAATGCACCTGCAACACTGCCTACCAACTGTGAAAAAACAACTGGCCGCATCTCTGAGTCCGTATTGTATTCACCCCTCATTAAGCAAACCCCCCTGGATTTTGCTGAACAGCCACTGCCGTGAGAGGCTCTGCAGTAGACCGCTCCGGCTGGACTGCACGGAGGTGGTTTTGCAGGCACATTGAGGCTTTTCAGTCTGTTCTAAAATGCATTTTTCATGGAAAACGGAGGGAAGTTTGATTTTAGAAATGTATCTTTATTTTCTCGACGAGAAAAAAAGTTAACATGTTTAAAGGATGCCAGTTACTGTCTGGTTTACTCCTTGATTTTTAAAGCAAAATATTTTTGGTAGATAGTTTCCTTTCTGATGCCTTATGTTGCTCAGAGTCTCAAGTGGCCACAGGATCGTGTTTTGCCAAGGTTAAAAGAAGGCCTAATCTTCTGCTTTAAAATAGGATTTTTTTTCTCTCCTACTAAAGAGATTCCATTTCTAAGTAGAAGGTACAATGTTCCTGATGTAATTTCTCTGAGTTGATAACAGCAATGTGAAGGCCTGTGCATTTTCCTCATCGGAGCTCTTTGATTCCTCCAAACTTTAATAAGTTCAGGGGAGTCAGTGTCCTCCCCAAGGTCACACCACCAGAAAGCTGTGGAGCTGGCATCTGAAACCAGGTGCGTTTCATTCCAGAATTCACATTTGTAATTACAATGCTATAGTGCAGGGGCAGGCAAACTACAGTTTGCAGGGGCCAGATCCAGACCACCTTCTATTTCTATAAAGTTTTACTGGAGGCCAGGCACAGTGGCTCATGCCTGTAATCACAGCACTTTGGGAGACTGAGGCGAGCAGATCACTTGAAGCCAGGAGTTTGAGATCAGCCTAGCCAACATCATGAAACCCCAGCTATCTCTACAAAAAAATACAAAAATTAGTGGGTATGGTGGTGCATGCCTGTAATCCCAGCTACTTGGGAGGTTAAGGCATGATAATCGCTTGAACCGGGGAGGTGGAGGTTGCAGTGAGCTAAGATCACACCACTGCACTCCAGCTTAGGTAATAGAGCGAGACTCTGTCTCAAAAACAAATACATAAATAAAGTTTTATTGGAACACAGCCTCACCATTTGTGAATGTACTGGCAAAGGCTGCTTTCAAGCTACAGCAGCAGAGCTAAGCACAATAAGTGCTCACTTAACACCAGTGATAGGTGTTTGGAAACTGTGGCACTAAGTGAAACCATGTATAACCAATTTTTTTCCTCATCAACATTATAATGAAATGATGTTAGTTGAGGACCTGCTGTACGTTGTTTCATTTCGTTGCAGTTTCCAAGAACCTATTAATAACATTAAGTGAAGACTTACTGTATTTGTGACAAAGACCCCTTGGCCTGTAAAACCAAAAATATCTACTCTCTGGCCCTTTACCAAAAAGTTTGCTGACTGTTAGCACCATACAATTCCCTAGTTCACGTGAAAACCGGAGCTCTACTCAACATCACAGGAGACCAAAAGATGTCACTGATAATGTTCATTGCCAAAAAGAACCCCACCTCATGGCAGATACCAAGCCCAGGGGGCTGCCTTTTATGCCGTGATGACCCAGCCTTATCTGACCAACTCAGCTCTTTCAAAGACTGCATTCTGGCCCACAAAAGAAGGTTCCTGCTTACTGGAATCAAGAGGTCAAAGGTAAGAAGACCCAGAGGTCTTTCTGGATTGTGCACAAGCTCCTTCCCTCTTCAGCTACCCCTACCCCCAACCCTCTCACACATAAGGCCCACTCCAGATGTGGCAAGGACTCACAGGTGTTCCAAATACTATCTGTCAGCTTTTCAGTGATGGCCTTTTACTGAGAGTGGGGAGACTTAAAGGATAAAGATGCTGAGCAAAACAAAAAAGGATGCCAGGCACAGTGGCTCATGCCTATAATCCCAGCACTTTGGGAGGCCGAGGCAGATGGATCACCTGAGGTCAGGAGTTTGAGACCAGCCTGGCCAACATGGCGAAACTCTGTCTCTACTAAAAATACAAAAGTTAGACAGGCACGGTGGCACACGCCTGTAGTCCCAGCTACTTGGGAGGCTGAGGCAGGAGAATTGCTTGAACCGAGGAGGTGGAGGTTGCAGTGAGCTGAGATGCTGCCACTGCACTCCAGCCTAGGTGACAAAGCGAGACTCTGTCTCGAAAAAAAGAAAAACGAAAAAAAAAGAGGGCAAGAAGAAACTACTCTATCTATAGGACCTGCTTCCCAGAATTTTATTTGAGAGAATACCACCAAAAATGAGCACAACTTCAGTCTAATTGAGGCAAAAAGTCATATATGGTTCACATTTGTCATCATTTTTAACTATGCTAAAAAGTTATATACCTTTCCAGGCCAACAAATTAGATTCTAGAAGCTCAGGTTTCTTTGATATAATATTGCTCTGGTATAGGTTTTTCATTTATCAGATACTTATTGTGCACTTACTATGTTCTCAGTGCATGAGATACAATGGTCCCTGTGCTCATGGAGCCTCCATTCTAATTGAGAAGAAATAGAAATAATAAATAAGAATATTTTAGATAGAGGTAGATGTTTATGAAGAAAATGAATAGGATGTTTAGTATGGAGTAATGGTGATTGGAGATAACTTTAGGCAGGAAACAGAGGCATCTACCTGCTATGCACCAGGAGTTGCGGTATATGTTAGTGACACAGTTGGGAAACAGTAGCCAGAGAGAGAAGGATGAGGTCAAACATCAGATCTACATAAAGGTGGCTCAGAAATGAAGATAGAGTTGTCCTACAAAGCTAGGCCTATGAACCATCTCTGGTGGTAGAACAACAAAACATTTTGTAGGGAGGCCTTTCGTCCCCTATGATGTCACCACAAATATATTACTTCCTTCCTTACATCTCTCTTGTTCCAGAAATAATTTTTGGTAACTGCATCAAAAACCTAGGAATGACAATATAAGTATCCAACAATGGTGAAACAGTTCATTAAAATGCAGTGTAATTTTTTTTTTTTTTTTTTTGAGACGAAGTCTCGCTCTGTCGCCCAGGCTGGAGTGCAGTGGCATGATCTCAGCTCTCTGCAACCTCCACCTCCCGGGTTCAAGCGATTCTTCTGCCTCAGCCTCCTGAGTAGCTGGGACTACAGGTGCCCGCCCACACGCTCGGCTAAATTTTTTTGTGTTTTTAGTAGAGACGGGGTTTCACCATGTTAGCCAGGATGGTCTTGATTTCCTGACCTTGTGATCCGCCCTTCTCGGCCTCCCAAAGGGCTGGGATCACAGGCATGAGCCACCGCGCCCAGCCTAAAATGTGGTGTAATTTAAAAGGTGTTGCAGAAGACTATATAGTGAAATGGGGAAATGTTGCCAACATGTGATGTGGAGAAAGTAATTCTAAAACACTATTGTATTGTATAATGTCATTTTTGCTAACAATATGGGTGTATAAATACAAAAAACTTCCCATTAAACATTAACTGAGTGGTTATAACTGCATAACGGGATTACAGATGATTTCTATTTTCTCTTCGGTGCTTCTCTGGATTTTCCAAATGCTATTCTAACAAAATTTTTTTCTCTTTGTTAAAGGCAATTTGGAAACATTTTAGGCAATAGACATTGAGTCTTTCAGTCTCATGGATAAAGCTATCCCTGGACATCTGGGAGATGAGAAAAACAGGCAACCTCTGCCTATGGCCTGTGGACTTACTTCATTCAACACCCTGATGTGCGTTCCCTGCTTCCCGAGCAGCCTTCTGGGTAGGGCTTGGCTTTCCACGTGGTTCTGCTAAGAGGGACAGAAGCAGGTGGTCATCTGGGCATGGGCATTTCTATCTCTTTGGCAGCTGCAGTTTTCACTGGAAATGAATAAGTTAATAGTTTGTTTTCAGGTCACAGGAGCCTGGTCAGCACAAGTGCGTCCCTGAAAGACAGGCACAGTGGTGACGGTGCTGAGACAGGAGTCTGAGGCCCAATGCCTGAGAGCCAGACCCCGAACCAAGGAGAGCTTCTGTCCACACCCTAATTAAATCTCTAAATTGACACTTCCCATCATTAAGTAACAGTTCCTAAGAATCACCTGCCAAATGGTGACGTTTCCTGCTCTCATTTCTAAAACTAACCCATTCAAGGGTCAAAGGGTGCTCTCCAATTTTAGTCTCTCCTCTCAGGATGTGGTCTTCAAGCCCTCCAATCACACTTGGAACTCACCTTCATTCAATCTTCCATGACTCAAAGTTGAAAAATACTAAATACAGAAGAAAATAATACTAAACACTACACTTCCCAATACAACTTCAAGTAATAAGAGAATGTGATCTGAGTCTTAGAACAAGCTTCCACGGCAGTAGGCATGGCAGGCAGGCATCAGCAGCCCCATTGTATGAGTGAGGACACTGAAGCTCAGGAAGCCTCAGCTAGACCAAGGTTGCACAGCTTGTTAATGGCACAGACAGGCTTAGTCTTTGTTCTAACGAATGGCTCCAAACTAAGAGAACCATCTACTGGAGCCTGCCGGCCCTTGTTCTCTCTTCCCCACCCTCAAGTGTCCATCTTCATTCCCCTCCCACTCAGCAGTGACACCAGCTATTTGAAGACATGACATATAAAGGATTTGAAGGATGATGTTATGCTTTGAGCTCATTCCTACAGCCTAGAAGGTGCAAACTTAATAACCTATAAAAGTCCGATAGGTCATGTAAATAAAGCAGCAGTCAGTTCATGGGAGGGAATGGTCTGTGGGAACCTGAAGAGAGGATGCCCTATCTACACGGTGAAGTCTCTACAACCACTATATCAGAGGTCAGCAAACTGCAACCCATAGGCCAAATCCAACATGCTGCAAATTTTTGTATAGCCCATGAGCTAAGAATGGTTTTTGCATTTTTAAATCATTATATAAATCACCACATAGTATCCTTGATTTTGTCTTTTGACCTACAAAACCTAAAATATTTACTATCTGGCCCTTTACAGAAAAAAAAAAAGTTTGGCAACCCCTACACATTACAACCCATGTTGCCATGGATGAATGCAGGCCTGGTGTGGCCACATCTTCTAATTGTTCAAGAACTGTTATCTTAACTTTCCTATTAGTAAATGTTCATAACTAGCATTTGAACTCAATGCAACACAGGTCAACAATTTGCAGGCTTTCCTGTGACCTCAACAACTGAAAGGTAGAAAATAGACACTTATTTCAATTCATAACCATAAGTTCTTCAAATATCATTTTCCATGATCATATTTATTTTTATTATCTGTAAGGTGGGAATGAGGTATGGGGTTGCTGGAACACTTCACTCTAATTTTGAAATTACTAATGAAAGTTCATAGGGTTAATATAATGATATAATGAGATAATAGATACAGAACACCTTACACCCTTCATAAAGAAAGCACACAGTAAATATTAGTGACTGTTATTAATACTTATTATTTTCACTAACCATATTACCACAGTTTCCCTAAACATACTATGTTGTTTTCACTAAACATATCTACCAGATACTATGAATTACACTAGATGTTGCAGACACTAAGATGAGAAAGAAAAGCCACTCAAGCAACTTGGACCCTAACCAAAGAAAGTATGTAATCAGCTCATTTCAGTTAGGTGTTGAATGTGCCAATAGGGGCATATGTGAGGTGCCTTGGGAGCCCAAAGCAGGACCCATAACTCAACCTCAAAGGAAACAGGATGAGAATGGGTAGAGACAAGTCCAGAAGTGGGTGGTTATGGAAAGTTGAGGTGGCCTATAACACATAAACATTTTAAGTTTTTTAATGAGATAGTCTTGCGTTTTGTATCATTTTATTATAGGGAACAAAAAAAATTAGTCTCTTTGAGGTATCTAAATCTGGTTCACATTATGTAAGTATTGAACAAATTCCAGAACCAACTATATAATTACAAACCAAAGGAGAAGTAGATACTTGGGCATAATCTCTGTTGCTCAAAAACCAAAGCTGTCACATCCTCCTCTTTTGTGTAACAGCTGCCTGCAAACAAACTAGAGACCATGGGTCATCGCTATAGAAGCTCCTCTACTTATGAGTTTTCAACCTGTGAACACAAGTATTCACCAAAACCACCTCATGCCAGCGTCGCAGTCCATCAATAATTCCCTCTACCAGAGGGCATCTGCAGTTACTTTGCAGCAGGGGTTGGCAAACCCATGACTCAAGGGCCAAATCTGGTCCACTGCCTGTTTTTTTAGATGAAGTTTTATTGAAAATCAGCCATGCCTTTTATTTATATATGGCCTATGGCTGCTTTTGCATGACAGTGGCCGACTTGAATAGCTGGGACAAGCACTGAACAGCCTGCAAAGCCTAAAATATTTACTATCTGGCCCTTTATAGGAAAAGTTTGCCAACTTTTGCTTTACAGTCATTTTAGCCTTCAGAACAACTGGACATATATCTACCCACAGAACCTAAGCAAATAGACCTATTTGTCTATTAAAACTCTCCAAATCAATCATTAAGAATGAGGCTATTGTCCAACCTATGTAATGGATTTGCATTGCATAGTACTTTTCTGGGATAGCACCTTAGCTCAACAGTAACTTGGTGACAGCCACTGCTTGATACACACAAAACCATCCTCCTCTCATCTCCACGGCAGACATCACTAATCAATTGTGGCACTCTTTCTTGCCAAGGCCAGGGATGACCTCTGAATCCTTCTCAACACAGCGGTTCAGTCATCTACTACCAATAAATCAGAGTTATCCAAAGAAAGAAACCCGCCTGTCATTATGGGTTGTGATATTGGAGCAAGACTTTGAGAGATGTTTTGAGTGTTGCTAGCTAATTTCTTCCCTTGAATCCCATAACTTGGGCCCATGTCCACACTTAAGGCCAAGAGCTGACTTGATTTTCACGTTTGGTTCAGAGAAGGTGGAGAGAGGCTATATTTGTCCCATAGTGCTTCCTCAAAGTCTGTACTTAGATTTGAGAACTGAAGCTCCATTCAAAAGCCTCTGATTACTGAACATTTCTGTGGCTAAGATTTCCGCACTAAAACTGTATTTTTATTTTAAATCATTTTCTTTTCTTCCTGCATTTTCCATGCTACTGAAGCTGCCTCAAAGAAAGCCATATGAACATTGGGCACAATAGATATCTATGATTTGTAATTACTTCTGGCTTCTCAAAGTCAGGAAAAAATAAATAAAGGCATCCAAATGCATTGAATCGTTTGCTAGGTTCCAGTTTTCCAGTTCTTCTTCCACTCTGCTGCTCCCCAATAAAAATCCCCTTCCCTCAGAATCCGGCAGAAACCCAATATGCCTTTACACTCCCTCAACCACACACTTTATTATCTTAAGGTCAATACCTTTATAAACGTGCTTTTGACTGGCTTTTCTTAGATAACTTGAGGGCACTTCTTCTTTGCAAGCAATAAAAATAACCTGACCTGGGATGTTATCAAGATGAAAGTAATTACAAAGTCCTGAGCTGAACTGCCTGGGAAAGCCAGCACCCCTTATTGTTAATTCTTTGAACAAGGAGGACCTAGCTTTATGTAATTATCAGTCTCATGCCTGCCTTGTTTCAAAGGGGCCTCACCCTTAAAACATAGGTCATAAGAAATTATATATTTGGTTTTGCTAGCAATTCTTCATCACAGGTTAATATTTTTCCATAGTCATCTCATTGGAACTTTCCTACAGGCAAGTGGATATCGAGCCACCCTTACCTTTGTAAGTAACCTTGACAATTCAGTTTTCCACATAGTATCCTTTTTTCCCCTCTACCCCCCACTGAGATCTCAAGTTAGTTGGATGCTAAAGGCTATTCCAGCAGCATCAAGTTCAGTGTCAACAGTGTCAAACATAATGAAAGAAGCGGAGCATTCGAGGGAAATGAGCCTAACCTGTCCTTTTGGCATTTCCTCTATTCAGATTTTTCTGAATCATGCATCCACGGAGAAGAGCCCATTGGTGCTATTCCAGCAGACAGCAGTAAGGATGTCCATGAGCTTTATGTTGTTGTTGGGAGCTGGGATTCTACTCTTCCAGAAGAATATGACCTCAAAAGGAGCCACCACAGGTAGAAATCATGATCACTTGGGATGCTTTAGGACTAAGTTCCAGACATCTGTTAAGAACACAGACCTCTGGGTGTGAGCCACCCTTCTGCCGTTTTCCAGCTGTGTGACCTTAGCCAACATAGTCAAACTCTTTGAGCCACAGATATTTCACCTAAAAGTGGGGATAAGGAAGAGTGGTTGGAGGATGAAAGAGCTAAGACCAGTAAAGCATTCCATAACAATAGAGCAGCCAGGAGTTACTACCAAGACCTTGGCTCCTTTACCTAGAAAACCAGAGGGTTTCTTCTGAGTACATTCAAGATCCATCAGCACCAGCATTCTATTGGTCCAGTTATTGGAAGAAGAGACTCAAGGAGCCCAGCTGAAAATAACTTTAGCTTAATGGACTTTGGAGACTCAGAAGTAGGCTGGGAAGGGGATAAGGGACAAAAAACTACATATTGGGTACAATGTATACTATTTGGGTGACAGGTGCACTAAAATCTCAGATTCACCACTATACAATTCATCCATGTAACCAAAAACCACTTGTACTCCAAAAGCTATTAAAATATTTAAACTTTAGCTTAGAGTTCAGGAGATATGGGGTCCAAACCAAAGCCAATTCACTACTCTGACAAGTGACTCCTGACAAGTTACCCCAGGGAACTTCTAAAACATTGTAACATCTCTTAAGCCAATACTTACGTAAGCCGGGTTTAAGCCTTTTAACTCACTTACTCTTCACAACAACTTAGTAACATTGATGCTGTTATCATCCCCATTTTACAGATGAGGAAACTGAAGAAAAGAGAGAATGACTTTGCATATAGTCACACAATGGAATACTACACAGCCTTTAAAAAGAAGGGAACTTTCTCATCTGCAACAACATGGATGAACCTGGAAAACATTTATGCTATGTGAAATAAGCCCGGCACAGAAAGACGAACACCACATGATCTCTCATATATGTGTGATATGATTTGGCTCCGTGTCCCCACCCAAATCTCATCTTGAATTGTAATCCCCACATGATGGGGGAGCCTGGTGAGAGGTGATTGGATCATAGTGGTTTCCCCCATGTTGTTCTCATGATACTGAGTTCTTGTGAGATCTTATGGTTTGAAAGTGTGGCATTCCCCCACCACCCTGCCACCATGTAAGATGTGCATTGCTTCCCTTTTGCCTTCCGCCATAATTATAAATTTCCTGAGGCCTCCCTATCCATGCAGAACTGTGAGTCAATTAAACTTGGTTTCTTTATAAATTACCCAGTCTCAGGTAATTCTTCACAGCATTATGAAAATGGACTAATACAATGTGGAATCTTACAAAGTCAAAACTATAGAAGTAGAGAGTAGGATGGTGATTACCAGCATCTGGGGTTAGGTGATAGGGAGATGTTGATCAAAGGGCAAAAAGTTTAGACAGGAGGAGTAAGTTTTAGTGGTCTATAGTACAGCATGGTGACTATAGTTAATAATGTATTGTATGTGTCCAAATTCCTAGAACAGTAGGTTTCACACATTCTCACCACACCACAAACAAGTTAAGTAGACGAGGTGCTGGATATGTCAATTAGCTTGATTTAATCATTCTGCAATGCATACAGATATCAAAATGCCCCATTGCCCCCTATAAATATATTCAATTATTTGTCAATTTGAAAAAAGGTGTTGAGAGAAATAGAGGGTGTGACATGCAAAATAAGAGTGAGATGACAGTATAGACTGGACAAGGAGGCATCTTTAGACTGGTGCTCAAGGAAGGTCTTCCTGAAGGAGGGTCACTTGAGCTGAGGCCTGAAGGACAGAAGAAGCCAGGCACACAATGATCTGAGGAAAGCTAGTCCAGAGAGAAGTGAGTATGTGACGACCCCAAAGCACGGAGGAGCTGGATATGAGGTAGTGTTTCTCAGACCGTAAGTGCATCATATGCACCTGGAGGACGTGTTAAACACAGATCGCCGGGCCTCATCCCCAGAGTGTCTGATTCAATGTGTCTAGGGTGGGGCCAGGAGATTTTCATGTCTAACAATTTCCCAGGGATGCTGATGCTACTGAATTAGAAACAACTTGAGAACCACTAGTCTAGAAAAAGAGTCCACTAACTTTTTATGGAAAGGGCTAGTTAGTAAATATTTTTCATTTTAAATGACTAGAAGGTCTCTTGGTTGCAACTACTCAACCCTACCGTTGTATCACAAAAGCAGCTACAAATAGTGTGTAAACAAATGAGCACGGCTGTAATCCAATAAAACTTGATTTATAAAAAGAAACAGCAGGCTGGAGTTACTTCATGGGCCATAGTTTGCTGGCCCCTGGTCTAGCGGAAGCAGGGGCCAACTATAAACCCGCCTTAAACTCCCTTCAGGCTAGAAAGCAAAGCAAGTCCCTATTGCCCCACATCATGGCCCCCACAAGAAACAACTGCAGGTTCTCTTCATTTTGATTACACTTTCGTGTCTCAGCCTAAAAGCCACTTCCCTGGGAAGCCTTTCCAACTCCCTAGGTCTGGGTTGGGTGTCCATCTTCTATATGCCTATGGTGCCACTCACTTGCTCCATCACAGCACCGAGTCCAGTGTGACATGAGTGACTAGGTGGTCGTCTTTCTTAGAGAGGGGGACAAGTTCTGTCCCCTCCAGGCCCCATCCCTGGTACCTGGCACAGGGTCTGGTGTACAACAGGCCACTGAGAGCATTGCTTCCGTTTTTCCCATTTCCGCATCCATTTCAGTGGCCTTGAGCTGCTGTCTCCATGCACACAGTTGACCTGGGGGTCTTGTTAAAATACAGAGTCTGATTTCTTCAGCCTGGGGTGAGACCTGAGACTCTGCATTTCTAAACAAATGGGATGAGATGTCAAGGCTGCCAGCCTGTAGACCACACTTTCTATGGCAAGAATTTAGAAAACAGAATAAAAGCATCCCTCTGAAGCTACCATAGAAGTGGAGGCCCTTGAATCACTTTCTCAAACACGACTGACGTAGAAACCCAGGACCCCGGGCCTGGCTTCCTGACTGATGTTGAAAGAAACCATACTTAACAACAAACAAGGGAATTATACTTCACAAGCCTCATTATATTTCCTGTTATTTTAACTATCATTGTAATTAAACTCAAAGATTTACCACACACAGCTCACTTTGGCACATTGTACACACTTTGATTTTCAGCATATTCAACCTACTCTGGTGCCCTTGAAATTCATTTGTCAAACAAAGGGATGTCACTGGCTATAAATCATAAGAGCACTTTATTAGGCAAAGCTCCCAACTCTCTTGTGCCAGGTTTGTCAAGAAACAGAGCATTTCGATATGTTCTAAATTGTATGTTGTTCTCATGCTCCTGGCCACTGGCATCTGCCGCACAGAAGACTTAAAATCAACATGGAATGATAGTGCCTTGGAGCTAGCAGGGATCTTGTATTTCTCGGCTCCAAACCCATTTATTGACAGACAAAGAGGTTGAACTCAGAGAGGTTAAGTAAGCCACACAGCTCACTTTTTTGAGAGCCACACAGCAAGGTACATGCAGGTACTAGAATTGGTGATTCCTGAATTCTGAGCCTGAAAGCTTTCATTTTTCAATAATGATTCTCAAACTGTGGCCCATGCTGGCACTGGTTCATGAACTATTTTTTACCTGTCTAAAACGAGATCAATAAAGAAATTGAGAATATGTTTACTAACTTTTACAGCAAGTTGACACTGCTGAGACATCTGAGCATAGGGTCTGTGGCGTGTCTCACCAAACCAGGTATAGGTCATTTGGGGTGCTTGCTCCCTGGTAAATTTGGTGTGGCCCAAGCTGCGTTGGAAGTAAGGCCATGAACAGATCTATGATGAACTGGAAATAAAGCCTAGTACTGGCCAGGCGGGGTGGCTCACACATGTAATCCCAGCACTCTGTGAGGCCGATGCAGGTGGACCACCTGAGGTCAGGAGTTCGAGACTAGCCTGGCCAACATGGCAAAACCCGTCTCTACTAAAAATACAAAAATTAGCTGGGCATTGTGGCGCACACCTGTAGTGCCAGCTACTCGAGAGGCTGAGGCATGAGAATCACTTGAACCCAGGAGGCGGAAGTTGCAGTAAGCCAAGATCACACTGCACTTCAGCCTGGGTGACAGAGCGAGACTGTCTCAAAACAAAATTAAACTAAAACCTAGTACTTCACCAGGACTACTAGTTTGAGAAGCATTGATTTATACCATGAATCTCTTCTACTCTATTACCACAAATCTGTAGTGCTGTCCTAATTCGCAGTTTAATTCAAAAACATATTATTGCATTACTTATCAGTTGGAAATCCCTAAGAAGCAAAACTCTAGCTACCTCCCAGGACAAATCCTCAGTCTGGTAGGGGAATGAATGCAGCCTCTTGCAGCTAAGAACTTCAGCTCTTGGGAGAGCTAATTTGTGGGCTCATCCTGGTCCACCACTTCCCTCCCATTTGACTTTAGTCAGTCTCCTTCAAGTCTGTAAGCCTCAGTTTGCTCTTCTATAAATTGGGAGTAAGAGTAATATCCACAGGCTGTAAGATTGTTGTGAGAATTCAAAAAGAAAAAACAAAAGAAGAAAACTCTGATAATTCACATGAAGTGCATAGCACAGTTTCTGGCACATAGAAAGTGGCCCCCAAGGCCGGGTGTGGTGGCTCACACCTGTAATCCCAGCACTTTGGGAGGCCGAGGCAGGCAGATCACGAGGTCAGGAGATGGAGACCATCCTGGCTAACACAGTGAAACCCCCGTCTCTACTAAAAAATACAAAAAAAATTAGCCGGGCGTGGTGGCGGGCACCTGTAATCCCAGCCACTGAGGAGGCCGAGACAGGAGAATGGTGTGAACCCGGGAGGCGGAACTTGCAGTGAGCCGAGATTGCGCCACTGCACTCCAGCCTGGGGCCACAGAGCAAGACTCCGTCTCAAAAAAAAAAAAAAAAAAAAAAAAAAGAAAGAAAGAAAGTGGCCTCCAAATGTGCACTGTTGTAACTATTAGTACAGGAGGTAGCAATATAGACCCGTGAAGTCAATTTGCTTGTATTGCAATCCCGGTTTCATCACTTACTAGCTGGGTGATATTAAGCAAGCCACTATCCTAAAAACCTCCTCACCTGCAAATGAGAATATTTCTAGAATATTCTAGAAGAATATTGTGAGGATTAAAGGGAATAATCCATACAAAGCATTGAGCATCATACCAGACACGCAGCAAACACACAGACAACATCTAAGAGGGCTGTCTCTTATCATCCCAGTTATTTTGGAAAGAATTTGCCTTAGAGGGAATTCAGATATAATAGTTTATGTGGGTAAATTCCTGGCCTCTTCCTCAATTTGTGGAACTATAAGTTATGATTAAAAAATAAAAGGCAACAATAGTCAGACCACAGAGGACCAATGTAGGTTTACTCTCAGAACAGTTAGACAAGTTGCAATGTCCTCTTCAACCCAAGAGCAGATTCAAACATTTTTACCATTTCTTGTGGCCTGTTTCTTTTATGGGTTTAAAATGATTTGATCTATTTACAAATGAGATTATCCATAGCTTGGGCTTGCCAAGAATTAAGTAACTAGACAATACAGTATGGCATTAATTTCTCTTCTGCTGTGGTCAGGAGTAGGCCACAGGGCATCTCCATGTCTGCCAAAAGCCATTTGGCAGCTGTTTCCTTGGGCAGTTTGGTCTCGCTCAATTCTGGCCCCGCTGGTCAGGGATGAGCAGATGGAGCAACACTTTGCAAAGGGACCTGGCTGACTCTCCATCAGATGTATTGAGCTCAGACCTGCAGTGAGCCATACTGTGTTACTAGTTACATGAACAGAACAAACAATACTGAATATATTACAAGCTAAGCATTTGAGGAGTGAGAAACTGAAACCCTAGATTCTAAGCAAGGACCGTCATCTGTTGTTGAAGAGGCAGAAGGAAGCAGGCTCATCAATTTCCAAACAAACACACAAGCCAGGTGGCAAAGCAACAGAGAAGGCTTTTCTGGGGCTTCTATAGCGCCCTGGAAATAGGTCTAAATATAACAGGGTATAAGAAGCAGCAACCTTGGACAACAGAGAAGAGAATATAGTCAATTACTGGGTACACAACTTAAATCCCCTATAATGAAGAAGTGTCCCCAGTACTCTGGGCTGGTGGCCTTCTGGGAATACTGCTGAGTGACACAAGAAGAAAAAGGAAGATTACTTCCCAATAATCATCCCTGGTGGTTGTCCTGCTATGTCACCCAGCTCCCAGCACAGATAGAAGAGAGCCCTATATGAGCTCTAGAGCAGTAATGCACTCTGTGTTCATGGTAAAGAGAGTTCGGAGATGAACTGCCCAATATAGTAGCCACTAGCTGTATGTTGCTATTTAAATGTAAATTAAGTTTGAAATTCACTTCCTTGGTTTTGTGTCCGGAATTGGTGGGTTCTTGGTCTCACTGACTTCAAGAATGAAGCCGTGGACCCTCGCGGTGTTACAGCTCTTAAGGTGGCGTGTCTGGAGTCTGTCCCTTCTGATGTTCAGATGTGTTCGGAGTTTCTTCTTCTGGTGGGTTCGTGGTCTCGCTGGGCTCAGGAATGAAGCTGCAGATCTTCACGGTGAGTGTCACAGCTCATAAAAGCAGCGTGGACCCAAAGAGTGAGCAGTAGAAAGATTTATTGCAAAGAGCGAAAGAACAAAGCTCCCACAGTGTGGAAGGGGACCCGAGCGGGTTGCCAATGCTGGCTCGGGCAGCCTGCTTTTAGTCTCTTATCTGGCCCCACCCACATCCTGCTGATTGGTAGAGCCCAGTGGCCTGTTTTGTCAGGGCGCTGATTGGTGCCTTTACAATCCCTGAGCTAGATACAAAGGTTCTCCACGTCCCCATCAGATTAGTTAGATACAGAGTTTCCACACACAGGTTCTCCAAGGCCCCACCAGAGCAGCTAGATACAGAGTGTCGATTGGTGCACTCACAAACCTTGAGCTAAACACAGGGTGCTGATTGGTGTATTTACAATCCCTGAGCTAGACATAAAGACTCTCCACGTCCCCACCAGACTCAGGAGCCCAGCTGGCTTCACCTAGTGGATCCCGCACCGGGGCTGCAGGTGGAGCTGCCTGCCAGTCCTGGGCTGTGCGCTCGCATTCCTCAGCCCTTGGGTGGTCGATGGGACTGGGCGCCTGGAGCAGGGGGTGGTGCTCGTCGGGGAGGCTCGGGCCGCACAGGAGCCCATGGAGTGGGTGGGAGGCTCAGGCATGGCGGGCTGCAGGTCCCAAGCCCTGCCCCGCGGGAAGGCAGCTAAGGCCCGGAGAGAAATCGAGCACAGCGCCGGTGGGCCGGCACTGCTGGGGGACCCAGTACACCCTCCGCAGCCACTGGCCCGGGTGCTAAGTCCCTCATTGCCCGGGGCCAGCAGGGATGGCTGGCTGCTCCGAGTGCGAGGCCTGCCAAGCCCACGCCCACCCGGAACTCCAGCTGGCCCACAAGCGCCGCACGCAGCCCCGGTTCCCGCTTGCGCCTCTCCCTCCACACCTCCCTGCAAGCTGAGGGAGTGGGCTCCAGCCTTGGCCAGCCCAGAAAGGGGCTCCCACAGTGCCGGGGGACGCTGAAGGGCTCCTCAGATGCCGCCAAAGTGGGAGCCCAGGCAGGGGAGGTGCCGAGAGCAAGCGAGGGCTCTGAGGACTGCCAGCACGCTGTCACCTCTCACCTTCACATGTATTATTGCCTTTAATCTTCAGAACAACCCTCAAAAATAGTAGCCATTATTCTTCCCATTTTAGAAATGAGGAAGCTGAAGCTCAGAAAGCTGGTAGTCAGGGACCAGGAACATACATTGGGGAAAGGACAGTCTTGTTAATAAATGGTACTAGAGGTCAGGCACGGTGGCTCACGCCTGTAATCCCAACACTTTGGGAGGCTGAGGCGGGCACATCACCTGAGGCCAGGATTTCAAGACCTGGCCAACATGGTGAAACCCCATCTCTACTAAAAATACAAAATTTCGTCGGCATGGTGGTACACGCCTCTTGGGATGCTGAGGCAGGAGAATAGCTTGAACCCAGGAGGTTGAGTTTGCAGTGAGCTGAGATGGCACCACTGCACTCCAGCCTGGGCAACAGAGTGAGACCCCGGCTCAAAAAAATAAAATAAAATAAATGGTGCTAGGAAAACAAGATATCCATATGCAGAAGAATGAAGCTAGGTCCCCATCTTTCACCATATATTTAATCAACTCAAAATGGAGTAAAGACTTAATTTTAAGACCAGAAACTATGAAACTACTACACTTTCTACTACTTTCTGTAGAAGAAAATGCTACAGGACATTGGCCTGGGCAAAGATTTGTTGAGTTAAGACTTCAAAACCACAGGCAACCAAAGCAAAACTGGACAAATAGGATCACATCAAGCTAAAAAGCTTCTGCACAGCAAAGGAAACAAAGTTAAGAGAAAACCCATGCAATGGGAGAAAATATGTGCAAACTATCCATCTGAGAAGAGATTAATAACCAGAATATATATAGAACAAATGAAGACATACAAATGGCCAACGGGTATATAGAAAAATGCCCAACATCATTAATCATCAGGGAAATGCAGATCAAAACCACAAGGAGATAGCTCCTCATCCCAGTTAGAATGGCTGTTATCAAAAAGGAAAAAAATAGCAAATGCTGGCAAGAATGCAGAGAAAGGGGAACCTGCATATGCTGTTTGTGGAAATGTAAATTAGGACAGCCATTATGGAGAACAGTATTGAGGTTGCTCAAAAACCTAAAAAACAAAACTACCACATGATCCAGCAATCCCATTGCTGGGTATATATCTGAAAGAGAGGAGATTGGTATATTGAAGAGATAATGTGCACTCCCATGTTTGTTACAGCACTAGTCACAGTAACCAAGATATGAAATCAACCTAAATGCCCATTGATGAATGAATGGATAAAGAACTGTGGTACATATATACAATAGAAAACTGTTCACCCTTAAAGAATGAAATCAGCCAGGTGTGGTAGTACATACCTGTAATCCCAGCACTTTGGGAGGCCAAGACTGGAGGATCACTTGAATTAAGGAGTTCGAGGCCAGCCTAGGCAACATGAAAAAACCGTCTCTCCAAAAAAAAAAAAAAAATAGCAAGCTACTTGAGAGGCTGAGATAAGAGAGAATTACTTGAACCTGGGAGGTTGAGGCTGCAGTGAGCCAAGATCACACCACTGCCCTCCAGCGTGGGGGACACAGTGAGACCCTGTCTCAAAAAAAGAATGAATCCTGTTATTTGCAGCAACATGAATGGAACTAGAGGGCATTATGTTAAGTGAAATAAGCCAGACACAGGAAGACCAATGCCACATGTTCTCACTCACATGTGAAAAGCTTAAAAAGTGACTCTCGGGGAGGTAGAGAGTAGGATGGTGGATACCAGAGGCTGGAAACGGAAGTGGGGAGGGAGAATGAGAGGTGGTGGTTAAGGGGTACAAAAATACAGTCAGAAGGAATAAGTTCTAGTATTCAGTAGCACAGCAGGGAAATTATAGTTAACAATAGTTTGTTATATATTTCAAAATAGCTAGATTTGTTTTGAGGGGGATACTTTTAACTTTTATTTTAGGTTCAGGGGTATATGTGCAGTTTTATTGTATAGGTAAACTCATATCACAGGGGCTTGTCATACAGATTATTTTGCCACTCAGGTACTAAGTCTAGAACCCAATAGTTATTTTTTCTGCTCCTCTCCCTCCTCCCACCCCCCCACCCTCAAGTAGGCCCCAGCATCCGTTGTTCCCCTTTGTGTCCATGAGTTGTCATCATTTAGCTCCCACTTATAGGCAAGAACATGTGGTATTTGGTTTTCTGTTCCTGCATTAGTTTGCTAAGGATAATGCCTCCAGCTCCATCCATATTCCCACAAAAGACATGATCTCATCCTTTTTTATGGTTATATAGTATTCCATGGTATATATGTACCACATTTTCTTTATCCAATCCATCACTGATGGACATTTAGGTTGATCCCATGTCTTTGCTATTGTGAGTAGTGCTGCAGTGAACATATGTGTGCATGTGTCTTTAAAATATAATGATTTATATTCCTTTGGGTATATACCCAGGAATAAGATTGCTGGGTGAAATGGTAGTTCTGTTTTTAGCTCTTTGAGGAATCACCACACTGCTTTTCACAATAGTTGAACTAATCTACACTCCCACCAACAGTATATAAGCATTCCCTTTTCTCTGCAACCTTGCCAGCATCTGTTATTTTTTTTACTTTTTAATAATCGCCATTCTGACTGGTGTGAGATGGTATCTCATTGTGGTTTTGATTTGCATTCCTCTAATGATAAGTGATATTGAGCTTTCTTTCATATGCTCATTGGCTGCATGTATGTCTTCCTTTGAAAAGTGTCTGTTCATGTCCTTTGCCCACTTTTTAATGGGTTTTTTCTTGTAAACTTAAGTTCCTTATAGATGCTGGATATTAGACCTTTGTCAGATGCTAGTTTGTAAAAATTTTCTCCCATTCTGTAGGTTGTCTGTTTACTCTATTGATAGTTTCTTTTGATGTGCAGAAGCTCTTTAGTTTAATTAGATCCTATTAGTCAATTTT
Organism: Homo sapiens; assembly: GCF_000001405.40. NCBI lineage: Eukaryota > Metazoa > Chordata > Mammalia > Primates > Hominidae > Homo > Homo sapiens. The sequence continues at coordinate 73,266,107 of NC_000003.12, read as the reverse complement.
TGCTTTCGTTGTAATCGCTTTTGGCATCTTCGTCATGAAATCTTTGCCTATTCCTATGTCCCTATGTCCAGAATGGCATTCCCTAGGTTGTCTTCCAGGGTTTTTATAGTTTTGGGTTTTACATTTAAGTCTTGAATCCATCTTGAGTTTATTTTTGTATATGGTACAAGGAAGGGGTCCAGTTGCAATCTTCTGCATATGGCTAGCCAGTTATCCCAGTAGCTTTTACTGAATAGGGAGTCCCTTCCCCATTGCTTGTTTTTGTCAGCTTTGTAGAAGATCAGATGGTTGTAGGTGTTTGACCTTATTTCTGGGTTCTCTATTCTGTTCCATTGGTCTATATGTCTGTTTTTGTACCGGTACCATGCTGTTTTGGTTACTGTAGCCCTGTAGTATAAAGTAGGGTAGTGTGATGCCTCCAGCTTTGTTCTTTTACTTAGGATTGCCTTGGCTATTAAGGCTTTTTGGTTCGATATGAATTTTTAAAGTTTTTTTTTCTAGTTCTGTAAAGAATGTCACTGGTAGTTTGATATGAGTAGCATAGAATCTACAAAATGCTTTGGGCAATGTGACCATTCTAATGATATTGATTCTTGCTATCCATGAATATGTGATGTCCTTCCATTTGTTTGTGTCATCTCTGATTTCTTTGAGCAGTGTTTTGTAATTCTCATTGTAGAGATCTTTCACCTCCCTCGTTAGCTGTATTCCTAGGTATTTTATTCTTTTTGTGGCAACTGTGAATGGGATTGCATTGCTGATTTGGCTCTTGGTTTGGCTGTTGTTGGTGCCTAGGAATGCTAGTGGTTTTTGTATGTTGATTTTGTATACTAAAACTTTGCTGAAGTTGTTTATCAGCTGAAGGAGCTTTTGGGCTGAGACAATGGGGTTTTCTCAATATAGAAACCATGTCATCTGCCAACAGGGAAGTTTGACTTCCTCTCTTCCTATTTGGATGTCGTTTATTTTTTTTCTCTTGCCTGATTGCTCTGGCCAGAACTTCCAAGACTATGTTGAATAGGAGTGGTGAGAGAGGGCAACCTTGTCTTGTGCTGGTTTTCAAGGGGAATGCTTCCAGCTTTTCCCCATTCAGTATGATGTTGGCTGTGGGTCTGTCATACATTGTTCTTATTATTTTGAGGTATGTTCCTTCAATACCTATTGAGAGTTTTTAATATGGAAGGCTGTTGAATTTTATTGAAAGGCTGTTCTGCATCTATTGAGACGATCATGTGGTTTTTGTCTTTAGTCCGTTTATGTGATAAATCACATTTATTGGTTTGCGTATGTTGAACCAACCTTGCATCCCAGGAATGAAGCCCACTTGGTCATGGTGGATCAGCTTTCGGATATGCTGCTTGATTCAGTTTGCAAGTATTTTGTTGAGGATTTTTGCATCAATGTTCATCAAGGATATTGGCCTGAACTTTTCTTTTTTTTGTTGTGTCTCTGCCAGAATGAGTTGGGGAGGAGTCTCTTCTTCTCAATTTTTTGGAATAGTTTCAGTAGGAATGGTACCAGCTCTTCATTCTACATCTGGTAGAATTCGGCTGTGAATCCATCTGGTCCTGAGCATTTTTTGGTTGGTAGGCTATTTATTACTGATTCAATTTTGGAGTTCATTATTGGTCTGTTCAGGGATTCCACTTCTTCCTGGTTCAGTCTTGGGATAATGCATGTGTCCAGGAATGTATCCATCTCTTCTAGGTTTTCTAGTTTGTGTGCATAGGGGTGTTTGTAGTAGTTTCTGAAGGTCATTTTTATTTCTGTGGGGTCAGTGGTAACATCCCTTTTCTCATTTCTAATTGTGTTTATTTGGAGCTGAAGAGATTTTAATGTTCTCAACACACACAAAAAAATGTTAGAGATGATGAATGTCCCAATTACCTTGATTTGATCATTACACATTGTATGCAGGCATCAAAATATCACATATACCCCTAAAATATGTACAACTATTATACATCAATTTTTTAAAAGAAAGCTAATTGTCCAAGGTTACACAGCTGGTAATAGGAAAACCCAAGATTCACACTTCGGCTATGGACTCCAGCGCCTGCATTCTTTACCATGTCATAAAATGACCATACATTTTCTCTTCCAACAGGACACTTTTAAGAGTGAAAGAAGAAGCTATTAATAAGTATTCCAGGACAATAAGTACAAACTGCAACTGTCCTAGGCAAATCAAGATGTCCCAGGCAAAGCTCTACCACTAGGCTATGCTGCCCCTCTACAATGTTGCTACAAGAGTCTGCTGGACCCTGGGAACCATCAGGGGATCTCAGTATAGCTGAAAGGACAACACTGTTGTAGGTTCCCAGGTACCTGTTACATGACAAATTATAGACACTTGCATTTTGGTGCTCCCAAAATACACACCGGCATCTGACTGCTGAAACTAGCCTTGTGGGCTGACTTGGGGACCCCAGAGCAGGGAACGAATAAGAGAAACCCAAGCTCGTATTTCCATGGTATGAGGGTGGAAGGTTCCATCTTCAGCCACTGAGAACAAATTCTTGTCAATGAGAACAAAGACAAGTCTGGGTCAATTTCACACCAATCATAATTCATCATCACATGACTCCCTGCACAGTCCCTCACATATTATTTAGAGGAGGCAGACCGCATTAGGGGGAGAAGAGCCTGCTAATCAACAGATCTGAATCACTGCTCTGCCCCAGGAGCTGTGCTCTGTGGAGCTCACCCACTGCAGAACGAGCTCGGCACCCATCTACGAATGTATTGCTAAGGATCATTGGGGATGGGGTGACCCAGAAGTGAACTGGCTCCATGATCCATTAAACAATCACCCTGAAATCCACAGTGCCAGTCAACTAATGGGGCTTGGAGCCATCATTAGGTCACTGGAAAATGATATCTTCCTGGAGGTTGATACTGGCTTCACCATCCTGAGAGCAGAAGGCTTGAGGGAGGAACAGCCTCCTGGGCATGGAGGCACCTGCCATCCCACATCAAATCACAGAGCCATGCTTAAAAGGTGGGTGGGGTGGGGTGGGTGGGGAGATGACGACAAATGAGGACAATGGGGCAGAAGGCCTGGCTCTACTGTCATCTTGCAATGTGTCCCAGAGCCCATCTCTTCAATCCTGTATACAAATTTCTTTTTGCCCATCTATAATGAGCAAAATGATTATACTCACCTACAGGTTTTATGAAGATTAGATGAGATGATAGATGAAAAGTATCCTTAGTATCCTCTTTAGCACAGCATCTGGCTCATATTAGGGGCTCAATAAATGTTACTAGTGATAAAAATTATTATTATATCAGCAGTGATAAAGTATACCATGATATCAACTCGTATATTAATATTATGCAAAATATTAATGATATAATAACTGGTTATCATTATTATATATTGTTATTACGTGTTGAATCAGAGTTACTTGCTAAATGTGATACTTAAAATCAAAGACATACGGCTGGGTACAGTGGCTCACACCTGTAATCCCAGCACTTTGGGAGGCCAAGGCAGGCAGATCACCTGAGGTCAGGAGTTTGAGACCAGCTTGGCCAACAGGGTGAAACCCCTGTCTCTTCAAAAACACAAAAAAATTAGCCAGGCGTGGTGGTGTGCACCTGCCATCTCAGCTACTTGGGAGGCTGAAGAAGGAGAATCGCTTGAGCCCAGAAGGCAAAGGTTCCAGTGAGCCAAGATCACGCCACTGCACTACAGCCTGGGCAACAGAGTGAGAGTCCCTCTTGAAAAATAAAAAATAGGATAAAATAAAAGAGACAGAATGGAGTAAAACAAAACAGATTGCAGTGGAAATATACAAAGAATGAGGCCCCAAATTCCTAGGTCAAAGATCAAGGTCAAGATATCACTTATACAAAACACCTCCAGATTTCAAGATTCTCCCAAAAGTCACTCTTTGACATAACCCAAGAGTGTGGGGAGGGCAGGGAAGGAAGTAGAATCAGTATTCCATGGCCGTGTCTAAATGAACATTGATAATCAACAGAAGTCAGCTTCAGATCCCAAATCCTAGCTGAGCAGAGAAGCACAAAAGTACCCACAGCACCTAAGTACATAGTGTTGGGCAACATTAGATCTGCCTCACTAAGACCCAACTGGTCTATTGTCTCCATAAACAAATCTTCCTTTCTGGGACCAATGTTTCAGCAAAAGAAAAAAGAGAGAGAGAGAGAGAATGAATTGAATAGCTTTATTTATTATTTATTTATTTACTGAGACAGAGTTTTGCTCTTGTTGCCCAGGCTTGAGTACAGTGGTGTGATCTCGGCTCACTGCAACCTCCGCCTCCTGGCTTCAAGAGAATCTCCTGTCTCAGCCTCCTGAGTAGCTGGGATTACAGGCATGAGCCACCACGCCTGGCTAATTTTTTATTTTTAGTAGAGACAGGGTTTTGCCATGTTGGTCAGGCTGGTTTTGAACTCCTGACCTCAAGTGATCCACCCACCTCGGCCTCCCAAAGTGCTGGGATTACAGGAGTGAGAAATAACTTTATAATATGGAAATAGCAACATTTCAAACATTTACTTTCCCCTCTCTTCTTCCCCAGGGATGCCTCTGAGTTCAAGGGTGAGAGCTACAGTCAGAACTGTTTCCTTCGATCCCTGATTGACAGATGTCACCTTATTCCTTGCCTTATTTACGTCACCGCATGTTTGGTGATCTTCTCACTAGTACTCTCCTCCCCAAATCCCAAGCAATCATCTACAAGCACAATAAGATTTCACACTGGGCTATTGCTAAACTAGTGCAATTCACAAAAGACTTTTGAAAATCTGGAGCTAGATAAAGAAAGGAGGGACTTCCATGAATTACAGCCCATCCACACAAAATCAATACTATGCAAGTGGCAGTATAGCATGGAGAGCTGTTTCCCCTTCTGAGCAGGATGCAGCAGTTATCAGTTCAGCTAACGTAACATGTGAGTGACAACTTAGTAAAATTGAAAAACTCGATGACTTCCAGCCATCATTCAAGGGCTGGGACTATAATTCATCAAGTTACTGACCAGAGTTCAATCGTCATCTGTCCTTCTCTATCCACACCCTTCCACTAGCTCTCCCCTGCCCTACATTCTAATTCTCTCACTGTTTCTAAATTCCTTCTTTTTCAATAACTCATAAAGGGATGGCCCATGGTAGACAGCTTTTACCTCCAATTCTGACCACAACAGACAACTCCTCCAGTCCACAGCTCCTCGAAGGCTCTCCCTCCCTTCTCTACTGGCCTTCAAATTGGCCTATTTATAAGCAATGCTTAAGATTCCCCCAAAGCAAGGTCATAAACTCAAATCCCAATCAGGGCCAGGTGGATGACTTATGTGGAAGAAGTGAGCCGGGTGAGGATTTCTACTTCGAGAAATCTTGCTCGAAGCGCTTTCATGATTCTCTCCTACACAACAAACCCTGAACTCTTAGAAGCAGCTCTTGGCACAGGAGCCTCCAACCCGTTTTTCAGCCGGCTTTCTCTACTTGTTTCTCATTCCATGATCACAGAAAACAGCTCCATTAAGACTCTTTTCAGGTCTACCAAAGAGCTAGTGATTGGTACGTTCTGCTTAACCTCTAAATCTAAAAAACCAGTGACTTTGCCAGCCTCTACAATTAGGGCAACTAAGATAGGAATAGCAGCCAGTAAATTTTCCTGCATTATTGATTTTCACTAAGCGTGTGGCACATTGTATTTTCTCCAATCGAGTGGAGATACTTGTTTCCTCAGCACTCAATCGATGTTTCTTCGGCATTACTCAAAGTGCAGCTGTGAGTCTGGGCTGCAAGGGACGAGACCCATGTAACAAAAACATCCAGAGTTTTCAACATCCACTTCTGACTTTTCTAGTTCAATCTCCTGACTCCACTTGGAGAAACTCCAAAATAAATTTCCTTCCACCTTTAAGTCACCTCTTTTCTTATTCTTTTAAATATACTGTCTGCCAAAGAGAGCTAGCATTGCCTGTGGATTATTTCACTACCTTCAGGGAAAGGACATGGTTTTTCCTTTTTGATTCATTGCATATTAACTCTCTCCAGAAATAGCAAGAATTCCTTTGAATTAGTAAACCCAAGTTACACACGAAATTCATGTGGAGAAGCCAATCAACCCCAGATGGAGTAGTATGTTGACAAGAGGCATATCCTGGGGGGATGCATGTAGACTAAGAAATGGTGAGGGAAGAGAAAATGGAAAAAACCTTACTGGCTGCTGATTGTCTTCCCCACCCCAACACACCCACCCATGTACCCCACATCCCTCAGGATTAGATGATCCTCCTGGAAAATAGGCTGATTTGGTCCAAAGTTTCAGAAAGAACTCATTGATTCAGAACTGGCCAATTAACTTTTTCAGGAACGAATATTCCATATTTGTGCTATCCAATATGGTAGCTACTAGCTATATGATGCTATTAAGCATTTGAATGTGACTAGTGTAAATAAGAATTTTAAAGTGTGCTTTAAATTTTAAATGTAGGAAAAGATTGCTGTTTGCTGAGCCTTGCCAACTTTGTCTTCCTGTTAGGGCCAAAGGATGCTAGAAGGGATTTCCAGGTTGTCTCCAGAGGCAGTGCAGATTTTTGGAGGAAGCTAGCATCATCTGATGGCAGCATCTGTCTTCTATCGATCGGAAAGCCAGAACTGATTAGGCTAATCCAGTTGATTAAGTAGAGTCTCCTTGCTTTTCTGCCCTCCTCCCTGAACCTCCCTTAAGAAACATCCAGTCCATTCAAAGAATAAACAGGTGATCAAAGGTGCCAGTTAATCCCACTCCTCCTCAAATTTTTATGCTGAAGATGTGTAGCAAAGCAATTTTCCTCACAATTCCATCTACAAAACAAAGAAAAAAATGCTTAACCATTTGCTTAGGTCTGAATGCACTAATCCTAGTTCCTGGTAATTCTCAAGCCCCTATATAATTGTTGCTTTATCTCCTTACTTTATCTTGTTTGTTGTTTGTGTCCTTTAAAATCAACTCATACTTTTCTATCTAAATTTATTTGTGCAAGTGACTTTATACCTCTATACAGAGGCAAACACACAGGTCTGATGTCCTAATGACATTTTCTAATTTACTATTTTTTTTTATTTTTCAGACAGGATCTGACTCTGTCACCCAGGCTGGAGTACAGTAGTGTTAGCTTACTCCAACCCCCAGCTCCCAGGCTCAAGTGATCCTCCCACCTTAGCCTCCCAGATAGGTTGGAACTACGTATACGCACTACCACGCCAAGCTAATTTTCTTTTTTCTTTTTTTTTTTTTTTTTTTTTTTTTTGTAGAGATGACGTTCCACTATGTTGCCCAGGCTGGTCCTGAACTCCTGGGCTCAAGTGATCTGTCCACCTTGGCCTCCCAAAGTGCTGGGATTACAGGTGTGAGCCACCACGCCCCACCAAAATGTTTGAATAATATGTGCCTAACACACTCACTGACCTGATGAGTGTGGGTGGGTGGCTACATTTTGGACAATGTTGCCTATTATCCTGAAATTCAAGGATAATTATGAGTTGTTCATTTCTTTCACTTCAGTTTTGCATAGACATTTGCATTATGCATTACTTTATATGAATCCTAGGAGAAACCATTGCACCTGCAAAAAGTGTAGGGATATGTGTAATTGTGAAAAACTTCTTTGTGCTTAAGAAGGAAAAAAATCTGTAGAAAGAGGACCTGCTTGCTTCTGATCACCAGATTTTCAGATCTGACCCTTTGTGACTCTACATCCCTTCTCTGCAGCACAGGATTCTGTCCTCTGATTCTTTTCTTACAATAGAAGTGCAACCTTGCAATTGCCATTTAGGCTCCTTGAAAGACTATGCTTCAGCCAGGACCCCTCGTTCTGGGCACATGATGCCCTTCACATGCAGACAGCTCTGACCTCTGTGATGCTAATCGCCTGTCTGTGCAGCCGCCCCTCACAAGTCATCATCGTGGATGGCCTCCTTGCCTAATTTTACTACTCTTTCAGAAACAATTAATTGAGATTAGCCTATAAACCCTCCATATAAAATGGGCAATTATCAATTACTGACACTTCTCCAGCTCCACTCCTCTGTAAGAGAAGCACTCCAGGGCTCCTTAATCACCCGTCAAGTCTCCCTCCCACCACTGTCTGACCTAGGCTGTGATGGGCAAACACTGAGAAGTCAACTCAGAGCAAGGGGAAGCCAGCTTGGCCTCCAGTTTCCCCAAATGTAGCCCAAGGGCCATAAAAATCTATCTTCAGGTTTGTCTGGAGTTGCTGATCCCTTGCAGCAGTTGTCACAGAACAAAGTACCTGCAGCCCCTGATTTAAAGGATTCATTTATTCAACAAATATATCTGTGGACCTACTACCTGGCAGGGACCTTGAACAGCAGTGACTGAGGCAGACAAAGTCCTTACCCTCTGGAAGCCAATTTCTAGTTTGGGAGACAGATTATACGCTAGTAATCAAGTAAATAAACAAGACAGTAAAATTTGATCAGGGCTACAAAGACAGTAGACAAAGAAATATGAGAGCGTAACCATGATATGAAAGGGGCCCCATGGAATTGTACAGCCCTTAAGCTGCACAAATCTATGTGGTGTCCATGTAAACACGGATGGCCAAGGAATGCCTCTCTAGAAAGGGAACATTTGAGCTGATGCTCAAACAGAAGGAAGGAGCAGCCCAGCCAGAGAGGACAAGGGCCAAGACCTGTCATGGGGCAGGGCTCGACCTGTTGGAAGAACAGAAAGGAGGCCCACGTGCTGGTGCATGTGTGAGATGCGGAGACAGTGTGGCTGCAGTGTCAGGAGGGAGTAGGTTGAGCAGAGTCTGGAGGTACATGGAGTACAGATCCTGAGCACATGGGAAAGTAAATGAAGTTGTTTGAAGCAGAGAAATGCTGTGATATTGGCCAATTCATATTTTAAAAATAACCTCTGCTGCTGAGCAGAGAATGAGTGACAGGGCACAAGACTGGAAGCACAGAAATGTGATTTAGGCCAAGCCAGTGCTTCTCACCTCTGGCTGCATGTTGAAACAACCCTTGGAGCAGAGCATTTAAAAAATAGTGATGCCCTGGCCCCACCTACAGACACCAATTCCATCAATGTGGGGTGAGTCCCAGGGGTCCGTATTCTTAAAAGCTCTCCAGGCAATTCTAAGGTGAAGCTAAGGATAAAAACACTGGCCTAGAGGTTATGCTGTGACAACCTATAGAGAAAGTCTACACAGTGGTTCTCCATGTGGGCTCCCTGAACTAGCAGCATCAGCTTCACCTGGGAACTTGTTAGAAATTCAAATTATTGGGCCCCACTCAAATCTACTCTATCAGAAACTCTGGGGGTGGGGCCCAGTCATCTGTTTTAACACAGCTTCCAGGTGATTCTGTTACTGCAAATATTTGAGAACTTCTGGTCTAGATGGTACCTTTCTAGAAAAATGAGAATATTCCAGGGCCAGAATTCCTGGTACTGGGAAGATGAACAACTATGCCAATAGAAAATGGTACTATTACAGAATATCTCAGAATTAAACAATAGTGATAAAGCTGCTCCCCCATTTACAAAGATAAGGCATTAGGCATTAAGGTTTCATCACCAGGACATGTGCTTAGAATAGCTTTTTTTTTTTTTTTTTTTGAGATGGAGTCTCACTCTGTCACCCAGGCTGGAGTGCAGTGGCACAATCTTGATCATTGTTCATCACTGCAACCTCCACCTCCCAGGTGCCAGCAATTCTCCTGCCTCAACCTCCCAATTAGCTGAGATTACAGGCATACGCCACCATGCCGGGATAATTTTTCTGTATTTTTATTAGAGATGGGGTTTCACCATGTTAGTCAGGGTGGTCTCAAACTCCTGACTTCAAATGATCAGCCTCCCAAAGTGCTGGGATTACAGGCATAGGCCACTGCACCCAGCCCAGGACAGCTTTTCCAATAGCGGTAATGAATTCATGGTGAATCAGTGATACTCACCGTATTAAGTTCAAGTCCCAGACCTACAAGACCAGTTGGATAATAATCAAATAGCAAGGTGTTGCTTTTTCATACTGCCTTACTTATACAAAATGTTTTTGTATACATCACCCAATTTCTGCTCCATGAGGTACATACTGCTACAGCCTTTATGTACCACTTTACAGATAAGAAAACTGAGGTTCAGATAGTTTAAGTGATTGAAGGTCATACCGCCAGAAATGGATTCTGTGGCTATGTTAAGCCTCCCACTCCACATTTTTTCCCATCCCTAAGACACTCAGCCCACAGCTTCACATCAGATTTATCAGCAGAGAACAAAAGAAGTACTTGAAATTGCCACTTACAACGTTTATGAGTAAACTGGAATCCAAAGTCTGGCCTCTAGCCAAGCGGGTGAGTTATCGCCAGTACCATGCAAAGGCAGACATCTAACTGTGTGGGAGGAAAGAAACCTGCAGGCATCTGGGACTGGAGATGGGGAAACAAGGAAGTAGCAACCCTCTGCCCTGCCCAGCCCAGCCAGAGGTCAGGTTCTGACCTGCGTCTTGCAGAGCCACAGTGCTCAGACCATTAGAGTCACCTGGGGAGCTTATAAATTACAATCCCAAGGCCTACTCCATGGGATCCTAATTTCAGTGGTCTAGGGTGCAATCTAGACCTCAGTATCTACAGAAAGCTGGCTGTGGGGCTCCACTGTGACAACCCCAACTGCAGAGAGCAAGGTAGCCCGGGAGACATGCAGGGGCTGTTTTCAGGAAGAACCTCATGGAGCTCTGGGCACACACAAGGTTGCTTTATAGAGGGAATTGGAGAGGGAGCCTTGGGACCTTGCAGACTTAGGAAGACCATGGTGGGGAATAGGAGAGCAACTTTAGTGCTCAGAAGAGCAACTCAGAGTGGCAGTAGTGCCTGTTTGGCTGGACCAGGCTGCACCCTGGGATGCACAGGGTGGGATGCAATGAGGGGGCTGGTGCAGAGAAGCAAAGAAGGTGTGCTTAGAGTGCTCACCAGATATGGCCCCTGGAGCCCCCAGAATTAGCTGCTTGCATGGGAAGGAGTCCACAGATGAGGGTCATTGACATTTGGTTAGCAACGTTGTTCTGTTGTGCAAAATACTATGAATGCACTAGAGTCTGCTTCTGCAAGTCTCCATCCAGTTGCTGGACTTGTTTCATCCTTCATCATCTCCTTGTTTCCACTTCTAACTCCCCCTGACTACAAGGTATCAGTCCCCTAGTGCATAGCTGTGGGGGTGGGTGGCAGAGAACGAGACATCCTGATGAGGACCGCCTCAACACTGAAGTGGCAACAGAAATCCTTCTGCAACTTACAGCTCACAACAAAGCTTCCTCCCCCTTGGAAACCTGTTTTTCTTAATTGCAGGGGGAGTCCCTCAGCAGAGGTGTTCCTGGTGCTAAATGTCTTGACTGAGGTTTGAAAAACAACAACTCCTCATTGAAGAATTAGCTGAAAGCCTGTGACTCCAGATGCAATCAAAGGTGCTAATGGGAAATTTTTGGCTAGTGCCCTAGAATCAGGTAATAGATGCTGCCTTTCTCGGGGCCGTGTACAGGAAAGGGGCCCAGGACAGCATTTCTAGGAGTAATTATGCTCTCATCCCAACCTCGCTACTAAGGGAACATGAACTTTACTGCAGTGTTCAACACCAGTTTTCATTTTACTGCACAAGCAAACTTGTATTCCACCAGGAAGATGAAAGATTTCGGGTTCTGAGGCTGTCAGACATTTCCACTTACGAATTTAGTGAAACTCCTAAATCATGGCTGAGGCACAGCTTCCGAAATCTCTCCCCTCATTTTCAGGTTTTCTAATAGTTCCCTGCTCTTGTGGTATCTTGGTGCAATCACGCTAATAGGAACAATTTAACGGAGTCCTGGGGAGGCAAAGGTTTGGAGGATTACATTTCAACACTCAGCTCCTTATCACAGAGAAACACCCTTCCTTAATAGACTCCCTGGATTCTAGACCTGCTCACTTCTCTCTCAGCAGATCCAGCTGCACCTGAACAGGAGAGAAGAATTAGAAACTTGGTTACTGCTCCTTCTTGAATCTCAGTCCCAGACAAAAATGGGCTGAGGGCAGGTTAAATTCTAATCACAAATTAGGAGGATTCATCAACATGCAGAGACCAAAGAATCATTTTTCTCAATGCTCGGAACACCTGGTCTTAAAGCACAGCCCTCTTGTACCTGTCCTATTTGTATTAACCATCCGCCAAGTAACTCCAGCTAGAATCCTTGAGGCTTGCTCCTCCAGCTTCCTCATTCCCCCCAATCATCTAGCCAAGAAGTAAATTCCCTTAAAGCTCTCTCTGAAGTTTCCCTGAAACACATCCTGTTCTTTCTACATTCAATGCCTTTGTCCTAACTTAGGCCTCGTCAGCTCCTGTTCATATTCATCTCAACAAATATTTAAGAGGCTGCCACTATGTACCAGGGCTAGGTACTGGGATCACAGGATTCCAGGCTCTCGTGGGAAAGACACGTTAAACAAATAAGTATGCAAATAGTTATTTAATAACAAATCCCATAAGTGCTACCAAAAAACTGCTATTGAAGTTTGTGGGTGTAACCTGCCTCAGAGGTTCAACTGTTGGAAGATAAATTATATTACTTCCTTAGAACATATAGGAGTTCAGCTTCTGGTCTGGCTAAAGAGACTCCTACAGAAATCAGGGGTCCCAAACATAACAGCTATAAACTCTGGATAAAACACAAAATAACGAACAATGACTTGAAGGTACTGGAGAGTGAACAAAAACAGACATTCAGGAGGATAGTCAAAACCTGGAAGAAAAGAAAGGCATAAAATGAGCCTGGGCAACATAGCAAGACCTCATCTCTATTAAAACTCAAAACAATTAGCCAGGTGTGGTGGTGTGTGCCTTTAGTCCCAGCTATTCAGGAGGCTGAGGCAGGAGGATTGCTTGAACCTGGGAGATTGAGGCTGTGGTGAGCTATGATCGTGCCACGGTCTCTATGGCTTTAAGCCTGAAGGCAAGCTAGTCAGCTCCACATGGAGTACATAAAACCCTGCAAGAGGAATTATGATTTTTCTGACCTGAAGAACAGGAGAACAGTCTGGGGCCATCACAGCCACTAGAAAGTAAGGAGAGAATTTTTGAGAAGAGAAAGCCAAAAGGGAGAATTCCAATTTCTGCATATGTACGCTACCCAAGTGTGTGTCTGACCTGTGAACTAAGTATGCACAGAGCAGATTTTGAAATAGCCTAGACAAGGATGCGGAATTGAACTGAGATTTGAGCTGCTGCTCAAAAGACAGAGTGGTTTTTTTTTTTGCTTTTTTATTTTGAGCAGTCTCACTCTGTCACCCAGGCTGGAGTGCAGTGGCACCATCTCGGCTCACTGCAACCTCTGCCTCCCAGGTTCAAGTGATTCTTCTGCCTCAGCCTCCCAAGTAGCTGGGAGTACAGGCACGTGCCACCACACCTGGCTAATTTTTGTATTTTTAGTAGAGATGGGGTTTCACCATATTGTCCAGGGTGGTCTTGAACTCCTGACCTCGTGATCCGCCAGCCTCGGCCTCCCAAAGTGCTGGAATTGCAGGCGTGAGCCACCACACCTGGCCCAGAGTTTATAATTTTAGTTCAACCAAGTTAATGACTTGATAAAACAAAAACACCAATGCTCTTCAGAGGAATATGATGGTGTCTAATGTGTATCCAGGATACAATCCAAAGTTACTCAGGTAAAGAATCAGAAACTGTGATCCAGTCTCAAGAGTAGAGACAATAAATGGAAACCAATCCTGAGATGACCCAGATGTGGGATTTGAAAAAGAATTTGAAGCAGCTATTCTAACTATTGCCAATGAAGTAAAGAAAATTTTGCTTATAATGAATGAGAAGAAAATGGAAATTATTTTTAACGAAAAGAACCAACACCAAGCATGGTGGCTCACGCCTGTAATCCCAGCACTTTGGGAGGCCAAGACAGGAGGTTCTCTTGAGGCCAGGGGTCTGAAACCAGCCTTGGCAACATAGCGCGACTTAATCTCTATTTAAAAAAAAAATAACCAGGTGTGGGGCACATGCCTGTAATCCCAGCTACTCAAGAAGCTGAGGCAGGATTGCTTGAGTCTGGGAGATTGAGGCTGCAGTGAACAATGATCGTACCACTGCACTCCGGCCTGGGGACAGAGTAAGACCCTGTCTCAAAAATAAATACAAAATAAATTTAAAAATTTTAAAAGAACCAAATGGAAATCCTCTCACTGAAAATTGCAACATTAAAAGTAAGCATAGGCCAAGTGCAGTGGCTCACGCCTGTAATCTCTACACTTTGGGAGGCCAAGGCAGGCAGATCACTTGAGGTCAGGAGTTCAAGAACAGCCTGTCCAACATGGCAAAACCCCATCTCTACTAAAAATACAAAAATAAGCCAAGCATGATGGTGTCCTCCTGTAATCACAGCTACTTGGGATGCTGAGGCACAAGAATCACTTGAACCCAGGAGGTGGAGGTTGCAGTGAGCCGAGAATGTGCCACTGCACTCCGGCCTGTCTCAAAAAAATTAAATAAATAAAATAAAAATAGAAGTCAGTACAGGGGCTTAACAGAAAATGGAGATGGCAGAGGAAAGACTTTGTGAAATTTAAGATAGATCAAAAGAAATTATCAAATGTAAAGAAAAATATACAGAGCCTCAGAGAACTTTGGGATAATAACATATTGTCTAGCTTTTGTATAATTATAGTCTTAGAAGGAAATAAGAGAGAGGGAGGGAAAGAGAGAGAAAGAAAGAGATGGGTAGAAAAATATTTTAATATATAAAATTCAAATTTTCCCTCATTTGGTTAAAATTATATATTTACATCTTTACAAAACTAAGCAAATCTCAAGCAGCATAAATACAAAGAAAATTATGCCTATCACATCATAACCAAACTGCTGAGAGCCAAAAATAAAGAGAAAATCTTGAAAGCAGCCAGAGGAAAATGACACATTACATACAAGGGAGCAACATGATCACAGACTCCTCATCAGCAACTGTGGAGACCAGAAGACAGTGGAACAACAACTGTAAAGTCCTGAATTTAAAACACATGCACATACACACACACACACACACACACACACAAACCTAACTGTCCAAAGAAAGTTCTATATCCAACTAAAATATCTTTCAAGAATGAAGACAAGTATTCACTTTGGCACACATACTAAAAAAAAAATTTGAAGACAAAATAAAAATATTTTCAGATGTAAGGAAATTAAAAGAATTTGTCACCATCAGACCTGAACTCCAAGAAATGCTAAAGGAAAATTTTCAGACTGGGAAATAATTTTTCAAAATCAAAACGATTTTTTATTCCTAAAATTATCAATGATTCAAATACTGCCTAAAAATTACATTAAAGGAGGTATAAGGTATTAATAGTTATCAGAATGGGATATTAACTTTAAATTATTAACAGCACTCTAAATAGAAGTCATCAAACTGGAGCAAAATGGTTACGTAAGGTACAGTAACTGTATACCTGCATATTATTCAAAGAGTAAAATGGTACTTGTGAATAGTTTTTAGTAAATTAGAAAAAATGACTATGTTGCAAACTAACTAAAAGTTATATCTCTAAAGCCCTAAAATATTTATAGTCTTTGACCTAATTATTTCTCTTCCAGGAATCTACCTTAATAGAAAGTCACACCAAGAATAATGTATGAAGATGTTCATCACTGTTTTTTCCAGCAAAAACCTAAACCTGGAAGTAACCTGTTTTAATAATTGGCTTGTTAAATATACTGTAATTCACCTTTATAATTCACTGTTGCAATAAAAAGATCTATAGTTGTAAAGTCTATTTAATGTCAAAAATCATTTTCATTGCAAGAAGCATAGCAATTTTATATTTAATGTGTGTATATTTATACTTCCATAAAAAATACTGTAAAGCCTATTGCAAATATTAATGATTATCTCTGGATGGTTTATCATTAGAAATTTAATTTTTATCTTAGTTTCTAAATTATTTTTAATAAGGAAATTAATTATTGGATAAATTTGGGTATTCAGTATAATCTTAATTATATTTTGATGTGCATAGACAAAGATCACTGAAACAAAAGAGAAGATATATATATGTTGGTATACTCTTTCTGCCATGCAACCTGGTAGTTTTATATCCAAATTATGGTCCATGATGCTTCCTTGCTTCTTGAAGACAGGAAGAAGCTGTATAAGTTGATGGTTAAGGAAAGACCCTGTAGTCAAAGTGCCCAGACTGTAATCCCAGCTCTGACATTTATTCTGGTTACCCTCTCTGTGGCTCACGTACAGTATGAAGTTTGTAATAAATCCTGACTCCTAGCATTGTTATGAGAATTAAGTGAATTAATTTTTATAAAGTGCTTAGAGCAGTGTCAGGCATTTGGTGTTATTTAATAGTGTTTATTAAATAAAAACTAAGTAGAAAATTATCCTAAGGAAAAATGTTCACTGCAACATTGTTTTAAAAGGGAAAAAAAAAAAGACATTGCCAACAAGAGATTAATTAGAATTGCAGAGTAGTTAAAAACACAGACTCGGAAACCAGACTGTCCACGTTCAAATCCTAGTCCTGCTACTCACTAGCTGGATGACTTTGGACAAGTGACTTAATTTCTGTATGTCTCATTTCTCCCCATCTATAAAATGGAGAAATAATAGTACCTACTACATAGTTGTTTAAGGACTTCTAAAACTCTCAGAACAGTACCTAGAGTGCGATAAGCACTATAATTAAGTGTTCCCTCTTGTAGTAGTGATGTGGATACGGTGGTGGCAGTAGTAGTACCTCCATATATGATAATAGATGTCTTCCACACATTGCTAACTGAAAAGATCAAATTATGAAACAGCAGAGGTGCCGCCTATATTTGAACAGCTTGAATCTTGCACAAACCCAGGGAGGCAGATGAGAGCTGTATACACCAGGAAGAGGGCGCCTTTTTATAATTTGCACAAAAAGCACACAGCACGTGACAGCTGGCTCTCTAGAATAGTTAAGTCGAATCCCATTTCTGTAAAATCCAATAAATGGACATATATGTGTTTTTCAGTGTGCACCATGTTAATGTGAACGGTGGGCCTGAGGTATTATTATTCTCTTTTCTGAACCTATCTACATGTCCCCTCTCTTCCCACCTCTCCCAGCAGGCTTTTTTTCTTTTTCTTTTTCTTTTTTTTTTTTTTTTTTTGAGATGGGGTCTCGCTCTCTCGCCCAGGCTGGAGTGCAGTGGCACCATCTCAGCTCACCGCAACCTCTGCCTCCCAGGTTCAAGCGATTCTCCTGCCTCAGCCTCCCTAGTGGCTGGGATTACAGGCACCTGCCAACACACATGGCTAATTTTTGTATTTTTAGTAGAGATGGGGTTTCACCGTGTTGGCCAGGCTGGTCTCAAAACTCCTGACCTCAAGTGATCCGCCCACCTTGTCCTCCCAAAGTGCTGGGATTACAGGCATAAGCCACCGCACCCGGCCAACAGGCTTTTTTATATGAAAACAATAAAGCTTTGTTGTGCAACACAGACCTGACTATTGGCTTAGAAAGATATCCATGATAGAATATTAGGTGGACAACATCTCATTTACATATATGTATGTGTGCAAGAGTCTTTGGGGAGAATAAACAGGAACATTTATATTCAAAAATGAGCAGTTACTATCTCTGTACCCAAGGGTTGCATGCTATTATCACAGCTTTCCGTATTAATAAAAAAAAGTTTTAAGTTTTTTAGATTCTGGCACACATGAAAAGGAAATGTATTGAGTGGTTGTCTTTTGGTGGTAATGTCCTAGAAAATTCTCATTTTCTTTTTTATATTTTTCTATAATAAATACATATGACTTTTATATTCAGAAAATATATATTTAAACTATATGTGGTTTATCTACATACATCCTTAGTTGTAGTATAGAATAACTAGAATTAAGATAATTTATAGGTGAAAAGGGGAGTTTTGTACATTCTCCCCCATCCATCCCTCAAACCAATGCAAGCAACTGAAATATTTGTTTCCAGCAGACAACTCTATTTTATCACTTAGCAAGATACATGTCCATGGCAGATTCACTGCAGTAAGCTTCTGCCATGGTAGAAAGTTCAGGAAACCTCATTTCCGAGTTCCACGTATGCCATGTTCCCAGCTTCCCCTAGGAGTGCTCGGGGAAGTGACTGTCTTATTTATAGATTATTTTTATTTCTTATATTCCCAGCTGTGCTGTACTCAAACATCTTCTGAGCTAGAGCTGAGCAGTAAATACCTCCGTACATGTGCATATGCGTGCGCGCGCGCACACACACACACACACACACACACACACACACACACACACATACACACACCCCAGAGTGGAGAAATATAAACCAGATATTAAACACAGATCAGACCCTACAGACTGTCAGGCTGAGGGATGACTAGGACACGTGCACTGGCCCACAATCTCCAACGTGTTAAAATAATTTAATTGGGTATTTCATGGCACATTTTGCATTATTATGGCTCCCTTTGGATGCAACAAATGATTTGCTTCAGTAATATAGAGTCCCAAGTAGTGGCATTATGTGATTAAGTAAGTGAGAACATCGACCATTAAATTCAGTTCAGTCAGGCTTACATCCATCTTATTTTTTTTATATAATTCAAATTTTCCTGCCGGTATATATTCACTTGAGACCATTTTTAAGTCATATGTTTATGAGAGTTTCTCTTCGTACTTTTCATCCAATTGCTACTACATTTAGAGTTTCAAAACTGCAATTTGATTCTCCTTTGTTAAGTGGATTGATTGTTAGGTTATAAGGCACAAGAATACCATCCTCAATTTCCATATTTATAGCAGCTCTCCAAAATATCAAAAGGCTTGTTTTGTGGGCCTCATAGCAATTCTAGTTTATTAGACTTGAACACTTGATTAAAACTTGCATAGTCGTTAAGCAGTGCTCTTAATCAGCCTCTCTGCCTATTAAGCTCAAGGTGTATAGGAGGTTAAAGGGAAACATGGTGAATAGTTGAAAAACAGCTTGAAAATTCTAGAGCAATGGCTCTTAACCTGGCTGAGCCATTGACCTCCTTGAGAATATAATGAAAGTTGTAGGCACTCTCCCCAGAGCAATGCATGTATACACAACAACAGTTTCACATTATTTTAGGGGGTGCACGCATACATATCCTACCCAATAGTTTATAGAACTCAACTTCAGAATCTCTTCTCTAGAACAGTAGTTCTCATCCAGGAGCAATTTTGCCACCCAGGAGACACCTGGCAATCTCTGGACACATTATTGTTTGTCACAAATGGAGAGGGGCAGGAGTGGTACTGGAATCTAGTAGGTAGTGACCAAAGATGCTGCTAGACATCGAATATTGCAGAGCACATTCCCTCACTCATGATGAAGAACTATCTGGCCCCAGATGTCCATTAAGCCCAGGCTGAGAAACCTTGCTCTAAAGAGTATATCAAAAATTCTTATGGGATATCGAGACACCTCCCTCCCACCCCTCAGATGGGAAACATGCCTAAGGAGAATAAATATAAATCATGGAAAAATCCATACATTTTCACCTTGATTTATTTATCCAACCAATTATTTATTCAGCAAACTTTTACTAAACACCAATTTCCTGTCGAGTACTATTCCAGTCACTGGGAATACCACTCATCAGAAATAAAGTCAGTTAAGTAAACAGCCAGTTAAAAAGCTGTACTAGATTAGTTAGGAATGTGTTCAGCCCCTTATAACACAATAATAAAATAGGAATTTAACAGAAACATGTCCATGTAAAAAGAAATCCAGCCAGGAGTGGTTGCACGTGCCTGTAGTCCCAGCTACTGGGGAGGCTGAGGTAGGAGGATGGCTTGAGCCTGGGAGTTAGAGGCCGCAGTCAGCTATGAGTGCACCACTGCACTCCAGCCTGAGCGACAGAGCAAGGCTCTGTCTCAATAAAAATAAAAACAAATAAAAATTATTTTAAAAAAAGAGAGAGACAGAAATCCACGGGTAGACAGCCCCAGACAGTTAAGGTAGCTTCCTATTGTTGCTAAGACCACAGGTCCCTTCAATTTTCCTGCTCTGCCATCCTTGGTGTTTGCCTTCATTTCTGATTTCCTAAGATGTCTGCTGCTCCTTAAGGCTCAAATCCAAATTCCAAATGGGCAGAGGAGACAATGTGAAGGACAAAGGCAAAACAATGTACAGACTAGTTGAGCCTGCTTCTGCTTTAAATGGAGACAATGACTTTCTGGACATTCGATCCAGTAGGCTTCCCTTACATGTCATTGGCTATAACTAGGTCATATGACCACACACAGCTGCAAGGGAGTCTGGGAAGGTTAAGTATTTTTTAACTGAGCACACTGTTACTCTGAGAAAAATCAGGGCTCTACTAATAAGGAAAAAATGTAGAATGGGTGTTGGGAAGGCAATTAGCAGTGCCTGCTCTAAGTGTGGTAAGGGCAAGAAAACAGGATGCAGGAAATACTAAAGGAGCACTTAACAGAGGTTTGTAACACACTGTTGAGCAATCAGGGGAGGCAGAAAAATGAGGAAGAGTTACCCTGCGTGTCTGCAGGTGTGTGTGTGTGTGTGTGTGTGTGTGTGTAAGAGCAGTGGGATGGGTGTGGGGTCAGTACCAAGGTGATTCAAGCAGGGGGAGCCACATGTTAAAAAGGCTGGAATTGGAGGAGCAAGGAGTAGTGAACAATGAGGTAAGATGGGCAGGTAGAGCAGTGCAGGCCCTACTGTTGAGTTTGGCTATTATCCTAAGGGCAATGGGGGCCTTTCATAGGTTTAGAGCAGGGAAACACACTATCATAACAGTCACTTTAAAAGATCACTCCAATTTCAACGTGGAGTACCCACTGTACAAACGGCAAGACTTAGCACAAGGAGGCCAGGACAGCGTCCCTGAAGACAGAAACACTGGGTGCTCATCTTTGTAAAATATAAGCATGCTGTCCCCACCCTCAGTCATTCAGCAGGGGTGACAGTTGGAAGGCTTTGTCAGACACAGGGACACTACCTGAATGTGCTATATGGAGCTGTTCTAGAAAATCCCCATGGGGATACGTTCCTGAATCACGCAGTAACTTCCATTTTCTTCAGTTCTTGAAGATATAACTTCCTCAAGCTAGAGATTTTTTTCCCAGAAGTCCATCATTTAACTGTTGATCACTCATCCCGGTGGGCAAGGTTTGTTCATGATAAGGTCAAAAGACTCCTACCTGTCTCCAAGTGTCTGCCGACTTTGACTGCATTTCCTCAAGCATTTCCCTGCAAGCACATCGACCATTCTTAACTAAATGCAAGTCTTGCATCTACATCTAACTGGAGGCTCTCTCACTGATTCTCTGGAGTAAGCCCCGTACTATCACTTGTGTGCCTCTGATACCATTATAAGTCACATCAGTAACACACAATGGTAGAAAGTCTGTGGATGAATAAACACAGGTGGCTGAACAGACTCAACTCAGAATAACATGGGAGAATACTCATGGGCTGAAAGCTTTTACTGTATGATACACACAGCAACACTTGTCAGCAGATCATACACTGCTACCTGCCAAACACCGTTGGATGAGGGCATGTGATATAGCATGCAGATTATAAGGAAGAATGTATTTATAGTCTAACAACATACTATGAAGGAAGGCTATATATTAATGTATTTTGAAAGTATTTCCCCTAAATAGCACTATAAAAAATATGAGCTAGTTGGCATTTAACAGGGCACGTCCCTAAAGGAAGGTACTTATTCATCAGGAGATTTTTGCACCAATAACATCTCACAAAGCTGAATGATTGGGAAAATGGATTCATGGTATAGTTCTGCGTATGTATGAACTATAGGTCCAAAGTAAAATTAAGAAAAGTATTACAGATACTCATTTCGAAAAGCTTCTCTCATATCTGACCATAGAGTAAAGATGTTCAGAAACCCAAACATTGGAAGCATTTACCTGAATTTTTTAATGAAACTCTTAAAATAATTCAATATTTTATGATTTAATATTTTTACAAAAGCCTTATTGAGATATAATTTACGTATTATAAAACCAATTCATTACTCCCACAAGTTCCCCCATTTCTATGTGCACTCAATCCCCATTTTCTTTGCCAGCCCTAGGCAACCATTGTTCTCTACTAAATGTGTCTTTTCTGAACACTTCATACGAATGGAATTGTACAACATCTGGTCTTTTGCATCTGGCTTCTTTCACTTAGCAAAATGTGTTTGAGGATTATTCATGTTGTAGCATGTATAGGTTCCTTTTAATTTCTTAATAGTATTCCATTGCATGAATAGACCACATTTCGCTTATCTATCTACCAGGATGGACATTTGGATTTTTCCTGTTTGGGGCTGTTATGAATAATGCTGTTATGTGTACATGATTTTGTGTGGACGTAACTTTTCATTTCTTTTGAGTATATTCCTATGAGTAGATTTGCTGGGTGATATAGTAAATTATTTTCAACATTTAAGAAACTTCCAAACTGTGTTCCCAAGAGGCTTCACCATTCTACATTCCCATCAGCAATGTATGATACTTTATTTCTCCACATATTGCTAACATTTAGGATTGTCTGTCTTTTTGATTATAGCCATTCTAAGGATGTGTTTTAATTTGAATTTTGGTAATGATTAAGATGTTGAACATCTTTATTTATTTATTTATTTATTTATTTATTTATTTATTTACTGAGACAAGAGTCTCACTCTGTCGCCCAGGCTGGAGTGCAGTGGCGCGATCTCAGCTCACTGCAAGCTCCACCTCCCAGGTTCACGCCATTTTCCTGCCTCAGCCTCCCGAGCAGCTGGGACTACAGGCACGTGCCACTAGGCCCAGCTAATTTTTTTTGTATTTTTAGTAGAGACGGGGTTTCACCGTGTTAACCAGGATGGTCTCAATCTCCTGAACTCGTGATCCGCCCACCTCAGCCTCCCAGAGTGCTGGGATTACAGGCATGAGCCACCGCTCCTGGCCAAGATGTTGAACATCTTTTTATATATGTTTATCAGCCATTTATCTATTTTCTTTGTTGATTGTGCATTCAAATTGTTGTCTATTTTTTAATTGGATTGTCTTATTATTGAATGATAAGAGTTCTTCATATATTTTGTAAACAAGACCTTCATCGGATATATGATTTGTGAACATTTTATCTCAGTCTGTGGCTTGTCTTTTCATTTTCCTAATGGTGTCCTCTGAAACACAAATGTTTTTAATTTTGATTAAACCCCATTTATGAATTTCTTTTGGCAATTGTGTGCTTTGTTTTATATTTAAGACATTGTCTTGCTTTAAAAAAAAATCTAGCTTGACAGTCTCTGCCTTTATTGGGGAATTTAGATCATTCCTAGTTAAAGTGAACTACTAATATGGCCAGTTTTACATTTGCCATTGTATTTGTTTTGTGCGTGTTTATTTTCTTTTTAATTCCTGTTTTTCCTTGACAGCCTTCTGTTGAACTAAATGAATGGTTTTTCATGTATCATTTTAATTCCTCTGTTAACTATTTTAATTTTTTTATTATCTTCCTAGTGGCTGCTCTAGAGATTACAACATGAATCTTAACTTATTGCAATCTATTTCAGATGAGTACAACCTAATTCTAATAAAATATACAAACTTTGCTCCAGCATAATAGCTTCATTTCATTCTCCTTGTGTGTGTTCAAATTACTGTTTTATCTTTCTTTCA
The DNA here is from genome assembly GCF_000001405.40 of Homo sapiens. Classification (NCBI taxonomy): domain Eukaryota; kingdom Metazoa; phylum Chordata; class Mammalia; order Primates; family Hominidae; genus Homo; species Homo sapiens. The sequence goes on along the minus strand of NC_000003.12, from coordinate 73,242,438 downwards.
AAGAGATTAAGAGAATATATAAAATATATATAAAAGAAATATATATTTGTAAAGTTTCTTATGTTAGTGTATATATCACTTCTGGTGCTTTATATTTCTTCTGTGGATTCAAGTTATGTCTAGTGTCCTGCCCTTTCAACCTAAAGGATTCCTTTAGTATTTATTGACAGTCGGTTCTGCAAACAACAAATTCTCTCAACCTTTGTTTATTTTGAAACGTCTTTATTGCCTTTATTTTTGAAGGGTAGTTTTTCTGGATATAAATTCTTAGATATACAGTGGAGTATTTTTTCTTTCCTTTTAGCACTCTGACTATGCCATCCCCCTGCCTTCTGACTGTCATTGTTTCAGATGAGACGCCAGCCATCAATCACATTGGTGTTCCCATGTTTGTAATAAGTCACTTTTTTCTTGTTATTCTTAAGTTTTTCTGCCTTTCACTTTCAAGAGTTTGGCTGTACTGTGTCTAGATGACAATCTTGTCTTCATTCTAGTTGGGATTTGTTAACGGGTTAGATGTGAGTTTTTAAAATCAAATTTGGGCGCTCACTTCAGTAGCACATATACTAAAATTTGGGATGATACAGGGAAGATTAGCATGGCCCCTATGCAAGGACGACACACAAATTCGTGAAGTGTTCCATATTTTTGAAGCCATAAAAAAAAATCTCCCAGTCAAGAAAAGCCCAAGACCTGATGGTTTCACTTCTAAATTTTACCAAAGGTTTAAAGAAGAATTAATAGCTATCCTACTCAAACTATTCCAAAAAATAGAGGAGGAAGGAATACTTCCAAACTCAATCTGAGGCCAGTATTACCCTGATACAAAACCAGACAAAGACACATCAAAAAAATGAAAACTAGCCATGCACGGTGGCTCACAGTGGCCCTCATCTGTAATCTCAGCACTTTGGGAGGCTGAGGCGGGTGGATCACCTGAGGTCAGGAGTTCGAGACCAGCCTGGCCAACATGGTAAAACCCCATCTCTACTAAAAATACGAAAAAATTAGCCAGGTGTGGTGGCACGGGCCTGTAATCCCACCTACTCGGGAGGCTGAGGCAGGAGAATCCTTGAACCTGGGAGGCAGAGGTTGCAGTGAGCCAAGATTGCACCAGTGCACTCCAGCCTGGGCGACAGAGACTACGTCTCAAAACACAACAACAACAATAAAAACAACAACAATGACAAAGACTACAGGCCAATATATCTGATGAATATTGATGCAAAAATCCTCAACAAAATACTAGCGAACTAAATTCAATGATACGTTAGAGAGATCATTCATCAAGACCAAGTGGGATTTATCCCTGGGATGCAAAGGTGGTTCAACATGCTCAAATCAATCAATCTGATACATTATATCAAGAAAATGAAGGATAAAAACCATGTGATGATTTCAATTGATGCTGAAAAGCCATTTGATAAAAATTCAACATCCCTTCCTGATAAAAACTCTCAAAAGGCTGGGCGCAGTGGCTCACGCCTGTAATCCCAGCACTTTGGGAGGCCAAGGCGGGTGGATCAAGAGGTCAGGAGATCAAGACCGTCCTGGTTAACACGGTGAAACCCCATCTCTACTAAAAACACAAAAACAAAATTAGCCGGGCGTGGTGGCGGGTGCCTGTAGTCCCAGCTACTCGGGAGGATGAAGCAGGAGAATGGCGTGAACCTGGGAGGCAGAGCTTGCAGTGAGCCGAGATGGCGTCACTGCACTCCAGACTGGGTGACACAGTGAGACTCCATCTCAAAAAAAAAAAAAAAAAAAAACTCTTAAAAAACTGGGGATAGAAGAAACACACCTCAACATAATCAAAGCCATATATGACAGATTTCACAGCTAGTATCATACTGAACAAGGAAAAACTGAAAGCCTTTCCTCTAAGATCTGGAGCATGACAAGGATGCCCACTGTCACCACTGTTATTCAACAGAGTAATGGTAGTCTGAGCTAGAGCAATCAGGCAAGAGAAAGACATAAAAGGCATGCAAATTGGAAATGAAGAAGTAAAATTACCTATGCTTGTAGATGATATAATCTTATATTTCGAAAAACCTAAAGATTCCAGAGGAAATCTATTAGAACTGTTAAACACATTTAGTAAAGTTGCAGGATACAAAGTCAACCTACAAAAATCAGTAGCATTTGTATATGCCAACAGTGAACAACGTGAAAAAGACATTTAAAAAGCAATCCCTTTTACAATAGCCACACATAAAATAAAATACCTAGGAATTAACCAATGAAGTTAAAGATCTGTATAATGAAAACTATAAGATACTGATGAAAGAATTGAAGAGGACACCAAAAAATGAAAAAATATTCCAAGTTCATGGATTGGAAGAATCAATAGCTAAGATCTGGAAGCAACCCAAGTGTTCATCAACAGATGAGTGGATAAAGAAAACATGGTACATCTACACAATGGTACATCTACTATTCAGCCATAAAAAGAATGAGATCTAGTCATGTGCAACAACATGAATGGAAATGGAGATCATTATGTTAAGTGAAATAAGCCAGGCACAGAAAGACAAACATTGTATGTTTTTATTTATTTGTGGGATCTAAAATCAAAACAACTAAACTCATGGACATAAAGAGTAGAAGGATGGTTGTTACCAGAGGCTGGGAAGGGTAGTGGGTAACTGAAGCAAGAGGTGGGCATGGTTAATGGGTACAAAAAAAAATAGAAAAAATGAATAAGACCTACTATTTGATGGTACAATAGGCTGACTATAGTCAATAATAATTTAATTGGTCAGGCACAGATGCTCACACCTGTAATCCCAGCACTTTGGGAGGCCAAGGCAGGCAGATCACTTGAGCCTGGGAGTTCAAGACCAACCTGGCCAACATGGAGAAACCTCATTTCTACAAAAAATACAAAAAGTAGTAGGGTGTGGTGGCATGTTCCTGTGGTCTCAGCTACTTAGGAAGCTGAGGTGGGGAGATCACTTGAGCCTGGGAGGCAAAGGTTACAGTGAACAAAAATTTACCACTAGACTCCAGCCTGCATGACAGAGTAAAATCCTGCCTCACAATAATAATAATAAAATAATAACTTAATTGTTCATTTTTTAAATAACTTAAAGAATGTAATTGGATTGTTTGTAACTCAAAGGATAAATGCTTGGGAGGATAGATACCCCATCTTCCATGATGTGCTTATTTCACTTTGCATACCTGTATCAAAACATTTCATGTACCCATAAACACCTACTATGTACCCACAAAAAATTTAAAAATAAATAAAATCAATTTTGCAAGTTTTCAGTCATGACTCATTCAAATATCTTTTCCAACCCCTTCTCTGTATTCTTTATTTTGGGACTTTCATTAATTCCATTCTAAATATATGTCAGTATATTTAATGTTCCATGTTCTCTGAGGCTCTGTTCATATTTTCTTTATTCTTGTTTTCTCTCATTAATTTTTATTGATCTATTTTTAAGTTCACTGATCCTTTCTTCTGACATCTTGAATCTGCTATTGAGCCCCTCCAGTGAATTATTCATTTTATTTATTACACTCAACTTGAGAATTTCCACGTGACTCTTTTTGGTAATTGCTGTCCCATTATCGAGACTCCCTATTCGTGGATTCATTGATGTCATACCTTCCTTTAATTCTTTAAACATGGTTTCCTTTAGTTCTTTGAGTGTATTTATAATAGCTTCTTTGAAATTTTTGTGCACTAAATCCAACCTCTGGGGACACTGAGAGACAGTTTCTATTAACTGTGTTTCCTTCTAAAAATACTTTCCTGTTTCTTTGCATGTCTCATAATATTTTGTTGAAAACTGAACATTTTAGATAATAGGCGGTAACAACTCTGGATTCTGATTTTCCCCCTCTGATGGCTTTATTGTTGCTGTTTTGTCTGTTTTAATTACTTAGAAACAGAAACATAGAAACTATATACTTAGAAACTATATACTAAACTTATAAACTTTAGTATATAGTCACTGATGTCCCTGCTCAGGTTTGAGTTGCTCCTGCATGAGTACAGCTTAGTAGTCAGCTAATAGTTGGAAAGAGATTGTGCTCCAATGTCTGAACCAGTGCATCTACCATCCTCTGATTATGGTAGAGAGTAGTAGACATTCAAAGTTTAGGCTACTCTCAAATCTATTCCTACTTTTACTTCCTGCTAGGCCCTTTTGAGTCTGTGGATATGTGCAAAGTTTCAGGGTTGGCCAGGAGTATATGAACAGCTTAGGCTCTCTCCTGTCTCTACTGTGAATGTGCACAGCCTCAGCCATGAACATCTTACCCCAAACATGAATGAAAACTCAGGCTACTAGAGCTATTTGCCCTCTCCCACTTGCTGGCCACCAAGATCATCACTTTCACAAATAACACCCCTGCATCACCCACTGTTCCAAATCAAGCAGGCCTCTGTGATGGTCAGTTTCATGTGTCAACTTGACTTGGCCACGGGATGCCCAGATACCTGGTAAAATATTACTTCAATGTATGTCTGTGAGGGTGTTTCTGGAAAAGATTAGCATCTGAATTGGTGAACTGAGTAGAGGAGATGACTCTCCTCAAAGTAGTGGGTGTCATCCAATCCACCAAAGGCCTGAATAGAACAAAAAGGCAGAAGGTTGAATTTCACTCTATCCGATGGCTTAAGCTGAGACATCAATATCTCCTGCCTACAGTGCTCCTTATTCTCGGGCCTTCAGATGCTGACTGGGATCTACACCATCAGCCATGGCTCTCAGGACTTCAAGTTGCACCACTGACTTTCCTGGGTCTGGAGCTTGCAGATGGCAAATCATAGAATTTCCTAACCTCTATACTTGTGTAAGCCAGCTCCTTATCATAAATCTCATTCTAGATATACACTGATACCTAAATATACAAAAATAACCAATAGAATATGGCTCTGTGTGTGTGTGTGTGGCTGTTCCTCTGAAAATGCTAATACAGCCTCCCTTTGACTGTGGCAGCACACGCCAACCCAACTGAGCAGAGAAGGGGAGCAACTCTATTCCAGACCAGAACGCTACAGACTACCACTGTTCTTACCTGAATTTCAGCAGTTGTTTAAGCATGAATGCTTCTCAGATTGTTGTATGCCATTCATTAATTTCCAGAACACTGAAAGGGTTGTTTTTGTCCATTTTTCCCATTTTTGGAAGAAAGAATTAACTGACTTCCTTACTCAGCCATATCTGGAAGTCCTGACAATAATTCAATTTTAAAATTGCACCATTGTAATTTGCACACAGAACACAGTGATGGAATATTTGCAAAGCTGTGAATGCCTAGTGGGTGATGTCATGACAGACTGATCCATCAACTAGGACAGAAGGGGAGAGGTCAAAATAGCTGGTCATATTTGCATTACTATCAGTCCCACACATAATTTACAAGTTGAGAGAGTTGATGTAGGTCATTTATATGTCTTGGCAGGTGACAACTGTTTTTTTTTGGTTTTTGTTTGTTTGTTTTTTTAAGACAGAATCTCGCTCTGTCACCAGGCTGGAGTGCAGTGACACGGATCTCAGCTCATGGTTACCTCCGCCTCCCGATTTCAAGCGATTCTCCTGCCTCAGACTCCTGAGTAACTGGGATTACAGGCACAAGCCACCATGCCCAGCTAATTTTTGTATTTTTAGTAGAGACAGGGTTTCACCATGTTGGCCAAGATGATCTCGATCTCTTGACCTCGTGATCTGCCCCCCTCAGCCTCCCAAAGTGCTGGGATTACAGGCGTGAGCCACTGCACCCAGCCGGTGACAACTGTTTTAAAGCACTGAGTTACAATTCTGCCTATAAATGTGTGTATGTGTATATATCCAGGTATATGCACATATATCATTACATATGCACATATACACATTTCATATAATCACAATAATATACATGTGTATATATATAGATTGATATATAAATATGCATGCTAAAACAGCTTTCCTCATCTTTTTATTCACATTATTGTGATTGTTATAAAGTTTTATAAATTGCAGATTTATTGTTAATCCAATAGAGAGCAAATCCCAGGAACTCCGGGAACACTCTTCTACAGAGGCAGGGAAAACACTCCAGGTACACTATCCTTTACTTCCAGGCAGAACATTTTGAACAGAAGAAGCAAATGCTAATGTGAGCCCAGTTCCATGAAAATTAAGCATAAAACCCTATTATTAAGTCTAAAAGTGATTTCCAAAACTATGTCAATAGTACTTAATTACCCAAAACAACTTGATTGGCTGTGATGACTGCCTTGGGGGTGAAAGAGGCTAGCACTTAGTTTAACGACATCCCCAAAGTGGTCCAGAATCTTAAACTTGCAAAAGAAAGTAAAAAGTGCAAATTAATTTCAAAGCCCAAAGTGGCTTCAGTCCCAATTTTTCATGCTAGATCACGAATAATGTCAGTTGGCTGAAACTCTCTGATGACGTGTGTCTCCAGGGAAATGTGTAAAGCACGTGTTAATCTTCATCCTCTACCCAAGAGTTTTTCTTCACAGTCATTTGCCACCTGTCACCATCCTCCCTGTGACAGGGTGAGCTTGGTCACTGCAGTTGCCATGAGCAAGAGCAAAAGAGATGGTGGTGACGAGGAGGTGGATCTGAGACTTGCTGGCAATGTCCTTTGACAAGGACTACTCGAGACGGCAGTGGGGGCTGCTGTTCCTTTTTCTATCACCCTCGGAAGTTGAGAACACGCTTGCATTTTCCCTGATGCCTTGGGTTGAGGCAAACATAGAAGCGTATTCATAAACCAATATGAATGCACATTACCATAGCAGCCACTATTTATTCTGTACTTACCCACTGCCTGGCCTTGTATTGTAGTTATCTGAAATTAATTTGAGCTTTTTATTTACAGTATAACACAGGCTGCCGAGAAAAGCCATTGCTCTGACTGTCATTTTTACAGTCACCTTTGTCTATTTTATTAATGCTTCATTCAAATAGATAGCATTGATTCTTCACACCAACTCTGTGAAGTAGGTACTATTAATATTCCCATTTTATAGATGAGGAACCAAGAATTCAAGTGGTAATAAGTCACTTGGCCAGTGGCTAGATAGGATTCGAATAATTTTATTCTACTCTCGGTATTCCTACTTCAGCCATTGAATTAATCGGTTGGAGTCTTTCTATTAGAAAATGGCTCCTGCTGTACTATTTTTATTAGGCTAGTTGTAATGTAAAATAGGAAGAAAGATACCGCTGTAAAGGGACTGCCTTGAGCAACAGAGATGATGTGAAACCGAAGCTAACATTTGATCTTAATGTATTTTTAACAAGGGTATGTCTTGGGTGAAGTTAAGGAAATATAGCAAGGGACTGGGAGAAAAATATTGACTTTTAATGATTTTGAATTCAAAAGCAAGCCCATATGCTAACACTGGCTTTACTCATTTATCACTTCATTCATTCATTTATTTAAACATTGTTGAATACTGATAAGGTGTAGGGATTTTGCTAGACACAGAGGATATAGCTGTGAACACGATGGCTTGCTCTCAACCTCAGTAGAGTGAAGGGCAAACTAACAAGAAATCGGGCAAATAAAATCTGTTGCAACAAGTGCGCAGACAGAAGAATCACAGAGTCTTGTATGAGCATATGTAGATGGAAGAGGCCCCAATGTCATCTTGCATTTTGAGACAGAGCTTCCCAGAAGTTCTACATCAGCTCAGACCACAAAGAGCAGTCCTGGTGAATTGGGGGTGGTGATCAGTGTTTCAGGTAGAGGAGAATTTTCAGAAACAGCACCTCATGAGCAAATGAAGGAACAAGAGCAGGAATAAGGATTATTCAAGAAACAAAAAGAAGTTTGCTATAGTATATGCTTAGCATGCCAGTAAGTAGCAAGAGATAAGAATAGACTGGATAAAACTGGAGCTGTTTTTAGAGCAATGAAAGCAGAAATGCAAACTTGCATAACCAGAGTCCTTGGCTTGGAACAACAAGCAAGGGAGATACAGAAAGCTAAGGAAACCATCCCTTACTGGTCAAGGTGCATGAAGACATGAACAGTGATTTTTTTTCAAAGCCAGTAAACAGGAACATATTAATACTCCCAATCATAATTCCGGCCTGGCTTCTGACATACTCTTCTCTACAAGGTACATTGTGGTGAACCATGGAGTAGACCCTTCTTTCAAAATGAGCCAAAAATATGCTATAAAGGGAAATGCCATCTAATAAAGCATTCAATCTGGTCGTACTGACCCCATCAAATAAGACTCTTTGGAGAAAAATAAAAACAGTAATCACAGAGCACAATTAATTCTCATTTTAAGAAAAAGGAAGTGTCTTTAGGAGATGAGGAAATGGTGAGTAATAGGCCAGTGGAGATGGAGAAATTGAGGACTTGGAACCAAGGCTTATTTCTAGAAACCCAAGTATCCATAAAACTCGTACAGCTGCCAGGCAGTTTGGAAAAAGAATGGCCTTGGTTGTAATATAAAACAGGAAAAAAGATCACCACTATAAAAAGGACTGCCTGAGACCTGGGGACAGATGAGACCCTTTGGTGGGTGCCATAAACCAAGCTTGCTTATGGGATGAGTTGACCTGCTCTGTGCACGGCGGTCAGTGTGAAATTCCTGATTAGAAGTGAGAGTAGGCTCATTGTCTAGAATATTGTTTCTCCCCTCTCCTCTTTGCCTGGGAAACACCTAAACATTTTTCAGGTCTCAGTTTACACATTTCTTGATGGTGTCATTCTAGTCAATCTTTCTGATTTTCCAGGAAATATGAGGGCTGCTCATCAAACCCACCCAGAGTGCCAACTCCTCTCTCCCAGCGCTGCTCACCACCCTGACATCAGGCGTGTTTGTAAAACGTGCTTTGACGGCATTAAACCTTCATAAGCACAGGGCCCTGCCTGTCTTGTTCATCACGGATTACCTAGTTATCAGTTCATTTTTTTAAATGATTCTTTCTTAATTCAATAAAATGTTGCACTTCCAACTTAAAAACAAACATTTGTTTTACACCAACTACTTGCCAGACAGCACACTAGGAATTTTCTCAAGTGTTCTCTCATTGTATCTGTACAGCCGTCAGTGTTTATCAGCATTTGGTGGGAGAGGAAACTGAGGTTCAGCAAGAAGACAGACTTGACCAAGGCCATGTGCACAAGAGGTGGCAAAGCCTGGATTCAAACCGGTCTGACTCGAATCCCCCATCCTATCCCTTGTCCTTGTAAATGACATCAGCCTGCCTACCATAGTCTCTGCTGACGCACACCTTAGCAGGGCATCCAAACCTTAGTCAGTGCCACCAGCTACATTATTTTACCATACCCAGGCACCACCCACCCTATATATTTATGTTTGATTACATATAACATTAAAAATAAAGCTACTTAGATTTTAAAAAGAAACTAAATCAATTGCTATAAGTAAAAAATAACCTTAAAATATGATATTAAAATAAAGCAAAACCAAAAAGAGTTCTATAGTTCTAGCTAGATGTCAAAGCTTCTGAGCCTATAGCCTGCTCACTGTGGATTAAAGGAAGGAAATAAACAAGCCATGTCAGCACCTAGCTCAGATTTCTCTCCTTGATGCAATTAAGACTATCAATTTATAATTGGTGCTTAGAATAGTATCTGGAACATAATAAGTAGCATAAAAATGTTTGTTAACATGAAAATATGTAACTGATGGGTGTCAGGTGTTACCATCTGGTGAGTATGAAAGAAGGGAAGGAAGGAAGGGAGGGAGGGAGGCAAGGAGGGAAGGAAGGAAATGAATAATAATGAATAAGAAATGAAAGAAATTATAGACATGAGGCTGGGCGTGGTGGCTCACACCTATAATCCCTGCACTTTGGGGGGCTGAGGCAGGTGGATCACTTAAAGCCAGGAGTTCAAGACCAGCCTGGGCAACATGGCAAAACCCTGTCTCTACTAAAAATACAACAATTAGCTGGCCATGGTGGCACATGCCTGTAATCCCAGCTACTCGGGAGGCTGAGGCACAAGAATTGCTTCAACCTGAGAGGCGGAGGTTGCAGTGAGCCAAAATCACACGACTGCATTCCAACCTGGGTGATAGAGTGGTACTCCGTCTCAAAAAAAAAAAGAAAAAAAAAGTCTGGGTGCAGTGGCTCACGCCTGTAATCCCAGCACTTTGGGAGGCCAAGGCGGGTGGATCATGAGGTCAGGAGATCGAGACCATCCTGGCGAACACGGTGAAACCCAGTCTCTACTAAAAATACAAAAAATTAGCCAGGCACGGTGGCAGGCACCTGTAGTCCCAGCTACTCAGGAGGCTGAGGCGGGAGAATGGCGTGAACCCGGGAGGCAGAGCTAGCAGTGAGCTGAGATGGCGTCACTGCACTCCAGCCTGGGCAACAGAGCGAGACTCCATCTCAAAAAATAAAAATAAAAAGACATGATATATACATAAAAAGAAGAAAATATCTACATCACTATATGATGTGCTAGTTAATATTCTCCCAGGACCCACCTAAACACATCTTTCACACTCTCACATTGGACATCCACACTTTGAAAAAGAAGAAAAAAAAATTTAGAAAATGTTTCAGGAAGGAAAAAGTGCAACTTAAAATAAAAAAAATCCCAGATGTTTTCCCACAGGAGAAGAATAGCCTATTCATATAAGGGGCGACAGCACTTTTTTTGGGGATGTATCTTGATGGAGTCTTTGTGCAGGAAAGGTGAGAGTCCCAAACCCGGGACAGATTTAGAATGAGGCTGTCAAAACAAAAAAGAGACTAAAGACAGAAAAATGAATAGAGTGAGAGGGATTTGGAGTTTCCTAGGTGACCTGGGAAAAGAGGGAGGTATGCAGGAATATGAAGAAGCAGGGAAGCTATTAATCTTGCTCACAGTACCCAGTTCTCTACCTCCTTGTCCTTATTATCATGTATCACAGCGAGTATATGTGCACGTGCATGTGCTGTGCGATGGATGTCTCCTCTCCTCTTCACTCCTCCACTGAAGGCTGAAAGCTCCATGGTGTCAGGGCTGGCATCTGTTTTGCATTTACTGCCCTATATCCAAGCATTTTCCAAGGTAGGAATATCTCCATTGCTCAAAGCAGTTGCTTCACAGTGCTCTCTTCCTGTTTTATATTACAACTAGCCTAATAAAAATAGTACAGCAGGGCCGGGCATGGTGGCTTACGCCTGTAATCCCAGCACTTTGGGAGGCCGAGGCAGATGGATCACGAGGTCAGGAGATCGAGACCATCCTGGCTAACATGGTGAAACCCCGTCTCTACCAAAAATACAAAAAAATTAGCCAGGAGTGGTGGTGGGCGCCTGTAGTCCCAGCTACTCGGGAGGCTGAGGCAGGAGAATGGTGTGAACCTGGGAGGCCAAGCTTGCAGTGAGCTGAGATGGCGCCACTGCACTCCAGCCTGGGTGACAGAGCAAGACTCCGTCTCAAAAAAAAAAAAAAAATAGTACAGCAGGAGCTATATTCTAATAGAAAGACTCGAACCAATTAATACAGTGGCTGAGTAGGAATATGGAGAGTAGAATAAAATTATCCAAATCCTAAGTAGCCACTGGCCAAGTGACTTATTATCTCTTGAATTCTTGGTTCCTTATCTGTAAAATGGGAATATTAATAGTACCTACTTCACAGAGTTGGTGTGAAGAATCAATGCTAAATATTAGCCCAGCTCCTGGCACATAGTGGATACACAATGTATATTTGTTGAATGAATGAATAACGAGAAGCGGGGGCTGCGCCATGGCAGGAGCCCAGAACCTGAGGAGCAAAGGCCACTAGTGAGGGCTCCCCTTGGTAAGGGAAACCAAGGCACGGTTCAGAAAAGTGATGTCCAGTGTTCAGGTGTAATGTGTTCTCTCTGCTCTCCTCTCTCCCTTATCCTCAGATTTACTAAAATGCTGTTCTACATTCCATCCATGTGTTAGTGGGACTTCAGGAATGGGGATGGGCGAAAGGAATCAATTCCCATAGAAATGGTGAGAAGACAGTCGTTACCAGACATCTGCCAGCTTTGAAAAATCCAGCTGAAGTGTGGGGTGGCCTGGAGAACACAAGCCCCCTGTGACTTCTTAGAAGTCGAGGGAGGCGGCAGGGTGTGGGCTCCAGGCAACTTAGAAGGCTGGCAGGCATGGAGACACTCTTCACCCTGCTCCTCCCTGGCCAGCTGACTCTTGGAACAAACTAGAAGTTCAGCAAATCAAGTGGAAGAGCCACTGAAGTTCCAACACCCACCAGGTTCCGGCAGACAGGAATGGCATTGCATGGGTAAACATCACGCCCAGCATAGATTCAAACAAAGACAATCTAGAAAGCAACCCTTAGCATCTTCTATAGAATAAAGCACAAGCTATAAGTGCCTCATTCCCCGTGGAGCCATCCAGGAAGTAGATGGGCCTATATTCCAATATCAGCAAAAGCTATTGATTGGTACTTATTAAGTACTCACATGCTCCTGGTGCTGGACAAAAGATTCAGTTTCATTTATAAAAGCACTCACTCACTAAGAGTATCAACACTAATATAAATACCAAATGACAGTCCCAAGATGACCCTTAGAGGCCACATCAGAGAAGACCATGGTGGTTCAGAAAATAAGCTGTTGTTGGCACAATCCCCTCCCATATGACAGGCAAGAGCTTCAATGTGCTGGTTACAAAGGACGTTGAAAACAAATGCTGAGATACCTATGGAAATAAAATGTTAATTCTTTAAGATACATACAATAGTGAGCAGTGGTCTGTTTCTGTCCTACAATGTAAGTGTTACATCTCCATGGTTTCCCCCAGAGGTAACAAGGAGGTTTACAAATTTTAAATTCTCCTGTAAAGGATTTCCAAAAGGAAGAAGCTGTTCTTCCAAAAGGTAGGGATAATTTAGTATTTCTAAAGCTATAAATGTTTGGCCCTAGGAAGTGGGAAAGTGGTGGGGGACAGGGATGGAGTAAATAGAAAACCTTTGCCATCTATGCTCCACTGCTTATCATGACATCTAGAGGAAAAATAAACAATACCTCAATTCAAAGATCGGTTCCTGAACTGTAAGTCATTTGTAGGAATAAGTTCCCATTAATCCCTGGAAACATTTATATCTATGAAGTTTGAACAGCTCTTCCATCAATTTATTGGGGATTTATAATAAGGTAGCTGTCATTTTCCAACAAGGAGATGATACGCCCGTTGATTCCATTTCTCTTTCTGGCACATGAGAAAATAGTGAGTAATGCTTCTCACCCTGTGGGGAATGAATCAAGGGTGGCATAAACACACCCGGAGCCTTACAATGGAGAACTCTGGTGTTCTGCTTGTCATTCCTTCTCCGGCAGCTGATCAATGACAATATGGAAATGCACATCCAAGACAACCCGCCCTCGTCTGCCCGAATTCCAGGAGCCCCTCCCTCCAGGGTCCCTTTGTGCATCTGTGACAGAGAGGCTTGATGAATGGTCTCCCTGATGCTATCTATCTCATTAGAGGACAATCCTTTGCTCGATTCTTAATGGAGTTTACAAATTGGTCACCCTCCCTCTGGTACAAGATTATTATAATTTTATTATTCATTCCGGGAATTAGTTGCCAAAAATGACAACGTGATCAGTGCCACTGACAGATACAAGGAACATCTCCCATGGCATCTTAGGAGAAGGACTATCTGAAATCATGTTTGATCGCTAATTAGGAAGAAATGATTGGCTACCTTTCAGCAGGAGACATGGGAAGCTGCAGCAGATGCACCCTCTGCTCTGAGAAGCCTGCAGGCCCCGCAGCGCCAAAGGCAAAAATTAAGCAAGCTAATACATGCTGAACAAAGCCCTCACTATGCCAGCTGTAATATGCAAGTCAAATGTTAGTCATAGTCAACCTCAGTTCTATGTCGTGAGTCAAAAAATGTAGACATGTAGACTCAGACTTTGGATCTGACACCAAGCTGTGTGGGCAGGTCATTGATTCTCTTCTGGTGCCAGTTTTTCGTAAGACTACAGGGTAAAGCAGTGGTCATTAAGTCTTTTCAGTTTCAAAACTCTAGCTATGGCTGACACTGCTGATTATCAACACAGCAGCCTGGCACTTCTCCCTTCTGCCCTATAGGCAGCATCCACTTCCCACAAGAGAAATGGAAAATGCTAGATACTCACTTGCCCAACCTTCCTTGCAACTAGGGACAGTCGTCTGATTCTGTTCCACCAATGAAACATAAGTGAACACGTGCAGCGGTAGGGAGGTATCTGGGATTTAAAGAGGAGAGGGAGCGAGAGAGAGAGAGAGAGAGAGAGAGAGCACAAGAGAGGGGAGAAGAGAGAGAGGGAGAAGGGAGAGAGAGAGGGCGAGGGGGGAAAGGGAGAGAGAGAGAGGGAGAGAGAGGAGGGAGAGAGGGGGGTAGAGAGAAAGAGAGAGAGAGAGGGAGGGGGAGAGAGAGAGAGGGAGAGAGAGGAAGAGAGAGAGAGAGAGGGAGTGGGGAGAGGGGGAGAGAGAGGGAGAAGGAGGGAGAGAGAGAGAGAGGGAGGGAGGGAGGGGAGGGGGAAGGAAGAGAGAGAGAGAAGTACAGAAAGAGAGAGAGGGAGGCGGGGAGAGAGAGGAAGAAGGAAGGGGAGAGAAACAAAGAGAAAGAGAGAGAGATGAGCAAGTAGAGCATGTTTATCCTCTCCTCCTTCCTTCCATCTTTGGGCATTCCTGCGTTAGGATATAAGCTTGGAGCTGTAGGAGCCATGTTTAAACCGGGGGGGGTGGGGGCGGGGAGAAGGGTCAAAAACTGCAGAGACATAATGCCCCAGGACCACGGCATTAAGGACCTGCTGAACCAACCCGGTAATTCCTAACTTCCCAATGTCTTGTTAGAAGAAACAGAAACGCAAATTAACGTAGCCACTTTCAGATGCTATTTTCTTTCTGGTAGTCAAAAGTATCCCAAATAATTTGTTGTCCAAAGTCATCTCTGCCCCTTTTTTTCGTATTTTGTTTCACAGATGACACCTGCCTGCCCCACTATGATAGAAGTTAGACCAGCTCCAGTGGGAGGCCCACATAACCCCCAGGAAAGACTCGAGGGAAATACCCAGTCCCTCACAGCCACACTCCCAGCCTGAACTGGGATCAGGACGTTTCTTTTCTTTCTACTTCCCTTTAATTACTTCACTTCTGTGGTCTCGGTCTCTCAGTAACTCAGAACCTTCAACTGCCAAGATGCTTCTGAAGCCTTTGCCTCTGGATTCTAGTTAAATGTTTTTGTTAAAAAAAAAAAAAAAAAAAAAAAAAATCCTTAAGGAAACATCTTCAGAGATGATGCCGGATCTTAATATAAACCAAAGTTGTGCAAAATAATAGCAAATGTTACAAAAGATGGAAGTTTTAAGTTGATTTAAAGAAATGTTTTTAAGTTATTTTTTCAACCATCTAACAGTGTTTTAAAAAATAGTTTCAACTTTTATTTTAGATTTGGGGATACTTGTGCAGGCTTGTTACCTGGGTATATTGCTTGAAGCTGAGGTTTGGGGTACAATTGATCCTATCAACCGGGTAGTGAGCATAGTACCCAATAGGTTTTCAACCCTTACTCTCCTCTCCCCTCCAGTCGTCCCCAGTGTCTGTTGCTGTCATCTTTATATCCATGAGGACCCATTGTTTAGCTCCCACTTATAAGTAAGAACACGTAGTACTTGGCTTTCTGTTCCTACATTAGTTCGCTTAGGATAATGGCCTCCAGCTGTATCTTTGTTACTGCAAAGAACACAATTTCATTCATCTTATGGCTGCATAGTATTCCATGGTGTATATGTACCACATTTTCTTTACCCAATCTACCGTTATTAGGCACCTAGGTTGATTCCATGTCTTTGCTATTGTGAATAGTGCCACGATGAACATACGAGTGCATGTGTCTTTTGGTAGAATGATTTGTTTCCTTTTGGATATATGTCTAGTAATGGGATTGCTGGGTTGAATGGCAGTTCTGTTTTAAGTTCTTTGCATCTCACAACTTTTAAGAATCTACTCAACACCCAAGATATCAGAGATTTTTAGAAGGAATTAAATGTCCACTTTCCTGCTAGATCCCAGAAATCATGACTTTTACTGGCTAACTGCTCCTTGAAATGTCAAACTAACATACTTTTCTCCAAAAATAAACAATACCATTCTGAGTAACTCAGACAGAGTCTATTTTTTGCCTAATTTTGACATAATTTCCACTCATTTTGGAATAGCAGGAGCAGCCATAGCCGACCTCATATCTGATTAGTTCCAGGGAGTGAAGGGGACAGTTAAGAAATTGATTTATGGTCACTGGATACTCTCTGAGCTCTCTGCTCCATACCAAAGCTAAGGAGGCTGGAAGGAAATGTCACTATGACAACCATTTATGTGGCTAAAATGGAAAAGCAAGATTTGATAGGAGGAAAGAAATGCGTGCACCTATAACTCTAAAATATATGGCAAGTTTTATGTTTGTTTGTTTTTTTAAGACTAAATCCACCACCTGCCCCCTCCCCTAGATGTGTGTGTGAATAAAAGGGACCATAATGAAACCATGAATAATAAGTAAAGGGCTTCAGAAAGAATAGCACAGTGTCTCCAAATACTCTAATTCAACCCGCACGCAACATATGCATGTGCCCTAACTAGCCAGCGGTCATAGGAAATCCATTTGCCCTTGCCCACTGTTTGTTATTTTCTCTCCCCCATTTGAAATATGTTCTGCCAAAACCCCCACAGCAAAATATATAAAGTGTCTCAATGCTGCCTTTTTAAAACAACAGGTAGAACGAGTAATGAGTTATTTCAATGCATGCTTGGCCAAGTCTGCTGACGACAAACCCCAAACTGCCTTTGGGGGAGTTGACAGTCTCGAAAGCCCCTTGCCAGTCAACTTCATTCTCCTGGAAACCCTGAAAAGGTGTCACTGAAGCATACAGTGCTGCATGTAAGTGAAAACCAGGGGATTAACAGCCAGGGCTTTTTGTTGTTGTTGCTGTTGTTGTTGTTGTTAGTTGGTTGGCCTGAGTTTTAAATGAGCCTTCAGGAAGATGAGAGGCTTCCATAGGTGAGTGATACGGAATAACTAAGCTGTTTCCATTAAAGAAAAAAAAAGTTGTTGGGCAGGTTTGAATGTAATCTGAGCAATCCCAAACCTCACCAGTGCGGAAAGTACAAGCGAAATTACATTTATGTCTCAATTGCACTGGCTCTGTGGCCCCCACTTCAAAAGCTCCTATTACTGCGGGGAGTTTTTTTCGATGTATCTTTCTTCTCTGGCATCCTGGTTGGCACCTGCTGGGTGGAGCAGCCCCAACATCATCTCCCTCCCCTATTGCCACTGCAGCCCAGCCCCTCAGAGAATGCTGTTTCGCTGTCCAGAATGCAATCTCACTAGTGCTCCCAAAGAAGAAAACCCTGCATGGCACTGAGCTCCCTTCAGTCTTTGCTGCACTAAAGCCATGCTTGATTTCCATGCAGGAAAAAAAAAAATTGTCCCTTTTTCAAACTCTGAGTCCTGCTCTGTTACCTTGGTGCAGGGCAGCCAAGCTTGTGTCTTAAATCTCAAAAGTCCCTCAGGAAAACAATTTCTTTAGATATCTACCTGAGGCCCTCCGGATTTAAAGGTCAAACTTTGTCCTAGAGGCTGAGCTGGAGAATTCCTCTTGTCTCCTCCCACCCTCAAAATGACCAGACATTAGTCTTCCTCCTCTGGGCCACTGTCCCTACTCCCACACGTATTCAGGAGACAACTGTAAGGATGCAGGATCTGCCCCCATCTATGGGAAGTGGCTGCCCACAGCTGGCAGCCATGTTTCCACCAAGTGGCATTTCCTGCCTGGCCATAGCTAATTGGACTTTTGAGTCGAGCTGGGTTTATTCAGATTCCCTCTCTCTCTCTCAAACCAGGGAGATACGATAAGGATGAAGATAGCCATCTCTACCATCATCATCGCCAACTGTGGCTTTAGTAAGAAAGTATTATTTTTTTTTCCCGAGACAGAGTTTCACTCTGTCACCCAGGCTGGAGTGCAGTGGTGCAATCTCCACTCACTGCAACCTCTGCCTTCCGGGTTCAAGCAATTCTCCTGCCTAAGCCTCCCGAGTAGCTGGACTCCAGGCTCGCACCACCATGCCTGGCTAATTTTTGTATTTTGAGTAGAGATGGGGTTTCACCATGTTGGTCAGGCTGGTCTCAAAATCCTGACATTGTCATCCACCCGCCCCAGCCTCCCAAAGTTCTGGGATTACAGGCATGAGCCACCACACCCAGGAAACAAAGTCTTTTAAGGTTGCCAGAGAATCTCTCTGGATCTCTGCTGACTTGAGCTGAGCACTGGAAGGTCTGAGCCTGTCATTCCCTTTCGGTAACAGTGAGTACATTCAGAAGAACCTGCCTCACACCACAGTCCTAAGAGTCATCATTACTGCTACAGTGGTCAAGGGCAGCAAGCAGTCACTTGTTCCCCCAAGTCCCTGGCTTCAGTAGGCACTTCCTCACAATCACCCAAATCTGACTGATTTTGATGCCATTGCACACCATGGATTACCAGCATTGCATTTCCCATGGGTGAGAGCTCAGTATCACACTCAAGCCTGAGGACCCCAGGAAACAAATCCCTAAATCTACCTGTTTCCTGGGATTGACCCTGGTACCAACTTCCATAACATCCAGGGTTCAGATGGGAGACAGAAACACCAAGTTTAGGGGCTTTTTTTTTTTTTTCTTGAGACAGAGTCTCACTCTGTCACCGAGGCTGGAGTGCAGTGGCGCGATCTCAGCTTACTGCAACCTCTGCCCCCCAGGTTCAAGCGATTCTCCTGCCTCAGCCTCCCAAGTA
This sequence comes from Homo sapiens, assembly GCF_000001405.40. Taxonomy (NCBI): domain Eukaryota; kingdom Metazoa; phylum Chordata; class Mammalia; order Primates; family Hominidae; genus Homo; species Homo sapiens. The sequence continues at coordinate 73,223,669 of NC_000003.12, read as the reverse complement.
GCTGGAACTACAGGCTCGTGCCACCACACCCGGCTAATTTTTTTGTATTTTTAGTAGAGACAGGGTTTCACCGTGTTAGCCAGGATGGTCTCACTCTCCTGACCTCATGATCTGCCCGCCTCGGGTTCCCAAAGTGATGGGATTACAGGCGTGAGCCACCGCACCTGGCCAAGGGTTTTTTTTTTAAAGAGGGAATGTAATAAAAAATAAGTGTCATTTAGAGATAAGGATATAACTTTGTATCGGGCAAAAAGGGAATGTGAAGGTACCACACAGGCAGCAACTGCAGGAAGTTGCTCCCACTCTTAGGGATGCAGGAAACAAAGGAAGAAGTTGGAGTTATTAATTTAGAGAAGATTCTCTCAAAGTAGACCTCTGAAGAAAGGGTACTACCCACATGGTGCTGTTAACCCCGAGGTTAGAGGAGGGATTTCCATGGGGCTGGGACCCAAAACTCTATAAAGAGGTCACTGGCCAGCCGGTACTGGTATCACTGGGCAGGCATACTGTGGCAGATATTGCCAGCACTGGGAAAACTACAGATGAATCCCAGTGCTGTTACGAGAAGGAACTGCTGCTGCCAGGGTGAAGATGCACTATGGGGCAGTCATTTCAGGAATAGAATATCTTCCAGTATCCTCTAGTTCCCCATATGGGTAGAGCCTCACACAAAGCAGTTGGCAAATGCAGAAATGTGGTTCGTACAGTCCAGTCCCAGCATCACAAAGCAGAGTATAGAAGCATAGATTTGAAACTGAGACACCATAGCTTAATAACTGGCACAGAAAGTGTGAATAGAATATCTTCCAGTATCCTCTAGTTCCCCATATGGGTAGAGCCTCACACAAAGCAGTTGGCAAATGCAGAAATGTGGTTTGTACAGTCCAGTCCCAGCATCACAAAGCAGAGTATAGAAGCATAGATTTGAAACTGAAAGACCATAGCTTAATAACTGGCACAGAAAGTGTGAGATAATATTTATCAAAACAGAACAAGGGTTCAAAATGGTAGAGGTGAGAAAAGAAGAATGGTCCTGGCTGAGAGAATTGCATAAGCAAAAACAAAGACCCAGTGAATGGTGGTTGTTATACACAGCTGAGAGATAGAATTCCTGGGAGAGGAGGGCAGAAGAGAGGGGAAGTAGGAAAGAGATGGAAAAGTCAATTGCAGTCTTATTGCAGAAGGTCTTGAGTGGCAAACCGGGAGGTTGGGACATTTTCCTGTAGTCATTTGGAACCAACCAAACATTTTTAATCAGGAAAGTTAAATGATCAAAGACGGGTTTTTACAGAGATGGCAGAATGGAGAAAGGAATCGTCACTGTTTTCACTGTTTTCATTTTTTAAAACTGTCACTGAAACAGCCAAAAGATAGTTTTATTTTAGCCACATCAACCATTCTGCTTAAGTTTTCTAGGACAAACCATATTTTTCAAATGAAAGCTTTTTAAATGGGGGTTGGGAAGAAGGGGAAACTTTCTCCTTCTGTACAAAATTTTATTTCCCTCATTGCCGTGCTACCAAGTTAAAAATCACAGATTAAGTTTTCAACTACAAAGGGAAATATAGTGACTTGACAGGGAAGAAATTTGGCAACCGCCAACTTAGCCAAGTGATCAAGGAAAACACCCTCTGTAATAAGACATATCAACATCACACACCCCTTCATGTAACTCATTGAGGACACTATATTTTTGTAGAATTCTTGCCAAAAATGTATAGCATCAGTCCAATTATGAAAAAACATTAGATAAACCCAAACTGAGGGCTATTCTATAAAATAACTGATCAGTACTCTTCAAAAGTGTGAATGCAGGTCATGGAAGACAAGTAAAGATTGATATACAGTCCCAGACTGGAGGAAACTAAAGAGAAATGACCACTAAATGCAATATGGGGGCCTGGATGAGGTCCTGGGGCAGAAAATGGGCATTGGGAGAAAAATTGGTGAATTTTGAATAAGGGCTATAGTTCAGTTAATAGTACTGTACCAATGTTAATTTCTTCTTCTTGATAATTGTACCACAATTACAAACATTTTGTTTTTGTTTTCTTTTGAGATGGAAGCTTGCTTTTTCACCCAGGCTAGAGTGCAGTGGTAGGATCTTGGCTCACTGCAACCTCTGCCTCCAGGGCTCAAGCAATTCTCCTGCCTCAGCCTCCCAAGTAGCTGGGATTACAGGCGCACACCACCATGCCCAGCTAATTTTTTTATGTTTAGTAGACACGGTTTCACCATGCTGGCCAGGCTGGTCTTGAACTCCTGAACTCAAGTGATGCACCCAACTTGGCCTCCCAAAATGCTGTGAGCCACAGCTTACGGCAAAAGTTTTGAGGTTTGTTTTTATTTGAGACAGGAATTCAGTGTGTCACCTAGGCCGGAGTGCAGTGGTATGATCTCAGCTCACTGCAGCAACCTCCCAGGCTCAAGTGATCCTCCCACCTTGGCCTCCTGAGTAGCTAGGACTACAGGCACATGCCACCACACCCAGCTCATTTGTGTGTGTGTTTTTTGTTGTTTTTTTTTTTGTTGTTGTTATTTTGTTTTTTTTAGATTTGGGGTCTCACTGTGCTTCCCAGGTTGGTCTCAAACTCTGGGGCTCAAGCAATCCTCCTGCCTTGGCCTCCTAAGGTGCTGGGATTACAGGCATGAGCCACAGGGCCCAGCCTAAGATCTTATCATTAAGGGCCGAGTGCGGTGGCTCACACCTGTAACCCCAGCACTTTGGGAGGTCAAAACAGGTGGATCACCTGAAGTCAGGAGTTTGAGACCAGCCTGGCCAACATGGCAAAACCCCATCTCTACTAAAAATACAAAAATTAGCCAGGTATGGTGGTGGGTGCCTGTAATCCCAGCTACTTGGGAGGCTGAGGCAGGAGAATCACTTGAACGTGGGAGACGGAGGTTGCAGTGAGCCAAGATCACGTCACTTCACTCCTGCATGGGTGACAGAGCAAGACTCCATCTCAAAAAAAAAAAAAAAAATAGATCTTATAATTAGGGATGTGGGTGACATATATAAGAAAATTCTCGGTGCTCATTTTGGAATTTTTCAGTAAACCTGAGTTCAAAATGTAAAGTTTTTTTCAAAAAAAAAAAAACCACATATTTATTTACATGGATTGGAGCCCCATAAGATTTCCAGCCATTATCAGCCAATTTAGCTTGGGTAAGTAAACAATTCCATGGTGCTTTTTCTAGACAACAAAGACATGGGCAATAGTCTCGGCACACCAGACAGGTAGGATGTTACTTAGGACAGAGGCATGGGTAAGGTAGATTAGACAATGGGGCCTAGTGAAGGAGAGATGAGAGGTGAGCAAAGACCAACATTGTCTGCTTCCTAATGGAGCCAGTGACCAGCTGGGTTTACAAGACAGAATATTAAGCCTCCTTCAACCAAACCACACCTCGAAACCTGCTCCCAGGACCCACACCTCAGTCATCTTTGCCTCCTCCTTCACATCCCCATAAATCAGTCATCAAGTTCTGTTGACTCCAGCTCAATATTCTTCAACCCACCACCGCCTCTTCCCTTTATCCCGCCTTCAGCCATTGTCTGTTGCTCTCTTGTAATACGACCAAAGCCAAGTGGCCATGACCAGTCGTCAAGCTCTTTTGGTGAATATGGGGGACCTCCAATGTTTGGAGGTGATTGAGAGTTACAGGCTCCTCAGCCCTTCCTCTTACCCAGGTGGCATGTCACAACGCAAGCAAGCCTCAGATCGAGTTCTACCATACCATCAATCATTTATGGGTAAGTAGGTCCCCAGAGAATCAAACCACCTGGACCTAAGCAGGGCAAACTCTCTGTTCTCAGGGTTTTGAGGTACTTTGTAAAGCACAATTAATAGTGTTCTAAGGACAGATTTGCTTCCCATCTAATTAAATTAGACAACAGAATTCACCCATGAGTGGGGGACTTGGACCTTTCAGTGTCCTAGACCTGTAATAGCCTTATTCTTGAACCCCATTTGTGCAAGAACAGATTTCTAACCAATTAGATATCTTGAACATCATTTATTTTACCAATAGAAATTATTTCTAACATCCTTTATGTTAATTAACAGACCAGATAGTACAGACTCAGACAGGGATATCAGATGGCAGGCCTGGAATGTCAATTCCTGACTAGATTAATCCAAATGTTAACTTCTTCTAAATTATAATTTAAAGTTAACTTACACCTACATGGAGAGATATATTAAACTGTCTATATTAATTTTTTTTTAGTAAATTACAGGAAATGTAACAATTTCTATATTCTGGTAGGTGCTGGGGATAATGCTGAACTAGAACAGACGTGGACCCTGTCCACAAGGCGCCTATAGTCCAACAGGGACAGACACCACTCATACAATCCCACCAATCAATATAGAATTAGCCAGCGATGTGTGCTCAGAAGAAACTGAACACTATTCTAGAAGAACCAATAACAAACAATATGGCCTTTCAGGAAGAATCAAGGAACATCACCATTTTCTGGGTTTTTTTTTTTTTTTTTTTTTTTTTGAGACAAAGTCTCACTCTGTCACCCAGGCTGGAGTGCAGTGGTGTGACCTCAGCTCACTGCAACCTCCATCTCCTGGGTCCAAGCTATTCTCCTGCTTCAGCCTCCCCGAGTAGCTAGGATTACAGGCGCACACCACCACACCCAGCTAATTTTTGTATTTTTAGTGGAGACAAGGTTTCATGATGTTTGTCAGGCTGGTCTCAAACTCCTGACCTCAAGTGATCTGCCCACCTTGGCCTCCCAAAATGCTGGGATTATAGGTGTGAGCCACCATGCCTAGCCGCAATTGAGCAGAAATCTGAAAAATAAAAAAAACTCGGTAAAGGGAAGTGGAAATGGGGACAAGAACTATAAGCAGAGAGGACAATCTGGCAGGATAGAAGGACAGAAGGAAGGCCAGCATGGCAAGAACAGAGAGAACCCTCTCCTAACCTACTCCTAACTGGCTCCCCGATCCCTGTGGTCTGTCTCCATTGACTCCATTGCCTACACCTGACCACTAGCAATTTGCAGGCCGCATTTCAAGGTCATGACAGTATATTATTCCATTATGTATTTGGAATTTTTTCTTTAAATAGACTCACTTTTCACATTTACACAAAAATGAGAAAGGAAGTTTGTAACCTCTCTCTGAGTATAAAACAAGTATCACTCATCATAAAGGAAGGTAATTCTAAATATAATACAATGCAAATGACATTATTAATTTCAGGCTATAGACAGTCTCAACAGAAAGCTCTGAGTGGGTCTGTTCTCTTAGCTAATAAAGCAGTGTTAGACTGTTCTTAGAGAAAAGAACTCTAAATTAAGACTTTATCCTTGAGTTAACAGAAAGATTCTAAGAAAAACAAGAGAAGACCATTTTATTTAATGCCTTGTCCGTAAAACTCCTAAAACCATGTAAACCTCCCAACAGTGGCATGTGTGTCACATATTGAGAAACAGTCCTGTAAGAAATATTTCTAGAGTCCCAAAATGATAGGCATGAGGAAGGAGGCATTATTCTCCCATACTGCTGATAAGGAAGCTGAAGTTCAAAGAGTTTCGGTGTCCTGCACAAGGTGCACACTAATAGGATGTGATAGAACCAGAATTGGTACCAGGAAGTCCAACTCTGGAACATATGTTTTTTGTAACTGTGAACTCCGTCATGTTGTACAATTTGTCAGAGAAGGGGGAAGAGGAAAGGTATAAGGAGGAGGAGGGAAAAGAGAGAGACAAAGAGGAGACGGAAGGGAAGGAAGAAAAGCAGGTAGGTAGGAAGAGAGAGAGGGAGGAGAGAAGGAAGGAATAAAGTAGGAAAGAAAAGAAAGGAAGGAAAGGGGAAAGAAAAGGAAGGGAAGGAGGGAGGAAGAAAAGGAAAGAACGAAGGAAGGAAGGAAGGAAGGAGGGAGCGGCGGGAGGGAGGGAGAAAAGGGAGGGGAGGGGGAAGAGGGAAGGGGAGGGGAGGGGAGGGGAGGGGAGGAATGAGAGGAAGGAAAGGAGGGAGTCAGTCTTAATTGAAGTCCATCAGATATGTTTCCTCACCATGTTTTCTGACTCAGTCATATGAAAGGAATCAAAAGATAGTGATTTCCACAACCTGGTTCCAACATTGGTCTGCAAATTCAGAGCCACTCCTCCTACCTGGACTCCCAGCAGATAACTAATTGCCTATGGCATTCTTGCCACCAAGCCCAGCTGTAACTTCAGAATTCTTCTCAACACTGCACTCCAAGAAACCTCCAAGAAGAGTGAGGGTAGGTGCTTAAGATAAAGCCTATTGCCAATCCCTCTCCTAGCTTATCCTCCATCCTAATTCACCCATAGTTCTTGACTTTCATGAAGAATGAAATGAAGAAAGGAAGTAATAAACAGGTGATGAAAGGCTATTTTTATATTTTTCAACATTAATAGTCTGACTTTAAGTTTCTAACATTTACCCTACAAAAATTGTTCAAATATCCCATATAATCTTCCTAAATGGCCACTCTCCCTCATTAGGTCTGTATTGTAGAAGAACAATGTCAGTTATAATGCCTTCCCAATTAAGAACAAAACAATTAATTTGCTGCTTCTTCCAGACAGGACTTTCAAAGAGAAGATAAGGGGTGGGGGATCACAAATGAAACAAGTAAGTCCCAGGTTTTGTCCTGAGATCATTAGAAATGCCACCTGCTGGCTTATACTTTCTTCATCTGTGGTCCAGTGGGTTAAAGACCCACCAAGAGGCCCCTGGACTTTCCAGATCAGACTTAGTTACACTAGTAAGGCATGCTTCGTAGCTTTCCAGCAAGTGAGTCAATGAATTTATGAACACCTTGGTATTTTTGTTGAAAATCTTCCTATCGTCAATGTTCTCCTTCCAGATCTCCGGCCCCTTACTTGGCTTTATTTTTATTGCACTTTGCACAACCTGAAATTATATTATACACTTATTTGCTTCCTTGTTTATTGTCTGTGTCCTCCAGGAGACTATCTGCTCCTTGAAGACAGGCATCCTATCTGCCATAAACATGCCTGCTCCCGAGTGCCTATAGCAGAACACAGCATGCAGGGTGTCTACATGAGCACCTGAGGGAAAGAGGGAGGGGATCCATGTGATTTTCAATGCCTCCCACTAGAAGGACAGACAGGAGGTAGTGAAAACAAGCATAGTGATGAAGAATGTGGACTCTCTAGGTTGGCTGCCAAGATCTTACTCCCAGCTCTATTACTGGCCACAGTTTTCCCTAAATAGGGATAATGTGACCTACTTCAAATGACTTTCAGAAGGAAGAAAATGAACTCATGGATGTAAGACATTCAATGCCTGGTACAGAGTAAGAATTCAATAATAATTAAGTTATTAAGCAAGGCCTTTCCAAACCTCTCTTTTAAAATTAAAAAAAAAAATCTAATCCAGGGAAAATCATAACAAGATCTCAGCAAACAATGAATTTGTTCTTCCTCCTACGGACATCTAGAACAACAACGTCTAACTAAGCTGATGCCACTGATGTCGGTTTATAAGCTTGGAAGCCTTCTTGTGATTCCAATGCCTTCTTAAAAGAATTCCTGGGGATATGAGGTAGTGTGGGAGGTGAAATCCATTTGGATGCCTGGGAATTTTTATCTTCTGATCCTCTATCTAAAGTGTTCATTTCTAAGCTACAGAGATTTGCTCTGGATCATCTTCAACATGCATTGAGTCGCAATAAATGTTCTCATCAGTTAGGTGTTTATAAATCACACCTCAATTTTCTGATTTGGAATCTATTTGATTTTATCACCTTTCCTATAATTATATACTCCCCCTCCTATAAGTAGATCTCATTCAACTTGTGACAACAAGTTCAAGGGCATGCATTATACTTCAAGCTCTCTGTACCAAACATTCAATAGCAATGGCAATAAGCATCTCAGAAATTCCTTTCTAATTTTTAAAATTATAGCAACTGTTACAAATTATGAGCATCAGATGCAATAAGTGTCCAAGATGAAAAATAATAAACTTGTACACTGCCTATGATGCTTAGATTTGCAAAGTAGAAAGCAAAAAGTATTCTGATGTACAAAATAATAGGTAATAAAGCCTTTTTAAAAAATCTGGTGTAAAATTTGATTCCAATAGCCTTCTTGGCAAAGAGATTTCCTGTTGCTATTTAAATGTAAATGAGTCATGAAGGTTGTGTCAGAAATATTTAACTCAAAACCAGATCCAATACAGCAAAAGAAGCAGAGAATGAAGCCCAACCAACCATTTCCGCAATAAAATGTTTGAGTTTCCAGATTTTGATAACTTTATATATCTAGAAACAGAGGGAAGTGATAAATGGGTACAATTAAGATACTCTACATGCCATTTATTAAATATTGTGTGACATGCAACTGTATAGATTTCTAGCCTAACCAATCACAAATCTAATCAGAACATTTAACACTTTGTCTTGATGGTGCTTTGGAGAATTCAACTATCGATTAAAACATATTTATGCGTCCTTTCATAACAATCCATTTTAAGAGTCTTTGATTTTTTTCAGAGGAAAAAAAAAAGACATTTAATTGTGGCCTTAATGTCCTAACAAGAAACATAAGCTTGAAATCATATCTCTGTTTCATTCCAGTGAAGCAGACATGCAATTTTAAAGAATTTAAAAGAATTAATCACAGCTGTGAGAATATGGTCTACAGAGACTTTTACTTAACCAAATATTAATGCAATTCACCCAGCTAATTCTCCTTGTTTGGAGGGAAAATATCCATGTAGACTTGCAATAGAAGATAAACATTAGAATTTGTTCAACAATAAGAACAACAATAACAGCAACAACAACTTATCAAGCACTGACTAGGTACCAGACACTTGGCTAAATTTTTTTTATTTTTATTTTTTTTTTTGAGACGGAGTCTCACTCTGTCACCAGGCTGGGGTACAGTGGCACCATCTTGGCTCACTGCAACCTCCACCTCCCAAGTTCAAGTGATTCTCCTGACTTAGCCTCCCTGAGTAGCTGGGATTACAGGTGTGCGCCACCACACCCAGCTAATTTTTGTATTTTTAGTAGAGACAGGGTTTCACCATGTTGGCCAGGATGGTCTCAATCTCTTGATCTTGTGATCCGCCCACCTCGGCCTCCCAAAGTGCTGGGATTACAGGCGTGAGCCACCGTGCCTGGCCTCTGCTAAAATTTTATATGCAAAATCTTATTTATTGAAGACAACCCTGTGATGTGTAGGTATTGGGGTCAGTTGGGTTATTGTCACCCTCTCCTGTTTCCATGTGATTGTCATTGCCTCCCACTAGAATAGATAGTGTGTTTCTGCCTATCAGGCTTGGCCAGGTGACTTGCTTTGGTCAGTGAGATCCAGCAGACATAATGTCATAAGAAACTTCCAGTGGGTTTGCAACATTTTCTTGACCTCTTGTTCTTCTGCCTTATTTCATGGCAAGAAAATGCCCCAGGTAGCTGCCAAGTACCAGAATGATAAAGGCACAAGGAGTAGATCTGAAGCCAATTGGCCTGGAGTCTGTACAAAACCACAGTCAACCCACAGGCCATGAGCAGGAAAAATAAATGTTTTCTGCTGTAAGTCATTGAGATTTTTAGATTAATACATAGCATCATTATAAATGAAGTTGGCTCATTCAGTGTATTAGTTTGCTAGGGCTTCCATAACAAAGTACCACAAACTGGGTGGCTCACACAAGAGAAATGTATTATCCCACAGTTCTGGAGCCTGGAATTCCAAAGTCAAAGTGTCAGCAGGGTTGGTTTCGTCTGAGGGCTGCAGGGGAAGGATCTGTTCTGGGCCTCTCTCCTTGGTTTGTAGACAGTCATCTTCTCCCTGCATCTCTTCCATCGGCTTCCTTTCCTTCCTTCAGAAAACGTGTCTCCGTGTCCAAATTTCCCCTTTTTATAAGGGCACCAGTATTGATTAGGGCCCATCCTAATGACCTCCCTTTAACTTGATTGTTTCTGTAAAGTCTTTATTTTCAAATAAGGTCACATTCTGAAGTACTAAGATTTGGGACTTCAACATACAAATTTTGGAGGGACATATTCCAACCCATAGCATTCGGGTACTATTTTTAATATCCAGTTTACTTCTGTAGAAATTGAGTTTCAGGCCGGGCGCGGTGGCTCACGCCTGTAATCCCCGCACTTTGGGAGGCCAAGGCAGGTGGATCACGAGGTCAGAAGATCAAGACCATCCTGGCTAATGTGGTGAAACCCTGCCTCTACTAAAAATACAAAAAATTAGCCGGGCGTGGTGGCGGGCACGGTGGCGGGCGCCTGCAGTCCCAGCTACCCAGGAGGCTGAGGTAGGAGAATGGCGTGAACCCGGGAGGTGGAGCTTGCAGTGAGCTGAGATCGCGCCACCACACTCCAGCCTGGGAGACAGAGCGAGACTCCATCTCAAAAAAAAAAAGAAAGAAATAGAGTTTCAGATAAAGTAACTTTTTCAAGATCACAGAGCAGAGACATGTGAAGCACTGAGCTTGAAGTCAGACATCTGACAGACTCTTTGTTCTTAAAACGTCCGCTATCCTGCCTACTCACTACTTTGCACAAAATGCCCATGGTGAATTTTTGGAAGCTGATGGGTTTATCTGTTATCTCTTATTCTCATACAGACGTATATAGACACTACTTATGAACATGGCTTTCTATTTTACTATTTTATCAGAAATACAGGAACTCTCATTAAAGCCTTAAAATATAAGGACTGGTATTGTGTAAGACTTCATTTATTAAATATTTCTGGAGCACCAACTGTGAGCTAGGTCCCCCAGAGGGCAATGATGAGAAAAATCATTCTCATTTCCTGCCCGTACCGAGCCCACAGTTAAATAAGGGTGACAGATGCATCAAACCATCAGACAGCTTCCTCTGAAATCACAGCTGTGATCCATATTACAAAAGGAAGTTACATGGTTCTATGAGAGTATAAAAGACTCAACAGTTGTAACCTAGTGAGAGATGCCAAGGGCAGCTAAGAAATCAAGAAACTAGCCGAGATCTCAAGTGTGAGGAGGAACCAAGTAGGCAAAGGCATGGGAGAAGAATATTCTGGAAAGTAGGGAGACAGCATATGCAGAGATTTAGTAGCAGAAGGGAGCTGATATGGTTTGGCTGTGTCCCCACCCACATCTCATCTAGAATTATAGTTCCCATAATCCCCACATGTCATGGGAGGGACCTGGTGGGAGGAAATTGAATCATGGGGGTGGCTACCTCCACGCCGTTCTCATGATAGTGAGTTCTCAAGAGATCTGATGGTTTTATAAGAGGACTTTTTTTTCCTTTTGCTTGGCACTTCTCCTTCCTGCCACCATGTGGAAGAAGACATGTTTGCTTCCCCTTCCACCATAATTGTAAGTTTCCTGAGGCCTCCCCAGCCATGCAGAACTGTGAGTCAATTAAACCTATTTCCTCTAAAAATTACCCAGTCTTGGGTATGTCTTTTTCTTGGGTATGTCTTTATTAGCAGCATGAGAATGGACTAATACAGGAACACAGCATACCCAATGAAGTGAAAAGAAGTCCAAAAACAAACAAATAAAAACAAAAGAAGTCCAAATCATCTAGAGCATGAAAATTCCAAGGCAACATGGCAGGAGACACATCTGGCAAGGTAGGTGTTACCAAATGTGAGCACCTACTTTTCAGCGATCCTATGCAGTAGGTACCATCACCGGCCTCATTTTCAGATGGAAAAATAGGCTCAAAACCTTCCCCTAGGGCAACCAGCTGGTACACAGGAGAGCAGAGGCTCAAACCCAAGCATGACAGACTATGGGGCCAGGCACTAGCCACCACACTGTGTTGTCACACAAAGCAAAAGAAAAAAGGACCACTACTTAGTGGAATAGCTGCTAAAATCACCACCCACACCATGATGGCAACATCATCATGAAGCCTCTTTTGGGCCTATATGTATCTTGTGACCACTGATATATTTGATGGTATTTTCACAATCTTGTTTTATCATTTCCTGGGTAAAATATATTATATTGAATTATACACAACTGCCATTTTTTATATATTAAAAAGTGGCCCACTCTTAGCAATTTCATGTTTTAACTTAATTAATATAGCAATGTAAATATAACATGTGAACTGTTGAACCAATGATCGTGAAATGAACTGGTGTGGCACTCCCATCTGGATAAAGAGACAGAATGTCAACAGTGCCCCAGGAGACCTCTGCGTCCCCTTCACAAGGACATGTGCCCATGGATGTGCCAAGGGCTGGGGAGACAGCAGTGGTCCACCCTCAGAGCAGATAAGAAGGAAAACGGGTATTTCCATGAAAAACGATCCACTTTTGAGGTCAGATATGCCGGGCATGTGTCTGCTCTGATTTGAGTCTCAACTCGAGGGCAAGAAGAGAGCCAGATGAAACATTTCTTCAGCAACTGCAACAGTGCTTAGCATCCATGTCATTTAGAGCAATTCATCACAGCTTTTCCACAGACAGTTCTGAGTCTTAATGAACTGCTGCTATCCAGCAGCCCTCCCTTCTTGAAGAAAACCCAACTTTCAGCCCCCACAGTAGAATGAATCACCTGGTTGACCATTGTCCAGGAGCCCAAGAAGGTCAAAAAGCAAGGCCCTGTGTTGGCCTCTTCCACAGTCACCCTCTTTGGGTGGCTGCACATCCTCTATGTCAGGTAAATGCTCTGCCCTGGGCCCACCCTGACAGCTGGGGCACCTGCGTGTTTAGCTTGGCTCTCAGCAAAGGCGCACTGGAGGCTGGTTTCCAACACAGCTTAAACACAATTAACTTTCATTTGATGTGGCCTGCCTCTCTCTGCTCCTAATGTTCCCTCAGGACCCGGGATCCAATAAAGTCCAGCATGTGACCAAGAAAGCCAGGCAGAGAAACTGACCAAATATTGTTCAATGTGATATTACAAACCTATGGGAAAGGAGTTTAATTAAAGACCACAACAATTCTTTGGGGAAATGTTTCTTTTATTAACCATTCCTGCCGAACAAAGCAGCTTTAAACAAACCCTGACTGCTTGGAAAGTGTGTGTGCCCGAGATTTCTTTTTTCTTCTTAATCTGTTCTGCTTTTTGGTTATTTGGTCATTAGGAAAATCAGAAGTGTCTTGGACTCAAGAAATCCAATTTAAGTAAGCTCATTCCACATTTATAAATATGAGCAGATGACATTTAAAACAGACAAACCAACAGGGACAGTTCTAAGTGTGAAATTGTAGTTCAGCATAAAGTATTACCATAAATATATAGAGGAGCTATTTGTGGATCAACTAACAAGTTCAGGGCATTTCCGTGAAATGTATGCACAGCCTGAATGTGGATAAGACATTTAAAAATGTAGAGGAAATGCAGTTGTTTTACGCTGTAGTATAATAAAACCACTAGTTAGTGTCACTGATATGATAGCACCAATTGCAAAACAGTGAAAAAGCAGAAATCAAAATGGAAGACCCACATCTGATAGAGCAAAGAAACTGGATTTTTAGGTATTATTGGAAAAGAGGAAATACCACTGAGGAGTTAAGACAGGAGTGTATGAATTTTTTAAAACTCAAGAAAAGTCAGAGGATATATAAATCTAAAATTGGCTCATGAGTACATTCAAACATTCCAAGGCTATGCAATACATTGGACGCACTGATTATTGAAGTCTCGCTCATGAAGAAAGTGTGTAGGACAAATGAAATAAATGTTAAAATGTGCATGTGATATGAGTTTGCTTTTCTCAAAAATGCCAAGAAAATATGCAAAGAAACAGAGTAAACATTCTGTAAAGATGGAATTCTATAATATTCTACCACCCACATTTCCATTACCAATAAATGCACTTGTTCCTAAATGATACATATAATATGACCTTCATATCTAGGTATATGTACCTTAGGAGACTGTTTCTTTGCCTAATCTTGAGTGAGTGACATGTGACAGATTGTATTTTCCAAAGATGGCTTTGGAAACATCCCCCATCCCACATACTCTTTTTGAAATGAGACCTTACAATACCTCATCAAGTAGTGGAGTTTATTTCTATGCCCCTTTGAATCTGGGCAGGCACCATGACTCCTTTGAACAGTGTAATACAGCAGAAGTAACACTGTGCCAGTTACACATGTCATCCTTAACTGGCCTGGCAGCTTCCAGTTCCTGCTTCTTGAAAGTCAGTCACCATGCAAAAAGTACCACTGCCCTGAAACCATCTTGCTCTGAGAAGCTGAGCCACATGGAGAGGCTTTAGAAAAAATTAGATAAATAATGGATGGATGGATGGATGGATGGATGGACGGACGGACAGACGGACGGACAGACGGACAGACAGACAGACAGACAGACAGACAGACAGACAGATAGATAGATAGATAGATAGATAGATAGATAGATAGATAGATAATGTCAAGAAACACTGCAGTACCAGGTATGTGACTGTAAAGGCTATCTTTAAAGTGGATCATCCAGCCCCATAGGCCCAGCTGACGGCCTGCAGGTCAGACTCAAACTGCCCCACCAAGCTCTTCCCAAATTCCTGACCCACTAAATCAAAAGCAGAACAAAATGGTTATCTTAAGCTACAAACTAGGTAGTTTCCTATATAGCAATAGATAACTTCAACATTGTCTTCCATATTGGACTTTACCCGGAATACATGTGCATTCTACCCAGGTTGAAAATCCTAAGGTTTTTACCCTTTCTTGAAATTTTGAGTCATGTAACCTTTTAATACTTCTTCAGAAATCTCGATGCTACCAACAACTCTAATGTTCAGTTTTCTTTTGTTAATGAATTAGGAGGAAATATCAGGGTTTTGCAAACTGCTTTCTGAAGACCCCCTTCATCTGCACACCTGGGACTGTTTGTGAAATATGCAGATTCCTGGGCCTCATCTCAACCCACTGAATACTCTTTGAGGGGTACAGCTTAGAAGCCTGTATTTTTTAAACATTCCCACCATATCCAACACACATACATTCTGCTTTCATGACCCTCCTAAATTCTGAGCCTGCTTATTTTCAAGGCAATTTCCAAAATAATCCTAGAAGCATTTTGGCAGCTGCAATAGTAAGACATTTGGACCTGTCAATAGCATGATTTCACCTACTTCAACATACTATTTGGTACAATTGTACATGGCATAAGATGAGTCTGTTGTACTCACCCTCTTTAGTTAAGCAACCAATTTTCTGCAAAATAAACTTGGTATGTGAACACCAACAGCTCATCACAAATCTACCAGCCATTTTTTCTGGTGAAGGAAAATCAGTAGCAAAATTCAATTCAAACAAGCTTTCTTAGGTAATTACAATAGGATACCTTGCAAGGTGGCATTGGTAATGGTATAAAGAAGAGAGGGGCCCCTGACCTCTGGCAACTCAATTTGGTAAGGAAAGCAGTCAGTTACATAAATAACACTTCCCATTATGCAGATGGCAACAGACAGCTATAAAAGAAGCATTCTGCTGTACTTGGCATCTAAGACCTACCGATCTTGAGCAAGAGACCGGGCTATGTTTGCAAAGCAGATCTGAGAGGAGCCTTTTATTTTCAATAAGGAGAACTTCTTCCTCCAGGATAGAACTGCCATAGAGCACAGTCAAATCCTTTCACAACAGACGAGGGTGAAACAATAGTTAATTGAGAGGACCAGGGCCATTTATGAGCAAAGCAATGAGTTTGGTAACAAACTATTAATGACACAGATTAATGATTCACTGAATCCTGTCAACATGATGACAACCCAAACTTTTCATGTAGGAGAAGTAAAATTCCACTGAGGAAAGAGATAGTCCCAGGCCACAAGAAACTAATAAGCAAATAAATGACTTCAATGTCCATGCAGTGATGTCATGGCTCTGTTTGTGGAGATTTTTAAGGACCGGGAGAGGTGAAGAATGTGATCACCCAGGGACTGAAGCAAGTAAAGGCAGATCAGAGCAATTAGAAGAGTTCATTATGTTATCTGTGTGGTGCCTATAACTCACTAAAGGCTTCCAGTATTTTCATCTAATCCTAATCATCTTAGTGCCGTTGGTCAAGCCAGTGTTTTAGATTTTAATAATTTTAGATCAAGGGAGGTCAAGTGATTTGGCCAAGGTCACACAACAATAGCAGCATGAAAGCCAGACTTCCAGATGTTCTAACATTAATTCTACAGCTCTGTGCAGAGGGCATTCAGAAGTGCATCCCCTGTATGGTGAAGAGTTGGCTCCCACTGATGGAGAGGTACACAAACAGGTTGGACTTCAGGTGGAAGAACCTAGGCCTAACCCAGCCTCCAGCAGTGTAATTTTGCCCAAATCCCTTCATCTCCACAGGCCTCAGTTTCCTCTTCTGTAAAATCAGCATGCTGTGCCAGACTCAGAGAAATAAGAGAAAAATGCAGAAGCAGGCTGATATCACCCCCTGCCCTGTGTTTTATAAAAGTCCAAGGCCATGAAAGACATAATGCAAGAAGAGCTGAGGAAGAAGAGAGGAGAGAAAGACAGCTTTGGGAAAAGAGCAGAGAAGGGAGGAGTAATTCCCTCAGACCAGAAAGGAGACAGGGGTCTCTGTGTCCTTGGAATGGCTGCAACACAGAACCTGCTTGCTGCCTAATCCCTGGCAGGTGGCCAGATCTCAGGAGAGATGGCTGTGTAGAGCAAGGGAAGGAAGACAAGGTGCCCAGGCCTCAGCTGTCCTAGCTTGGCCAAAGAGCCCCATCTCCTCAGATGGGCAGAGCCACCAGAACCAAGGGTTCTATGCAATGGACACTCGTAAATAACAAGTAATCAGTGTGTACCCATGCCTTATCACCCCAGATGTTTTATGCTCAGTGCAGATGTGGCAGGAGGGAACACAACTTAAGAACAACTGAGGTACCACATTGCTACTAAACTGTCTCACTCATTAACTCCTCTGCAACTAGTTTTTCCTTCAGCACATAACACATCATTCTCTCTCCTACTGAGCCCCAGAAGAACTAGCTCACTTGCCTTAAGGGATGATGTTTCATGAAAAGAAAAAAGCAAAATATTAGACTCACTGAGGGAAAAGTGGATCCATGACTCTGTCATCTCCTGCTCGCTTGAGGGCATCTGCTCATTGACTAAAACGACAAAGCCAGCGAAGACCACCATTATAACACTTCTCTGCTGTGTCGTCTCCAACTCCTAAAGACAACTGAATTTAGTTGCATTGGTCTGGTTGCCTTTTGTGTTTCAAACTGCAATCAATATTAGCCACCAAAAATTCTAATGTGGCTTCCCTGCTTGCCTAACAAGGAAGGTGAACAGGGCATACAGGGCTGCTTCACTAGGACCACCAAATAATTTTTATTAGCAACTCCATCACATTTAACTAGCTCCTTTAGAAACATTAAGGAAAATCTATGTCAGAGGTTTGTCAGCCTTTGACGGATGTTTTCATTCTTGGAGCGTTATTATTGCTCTCCTTATGTGGTCAGGCTGCAATGGGGGAGTGTACGCTGATTAGACACTGTACTCCATCTGCCACCATGCCCTGGGGCTAGGATGTTGTCGCCGGAGCCCAACACTGGTCTTGACAATTACATAATCCCACTGAACAGAAAGGACAGACAATTGTTTCAGGGAGGTTTCTCTATTTCTTTTACCTAGAAAATCCTGAGCCTTTCACTGGTGCTGGTCTGAAATATCAAGAAGAATTGAGAAGAAATCAGTTCGTTTGTCATTTGGCCAGTCATGCTACCAATGCCTTGTTCTATGTTGAACAGGCTTACTGCAGTCATAGTCAGTGATCAGAGTGGCTAGATTAGGGCAAAAAACCACACCGTATACTGGCCACAGCTTTGTTCTAAGATCCTATAACAAGCATTGTCGTTGTTGTTTTAGCCAAAGTCTCTTGTAATTTTTCTGGTAGTGGTGGTGGTGGTGGTGGTGGTGGTGGTGGTGTTGTTTTTGATGGAGTCTCACTCTGTCGCCAGGCTGGAGTGCAGTGGCATGATCCAGGCTCACTGCAACCTCCGACTCCCTGGTTCAAGCTATTCTCTTGCCTCAGCCTCCCAAGTAGCTGGGATTACAGGCACGCACCACCATGCCTAGCTAATTTTTCTGTTTTTAGTAGAGACAGGGTTTCACCATATTGGCCAGGATGATCTCGATCTCCTGACCTCATGATCCATCCACCCTCCCAAATTGCTGGCATTACAGGCATGAGCCACCACGCCCAGCCAATTTTTCTGGTGTTTAAAGGAATATGTTCTCTTCGAAAATCAGAAAGTTATATATTTTTTAAAGGCTATAAATGTCATCTTTAGTGTTTGTGGCAGTTTGTATTTTCTCAAAGATGGCTACATACACACACCCCTACCCCAATCCTCAAGTTCTTCTTACAATGGGATATTAACACTTGTCTACACTGAGAATCCATGTTCTCTTCCCTTGAAACTATGTGGGTCTTTGTAACTTCACTGACCCATTAAAATTCAGTGGAGATGATGCTATGTAACTTCCAAGGTTAGGTCATGAAAGGTGATGTGGCTTCAGCTTGACACTTGCCTGCTCTCTCTCTTTTTTCCTCTTCCTCCTCCTCCTCTTCTTCAAGCTTCTCCCTCTCTCTCTCTCTCTCTCTCTCTCTCTCTCTTTCTCACTCACTCTCTGAAAACATATGCCTTGGGGAGCCTTGAGCTGACATGTAGGCAGTCTCCATGCTGGAGAGATCACATGGAGAGATTAGATAGGGAAAGATGCTCAAAAGCCCTAGCCATTCCAACCTTCAGCTGTTTTAGTCTCCCCAGCTCAGGCACCAGACATATGAGTGAGCCTTCAGATGATTCCAGCCTTCTATTCATCCCAAATGACCCCAAGGAAAACAGAGATAAGCTGCCCTGCCAACTCCTAGACTGCATCCAGACTGCATACTCAAGAATCAACTAAGTTTTGGAGAGTTGTTTGTCATACAGCATTAGATAACTAGAACGACCTCATCAACTACAGATAGACCACTGTTACCACATTGGTGTCTATTACTATCAAATGATAAATGAATTTCTTATTCATTCCAAAGAAAGAAAAACTTGCTCAGCCAAGCAGTTTTTGTTCCAGATGACTGTTTTTATAAATTATCAGTTTGAAATGTAGAACCAATTCTCTTTGACAAAGCAAGTTATCTTGGTGGGCCAGGCCACAGAAGCCTGCTCAACCCCTAATCCAACAGGATAGTCCTCCAACATTAAAAGTAATGTTTCTTCCTTTATTTTAGCTTTATAAGGATGTATTTAACCTCCAGGATGCTTTCATGCCTGGATGTGTTACCACCATAAAAAATTTGATCAATTTCATACAGTAAATGTTAAGGAGTTCAGTGAGGGATAGATTACTATTGATTGTAGTTACTGGGGAAAGTTTCATGGAAAATTTAGAAGCTGTGTTCACTGAGCCAAAGAGGTGAGAAAATGGGCTGACAGAAAGGAAGTATAGTGGCCATCTGTGTTTTTTTTCCATCCCCAGCATCATGATGCCTAATGGTAACTACACTAAAATGTTCCTTAAGACCTTTTTACTCAGCTGGGCATTTAAAGGCTCACGCCTTTAATCCCAGCACTTGGGGAGGTCAAGGCAGGCAAATGGATTGAGGCCAGGAGTTTGAGACCAGCCTGGCCAAAATGACGAAACCCAGTCTCTACTAAAAATACAAAAATTAGCCCAGTATGGTGGTATGCACCTATAATCCCAGCTACTCAGGAGGCTGAGGCAGGAGAATCATTTGAACCCGGGAGGCAGAGCCTGCAGTGAGCCGAGATTGAGCCACTACACTCCAGCCTGGGCAACAGAGTAAGACTCCTTCTCAAAAAAAAAAAAAAAGAAAGAAAGTAGTAAATATCCAATTGGCAGACAAATTGCTGACTCAGTTGTCCTTGCTGTAATATAAAGGAGAAATAAAAAAGAAAATAATCCATAATGAGCTGTGTATAAATGTGTGAGCATTATTATTGTAGGCTGGCAGTCAGCAAACTTTTTCTGTAAAGGACGAGAAGGTAAATATTTTAGGCTTTGTGGCCCACATAGGATCTTTATTGTATAGTCTTTTTTTTTTTTTAACAACCCTTTAAAAATGTAAAGACCATCCTTAGCTCATGGGTTGTGCAAAAGCAGGTCACAGGATGGATTTGGGCTACAGGCCCTAGTTTGCTGATTCCTGCCCTAGGCTAGACCATATAACAAGACGTCAGGGGCTGGCACCTCCGTATAATGAGTGGGTTTGCAGTTGACACGTTGAAATAAGGGCTAAATAAGTACACTTGTGTATAACTGCATCAAACCACCCTGGATGCCACAGTCAGTGTGGATTCATACAGGCATGCTGTATCAAGAGTCCAGTGTCACTAGCAGTGTTGCCATCCATGACAAAATTTCAAAGATAGCAAATAGTTCTCAGATTGGTTCCAGATGACACAAACTATAATATTCCTTCTAATTTGACTGTACTTGCATTCCTGAATGATGCCATACATATTAAAAGCATGCAAAAAGTATATTGTACTTATGTGGAAAATGGCATCAAGTTCCTGGCTTCTGTAAATGAAACCAGTGTTTACCTACAAGAAGATCTGATTGGGTCATTTGAATGTCATGTGGGACATCATGTGGGGACACAGGAAAATTCTGACATGTGGGACCATGGGGTGCATTGTGGCAGTCTAGCCTCTCTTACCTCTACCCACTAAGGGCCAGCATTGCCATCTTCCAATTATCATGCACTGAAAACATCCCGTTAACTTCTAGAAAGTACTCCCTAACAGCACGGGTAGAGTCAAAGCTTAGACAATTTTGCATAAAAATAATTTTTAAATTTCTAGAGGTCCACCCAAAGCCTTGAGAGATAACCTGCAAAGGAGAAGCCATGAGGCTTTAAGGTCACTGGCTTCTCCGTCCATCCACCTCTGTCTTACAGGTGAGAGCATCAGCAGCAAGAACCTCTATCCTGGACTAGAATTAGTGAGGCCAAAGAATGACCCTCGACCTCGAATTACGCCTGCCTGGAGCAGGGGCCCAGTAACAAAAACATCTGTGCAAAACAACCATGGGCCTGCAATCAAGACTGGATACATAATTTGGGAGATCCAATGTAAGATGAAAATGCAGAGTCCACTATTCAAAAATTATTCAGAATATCAAGACGGTGACAGCAGAGTATTAAACCAATACAGGGCCCCTCTGAACACCTGTCCTGTGTGACTGCATTAGAACACATGCCCAGGAAGCCAGCCCTGCCATCAATCAAGTTTATGTTAACTGGTGTTTTCATATCCATCCGTTGGTTTTGTTTCACAACCCTGGGCTTATCTTGACTTCCAAGATGAGAAAAGTGAAGCTTGTGGAGTATTAATACATATGGAGACCCAGCTGGGTGGCTCACGCCTATAATCCCAGCACTTTGGGAGGCCAAGGTGGGCGGATCACTTGAGGCCAGGAGTTCGAGACCAGCCTGACCAACATGGTGAAACCCTGCCTCTACTAAAAATACAAAAATTAGCCAGGCGTGGTGGCACACGCTCTTAATGCCAGCTACTCAGGAGGCTGAGGCAGGAGAATCACTTGAACCCAGGAGGCAGAGGTTGCAGTGAGCTGAGATTGTACCACTGCACTCTCCAGCCTGAGCAACAGAGTGAGACTCCATTTCAAAAATAAATAAATAAATAAATAAATAAATAAATAAATAAATAAAATACAAAGGGAGATATCTAGAACAGAGGGGAAGGAAAATCAGAACCAGAGATCCTGACTTGTTCCCCCATCCCTGGCTGCCATTCTGCAGCTGGGAAGGCTTCTTGCCCCTTGTCCTGCTTGCCAGGCTCAGCAGTAGTGGTTGGGGATTTAAATGAAAGCAAATAGTTTGGGCCTGTGCCCCAGTAGAGAGATTGTTGCCTTAAAATAGCCATGAACATCACACACCTTGATGCTGGCTTTGCTGAGTCCCTTTTCACTGGAATGCCTGCATTTAATTTCAGGAGACCTCCAGTTATTTCAGGAAATCTCCAGTTATAGAAATGGTACCTATGATTTGCAATGAGTTTTAAAACTATGGCCTGGCTAAAAAGGGAGATTTAACTAATTCTTGCCGAAAGCACTTTTGAAATTACTGGGGAAGTATTAGGACTAAGGCCAAGACAATGGCTGTCTGGCATGACAGTGGAGGCCCTGGTGATTATATTGCTCCTAAAAAGACTTTGCCAAATCCCACCCCTACTGTTGTGTTGAAAGACAGAGCACATCCACATTCGAAATGTGCTACAAAGCAAGCAGGAGAAAATAGGTGGAGGAAAAGCCTCTGTGAACTGTCCTCTTGGGGTGAAAAACTGCTGAAAAATGTCCTTTATGATTCATGGATTTCCAGAAACTGAATTTATAGATATTGGCCAGTTTGATGGTGGGGAAACTGGACACTTCCTCTATTCCTGATTATCTTAAGCCTCCTAAGTATGTTTCAATCTATACGTATCAATAAATTGCAGTATTTGCAACAAAAAAAAAATGCTAACAGAAATCTCAAATATACGCTATAATAGCCAATTACCACCCTGCAAAAGCAACTAAGTTTTATTTAAAGTTTCTATACCTTAAACACACACACACTCACACACACACACACAAAGAAAATAGGGAATAAACAAGTTTATTCCAAGATGAAAACAAGCGATAAAGCAAACAAAGCATAGGTCGTTAGCAAGAGAAGTCAGGCTGAAGGGAATGAGGAGGGACAGAGAAAGGCAAGAATAGTTACCAAGTTGTCAGCAAAAGCCCAGCATGAGTTACAACTTATGGAACAAAGAGAATACAATTGAAGCACCAAAGATATTTCATCATAATCTACATAGACCACTGAGTTTATTTGGTAGTTAAGGAGGTAATGGCTTTCTTTCAAACTCATTTTAAAAGTTCTTTTTTTTTAATGGTGGCAATAAATGTTTTTTAGTGCTGGGACTATATTCACTAGAGTGGCCACATGGCCACATTCAGCCCTTGCTAAGGATGCTTAATGAAGTGACGCTGGTTTAGCTACAATATTCTGTGCTGTTTCAACAATTTCATAGTTAAGAGAACTAACTCTCAAGGTATGAAGACAATGCAGGGGAGGGAGGAGCCATTTTACCCAGTGTGTGAGGCACCCCAGGGGTTTTTTAAGTATGATGCCAACTCTTTCTTTCCCATGAAGTACTAAGTGGCATGGAACTTTAACTGGGGCATAAAAACAAATTAACAGAAGTAATGTATGAAATAAGCTTTTGCCAGTATCCAATTATAGCATCAAGTTATGCTTAAAAGTTGATTGATGTATTTTAACATCAAATAGCACGGAGTTTCAGGACTATGTGTGTTACAGAGTCTCATCCATCCATCAACCCTAAAATTTAAGACCAACCACTAAGATAATAAGGAATTTGCTGCTGTCTCTCTTGCTTGAGAAGACCAGGTTGCCACTCAGGAAGTGCAAAGCCAGATCAGGTTTTTTCTATTAACCAATTATCTTATGAAGAAATGCCACTGTTGAAAGTTCTTTCTCATCAATGCCGACACCATCAAGTCAAGCAGCATTGTTAAAATCATTATAATTGCGTGTGAAACATCTCATGTTTCCAAGTCGCCACAGCTCCTGGGAGCATTTAGCAGTTGGGTTTTGAAGAAAAATAGAAAAGGAGGTATCGGGGGAAAAAAGGTGAAAATTCTATTAAAAAACTATTGTTTGGATAGCAGTTGATGACATAAATACACACACACATACATAATGTATATATGTATGTATGTGTATATGAAATATTTTAGGTTTCTATTTGCCACAACTAAGTCTCCACATTAATGTGACTATAATGCAATAGATTAAAAACAAAGATAATGCATTGAGGTTGAAAAACAAAGCTAAATCTTGAAAATCAAATTGCATCCAAAATTAAACAAATATGCCCAATATTGAAGAAATGGAAGTATTGCAGGTTGATGAATAATTAAACAACTCAAAATCAAACCAATGGTGGGGGGGAAGCTGCTTTAAAAAATATCAGAGACTTAAGGGCATAAATCATGATTTATAACCTATCCCAACTTTGACCTCATAGAAAGCAGGAAAGATCAAAGGTGATGTTTCATTATGTATTTATTGCTTGGCCAAACCATTTTTCATCGGTCTTCATTTTGAAAGATCTATATGGAGTATGTACAAATTCTTATACATAGAACCGTTGCAGGGAAATTTTTATGTACAGAATTTACCATGAAATCTGCAGATAATAGTACAATATGCCTAATTTGTAATTTCCCTGTCTCTTTCTAGATGTATAGCATTGCAGCTTTATAGCCAAAAGATGCAAGCTGCAATGTATCATGGGAAGATGGCTAACAGTTCAAATACAGTCACTGTAATTCCGCAGAGACCTTATTCTTTAATGCTGTAATGAGGATATCACTAAATGACAACCACTGCCACCATTAGCACACATATCCACACATGTGCAAGCTAGAAAATCCCATTTAGAAAGATTGCCATGTTATATCTAAAACGAGGTCAGGTATAAAAGATTTGAGGTGTGATTGCTTTTTTAATTGGGAATGCTTCAATCAAATTAGAGAATACGCTTTTCTACGCCTTTCTGTGGGGAAAAGACTAGATGACATCACTAGTTTGCCTCTAACTCCAGAATACGATAATCTGTTAACTAAGCACTGAAAGCAGTACTGACCCCAAAGGTAGTTTTGAAATACTTAAGACACCCCTAGTTACCTTGACTGGTGTTATAACAGTCCCAAAATCTATTTTAACGCATTTTAACATTTTTAGAAGATGGCACACCAAGTTAGCGTGCCTGTGTATTTGAGGAAGAAAGGAAAGAGAAAGTCACTCGGAAAACATAAGCTATATCTTGCAATGCAGGCAGGTCTAAAGAGGAGCTGGAAATTCTGAACTAGCACCAAAAGGGCATGACCTAGACCACCCCCCACCATTGTGGCACAGCACGCCCAAATTACCAGTTTATTTTCCCCCATGCCTCAAAGCAGCCACAGCCCATGGACAGATCATCTCTGGTTATGAACATCTTCATCAGTTTACCTAGTAGGAAAATGTTGGTACAGTAAAATTTTCCTAAATGATGTTCATTGGAAGAGATGTTAATGAGTATTGTGTTTTCCAAGGTCCAATTAGGTTAGTAAATTCTGAGTTAAACAAAGCTCAACAGGGTTTATTATCTTAAGGCTTTTCGGATCCTCTAATACACTATATGCTGTGAGTCCCTGGAGGGAGATAATCTCCTGTAGCTTTCTCCAGGTAGATGCAACCACAGGTATTTTTGTTTGCCTCTTCTTTGCAGAATGTCTCACATGACTGGAGTTCTCAGGAAAACACCCTGGGGAATGATAGAATGATGGAGAGTCATTGGATCTACGAAGACTAGGATACAGCTCCCAACACTTTCCAGCCATGTGCACCCTTGAGCAAGTGACTCTCCCAGAACCTTGTGAAATGGGATATCTGGGGAGGGTGAGCAGTGACCATAACCAGCTCCTCTGGAAGCAGGTTTTGTTGATATTGAACCAGGTTCCTTCTGCTGCATGTAGCAAGCCAGCCACTATGACAACAGGTTGGGTTTTTTGTCGTTGTTATTGTTGTTTGAGATGGAGTCTTGCTCTGTCGCCAGGCTGGAGTGCAGTGGCGCAATCTTGGCTCACTGCAACCTCTGCCTCCCGGGTTCAAGTGATTCTCCTGCCTCAGCCTCCCAAGTAGCTGGGACTGCAGGCACGTGCCACCACACCCAGCTAATTTTTGTATTTTTAGTAGAGACAGGGTTTCACCGTGTTGGCCAGAATGGTCTCAATCTCTTGACCTCGTGATCCGCCCACCTCGACCTACCAAAGTGCTGATATTACAGGCATGAGCCACCATGCCCGGCTGACAACAGGTTTTACAAAAAAGAAAGAGTTGATTCATGAGGCAGCCAAGAAAGGACGTGGGAAAACAGGTGTCAAATCTGCCTCCCTGAAGATGGAGTTTTAGGGATATTTATGAGATAGAGGCTCAAGGCAGGCCAAGGTGTGGGGAAAGATGATTGGGCATAAGAAAGAGTGAGATACTGGGTGACCTGCACAAGGTAGTCGAGATTCATGGATCTTCATAGAACACATGTTCAGAAAACAGCGGCATTAGCATGATCTTAGGGAGGAGTTTTCAGCTTTCTGATGCCAAAAAATCACCTCGCAGCCAACTGTGCAGGGCCTAGTTGAAGGACTGTGGTTTCAACCAGTTTGAACTGGGTAAGAGCTGTCCCCTAGTTCCTAAAAAACAACTTTAAGCAGCTGTTACCATGGTGACCTATCTGTCAGAGATGTTCTCTCTAAGGAGCTAGTGGATTGCTTAGCGACGTGATGTTTAACTATACAGGTTTCAAGATCAACTAGAGGTGGGCAATTAAAAGCAAGCAAGGCAGGTTTCTTTTGGCAGCTTCATCGGGTTAGCCCTCAGCTTCATAATGGCACAGTGGTTGCTATCCCAGGCCTTGGGGTCCGACCCACCTGAATTAAAACTCAGCTGTCTTGAGCCCAGGAGGTGGAGGTTGCAGTGAGCCGAGATTCCACCACTGCACTCCAGCCTGGGTGACAGAGTGAGACTCCATCTCAAAAGTAAAAATAAAAAATAAAAATAAAACCCAGCTGTGCTACTTTTCCAGCTGTGTGAACTTTTGTATTGCAGCTCCTTGGGCCACAGATGAGTCAGTTCATCTATAAACCAACTTAAATGAGATGATGCTCTTAGCCAAGTGTCAATAAACAGCAGTTACTCTCAGACCCTACCCAGAGAGACC
This sequence comes from Homo sapiens, assembly GCF_000001405.40. Taxonomy (NCBI): domain Eukaryota; kingdom Metazoa; phylum Chordata; class Mammalia; order Primates; family Hominidae; genus Homo; species Homo sapiens. The sequence goes on along the minus strand of NC_000003.12, from coordinate 73,196,888 downwards.
AGAATAATAATTAACAAGGAGCCATCTTTCATGGAGCATGTGGTGAGTACTTGTCCCCTGGTGGCTGCTCAGCTTCCATGTCCCCTTCCCAACAGTGGCCTGATTCCCTCCAGGGAATCACCTCTTCGTGTGCAGTCTTAGTGGGATGGTTATTACAGAGACTCATGCCCATTATGGAATCCGAATCACAAAGCTCCTTCTTCCCATATCCATGTCCACTGGTACAGACAGAGGAGCCATGTGACTCAAGCTCAGCCTCTAGGATTCTCTCTGCTGGGACTCTGAGTTTTGGGGGTCACCATGCTGGAAGATGAGGTTAGAGTCAGCCATGTGGGGGGTAGCAGGAGCATCCCTATTCCCAGGGGGCTTCCAGGCTTTCTACCTACTCCCAAGTCTGCAGCTGTAGTATCCGGTTTATTTACTAAGCCCCCTAAATCCATCCGATCAATTAACCTTATAAACATGAACAATATTTGTTATCAATAGCACACAGAGGAGCAGAGACATAAGTCTGGAATAATTTAGGTCTGGTCCTTGCTGGAATCCAAGGAGGAGGATGAGAAGAAGAGGAATAGACATTCCTAGAAGTGAAGAATAAACTGAACAGCAGCCTCATGTATGGTTCTCACTGGGGTGTGTCCTTCATGATCCTACCTGAAAACCAGAAACTTCTCTATATTTGAAACAGGAAATTTAAAGCAGGGAATTGGCCACCCAATGGAGAAAGAGTTAAGAGGCCACCAGGGGCCACTGAGGCAGTCCAGAGATGAGCAACAGCAGGACGCCATCACAGCCTAGAGGTTAAAGAAACAGGTGGGGGGCCAGGCGCGGTGGCTCATGCCTGTAATCCCAGCACTTTTGGAGGCCAAGGCAGGCAGATCACGAGGTCAGGAGATCAAGACCATCCTGGCTAACATGGAGAAACCCTGTCTCTACTAAAAACACAAAAAACTTGCCAGGCGTGGTGGCAGGCACCTATAGTCCCAGCTACTCAGGAGGCTGAGGCAGGAGAATGGCATGAACCCGGGAGGCAGAGCTTGCAGTGAGCCGAGATGACACCACTGCACTGCAGCCTGGGCGACAGAGTGAGACTCTGTCTCAAAAAAAAAAGAAAAAAGAAAAAGAAACAGGTGGGAGCTAAACAATGACAACGCATGGACACACAGAGGGAAACAACACACACTGGTGCCTTTCACAGGGTGGGGAGTGGGAGGAAGGAGAGAATCAAGAAAAATAACCAATGGGTACTAGGCTTAATACCTGAATGAGGAAATAATCTGTACAACAAGCACCATGATACAAGTTTACCTATGTCACAAACCTGCACTTGTACCCCTGAACTTAAAAGTTAAAAAATAATTAAAATCCCAAGAAAGTTAGCTACAGTTCTTTGTCAACCATCTTAATTCTAAGTTAGTATAAATAATCTAGTTGTATGGGAATAGTCCACACTGTGGACTACTTGGAGGGGAGGAAGAAAGAGAGGGGTGGGTTGAAAAACTACCTCTTTGGTACTATGCTTGTGACCTGAGTACAATATACCCATGTAACGAATCAGCACACGTACCCTCTGTATCTAAAATAAAAGTTAAAAAATTTTTTTTTAATTTTCTAGCCTGGCATGGTGGCTCACGCCTGTAATCCCAGCACTTTGGAAGGCCGAGACAGGTGGATCAACTGAGGTCAGAAGTTCGAGACCAGCCTGGCCAACATGGTGAAACCCCACCTCTACTAAAAATACAAAATTAGCCAGGCATGGTGGCACGCACCTATAGTCCCAGCCACCTGGGAGGCTGAGGCAGGAGAATCACTGGGACCCAGGAGGCAGAGGTTGCAGTGAGCCAAGATCATACCACTGCACTCCAGCCTGGGCAACAGAGCGAGACCCTATCTAAAAAAAAAAAAAAAAAAAAAAAAAAAAAATTAATTCAAGATGGAGTAGAAACTTAAATATTAGACCTAAAACCATAAAAATCCTAGAAGAAAACCTAGGCAATACCATTCAGGACATAGGCATGGGCAAGGACTTCATGACTAAAACACCAACAGCAATGGCAACAAAAGCCAAAACAGACAAATGGGATCTAATTAAACTAAAGAGCTTCTGCACGGCAAAAGAAACTACCATCAGAATGAACAGGCAGCCTACAGAATGGGAGAAAATTTCTGCAATCTACCCATCTGACAAAGGGCTAATAACCAGAATCTACAAATAACTTAAACAAATTTACAAGAAAAAAACAAACAACCCTATCAAAAGGTGGGCAAAGGATATGAACAGACACTTCTCAAAAGAAGACATTTATGCAGCCAACAGACATGTGAAAAAGTGCTCATCATCACTGGCCATCAGAGACATGCAAATCAAAACCACAATGAGATAGCATCTTACACCAGTTAGAATGAAGATCATTAAAAAGTCAGGAAACAACAGATGCTGGAGAGGATGTGGAGAAATAGGAACATTTTGACACTGTTGGTGGGAGTATAAACTAGTTCAACCACTGTGAAAGACAGTGTGGTGATTCCTCAAGGATCTAGAGCTAGAAATACCATTTGACCCAGCAATCCCATTACTGGGTATATACCCAAAGGATCATAAATCATGCTGCTATAAAGACACATGCACACGTATGTTTATTTCGGCACTATTCACAATAGCAAAGACTTGGAACCAACCCAGATGTCCATCAATGATAGACTGGATTAAGAAAATGTGGCACATATACGCTATGGAATACTATGCAGCCATAAAAAAGGATGAGTTCATGTCCTTTGCAGGAACATGGATGAAGCTGGAAACCATCATTCTGAGCAAACTATTGCAAGGACAGAAAACCAAACACCACATGTTCTCACTCGTAGGTGGGAATTGAACAATGAGAACACTTGGTCACAGGGTGGGGAACATCACACACTGGGGCCTGTCGTGGGGTGGGGGGATGGGGGAGGGATAGCACTGGGAGAAACACCTAATGTAAATGATGGGTTGATGGGTGCAGCGGGCCAGCATGGCACATGTATACTTCTGTAACGAGCCTGCACTTGTGCATATGTACCCTAGAACTTAAAGTATAATAATAAAAAAAAGAAAAAATTTTTAAAAAAGAAATAGAAGAAGTGTGATATGGTTTGAATGTTTGCCATCTCCAAATCTCCTGTTGAAATGTGATTCCCAATGCTGGAGTTGGGGCCTGGTGAAAAGTGTTTGGGTCATGGGGGCAGATCCCTCATGAATGGCTTGGTGCCCTCCTCATAGTAATAAATTCACATGAGATCTGGTTGTTAGAAAAGAACCTGGGATATCCCCTCTCTTGCCCCACCTCTCACCGTGTGATGCACCAGCTCCCCCTTCACCTCCTGCCATTACCGGAAGCTTCCTGAGGCCCTCACCAGAAGCAGATGCCAGCACTGTGCTTCTTGTACAGCCTGCAGAACAGTGAGTCAAATAAACCTCTTTTCTTTATAAATTACCCAGTCTCAGATGTTCTTTTACAGCAACACAAAATGAACTAACTCAGGGTGGCTTTATCTAAGCCCGGGACCTGGGGCCACCAGCATAAGCTAGAACCATCACATGCCTTCAGGCATACAATGGAGACAGAGCTGCTGCCAGAAACACTGCCCAAGGCAGAAAGGTAGGGCTAGTGGGGAAGATTCCCTTGTTTATTCCTGCCCCCTGGCCTCTAACCTCCTACCCCTGCATCCCATTGGCCCAACCCAGACAGGTGATAAAAGAACCTGAGAAACACAGCCTGCGAGGGTCAATCCCCTCTTCCTTGAGCACAGTAGTAGAGCAACAAAGAACGGATCAGAGGCAAATAGGCCCTGGACTGGCAAACAACCCCTCACACATGAAGTACGTGATGCCTAATAGGCTTTGGTTTGTATTATTCAGGGTTCCTTGGGAACCTCCTGGCCTAATCATGTTTTATCTTTCATGTGAAACAAAGCACTTGCAGTCACCTACCTCCTACTCCCCAAGTCCCATTTGTTTCTCCCTAAAAATCCTGCAAGAAACATTTTATTTGCCCCTCTTCCAGATGTTCTGTAGACTTATTAGTCTCAGAGGCTCCCAATGCTCCTAATTTCAGTAAGGATTCTATCCCACACTGAAAATGGAAGACACTTGCTGTATTTATTGTTTCTATGGTAAAAATAAAATCTCTAAGAAGTGAGCACTAGCAAAATAAGGATGAATGCCTGGGTCTTTTCGGTCTTATCACACAAAGGACATATTTTATAGGGGCTGTCTTTGTATGTAATTAGGATTCCCTCAACCAAATTTAATACTAATTTTTCCTCCAGGGGAATTTCTGATGAGATTGTCCAGCAAAGGGGCCATCTCCTAATGGGATTAGCTGATCAAGATTGTCTCCTGATACATGGTGCCATTCAGCAGCCATTTTAGAAAAAAATCGCAACTGGGGGAGGGGGGATAAGTACAGCTGATGAAAAACAAAAAAAAAGCAAAGACCGAAACAACTTGCTGGCATGGCTCGAAGAGCTGGGTTGGCGCTATTTCTGCCTCAGGTAGCAAGGGGGAGGGCTGGTATATTTAAGCACCTTGGTAAAGAGATCCAATCTTGATACCGACAATTTACCTTTGCTCTATACTAGAGTTATAGGGCATTCTGACCACAGTGAGACACCTGGGGGTTGGGAGTGAGCATGACAGTGATTGAGACAAATTCACCCCCTCTGGTGGGCGACTTAGAGCTCCTATTTTCATGGGGGTAGAGCAATGGCTCATACACTCAGACTGGACTACATCCTCCAAAAGACTGCATTTCCAAAGAATCCTAACCCTGGCCCAGATTCTGTTCTTGAGGACCTCTCATTGGAGAAAAGTGGTGGGAAAAGAGAGTCTTGAAATGGGCTAGAAATAGCTCAAAACATCTGAAGCCAAAGCAATCCTTTCAATAGAGATTACTGAGGGCCAGGCAGGGTATATGATCCTGGAAATAAAAAACGACAATAAAACTACAGTACCTAGGAGTTGGTCTCCTTTTCATAATCACCATACACTGGCAACTAAAGAATGTTAATGAAAAAATTATCCGTAAAACAAAAACAACAAAAAACTTTCATTGGTGCAAGTCTAAATAATCGTGGTTACTCTGTTCAGTTTCAATAATACATATATGTAAGCTTCAAATTAGCATGGCTTTCCAATTTATCCTTTAATAAACATCATATTCTACATGAAAGTAAATTCTGAGAATGTATTATAGTCATCTCTGAACACACAGGGACTCAACTGCTCGTGTTGGTATCAAAAGTAAGTTCCCAGGCTGGGTACAGTGGCTCATGGCTGTAATCCCAACACTTTGGGAGGCCAAGGAGGGCAGATCAATTGAGTTCAGGAGTTCAAGACCAGCCTGGCCAATATGGCGAGACTCAGTCTCTACTAAATATACAAAAATTAGCCAGGCATGGTGGCGCACACCTGTATTCCAGCTATTTGTGAGGCTGAGGCACGAGAATTGCTTGAACCTAGGAAGTGGAGGTTGTAATGAGCCAAGATCTCGCCACTGCATTCCAGCTGGGTGAAACAGCAAGACTCTGTCTCAAAAAAAAAAAAAAAAAAAAAAATTCCAAATAGTTTGAGCTTGCTGTGGTCACAGTTCCTATTTCCAATCCCCAGAGGACAACATATTTCTGTGTTTACACAGAAGCTCCAGAATAAAGACAAAGACAACACAGTGGTTCTAAAACCAACAAACAGAATTCCAGTTCATTCAATTGTGTCATTTAGTGTGATCAATTGGAGTGTTTATGTTTAAATTTTTTCAAGTGCAAAGACGTTTGAAACCCCCTAAAATCCATCCTGAATAAACAAAGATATGGGCAATGTTGTGAATTCTAGAACGTGCGGTGAAACACTATTTTTAGGAATCACTGTCAAATTTAGCCTTATATTTAAGACTTTCCCCAGTATTTGTATATCTGTTGCTGTGTATGAAAGAAATGTTTTAAAATTAAAATTAATAACTGTTGTGTGACCAATCATGAGCAAGGATAGCTTGACAAAACTGGCTACCATCTGCTAAACCTGCATATGTGAAGATCCACTTTATTAAAGTAATTGACAGACTGGCAGAAGCTTTAAAAAAAAACTATATTACTACAATAGAATATCTGTATAAAGATTCTCCCCATTTAAAAAAACACATTAATATAATCAAGTTTTAGTTCACTACTTTTTTTCCATTTTGGTGCAGTAACATTTATTTTTTAATAGCATGACCATACATAAAGTTGATAAAAGAAAATATAGACTGAGTGTCCTTTTTGTCCATTACTATCCTTTGTTTCATTTCATAATTGTTCCTGAAAATAATTTTGTCATATAAAGAAGGGAGGGGTCAAATATAGGAGGTCTCTCCTACAGGTAAATCTTTATTGAAGAGGAAAATCATCTTGTTTATTCCCCTTCATCGTCAGCCTCCAAACAACCAAAACAAGAGTTGAAATTCTTGATTTTATTTTCCTTAAGAAATTCTGTCCTAAATTTGACTAAAATAAAATTCGAGTCTGACAGGTTTTTCTGTTTGTTTGTTTGTTTGTTTGTTTGTTTGTTTTTTGAGACGGAGTCTAGCTCTGTCACCCAGGCTAGAGTGCAGTGGCGCAATCTCAACTCACTGAAACCTCCGCCTCCCGGGTTCAAGCAATTCTCCTGCCTCAGCCTCCTGAATTGCTGGGATTACAGGCAACCACCACCAAGCCCAGCTAATTTTTCGTATTTTTTTAGTAGAGATGGGGTTTCACCACCTTGGCCAGGCTGGTCTTGAACTCCTGACCTCGTGATCCACCCCCTCCACTGCCTCCCAAAGTGCTGGGATTACAGGCATGAGCCATCGTGCCCGGCCAGGGTCTGACAGGTTTCGAGGGTCACTTAGTGGAGCTTACACTGGGATGCCATTACACTAGGGTGTCCACCTACTCTCTTCTAGGATGGGCTTCCCAGACTCCAAGCCAGATTTCCACCTTCCCTTTGCCTGAAGATTTATCCTCTTTCTATATAAGAAATACAGCAGGTCCCATTTCACCAGCTCTCATCCCATGACCAGTCTCACCCCAAACAAATGGAGTATTTCCACAACCTACACCGTCTTGTCTGCTTCCTGGCTCAGTCAGACAACAGTTCCTAAGTAAGACTTCTTGTGGTTGTAACAAGAAGTTCTTCACTGTCTGAGTCCTCCAAGAGCTTTGTTCAAGATGTCAAACTAGAGCCCTAGGCATCACTGAACATAGACAAAGCCTCCGGGATGGACCTAAAGTCTGGGATGCCTTGAGCATGAGAGACTGGGTTGGTAGGACCTTGAGAATAACTGCATTAGAACTTGGACCTCTTGAGATTCCATGGGAGTCTTTTCATTGCACTGACGCTCCTGGCAGAATAAACCTCTTCTGTTCTATGAGGTCACTCAACCAGCAGACATCTTAATGCCATTTTCTAAAGCTCCTTCAATTTTGGGGAGGACATTTTGTTAATTCACTGACTTTAGCATCCAGGCGACCAGGGGTGGAATCCCAGCTCCGCCACACTAAGGCAAATTCCTTAACCCTCTGAGCCTCAGCGTCTCACTTGTCAAATCATGATGCCCCCATTGACCTCAAAAAGAGATGCAAGGATTATGTGAGTAAATATATTTATTCACCCCAGCACCTGGCACGCTGGAAGTGTTCAAAAAGTGGTGGATATACGCCACTGCTATTATTTGAACAAAAATTGCCACCAAAAGAAGACAGATGGACTGCATAGGTTAAAGATTACTCATGTGACAGAGGATGTCAAATAAATGTCATTAACTAAAAGAAAGCATGTGGTGGCTATTGGCATGGCAAATATCAAATTACAGCAGTCACAACAGAGAGAAAAATCCACATCACTAGTGTGTCACATGGGTATGGATGGATGAGAGTCCCTTGGGAAGGTTTGCTTTCATCCAGACAGGGCCAGCTGAGAAAAGATGTGGTGGGGGAGAAGAAGCAGGAGAAGGAGGAGGAAAGAGGAGGAAAAAGAAGAGGAGAGGGAGAGGGGGAGGAGGAGGAAGAAGGAGGGGGAGAAGGAAAAAGAGGAAAGAGGAGAAGGGGGAGGAAAGAGAAGAAAAAAGGGGGAGGGAAGAGAGAGGGAGAGAGAGGAGGGTGAGGAGATGATTTATTATACTAGTCCCAAATTGGATCTCATAAAACTTCCAAGAGGGTGGGGAGAGAGAACCAAGTAGGAAAGGAGTCAGCAACAGAATTGTTATAAGGCCTTGGACGCATCTCTAAGAACTCCACAGTTCTTTCTCCTCTTAAGAGGTACTCCAAAAGAAAGGCAAAGTGTGGCTATATAGATCAGATGTTGTCAAAAACGTTCTAACAGGGAGTGCTGTAAAATGCAAGCTCTTGAATAAAATCTAAGTTTGGAAGATTAAGAGTCAACTATGCCAAAATATTAACTGAATTATCTGAGGGAAGTAGAACTGAGCAATGTTCATTTTCTCCTTTGTATTTTCTTAATCTTTTAAGAATTAAAACTGCGTTACTTTTTGAATCAAAATGGAAACCTTAATTTTTGACCTCATAAGTTCAATATAGGAATTATGTATGACATCAGTGGTCCCCTTGGGTTAGATATGGTGGGAAAAATAGGACAACTTCATAGATTCTGGAATTGAAGTAGAAAAAAAAATGTTCTGGTTTTGCAATCAGCTTGTTTGAAAATAAATGAGGCACTATAGAACATTGAGAATTTTTAAATGGGGGTAGGGTACAGAGGGGAGCAAAGTACAGGGCAAAGGAAATGCTTTATGCTATTGGAAATAGATGCTAAGTCCCAAATAAATCGTTAAACTTTATCTTTAATCAAATATCATTGTAAACACAGGCCCCAAATCTTACAAGAAGCAGCCTACAAATTATGTTTTTGGAGCTGGGAACACAATCTTTCTTCAAATCTAGGCCCTAGAGTCTTTAGGCCCCCTACCTCAATTCAAGCCAGAGCTATGAAAAAGGTAGAGATACAGTTAGGTACTCAATGTATGAGTCACGTTTTGCAAACAGTTGTCATTCCATTTCTAGAATGATCTCTGGGATACTATAATATAAAGACTCTGAACACACTGGATGGCCAAGAAGAGGGAAAAACATGCTTCTACATATAAGCAGACTTTAATATTTCAAATTTGGGCCCACCTGATTAGGGGGTGGGAAAAATTAAATACTTTTACATAGTAGAAAAACAATAAAAGAAAAAGAAGAGGGGCAATGCCAAGGGGAACATTTAATCTACCAAAAGAAACCAGTGTTTTCAAAATGTGTTTCCTTGTGTGTGGTAGTTATCAAAGATCCCTGGACTCTACCCAAAACTGCTGAATCACTATCACAGAGCAAAGCCCCCAAATCTGCATTTTACCTCATTTTCAGGACGTTTTTGGCACGTTCTAGTTTGAAAATCTCTGCTTAGGAAATTATTAAGAGTGAGATATTTCGGTAACTCATTCGAGATCTACCAAACAGCTCTTCATTTTCTTATGTGAAGTAGTGAAACCACTATCTTTCCGAGACTATTTTCTGATTGGCCTTTTGCTAATCAGACATAGGCCAGTATAAATGAGCAAGAAGTGAGTTTCTAAAACCAAGTGAATTCCCTAAAGCCATACACACATCTTAAGAATCTTCAATACTCCTGGTATACTGTAGCTACTTGCCTTGAGCCATATATTCCTCTCTGGGTATCTTCCTAAATTCAAGAACCTTTTATGATGAGGAATTAAATGTCTCCAGTGAACAGAGAGAAATTAATTAGCACCCACCAAATGAACAACTATTTCATTCCCTGCATGAATGTATATTTTGCTTTTGACACAGCCTGAAAAACACGGAGAAAATCTCTGTAAGAATTAGTTATGCTCTATGGTTTCTGGTGGAGCTGCAGAGACTCCCCCTTGGGCTGTTATTTGCAGTATTTACTTTTTTTTTTTTTAACTGAATTATCAAGTGAAAATCCAATTGTTCCTAATGGTGCTCACTCTGTGTGTTTCCCATTCTCATATATGAGAAAGGGTTTATTATCCATTTGTAGTAATTAAGACACTGATGTTATATAGATCCATAAAAATCCTTCATTAAGCCAGTAAAGAGCTTTTCATCAAAATCATGGTAGCTAAATATTTATTTAAAAATAAAAACCAAATTAAAATGAAGGGCCCCCCCCCCAAAAAAAAAGCAACAAAAAATTGCTATGAGACTATTTTGAAAGTTGTTGTGGGTATCCTGAGCAGTTTCAAAGCATGTAACTATATTTTCTTACAAAGTAGGAAACAACCCTAACTGGCAATCCATCATGGCTGGCTATAAAGAAATGAAGTAATTAACCATAAGGAAATAATTCAGCAAGATGCTAACAGTTTAATAACATTTGAGTATTTGCATTTAAGCCTTATTGTTTTTAAATGATTTCATAATTGTTTTAGATTTGCAAAAGGTGCTAACACGTAAACAAAATAAAAAGCAACACAAGATTTTGTGTTAGATATGGTCAGTTGAATGTGTTATTAGATACAGGAATAAGGTTTGTATTGTCCTCATGGAATTTGGAATACAGCCCTTGGCAACACAGGTCTGTACAGAAAAAACTCCTCAGCCTTTAGAAGCTTATACACCTCCCCAGCCAGGGGAAAAAGGAGGAAACTAAACAAATCTTTCTCATGCAGAGAAAAACCTCATGTTGTTATCTTCCTTCCTATTACAAGGGAAGTTCATCTAGAGAGCCACAGCTGAGAAAGGAAAACATGTTGATTGGAATACGTAAGAACCCCCTTCTGTGTACCACTTGGGGATAAAGATTTTATTAGAAAGAACTTTCTTCATCTTTGAAGCACCTGAAAAAATTACAGCCAAGAAGAAAGCTGTAGTTGTCCATTATCAAAACCTTCTGTCCACAGTGGAAGCTTTCTGCATTTCCATCACCAACCATGGGGAGAAACTAGGGCTACTCCTATTTTCCATCAAACACCAGAACAGTGTTTCTCTCACAGGACTCCAGGGATAGATTCTAAAGTTTCTATGAGTCTTCTACATTTTATTTAAATATCCTGCCTTAATTTCTATGATAGCTTAAAAAATATCTGAAGGACTAAGTATTACCATAGGGCCATAGGGCCCTCCCTCCTTTGCAATTGCATTTATGAACATATTGGCACCAATGAACATAGCTTCAATCAATGAGGGTTAATGAGAAGAATAATAATGGTAGACTTTAGATTAAAAATTATATTGGTGGCTGGGCACGGTGGCTCATGCCTGTAATCCCAGCACTTTGGGAGGCCGAGGCGGGTGGATCACGAGGTCAGGAGATCAAGACTCTCCTGGCTAACACAGTGAAACCCCGTCTCTACTAAAAATACAAAAACAAAATTAGCGGGGCGTGGTGGTGGGTGCCTGTAGTCCCAGCTACTCAGGAGGCTGAGGCAGGAGAATGGCGTGAACCCGGGAGGCAGAGCTTGCAGTGAGCCAAGATTGTGCCACTGCACTCCAGCCTGGGTGACAGAGCAAGACCTCGTCACAAAAAACAAACAAAAAAAATTATATTGGTGCAAAGTAAAAGCCAACAAAACCTGCTGCATGCCCTAGGAACAACCATTTTGTAATTTTCTGGTAGCTTTTGTAGAGAGACATACTAAGAGAAGTGAGTTATCCTCCAGCTTATGGAGTTTAGATACAACAAACTGAAAAACAACTAGCACCAAAGCAGTCAGGGCCACCCTTGTATTGTGAGCAGCAATTTAATTTCAGCAAAATAACTCCATCCTTAACTTTCAGTTAACATTGTAACTTGGAATTTCAGTGGTTCTTATTTATATGCAGTTTGTAAACGTGTGTTGACTTTACGGTTGTGCTGTGATAGCAGATGTGAGTGAAGATCTAAAGTGGGGTTTCTCAACCTCAACACTACTGACATCTGGGCTGGATAACTGTCTGATGTAGGGGACTGTTCTGTGCATTGCAGGATTTAGTAGCATCCCTGCCCTCTACTCACTAGATGCCAGTAGCAAACATCCCCAAACCACCTCTAGTTGTGACCATCAACAGGGTCTCTACATGAACAGACACTTCGCAAAAGATGACATACATGTGGCCAACAAGCACGTGAAAAAATGTTCAATATCACAATCATTAGAGAAATGCAAATCAAAACCACAGTGAGATACTAGCTCGCACCAGTCAGAATGGTTAGTATTAAAAAGTCAAAAAATAATAGACGCTGGCAAGGTTTTGGAAAAAAAGGAATGCTTATACACTACTGGTGGGAATGTAAATTAGTTCGACCACTGTGGAAAGCAGTTTGGTGATTTCTCAAAGAACTCAAAGCAGAATTACCATTCGATTCAGCAATCCCATTATTGGTTATATACTGAAAGGAATATAAATCATTTTACCATAAAGACAATTGCACTCATATGATCATTGCAGCACTGTTCACAATAGCAAAGATATGGAATCAACTTGGGTGCCCATCAATAGTAGACTAGATAAAGAAAATGTGGTACATATACACCATGGAACACCATGCAGTCATAAAAAAGAGCAAGATTATGCCCTTTGCAGCAACACAGGTGGAGCTGGAAGTCATTATACTAAGTGAACTAACAGGAATAGAAAACGAAATACCACATGTTCTCACTCATAAGTGGGAGCTAAACACTGAGTGCATATGGACACAAAGAAGGGAACAGCAGACACCAGGGACTACTTGAGGTGGAGGGTAGAAGACGGGAGAGGACCAAAAAACTACCTATAGGATAATATTCTTATTACATCAGTGACAAAATGATCTGTATACCAAACCCATGCAACATGTAGTTTACCTGCCCATGTACCCCTGAACTTAAAATAAAATTTAAAACCAACAAAACAAAATAGTGTCTCTAGATACTACCAAATGTTTCCCGGAGGGTAAAATTGTCCCCAGTTTAAAACCACTGACCTAAAATATGTGTTGGGGTCCAGGCAGGAAAGAGATAACATACTCAGGTTGAATAATTTAAGGAGAATTTAAAATAGATACTAGTTATAAAAGTGTAGGGAGGGTATAAGGAAAGATAATTACCAAAGTCCTAAAGGAGCAAAATAAGGGTGAAGCATGTTGGGGGTCAAGGGAGAGACAGAGAGGGAAGGAGGAGAAGGGGGGTGCAGAGATGGAGATAGGGGCACAGATCCTATTGAGAGGACATCCTATTAGAAGCTGAGACCTGCAGGTAAGAGGTAAAGTGATACATTAATGCCCTGACTTCACAGTCTGGGCTCCCCATGAGCTGAACCCAATCAGGTGCCAAAAGACAAGGGAGCGCACTGATAAGGTTCAGACAGGTCAGCCTCCCAGGGCATAGAGCAGAGTGGAGGGAGGGAACATAGTGTAGGTTAGAGGAGCAAACAGAAAACATCCACCACACCTAGTTCTCCAATTTTGAGAATTTAAGAAACGATTAAAAATGGTAGGCAGCCGAGGCCCTGAAGTCCATCGCCGGTCGGTGCACGCTTGTGCAGCACGCACTCCCCGGAGCTGAACCAGGGTGAGTAGAGAGCTGTCAGATGCTATAGCCATATGAAGTTGAACATGGCAGAAGAAGAGGACTAACGTCTGATTCCTTCATTAATGTCCAAGAAGATATCAGACCAGGCTTGCCAATGCTAAGGCAAATCCGGGAAGCCCGTGGAAAAGAAGAAAAGCAACAGGAAGCTAACTTGAAACATAGGCAGAAGAGTTTAAAAGAAGAAGAACAAAAAAGACGTAACATTGGGTTGAAGAATGCACTAGGCTATGAAAACAAAGGGTTTGCCTTGCTCCAAAAGATGGGCTATAAAAGTGGTCAGGCACTTGGCAAGGGTAGGGGTGGTATTGTTGAACCCATTCCTCTCAATATCAAAACAGGGAAAAGTGGCATTTGGTCATAAGGCATCATTAAAACGGAAAGCAGAGGAAAAATTAGAAAGCTACGGAAAAAAGATTCACATGATGAATAACCAAGCTGAAGAAAAAGCTGCAGACCAGTTTCGAATGCGACTTAAAAATAAGCAAGATGAAATGAAGCTAGAAGGAGATCACAGAAGAAGCCAGCAAGTCTGTCAACAATTGGACACCCAGAAAAATATTCAGGTTCCCAGGGAAGCATGGTACTGGTTGAGGCTTGAAAAGGAGACTGAAGATGAAGAAGAAAAAGAACAGGATGAAGATGAATATAAGAGTGAAGATTTAAGTGTACTGGAAAAATTACAAATATTGACTAGTTATTTAAGAGAAGAACTTCTGTATAGTATTTGGTGTGGAACAGCCTATGAAGATAAAGAAGACCTATCTTCAAATTGTCCAGGACCAACTTCGCAGATCATGACTAAGATTATTCCCAATAAACTGGAAACTTGAAAAATGTTATTATTTCCTAGGGATAGACAATTCAGCAGTTAGAAATCCCAAATTTTTTATGCCAGTAAAGAAAGAGGGACTTTATATAATGTTTTGTTCTTTTTGTACTTTAGAATGTGAGAGTTCACTGACTTGAAAAAAATAATGCAATGCCATTTCAGAACACAAGTGTCATAGAGATGGACAGTTACAGTTTATTGCTGTATTGTGATAGGTGAGGGGTTTAAGGACACCAACAGGTAACTCTCTTACTCCCCTCTTCACTTTGGAACAAATTGAGAAATAAGAAACAGGAGTCAGAGGAAGAGAAAAATATCCACTTTATCAGTGAATAAGCTGAAATAGAGAAGGTTGAATTTTTCTCCAATCAGACACTGTAATATTTCTCCCTGATTGGAGAGAACTGCGGGCCTCTGCCTTCTTGGGGCAGAGCTCATCTTTGCATTCTGAGACCAGTTAGCTTTCAAGGTCCACCAAGGGCTGGACCACACATGCTCAGTTCCTTCTTGTATCACCCATGGGATGAGACAGTTCTTTGTTGGGAAGGAATGAATGAGGGTTCAGAGAGCTTTTTCCTACACTTCTCGCTTTGGAGGAGCAAGGAGAAGTTCCCTTCCCTCCATCCAAGCATGAAGAGGAGGGGAAACGTATTCCCCGCAATAAGACTCATGTCAGAGGCAATGTTCCACCAGTACTACTAAATTCTAATCCATTTTACAGACAAAATAACTGTGATAATTTCTGGTAAAATCATGAGTTTTCATGACAATGTCTACATCCATTAAATGTGATCTATTGGAAGTTTTGGCTTTAGAAACTTAAGAATTGTGAGGAAACTCAAATATCATGTGATCCAAGTACTTACTGAATTTGGAAACCCCTTGATAGCATTCCCAGTGAGTGGTAATTCAACCTTTGCTTTTATTCTTCCCTCCACAGAGAGCTCACTGCTTTAAAACCATTCCAGGCCGGGCGCGGTGGCTCACACCTATAATCCCAGCACTTTTGGAGGCAGAGGCGGGCGGATCATGAGGTCAAGAGATTGAGACCATCCTGGCCAACATGATGAAACCCCATCTCTACTAAAAATACAAAAATTAGCTGGGCATGGTGGCGCATGCCTGTTGTCCCAGCTACTAGGGAGGCTGAGGCAGGAGAATTGCTTGAACCCGGGAAAGCAGGTTGCAGTGAGCCGAGATCGTGCCACTGCACTCCAGCCTGGCAACAAAGCAAGACTCCATTTCAAAAAAAAAAAAAAAAAAAAATCCATTATTACTGGGTAGCCCTAAATTATTTTCATTGTTTTCTCTTAAACTGGCATCTGCTTCCCTGTAATTTTACTGAATACAGCTAAGGACATACCATGTGGCATACTATGAGAGAGCTCCATCCAGGGTGAGGCATCAAAATCATGAACCTTTTTAAAAGTTCATATGCTCAGATGTCTCTCTTAGTGACTGATTTTGATTTATCTAGTCTAAAGCAGTTCCTGGATATCTATATCTGTATTTATTTTGAAGTCCCAAGAATGAATGACAAGCACCTGAGGATAAGAACTAGTGCTGAGATTAAGTATGGTGCATCACTAGTCTTTGGATAGAGTTGTGATCACCTGTGTCATTTTATAGCCCACCTTTTAGTTGCATTGAGCAAGAGATCAACCTCTTTTTTTATTAGAAACAGCATACATAAGAAAATCACAAAAACTAACCTGTACTTGCTAGGGTAAGATAATCAGTAGTAAAACTTGTATTAATCTCTGACCTAATATGAGCTAATTCACTTTTCAAGTTTAACTTAGGGGTCTTTACAAAATAATAATAAAAGGATCCCACCCCAAGAGATTCTGATGCCACTGGTCACTATGACTTGGGCATCAGTGGCCTTGATTCTAAAATGCAGCCTAGCTTGAGCCACTAATCTAGTTAACTTCTGGGCCTCAGTTCTTCATCCAGAAAACTAATCATTATTTTTATGAATGTAAATATATATATATATATATGTGTGTGTGTATATATATATATGTGTGTGTGTGTATATATATATATATATCTAAGTTTATATGGTTGGATGCTATTGTTTAATAATTTTTTGGTTTAAAAAAATTATAAAATTGGCTGAGCACAGTAGCTCACTCCTGTAATCCTGGCACTTGAGGAGGCCAAGGCAGGCAGATCACTTGAAGCCAGCAGTTTGAGACCAGCCTGGCCAACATGGTGAAACCCCATCTCTACTAAAAATACAAAAACTAGCTGGGCATGGTGGCACACACCTGTAATCCAGCTACTCAGAAGGCTGAGGCATGAGAATTGCTTGAACCTAAGAGGCAGAGATTGCAGTGAGCTGAGATCATGCTACTGCACTCTAGCCTGGGTGACAGAGCAAGGCCCTGTCTCAAAAAATATATATATAAAATTATATTAGTAGCTATTAATAAAACAGAGGAGTACATTTTACCCTTGCAATTACAGTCAATATTTTGGTGTCACTTCAGCCAACATACCAACATTCAGTCAAATCCCAAAGCCAAATGGATATTTTCAGATGGAATCGAGATAGACAGGAACTGGCTTCCCTTTCTCCTCTTACTGACTATGGGGACAACCCACACCTGCTCAGTGGCCTAAAATATTTTAAATATGTTCATGACAATTATGCTAAGAATGTAGAATAACACTGATGGAACCCAGGATTGTGGTCTACATTTACAGGCCTAGGACTAGAACTAGACCAGCTTAGAGAGTGGGAGATATCCCTCTGTTCTTGTCCATCAAAGGATAAAAATATAGGCTTTCGGCCGGGCGCAGAGGCTCACTCCTATAATCCCAGCACTTTGGGAGGCTGAGGCAGGCAGATCATGAGGTCAAGACAGCGAGACCATCCTGGTCAACATGGTGAAACCCTGTCTCTACTAAAAATACAAAAATTAGCTGGGCAAGGTGGCAGGCGCCTGTAGTCCTAGCTACTCGGGAGGCTGAGGCAGGAGAATCGCTTGAACCAAGGAGGCGGAGGCTGCAGTGAGCTGAGATCACACCACTGCACTCCAGCCTGGTAACAGAGCCAGACTCTGTCTCAATGAAAAAAAAAAAAATACAGGCTTTCAGCTGGGTGCGGTGATGCAGGCCTATTTCCTAGCTACTCAGGGGGCTGAGGTGGGGAATCCCTTGAGCCCAGGAGTTTGAGACCAGCCTGGGCAACATAGTGAGAGAGCCCCATCTTAAGGAAAAAAAAAAAATCAGGTTTTCAATATGAGTAAAAACTTATTTTTAGGCCTTTTATGACTTTCTAAATAGGTAATAATGAACACCGAGGGAAGCAAAACATTGAAAAGAATTTTAAAATTTGTTTTAGAACATTCATATGAAATTTGAAACTGCAAAACAATGTAAAATTTAATGCCATGTCATTTATTTTTGTGTATATTGTGTTATGTTTATTTTCAAAGTCCTATCTAGAAATTCTAAAATGTCTTTTCTTAATTAAAAATCAAAAATACTGTAGTTTTTGAAATTCAAAATAAATACTTTAACATACAAGAAAAATTTAAATTAAAATGGTAAATCAACCCTAGAAGTCCACAAGTCAGCTTTCATTTAAAAGGAGGTTGCTTCTCTGCACATCATTAAAGTTTGTAAAATTACATCCCAAGAACCTTCCTAATGTTCATACCAGACCCATTGCCTGCCCTGGCCTCTTATTGCTGGGCTCATTAACTCAACAAATGCTTATTTATATCCCACCATGGTCAGAGAACTGTACTGGTGCAAAGTGGCTGAAGAAAGGGCAGTTCATAGGAAATGTCAGACCTGAGCCTCATGTCTCCATCAGGAAACAACTAATGCACATGGATAAAATAGCACTCTCCTCAGCCATCACCAGTGTGAGGACAGTATCACAATAATAGCTTCAATGTCAGTGGTTCATGTCCACCTTGCCCCTGCAGGATTCCATCATTGTCTCTGCAGCTGTATCTAGGTATCAGCAAGAGTCTTAAATACTTTTGCTTGGGTATCCCTTCCTCTATTCTCTTATTTCCAAGGGGAGGCTTCTTCCCTATTGCCTGGAAGGGAACAGCAGTAGAGTGACCCCCTTCAGCTCTTACCTGCTCCTCCCATTGGAAGGAGGAGTAATGAATATGATTGGTGAGATGGGCCCAGCTGACATCCCTTGGGCCACCTTTGTCCTGGGCAGGGCCACTGCACTAAGCAAGGACAGCAGGAGCCACCTACTCTTGCCAAGAATGGTGGTTGCTTGTGCCTCTTGCTCCTTCTGGTAATCAGATGAAGTAGGGCCTGCTGCAGGCCAGCCTAGCCAACCTTCCAATTTACCAGTTCCAGTTCTTCAGCCTGCAACTAAATATGCAAATCAAAGTCATGTGAATCCCAAGGTCCATGTGAGAGAGAGAAGCTCCATTGCCAACTGACCTAAGCCCATAGGGCTGCTCAACATTATCAGATTTGGAACAAGGAGGCAACATTGGTCAAGCCAAACTTTAAAGGTAGCGGGGAGCTAAGTGGCTCCTCCCCCACAGCTCACTGCTATGTAGCATGTTAGAACAAAAACAAGTCTTAGACCAAATTTTCTGTTTGTCTAATCATTTCTTAGAGCATGTGGGCTCAAAATAATCATGCAACCTGTTCTGTAAACTCAGAGACATCTTGTTTTCTATACTTGGGCTCTCCAATAAGAAAACTTCGAGAGAATTTCATTCATTTGTAATCAATTCCCTTCTAGTTGGATCAAACAACAGGTGCCTCTGAGAACTGGAGGACACAGAGCTAAGTGACCTTCTAACCTTCAGTTTGTGCTGTCATATTATCCTGGCCGGGGTCTTAAACCTCCTTGACTCAAAGGTGGTGATGCCTGCAGAGTCTTTCTGGCAAGCAAATATTTTTAACCAATCACTCATCCGGTGAAAATTATTATTTCTACACATCCCTTATGCAAATAAAAACCCCTCATTGGAGATTTCAGATCAAGATATTTGAAGCCACCTCTGAAAGGTGGATTCCTCATTAGGCTCTTTCAAATCCCAGCTAATTACCCAGAGAGTGGGAATTTCAGATGAGAATTATGATGGATTGGAGCTGGCTGAACATTTTTTTTTATGCTCCTCTGTTTGGAAATCTAATTCCCCTCCCTCTGAAACTAGGCCAATAGGATATAGACAGATAGAAATAGAAATAGAGATAGAGAGACAGAGAGAGAGAGAGAAAGGCAGGGAGCGATTTTAAGGAATTGGCTCATGAAATTGGGGAGGCTGACAAGTCGAATCTATGGGGTAGACCAGCAGGCTGGAGACTCAGGGGAGAAATGCTATCATTCATGTTCAAAGGCAGTCAATGGGCAGAATTCCCTCTTCCTCAAGGGAGAACAGTCCTTTTTCTCTTAAGGCCTTCAACTAATTGGATGACTCCCACCCTCACTAGAGAGGGCCATCTGCTTTACTCTGAAAGTCTGATGTAAATGTTAATCTCATCTTTAAAAGATAGCTTCACAGAAACATCTAGAATAATGCTTGAACAACTATCTGGGTACTGCAGCCTAGCCAATTTGACACATAAAGTCCACCATCACAGTCAGCATTGGTGGCAGGAGATGTGATGTAACATGACTTCGAGGGCTAAGTGATAAGAAGCCTTGAAACCTTGGCATGGGTCTCCTGGAATGCTCTCTTGGAAGTCTGGCTCCCTGAGATCACCATAATGTGAGGAAGCCCAAGCTAGCCCCATGGGGAGACCGCATGGAGAAAGAGATGCCCAGCTAGTCTCATTGTTCCAGCCATCCCAGCCCAAGCACTGGACACACGAAATAAATCATCTTGGATGTCCAGGCAGATGAGACTTCAGATGCCTCCAGCCCCCACTGCCATCAGGCTGCAAGCACATGAAAGACTCTGAGAACTGCCCAGCTGATCCCATTCAACCACAGAACCATGAGAGAGATTCATATATTGCTTTCTAACTCACCAAATGTTAGGGTGGATTTCTATGTAAAAAATAGGTAAACAGACTACGAATACTTGAAATATTAACCTACACTCCCAGGGTACATATTAAACTTAACTTCACACATATGCACATCATCTACACCAAAGTATTTTAAGAAAATTACAGCCAGTATAACTGTCCTGCCACATGCTCTATATATTCTGAGCCCATTTGCCTCCTGTGTCTGTTTCCAACAAGTTAAGGACATGGAAGGGTGTGAGGGGGGTTAGATAGGACCCAAAACCATCAACAGGGGCCCACACATCTTCTCCAACAGCACTAAAGTGTCTGCCAGGCCCTGCCAATAACATTACAGGTGTGCTTATAGTGTGTAGAATAAAACACAGGTGGGTTGCCTGTGGGGTAATGAGGGAAGAATGTCTCTTTATCTCTTTTATGTCCAGCTCTGTCAGAGAGATACCCCAGAGTTTGTAGAGAAAAACTCTTCCTTCTCTACCTGTTGCTCTGCGCTCTAAGGCTACAGAGAAGCCAATAGGAGCTGGGAGAAATCAGGTGTCAGGCACCATGCCATTATCTGATAACTGAGCTTTCTCTAACAAGGCCAGGCTCTCCATACCTGGTTCTCCTATTTCATCAGGATGAATTGTCCCCCAGGAGGGGCCTCAGCCCTTATGCAAATTGGCTTTCCAGGGTGCCCACTCCATCAGCACAGACATGGCCAGATTTTCTTAATTCCTCTTAGACTCAATCTAGAAGCTCTGCTTCCCATAAATGAAATGGTGGCAAATACTGACAATCTAACAGATTAATCAGTGTAACAGAGTGACCCTGGAGTCAGAATTTAAATTTATTTTTTAGCAAGAAGCTGACAGCTGCTTCTTTGTAGAGCAAGGTTAGCAACTCAAATGGCTCCAAGCAGGGGAGATATTAAAAATATTTAACAACTGGAACCACCTGAGCCCAGTGGGCTCAGAGCAGGCCCTGTCAGCCATAGATATCAGCCCTGCTCATACAAACCAGGCAGGTAAGTGGGAGGAATGGGCACATGGGGGCTGTGGAAGAGGACAGCTCACGCTTCATGTAAAGAAGAAGCTGCTATCCAGCTCCAGGCAATGGAGGACATGGGAATGGAAGCCTAATGTTATCGAAAAAAAAAAAAAATAGAATTTTTTTTTTCCCAGAGAGGCTGCCACGAAATTTGTGAAATTTCCTGATTTAAATGTTAGCAACTACTTTGAATATTTACAAAAATATCTTTGCAAGCTGCTATGGTCTGAATGTTTGTGTCATTCTCCCAAAATTCATATGGTGAAATTCTCACCCCCAAGGTGATGATATTAAGAGGTGTGGCCTTTGGAGAGGTGGATTAGGTCATGAGCGCGGAACTCTCACGCATAGCATTAGTGCCTTATCAAGGGGGCTGGGGGCAGGGTGGGTGGGGTGGCTCCTTCACTCCTTTCGCTGAGTGAGGAACCAGAAGGCAGCCATCTGCAGCCTGGAAAAGGGTCCTCACCAGAACCTGACCATCCTTATCTTGGACTTCCCAGCCTCCAGAACTGTAAAAAAATAAATGTCTTTTGTTTAGAAACCACCCTGTTTATGTATTTTGTTATGGCCAGAATGGAATAAGATACAGGCCAAACCACATACATGACCTTCATGCTATCATTGTTACTGCTTTTCGAAAGGCAGGCCCAGAAAACTGTCATTATTCTATGTAGAGTCATGTAAGTAGCCTGTGCATTATGCAAACAAGGTTAATAGGCATTTGCACTTTGAGGGGATGAGCCTACTGGTCCTCTGAGTTAGCAGAGCTGTTCTCCGCCTTGCTACATAGACCTCTAGAATGAGAAAAGTCAAATTAACATCAAGCTCTAGGAAACTCCTGGGTAAAAATATTGGGGATCCCAACTTCTATTCTCCCAAAATTAAAGTTGGAGCAATTCATCAGGATGAATTTCGATGGACTAGGTGAGTTCTGCCACCAAAGTTGCCCGAATGAAGCTTCAAAACCGTGGTGGACATCTGGGTGAGCATTCCACGCTCTACCAAGAGCTGGCCCTTTCATATTGTTTGTGATCTGGGGAGAAGTCACTGGTCATGTTGTGGGAGCCCCAGGAATAGGAGCATGGCAACCTAGGCGGGGCCTGGGAAAGCAAAGGCACCACTGCACTGTGGCTAAGTAGCATCTATTGAAATGTACAGCATTCACCTTCAACTACAACATCACTGGCCACCAGAAGCAACAGCTTTGTGGGCGCAGCCGATTCTCCCTTCTGTCCCAGCCTGGTGCTTACAGGTGGTCTCTCAGACTGACTAACCCCAGAATTCAGGGCTGTCTTTGTAGGCATGTGACATGTGCAACCACAGAGGGCCAACAGGTTTGGTTTAATGCTCACCTTGAAAGTCTTAATTTTTATTTTAATTTTATTTATTTATTTATTATTTTTATTTATTTATTTTTTGAGATGGAGTCTCGCTCTGTCTCCCAGGCTGGCGCAATCTCATCTCACAGCAACCTCTGCCTCCCAGATTCAAGCAATTCTCTGGCCTCACCCTCCCAAGTTGCTAGGATTACAGGCGCCCGCCACCACACCCAGCTAATTTTTGTATTTTTAGTGCAGACGGGGTTTCACCATGTTAGACCAGGCTGGTCTCAAACTCTTGACCTCAGGTGATCTGTCCGCCTCAGCCTCCCAAAGTGCTGAGATTACAGATGTAAGCCACGGCACCCAGCAAGAGTCTTAATTTTCCAACAAGGGGTCTTGCATTTTCACTTGGCACTAAGCCCCACAAATTATGTAGCCAGTTCTGCCCTTGAGGTTCTTGAACGATTGCAGAGGGACAGCATCGAAAAGAAGGCCTTAAGAAGTAAGTACAATTGATTCTCCTTATTCACAACAGTTATGTTCTATAAAGCCGTTGCAAACACTGAATTAGTGAATACTGAACCATTGCTCCTAGGGAAAATATAGGGTTAGGTTTATGCAAGCTTCTGTTCATAACGTTTTCATCCACCAATCAATACATAACCTTTTTTCAATGTGGTTTCTGTTTCAATACATGTTATTTAATATATACAGTTGATTAATTGACATTGAACTCACAGCCAAGAGCACTAAAATTCATGCTGGAATGAAACTTACCTAACACACATATTTTCTGTGTAAGACACATTGTAGCCTTCCTGCAGTTGGAACCACTGGACAGCATTTCAGCACTATGCTTGGGGACCATTGTAAACAGCGAAGTCACCAAGAAAAAACACAACAGTGTGAAAAACAGCTCTAAACAGACCATGAGAGGGACATTGTTGACAGTATGAGAGCTGAAGCGAGAAGGGAGAGTGTCATGTCGTTCCACCTCACCTGGGAACATACATATCAGGTGACTCAAATGTCGCCACTCTGTGCAATGTCCACAAATGCCTGTGAAAACCCCTTGAGTACTGGTTTGGGGATTATGAATAAAATCTAGCAAGTAGAAGAGTTCACAAATACACAATCCACAAATAATGAGGATCAATCGCACCAACTTCCTTTTGGTATGTTATATGGGAGACCAGGTATTTGGTGGGAAAAATAACATGACCATATAAGACCGCATGCTCTTAAGATAGATCAAAGCACTTACTTTGATATGATATATTGATATAATATTGATATAATAATGATACCATATACTTATATAGCACTTACAATTAGATGATATTATGAACACATTACATAAAGTAACTCGAGGGAACATCATAACAGCCCAAAGAGGTACTGGTACAAGGTCTGGAATTTACTTTCAAATGCTTTTATATACACAATGTGACGCTAAGCATGTGCTGCCTAGTCCAACCTTTAACTCTAAGGCCAATTGGTTGTTTTCACAAAACAGAACACTCAAGAGTGGTGGCCAGGCACAGTGGCTCATGCCTGTAATCCCAGCACTTTGGGAGATCTGAGGCGGGCAGATCACAAGGTCAGGTGTTCCAGACCAGCCTGGCCAACATAGCGAAACCCTGTCTCTACTAAAAATACAAAAATTAGCCGGGTATGGTGGTGGCACATGCCTGTAGTCCCAGCTACTCGGGAGGCTGAGGCTGGAGAATTGCTTGAACCCAGGAGGCGGAGGTTGCAGTGAGCCGAGACCACGCCATTGCACTCCAGCCTAGGTAACAGAGTGAGACTTTGTCTCAAAAAAAAAAAAAAATAAGTGGTTTAATGTCATATCAGAAAGGCCATTGCCCCAGAGGCGTCTGCGACAAAGTTTCTGTTTTCCATATTGCCATCAACACTCAAGGTTGGGCTAATTAGCATAGTGAATGTCAGAACAGGTTCTTCTTGGTGAAATGGTTGGCAAAACCCCATCTCTACTAAAAATACAAAATTAGCCGGGCGTGGTGGCACATGCCTGTAATCGCAGTTACTCAGGAGGCTGAGGCAGGAGAATCACTTGAACCTGGGAGGTGGAGGTTGCAGTGAGCCAAGGTCATACCATTGCACTCCAGTCTGGGCAACAAGAGCAAAACTCTGTCTCAAAAACAAAAATAAATAAATGGTGTAATGAATGTTCAAGAAGTACTCTTGGCAGGCAACATTAAAGTAAAATATTTGGGGGATATCCTCCTCTCTTCAACAAGGTGTAAGAATCTAGCAAGACCTGTGATCTGCACCCTCTGGAATGGCACCCAAATCTCAATCCCTAAATGGTCCTGTGTCTGTCCACTGTGGTAGGAGGATTTCTGGCTGCCTGATGCTAACCGCAGGAGAGTCTCAAGTCAGCATTGCATGAAAGGTGCTAGCCAAAACAGCTAAAAATTACAGAGCGCTGAGAGCATCTCACACTTGCAGAAAAAAGGGTACGCACCGTTATCTGTCTGCTCGTGACTATTTGGTTACCGAATCTCTGTGTGAGTGACGGGATTTTATCTGAGGCCACTTTGTCATACAGTACGCCCTGGTAGAGACAGTATAGGTAAGTAGCTAACCCTCACTCTCCTCCAACTTCTTCAGTGGGTTTTGTTATCCACTGATGGGGACAATGGTCCCCAAGTTACACAGCTACTAAGAGGTAGAGCCAGGATGTCCACCCAGGCCATGTGGCTGCAGCTTCTATATTCTTAACCATATGCCATACTGCCTCTTCACCTAAAAGCAACATGCGACCTAAATCCATTGCAGCTTAGATTAATTTGGCAAATCTACAGAGCCCTAAAAATACACATATTTGCAGGAAAGAGGAAAAAAAGAGTCTGAAATTTAAAAAAAGATGAAGACAATGAACAAGGCTAAACTATCAGGAACTTTAAAATGACACAAAGTCCATATTCACATCTATCCCTAATTCTAACACCATGGTTTTAGGTGGTATGTGAATTTTCTGTCACAGCATCTAAACATGCACATCAGTTAGAAAACATGATTGTAAAATTACTGAAATACGAAGAAATGACCCTCTTGGAGTTGATGAATTAGGGTATTTTTGTCACTGTCCTTTCAGCCATGGTCACAAACCCACACCTCCCTGAGCAAGCGTAGGCCCTGTTGACTCGTGGCTCTCCTTATAAAACCATGAGCTCTTTACCAGGCTGAAATGAAATTCATAGATAATATCTACCTATGTGTGTACTTTTTAAAAATTAATAGCCTAACTGTAATATACACAATAAACAAAAGGACAGGAATTGAAAATATTACTTTAATATGTAGATATGGAGACAAGACACACTGAAAGACATAATGATGCAGACACGTGCTTGCACCTATATGTACAATCATAATAAATGTCATTGTTAAAAGTGCAGACTGAGGTGGGCATGTAGAATTGACAATCTAAATACAAGTAGCTTCCAAGAGCCAGGGAACTTACTAAAATGCTAACTCTTGGTGGTTACATTATTGGAATGCTCAGCATATACTCAAATGGTAAAAAAAAGAAAGGTTTTATTATATAAAAAAGAGTTAGTGTCTGGCCAGCGCGGTGGCTCATGCCTGTAATCCCAGCACTTTGGGAAGCCGAGGCGGGCAGATCACGAGGTCAAGAGATCGAGACCATCCTGGCTAACATGGTGAAACCCCGTTTCTACAAAAAATTAGCCAGGCATGGTGGCGGGCACCTGTAGTCCCAGCTACTTGGGAGGCTGAGGCAGGAGAATGGTGTGAACCCAGGAGGCGGAGCTTGCAGTGAGCTGAGATCATGCCACTGCACTCCAGCCTGGGCGACAGAGCGAGTCTCTGTCTCTAAATAAATAAATAAATGAATAAATAAATAAATAAAAGAGTTAGTGTCTAGATAATTACACAGGTTTTTCTCCCATATGCACACCCAACAGGGCATTTCAGAGCTATACAGGGTTTCTGGCAATCACTCTTGAGTAGAACTATCCCGCACATTGCAGGGCATCAAAAATCCCTGGTATCCACCCATCACATGCCATTAGAGCCCCGCAATCCTTGTGAGGACCCCACCAATTCCCAAAGCACCTCCCAGAAGGCAGCACTGCCCCACTGAGGACCTCTGCTGTAAGGTTTTTTCTGAAGCTTTGCACATCTCTAGGTCTATGGTACCAGGAAGCAGTTGATGCTAGGGAGGAAACAGCCTGCCTATGGCCTTGGGAAAAAGGAAATTCCTTCAGCTCTCCACAACCTGGGCTCTGATGTGGGGGACTCAGGAGCAAGTTGGCCTGGAAGCAGACTGGGAATCAATGATGTTATTAAGCCCCTAACTCAGTTCCACTAGTGGTGGCTGCAACTGCGTGATTATAGCAGAACTGCATTCAGCCCACTGCAAGTCAAAGTAACAGCCAATATCCAAATCTCTCCAAATTCAAAAAGGTGCTGCTGAGTTCTCTAGCACTATCAAGAAATCAAAGGTATCAAGATTGACCATTTGTACACAAGAAGAACAGTGCAGCTTAAACTGCTAAGAGTCCCGGTTTGAACCCAGGATGTCTCAAAGGCTTGGGTTCCTACTCATTGCACCAAATCAAGGTTCTAATAGAATAAGGAGTGATCAGAGCCACAGAATGCTCACAGGAGGCTACTGCAAGAAGGCCAGTCATGAGTAACAAGGGGAGAAGCCAGGAACAGAACTTTATTCATGGGGAGCATTGGCCAAGTCTATGCTGTATTATAAAAGGACTGTCACGATTCACACACGAGTCAAGGACTCTTTGCTTCAGGGAGAGATTGGTAACCACCAATAATGATGGAGAAACTGGAAAAACACCACCAGCTTTGCAGGAAAGAAAAGCTTCATTTTCATCAGGATCCAGGAATAGGCTAGACAATTAAAATGAGACTGAAAGAAGGGGAGAAAGAAAGGAAGAGAATAAGCATCTGACAGCCACTGAGCCGGGGCTGCCACCAAAGGGGCCTTGAAGAGAGGTAGAGGGCATGGACGCTCTGAATGCAGATAGAAAAAAGAAACAGACAAGAAAGAGAAGGTGGTAGAAAAGGTGAGAAAAGCAAAGTAAGAGAGGTGATTAAGAGGGTCCAACATCACTAAGTTGAGAAAAATGCAAGTTTCCAGGAAGAGGGGCAGCCGACAGTGTCAGAATATGTGAGGGACTGAGAAGCTGTGAAATCATCATATTTCAGAACGTGAGGTCAGTAATTCTGAGGGTAAAAATAAAAGCTGCAATGGAATGCAAGATGAGGCACACAGGCAAGTGTAGAGGGATAAAAAAGGACTTTGCTAAGAAGAAACAAATGCAGAGCCTCCTGGAGATAGTGAGCTACAAAAGATGCAAGAAAAAGAAGGTGTTTGCTAAAAGAAGACAGTAGGGTAAAGAGGTTTCTTCCCACAATAAAAAAAACTAGCATCCACAGAAATGGAGAAGTGGCTGGGCGCAGTGGCTCACACCTGTAATCCCAGCACTTTCGGAGGCCAAGGCAGGTGGATCACCTGAGGTCAGGAGTTCGAGACCAGCCTGGCCAACATGGTAAAACTCCATCTCTACTAATAATACAAAAATTAGCTGGGCATGGTAGCGCATGCCTGTAATCCCAGCTACTCCAGAGGCTGTGGCAGCAGTATCGCTTGAACCCGGGAGGCAGAGGTTGCAGTGAGCCAAGATCATGCCATTGCACTCCAGCCTGGGCAACAAGAATGAAATTCCATCTCAAAAAAAAAAAAAAAAAGAAAGAAAGAAATGGAGAAGCAAAGGAGAGAAACCAGCTGTAGAACAGGGGGTGGCAGGGCTTTATGTGAGTTCCTGTAGGGAAGGACAAGGGATTGGCTTTTGAAGGTTGGATAACCTTTCCCTCCAAACTTCCCACAGAGAGGGTAGGCAATGTAAAGCCAAGAGTGTGGCTCTAGCTATCACCTTTCCTTTTCCAATGTGGGTGTCCTCATCTCAATTTGTGTGCAACCTCTGGTCTCCAAGTAACCCATTTCTACTCTGACAAGCTGAGAGAAACAGCCATGGGCCAAGACAGATTTGAGCTGTGGCTCAGCAAGTGTTCTGTGGTGGGAAGGCTGTGGCTAGGAAGCTTTAGCAAAGGGGAAACTTAACTCTCCCTAACAAAACTAGAGGTTCGTAGTAGTCCTGGAATTGAAGAAGTCCTGGAATTGAACATGTTTAAAGGGATCCACTTTAACAAACCTAGAAGCTCAGCATCTCAGAAAGGACAATTTTTAGCACTGAAGGCCATGCTGAGACAATGCAGCTGACAGAATCGCTACCCAGAATCTGAAACCAGCTCAAGGCTGACAGCCCAACCTGACTAAGAAGACCAGCCAGGGCTTTGTCCAAAACACCACAGATGAGGAAAATAATCTTCTGTCTAGTAACAAGTTGGTGATGACAGAATC
Organism: Homo sapiens; assembly: GCF_000001405.40. NCBI lineage: Eukaryota > Metazoa > Chordata > Mammalia > Primates > Hominidae > Homo > Homo sapiens. The sequence continues at coordinate 73,167,716 of NC_000003.12, read as the reverse complement.
CCAAATGTCACTGCCAGCTTGGGAAAAAACCCTCTAATAACAAGGTAAAGATGATTTTGTCAATCTGTGGAAAGGATAAAATTTTAAATTACATTCTATTTCCTAGGACAATTTTTTGGGGTCTAACTTAACAAGGTTGGTGAGACTTAGCTCTTTACTATTTTAAGCACCTTAGGCACATACAAAAAAAATGTCTGGAACTTGTTATACATAATTCATTCTCTGGAGCTGAGAATAAGAAACTAAGAGATGAAGTTTGAAATAAAGGTTAATTAAGGGGGAGAAAAAAAACGGGACTTATTGGAGTTAAAAAGGATAACAGCTGAGGCATTTCTCACCAAACTGAATAAAAAGAGCCGATATTTCCTTCTGGAGTATTTACGGAGAACCCAATATGTTCCTGTGGGGTGATTTTAAAGTATGGCCACAATTTTTTTTTGGTTTGTTTTTTACATTCCTCCCTTCAGAAAGTAGACCCTAATCCTCTTCATCTTGGATGTGTGCTGGACTTAGTGAATCACATGTAACAAATGGAACATGGCATGATGGCAGTGTGTCACTTCTAAAGCTAAGTCATAAAAGACATCACCACTTCCATCATATCTCTCTTGGATCACCTGCTCCGGGGGCTGCCAGCCACCATGTTGTGAAGACACTCAAGCGGCCTGTGGAGAGGCCCATGTGGGAAAGAACAGAGGTCTCTCACCAACAACTGGCACCAACTTGCCAGCCAAGTGAGTCAGCAACCTCCTTTAGCAAACATCTTTTCTTGCATCTTTTATAGCTCAATATCTCCAGGAGGCTCTGCACTTGTTTCTTCTTAGCAAAGTCCTTTTTCTCCCTCTGCACTTACCTGTGTGCCTCATCTTGCATTCCATTGCAGCTGTTACTTTTATGCTCAGAATTACTGACCTCACATTCTGAAATACGATGATTTCACAGCTTCTCAGTCCCTCACATATTCTGACACTGTTGGCTGCCCCTCCTCCTCCAGCCCCAGTCAAACCTTCAGATGACGACATCCCCACCCAACATCTTTAATGCAGCCTCATGAGAGACACCGAGGCAGAACTATCCCCTGACAAGCTGCTCCCAAATTCCTGACCAACAGGAACCATGAGGATAATAAATGCTTATTATTTCTCTAAGCCACTAAATTCTGGGCTAATTTGTTACACACTGAGAGATAACTAATACAGTTTGACACTGTGCAAAGTTCTGGCAACACAGGAGCAAAAAACTGATAGTCCCAACCATCAAGAAGCTCATTGCCTACTGTGGAGATAGTCTGGTAAAGCCAACAATAACAAAACCACATGGCTGGGCACAGTGGCTCATGCCTGTAATCTAGGCAATTTGGGAGGCCAAGGTGGCTGGATCACTTGAGCCCAGGAGTTCAACACCAGCCTGAGCAACATGGTGGAACCCCGTCTCTACCAAAAATACAAAAATGGCCTGGCGCGGTGGCTCACGCCTGTAATCCCAGCAGTTTGGGAGGCCGAGGTGGGTGGATCATGAGGTCAGGAGATCAAGACCATCCTGGCTTATATGGCAAAACCCTGTCTCTACCAAAAACACAAAAAAATTAGCCTGGTGTGGTGGCGGGTGCCTGTAGTCCCAACTACTCTGGAGGCTGAGGCAGGAGAATGGCGTGAACCCAGGAGGCAGAGCTTGCAGTGAGCCGAGATTGCACCACTGCACTCCAGCCTGGGGGACAGAGCAAGACTCCGTCTCAAAAAAAAAAAAAAGAAAAGACAAAAATTAGCCAGGCATGGTGGCACACACCTGTAATCCCAGCTACTTGAGAGGCTGGGGCAGGAGGATCACTTGAACCCGGGAGGTGGAGGTTGTAGTGGGCCAAGATCATGCCATTGGACTCCAACCTGGGTGACAGAGCAAGACCCTGTCTCAAAAAAAAAAAAAATCATGTGATAACTACTATAATAGAGGTATATCCATCAGGACGAGCATGAGTATACTGTACTAACAAGCAACCTAAAAATCTCAATGGCAGTTGGGCGCAGTGGCTCATGCCTGTAAACCTAGCACTTTGAGAGGCCAAGGTGGGTGGATCACTTGAGGTCAGAAGTTTGAGAACAGCCTGGCCAACATGGTAAAACCCCATCTCTACTGAAAATAAAAAAAAATTAGCTGGGCGTAGTGACGGGCACCTGTAATCCCAGCTACTCAGGAGGCTGAGGCAGGAGAATCACTTGAACCCAGGAGGCAGATGTTGCAGTGAGCCAAGATCGCACCACTGCACTCCAGCCTGGGTGACACAGCGAGACTCCGTCTCAAAAAAAAAAAATAAATAAATAAATAAATAAATAAATAAATAAAAATAAAAATCTCAGTGGCTTAAAACAACACAGCTCATCTCTTGTTCATGTTATACACCAGTTGCATGTTGGCAGGGAGCTCCACTTACTCCAAGGCCTGGTATCACAGAGCAGCCATCATCTGGCTTACCGTAGCAGAAATAAAGAAAAAATGGCAAATTGTGACTGCCTATTGACGTTTCCATCTGGAAGTTACGCATGTCAATTTCACTCATATTTCATTGTCCAAAGCAAGTCATTTGATAGTGCTGAAGTTTAAGGAAAAGCAGGGAAATATATGCTACCATGTTTCCAGAGAAGGGGAAATAAGAAGTTTGTGAACATCCCAGTGGTGACCAGATGTATGCTGGGTGCTACGAGAACACAGAAGAAAGACAAACTAATTCTCCCCAGAGGAGAGGTGTCAGAGATGGCTTCTAGAAGAATGAATACAAAGAAAGAAGAGTTTATTAACCAGTCAAGGATGGAAGAGCATTCCAGATAGAGGAAACAGTACACGAAAAGCTCATTTGCACAAGAATATTTCACATTCTAGAGAGCAGCAGGGAGCAGAAGTACAGGGTATTATGCTAGGCGGAAAACATAGTCAGGGACCAGGTGTGATGAGGTTCTACGTGCCTTGCCAAAGTTTGTGCTTTGATGACTACCAATGCTTCCCAATGAGGACACCTGGAGTGGGACAATTATGGAACTGTCTCATGTATTGCAGGATATTTAACACCTTGGGCTCCAGACCACCCATAGTACCCACAGCCATTATGACATTACCAATCCCCGTATCCATCCTAAGTAACCTCAGAGATGGGGGGAGAATACTGTGCCCTACTGAGAACAATTGGTAAGTAGGATAATCTGTTTTTCTAAGACACATGAAGCATAATCAAATTTTGAGAAAACTCAAGAAATACAAATAAGACATAAATCATTGCAATAAACAATGATTGCCACAAAATAAATGCTGCAACAGTAACAGTTGGTTACTATGGTACAGAGACACTAGACTACAGATTATATGTAATTTGTATCACATCCCTCTAACTCTGCCCCTCAAGAAAGGATTGCTTTCACTCATTTCAAGAAGAATGCAAGTGATTGAGAGTAAAGGATTAGGAATGCCTTTGATTCTGCTCTATTGTATTTTTTCTAAGTAGACAGCACTAAGTCTAGTACTTGAATAACATTCTTTTTTTTTTTTAAGACAGAGTCTCACACTGTCGCCCACGATGGAGTGCAGTGGTGCAATCTCTGCTCACTGCAACTTCTGCCTCCCGGGTTCACACCATTCTCCTGCCTCAGCCTCCCAAGTAGCTGGGACCACAGGTGCCCACCACCCCACCCAGCTAATTTTTTGTATTTTTAGTAGAGACGGGGTTTCACCGTGTTAGCCAGGATGGTCTCGATCTCTTGACCTCATGATCTGCCCACCCCAGCCTCCCAAAGTGCTGGGATTACAGGTGTGAGCCACCGCATCCGGCCTTGAATAACATTTTCTAACACAGCTCAAAAGTTTGTGACACAACCACTGCTAACTGCTAATATGGAATTTAAATAGAGGTGTTATGAAATTTCCATATTTAGAAGATTATTCTGGTAGTTTAGAGTCAAGCAAGACTGGTTCATACTTTCGTAGAAGTTCAAGCAACCAATACTGAGGACTGGGAAACAGTAAAAGGGATGGATTTAAGATATGTCTGGGGAGGAAAAAAAATCAACAAGATTTGCTGGCCACTAAGAGAGGTGAGAAAAGGAAGAGAGGAGACCCAGGGAAAGCCACCGGCCATAATAAGTAAACAGAGGACACGAAGAGACAACAAAATCAAGCCATAAGGTAAAAAAGGAAATTTCCAACAGCCAATTTAGTGAATAAAGGACAGCATTCCCCAGATCCTGGCCTGCCAAATTCTAGACTTGCAAAAAATCATACTGTAAAAGGGTTCTGTGGTCAAGTAAGTTTGAGAAATATTTTCTACTCTCCCATCTTAGAGATTTAGTATACATATTTAGTGTATTACTATTCTAAGCTGTTTTACAGGAAAGAAACAAGTTTAAATTTTATTTAACCCACTGCATCCCATAAGTTTGGTCTCAGAACTCTTTTTCCTCCAAAAGCCATGAAGATCCTACCAAACCAATGTTCCAGGGAACACGCTTTGGGAAACAGAATTTTAAAATGTATGTAGGAGAACTCCTACAAGTCAATCACAAAAAGACAAACAACTGAATTTTAAAATGGACCAAGGACTTCAATAGACAGTTCTTCAAAGAAGACATACAAATGGCCAAAAAGCACATGAAAAGACACTCAACATCACTAGTGATTAGGGAGGGAAATACAAATCAAAACTGCCATGAGGTATCTCTTAACGTGAGATAGGAAGGCTATTATCAAAAACAGAAAATCACAAGTGCTGGAGACGATGTGGACAAATTCAATCTTTGTGCATTGCTGGTGAGAATGTAAACTGGTGCAGCCACTGCAGGAAACAGTAGCTCCTCTAACAGTTTTTTGTTTGGTTTTTCTGTTTTTCTTTTTTTTAAGACAAGGTCTCACTCTATCGCCTCAGCTGGAGTGCAGTGGCATGATCTCAGCTCACTGCAGCCTCAACCTCCCAGGCTCAAGCAGTCCTCCCACCTCAGCCTCCTGAGTAGCTGGGACTACAGGCACAAGCCACCATGCCCAGCTAATTGAGTTTATATGTTCATGGAATACAAATACGGTTTTGCTACACTGATATACTGCATTGTGGTAAAGTCAGGACATTCAGTGCATCCATCTCTGGAGCAATGCACATTGCACCCGAGCAACCTCCCATCATCTACTCCCATCCCACAGTTCCTCAGAGAGTTAAACACAGAATTACCAGGTGATCCAGCAATTCCACCTCTGGGTATATCCCCAAAAGAACTGGGGCCAGGCATGGTAACTCACTCCCGTAATCCCAGCACTTTGGGAGGCCGAGGCGGGAGGATCATGAGGTCAAGAGATTGAGACAATCCTGGTCAACATGGTGAAACCCTGTCTCTACTAAAAATACAAAAATTAGCTGGCCATGGTGGCACAGGCCTGTAGTCCCAGCTACTTGAGAGGCTGAGGTAGGAGAATCGCTTGAACCCAAAAGACAGAGATTGGAGTGAGCCGAGATCATGCCACTGCACTACAGCCTGGAGACAGAGCGAGAGTCTGTCTCACAAAAAAAAAAAAAAAAAAAAAGGAATTGGAAACAGGGATTCAAACAGATATTTGTACACCTATATTCAACAGTAGTATTATTTACAATAGCCAAAAGGTGGAAATAATCCAAATAACCATTGACAGATGAATAGATAAACAAAATGTGGTTTATACATGCAATGGCATATTATTCAACTTTAAGACAAAAGGATATTCTGGCACATGCTGCAATATAGATAAACCTTGAAGACATTATACTATGTGAAATGTTGACATTTTAAATTCTGGTTGATTTGCATCTCTCGATCTTTCCACCCATTTGCCATACACCCAGCAGCATTTATCTTCTTTTTCCTTCTTTTTTTCTGAGACAGTACCCAGCCTGGAGTGCAGTGGCATGATCTCAGCTCACTGCAACCTCTGCCTACCAGGTTCAAGCGATTCTCCCACCTCAGCCTCCCAAGTAGCTGGGACTACAGGCACTCGCCACCACATCCTGCAAATTTTTGTATTTTTTGTAGAGCCGAGTTTCACCATGTTAGCCAGACTGGTCTCGAACTCCTGAGCTCAAGTGATCTGCCCACCTTGGCCTCCCAAAGTGATGGGATTATAGACATGAGCCACCGTGCCTGGCCCATTTCATCTCCTATGGCAGTGTTTCTCAGCCTAGCTTCTTAGAATCACCTGGGAAGAGTTTGGGTTTTGCTGTTTTTTTAATTTGTCACAAAAAGACAAATACTATATGATTCCCATCATATGAGGTATCTAGAGTAGTTGAAATCATAGAGACAGAAAGTAGTATGGTGGTTGCCAGGAGGGCAGGAGGGAGGAGAGAATGGGGAGTCCTTGTTTAATGGGTATCGAGTTTCAGCTTTGCAAGATTAAAAAGTTCTGGAGATTGGTTATACAACACTGTGAATATACTTAAAACCACTAAACTTGCAGATGTAACTATAAATTTACATTTTTTAAATGAAATTTTTTGTTATGTGTATTTTATAACTAAAACATAACTAGGATCAGGGAGCATCTGAGACCCCTGAAATTTGAAGCATAGGCAAGTATTTGACTACTTTTGAATTCTGGCTGATTTGTGTCTCTCGATCTTTCCCTCCATTTCCCATAGACCCAGCTGTATTTCATCTTCCATTGCAGTGTTTCCCATCCCAGCTCCTGAGAATCACCTGGGAAGAGTTTGTGGGGAGATGGGGTCGGGGGGGCGGTGGGGTGGGGTGGGGGTGGGGCCTTTTTTTGTTTTGTTTTTTTAATGCTACTTTCCCTCAACCGCCACCCCCCCACACCTCAATAATGTTCTATTTAGTTGGTCTGGCATTGGGCAGGGGTTTTTCTTCAAAGATACCCAGGTAACGGGCAGCCAGGATGAGAACCACACTTGTCATTGAACACTGTAGCTCACCATTCCCATCCCATGTGCTAGGCAAGTCCTGTGCCAACCTCCTGCTAATGTATTTTCTCTCTTGAATTCCACAATAGCCCTAGGAGGGTTCTCGGTGTACAGGTGAGGAAGCCAAGGTTTGGAAGGGTTATAAGCTGCACATATCAGCCTAGCAAGTAAATCGTAAACACAAAATTCGAACTGTGCTTAACTATAAATCCAATGCCTCCTCCCCTGAGGTTGCTGCCCCAAAAAGAAAAGCCTGCTGTGATTCTGCAGACAATCAGGTAACTTTGGTTTGATATCTTCTCTCTTGACAGCACAGTGATACCCATCTTCTGGCAGGACCCAGTATAACAGCAGCACCACGAATTTAGGATCAGAAGAAACACACTTTGGTCAGCAAGGAAAGATGTCATACAGGAATCCCTCTAAGAAGCGTCTTAGCCACCCTATGGCAGAAGACAGTTCAGGTATCAAATGATTACATAAATCTCATTGTTCATAACAACTCAACACTTGCTACTTAATGTTAATATGTGAGCAAGATCAAGTGCTCATATGTGGTGTACCTTAAATCCAGTTGCTTTGTCAAAAAGGAAGATGTAACAGATTGATTGATTTGTCCACGAATGACTATTAAAATGGAGGAATTGGATGGACAGAAAGTCTCTTGACAATGGCTATAAACAAAAGTCCAGCTCTTCTAGGAAGTCCATCTCTGCCTAGCTACTACAGGAATAAACCAGCTAACATTACTTCTGTAGTCCCCATAACAGGTCTTTTATGAAATGCCCTAGTTCCTAGAGCTGCCTCTATGCTCTTATTTCTTATAATCAAACCAAAGATATAAAAAGCAAAGTGAAAAATGTACCTCTTGAATGTGTCATTTTATTGATTTTAAGTATTCTACTCATTGCATGATTTTAATTTATACTTTCAGTCTTTATTTTTATAAAAGCCCTTTCTTAAAATATTTTAATTTGTATTAAAATAGTTCAAGCACATAATTTATTTTAAAAGAAAAGTCATACTACAGAGATACAGTTAAAGTAATACTTTTATGTCACATTGACAGGTGAAGCTGGCTGGGCTTCTAGGTCAGGTGGGGACTTGGAGAACTTTTCTGTCTAGCTAAAAGATTGTAAACACACCAATCAGCGCTCTGTATCTAACTAAAGGTTTGTAAACACACCAATTAGCACTCTGTAAAAATGCACCAATCAGTGCTCTGCGTCTAGCTAAAGGTTTGTAAACACACCAATCCACTCTGTAAAAACAGACCAATCAGCACTCTGTAAAATGGACCAATCAGCAGGTGTGGGTGGGGCCAAATAAGGGAATAAAAGCTGGCCACCTGAGCCAGCAGCGGCAACCTGCTGAGGTCCCCTTCCACGCTGTGGAAGCTTTGTTCTTTCTCTCTTCACAGTAAATCTTACTGCTGCTCACTCTTTGGGGCCACACTACCTTTATGAGCTGTAACACTCACTGTGAAGGTCTGCGGCTTCGCTCCTGAAGTCAGCGAGACCACGAACACACTGGGAGGAACAAACAATTCCAGACGTGCCACCTTTAAGAGCTGTAAAACTCACTGCGAAGGTCTGCGGCTTCACTCGTGAAGTCAGTGAGACCAAGAACCCACTGGAAGGAACCAATTCCGGATACATTTTGGTGAACCAGATGGGACTATCGCCTATCGTCAAGCAGTGAGTACCATCGGACCCCTTTCACTTGCTATTCTGTCCTATTTTTCCTTAGAATTCGGTGGCTAAATACCGGGCACCTGTCGACCAGTTAAAAGCAACTAGCGTGGCCACCGGACTAAAGACACAGGTGTCAGGCTTTCTGGGAAAGGGCTCTCTAACATACCCCGACTCTTCGGAGTTGGGAGCGTTGGTTTGCCTGGAACCAGCTTCCACTTTTCCTTTACTTCTGGGCTGAGCCAAAGGTTGATGGAGAGGAAAGCCATTCAGCTCCGGGGAGCCAACAACAAGTTGGTTGACCCTGAGCCATGAGCGGAACTCTCAAAGTCATGTCACCCAAGCAAGACTCACCCGTCTACCCTATCTATCCTGACCCTTGCCGCCTGGGTACTAAAGCCTGTCAGACAAACTTCCTCTCACCTCTCTTCTCCAAGGCTAGTCCCACTTCTAAAAACCACTCCCTGTCTCTAGTGCTTTTCTAGTTTCTCCTACAAGAATGATTTCTAGTATAAACTTCAGGACTCTGTTACCTTCTTTAGGCACCCAGGCCAATCAGAAAACATAATTTTTGCCCAAAGCCCCATCGGGGCAGGGGACTATCTTATCTGGAATTTTAGGATCCCTCCTCAGACTAGCAGGCCTAACAAAAGCTATTCCGGAAGCTAGGATATGGGGAGCTTCAGAAATGATATCCTTCTTATTCATATAAGTGAGGATCAAAAGGCAGCACTCTTCCAACTCTGGAGATCCCTCCCCTCCTCAGGGTATGGCCCTCCATTTCATTTTTGGGGCATAACATCTTTACAGGACACAGGTAAAGTCCCAATACTAACAGGAAAATGCTTAGGACTCTAACAGGTTTTCAAGAATGCATTGGTAAGGGCCACTAAATCCAATTTTTCTCAGTCCTCTTTGTGGTCTAGGAGGACAGGCAAGGGTGCAGGTTTTCAAGAATGCGTTGGTAAGGGCCACTATATCCAACATTCCTCAGTCCTCCTTGTGGTCTAGGAGGAAAACTAGTGTTTCTGCTGCTGTGTTGGTGAGCGCAACTATTCCAGTCAGCAGGGTCCAGGGACCGTTGCAGGTTCTTCGGCAAGAGGTGTTTCTGCTGCTGTGTCGGTGAGTGCAACTATTCCCATCAGCAGGGTCCAGGGACCATTGCAGGTTCTTGGGCAAGAGGTATTTCTGCTGCTGCGTCAGTGAGCACAACTATTCCAATCAGCAGGGTCCAGGGACCATTGCAGGTTCTTGGGCAGGGGGAGAAACAAACAAACCTAAACCACGGGTAGTTTTGTCTTTCAGATGGGAAACACTCAGCCATCAACAGGCTCACCCTTGAAATGCATCCTAAGCCACTGGGACCAATTTGACTCGCAAACCCTGAAAAAGAGGCGGCTCATTTTTTTCTGCACTATGGCTTGGCCCCAATATTCTCTCTCTGATGGGGAAAAATGGCCACCTGAGGGAAGTATAAATTACAATACTATCCTGCAGCTTGACCTTTTCTGTAAGAGGGAAGGCAAATGGAGTGAAATATCTTATGTCCAAGCTTTCTTTTCATTGAAGGAGAATCCACAACTAAGCAAAGCTTGCAATTTACATCCCACAGGAGGACCTCTCAGCTTACCCCCATATCCTAGCCTCCCTATAGCTCCCCCTCCTATTAATGATAAGCCTCTTCTAATCTCCCCTGCCCAGAAGGAAATAAGCAAAGAAATCTCCAAAGGACCACAAAAACCCCCGGGCTATCGGTTATGTCCCTTTCAAGCTGTAGGGGGAGGGGAATTTGGCCCAGCTCGGGTACATGTCCCTTTCTCCCTCTCTGATTTAAAGCAGATCAAGGCAGACCTGGGGAAGTTTTCAGATGATCCTGACAGGTACGTAGATGTCCTACAGGGTCTAGGGCAAACCTTCGATCTCACTTGGAGAGATGTCATGCTATTGTTAGATCAAACCCTGGCCTTTAATGAAAAGAATGTGGCTTTAGCTGCAGCCCAAGAGTTTGGAAATACTTGGTATCTTAGTCAAGTAAATGATAGAATGACAGCCAAAGAAAGGGACAAATTCCCTACTGGTCAGCAAGCCATCCCCAGTATGGATCCCCACTGGGACCTTGACTCAGATCATGGGGACTGGAGTCGCAAACATCTGTTGACCTGTGTTCTAGAAGGACTGAGGAGGATTAGGAAAAAGCCCATGAATTCTTCAGTGATGTCCACCATAACTCAGGGAAAGTAAGAAAATCCTTCTGCCTTCCTTGAGCAGCTACGGGAGGCCTTACGAAAATATACTCCCCTGTCACCTGACTCACTCAAGGGACAGTTAATCCTAAAAGGTAAGTTTATTACCCAATCAGCCACAGATATCAGGAGAAAGCTCCAAAAGCAAGCCCTGGGCCCTGAACAAAATCTGGAGGCATTATTAAACCTGACAACCTTGGTGTTCTATAATAGGGACCAAGAGGAACAGGCCCAAAAGGAAAAGCAAGATCAGAGAAAGGCTGCAGCCTTAGTCATGGCCCTCAGACAAACAAACCTTGGTGGTTCAGAGAGGAGAGAAAATGGAGCAGGCCAATCAGCTGGTAGGGCTTGTTAACAGTGTCCTTTTTTAAAGGACACTTCAAAAAAGATTGTCCAATGAGAAACAAGCTGCCCCCTCATCCCTGTCTGCTATGCCAAGGCAATCACTGGAAGGTGCACTGCCCCAGAGTGCAATGGTTCTCTGGGCCAGAAACCCCCAACCAGATGATCCAACAACAGGACTGAGGGTGCCTGGGGCAAGTGCCAGCTCATGTCACCACCCTCACTGAGCCCTGGGTATGCTTAACCATTGAGGGCCAGGAAATTGACTTCCTCCTGGACACTGGCACGGCCTTCTCAGTGTTAATCTCCTGTCCTGGACCACTGTCCTCAAGATCTGTTACCATCCGAAGAATCCTGGGACAGCCTGTAACCAGGTATTTCTCCCACCTCAGTTGTAATTGGGAGACTTTGCTCTTCTCACATGCCTTTCTTGTTATGCCTGAAAGTCCCACACCCTTATTAGGGAGGGATATATTAGCCAAACCTGGAGCCATTATCCACATGAATCTAGGGAACAAGTTACCCATTTGTTGTCCCCTGCTTGAGGAGGGAATTAACCCTGACGTCTGGGCATTGGAAGGAACAAACTCAAACTCCAGCCTTAAGCCTTCCCACAAGACAAAACTTCTCTTTATACGTCACAGGGAGAGGAGGAATAGCTCTTCAAGTCCTTACTCAGACTCGTGGGACAACCGCACATCACTGGCATACCTAAGTAGGGAAATTGATGTAGTAGCAAAAGGCTAGCCTCACTGTTTATGGGTAGTTGCAGCAGTGGCTGTCTTAGTGTCAGAGACTATCAAAATAATACAAGGAAAGGATCTCACTGTCTGGACTACTCATGATGTAATGGCTTACTAGGTGCCAAAGGAAGTTTATGGCTATTGGACAGCTGCCTACTTAGATACCAGGCGCTACTCTTTGAGGGACCGGTGCTTCAAATACATATGTGTGTGGCCCTCAACCCTGACACTTTTCTCTCAGAGGATGGAGAACTACTTTTCTCTCAGAGGATGGAGAACCAATCAAGCATGACTGCCAACAAATTATAGTCCAGACTTATGCCACCTGAGATGATCTCTTAGAAGTCCCCTTAGCTAATCCTGACCTTAACCTATATACCAACGGAAGTCCATTTGTGGAGAATGGGATATGAAGGGCAGGTTATGCCATAGTTAGTGATGTAACTGTACTTGAAAGTAAGCCTCTCCCCCCAGGGACCAGCACCCAGTTAGGAAAACTAGTGGCACTTACCTGAGCCTTAGAACTGAGAAAGGGAAAAAGAATAAATGTATATATAGATAGCAAGTATGCTTATCTACTCCTACATGCCCATGCTGCAATATGGAAAGAAAGGGAGTTCCTAACCTCTGGGGGAACCCCCCTTAAATACCACAAGGAAACCATGGAGTTATTGCACACAGTGCAAAAACCCAAGGAGGTGGCAGTCTTACACTGCCGAAGCCATCAAAAAGGGGGAAGAGGAGGGGAGAACAGCAGCATAAGCAGCTGGCAGAGGCAGGGAAAGACCAGCAGAAAGGAAAGAGAGAAAGAGACAGAAAGCCAAACAGACAGAGAGAGGAAGAGACAGAGACAAAGAGGGAGTCAAAGAGAGAGAGAAAGAGACACAGACAGTCAAAGAGAGAGAGGAAGAGACAAAGAGGGAGTCAGAAACAGAGAGACAAAGAAGTCAAAGAGAAAGAAAGATAGAAGTAGTAAAGAAAAAACGGGGTACCCTGTTCCTTTAAAAGCCAGGGTAAATTTAAAACCTATAATTGATAATTGAAGGTCTTCTCTGTAACCCTATAACACTCCAATACCATCTTGTTATCAGTGTAAACAAGGGCATAGCCCAAAAGCACTGAGGCCACTGACAAGCCATAGCCTTCCTATCAAAAATCCTTAACCCAGCAGGTTTCCTAACAGGGGATCTAAATCTTAATTAATTACCATACAAAGGTCTGACCAGATCTAGGAGGAACTCCCTTCAGGACAGGAAGATAAATGGTTCCTCCCGGGCAATTAAGGAAAAAAGACACAATGGGTATTCAGTAAATGATAAGCAAACTCTTGTAGAAGCAGAGTTAGGAAAATTGCCCAATAATCGGTCTGCTCAAATGTGCGAGCTGTTTTCACTCAGCCAAACCTTAAAGTACTTACAGAATCAGAAAGGAGCCATCTATACCAATTCTAAGTTAATAGGGACTGAATGAGGTCTTATTAATAGCAAAGAATAATTGAAATCCCAAACTTACAAGGTTTTCAACAAAAGTAAAGTTTGCTAAAAGTTAACAGTGTAAACATATATTATCCTAACTTCTAATCTTGTGGAAATCAGACCCTATCAGTACCTCTCAAAGCCCAAGTCCGTCAGCGCAGAGCCATACAACTAATACCCCTACTTACAGGGTTAGGAATGGCTACTGCTACAGGAACCAGAATAGCCAGTTTATCTACTTTGTTATCCTACTACCACACACTCAAAGGATTTCTCAGACAGTTTGCAAGAAATAACGAAATCTATCCCTACTCCACAATCCCAAATAGACTCTTTGGCAGCAGTGACTCTCCAAAACCACTGAGGCCTAGACCTCCTCACTGCTGAGAAAGGAGGACTCTGCACCTTCTTAGGGGAAGAGTGTTGCTTTTACACTAACCAATCAGGGGTAGTACAAGATGCCGGCCCAGCGTTTACAGGAAAAGGCTTCTGAAATCAGGCAATGCCTTTCAAACTCTTATACCAATCTCTGGAGTTGGGCAACATGGCTTCTACCCTTTCTAGATCCCGTGGCAACCATCTTGCTATTACTCACCTTTGGGCGCTATATTTTCAACCTCCTTGTCAATTTGTTTCCTCTAGAATTGAGGCCATCAAGCTACAGATGGTCTTACAAATGGAACCCCAAATGAGCTCAACTAACAACTTCTATCGAGGACCCCTGGACCGACCCACTGGCCCTTTCACTGGCCTAAATAGAGTTCCCCTCTGGAGGACACTAAAACTGCAGGGCCCCTTCTTCACCCCTATCCAGCAGGAAGTAGCTAGAGTGGTCATTGCCTAATTCCCAACAGCAGTTGGGGTGTCCTGTTTAGAGGGAGGATTGAGAGGTGAAGCCAGCTGGGCTTCTGGGTCAGGTGGGGACTTGGAGAACTTTCCTTTCTAGCTAAAGGATTGTAAACACACCAATCAGCACTCTGTGTCTAGCTAAAGGTTTGTAAATGCACCAATCAGCACTTTGTAAAAACACACCAATCAGTGCTCTGTGTCTAGCTAAAGGTTTGTAAATGCACCAGTCAGCACTCTGTAAAATGGACCAATCAGCACTCTGTAAAATGGACCAATCAGCAGGATATGGGCAGGGCCAAATAACGGAATAAAAGCTAGCTACCCGAGCCAGCAGTGGCAACCCACTGAGGTCCCCTTCCAAGCTATGGAAGCTTTGTTCTTTTGCTCTTCACAATAAATCTTGCTACTGCTGACTCTTTGGGTCCGCACTACCTTTATGAGCTGTAACACTCACTGCGAAGTTCTGCAGCTTCAATCCTGAATTCAGTGAGACCACGAACGCACTAGGAGGAACAAACAACTCTGGATGTGCCACCTTTAAGAGCTGTAACACTCACTGCGAAGGTCTGCGGCTTCACTCCTGAAGTCAGCGAGACCACGAACCCACTGGGAGGAACAAACGATTCCGGACGTGCCACCTTTAAGAGCTGTTAACACTCACTGCGAAGGTCTGCGGCTTCACTCCTGAAGTCAGCGCGACCACGAACCCACTGGGAGGAACAAACTATTCCGGACGTGCCACCTTTAAGAGCTGTAACACTCACTGCAAAGGTCTGCGGCTTCACTCCTGAAGTCAGCGAGACCACGAACCCACTGGGAGGAACAAACGATTCTGGACGTGCCACTTTTAAGAGCTGTAACACTCACTGCGAAGGTCTGTGGCTTCACTCCTGAAGTCAGCAAGACCATGAACCCACTGGAAGGAAGAAACTCCAGACACATCTGAACATCTGAAGGAACAAACTCCAGACACACCATCTTTAAGAGCTGTAACACTCACCGTGAGGGTCCGCAGCTTCATTCTTGAAGTCACCGAGACCAAGAACCCACCAGAAGGAACCAATTCCACACAACATCTCTTTTACCCCCAGAGGCAACCAATTAAAGCCATTTCATTTCTCATTCTTCTGGTGATCACCACCATATAATTTACTGAATTTTCTTCATTCTCCATATGTAGCCACTTTGTTCTCATCTTAAGGCATAAAAAGAAATTCACATATTAAAACAGAATATGGACTTAAACTTTTTTAAGAATACCGTTTCTAGTATATAGGTAAAATTTCTCATTCCCCTAAGATGTAAAGGCACACAGGAAGGTAACTTTTGCTATCATTCCTTTTATTTTTAAAGTAAAATATGTGGCTGGGTGTGGTGCTTCATACCTATAATCCCAGCACTTTGAGAGGCCAAGGCAGGAGGATCACCTGAGCCTGGGAGATGGAGGCTGCAGTGAGCCAAGATTGTGCCACTGCACTCCAGCCTGGGCATCAGAGTGAGACCCTGTCTCAATCAATCAAGTAAAAAATTTAAAAGGCCATGTTTGGCTGGGCGCAGTGGCTCACGCCTATAATCCCAGCACTTTGGGAGGCCGAGGGGGGTGGATCACGAGGTCAGGAGGTCGAGACTATCCTGGCTAACAAGGTGAAACCCCGTCTCTACTAAAAATACAAAAAATTAGCTGGGCGTGGTGGCAGGCACCTGTAGTCCCACCTACTCAGGAGGCTGAGGCAGGAGAATGGCATGAACCCAGGAGGTGGAGCCTGCAGTGAGCCAAGATCGTGCCACTGCACTCCAGCCTGGGCCACAGAGCAAGACCCCATCTCATAAAGAAATAAATAAATAAATGGCAGTGTTCTGACACTCAAAATGTAATATTTTCCTACATTCCCTGTAGCAGAGTAGCTACCTGCTCAGTATCTATCCTCCCCACCATCCTTTAACAGTTTTGGCTCAGCATGAGGCCACCTGTCTCAAAACTACATATCCCAGCCTCCCATGTGCTTCATACAGTCATATATGGCTTTCTGACCAACAGGATGTAAAGGGAAACTATGTGTGCCAATTCAAGTCATATTTTTAAAAGATATAAGGGAAACTGGCTGGATGCAGTGGCTCACGCCTGTAATTTCAGCACTTTGGGAGGCCGAGGCAGGTGGATCACCTGAGGTCAGGAGTTGGAGACCAGCTTGCCTGGCCAACATGGTAAAGCCCTGTCTCTACTAAAAATACAAAAATTAGCTGGGCATGGTGGCGCATGCCTGTAATCCCAGCTACTCAGGAGGGTGGGGCAGGAGAATCACTTGAACCCGGGAAGCTGAGGTTGCAGTGAGCTGAGATCGCACCACTGCACTCTAGCCTGGGTGAGACAGCAAGACTCTATCTCAAAAAAAAAAAAAAAAGATATAAGAAAAACTCCCTGAGTCATTTTTTTAATGACTTAATAATTAACGGTGGAGCCTCAATCCTGTATGAGTGATATTTGAAGACAAAGAGACACCAGAGATCTCTATATGCAAGCACAGACAAAAGGCCAGTTGAGGACACAGTGAGAAGGTAGCTTATCTACAAGCCAGAAGGAGAGCTCTCACTAGAAACTGAATTTGCTGGCACCTTGATCATGGACTTCCAGCCTCTAGAACTGTGAAAAAATAAATAATTGTTATTTAAGCCACCCAAGTCTGTGATATTTTGCTATGGCAGACCTAGGAGGTGAATACGGCCATACGTTGTTTAATGACAAAGATGATGGAAATATGTTCCAAGAAATGCATTGTTAGGCAATTTCACCATTGTGTGAACATCATAGCCTGTACTTACACAAACCTAGATGGTATAACTTACTGTTCACCTGTACAATAGGCTACAAGTTTATAGCCTATTGCTTCTAAGCTATAAATCTGTACTGAATATGTAGGCAACTGTAACACAACAGTAAGTATTTGCGTATCTAAACATAGAAAAGGTACAGTAAAATACAGTATTATAATCTCATAGGACCAGAGTGACATAAGCAGTCTGTCCTTGATCAAAAACATTGTTATATGCTGCTTGACTGTACATCTGTCAATCAAAGATTGATTATATAATTTGCCCCATATTTATACAACTAGAGTACTATGAAGACTTCTAAAGAAACAGGTGGGGCTGGGTGCAGTGGCTCATGCCTGCAATCCCAGCACCTTGGGAGGCCAAGGCAGAGGATTGCTTGAGCCCAGGAGACTGAGGTCATAGAGAGCTATGATCAAGCAATTGCACCCCAGCTTTGATGACAGAGTAAGACCCTGTCTTAAAAAAGAAAAGAAAAAGATGGTACATTCACATGTAGTGCCATAGAAAGATGTCTCCACTATCTCGCATGATAAAAACAAATTGTCAGTGCATGTATAGCATAATCCTGTTGAAAAGCAAACTGCTATATTGGCTCATGCAGACTTTTCAAGTCTGGAGAGATAGTGGCTACAAGGAGATAAAAAGCAATAATGGGAAGAAAGAGACACTGGGAGGGGTTTCATTTTTTAAGTTATATGTAACTGTAATTCTTACGTTTTGAGATAACATGGGTTTTTTATAGCAAATGAATTTATAAATATATACATTTTATTTATTTATTTATTTTGAGATGGAGTCTTGCTCTGTCACCCAGGTTGGAGTGCAGTGGCACAACCTCGACTTACTGCAATTTCCACCTCCCAAATTCAAGTAATTCTCCTGCCTCAGCCTCCCGAGTAGCTGAGATTACAGGTGTACACCACCACACTCAGCTAATTTTTTGTATTTTTAGTAGAGATGCGGTTTCACCATGTTGGTCGGGCTGGTCTTGAACTCCTGACCGTAAGTGATCCACCCGCCTCAGCCTCCCAAAGATCTGAGATTACAGGCACGAGCCACCACGCCCAGCCTATAAATATATACATTTTAAAAAACAAAGAAAGACAGCAAATTCATGTTAACTGAGAATTTCCCAAACTTCAGAGTTCCTGAGTTTGCCTATAAATCAGGACTTTTGTGGGTCTAAGAGTGATTTCTTTCCTAGAGCTTGGGTTTTATATAAGTGAGAATCCTATATGATAGAAACTTGACCTTTTTCTCTCGTAATATCTAATTATAAAAATTTTCATACATACATGAAAGCCGAATTTGACAGTGAACATCTATATGCCCACTATATCGATTCTACAATTAATACTTTACTATCCTTGCTTTACGACATGATTATCCAACCCTCTGTTCCTTGATCCATCTTATTTTTCTATGTATTTAAAAGTTGCAGACATGAGTTTACCTCCTCCTAAATATTTCCATATGTATAGCATGCAATGCACTTTTAAATGGATAAAAATAACAAAAAAACTTTCACATGCCAGAAGACCACACACTTAATGTTAGACAACAAAAGAGAGGGGCTTGGAAACAGAAGAAGTGGGGTGTAGTTCAAACGGACTAATTAGATTTTGTTTGCCACCGTGGTCCAGCCTTCACCAAGAAAGAGCAGTAAAGCACCACACCTCACAAGCCAAACACCAATATGTTTGTCATTAGTCAACACTGCAGTTTAAAAAAAAAAAAAATCAAAGGGAAAATGAGGATCTGGACATATTTGTTGCTGTGAGCATTTGCCAAGAGAAGTTTGTGTCTCAAACTGGGAGGTTTTGCCCAGGTTGGCTCTAAGCCTTTAGTTTCTGGGAAGATCATGCCTGCCAAACATCCTTTGAAGTGCTTGAGATATGGTCTGTTGCTGTTTTCCTACAAATATTTGCATGTTGATATCATTGAATATTCTCAATTTTTTCAAGTGTTAACTATAGAAACACCTAACTCCAGACAGCCCAAGAAGACTTTCATGTAACATAGTGTGTCAACTTTTTCACCCTACCTTCATTTTCAAGGTAGTTCCACATCTTCTCATTTCTAATTGGCAGGTAACTTAATAGGATTTAAAAACCATGCAAACCAGCTTCCCTTTGATAGATGGGCTCACCAGACAGCCTGGTTTATAGGAAGCAAAGCAACACAATCCTCTTCCTAAACCAGAGATAACATTTGTTCCTGCTTTAATGACTGTGCCCAGCATGGCACTGCCCGTAATCATATTTAGAAACACAGCTGCTTGATTTATTTGCAATGATGGTGCCTTTCCATGGTTCCCACCAGAACAGGAATTACTGAATGTCTCAGTTCCCGCTCAGAAGTCTGACACTTAAAGGAAATTCCACAGAGATTTTTGTTTCCAAGGAAGTCAGTGCCTGCTTGATAAGGGAAACACATAAAATTCCAAATTTTAAGACTGCTAAAAAGAAAAAAAAATCTGGAATAAAGCACTATTTATTAAAAGAAAACACTGCTAGAACATTTGTCACCAATATTAGAAAATCATTAGATGTTATTATTTTACTCCCTAGGTACAATGCTCCCTTCTCACCCCCAACTCAACTACAAACTACAGAAAATACATACAGGTGCGATGCAGGTAATGCATGATTTTTAAGTGCTTGCATGGTATGCTTGGTTCAGAAAGATTTGAGTCTGGCCAGTCATGGGGGCTCATGCCTGTAATCCCAGCACTTTGGGAGGCACAGGCAGGCAGATCACTTGAGGTCAGGAGTTCGAGACTGGCATGGCCAACATGCAAAACCCCGTCTCTACTAAAAATACAAAAATGAGCCAGGCATCGTGGCACGTGCCTGTAGCCCCAGCTACTCAGGAAGCTGAGGCAGGCAAATCACTTGAACCTGGGAGGTGGAGGGTGCAGTGAGCCGAGATTGCACCATTGCACTCCAGCCTGGGTGACAGAGTGAGACTTTATCTCAAAATAAAAATAAAACAAAAAAGATAAGGCCGGGCACGGTAATCCCAGCACTTTGAAGGCCGAGGCAGGCAGATTACGAGGTCAGGAGATCAAGACCATCCTGGCCAATATGGTGAAACCCTGCCTGTACTAAAAATACAAAAAAAAAAAAGATGAGAGTCCAAGGAGAAAAAGCAGCTTATATGTCTTTTTAAACATATCTGTTCTAACTTACATTCCTCTTTTTCTTCCCCTTGTTTAAAATTCAAGAATAAATCAAAAGCTAAATCCACTAAGACTTTAAATGGCCTTCATGGCAAGGAATAAATGACTTTACATTTATCTGTTGAGAACATCAAGGAAAAACTAATTTGAAAAAGAAAAGGCTAATTAATAAGAGCAGAAATGACTACTTAACTTCCTTTGATCTTAGGAATTATTAAATAGTAAAATAACCACTCCATTTTATTAGGTACAATAAACCCGAGAAGGAAAAGGAAGATGAAGCAAATAAAGTGCTGACCTTAAAAGACAAGGCAAGTTCTCTGCCATGGGAGCTCCAACCCACTTGGGTTTCTGCAGAGAACTCGGGATCCTTTGTGTGGTTTACTGACTTTGGAGCACACCATTTGCAGGTCTTACCTCAATAGCAGGGATGGAAAGCATGTGTTCTGAATATCTACCTGCCCACTATGAATCGGTCAAGCTTCAGAGGGACTGTGAATAAAACACTGACCTGAGAACGGTGAGCAAATCTTAGAAGTAGTCATAGTCAGGCCGGGCGCAGTGGCTCACGCCTGTAATCCCAGGCGTGTAATCCCACTTTGGGAGGCCGAGGCAGGTGGATCACGAGGTCAAGAGATCGAAACCATCCTATCCAACATGGTGAAACCCCGTCTCTACTGAAAACACAAAAATTAGGGGACTGCTGGTGCATGCCTGTAAGTCCCAGCTACTCGGGAGGCTGAGGCAGAAGAATCACTTGAACCCGGGAGGTGGAGGTTGCAGTGAGCTGAGATAGCACCACTGCACTCCAGCCTGGCGACAGAGCAAGACTCCATCTCAAAAAAAAAAAAAAAACGAAGAAGTAGCCGTAGTCCCTGCCCTCAAATTCCTTAGTCTCTTTGGAAAGTGCTAAATAAACTCCTATATAAACCATAGCAGCACACTTGGAAAACAAAAACACAGGAGAGATGTAACACAAACAGAAAGTTCGGGAAGTTTTAGAACTCTGGGGAAGAGGGAATGCATCTCTGCACTCTCAGAAGGCTAAGGAATTAAGAGTTTGGATCAAGTTTAGTCAGATCTCCATGGAGCACGCAACTGACATCTGCAATGCACATCTGATGCCCCTGGCTTCCTTGGAATCAGTTTACCTATACTTACATAGATGGGACAGAAAAATATAATTACAGCGTCTGAATCTCCAAAAAGTTCTATCCCCACAGAACATATTATCTGCATATCATAAAACTGCTTTGTAAACAGAAAGGCCTGCACACAATTGCTGTAAATTCTGTAATGGCGCGATTATGTCTTGACCATTTTGTTGTTTTTGTTGTTCCCAGGACTTAGCAAAATGCCTAGTACTTGGGAAGGTGCCAGATTAACAAGGTCAAATGATTTAATTGTCTTTAAAATGGTAAAAATAAACTATACTTGAACTTTAAAACCACAAAATATATGAAACTAGTTACATTTCTAGGGTTACTTGATTTTGTTAATTTCTAAAAAGAAAGGAAAAACTGCACAAGGGCTGGGCGCAGTGGCTCACGCCTGTAATCCCAGCACTTTGGGAGGCCGAGGTAGGTGGATCATTTGAGGTCAGGAGTTGGAGACCAGCCTGGCCAACATGGTGAAACCGTGTCTCTACTTAAAATACAAAAATTAGCCGGGTGTGGTAGTGGGCACCTTTAATCCCAGCTGCTTGGGAGGCTGAGGCAGAAGAATTGCCTGAACCAGGGAGGCGGAAGTTGCAGTGAGCCGAGATCGTGCCACTGTACCCCAGCCTGGGCAATGAAGTGAGACTGTCTAAAACAAAAAAAAAAAAACTGCACAAGAAATTTTGCTGAAGTGAAATTTCTTTGTACAGGAACATGACTTAGAGAAGGCATCTGTATACTCTAAGGCCCTTAGAGTATTAGCTCTGTGGAATTTCAATAACTCCATGTACTGAGAAGAGAAGCAGCAGGTACCAGGAACTATATTATAGCTTCCATTTCATAGACAGGAAGACTAAAGTTTAAAGAGCTTAAAGAGCTTGTCCAAGGACCTACAGCAACTGAAAGCCAAACTGCTTCCAAGCCCACACTCTTAATGCTCACACTAGATTGCTTTACCCAAAATCTTATCACAAACACACCCTTACCAATACCTTGAACTATAGAATTTATTCCAAGAATGGCCTTAAAGAAGCCCTTTGTAGGAATTATAATTCTCCTATCCTTGTCTTAGGTAGGATTCTGTTCAGCTGAGAGTGATATCAAATCCAAAATAATAGGGCTTAACTCACATAAATGAAGCCTAGAGGTGGACAGTGCAGGGCTGGTAGCACAGCTTCAGAAAAGTACACAGGATCCTTCCATCTTGCCGTCTACCATCCTCACAGCACAAGACAGCTGCTGAACTCCAGGCATCATATCCATAGTCCATTAGCAGGAAGTAAGAAGACAATAAAATGACAGTACCTGGAAATCACACATTTATATCCAGTATGTGACCATGCCTAGCTGCAAGGAAGACTGAGAAATACAGCCTTTATTCTAGGTGGCCATACGTCCAGCTAAAAACTGGAATTCTATTTTTAAGGGATGAAGATACTAGAGTAATATCTAGTATCTCTGTGACAGGCATATGATTAACTTGTAAGTAGCTATGAGGACAATGTGGCTACAAAGCTTGACACCATCCATCAACAGGATTGATATTACTGTACATAATCATCATTCTGTTCCTAATAGCTTGTTCTCCTGTTTAGAGCAAAAAGTTCTTTCTGAATGAAATCAAAAGTTTGTGTTTTTTTAAGTTTCATCTTCCACTGTATTTGGAACAATGCCCATTAGATTTCATAAGAAGCACTTGTTTGCCTGCAGCATGCACATCCATCCAAGCTCGTATCAAGAGCTCATGATGTACCAGGCACATGCCTGGCACTGCGCACCACCAGGAACAAAATAGGGCCTGCCCCTCCTGGAGCTTCAGTCACACCCACATTACACAACAAGCATGCTACAAAGGATAGTCCAGGGGCCATACGGGCACAGGCTAGGGTCCTAGATTCATTCCTCTGGAGTGGTCTGAGAGGGGTCCCCCAAGGCGAGGTATTTACACCGAACCCTGGATGATCAAGTGGCTTCACTAGACCCAGAGTCACCAACCAAGTTCATCTGGAAAGACTTCTCAAACTGGGTTCCCATGCAATAAAGTGTATGCATTTTTTTCTTCCACCAACAGTCTTCACACTTACAAGAACTTCCAAGTCCTCTCCCCTCAAACAGGCCTCTGAGATAACAGATGTCACCTCTATTCTGTAAGCTGAGACAAGCAGGAGGAGCCCCATAATCAGACACAAGCACACAGACCATGACACACACCCTGGCTTAGGACACGGATGCGGTCTGCCATTCCCATTAAGCGTAATACTTGGACAAGGGAAAGCATTTGCATAAAGCCACAGAGAGAGAGAAACGATATCAGAACTGACAGCTTCACAGTGGGTGGTTTGATTCATAGGCTGCTCAGTGACATAAATTTAAAAGCCCAGGCCCTCAAGCAACATTTTAGCTTGGGTTCCTTTCCCCTTAATTACAAAATAAACTAAAGCAAAGAAGGTCTCTGCTCTCCTGAGGCTCCCCCTGAAACGCAGGGAGCCTGCTGTTTCCGATTCAATACAATCTCCATTGCACCAGATCAATAGACCCTTTGGCTTGTGATGTCGCCTTCCTCCACCACAGGTTCAGGGGGATGGGGAGAGAGCTGGGTCTCCCTCCCAGGGGTCTCAGGCTTTTTTTTCCCCTTTTCATCTACAAAAAAAATAAAAGCAGAGGGATTCTGAGTTGGCACAAGGATACTCAGACATGGGCAGGCAGCTGCATGAAACAGGCCATAGGAAGGGTCCTTTAGTCAGAGACAGAAATCTACCCAATACAGAGCTACTCAAAGTGTGGTCCCCAGACTGGCAGCACCAGCATCACATGGAAGCCTATTACAAATGCAGAGTCTCAGGGCCCCCGCCAGACCTACTGAGTCGGAATCTGCCTTTTAACAAGATTCTCCAGGCGATTCACAAGCACAGTGAAGTTTGAGAAATATCGTGCTAGAGAGCTACCAAACAGAAAAGGTACAAGCAGAAACAAGTTCTATAGTTAGGCAATCGCTATTGATCTGGTTTGGAAGGAGCCCTTGATTAAAATGACCAGAAAGCTAAGTTTCTAACTAGCTTCCATTCGCTGGCTTAACACAGTAAAACAGACCAAACACACGTGTGGGACATTAGCAACATGTTGGTGTGCGCATGGTGATGGTCACTGTGGAGAAGGTGTTAAAATTCAAATTCACTGATTCAATGGGCTATGGCGAGGCCCAGGAACCTGTATGGGTGAATCAGCACCACAAGTGATTCTGAGGCAGACAGTCCCAAAACACACTATAATAAACTCCACACAGTTTATTAATTACAGTATGAAATCAAGAGGAAATGGTGCTTATGTTAGAAGTGCACTCACAGCCAGTTGAAGGAGAGACCTCAGGACTACCAAGGTGAAGCTGGGCAAGAAGTAAACCTTCTCTGCTCCTAAATATATTACACATACACACACACACACATGCATGTGTTAAGTTTTATAGCAAGGGGCCAGGAACATGTGATTCCCAGATGGTGATGGGGTGTTTATAAGTGGCTTACTTGGAATAGACCTATTCCTAATGAGAACGGGAGGGTGTCTCATCCACAGCTGGTGTAGTTAATTGGTGGGAATGTTTTGGGTCCTGTGGTTCATGCGTTGCAGAGTTCTGTTTAGTCTAAGACAAATGACAACACTTATTCCATTGTACATTCCACCTGAAGGTAAATAGTCAAATCGACATTAACTCCTAGTGGTCCAGGTGAGACAGGTTCTTATAGAGATGGATGAAACTTCTATTTAGAGTTGGCCAAGACTTCAGAAAGCCTCTGGTTCTTGCCGGCCTCTGGGCCGTGGCGCACCTGCACCAGAATCGCCTGGATGACTTGTTAATAATATGCTTTCCTGGACCCCATTGCCAAGATGACTGCAGAACTTCCAGGAGCAGGACCCCGGACTTCACGGTTTTTAGAAACCCCCATGCAGTTCTGGTGACCATCACATTTGTGAACCACAAAAACTGTATCTCCCAATGAGAAAAAGAAAGCAGCATGCCCATAGACACGAGCCCTCAATTTCTATCCGGTGCCCACAGAAGGATGCTGTTAGCCATGCAGAAAACCACCTCTGCCCCAGGGGCTGGCCTTGGGAAAAGGAAAGCAGAAGCATCAGTTTGAGGGGACTTTGTGCCAATCATGAGCCAATCCCCCCCACCACTGAGTCTTTGGTAGATACTCAAAATGTAGCATGTTGGCCGGGCGCGGTGGCTCATGCCTGTAATCCCAGCACTTTGGGAAGTCGAGGCAGGCGGATCACCTGAGGTTAGGAGTTCGACACCAGCCTGGCCAACATGGTAAAACCCCGTCTCTACTAAAAATAGCCGGGTGTGGTGATGGGCAGGCGCCTATAATCCCAGCTACTCCGGAGGCTGAGGCAGGATAATTGCTTGAACCCAGGAGACAGAGGCTGCAGTGAGCTGACATGGTGCCACTGCACTCCAGCCTGGGTGACAAGAGTGACACTCTGTCTCCAAAAAAAAAAAAAAAAAAATGTAGCATATTACACAATCCCATGTCTCCAGCCTAACCCCAGAGCATGGCTCCAAACCAGCTCCAAATCTCGTGGGAGGAGCTGATGTTTGTACACATCTGTTTGGGATTATGCAGTATTTAGTATGAGGGAAAAAGCAATAAAATTGACACAGGCATTATCACATTCCCTTCCTAAATTCTGCCCTAGAAAGCAACACAAACATCTATTTAAAAACGTTAAAAATCAGTGTATGTAGTATGCTACCATTTGTGTTAAAAGAATAATTCTATATACATACCTCTATCTGCTGTCATTTGCATAAAAATCCTTCTAAGTTATACAACAAACTAGAACCCTGGGATAAGAGACGGCTTTTCACCATACCATCTTTTATACTTTTAAAGTTTTGAACCATGAGACTGAATTGCTGATCTAAATCATTAAATTCACTCTTGCTTTTGTTTTCAAAAAAGGATTGCATTAAACTTGCCAAGTTTGCAGTTGACCTTCTGCATCTGCCTGTTCTTAGTCCAGTGGGGCCCTATGACTCCGCAGGGTCAGACCAACACTCCCATTTGTCTCCTCTACTGGTTCCAAAGAGCTGGGTTGGTTCACAGGGTGTGGTCTCCCCACTGGGCACGGGGGTTAAACACTTCCATCACAAGCACACCTCAAACCCTATTCACCATTCGCCAAAGCTTAAAGTGCACAGGATTTAGTTTTCCTAAATAATGCCAAAATTATGGCCAAATAAGTAATCTGCATAGTAAGAAAAGGATCTGATTGGAACATAGCAAGCCGCCCACTTGGCACCATTTACATCCAGACGCTAGCCAGCAGCCACCAAGTAAATCCCAAAGGCCTCCAGCAGAATGAACAAACTGAGAGAACACTCAAGGTCCCACAAGGAGGCCTCGCATGGGAACCAAACAAAAAACTCCTGGGTGTGTCTCTGCTTAATTCCTCTTCCAGGTGAAACTGCTTACCCACCTCCATTAAAAAAAAAAAAGATGTATACTTTTGAGCAGATTCTCAAAAGGCTTTCTGACCCCTAGAGGTTTAAGTGTCATGGCTTTGGAGCAGTTTCTCCATGTGTGGTCCTACAGCTTCCCATCCAGAACCACCTGGAGCACTTTTCTCAAACGCACATCCCTGTGCCTGCAAGGAATAGGAAGTGCCTCCTTCAGAGTATCTGGAGGCCTAGGAATCCACCTGTAAAATAAGCCATTCTCCCACTCACTTCACTAACGATTGAGAGTCACTGATCTCATAAGCATTCGGAAGCTACGGTGTGAACTCAATGAGTAGTGTGTAAGTTGCTAGAATGAAAATGAGATTACTAAGGTTAAGAAAACTCTGACAAACAGAGCCAGGGCAGGTCGCGGAGAGAGAGTTCTCACGCTTGTAGGCCTGATTAACGAAAAAGACTCTGCAAAAACCACAACCTTGCGCAAAGGCCATGACAACCTCACACAAAAAATACTTCGCGAGGACATCTGCCTGTTCACCCTTGGATTGGTGTCACCCTTGCTATTGATCACTGAAGGCAAGGATAATTATTTCAAAGCACTGATGTAATCCTCCTCATTTTTTCCTTTAAAAACCTTTGTCTTCCTTTACCTCTCTGAATGCACACATTGTTTACTAGGCACAGCATTCTCATTGCAATACGCTATTCCCAGATACACATCTTTTCTTTTAGAGAGCCTCTCTCTGTCCGTTATTTAGGTTGACAGTAGTATATGTCCCCTTTTGAAAACTCATGGGGATGGGGAATGAACCAAAATCTCCCCAAAAAGGAAATAAAGTGCTGTGTGTTTGAACTTCCCCTGGAATTGTTTTTCCCTTAAAAATCAGTGTGTGACAGTCAAATGCAGAAAATGCCACAATTGTAATAGCTTTTTCAATGCCATATTTAAACAGCTGAGTGTATAACTTTTAAACCCTTCTTCAAAAACTCATGCCTGACTTCTAAAGATTAAAAGAAAGTCTGACTTGTTTATTGATCATTCACTTAATTACCAAGTATAACAGTTTGCATTCTCAATATGATTTATTAATGACATAAACTTAATATTAACTCATGCTCAACTTGATACCATAATAGCCTTATACAGGAAGCTCTAAACATGTTACACTATTTTTACAGCCTTCTGGGGCTTAATTCCATCCTATGTCTTGATTGAAAACTTCCTCATCTGATCCAGAGAGTTTTCTCCCCAAGTTTTCTTATTGTGAGTCAAGATCTGTCCATGTAAGATTCTTTTTATGTTGGTATTTTAATTGAACACTAAAAAATAATAGTTCTTGGAATACAAGATTTAGTGTAGCCCATAAAAAAATAAAATGATAATAATAAAAAAAATCTAGCTCACTCACATAAATTAAGGCAAAGCCCTAAAAATTCAACCCTCTGAATACCATATATTCTGCAGTTGATTTTCCATTTTCACCTCAAAATGCAATCAATTACAAAGTATTAGCATGTAGCAGTGCAACATGGATACAGATCAGACACATAATTCTCCCTTAAAACATGGAGGCCATTTCTTATATTTGTCTTTCCAAATCTTTATTAACTCCACCAAAAGAGCTTACTGAAGCCCTACCTTCACTTTGACCTCAGGGGCTTTCAGCCAGTAAAAAAAAAAAAAAAAAAAAAAAACAAAAAACAAATTAGAACTCTGATATTCACATACATATGGGGGAAAATCAATAGTTTTAATTTTCACATTGAGGCCCACAATTTTCAACTGATGGCCTCAGCAGGTTTTAATGGACACAAACAATTTACTTTTACTCTTTTAATTGTTTTTAGTCAATCACTTTTTATTGCGCCTCTACATCTGACTAAACAAATTAATCGAGCTATATTCATAAATGATGACTTGGTAAAATGGCCGGTTATGTGTATTTTACTATTTGAGTCTCAATTACAGGCGGCATTAGGAACAAGCTGGCCCAAAAGGTAGCACTGGTCATTAAAGCAGAAAGCAGAACAAGTCGGGAAGAAAATGACAGAGCCGTGGCCTTCTGTGGGTTAGGGCATCGAGGGCAGCTCCCAGCAGTTCGCTTTCTGCCATCTGAAAGCAAACGGCCCTCAAGTTGTTCCCTGGGGAGAAGTGCAGGGTCGTGGGTTTTGGGGATGGCAAAGGCCGTGGAAGCCAGAAGGCAGGTGAGAGCTGTTTGTGTCTAGTTAATTGGAAGACTCTATTACAGCCCAGGCCAGCCTGTAGTCAGACATGCAGACTGTTGTGTACACAACCCACTTTCTTTGGAATCAAATAAACCCTCTTCACTTTCCAAAAGCCCATAATATCCTGGAGCTGCAAGTTATCACCTCTAAATAGGTCATTTGGGGACCCTTTACAAACATCAGGAAAACCCCCTTCTCACTGAAAAAGCTTAAACACAATTTCTCCTAACTTAAAAATCTCCTTACAGATCTAAGAGTTGATCTGTAAGAGCCTCGCCAGAGATAAATATCTATGCCACCAACACAATGTTACATTTTAACTCCTAGAATCTGCTTTGATCATATGATCCAGTCCTGGGCTTGATTTGAATCATTAGTGAAAGTTAATCAATTCCAGTTGTCATCATGGTTTATAGGACACATTTTCCAGGCCTGCCACCAAAGTGCTTTTTAACTTTGAAAAGTCATGGCGGTTTCTGGGTATCTCACTAGAGAGCAGCTGTATCGCAGTGGGTATGACTTTTGCAAATTCGGTTACATGCACTGGCCAAAAAAATAAGTGGGGGAGGGTGAAAAAGGAAATAATTCAAATAGTGCAAATGATTGTGCCATCCATCCACTTGATGAGCACGTGTCCCGGAGAGGGCATGAGATTGGAAATATGATTCAGCTGTCCCCATTGCTGCTCTAAGCTCTGTACCAATTCACACCTACTTGCTGCTCAGCTGAAGAAACTGCAATGAGTTCTAATTCATGAGAAGTTAACTGTGTTAGACTCACTGACAAACAGAACCTTAACTTCCAAAAAGCAGTGGCTTCCTAAGGGAATGTCAAGGATAATTTGGGCTCCCCTAATGTGTTCCCAAACACCATCTTTTTTTTTTTTTTTTTTTTTGGAGACGGAGTCTCGCTCTGTCACCCAGGCTGGAGTGCAGTGGCACGATCTCGGCTCACTGCAACCTCCACCTCCCGGGCTCACGCCATTCTCCTGCCTCAGCCTCCCGAGTAGCTGGGACTACAGGCGCTCGCCACCACGCCCGGCTAATTTTTTGTCTTTTTAGTAGAGACAGGGTTTCACCATGTTAGCCAGGATGGTCTCAATCTCCTGACCGCGTGATCCGCCGGCCTTGGACTCCCAAAGTTCTGGGATTACAGGCACGACCCACCGTGCCCGGCCCCAAACACCATCTTTAGCATTAACTCCTCTGGGCATCCTAATCTGAAAGTTCTGCTGCCTCAAACCAAAATCCAGGAAGATTCCTCCCTAGCTTGATTTATTTACACGTTCCAGTAGTCAAACCCTTAAAATCCACGACTTGACCCAAAGGGCAAATAATTATTCCTTTTAATTGTGATAAATCACTCTGGAGTAGGCAAATATTTGATTCACAATTAATTCCCCCCAGCACTCTCAGCAATTACAGTGCAGCTGCTCCACGACTCCCTCCACTTCCCCATTAGGACAGAGCGTGGGTCTGATTGAAGGGACAGGTGGCTGACAGTGACTTGTAGGGGACAGGCTGTGCTCTGAGAGTATATGGCAAAAGCAAAAATTATGAGGAAATTAATATGCAGCTGTGAATTGGCATTCAGATGTAGCAGACGAATCGGAGGCCATAGTCTGATTTGGCTAAACTGCTGAAAAAGATAAAATGCTGACTACAGCTAGCACACATCCCTAGTGCCTAAAGGAGCAGTCATTTCTTTGAGAATTCAGTTATCTATTGCATCCTCCTCTCTAAAGACAGGGGTTTTATCTATCTATCTATCTATCTATCTATCTATCTATCTATCTGTCTGTCTGTCTGTCTGTCTATCTATCTATCTATCTATTTATTTATTTATTGAGATGGAGACTCACTCTATCTCCCAGGCTGGAGTGCAGTGGTGCTATCTTGGCTCACTGCAACCTCCGCTTCCTGGGTTCAAATGATTCTCCCACCTTAGACTCCTGAGTAGCTGGGATTATAGGTGTGTGCCACCATGCCCAGCTAATTTTTTTATTTTTAGTGGAGATGCAGTTTCACCATGTTGGCCAGGCTGGTTTCTGACTGCTGACCTCATGATCCGCCCGCCTCAGCCTCCAAAAGTGCTGGATTACAGGCGTGAGCCACTGCACCCGACAAAGACTGGGGTTCTGTAGAAGAGCAGAGAACTAGAACATTTTTCCAGGTTCCACTCCTTACTAGCTATGAGACTGTATTCAAGTTACATAAATGATCTGTGCCTGTTTCCTCATCTCTAAAGTGGAAATAGGCATAACACCTCCTACTCCTTAGGCTGGTTGCTAGACTCTAATAAGTTCATACACATATTTGTTACATGAATGAATAAATAAGCGTTAGTTGCTATTATTACTACTCATAACGGTATCATCTTCATTACTATGAAAGTTTAAAAATATACAGAATAGGCCAGGTGCGGTGGCTCACGCCTGTAATCCCAGCACTTTGGGAGGCCGAGGCGGGTGGATCATGAGGTCAGGAGATCCAGACCATCCTGGCTAACACAGTGAAACCCAGTCTCTACTAAAAATACAAAAAATTAGCCCGGCATGGTGGCAGGCGCCTATAGTCCCAACTACTCAGGAGGCTGAGGCAGGAGAATGGCGTGAACCCGGGAGGCGGAGCTTGCAGCGAGCCGAGATCATGCCACTGCACTCCAGCCTGGGTGACAGAGCAAGACTGTCTCAAAAATATACATATATATATACAGAATAAAACAATAACGTAAGAAACTAACACATGGCAAAATTTCCTCCCACTACATTCCCTTTCCACAGTTGCAGCCACTTGGTCATTGTGTATTAGGAGGCTGTGCCTCAATTCTCTCTTCTGCCTTCTTTCTTTTTAAGAGATGGGGGTCTCACTATGTTGGCCAGGCTCAAGCGATCCTCCTGCCTCAGCCTCCCAAGTAGCTGAGACTACAGGAATGCACCACCATGCCTAGCTCTCTTCTGTCTTCTTTCTGTGCAGCTGACTGAAGAGCTGTAAAATCCAAGTCTTGAGTACTGGGGAGATTAAATACAATAAAGTCACAGAATCTTCTTTGGTCCAGGTCCAAATGACCTAAGAGAACTAGGGAACTCCACATGTACCAGTCCAGTTTACTAGACTCCTCCACATGGGGGTTTGGGGTCTGTGGTGGTCATCCTAACAAAGTCCAAGAGTTACTTGCATCTCACTCAACCACATTACATAGTAAAAATGAAAACATAAATCTGGATCACAATTACTGCCAGGTCACTGAAGTAGCGCTAGATGGGATATTTGGTTTCAAGTCTGGGCTTAGGAAACCCCAGCAAGAGACCTACTGTGAAGAAAACTGAAGCTATATCATGTTGACTAAGCATCTGAAAAGAGAAGATAGAGGTCGCAACCCAAAGCTATTCAATCAACACATTTTGCTGAATTGCCTTGCCTAGACACTAGGGCTATAGTAACTAACTGGGGAAGATGGTCTTAGCCCCCATGAGACTTATAACCCACAAACGAATTATCTTTTTACCTAACTATGGAATACAAAACTATACTATCCAGGTTCTTTGCTTATAAGCAAGAGAGATGGACTCTAAGAAAGTAAAGAGGGCTTTACTAGAACTATAACACTGTGGTAGTTTATAAAGATGGCCCTAATTTCTCACCCCTCCTAATCTCTACACCCTTTGCCATGTAATTTTGCAGTATCCACCCACCACGGCAGGGCTGAGTTGTTCCTCCTTGGACACGAGGCTTACCTGTGTCACTTGCTTTGGCCAGTGGGATATTAGCAGGCATGACATAAGCAGAGGCTAAAAAAAGGATTTGAGGGTAGCAAGCTGTCATAGACTCAGTTTTTCTATTCCTCACCTCTAAATACAACTAAATACCCTGGAAATAATTCAAAAGATATGATAAAAGGTGAAGAGAGAAACTAGACTACCTAGGGACCTCAGGACTTGAAGAATGAAAGAATAGTAAATTCTCTGGGTTTTCATTTTATCTCCCACATATTCCAGACCGGGTACCAGAGAGCATGTAACCCAAAACCACCAACAGGCATGGACCAAAATCAAAAGAGAAAAATTAATAAAGAAACAGAAAAGGCCCACTCTGGCCAGAGTTCCCATCAGGGATTTAGAAAGGAGAACCATTCCCAGTGAGACTGGCAGCCTGATCTACCTTTACCATCAGCACCAGCTCCAGAAAACAACCATCCTAATCTACCCACAGCATCAGCAACAAAGTAACCCGGGCAGGGGAATCACCCCCCATCCCACATCCCACACCAGGCTGCACCAGCAGACCCAGCATCTCCCAGCCCTCTGCTCAAAAGGCAACCCAGGTCTAGCATTCCCAGCCTTCCACTCAGTAGCAGAAGGTAAACCAGGCCCAGGGTCTCTTGATTCCCACCTAGTGGCAGGGAACCACCAGACCTTGTAGCTCTTAGCTTTCCACCCAGCTGCAGAAGGTGGCCTACAAAGGCACTTTTCTTCCCTAGGAGCACCAACAGAGATAGAGTGAGAAGCTCACCTGTACCAGGTGGCAAAATAAAAGGCCAGGAGAAACATTCTCTGTCCTCTAGGTCCAGCAACCCTAGGTCCAACTTAGTAACACCAGATGGCACAGGAAAGCACTTTTGCCCTCTCCTATTCTTAAATTCTACTCCCCATTCCTGGGCAGCACCAGGAAGGACCCAGCAGAGGCTCAAAGGAGCCAAGAGAACAAAGCAAAGCAGAATAACATTGCAGGAACTTAAAAAACTAAATTGTCATTGGAACACAAGCCTATTAAAGTAGGCCAGAACCTACACACTAAACCTAAAAAGGGAGTTTTCCTGCTAAAATAAAGATGATTTAAATAGAATCAAGAACCAGGAAAATCTCAGCTTGAATAAGAAAAGACAGTCAACTGGCACCAATACTGAGATGAATCAGATATTGTAACCTGACAAAGATTTTAAAGCAGCTGTCATAAAATTGCTTCAACAGGTAATTATGAATTCCCTTGAACAAATTAAATTATATAGAACTTCAGCAAATCAATAAAACTTATTTTTAAAATGAAAATTATAGAAATAAAAAATACAGTAACTGAAATAAAAAACTCATCAGACAGGCTCAAGAGTAGAGTGAAGATGACATAATATAGAATCAGAAAATTTGAAGACAGATCAATAGAATTTGCTCAATCTGAACAAAAAAGAAAATTGACTGAAAAAAAAAACGAGCAGGGCCTCAGGGACTTATAGGACAATAATAAACACTTGTATCTTTGGGGTTATTGAGGAAAAGGAGAAAGAAGGTGGAGCTGAAAAAAATATGTGAAGAAATAATAGGTGAAACTTCCTAAATTTTATAAAATACCTTCCCAAATTTGATTTAAAACCTCTAGATTTAAGAAGCTGATGGAATCCCAAGTAGGACAGATCCAAAGAAATCCATGCAAAGACACACTGTAAGTAAACTCCTGAAAACTAAAGACAAAGAAAAACCTTAAAAGCAACCAGAGAGAAATGATGCATTATAACAGAACATCAAGTTAAACAACAGATTGTCATATGAAAACACAGAGATCAGAAGGAAGAGGCACAATATTTTTCAAGTACTGAAAGAAAATAACTGTTAACTATGAGTTCTGGATCTGATAAATCATTGTTCAAGAATAAAGGAGAACTAAAACATCTCCAGGTGAAAAAGAACTATGAGAATTTCTCACTAAAAGACCTATCCTTAAAGTATAGCTAAAGGAATCTCTTCAAGCAGAATGAGAATGAGAAAAGAAAAGCATTAGAACTTCATAAAGGAAAGAAGATGCTATAAACCTAATATTTGTCTCCTCAAAATTCATATATTGAAATCCTAACCTGCAATGTGATGGTATTAGGAAGTGGAAGGCTTTGAGAGGTACTTAGGTCATGAGGACAGAGACCTCATGAATGGGATTTATGCATATATTACATGATCCCAGAGACATCCCTTACCCTTTCTACCATTTGAGGACACAGCAAGAAGACAGCCATCTATGAACAAGGAAGTGGGCCCTCACCAGACACTGACTCTGCCAGCACCTTGATCTTAGACTTTCCAGCCTCCAGAACTGCAAAGAATAAATTTCAGTTGTTTATAAGCCACCTGGTTTATGGCATTTTGTTATAGTAGTCCCAACACACTAAGACAGACTACATGAAATAGATAAAAATAAGGATTAAAATTATAGACTATTGGCTGGGCGCGGTGGCTCACGCCTGTAATCCCAGCATTTTGGGAGGCCAAGGTGGTTGGATCACGAGGTCAGGAGTTCAAGATCAGCCTGGCCAACCTGGTGAAACCCCATCTCTGCTAAAAACAAAATACAAAAATTAGTTGGGCAGGGTGGTGCATGCCTGTAATCCCAGTTATTCAGGATGCTGAGGCAGGAGAATCACTTGAACCCAGGAGGTGGAGGTTGCAGTGAGCTGAGATTGCGCCACTGCACTCCAGCCTGGGTAACAGAGCAAGACTCCATCTCAAAAAAAAGACAGAAATTATACCCTTGCCCTCCTGAGTTTTAAAAATCATATTTTATGGTTGAAGTAAAATTTATAATACCAACTGATGTGGCACTTAATGTATGTAGAGGAAATATTTGAGACAATTGTATTTAAAAACTATGGAGAGTAAAGAGACCTAAATAGAAGTAAGGCTTCAATGCTTCATACAATGTGATAAAACATTGATATAAGTAGGTTGTGGAAAAGTATATACATACATTGTAATATCTAGAACAACCACTAAAAAATCTATGAATACTATATAAAAAATAATACAAACAATATAAATATACTCGAAACCAGCGTAAATAAAATAATCCCTAAAAAATGTTCAAGTAATCCATAGGAAAGCAAGAAAAGAGAAACAGAGAAATGAGAAACAGAGGAACAAACAAAAAATAAAGAAATGTAGACTGAAGCCTGACATATTGATAGTTATGAATGTTAGTGATCTACATGTAACAACTAAAAGACAGGGATTGACAAAGTGGATAAAGACACATAGTCCAAAGGTACACTGTCTACAAGCAACTTACTTCAAACACAATGACAAAGTTTGAAAGTAAAAAAATGGAAATGAATATATCATGCTAACATTAATAGTAATTAAAAAGCAAGAGTGGCTATAGTAAGTCAAATAAAGCAGAGCTGAGAGCAAATAAAACTATAAAGAATAAAGAAGGATATTACATAAAGATAAAACAATTCACCAAGAAGTCACAGCAATCCTAAATGCATATGCACCAAGCAACAGAGCTTCAAAACACATTGCTATCATCTGAATATATGCCTCAAAATTGACATGTTGGTAACTTAATCCCCTGTGCAACAGTGTTGAGAGGTAGGACCTTTTTGGAGGTGTTTAAATCATGAGGGCCCCCCTCTCATGAATGGATTAATGTCCCTATAAAAAGGGCTGGCACAAGTCGGTTTGTTCTCTTGCCCTTGTGCCTTCCATCATCTGAGGACACAGCAAAAAGGACCTCATCAAATGCTAGTGCCTTGATTTTGGACTTCTCAGCTTCCAGAATTGTGAGAAATAAACTCCTGTTCTTCATAAATTGGCAAGTACCAGGTATTCTATTATAGCAATTCAAACAGAAAAACTGATAGAGCTGAAGGGAGAAATATACAAGTTTACAATTACTGTTGGGGACTTCAACACCACACTCTCAGCAACTGATAGAGTTACTAGACAAAAAATAGGCAAAAATATAGAAGACTGAACAATACCTTCAACTAACAGGAACTAATTGGCATTTATAGAATACTCAACAACACCAGAATACACATTATTTTCCTCAATAAAAATGTGGAAAAGAATACCACAATAAACCATATTCTGAATCATAAGGCAACTCCCAACAAATTTTTAAAAATTAAATCATAGAGTTTTCCAGCAAGAATGAAATCAAACAAAAAATCAATAACAGAAAGAGAAAACGAAAATCTTCAAACACTTGGAAATTAAATAACACCTATTTAAACAACCCAAAGGTCAAAGAGGAAACCTCAATGGAAATTTGAAAAAAAACATAAACAGAATGAAAATTAAAATACAACATTTAAAAATATGCATAGCATAGCTAAAGCAATGTTGAGGTGAAAATTTATAACACCAAGTGCTTACATTTAAAAAGATGAAAGATCTCAAATCAATAATTTAAGTACTAAATCAAAAAACTAGAAAAAAAGAAAAACAAAGTAACAGTAAAGAAAGAATGATAGTAATCAGCAATCAATGAAATTTAAGATAGGAAGAAAGTAGAGAAAATCAATGAAACCAAAACCGATTATTGGAAAAACGTTAATAAAAGTAATAAACATCTAGCAAGACTAAAAAAATAAAAAGAAAGGAGACACAAATCACCAATATTAGGAATCAAACACAAGAGCTATCACTACAGATCCTGAAGCCAAGAAAAGGAGGCTAATCAGGGAATACTAAATACAACTTTACACTCATAAATTTAACAATTAGAAGAAATGGGGCTGGGCGTGGTGGATCATGCCTGTAATCCCAGCCCTTTGGGAGTCTGAGGTGGGCAGATCAGTTGAGGTCAGGAGATCAAGACCCCAGCCTGGCTAATGAGGTGAAACCCCATCTCCACTAAAAAATACAAAACTGAGCCGAGTGTAGTGGCACACCCCTCTAATCCCAGCTACTTGGGAAGCTGAGACAGGAGAATCACTTGAACCCAGGAGGCAGAGGTTGCAGTGAGCCAAGATCGCACCACTGCACTCCAGCCTGGTGACAGAGTGAGACTCCATCTAAAAAAAAAAAAAAAAAGAAGGAAGAAGGAAGAAAAGAAGAAGAAGAAGAAGAGCAAGAAGGAGGAGGAGGAGGAAAAGAAGAGGAGGAGGAAGGAGAAGAGGAGGAAGAGGAAGAGGAAGAGGAAGAAGAAGAAGAAGAAGAAGAAGAAGAAGAAGAAGAAGAAGAAGAAGAAGAAGAAGAAGAAGAAGAAATGGACCAATTTCTTGCAGACTACAAACTACCAAAATTAACCAAGCTAAAATAGATAGCCTGAATACTCCTATAATCATTAAAGAAATTGAATATATAATTTAAAAGCTACAAATAAGAAAAACCCTCTGGATCATATAGCTTCACTGGAGAATTTTAGCAAACATTTAAAGAAGAATTCATTCAAATTTTACACAATCTATTCTTCCAGAAAATAGAGGAGGAAATTAGTCTCAACTCATTTTATGAAGCCAGTATTACCTTGACACTAAAACCAGAGAACTACAGTACTAAAAGAAAACAAACAAGCAAACAAAATACCACAGGCCAATTAGCTCTCATGCTACCTAGATGTAAAAATCTCAACAAAATAATACAAATAGAATCCAATGGTATATTTAAAAAAATCATACACTATAACCAAGTGGGATTTATTCCAGGCATGAAAGGCTGGTTCAACATTTGAAAGCCAATCAATGTAATCCAACATATCAACAGCCTAAAGAAGAAAAATTATATAATCAGTTCAATTGATGCAGCAAAATATTTGACAAAATCCAACACTAATTTATAATAAAAACTCTCAGCAAGCTAGAAATAAAGGAGAACTACCTCAACTTGATAAAGTACATCTACAAAAACCTATGGATAATACCATACTTAATAATGAAAAGCTGAATGCATTCCCACTAATGCTGGAAACAAGGCAAGATGTCCTCCCTCATATTCTTCTTTAACATTGTACTGGAAGGTCTAGCCACTGCAACAAAGCAAGGGGATAGGGGAAGACATACAGATTGTAAAGGAAGGAATAAAACTGTCACTATTTGTAGATGATAGAACTTTCTACATTAAAAAAAAAAAAAGCCCCAAGGTATCTACCAAAATAAACAAGCAAACAAAAAAACATTCCTAGGCCGGGCACGGTGGCTCACGCCTGTAATCCCAGCACTTTGGGAGGCCAAGACAGACAGATCACCTGAAGTCAGGAGCTTGAGACCAGCCTGGCCAACATGGCAAACCCCGTCTCTACTAAAAACACAAAAATTAGCTAGGTGTGGTGGCACATGCCTGTAATCCCAGCTACTCGGGAGGCTGAGACATGAGAATCACTTGAACCCAGGAGGCAGAGGTTGCAGTGAGCCAAGATACTGCACTCCAGCCTGGATGACTGAGCAAGACTCCAACAACAACAAAAAAATTCCTAGAACTAATCATTAAATTCAGCATGGTTGCAGAAAACAAGATTACACAAAAATAGAAAATCAATTGCTTTTTTTTTTTTTTTTTTGAGACAGAGTCTCACTCTGTCACCAGGCTGGAGTGCAGTGGTGCGATTTTGGCTCACTGCAACCTCCGCCTCCT
Organism: Homo sapiens; assembly: GCF_000001405.40. Taxonomy (NCBI): domain Eukaryota; kingdom Metazoa; phylum Chordata; class Mammalia; order Primates; family Hominidae; genus Homo; species Homo sapiens. Next base: position 73,128,261 of record NC_000003.12, on the reverse strand, counting down.
GGGTTCAAGCGATTCTCCTGCCTCAGCCTCCCGAGTAGCTGGGACTACAGGCACACACCACCACACGCAGCTAATTTTTTTGGTATTTTTAGTAGAGACAGGGTTTCACCATGTTCGCCAGGCTGGGGTCTTGATCTCTTGACCTCATGATCCTCCTGCCTCGGCCTCCCAAAGTGCTGGGATTGCAGGCGTGAGCCACCGTGCCTTGCCCAATTGCATTGTCATATGCAGTCATATGCTGAATAGCAATGTTTCAGTCAATGGTGGACCACATACATAAACGTGGTCTCATAAGATTATAATATCATATTTTTGCTGTACCTTTTCTTACTTAGCACTGTGTTATAATTGCCTACAGTATTCAGGACAGTCACATGCTGTATAGGTTTGTAGCTTAGGAGCAATGGGCTACACCATCTAGCCTGGGTGTGTAGGAGGATAGACCATCTAGGTTTGTGTAAGTACACTCTGTGATGTGCCCACAACAATAAAATTGTGTAACACATTTTACAGAACATATCCCTGCCATTAAGCGATGCATGACCGTATTAAAACTTAACACATGATAGCTGAAATTAAAAACACAATACCATTTACAATCACACCTAAGAAAATGAAATGCCTAGATACAACTGTAACAAAATACATACAGGATCTGTGTGCTAAAAATCACAAAACTCTTAGTAAAGAAATCAAATAAGACCTAAATACATGGAGAGATACATGCCATGTTCATGAATTGACAAACTCAACATATTAAAGATATCAATTCTCCCCAAACTGATCTATAAGTTTAATGCCATTCCTATCAAAGCATCTAAGCAAAGTTTTTTGTAGACATAGACAAGCTTATTCTGAAATTTATACAGAAAGGCATAAGCCCTAGAACAGCCAAAATAATCTTGAAAAAAAGAATGAAACAGGAGGATTCACTGTACTTGATATTAAGGCTTACTATATAGCTACATAAGACAATGTGGTATTGGTGGACGGAGAGATACATAGAACAACAGAACAGAATAAAGAACTCAGAAATATAGCCACACAAATATGGCCAACTGATTTTTCACAAAAGTGCAGAAGAATGGAGGAAGGATGACCTTTCTAACAAATGGTGCTGGAGCACATGGACATCTGTAGGCTAAAAATAAACTTTGACCTAAATTTTACACATTATATGAAAATCAACTCAAAATGGGTCCTGAACATAAATGTAAAATACAAAACTGGAAAACATTCAGAACACACATAGGAGAAAATCTTTGAAATCTGGGGCTAGGCAAAGAGTTCTTAGACTTAAAACCAAAGGTATGATCCGTAAAAGGAAAAATTGGTAAATTGGACATCATCAAAATTAAAAACATCTCTTCAGAAGACCCTGTTTAGAGGCTGGATAGACAACTCACAGACTAGGAGACAATACATCTGACAAAAGATATATAGAGCATTTAAAGAACTCTCAAAACCCAACAGTGAAAAAGCAAACAATTTAATTCAAAAATGGGCAAAACCGTGAACATAAGTTTCACTGAAGAAAGTACACAGATGGCAAATAATGACATTAAAATTTTTGTTCCACATTTGGATTTATTTTAAAAAGACATTAAAATATTTTCAACTTCACTAGCCATTAAGAAAAATGCAAATTAAAACTGTAATGAGATAATACTGCACACCTATCATAGTGGCTAAAATTTTTAAAAAACAGTGACCACCAAATACTGGAAAGGATAGGGAAACTAGATTATTCATACATTGCTAGTGGGAATGCGGAATGGCACAGCAACTCTGAGGTTGGCAGGTTTTTTTATAAAAACCAAACATGCAACTGCTGTACAACCCAGTAATTGCACTTTTAGGCATTTATCCCAAAGAAATAACAATTTACATTCACACAAAAACCTATACACAACAAGAAAACAGCTGTTCATAACAGCTTTATTTGTAACAGCTAAAAACCAGAAATAATCCAGATATTTTTCAATCAGTGAATGGTTAAACAAACTATAGGACATCCATATGTTGGAATATTACTCAGCAATAAAGAGGAACAAACTACTGATTAGCAACTTGGATGAGCATCCAGAGAATGATGCTGTGAAAAAAAAGCCAATCTCAAAAGGTTATAGACTGTATGATTTTATATATAACATTCTTGAAATAAAATTATAAAATCTGGCCAGGCGCAGTAAGTTCACGCCTATAATCCCAGCACTTTGGGAGGTCGAGGTGGGTGGATCACCTGAGGTCATGAGTTTGAGACCAGCTTGGCAACATGGCGAACCCCATCTCTACTAAAAAATACAAAAATTAGCTGGGTGTGGTGGTGTGTGCCTGTAATCCCAGCTACTCGGGAGGCTGGGGCACAAGAATCACTTGAACCCGAGAGGTGGAGGTTGCAATGAGCCGAGATGGCACCACTGCACTCCAGGTTGGGCAACAGAGTAAAACTCTGTCTCAAAAAAAATTATAAAATTGAATGCACACTCATTCTTGAAATAAAATTATAGAATTAAATACACACTCATACACATACATACACACACACACACACACACAAATGTGTACAAGTTAGCTGGGAAGACCTGAATAAGATCAGTGCATTGTACCAATGTCAATATCCTGGTTGTGATACTGTACTACAGTTTTGCAAGCTATCATCACTGACAGAAATTGGGTAAAGGATACATATATTACTTTTTCTTTTTTTTTGAGACAGAGTCTCACTCTGTTGCCCAGGCTGGAGTGCAATGGCACAATCTCGGCTCACTGCAACCTCTGATTCCCGGGTTCAAGCAATTCTCCTGCCTCAGCCTCCCGAGTGGGATTACAGGCATGTGCCACCATGCCTGGCTAATTTTTGTATTTTTAGTAGAGATGGGGTTTCACCATGTTGGTCAGGCTGGTCATGAACTTCTGACCTCAAGCAATCCACCCACCTCAGCCTCCCAAAGTGCTGGGATTACAGGTGTGAGCCACCGCACCCAGCTGATCTCACTATATTTCTTACAACTTCATGTGAATCTATAATCATCTCAAGTTTTTTAAGAAAAGGGAAAAAACAGAATTTCATTTTTTGTTTAAACGGGTTTGTGTATCAGAGCCTTCTCTTTTTTGCCTCTGCCGTTGCAGAGGCAAAACATGCCTGGATTAGTCGGCTTGGAGGATAAAAGATATGTGCACCAGAGCCCATCACCCTAGGTGCTCCAGCTGAGGCCACCTTAGATCTGTCAACAGCAAACCCATCCTCAGTCATGTGGAAACCCATGCAAAATCAGCAGAGCCGAGCACCAGCCGACCCCAAACACACAAGCAACTAATACTTACTGCTGAATACCACTGAAGGTTTTGTGGCTGTTTGTTATATACCATTATCATGGCAATAAATAACTGATACAACAGCCCAGTCTCAGAAAATACACAGCCAAGTTAGCTCCATGGAGGCAGGCAGACCAGCATCACTGGGTTTTCCATATAGGGATACAGCTGCTCCCACCATTTTTTGTACTTGAGTCTTGTGGCTCAAGTACAAAAAATTCAAAATCTCAGGAAGTGTCTGCTTGGCTTAGCTCAGATTCTGTCCTCAATGAATATGGGACCCCCTAAGGAAAACTGGAATACAATAAAAGAAGGGATAATAGCCCCTAGCCAGGCAAAAATGAAAGATGTCCTCTGCCAAGACCAACACGTAGTATTTACTTATGCCAGAGTGAGGGATTCACTTCTAAAACAGATTTTAGAATTCACCATTGCCATTTTTAAGTCATTTTAAGGGAGAACAGCTTTGGGAAAGTAGACCACATTGAGAGTCAGTGTAACAAAATAGTTAATAATAAATATGTTGACCCTAAAACTAGACTGTGTGGGTTTGAACTCAGCTTCTCTGCAAAATTACAAACTTCTTGAGTTGAGCAATTAATTAATTTGAAAAATGACATATCCTACACCCAGATATGAAGAGATTTTTTCAATGTCTATTACCACATTTAAAGCTCCAAAAGTCCTGAAGTGCAGAAACCTGTGTATGTGGGATTAACTCAGCATACCACTCAGGTTACTACGACAGAATGGTTTAGGGGCAGGCTCAATTTGTATCCTGGCTCTGTGTAACCTTGGATAAATCATTTAACCTCTCTGTGCCGCAGTGAACTTATCTGTAAAATGGTGATAGTAACTGCACCTATCTCACAGGGTGATAACTTAGTTATTCTGTGTGTAAAGCATTTAGAACAATGTCTGAAGCATAACAATTTCCAGTACATGCTGATTATTATTAATTCTTTAATCCTTTGCTTGCATAAAGAAATTCTTTGCTTTATCATTCCTCCTGGTGGATGAAAACAGAATTTACAACATTTGACCTGTGAGTTTTAACAAGAGGAAAGGCCATATGTCAAATTTCATCCCTTGGCAATTGAGAGGGAATAACTAAAGAGCATCATAAATCCCTAAATCCTGATTTTAACAGCTACAGCGACTGATCCTTTGATACCTAACATCCCATTTCACTATTGTAAATGTCCAAATCCTTTCAAGGTTTCACAAGGATACTTTATGGCCATTCCTCCATTGATCACATGGCTTACTGACACAACACAGCTGAGCCAACCAAGTCTTTCAGTATACAGAGCAGCTCTCTTCTCTGTTTGTGGGCATTGGATTAATAGTCAATGGTTGCCATGGCTGTGTGGTCATCACACATTGGGCCACACAGGATTAGATCAAGGGAAGCCTCCTGATAGAGTGGGCTAAATAAGTAATTTTTCATCTCTGAAGACCTAGGTTCAAACCTCACTGACACCACAAGATAAAACAGGTTTTGTGGTCTCAGTCCATCCCACAATTTGTCAAAATCCAGCAGAAATGAAATCCTTCTTGAAGGCCATTAATCAAGAACACGAAGTCATCACAGTCAAGGATTGATGGGTTATAGGGAAGCTAAGAGCTACAGTGGGCATCGTTGGCCTAATTAGAAATGGCTTCTTTTTGTTAAGAACTTCTCCAGAACATAGGCTCAGAAGTAGACAAAGGCACAGACAATAATACTACCAGTCCCCATCCCCTCCTCCCTACCCCTGGCAGATAGTCACCTACTTTCTGCCTCTAGAGAGCTGCCCATTCTGGACATTTCACATAAATGGAAGTAGATAATATGTAGTCCTCTGTGCCTGGCTCCTTTCACTTAGCATGTTTTTAAGAAACATTCATGTCATAGTATGTACCAATACTGCATTCCTTTTTATGGCTACATAATATTCCAATGTAGAGATACACCACATTTTATTTATCTGCTCATTGGTAGATGGACATTCATTTTGTTTCTACATTTTGTCTAATATGAATAGTGCTGCATGCTTTATTTTTTTGTTTCTACATTTTAGCTCACATGAATAATGCTGCATGCAAGTTTTCATACACAAGCATGAAAACACATGCACAAGCTTTTGTGTGCACATATGTTTTCAATTCTCTTGGGTATATATATCCAGAAGTGGAATTGCAGGATCATATGTAACTCTATGCTTAACCTTTTGAGAAACTGACAGTTTTCCAGTGTGCACCATTTTACATTCCCAACAGCAGAGTATGAAAATTCCAATTTCTCTGCATCCTCACCAATACTTGTAATTGTTTTTCTTTTTTATTATAGCTATCCTTATGAGTATGAAGTGGTAGCTTATTATGGTTTTGACTCGTTAAACATATTTTATGTGCTTACTGGCCATATATATTATATATTTTTATATATATAAATAATCTTTAGAGAAATATCTGTTCAAATCTTTTGTACATTTTTAAACTGGGTTATTTGTCTTTTATTGTTGAGTTGTAAGATTTCTTTATGTATTCCAGATACTAGTTTTTTATCAGATATATAATTTGAAAATATTTTCTTCCATTTTATGAATTGTCCTTTCAATTTCTCGATGGTATCCTTTGAACCAACTTTTTTTTTTAAATGAAGTTCAATTGATCTAATTTTTCTTTTGATGCTTGTGCTTTTGGTTGGGGATTTCTTTTAAGTGGCAAAGCCATAAAGAAGACAGGAAATTTTGAATCACTCATAAATTCTATAAAGGCTGCCTACTTGATGTTATGAACAGTCACAAACCCTTCAACCCACAGTCTGGGGTATGTATATCTTTCAGTTGGCCCACAAAGTAGCTTTGTTTTAATGGAGCTGAGGTAGGAAGTGGGGCTCAACTCCAGAGGCAGGGCTCAGACACAGGAACAAATTGAAGACTAGCTAAAACAGGGATGGGGGTGGAAGAAGTTTCCCATAAGACACACCCACCACTGGGCCATGTCAGTTTACCATTGCCATGGCAACACCCAGATGCTGCCACCCCATTCCATGGCAACAACCCAACAACCTGGAAATTACCACACTTTTCCTAGAAATTTCTGCATAATCCACCTCTTAGTTTGCATATAAATAAAGTAGGTATAAATATGACTATAAAACTGCCTCTGAGCTGCTACCCTGGGCACACTGCCAGTGGGGTAGCCCTGCTCCACAAGAAGTAGCGTCTCTGCTGCTTTGCACTGCCACTTCAATAAAAGTCGCTGTTTAACACCACTGGCTCACCCCTGAGTTCTTTCCTGGGCAAAGCCAAGAACCCTCCCAGGCTAAGCCCCAGTCCTGGAGCTTGCCTATCCTGCATCAGAGCCAAGGTTTAAAAATCTGGAATTTCAGCCTCTACAGAAATATTTGAAAAACTGGCCATATAAGGCCATCTATTCCCACACTCTACAGGAATCAAGAAGTGGCTACCACTTTAGCTGGGCCCTAGACAGTATTTACTATTCTCATTATTATTAGCAGCTGCCTCAGAGCCTCAGAGGCCTAGTTCCTCTCTCTGTATCTTTACAATAAATCTTCTCCTTGTAGTAAATTGAATGCATTGCTTATAACCTACATATTCCCAATAAAATACATAGGAGTATTTTCTTTTAGCAGGCAGACCGTAAACGACATTAATATGAAGGGAAGAGAGAGAGCCCTCTTCCTCTTTACTCTGGTATTTCCCAATAGAGCAGTAGCAGTACTCTCCACCTCCCCTTCATGTCCTACCCTGGGATGGTACAGATGAGGTCTTTGAGGGTGGATAGAAGGAGGAGGCAGGGCAGTGGGCTCAGGACTAAATCCTTGGCCCAGCCCTGCCTCAACTTTTACATTAAACCCAGGAGTCTTATTTTTAAAATGGAAACACCAGCTGCCTAGGTATTCTATTAGTCAGCATTCTCTTGGTTATGGATGGCAAAAAACCTTGCTCAAAGCAGCTCAGGAGAAAGGGGGAATTTACTGGCTCACATTCCCAAATCAGGGTGTCAGCAGTGTAGGCATGGGCCCAGGAATAGCTAAGGCCATGAACTGGAGCTCTCTCGACTTCCCACCCATCTCCTGTCTCTGCATTTCTCTGCAGCACTTCTGCAGTCTCTCTTCCCACAGAACTATCTGTCAAATGCCAGAGATCACAGAGGCCTGACACACAACTCCCAGACTCTCATCCCTATATCCTTGGCCAGAGAAAACAGGGCCTTTTTCTCCCCAGTCCAATTTGAGAAAGTCCAAGGAAAACCTCTGATTGGACCAGCTTGAGTGACCAATTGCATTCACTCATGGACCAATCACAGCAGCCAGGGAATGGGATATTCTCATCGGCCCACCTGGGTAACAGACCAACCCTTCCAACCATGACTCTGGTCAGAGAGATATGGTTCTGTTATTTAGATCAAATGGCCAGGCCAGGTGCAGTGGCTTTTGCCTATAATCCTAGCACTTTGAGAGGCCAAGGCAGGTGGATCACTTGAGGTCAGGAGTTCCAAACCAGTCTGGTCAACATGGAGAAACTCTATTTCTACTAAAAATACAAAAATTAGCTGAGCATGGTGGTGTGTGCCTGTAATTCCAGCTACTCAAGAGGCTGAGACATGAGAATCGCTTGAACCCAGGGGACGGAGGTTGCAGTAGGCTGAGATCGCACCACTGCCCTCCTATAGTCCAGCCTGGGTGACAGTGCGAGACTCTGTCTCAAAAAAAAAACAACAAAAACCAAACCAAACCAAATAAAACAAAAAGGCTAAAGTGTGGCAGGAGGAGGAGAGGATGAGACCGGCATGAGTTGATCACTGAAGGTGTGTAGACATGCCTGGGATGCATTTCTTAATATATAAGAACTATTAGGAATGAATTTTTTAAATGATGGTCAAAGGAAGAATGTGTATCTGGCACTTGCGTTGTTTCAAATAGCGTGCCATTTACTTTTTAATGTTTCTTATGGTCTTGTAGGGTATTCTTTTCCCTACTTTGCAAACAAGCAAATTAAATCCAAGATAAATTAGGTAATTTACCCAAAGTTCCCAAATGGACAAGTGACTTCGCTTCTACTAAGGATAATGCTAAACTCTTCACTTGTGCCACCATTCCATGCTGTTTTGTTTTGTTTTGTTTTGTTTTGTTTTGTTTTGTTTTGTTTTCCCCTGGAAAGACGAAGGTTTAGAAACAGCAGCAGAATTCATCAAAGCCTCTGCTAAGCCCCTCCACCCAGACCTCCGGCCCCTCATGTAGAGGAGATCTCTATAGACCTGGATAGCAAACAGTTACCTGGCTAGTCAGCTCTGACTAATTTAAATTGGCCTAAAACAATAAAGAAAGAAGACATGTGAAGCTGCCTCTGGGTTGAAAGATTTAAAAAAAAAAAAAAAAAGATGCTGTGATAAATCGACAATGTCTGTCATGAGCAAAGGAAAGATAATTTAATTTCACCCCCAAATTACTAGACAAGAGAGTATCACCCTGATTATTTTGACCTCTAGATGATGTTTTTATTTTCTATTGCTATCCAACTTTCCTTTCAACATACTTTGGAATAACATTACTTTCTTTCCTAGCATCCTTCTTTCTGTACCCCCGAGTTCCTGAAATGCTGCCATGGTTAAAACATCATTTATTAAGATCCCCTGTTACTATACTTTGCTCTTCATTCTTAGCGCCTTGTGGCCACTCTGTTTCTCTTATGCAAGTGGGGGTCTTACATTATTCTGTGCACATCTAGCTCCCGCATAGCTCAAAGCATGGATCTGCAGCCTGCAGCCTCTTTCTTATTTATCAAGACTTTCCAGGAAGAGCAGGGTCTTCACCATCTTCACCAGCACAGCTTTCTCATAACCCATGCAATAAATATAATCATACATAAGTAATGCATATACAAAGAGATTCCTTTGCCATTGAAAAATGCACAACTGTGCAGATCCCAGATGCACACACACACATATACATGGCTTCCTAAACCCTATAAAGAAGTGCTATAAACTCCAACTTTTTTAGGATGTGTGTGTATGGAGAGAGAGAGAAAGCTTCCAAATTTATACATTCTACTCCAGTCCATTAGTGAGAAATGGGTGAAAAAAACAGTTATACAGACATATAATAGGATAACACACAGCCACAGTCATCAAACAAAGCAAGCAGTGGATCTACAAGTCCTCGTATGGAAAAGTCTCCACCATAGGTCATTAAGCAAGCAAAGCAAATCGGCCTATGGAAAATTGTCAAAACATAACAAGGGTGTTCAAAGATAATGGGCAGTCACAGATACCAATATCCACCAACAGGGAGCAAAGCAAAGATGTATGAACAGTCCCATTTCTGATAAGACAATAATATATTAGCATATATCTTACAAGTAAATCTGAAGGCCAGGCATGGTGGCTCACACCTCTAATCCCAGCACGTTGGGAGGCCAAGGCGAGCGGATGAGTTTGAACTCAGGAGCTCAAGACCAGCTTGGGTAACATGGCGAAACCCAGTCTCTACAAAAAGATAATAGTAATAATGGTAATAATTTTTTTTTTTAGACAGAGTCTCGTTCTGTCACCCAGGCTGGAGTGCAGTGGTGCAATCTTGGCTCACTGCAACCTCCACCTCAGGTTCAAGCAATTCTCCTGCCTCAGCCTCCTGAGTAACTGGGATTACAGGTGACTGCCACCATGCCTGGCTAATTTTTGTATTTTTAGTAGAGATGGGGTTTCACCTTGTTGGCCAGGCTGGTCTCGAACTCCTGACCTCGTGATCCGCCTGCCTCGGCCTCCCAAAGTTCTGGGATTACAGTCATGAACCACTGCACCTGGCCATTATAATAATTTTTTAAAAAATAGCTGGGCATGGTGTTGCACACCTGTAGTCCCAGCTACTCAGGAGGCTGAGGTTGGAAGATTCTTGAGCCCAAGAAGCAGAGGCTACAGTGAGCCAAGATTGCGCCACTGCAGCCTGGGTGACAGAGTGGGATCCTGTCTCAATCAATCAATCAATCAATATGTGAAAGACTATATGCCACCATAAAAAGTCATAATCCATGGGAAGTGAGATCACGAGAGACGTTTACTTTTAAGGTTATACATTTCTATAATGATTGAATGTTTATTAACAGAAATGGGTTAAGATTTTTTAAAATCTACTTCGTAGAAATGGAGGTGTCATTTAGATTTAAAATTCCACCTGAGGCCTCCCTCAGAAAGAAAGGAGGGAAGAGGGGAAAGAAGAGAGGGAAGGAGGGAGGGGAGGGGAAAGGAAACAGGGAGGAAGAGAGAAGGACTACATTAAGCTCCTCCTTTAATGTAGAATCGTAACCACTAGGATTATTTTCAACTACCTGCATAAACCAAAACTATCAAAGGCTAACTTTTTAAAGTTGGAGATGAAATGCAGCAATGTCCTGAAATATAAAAGGCCCTATATCCAGACACAGCCTCTCTCCCTAAGTGCCTGGGGGAATTGGATTCCTCCTATAGCCTCTCTTTCCCACCTCTCTGAGGTTCCTGAGCTCCGCCTGTGTATGTCAAGACACACTTTTCAGTGTTCCGGTGCAGCCCTGTGGCCTAGCAGAGCTCACATGGCTTCAGTATTTCCATTTCCCGCCTCCCCGCCGGGATGACAGCGAATTCTCTCCCTACACCCCTGATATTTCCAACTGTTGTATCTTGAAAGAGACACTCAGACTATTTGGCCCAACCATCATGGTCAATGGAAACGGGCTTCTTTGACATCTTTTCTCTCCAGATTACTTCTCCTCTGATCACTCCTCATGCCACTGGATCCCTTCGGCCCTTGGACGACAATCAGGCCTCACCTTGAGCCCCTCGGGGAGCCATCCCAGGGCAATCTCCTCATGGCCATCTGTCACATCTTCAGACAGGGCAGAAAGTTGTTCTTCCATCAAGTGGACTATTCATTCCCCTCCACAAATTAACTCTCTGCTCCTCTCATCCAGGTCCCCGCTGTGTTATTGTTGTGACGCGCTCCATCCTTCCAGTCGAGGTGACTTTTCATGGTTTTCCTAGAAACCTTGGTTTGCTACCATGTATGCCTTGATTAAAAATGTGCTGTCGGGTGAAACATACTATTCAGGGGAGGGTTATTTGTTAATTAGTAAAACAAATCAGGTCAAATATTTCTCATAAAGATTTTGCACATCTGCAATTCTGAAATGGCTTACATTTAGCTTCTTAAGTGATTTTTTTTATAAAGAATAAACACAAAAGAAAATCTACTTTTTTTAGACAAGTTCTAGAAGTAGTAACAACAGAGACCTTATTTGTTCCTGTATCAATATTTTTTCACACAATCATGCATCAAAAAAATCATTATTTTTAAACTATTGCTTTTGTTTTTGTTTGAATTTAAAAGTAGGGGCGGTAGGGTGTAATGGTTCATGCCTGTAATCCTAGCACTTTCGGAGGCCGAGGCGGGTGGATCACTTGAGGTCAGGAGTTCAAGAGCAGCCTGGACAACACAGTGAAACCCCAACCCTACTAAAAATACAAAAATTAGCCAGGCATGACTCGGAGGCTAAGAATCGCTTCAACCCAGGAGGCAGAGGTTGAAGTGAGCTGAGATCGCACCACTGCACTCTAGCCTGAGTGACAGAGCAAGACTCTGTCTCGTTAAAAAAAAAAAAAAGTAGGGGCTACCTAGGTGAGAGAGGCCATTTGACCCATTCTATTATTTGGGAAGGCTTTTTGCTTTGGACCATCCACCCAATATTTCATAAAATTCGGATGCTTTTTGGATAAGAGGTCTTCAAACACAGGGTTTACTCCATTTATACAATACCTCTTTACCTGTTCCTAAAATTATATGGGCAAGTTGCTCACCTCTCTCATGGGCCCTGGCTGAGAGCAGGAGCCTCCTGTCTTTATTCACTGTAGCTCTCTTAGCATGGTGCCTGGCAGGCAGGAGCAGCTCAATGTGTGCTGCCTTAGTGAACTGCCATGTGTTATGTTCTATTTTTATTCTTTTTTTAATTTCTTATTTTTAGAGACAGAGTCTCACTTTGTCACCCAGGCTGGAGTGCAGTGATGCAATCATGGCTCACTGCAAGCTCGACCTCCTGGGCTCAAATGATTCTTCTGCCTCAGCCTCCTGAGTAGCTAGGACTACAGGGGTGTCCTACCACACCTAGCTAATTTTTTTAGTTTTTATAGACACGGGGTCTCACTATGTTGCCCAGGCTAGTCTTGAACGCCTGGACTCAAGTGATCCTCCCTCCTCAGCCTTCCAAAGTACTGGGATTACAGGTATGAGCCACCTCACCCCGCCATATCTTTATTCTTGATTGGTCTTCAATCAGGCCATGGCTCCCCCCAGCCTTGAGGAACTGGAACGGACAGACTGTGTCTCACTTATCTTTTTATTCCTAGAAACTGGCACAAAAGCCCTTAACACTTTAAAATTTTTTCCAACCTCCAGCTATAAGCCAGGCATTGTGGAAGATACAAAGAGAAGAAAGGTAGGATTGCTGCCTGTGATAACCTGCCTTTTATTTATAGTAACAGTGATAAAAATGACTCAAATGCAAATGTTTAATATGAAACTGTGTTAATGCCACGCATACATTACTTCGTTTCATTCTCCCAACAGCCCCTTGATAGAGGGTGTCTTCCCCACCCCCACCCAAACCCGCAATTTTACAATCAAGGAAACTACAGCTCTGAGCAATTAAGGAATTTGCCTTGGTTCTAACTTGCTGTCAGCTAGAGAGGGCAGAGCAAGGATGCCCACCCAACACAATCAGGAATATTGAGCAATACTTGGCAGTGTGTGGTTTCACACGCAGGATGATGGGAGGGCCAAGAAGGACACACCATAATCAAACAGCAGTGAGGGCCACTGTTCCAACAAAACTGCTAGGGTTGCAAGTGACAGAAATGGAAATCCAACTCAATGTGGCTTTAAAAAGAGAGAAAGGAAATTCATTGGCTCAGTACATGGAAAAGCCCAGCCATCTGAACGTAGCTGGATCCCAGATGCTCAAACAATGTCAGGAAGGCTCATCTCTAAGCCTGGGTTCCACTTTCCTCTGGGTTCCTTGCCAGGCAGGCGTCTGCTCTGATGATGGCACAGATGTCACCAGCTCCAGGAGCACATCTTGCAGCTTAGCATCCCCAGCCAAAAAAGAGGGCATCATTCCCGGGAACTCCAGCAAAGTCCTGAGTCTGACTCTTATCCCAAGCAGACTGCTGTGTGTGTGACTGGCCTGGGTCATTTTCCCACCCCAGTCAATGTGAATGAAGTTGTGGATCAATCTCCCCAAGCGGACATGGACCTCAAGAGGAAAGGATTAACCCCAAGGCACTGGCCACCAACAGGCAAAGATAGCACAATTCAACTCTGGCCACCATATTTGTTTAGCTTCTCTCCCAGCCTGATACAATAAAATAACATTTTAAAATTAAATGTTAAGTTAGTAAAAGTAATTGTTATAAATTAAATAGTAAAAATTAAATTATTTCCATTTAAAAGATGTAAATAAAGAATATAAATGAAAATTTTAAATATATGAATGAAATAATTTTTTGAAACTACGAGCAGCTTTATGATAGGCTGGCTGTGAGCTGTAAACTAGAAAGGGAGAGAAAGTTACCTGTAAATTTTTCTTTGTCCACAAAAATAAAGGCAGATGTCTGAGTGAGCACCAGCAAATGCTACAGAGGCACTTCTTATTCCAATGGCTGGGAAATGGTGAATTAATCAAGAATCTGTCCAGATGAGATACAAAAACAAAAAAATATATACACAATATTTTTGAAAATAAACATTTTATTGTAGAGTGATTTTAGATTTACAGAAAAGTTTCAGTGATAGCACAGAGGGTCTCCTTATACCCCTCACTTGGTTTCCCCTTTTTTTTTTTTTTTTTTTTTTTTAATTTGAGACAGGATCTCACTCTGTCACCCAGGCTGGAGTACAGTGGTGCAATCATAGCTCACTGCAACCTCAACCTCCTAGGCTCAAGTGATCCTCCCACCTCAGCCTCCTGAGTAACTGGGACTACAGGTGCACACCACCATCCCCAGCTAATTTTTTTGGATCTTTTTATAGAGATGAGATTTTGCCATGTTGCCCAAGTTGGTCTCTAACTCTTGAGCTTAAGTGATCCACCCGCCTCGGCCTCCCAAAATGCCAGGATTGCAAGTGTGAGCCACTGCCCCAGGCCAGTTTCCCCTGTTATTAACATCTTATCATGATTTGTCAAAACTAAACTGACATTGGTACATTTCACCAATTTTTTCATTCATATCCTTTTGTTTGTTCCAGGACCCAATCTAAGCTACCACATTGCATTGAGTCATCATGTCCCCACAGTCTCCCATGTACTGTGAGATTTTCTCAGGGTTTCTTCATTTTTTTATGACCCTGACAGTCTTAATGAGTGCTGGCCAGGTATCCTGTAGAATATCTCCCATTGTGGGTTTGACTGATGCTATTCTCATCTCATCTGGGGCTACATACATAACATTTTGTTTTAACTTCAAACATATAGATTATCATCACTAGCCAATATTTTGATGAACGATGAATACCTTTAAGGATGGGTTCCCTAATTGGAGTTGCACATCTTCCTTGCATGAACCACAGCCATAATGTACCATCTCTGAATTCTGGATTCAAGTTCTTTGAAGAAGCTTTATCAATTAAGAATGCTTTGGGTTGCAATTAAGAATGGCTTAAGCAATGCAGATATTTAATAATCTTATATATCAAATACTCTCCTCTCTCTCTCTTTTTTTTTTTTTTTTTTTTTTTTAGACAGAGTCTTGCTCTGTCGCCCAGGCTGGAGGGCAGTGGCGTGATCTTGGCTCACTGCAACCTCTGCCTCCTGGGTTCCAGTGATTCTCCTGCCTCAGCCTCCTGAGTAGCTGGGATTACAGGCATGCACCACCACACCCAACTAATTTTTTTTTTTTGTATTTTTAGTAGAGACAGGGTTTCACCATGTTGGCCAGGATGGTCTTGAACTCCTGACCCAAGTGATCTGCCCTCCTCAGCCTCCCAAAGTGTTGGGATTACAGGCGTGAACCTGGCCCCAAGAAACATTTTTAGGGGAGTTAGGAAGTGAGATGGGGAAGGAAGGAACCCGTCCAGATGGCGTTATCAGGCCAGCTACCACTGTAGGCACCCGGAGCTTAACACTGCTGGGCAGCTCTGGGAAGCAGTGCAGAGCACACCCCAGAGCCATCACGCCAAGGGCAAAGGGCTGGGGGACTTATACAGTGGCTCCTGCCAGTCATCTGGGAGGCAGATCTGGGGGTGGGAGGGGGGGTGCTAATTCTCCAGCACTTTGGGTCAGAGTAAGGTGTGTTTGTTTACCTGAGTCAGAAAATCCTCAGGTAAAAGGATGCCAGTGTTGGCCGTTGGAATCAGGCCTGTGTGCACTGCAGTGCAAGGCAGAGAGGATGTGGGCTGGGTCTGGGCAGTGTCCACTGTAGTCTTTTTACCTGGACAGTCTGTTCTGTCCAGCACTCAGCACTCCTCTCTCCCCACCTTCTTGAATCATTGAGGCCCATCTAAGCTTACTCCCTCCTTTACTCATATCCCTGATCAGCAGGTAGTGCTGTTAGGACAGCGTAAATCTCACTTCTTATCTGTATTTCTCACAGAGCCTAGCACAGTGCTTTGATGGGTAGAAGCTCTCTCAGTTGACCCCCGTCTAGCTTACTTCCCGATTAGCTGCTGATGTACAGTCCCTCAGCGAAACCCCTACCTGAGGCCCCTCGCTCACCCAGGGCACAGGCACCCCCTACACCTCCCTGCTGCTGACTCGGTGCTCCCCTTGAGTGTCCTGCGTTTGTGCCTAAACCTGCTTATGTCAGCTGTGATATAATTTACAATAAATCAACTAAATTAAGTGCATTGAATAATAAATGAATTAAATTGAACATTATGTCATCTGATTAGACACAAGTGCAAACATGGTCTTTTTTTTTTGACACATGGACATGTATGTTTATTGTAGCA
The DNA here is from genome assembly GCF_000001405.40 of Homo sapiens. NCBI lineage: Eukaryota > Metazoa > Chordata > Mammalia > Primates > Hominidae > Homo > Homo sapiens. The sequence continues at coordinate 73,111,961 of NC_000003.12, read as the reverse complement.
CTATTTACAATAACAAAGACTTGGAACCAACTCGAATGTCCATCAGTGATAGGCTGGATAAAGAAAATGTGGCACATATACACCGTGGAATTACTACGCAGCCATAAAAAAGAATGAGTTCATGTCGTTTGCAGGAACATGGATGAAACTGGAAGCCATCATTCTCAGCAAACCAACACAGGAACAGAAAACCAAACACCGCATGTTCTCACTCATAAGTGGGAGGTGAATAATGAGAACACATGCACACAGGAAGGGGAACATCACACACCGGGGCCTGACGGCGGGGTTGGGGGGCAAGGGGAGAGAGAGCATCAGAACAAATACCTAATGCATATGGGCTTAAAACCTAGATGACTGGTTGGTAGATGCAGCAAACCACCAAGACACATGCATACCTATGTAACAAACCTGCACGTTCTGCACATGTATCTAGAACTTGAAAAAAAAAAAAAAGAGGAAGAAGTTCAAGTCCAGGCTGGGCCACACTGGTGGACCCCGTTCCTTTAAAAGGTCACCACCACTCGACTGCCAAGCTGAGATCTAAGGACCTCCAAGAAACATTGAACACGCTCTCTCTGCATGCAGATACAGAAACGGGTAGTCTCGTTTTGGGTTCTAGTCTTCCCAAAGTGCTGTAGACACAGCGAAAATGGGAGTGCCGAAAAGTCCACCTTATGTCCGCAGACCAGGAACTTCAAGGTAGTTCAAGGAATAGGAAAACCAGCATATCACAGATACTAGGTGTGCAAGCTACTCTGCAGTGTTCTTCCCTTCTAAAGGGGTGCACAGTTCGTGGAGCTACTGCAATACCAGGTCGATGTGTGGAGTGGAGAGAGCAAGCTCCTATTCCATCTCCCTGCTCCAAAAACCCATTTAATATATTGTCCTCGGATAGAGAACATATCAGATATTAAACTGATAAGAACAGTTACTAGACTTGATCTTAGCCCAAAGGTCAAGAAGCGTTACCGTTGCTTTCGCCCCCGCCGTCACCGTCCCACTCTCATCCATATTAAAGTCGCGGTGAGAGCCCCAGCCTCGCTCCTTGCCTCATTGCCTTTGTCTCGTCCACACCACTATTGACGCCATTACACACTCGGGCTGATTTCTTATTCTCCACGTTTTAAAAGGGAAATCTTACACCTGTGCTTGTTCCGGCGTTCCCGGGCTTTCATTTCGAGTTTGCATGCCCCGTGCTTTCCCACAGAGCGTGGCCTCCAGGGTTGACTCCACCCCCGGGGCCGCCTCCTCGTGGGGAGACTAGGCTCCACTGGGGTCGACTTCCTTGTTTTTATGGACCGAGAGAAAAGACAGAATTGAAAGAGACTGAGGGCTAAAGCGAGAGGGGTCTGTGGAAGACACCTGTTGGCGGAGAGCGGTCCACGCAAACATGGTCATTTTTAAGAAAACTAAGATAAGTGCTTTGGAAAGAAAATTTGCTAACAAAATTTGCTGTTAAATGGCTTTGAAGTGCTTTTAGGTTCACTCTTCTTTGGCAGACACTGTTGACTGGGTAACTCCACACCTTTTTCCCACCCTTTTCTTCCTGATCTGCTTCTGCTACAGATGCTGGAAAGCTAAGTGCATGAATTCCCAAGCTGTCTTCGTGGCTGGATATGTCTATGACCCACTTCTGACTAAAGAGTAGCTAAAAATCTGATGGGGAAGGGGGCAGTCTGAGAAAAATTGCTTTCCTGATATAGTGGACAGATGTACTTCAGCTTTTTCCTGCCTTGAATATAGATGTTATACCCAGAGGTGCAGCAACCATTTTGTGATCATGAGGCTACAAGCCAACATTGAAGACTAATAGAATGGAAAGAGAGACAATGCTTGGGTCTTTTGCGGAATCACGGAGCAACATTGATGTTGGAATGTCTCCCTTTAGACTAAGATGCCCTCGGCTGGGTGCGGTGGCTCACACCTGTAATGTTCCTAACTCCCGCAAAGATGTTTCTTGGGGCTGGGCGCGGTGGCTCACGCCTGTAATGTTCCTAACTCCCGCAAAGATGTTTCTTGGGGCCCGGCGCGGTGGCTCACCCCTGTAATGTTCCTAACTCCCGCAAAGATGTTTCTTGGGGCCGGGCGCGGTGGTGCACGCCTGTGATGTTCCTAACTCCCCCAGAGATGTTTCTTGGGGCCGGGCGCGGTAGCTGACGCCTGTAATCCCAACACTTTGGGAGGCTGAGGAGGGCAGATCACTTGGGATCAGGAGTTCAAGACCATCCTGGCCAACATGGCGAAACCCCATTTCTACTAAAAATACAAAAATTAATCTGGTGTCATGGAGGGCACCTGTAATCCCAGCTACTCGGGAGACTGAGGCAGGAGAATCGCTTGATACCGGAAGGTGGAGGCTGCGGCGAGCTAAGATCGTGCCTCTGCACTCCAGCCTGCATGACAGGGCATGACACTCTGTCTCAAAAAAAAAAAGGTTTTTTGGGATTACCTCCCAAATAAACTATGTAGAGGCAAATCTGCATCACAGGATCTATTTAAGAGAAATACTAATTTAAGACAAAGCATATTAACAGTAGTCACTTCCATTGATTGAGGCTTTAAATATGGGCCTGGTGTTGTGCCAGGCGGCTCACATGCATTATCTCACTCACATTTACAACAATTCCACAAAGGAGTAGCTATGTTATTATGGTCAGGCAAAAAGTTGAGGTTGGCTGAGTGCAGTGGCTCATGCCTGTAATCCCAGCACTTTGGGAGGATGAGGCAGATGGATCAGTTGAGATGAGGAGTTTGAGACCAGCCTGGGCAACAAGGCATAAAAAAAAATCACTACAAAAAAGTATAAAAACTAGCCAGAAGTGGTGGTATATGCATGTGGTCCCAGCTAATTGGGAGGCTGAAGTAGGAAGATCACTTGAATCTGGAAAGCAGAGGTTGTAGTGAGCCATGATCACGTTACTGCACTTCAGCCTGGGTAACAGAACAAGACTCTGTCTTTTAAAAAAAAAAAAAGTTGAGGTTCAGAGAGGTTAAGTAATTTGTTCAACTACACACAGCTAAAAAATGGCAGACATCAACAGATGAATGGATAGGATAAACAAATTGTTTATACACACACACACACACGCACACGCACACAGGAATATTATTAAAGTCTTAAAGGAATGAAGTACTCATACATGCTACAAAATGGATGAACCTCAAGAACATCATGCTAAGTGAAAAACCCAAACACAAGAGGCCACATGTTGTACAGTTACATTTATATGAAGTATCCAGACAGATGAATCGATGGAGACAAAACTGAAATAGTTGCCAGGGACTGGGGGAGGGAGGGAATGGGGAGAACTTGCTTGATGAATGAGTTCACTTTGGGGTGACGGAAATGTTTTGGAACTGAGTAGAGGTGGTGCTTACAAACCATTGTGAGTACACTAAACGCCACTGAATTGTTCACTTTAAAATGGTTAATTTTACGATATGTGAACTTCCTGCTCAATAATATTTTTATGGCAGAGCTGGGAGTTTAAGCTAGGTGACTCCAACCAAGAAACTCTGATGTCAGTGATCCTCAAAGTGCAATCCCAGAAAGCAGTGCAGCATCACCTGGGAAGCTGCTAGAAATTCTCATTCTTAGGCCTCACCTCAGATCTACAGAATCAGAAGCTCTGGAGGTGGGGCTCAGCCATCAGTGTTTTCACAGACCCTCCAGGCGACTCAGATGAGCTGAAGTGTGAGGAGGACTGCCCAGAAATCAACATGAGTCTTATTCTCCGTCACACTCAGCCAATCTCAACCCATACATTTCACGTGAAAATAAACTATTTGTGGGTTCCTTGATATTAGGACTTCAAGGGCTCATGTGGGTGTGAGTTTGAGTGTGTTGAACTCATCACACACACACAAGTTTAGCAGCCAAGCTGGGATCAGGATGCCCTTTCTTTCAAGGTGTGTGGACACCCCCCAAAGCACAGTACAGAGAGCTGGGCTGCACCACCTTGGCAGGGGAGAGGCCTTGGCAGGCCTGATGCATCCATCTTCACCTGACTGTCAGGAGGCTTGGGTGGGGCGGGGCGCCTGTTCACCAGACCAGCTGAGCCCAAACCGGCAAATGTTTCCCCACCATAAAACAGGAGGAGATTCAGGGGCCGTGCCAAAAATAAATCTCCTAAATATCCCCAGGCTCCGCTGCCTTCCAAATCTGTCCCTTTTTCAGTACCCAGTGAATTTACTAACAAAAGCAGTTAGATAGAGAATTGAAATTATGTTCCTTTTTATACTGGGTTTAGAGCTTTAGTTCAATTCCAGGGACAAAACTCTTGAAAAGTAGTGGTTCATTTTAAAAACAAATTCCAATGAAACAGCCAAAATACCCCAACCTAGCACATGGGATTCCCTTTTCAGTGTTCCATGGAGCATTAGTTCCTGAAGATGTTACTAGGAATGTCTGGGAAAAGGGCATGGTGGACAACTGAAGTTGAGAAACGGTGTTTCCTTGACCCACCTTTTGGAGAGTCACAGTGCACATTTGCATATTAAAGGCTCTGAGAGATCCTGCAGCACAAAACCCTGCTTAAGTGTGTCCAACTCAGGCTGTCACAAACTCCAAACTTATTTAAGAGGCAGCAGAGCCCAGCAGTTAAATGCGAGCTCTGGAACCAGCATCTGGGTTCATATCCTGACTCAGCCACTGGCTGTGTGACCGCAGGGAAGTTAGTCACCCTCTCTGTACTTCAGTTTCTTCATTGATAGATGAATATGAAAACTGAACAAGTTCAGGGGGACCTTATGAGGACCAGCTGAGTTAACGCAGATACAGCAAATACAAGGCCTTACACCACTTAGCACATATTCAGTCCATGTTAGATGTGTGTTACATTTTTAAAAACAACTTAATCGGGGTGGGGCGTGGTGGCTCATACCTGTAATCCCAGCACTTTGGGAGGCCGAGGCAGGTGGATCGTGAAGTCAGGAGTTCGAGACCAGCCTGGCCAACATAGTGAAACCCCATCTCTACTAAAACTACGAACATTAGCCGGGCATGGTGGTGCATGCCTGTAGACCCAGCTACTCCGGAGGCTGAGGCAGGAGAACCGCTTGAACCTGGGAGGTGGAGGTTGCAGTGAGCCAAGATTGCACCACTGCACTCCAGCTTGGGCGACAAAGTGAGACTTTGCCTCAAAAAAAAAAAAAAAATTAATCGGTTGATTACAACATCTTGCCAACCCTCGTCCACTGAGCACATTTTTGGAAATGTAAGAGATACGACCTTACCTCTGTCTGAAACACAAAGAAAAGGACAATGGGCTGTTCCTGATAAAAAGGAAAAAGTTTAGAACCAACTGTCCCTTTTAAAGCCTAACTGGATACGGACTGAGCAGCAAGTGTGGATTCATCATTCTGGTGGGAGCCCTCTACCTATATGCCTGCTCTTCCTTTTTTCCCTAGAAGATTTCCCCTGGATATAGATTCCCTTTGGATGGTCTCCAGATATGTAGATAGAAACAACAGATAGGGGCTGAGCGTGGTGGCTCACGCCTGTAATCCCAGCACTTTGGGAGGCCGAGGCGGGCAGATCACTGGAGTTCAAGACCAGCCTGGTCAACATGGCAAAACCCCATCTCTACTAAAAATACAAAAATTAGCTGGGCATGGTGGTGTGCGCCTGTAATCTCAGCTATTGGGGAAGCTGAGGCAGGAGAATTGCTTGAACCCGGGAGGCAGAGGTTGCAGTGAGCCGAGATTGCACTACTGCACTCCAGCCTGGGTCACAGAGCAAGACTCTGTCTCCAAAAATAAAATAAAATAAAATAGGCCAGCCATGGTGGCTCACACCTGTAATCCCAGCACTTTGGGAAGCCAAGGCAGGCGGATCACCTGAGGTCGGGAGTTCAACACCAGCCTGGCCAACATGGTGAAACCCCATCTCTACTAAAAATACAAAAAAAAATTAGCTGGGCATAGTGGCAAGGGCCTGTAATCCCAGCTACTCGGGAGGCTGAAGCAGAAACATCACTTGAACCCAGGAGGTGAAGGTTGCAGTGAGCCAAGATTGCACCACTGCACTCCAGCCTCGGTGGCAGAGCAAGATAAATAAATCTCAAATCTCAAATAAATAAATAAATAATAAAATAAAATAAACAGGAGAAAAGATGTGTTCGTGATTTTTTTCCAATTCTGCCATCTCAGAAAAATGAGTAATTAGCCAGGCGTGATGGCAGGCACCTGTAGTCCCAGCTACTCGGGAGGCTGAGGCAGGAGAATCACATGAATCCGGGAGGCGGAGCTTGCAGTGAGCCGAGATTGTGCCACTGCACTCCAGCCTGGGCAACAGAGCGAGACTCCGTCTCAAGAAAAAAGAAAAAGAAAAGAAAAATGAGTAATGCTGTCTAGGATCTTAAGAAATTCATCAGTGTCTTCAAATGTATTCAAAACATACTTATTGAACTTTTATTATGTGCTAGGCACCATCCTACGACTGGCATTATGGTAGGGAGCAAAACAGATGATGTCCCTGCTTACATGGAACTGTCAAAATGATTGACTCTGGGTTCTGTATTAGCCAGACAGAGATAGGCGGATGGTTGTGCAAATATTCATTATTAAATGCTTATTATGCACTGGTCTTTTGTTAAGCATTTTATGTGTATTATCTTACTGAGTCTTCACAATAACCCTAGGCAGGCATGAGTGTCTCCACCTAATAGATATGAATTGAGACTCAGAGAGTTAAAGCCTTTTGCCCAAAATCACACAGCTGGTGGAGAGCAGTGCTGGACCAGGATTGATTGACTTTAGATAGTTTGACTCCAGAGCCACATTCCACCACACCGCAGCTTTCAAGAAAAAAGAAGATATGGAAATGTCTTGCCTTCACTTCTTTCCTTTTTCTGCTTTAGTGTCCTGATTCCCAAAAAAAAAAAAAAAAAAAAAAAGATATAATAGGGATAATTTAACATCCTCTGGATTATTTTACATTCTTGCAATGATCATGCATTGCCAGAAAAAATATTTTTGGTTTTTTCCCTCAAAGGAGGGATAAATGCTAGTTATAAAAATGCAGGCCAGGCCAGGTGCAGTGGCTCACACCTGTAATCCCAGCACTTTGGCAGGTGGATCACTTGAGGTCAGGAGTTCAGGACCAGCCTGGCCAACATGGTGAAACCCCATCTCTACTACAATTACAAAAATTAGCCGGGCATGGTGGCAGGCACCTGTAATCCCAGCTACTTGGGAGGCTGAAGTGGGAGGATTTGCTTGAGCTCGGGAGGTGGAGGCTGCAGTGAGCCAAGATCGCCCCACTGCACTCCAGCCTGGGCAGCAGAGTGAGACTCCATCTCACACACACACACACACACACACACACACACACACACACACACACACAATGCAGGCCATCTAGAAAGGTATTCATGTCATTCACTCAGTAAAGCTCTGTGCTGCTGTTTGGTGGCACACACAGCAGAAACAGAGGAGGGAGACTGGCATCGTCCCTGCCTTCTTGGAACTGAGAACTGGGCAGGGGAGAAGGACTGGGCATTTCATCTCAATGGGGTCGGGGACCTCCAGGAGAGACATTTGGGGCTGGGAGAGTCTGGCCTTGGGGAGTCAGGGCAGGTTCTCTAAAGAAGTGAAGACTGAGCTGATAAAAGGAGAGGCAGCCAGGTGCAGTGGCTCACGCCTGTAATCCCAGCACTACGGGAGGCCGAGGCAGGCGGATCACAAGGTCAGGAGTTCGAGACCAGCCTGGCCAACATGGTGAAACCCCGTCTCTACTAAAAATACAAAAAATTAGCCGGGCGTGGTAGCAAATGCCCGTAGTCCCAGCTACTCAGGAGGCTGAAGCAGAAGAATCACTTGAACCTGGGAGGCAGAGGTTGTAGTGAGCCGAGATTGTGCCACTGTACTCTAGCCTGGGTGACAGAGTAAGACTCTGTCTCAAAAAAAAAAAAAAAACAGAAGGAGAGGCAGCAAAGGGAAAGTGGGCTGTCAGGGAAGAGGCTTCCCGGTGGAGGAAAGAGCCTGTGCAAAGGTCCTCAGACTACCAGGACCGAGGCTGGAGGAAAGGAGAGATGGCCTGTCGGACCAGAGAGAGAGGGAGCAACTCAGGTTGGCAAGGCAGGCATGGGTCAGACAACATGAGGCCTCATCAGCATATCTTGTGTGGTCCGCGAGGCTTCATCCTTAGAACAATGGGCCCCACTGAAGAGTTACAAGCAAGAGAATGAATCTCTTAGAATCACCCAAATGCCACCACCCAGAATAATAACTGCACATGCCTTGCTGTGTGTCCTTTGCAACTTGGGTCCAGGCACTCGCATTCACAAGCATAGAGCTATTGCCTTTTCGAATGCAGACCCACACGACACAGTCTTTTTTCCAGACTGCTTTTTCCTCTTAGCCATACATGGTGGACATCACTTCAGGTCAATGCTTGCGGCTCTGTGTCATTATTTTAATGGCTGCTTATTGTTCCATGACATTAAGGGATCAAACTTTGGCTCTCCAGCCTCCATCTATGGACATCGGGGTTGTCTTGTTCTCCCTCCCTTTGTGGACACCACAACAGTGCCATCCTCACACATGCACCACTGCAGTTTTTCTTCAACCTCAGCGTGGCTGAATTCCCTTTTCCTCAACAATGTGGTCATCCCAAGGCCTGGCCTGCCCTTGATCTGAAGGTTTAGCATCTGAGTGCCAGTGGGGCTAAACAAGATGTATGGCTTTATTTGGCAGGGGTGAAGATGGCAGTTTCTACCCTGGTCCAAAGCAGATGGAGGGACCCGGAGAGAGATTAGAATAAAGAGGGAATTGGCAGCTGGGTCTTCCTTTGGGAGTGAGGGAGGCCAGCGAGGATGAATTAAATGTTTAAAAAAAAAAAGGTGAAATGAGCTGGAATCCAGCCATGGGCTCGTCTTGCATGTGACAGCAGCACATATGTCCGAGGAAGCTGGACTCTGTCACATACACTTTTCAGGGGAGCCCATGGTAGAGTGGAGAGGGGCACAGAGTCAATGAGGCCCAGCCCATCTCACCCATCCTCATCCACCATGCCCCAGCCTCAGCAGCCCTCCAATCTCTTATCCTGCCTTGCCCGGCCTGCCCCACCTCGGGACCTTTGCATGGGCTGGGCCCTCCACCTGGACTGCTATTTCCACATCTTTCCATGGATGGAGACTTCTCATCCTCAGGTCTCATTCATCTGTCCCATCTCCATGACGCCTTCACCAAACATCCTATTTAAAGCAGTCCTTCTGGCCAGGCATGGTGGCTCACGCCTGTAATCCCAACACTTTGAGAAGCGGAGGCAGGCAGATCATCTGAGGTCACAAGTTTGAGACCAGCCTAGCCAACATGGTGAAACCCCGTCTCTACTAAAAAATACAAAAATTCACCGGGTGTGGTGGCGGGTGCCTGTAATCCCAGTTACTTGGGAGGCTGAGACACAAGAATCACTTGAACCCAGGAGGCGGAGGTTGCAGTGAGCCAAGATGTCTCCTTTGCACTCCAGCCTAGGAGACAGAGCGAGACTCTATCTCAAAAAAAAAAAAAAAAAAAAGCCGTCCTTCTTCCCTGCAGCACCCCCACACTGTCTGTCAAATCACCCTCTTTATTCTCCTTAGAGCACCCATCAAAAGCATCTTGGTTTTTACTTTACCTGCTCTGAGTCCACCATCCCTTCCTAGGATGAAGACTCTGTGAGGACTGGGATCTTGTCTTTCTTATTTCTTATTCCCCATTGCCTAGCACACTACCTGGGACAAGGAGCCCACAATATATGTTTGATGAATGAAAGGATGAATGAATGGAGTCACATGGACCTGGGTTCACATTCCAGCTCTGCCATTATATGACCTTGGGTAAATATTTAACGACTTTAAGCTAGCTCCTTATTTTTAAAATGAGTATGATCAAAGCTCCCACCTCACTAGATGGTCATGAAGATTAAGCAAGATGATGCCTGTCATGCCCCAATCCCAGTGCCAGCTGCAGGAAGTGTTTTGTGCAGAACAACAGGGAACAGAGGTCTTTCCAGAGGAAATCTGGCCTTTTCATGAACCAGTGCCACATTCAGTTCTTCCCTAGGCTTCCAAATCCATAATTCTACCCGGAACAGGTACACCACAGGTCTCTTTATGGCTGCTGTAGACAGTTGAAGATAATTATCAAACAGGTTCTGGGGACCAAAAATCCAACAGGTGTGGTGGTGGGTGCCTGTAATCCCAGCTACTTGGGAGGCTGAGACACAAGAATCACTTGAACCCAGGAGGCGGAGGTTGCAGTGAGCCAAGATGGTTCCTTTGCACTCCAGCCTGGGAGACAGAGCGAGACTCCATCTCAAAAAAAAAAAAAAAAAGCCGTTCTTCTTCTTCTTTACAACCCTGCTCAAAGATCAGTTTTTAACAATTAACAGGGCCTCCGAGGCAGGTTCTGACTTACTCATTAAGGCAGGAAACAAGCCTCTCTCCACCGTCCACTTACAGATTTAAATACCAATGATTACAGCCAACTAGGGCCACTCCCACAAGCTGACCAGCAGGATTAATTTTTACAGAATTTAACCATTGTTGGATGTATCTATCCTTGAATTCTCAAATTCCCAGCAAGAAAACTTTGGATTTCTTTTATTAGCTGCTGCACATGCAGAGAAGACAACTCCTACATGCATGGGGTTGGTAGCAAAGAGACTCCTCTTTCAGAACAGCCAGGAGCCAGGTTGTTCTCAAAGCATCGTGCTCCCTCTGCTGGACATTGCCTAAACTGCAACTCCAGTATCCACATCAGCCCCCTCCTGAGTGCCTGCTACTTTACCAGGGACAATGGGGACACACGACGACCTTTTTTACTCCACTGAATGAAAGATAATCCCCTGCCACATGTGACTTTTATTAAGTTATACATGGGAGGTGGGAGTGCAGACTCTTAAGATAATGAGAATTAAGGCTTTTGCCAAAATGAGGCCACACCTCGAAATCCTTTGCTGTGGATTTCAAAGCAAACTGGCACCTTGAGGGGAATGGGCGGTGGGGGAGTGTTTGGGCTTGTTTATGCTGAGCAAGAAAGGGCTTCCTGTTGCTAAGAAGGCCGGATCTGAAGCTCCCAGAGCCTCCATGGGCTGCCAACATTTCTTACACAACCCCCTTTGATGGCCTTGGCGCAAATTAATGAAACTGCACAGAGGTGATTTCCCTGGAAATCCACCGGGCTGAGAATTCAGGGAAGTTGAGGCTTGAGGCAGAAAGCTGGGGCTGGGGTGCCGCCAAGCCTGGGACAGAGGGCAGCAGGCGGACGCTTTCCCCGGGGTGCAGAGGGGGGTCCCCGGTCACTCGAATACAGGGGTGGGAGGGTGGGCCAATGAGGCCCAAAATGAGATCACTAGCAAGACCCCATCAAGCTCACTCCTTTCAACCATACGTTTAGTTGTAGACGTTGCCTGCTAGAAACAATGTCTTCCCGTCATTCTTGATAAAAGTGGATTTTCTGCTGCTAAATTGAAAAGTCCCCGACTTTCCTTCTTGTCCTCTTCTGAACAGCTCTTTCCAACCCCCCTCCCTCCTGCCCTATGGAGATTACCCCTTGTTCACCATAAATGGCCAAAACCCAGACACAAGGCTGAAGCCCGTCCATGGGAGGACAGTTGAGAGGGTGACGGCATTCCACACCACGGAATGGGCCCAGGATGGGAAAGACGGTGTGTAAGCCTCGACGCCGGGCCTGGAGGGATGGCCAGGTATACTGAGTGAGAAAAAACCACACAGAAAAGTTGTACAGTTCCATGTCAGACACCCTGTAAGTGGCCAGCAAGGTTTCTAAGTTATCTGTATGAACAAGAGGACACACCCCAAATAGTCAGCACTTGCTACTTCAAGGGAGCCACGTTGTTTGACAGGGAGGGGAGACTGGGATGTCCTTTCTACACCTGGGTGTCATGAGTCTGGTAAGAAGAGGACCCAGCTCTTGCCAGGTGGGTCCCAGATGTGCCTCCGTGGAGCCTTTCCCTCCCTCCCACCTTGATTTCCCCTTTGAGCTGTGTTGTCAGCTTTCACTGGAACATAGCTCATGGCTCGTGGCATATTTTAGCACTCATACATCAGTCCTATTTGCCCTAGGTTTTGAACTTTGTAAGGCATGGACATGTCTTTGTAGCCCCTATAACTAGGCCAGCCTAGCCTACAATACATGCTCAATAAATTCTTTCAAACTCTCTGGAATGAGAAGAAACATTCAGTAAATGTTTCCTAGCAACTGGGAGAAGTGAATGACTTAGAGCACACCACAAATGGAACTCCAATTGAATTAAAGAACTAAATAGAGAGAACCAAATACTCAGTGCATCGCTGTGGTTCTTAAATTTCAGCAGGCAGCAGCATCACCAGGAGGGCTTGTTAGTTTCTGATTGCATAGGTCTGTGGTGGGATCTGAGGTGTGCTCTTTCCAGTCGCTTCCCAGGTGACGTTGATGCTCCTAGGCCAGGGACCATCTGCTGAGAACCGCTGTCCTATGGTCTTAGGGTAACTTACTCCATTTCAAGCAAAGGAATAAATTAAAACAGAAAAGGGAGATTGGACCAACAGTTCTGGGACTTGGTTACCCATCAGAATTAGGCCCACCCAGCGTGCTGAAACGTAGATTCCAAGGAGGTCACCCTCCAAAGCTGACGGTGGAGCCCAGGTGTCTGTATTTTTAAAACAAATACCCCCAAGCAAGTCTAAGTCACAGCCAGGTTTGGGAACTACTGATTCACCTACACATATTTCAAACTTCAGAGAATGGAAAACACCACCAGAATGGAAGATAAAGAGAAAAACAAGGGTGGATTTGCATGGAATAAAATAGAAGCCTGAGCGGCTCACTCCTTCCCTTCCTTCCAATCTCTGCTCACATGTCACCCTTTGAGAGGCCTTCCCAATCACCTCATATCTAATTGCAGCCTGACCCAGCACTTCCTGTTTTCTCTACCCTGCTCTAGTTTTTGTCTCTGTAATAGTAATTGCCACCTAACATTAGGTATTTACCCACTTTGATGCTTGTCTTCTGTCTCCCTCTAGAATGAAGATGACAGGAGGTAGAGAACTTGATCTCTTTGGCTCATTGCTATTCCTTGGGTGCCTGGACCATACCAAGCCTCAAGAACAATTTGTGGAGTGACAGAATGAACTATGATATCAGTAATTTGGGGTTCATTGAGTCTTGTTTTATGGCTTGGTAATGGTCCAGTTTTACAACTGTTTCCTGAATATCAATAAGGATGTGTCTTTGCTAACTGTTGAGTACAGAATTCCACAAATGCCCTGTAAGTCAAGCTTATTGCTGATGTTATTGAAACTTTCTACATTCCTATTACATTTTTGCCTACTTGTTTGCGGCAAAATCTCCCACTATAATAGTAGACATTGTGTGACTAATAGTAGACAAATGTGTGACAATTAGGCACATTAGATACATTATCTCTCTTATCATAGTAATCGTTCCAGTTACTATCACTATGTAGTAAATTACCCCAAATTTCCTGGCCAAAAAAACCCACCATTTTCTCATGCTCACAGATTCTATGGGTCAGGAATTCTTGTCCAGCAGAGTAGGGACAGCTCATCTCTGTTCCACAGTACCTGGGGCCTCAGCCTGGCAATGCCAAGGCTGGGGCAACTGAGGGCTAGGGACCAGGATCGCCTGCAGGTGTCTTCATCACGGGTGTGATGTTGATGCTGGCTGTCAGCTGGGAACTGCAGTGGGGATGTCACTCCCTGAGGTCTTTTGACACATGTTGGCTTGGGCTTCCTCACAACATGGCAGCTGGGGTCCAGGAGTGAGCATCCCAGGAGAAAGCACATGGCCTTTTAATGATCTAGCCTCAGAAGCCACTCAGCATCACTCTGCCATACCACAGCCAAGGCCACATTCAAGGGGAGGGGACATGAACCCCACCTCTTGATGGCAGGACTGTCAAGGTCACATTATATGAAGAACATGTGGGAGGGGAGACAGTACTGCAGCCATCATTGGAAAATACAGTCTGCCCCAGCACCCCTCTGAAATCGATTTTATTGGTCTCAATTTTAAATTTATGAGAACTAAGACATAGAAAGGTTAAGTAACTTGCCCAAGAGCACTCAGCTAGTTAGTGGCAAAGTGAAGACTTAATCCTAGGTCTCCCTGACTCTAAATTACATGACTGATTGACAGATAATCTATATGTGTATGTTATGTGTGTGTGTGTGTGTACATATATATAATTCATTTATACTCAAACTTATTTTTAAAAATAATTTAAAGTGGCTAAATGCAAAAACAAAAATCATAATGTTTCATATTCAGAAAGTAATTCCCACAACTTATTCATCTACTACTAGTATTTTTGGGTTCTCAGAAAGAGACATTCTTACTTTATGTTTCCCAAGCATAAGGCTAGTTTTTATTTCTGCCTAATGCAGTTAAGAGAAAGAAGGTGAACTAACAAGCAAGAATCAATCAACTTTCCAGGACCTTGGGAGGACACAAAGCTCCCCTCTGCTGCCTGCCCAGCTGAAAGAGCTTCTCTCAGACTTTCAGCCTGGAGACGGCCCAGAGGTCGTGGGACTTGTATCCCAGGAGGACCAGATGAGCCCGCCTTTCTCCTCTTCTCCTCCACCTGAAGAGCAGAAATAATTACCCTTCCCCTTCCCTACTGCACAGGAATACGCCAACCACGTGAGCACGTGAGATCCAAGTCACTGGAGTCCAAGCACAGAGCATTTTCTTTTCTTTTTTTTTTTTTTTTTTTGAGATGGAGTCTCACTCTGTCACCCAGGCTGGAGTGCAGTGGTGCGATCTTGGCTTACCGCAATCTCTGCCGCCGGGGTTCAAGCGATTCTCCTGCCTCAGCCTCCCGAGTAGCTGGGATTACAGGCACCTGCCACTGCACCTGGCTAATTTTTGTAGTTTTTAGTAGAGACGAGGTTTCACCATCTTGGCCAGGCTGGTCTTGAACTCCTGACCTTGTGATCCACACACCTTGGCCTCCCAAAGTGCTGGGATTACGGGCGTGAGCCACCCCGGCCGGCCCTGCACGGAGCATTTTCAAGACTTCCCTGAATTGCTGGATAGAAAAGTTAACAGGACCCTAGAGACCTTGGGCTGTTGTGGGCATCAGAATCCTGGGAACCCTTTTTCGAAATACAAATTCCTGGGACCCCCAACCAGAGCTTCAGAATCCGCAGGCTGGGGCCTGGCACGTATTAAAAGCTCCCCACGTGACTCTATTGACCACCCTGGATGTAAACCAATGATCCAGTTTGAGGCCCATTATGCAGCTGGTAAACAGAGAACCAGGGGTGCAAGTGGCCCCCACATAGTGACCTAGAAGGTCAGTGCCAGGCTGGGACCCCAGCTCCGGCAGCCTCCCTAAGATTTCCTTAAAGTACGTTTTCCCTGCTCCAACGTGTGCCATGAGCTTGTTGGTTTATCAGGCTGAGCTGCTTAACATAAATGAATGGCAACAGCAAATTTCCAGGACAGAGTCACAAAGGTCACCAGACCTTGGTGCAGGACAAGCTGTTCCAATCATACACGTTGCCTATTTTCATCCTCACTACAGGCCAAGAGACAAAACTACAATCATGCCCATTTCACAGATTGGGACACAGAGAACTTGAGAAGACATCTGTTTCAGCTGGGCTCAAATAGAACTAAGTCACCACATCACTGCTGCCTCCACTTCCCTAATAGCTAAGCTCACCTCCCAGGCACCAGTTTAAGCCTTTTACAAAGTCTAGGGTTGTGCGAGATCTATGCTGCACTAAATATACTCTTATTATTCCTATTTAACTCATGATCCACTGACACTAACATATATTGAGGCCTATTATGCAGCAGGTGCTTTGTCAGGTGCTAGTCATTCTTCGTAGCATTTAATTATTTCAACAGAAGGCCCATTGCTCTACCCATTTTAGAGATCAGGAAACCAAGGTTTGGAGAAGTGAGTAATTTGACCAAATTTGCACAGCTGCTAAATGGCACAGGCGCCTATGCTTTGATGCTCTCGTCATAGTATATGGACGGGATGGGTGCAGTGGCTCACACCTGTAATCCCAGCACTTTGGGAGGCTGAGGTGGGCGGATCACTTGAGGCCGGGAGTTTGAGACCAGCCTGGCCAACATGGTAAAACCCCATCTCTACTAAAAAGTACACACACACAAAAAAAATTAGCTGGGCATGGTGGCTCATGCCTGTAATCCCAGCTACCCGGGAGGCTGAGGCACAAGAATCAGTTGAACCCAGGAGGCAGAGGTTGCCATGAGCCAAGATCACGGGCTCTGGCCTGGGTGACAGAGTGACACTTTGTGTCCAAAAAAAAAACAGTACATGGACAGTGTACTGCCTTCATCTGGAGAATGTAAGCTCCCTATGGGCGACTTCCATTCTATATGTAACTTATATACTAATAGACAACTTATAAGCTACTTATCCTAACTAACTTATATATAGTATAAGTGTGGTTTTGCACACCATTTTTGCTCAATGCCAGACCCATGCATAGCGGCGGGCACGCTGTAGGTCTTCCAATAATCCAGTTCAGTGCAATTAAATCCAACTCAACATGACAAAGACTGAAACGTTCAGCCCCTCCTGGAAACAAATAGTACCTGCGGTCCACACCTCACCTTTGTAGCTCCCGGCACTGGGCCCAGCACCCAGCAGGGACTCCTGGGTGACAGCCGTGAATGCTGAATACCGCTTCGAGGGGAGCTGTTTCCTCCGGAGCGTCCTAGGGGAGGATCTACAAAGAGGCCTTTTTGTTTGCGGCTGCGCAGCAAGCCCCCAGCAGGCCTCTGGGGAAAGCTGAGCAGAAAGCAGGCGGGTGGTTGAGCAATGGTGGAGGTGGGGACTGCTCCCCCTGGATCACCCTCCAGCACTACCAGTTCCCTCTCCAGAGCCAGCAACCCCGTGGGCGTCCAGCAGCCCCTCACTCCTGCCAAGCCAGGCAGGAAGCATGGCCTCTGCTTACTCCCAGTCCAGTCCCCTGAAGGGACTTGGTCTAAACCAGTGAGGTGTTTTCCACCGAAACTCTTCAATCAGCTCTTGTCATTCACTGGCCTCTTCTCTGTTTGATAGTGAGGCTTTGCCTTTGGAAAGGTTTTGTTCTGCCCTTCAGGGACACCCAAGCTGGTCCTGAGATAGTGAGTGCAGCGTGGCTTTTCCGAGGGTGTGCTCTACTGTAGAGGGTCTCTACTAAAAATACAAAAATTAGCCGGGCGTGGTGGTGCATGCCTGTAATCCCAGCACTTTGGGAGGCCAAAGCGGGGGGATCACTTGGGGTCAAGAGTTCAAAACCAGTCTGGCCAACATGGCGAAACCGCATTTCTACTAAAAATACAAAAATTACCTATGCATGGTGGTGGGCGCCTGTAATCCTAGCCACTCAGGGGCTCAGGCAGGAGAATCCCCACAGGCAAGTGGAGGTTGCAGTGAGCCGAGATCTGGGTGACAGAACAAGACACTGTCTCAAAAAAAAAAAGAAAAGAAAAGAAAGGCATGGTGGTGGCAGGAAGCACAGGAAATGACTCATGGGCATCTGGGAGGAAGCAGGGCACACTTGAGTGGAGAGGAGGGGTGACCAGGAGGGGAAGACAGGGAGTGCACCCCAACAGCAGGGGCGTCGCAGCAGGGAATGGGATTTCACCGGGAGAGAGAAAATGATTGCCCTGGGTCCTTGTTAATTGAAATACCAAAATTCCCCAGCAGATGGAAAACAAAGGCTTCTAAGAGATTCACTGTGCACCTCATTGGGTCGTATCTGAGACTACAGCGACACGTGTGGCCACCATCAGCACACATCCCATTAATGGTCCACACAAGCACAAATTCACATGGTCCATTCAGTCATAGACTAAACATCCAAATATGTAAGCCTGGCTGGGCATGGTGGCTCACACCTGTAATCCCAGCACTTTGGGAGGCTGAGGTGGGCGGATCACTTGAGGCCAGGATTTCGAGACCAGCCTGGCCAACATGGCAAAACCCCGTCTCTACTAAAAATACAAAAATTAGCTGGGCGTGGCCCAGCATGCCTTAATCCCAGCTACTTGGGAGGCTGAGGCAGTGGAATTGCTTAAACTTGGGAGGCTGAGGCAGGAGAATTGCTTGAACCTGGGAAGCGGAAGTTGCAGTGAACCGAGATTACGCCACTGCACTGCAGCCTGGCCAACCCAGTTGAGACTCCGTCTCAAAAAAAAAAAAAAAAAAAAAAGTAAGCCTATGCTATGGGTTCTTTCTCATCCAGTCTTGATGTCATAAAATATGGGACAAAAAAAAATGTTGTAGCATATTGAAAATTTATCATAAATGTAAACAACAGGAACTGAGTAGAACTCTGTCAGAGGAGACAAACATATATTTCCTTGACCAACAAGACATAGAAAAAGTTAGCAAAGTTTTGATTAAGCCAAATATTTTCTGAATTCCAGGAATTTTTACATAAATATAAAACTGAGTATAAGAGCATTTTTATTTTAATTTTTTAAAATTTTAAGCCCATCCTTTAATATTTTAGAGTAGAATTGGGAAAGTACCCCTCAGTAACAAGGAAAACTGTACAATGGAGTTAATTCAAGTCCTGCTTTTATGTTCGTCACTGAAGAATTCTGTGGCACACTGAAAATTTCGCTTTTATAAGCTTTTTAAAGGAGAGAGAAAGAGAGAGAGACGGATGACTCCAGCTCCATCACCCAGGGTGGAATGCAGTGTCATGATCACGGCTCACTGCAGCCTCCACCTCCTGGACCCAAATGATCCTCCCACCTTGGCCTCCTGAATAGCTAGTGCCACACACAGGCTTGCACCACCATATCCACCTAATTAAAAACAAAAATTGTAGAGATGGGGGCCTCTTGCCGTGTTGCTCAGGCTAGTCTTGAACTCCCGGCCTCAAGCAATCCTCCCTCCTTGGCCTCCCAAAGTGCTGGGATTACAATCGTGAGCCACCACGCCTGGTCTCAAAACTACGTTTTCTTCTATGTTTTTCATTTTATGATAATATCCTGGTATGTTTCCAGTTCACCTACAGAATGGCTCCTCCAAAAAACTATGAAGTACTTATGTTTTGTCTATTTTCTGAAGACAGTGAGGGTGAATATTGTCCCAGGTATAAACCTTTGGAAACATAACTTTCAGGATCCTGCAGGCCCTTTAAATTATAATTCTGTGTTCAAGGCTTGTCTTCTCCAAAAGCAGATGGAAGTTGGCCATGACTTACAATCATCATTGAAATCATGAACCTAAATCTTACACTCTCCACACTCCTTATGCCCCCTCCAAATGTCCCATAAGAGCTCTCAGTTCCTACTTCAGGAAGGAGGGAGGGAGGGAGGAACAAAAGAGGAAGGGAGAGAAGGGAATGGGGAATGGGAGAAAGAAGCAGTTTAGGTTACTTCAAAAGCAGGGCTGGGTGCGGTGGCTCATGCCTGTAATCCCAGTACTTTGGGAGGCCAAGGCCGGCGGATCAACTGAAATCAGGAGGTCAAGACCAGCCTGGTCAACATAGTGAAATCCCATCTCTACTAAAAATACAAAAATTAGTTGGGCGTGGAGGCAGCCGCCTGCAATCCCGGCTACTTGGGAGACTGAGGCAAGAGAATCTCTTGAACCTGGGAGATGGAGTCTGCAGTGAGCCGAGATCGCGCTGTTGCACTCCAACCTGGGAGACAAGAATGAAACTCATCTCAAAAATAAATAAATAAAAATAAATTTAAAAAGCAGATAGCATGCTTGCTTCGGCAGTACATATACTAAAATTGGAACAATATAGGCAAGATTAGCATGGCCCCTGCATTTAAAAATAAAAAATAGGCCAGGTGCAGTGGCTCACACTTGTAATCCCCACACTTTAGGAGGCCAAGGCAGGCGGATCACCTGAGGTCGGGAGTTTGCGACCAGCCTGACCAACAGGGAGAAACCTCGTCTCTACAAAAATACAAAATTAGCCGGGCATGGTGGCACATGCCTGTAATCCCAGCTACTTGGGAGGCTGAGGCAGGAGAATCGCTTGAACCCAGTAGGCGGGGGTTGCGGTGAGCCAAGATCGCGCCATTGCACTCCAGCCTGGACAACAAAAGCAAAACACTGTCTCAAAAAATAATAATAAAATAAAAAATAAAAAATAATTAAAAAAAAAAAAGCAAGTAACATATACTCATTGAACCAGGATTCCTATTTCTAGGAACTCATCTTACATACACACTTGTCCGCTTGTGAAATGATACATGTACAAGATTAAAAGACTCTTTGTATTAGCAAAAAATAAAAATAAAAATTGACAAGAACCTAAAATTTCATCTGGAAGGGATAAATTAATTACAGATTAAATCTGTACTATTAGGAGTTAAACAGGTACAATGGAATACACTGCAGCTATAAGAAAGAATAAAGAGGGTCCGTATTAACTGTTGTGTAATCATCTTCAAAATACACTGTTAGACGTAAGGGGTAAAAAAAGGGCCCGGGCCTGGTGGCTCACGCCTGTAATCCCACCACTTTGGGAGCCCAAGGCGGGTGGATCACTTGAGGTCAGGAGTTCGAGACCATCCCGGCCAACCTGGTGAAACCTCATCTCTACTAAAAATACAAAAATTAGCTGGGCATGGTGGCACAAGCCTGTAATCCCAGCTACTCGAGAGGCTGAGGCAGGAGAATCGCTTGAACCCGGGAAGTGGAGGTTGCAGTGAGCAGAGATCATGCCACTGCACTCCAGCCTGAGAGATAGAGCAAGACTCTGTCTCAAAAAAAAAAAAAAAAAAAAAAGACACAGCTCAGAACAATTCTATTGGATGCTTCCACTGTGTAAACAAGAGTGAGATAAGACGTAGGTCCAGGTATTTGATTACATTTGCATACAATGTATCTGGAAGGACCTGTATGAGCTGGGAACCCCGGACACCCTCACAGAAGAGAACTGGGTGGGCAAGGGATGGAATCTTTTTGGTGTCTTTAACATTTTGAATCATATGATTGCATTCGCCTTTCAATATAAACATTAAGCTCAGTTGTGGTTTTTTTTTAGACGGAGTCTCGCTCTGTCGCCCACGCTGGAGTGCAGTGGCGCAATCTCGGTTCACTGCAAGCTCCGCCTCCCGGGTTCACGCCATTCTCCTGCCTCAGCCTCCCGAGTAGCTGAGACTACAGGCACCCGCCACCACGCCCAGCTAATTTTTTGTATTTTTAGTAGAGACGGGGTTTCACTGTGTTAGCCAGGACGGTCCCGATCTCCTGACCTCGTGATCCGCCCGCCTCAGCCTCCCAAAGTGCTAGGATTACAGGCGTGAGCCACCGCGCCCGGCTAAGGTCAATTTTTTTAATTGAACAGGCAAAAGAAATCCAGGATCACTCCATGTCTGGGTTTGGCCAATATTTTCCCAAGGCACCAGAGAGTAAATATTTAAGCTTTTCAGGCTAGTAAGAGCTCAATCCCCACCACCCTCAGCAATGTCTTTGAAATTCAAAAGCAGCCATGGACAGTAAGTAAAGGAATGGGTGTGGCCACGTGCCAAGAAAACTTTATTGAAGATGCTGAAACTTTAATTTCATGTAAGTTTCACATGTCTTGAAGCATTCTTCACTTGATTTTCCCCCCAATTGTTTAAAAAATGTGAACCCATTCTTAGCTCACAGGGCTGTAATCGGCCAGCTCCTGGTCTGTGGTGATGGCCTCTTCATTTCTGCAGTGATCTCACTATAGCTTAGGGGTGTGTCCAGCTCGGGGCACCTGTGTTAAGAGGAATATTAACCAGCGAACTGGTATGCCATCAGTCTGGTGCCAGGATGGGAGGAATGTTGAAAAACTTGGGGCCGTAGATCCTGAGGAAAGAAAATTTGGGATTAGAGGGCAAGAGCAAAGTGGAATGAAACCTGCCATCAAATAGGTGATGGGCTGCGGGAGGGGGATCCCGGTCTCAGATGCAGCGTGGCCAGGTAGGACAAGGTGGCTTTGGGGCTTCACCCAAAGGAGAAATATTAACCATTCCTAGAGCTTCCGTGGAGAAGGAAGCCCTGGAGCAGCGACCAAGATGCACTTAAGGCACCAGTGGATCAGTGGATGGGATGCCCTCGGTGTCCCCACCCCATCCCTGTCCTCACCACCTCAGGGCACATGCACCCTCCACGGCCAGAACCTGCATTTCTTTTTTCTTGCTTGCTTTCCCTCTTTCTTTCTCTTTCTCTCTCTCTCTCTCTCTCTTTCTTTCTTTCTTTCTTCTTTCTTTTTTTTTTCTCGCTCTGTCACCCAGGCTGGAGTGCAGTGGCGCGATCTTGGCTCACTACAACCTCTGCCTCCTGGGTTCAAGAGATTCTCCAGCCTCAGCCTCCTGAGTAGCTGGGACTACAGGCTCCCACCACCATGCCCGACTAATTTTTGTATTTTTAGTTAGCGACAGGGTTTCACCATGTTGACCAGGCTGGTCTCGAACTCCTGACCTCAAGTGATCCGCCTGCCTTGGCCTCCCAAAGTGCTGGGATTACAGGGGTGAGCCACCGCGCCTGGGCGTCCTGCATTTCTTTACCTGGGAGCTTCCTTGGCTGCCACTGTCTGCTCTGCCCACCCACAAGGCAGGTCAGAAGCACAGGGAATTAACCCCCCTCAGAAGCAGCACTTCACCCGTGTTGGTGGGTAAATGTCCCAGTTGTGTCCCCACTGGGAGAATAGCTCTGTGGGGTGTAGTCTACACCAAAGAGTTCCTCAGCAGGGCCAAGCAAGGGTGAGCCAAGAGAAGAACTCACTCCCAGGCCCTGCAAATTTTTAAACTTTAATAATTATACATGGCCAGGCATGGTGGCTCACGCCTATAATCACACTTTGGGAGGCCAAGGGAGGCGGATCACTTAAGGCCAGCTGTTCGAGACCAGCATGGGCAACATGGCAAAATCCCGTCTCTACTACAAATGCAAAAATTCGCCGGCTGTGGTGGTGCACACCTGTGGTCCCAGCTACCGGGGAGGCTGAGGTGGGAGGATCACTTGAGCTCAGGAGGTCGAGGCTGCGGTGAGCCAAGATAGCACCACTGCACTCCAGCCTGTGCAACACAGTGAGACACTGTCTCAGACAAAAATATATATATATATTATATGGGCTGTCAATCAAGTGCGTAATAATTTTTTCTTTTCTTTGCATTTTTTGAGGGGAAATTTATCTTCCGAGCCTGACTCCTCCATGCCACCTGAAAGAAGACGTAACCTCATCTCATTCCGATTCCCTCCATGATTTCTGGGGATTTCTGCATCTCTCTGAGTTGAATCCAGTGATTCATATGGTTTCCCTCGGCCTCCTTCTCCTTCCCTGGGGTTGCTCGGGGTCTCAGTCCAGACTGACACATCCACTTTCTCTCTCTTCTCTCAGCAGCCTTCTGAGCGGCGATCACCTGTTCTGCGTGTTTCCATGTCTTCTCTTGAACCCTGACCCAATCTTGCGCTTACAAGTTTAGAACGTTCCTCCCTTTGTTTCTCCTCTTCACCAGCGCCCTTAAACTGAAGAGCTCCCACCTGTAGCAGGCCAACAGGTAAGCCTAAAGACAGGAGGTTGCTTGTGTCAGTTACCTGTATGTCCCCTGTCTATGCAACAGCTCAGATATGTGTCCAGCAGGCATTTCCGATATTTTCAAGACCCAGCTCCCAAAGGTGGCCCCATGTGGACCCGTCCCCACCTCAATATAGGGCAGTGACTCTGGCCAAAAATCTTGCTTGGCTCATGTTTCTTGGCTCATGTTTCTTTCATAGTCCATATTCAATCGGTCAACAAGTCTTGTCAGGTCCATCTGCAAAATGTATCCAGAATTTTATGCTGTAGAATATTATTCAGCCATAAAAAAGAATGAAATCCTGTCCTTTGCAGCAACATGGATAGAACTGGAGGTCATTATGTCAAGTAAGCTGGGCACAGAAAGAGAAATATCACATGTTCTCACTCATATGCAGGAACTAAGAAAAAGTGGATTTCATGGAGGTAGAGAGTAGAATGATGGTTACCAGTCTGAGAAGAAAATCAGGGGATGAAGAGAGATTGACTACTGGGCACAAAAATACAATTAGAAGGAATAAGATCTGGCCAGGTGCGGTGGTTCACGCCTGTAATCCCAACACTTTGGGAGGCCAAGGCAGGCGGATCACGAGGTCAGGAGTTCGAGACCATCCTGGCCAATATGGTGACAGAGTAAGACTCTGTCTCAAAAAAAAAAAAAAAAAAGAAGAAGAAGGAATAAGATCTAATGTTCAATAGCACAGTAGGGTTACTATAGTTAAAAATAATATTTTGTGAGTGTGTGTGTGTGTTTTAATACAGAGATGGGGTCTCACTATGTTGCCCAGGCTGGTCTGAAACTCCTGGGCTCAAGCAGTTCTCCCATCTTGGCCTCCCAAAGTCCTGGGATTACAGGCATGAGCAACTGCACCTGGCCAATAATGTACTATATATCTCAAAATAGCTGGAAGAAACTTGGAATGTTCCCGACACAGAAAAATGACAAATGTTCAAGGTGATTGATATGCTAATTACCCCGATTTGATCATTACACATTGTGTGCATGGATCAAAATATCATACTTACACCATAAGTGTGTGCAAACATTATGTATACATAAAAATTAAAATTAGCTGGGTGTGTCTGTAGTCCCAGGTACTTGGGAGGCTGAGTCTGTAGTCCCAGGTAGAGACTGAGGCAGGAAGACTGCTTGAGCCCAGGAGTTCAAGACCAGCTGGACAACATAGACTCTGCCTCAATTTCCAAAAAAAAGAGAAAAAAAATGCCGGGCGCAGCGACTCACGCCTGTAATCCTAGCACTTTGCAAGGCCGAGGCGGGTGGGTCATTTGAGGTCAGGAGTTGAAGACCAGCCTGACCAACATGGCAAAACCCCATCTCTACTAAAAATACAAAAAAAAAAAAAAAAATTAGCCAGATGTTGTTGCACGTGCCCTGTAGTCCCAGCTACTCTGAAGGCTGAGGCAGGAGAATCACTTGAACCCAGGAGGCAGAGGTTTCAGCGTGCTGAGAATGCACCACTGCACTCTAGCCTGGGCAACAGAAAGCGATTCTGTCTCAAAAAAAAAGAAAGAAATTTTAGAAATAATTTCTTTTAATGTAGCCATAATTTAACCACTTCTTTCAATGAGAACTTCTCGCTTCTCTCTCCCTCTCCCCTTCCTCCTCATGGCTCTTAATTTCTATCTATTGCCATCTCAGGACATTGTTTGATTTTCTCCACGGTGCATTTTGCTTTCTGAAAGTATCTTGTTTGTTCAATTCCTTGTGTGACGATTTTCTGTCTCCCCTTCCTCTAAAATGTAAGCTCCCTGAAGACAGAGACACTGTCTGGTTCACACCTGCTAGATGAATACAAGTGAAGGCATTGCAGAACTTGCCTTCTTCAAACATGTGCAGCTAACAGCTTCCAGCACCAGAAAATTGAAATTCTCTTTTGCCTTTTCTTTAATGCTCTGCCTCCATTTCTAAGCTGGTTTTCTTCTGGGTCTCTGTTCTGATTCTCACACACCTGAGTGTGACTTACCCTGCTTCCCTTGCAGATGTCATTGTTCGTCCCTCAAAATGTTTGTGGCACATTTCACGGTAAGGCTCTGAGACAGCGCTCCAAATTGTGTCTACATATCTTCTGTTGTGGTTACTTTGAAGTTTGTTGAATTATATTGTTTTGACAGAACTGTCACATCTCAAAACGTGTTGCTGACTAAAAACATATGCAGAACCTTTTTTCCTTCTTTTTCTTTCTTTCCTTTTTTTTAAAAAAGGAAAAACTCTACCATCATCTTGCAACTAAACGTATGGCCACAGGAGGGCACCATGAGGCCGCACTTCTGCTCTACGCAAAGTGGGTGGAAAATTGAGACCTGACGGTGGGGACAGTGCAAAACTCTGGGACTTTTATTCTTAATCTCTTTCTTCATTCCAAGATCTACCGCCCAGTGGTAACACACCCTTTGGAGAGCAGGCTGAGAAAATCAAATACTGGTACAACATTAACAAATAATAATAATTAATAATAAGCTGTGAATGTCTTCCAGTTCGTAGAAACTATAAAAGCACATTTACTCAGATATACTTTGTTCTAAGTTATTTTTATCAGGGTTGAGTAAAAGTGTATAGATCAACAGCTATGAGCAAAAATGGAAGAAATCTGAAACTCCTGTAATGACAGACTTCAGGAAAATGTCCTCTATTGAAGTAAAAAAAAAAAAAAATTAGCAAAGTGACAGGATTGGGATGCAAACCCTGGCTGTGTATACAGTGTCTGTGTTCTGCTATTACACTCCATGTTCAGCACAGCCCCATATGGGAGTCACTAGTCACATGTGCACATATTTAAATTTTAAATTAACTTAATTAAAAGTAAATAAAATTAGGCCGAGCGGGGTGGCTCACACCTGTAATCGCAGCACTTTGGGATGCCAAGGCGGGTGGATCACCTGAGGTCAGGAGTTCGAGACCAGCCTGATCAACATAGTGAAACCCCATCTGTACTAAATACAAAAAATTAGCTGGGCTTGGTGGCACATGCCTGTAATCCTACCTACTTGGGAGGCTGAGACAGGAGGATCACTTGAACCTGGGAGGTGGAGGCTGCAGTGAGCCGAGATTGTGCCATTGCACTCCAGCCTGGGCAACAAGATCGGAATTCCATCTCAAATAAATTAATAAATAAATAAAATTACAAATTCAGTTCTTCAGTTGCACTAGCCACAGGTTCAAGAGGTCAACAGTGAAATGACGCCTGTGGCTTCTATTGCATAGTACAGATATAGAACATTTCCAACATCATGGAGAATTCTATTGAATGGCAGTCGCATAGACAAAGCCTTGCAGTTTGTACTCCTAACCATGTCACTTTACTGCCTCATGGAATCTAGCAGTCTATCTACCTTGCCTATCTATTGTCATAGTTTCCCTTGAATTCAAAACAAAGTTTAAAAATATTTCATTCTTCTACTAAACAAGACGTTTACTTAGTACCCACATTTTACCCACCCATTCAATATAACATACCAAAGGTAGCAAAGCAAATAGAAAATATGCTCCCTGCTATTAAAAATTTAGAATCTAGGCTGGGCACGGTAGCTCATGCCTGTAATCCCAGCACTTTGGGAGGCCGAGGTGGGTGGATCATTTGAGGTCAGGTGTTCGAGACAAGCCTGGCCAAAATGGTGAAACCCCATCTCTACTAAAAATACAACATTAGCTGGGCGTGGTGGTGCACGCCTATAATCCCAGCTACTCGGGAGGCTGAGGCAGGAGAATCCCTTGAACCCGGGAGGCGGAGGTTGCAGTGATCTGAGACAGTGCCACTGTACTCCAGCCTGGGCACAACAGAGTGAGACTCCATCTCAAAAAAAAAAAAAAATAGAATCTACTTAAATAATGTGAGTGAATTATCTGATGCCTACCACAGTTGGGCAATACTGTATTCCAGTGGAACAAATGCACAAGATCGTGGAAAAGCATTATATTATAGGCAAATTTAACTAATGAAACATTATTCACCAAATATTTTCTTGCACTCTTGTGGCTTACAACATTACGTTTCTTCCACAGAATCACTGACTCACATAGTGGTTCAATCTATTTCATCTGACCAAAGCCTGTGTAAGTCATCTGCAATTCACCTGAAGCAGTGTATTGTTTGCTATATTACAGGACCTTTTCACTTGATGTGAAATGAAATCAGAAAACCCAAAGACATCTTGGCTCTGACATGCTCTGTAACAGTGGCTTTTCTGGAACAATGATTTTGCAACAGAGTAAGGCCAAAATTAAACTTAGGTAGGAGTCATGATAGAGCAACATGCACAGGTGTGAGGCAGAGGGCAGAGAACTTGAGTGTGGGCAAGCCAGACCTTGAAAAAAGAAGTCATTCATCTCTGTCAATTTTTTTTTTTTTTCACACAGAGTCTCATTCTGTTGCCCAGGCTGGAGTGCAATGGCATGATCTCAGCTCACTGCAACTTCCACCTCCCAGGTTCAAGCGATTCTCCTGCCTCAGCATCCCAAGGGACTACAGGCATGTGCCACCATGTCCAGCTAATTTTTGTATTTTTAGTAGAGACGGGGTGTCGCCAGGTTGCCCAGGATGGTCTGGAACTCCTGGCCTCAAGTGACCCGCTCGCCTCGGCCTCCAAAGTGCTGAGATTACAGGTGTGAGCCACCACCCCCAGCCTTTCCATCAATTTTATCAATGACAACCTCAAAGAGAACACTTGACCTTCAGTAATACTGCAAATGAGATGGTCTAATGGATTTGGAAGAAGTGGGGAGACAAGAATAGAAAAAGGCTTTCAAGGCCGGGTGCAGTGGCTCACACCTGTAATCTCAGCACTTTGGGAGGCCGAGGCAGGTGGATCACCTGAGGTCAGGAGTTCGAGACCAGGCTGGCCAACATGGCGAAAACCATCTCTACTAAAAATACAAAAAATTAACCAGGCGTGGTGGCATGCGCCTGTAATCCCAGTTACTTGGGAGGCTAAGGCAGGAGAATCGCTTGAACCTGGGAGGCAGAGGTTGCAGTGAACAGAGATGGCACCATTGCATGCCAGCCTGGGTGACAGAACGAGACTCCATTTCAAAAAGAAAAAAAAGAAGAAGAAAAAGTCTTTCAGTATGCACTTATTGACAGTTTTTCACATAAAAGGGGATGAAAAACAGAAAGTTAAATAAATAAGTTGCACATAAACTTTGTAAATTGCCCTCACACAGGGTTCAGGCAAAGGGGAGGCTGAGACTTTGGCATCAGAGAATCCTACTCAACTGTTAACTGGCTGTGTGTCATTAGAGAGATTAATTTCCCTCTCTGAGCCACCATCTTGCTTATCTCTACAATGGAGATAATAACAGTCCCTACTTCTGGGAGTGTAAGGATTAGGAAATTAAATCTTTTTTTTTCTTTTTTTTTTTTTTTTTTTTGAGACAGGGTCTCACTCTGTCGCCCAGGCTGGAGTGCAGTGGTGCCATCTCGGCTCACTG
Organism: Homo sapiens; assembly: GCF_000001405.40. Classification (NCBI taxonomy): domain Eukaryota; kingdom Metazoa; phylum Chordata; class Mammalia; order Primates; family Hominidae; genus Homo; species Homo sapiens. The sequence continues at coordinate 73,083,011 of NC_000003.12, read as the reverse complement.
CAGCCTCTGGCTCCTGGGTTCAAGCGATTCTCCTGCCTCACCCTCCCAAGTAGCTGGGGTTACAGGTGCCCACCACCACACCTGGCTAATTTTTGTATTTTTAGTAGAGACAGGGTTTCACCATGTTAGCCATGCTGGTCTCGAACTCCTGGCCTCAAGTGATCCGCTTGCCTTGGCCTCCCAAAGTGCTGGGATTACAGGCATGAGCCACTGTGCCAGGCCAAGAAATTAAATCTAAATCACCTGGTGCATAAAATGCCAAAATGGCTCCACTAATGACCTTTTATTTCACATCCCCAGCTGTACGACTTGAGAAGTGCCACTCTCTGGTGTCAATTTTAAAAGAAATGTCTCTGTGTTATTAAGGATTACCAATTGGGTCCCCTTTGAAGTTCCTCAAGAGATACCAGGAAAGCTTTCAATAGCTTTTAACTCAAATAAATTTATGAAAATGATTATAACACCTCCATCATTGCCATTTGCCCCAGACATTGCTACCATAGGGACCAAGATGTTGTCAAGGACCTGCTTTTAGACTTTGTTGACATCAATGTCAGATCAATGGCTGAAATAAAAGCATCTTCAAAATACTTCATAAAGCAACTGAATGACATGAGTTGCACAGAACATCCAAGCCTGCTTGGAGTGCCATGTTTGGTCAAGGAGAGGGTGGAAGAGGGAAACTCAAGACCCACTACCTGCTTTCAAAAAGTCTTTCTCCATAAATAATACAGGAGTTTTAAAAAGATAACAGATACCTCAAGCATTCACTGGAAGAATCACATCCACAAATTCTAATTTTGGGTTTGTACTGACCACAAGAGTCTGTGTCCAACACGTGTAAAAGACCTTTTGGCAAATTCATCACTTTATATACAGTTTGATTTTGGATACCTTCTTCATTTTACTTTTCTTTTTTCACATCAAACGGGGAATGTGCCAACATCGTAACAAAGTCTGAGGGAGGCACATCTCACATACGAGCGTGAAAACCCAATCATCACACTTATGAACTATAAAAGGATCCTGGATTTTATTAACGAGCACATTTCTGGGTTTTGCTCTGCCAAGCTTCATGCTTTCATCCTCAGGCTAGTCTCCTCAGAGATAGAAAGCAGCTGTTCACTTCAAGACCTGAGTCTGAGTTCCTTGTAGGAAGAAGAGGTCAGAGAAGGGAAAAGGTAAAGGGGCCAAGGGCGCAGAACTTTCTCCCAGCAAGAAAACATCACTCCGGACTTCTGCTTTCATCTTGTCGGCCAGGGCTGTATCACAGGGCTATTCCTAGGAAGCTGGGTGGCCAGCAGGTCGCCTTTCCACCCTTTATAGAAAAGGTAGGCAATGGCCAGGCGCGGTGTCTCACGCCTGTAATTCCAGCACTTTGGGAGGCTGAGGCAGGCGGATCACTTGAGACCAGCCTGGCCAACATGACAAAATCGCATCTTTATCAAAAATACAAAAATTAGCTGGGCATGGTGGTGCATGTCTGTAATCCCAGCTACCAGGAGGCTGGGGTGGGTGAATCATTTGAGCCCGGGAGGCGGAGATTGCAGTGAGTCAAGATGGCACCACTGCACTCCCGCCTGGACGACAGAGTGAGACCCTGTCAGAAAAAAAAAAAAAAAAAAAACTAGGCAAGTGGAGAGTGACAGATAATGGCTTTGGGACATCAATCATTGGTCTATCAAGGGACCCAGCCAAGAGTTTTCAGTGTTTTCCTTTGCCGGTTAAAGACACTAAAACACTACCAGCAACTCTCACCTATTACCCCTATCATTTCCTAAAAGAAAGGGTATTTGAACACTGCCAAGGCCGGGCACAGATGCCTGTAATCGCAACACTTGGGTAGGCCGAGGCAGGCAGATCTCTTGAAGCCAGGAGTTCAAGACCAGCCTGGCCAACATAGCAAAACCCCATCTCTACTAAAAATACAAAAAAAAAAATTAGCCAGACGTGGTGGTGGGTGCCTGTGGTCCCAGCTACTCAGGAGGCTGAGGTGGGAGGATCACTTGAACCTGGGAGGAGGAGGTTGCAGTGAGCCAAGATTGCACCACTGCATTCCATCCTGGATGACAGGGAGCTTGTCTCAAAAAAAAACAAAATGAAAAAGAAAAAAAAAAACCCCACAAAACCTGCCAAAAGAGGAGGAAAGACAATCTCAGAATAATGATCTGCCCACACACTGCACCATCACTTTCGTTTTGTGCAAAATTCCCCCCATTGCTCTTAGTTTCTGAGACATTTTCAGTGAAACGTCAGTCCTGGGAGTGGTGCTGAGTGATGGTGGCCCTGCATTCGCAGCAAGATGCGTAAACCACAACACTGAAGGGCCTATGGCGTTCGGAGACAAAAACTGGAAAAATAATGTTTTTCGGATTTCTTCATACAAACGACCATGGAAGTAAGTCTTATTACAAACTTACACGAGTTGTCATAAATGGAATGAGAAGTAGAAGGTGGAGGGGAGGGGAAATGTCTTCAGGTAGGATACATGAGGAAATGTCTTCAGGAATAAATACACGAGGAGCAGCTGTCAGCCACAGAAGGCTTTCACAAAGGCAGCAGCAGGTTGGGCAGGTCTTGACAGAAAGCGCAGACAGCTGGCCCTCCCAGGATGGGAACGCTGACTCCACTCAAGGCATCTGGTTCATGCACACTCCGACGCAAACCGTGGTGGGATGGTAGCTTCAAGGGGTCGTGCTGTCATTTCTCTTCAGTGAATAGGTCACGTGGCTAGGGAGTTTGAATCTTTCCCTCCTTTTCCCAAAGAAGATTTTGTACCTCTCACAAACAAACCATCCCATTTAAAGGAAGAACGCAAATTTTGCCTTGGAAGAGCAGACTTGAAATCGGTCATTAAGAGTATGAAAGGTCATTTCTCCATTGAGAACATTCTAGGCATTTCAATTATTGGCAGCAGCCCTTCAAGACTGTTTTTCTGCTAATTTTCCCTCAACCTCTTCAGTTGCATTCTGAATTTTCAAAAGTAGGACCAAGCTAGTTATGAGTGACTGTAAATTTGGAGGACGGAAATACACATGAAAATAACCACTACTGGCCAGGCGCAGTGGCTCACACCTGTAATCCCAGCATTTTGGGAGGCCGAGGTGGGCAGATCACGAGGTCAGGAGATGGAGACCATCCTGGCCAACATGGTGAAATCCCATCTCTACTAAAAATACAAAAATTATCTGGGCCTGGTGGTGCATACCTGTAATCCCAGCTACTCAAGAGGCTGAGGCAGGAGAATCGCTTAAACCAGGGAGTCGGAGGTTGCAGTGAGCCGAGATCGCGCCACTACACTCCAGCCTGGTGATAGAGCAAGACTCCGTCTCAAAAACAAACAAACAAACAAAAACCACTACTTAGAGATCACTGGGTGCGGTGGCTCACACTTGTAATCCCAGCACTTTGGAAGGCCGAGGTGGGCAGACCCCATGAGCCCAGGAATTCAAGACCAGCCTGGGCAACATGGCGAAACCCCATCTCTACTAAAAATATAAAAAATTAGCCAGTAGTGGTGGTGCACTCCTGTAGTCCCAGCTACTCGGGAGGCTGAGGTGGGAGGATTGCTTGAGTCCGGGAGTGGGAGGTTGCAGTGAGCTGAGATCATACCACTGCACTCCAGCCTGGGCGACAGAGACGCCATCTCAAAAAATAAAAAATAAATAAAAAATAAAAAAAGAACAGAGGCCAGTAAACTTTTCCATCAAGGCACAAATAGTAAATATTTCAGGCTCTGTGGGCCACATGGTCACAGCTCTACTGCAGTCCTAGCAAGAAAGGAGCCACAGACAATACATAAAGAAATGGCAGTGGCTGCATTCCAATAAAACGTCATTATGGATACTGACATTTGAATTTCAAGTAATTTTTACACAAGTCACAAAATACTACTTTTCTTTGTGTTTTTTCCAATCATTAAAATATAAAAACTATTCTTACTTCACAGGCCATAAGAAAACAGGCAGTGGTCCCACGGGCTGTAGTTTGCTGATGATCCCTGAACTAGAAAATAAAATAGATAAAGCACTCAGGAACAAATTGAACAAGAAATATGCAAACCTCCATGAGGAAATTTAAACATTTTTGAAGTCACAAAAGTTAACTTGAATAAAAAGGTATACCATGTCTTTGGTTAGAGAGATTCAACATCCTGAAGATGCAAATTCTTCCACAATTAATTTTAAAATGTATTATGAGGCCGGAAATGGTGGCTCACGCATGTAATCCCAGCACTTCGGGAGGCCGAGGCAGGTGGATCACCTGAGTTCAGGAGTTTGAGACCAGCCTAGCCAACATGGCAAAATCCCATCTCTACTAAAAATATAAAAAATTAGCCAGGCATGGTGGCAGGTGCCTGTAATCCCAGCTACTCGGGAGGCAGAGGCAGGAGAATTGCTGGAACCTGGGAGGCGGAGGTTGCAGTGAGCCAAGATCGCACCACTGCACTCCAGTATGGGTGACACAGTGAGACTCTGTCTTAAATAAATAAATAAATAAAGTATTATGATCCAAATTAAAGTAGCAAGAGATCATTTTTTTCTGGAATCACACAGCTGACTCTGAAGTGGATATGACAAGATAAATAAGCAAGATTAGGTCTGGAAAATTCAGAAAAAGAAGAACAAAAAGGAAGCAGCTGTACTAGAATGTAAAACACTGTACACATCAGCAACTAAGCCAGTGTGGTATCAGCACACGAATGGACAGACAGAACACATCCAGAAATATTAATACATCCAAATGAACCCAGGACTTACTGTGTGATGAAGGTGGCATATCAAATCAGGGTGCTAAAGATGAAGTTTTTAATAAATGGTACTGGGCCCTAAAGACAAACAGATCCAAACCTCATAGTACGCATCAGGATAAAAAGCACTGCAAGAAAATCAAACATTAAATATAAGAAATGAAACCATATAAGTTAAAATGGGAGGAGCCAGATGGTGCACAGTGGCTAATGCCTGTAATCCCAGCACTTTAGGAGGCTGAGGTGGGAGGATCACTTGAGCCCCGCCTAAGTCAAGGCTACAATGAGCTGTGATCACACATTGTCCCTGTCCAGGCTGGGTGACAGAGTGAGACCCTGTCTCAAAATAAAATAAAATAAAATAAAATGGAGAAAGCCATTCTAAAACTAATTTAAAATCCAGAACCATTAAAAAGAAAAAACTCATGAATTCAAATATATAAAAATAATTTGCTTATGATTTTTTTGTTATGCAAAGATCAAAGGAAAAAGACAAACTGGAAAAACAACATGATTGTAACATCACAAAGATTAATTTCCATAATCTATCAAATAAATTCTAAAGAAAATTCTGAAATGTTCTAGAAATTCTAAAGAAAAAGACCAACAACCCAATTTGGAAAATGGGCAAAGGATGTGAACTGAGAGGTCACAGAAAAATACCAATAGCCCCTCAACCTGGGGAAAGACCTACACTGTTGGTGAGGCCATGAGAAACAGGCACCCCCATACACAGCTGGTGGGAGAACAGAACATAAAGCCTGAGGAAGGGGAATTTGATAGGAACTACCCAAATTACTGAAGCCGTTACCTTTGACAGGACCCACTTCTGGGAATCCTGATTGGAAACAAGTGGAGTGTACATCCACTCTAGAGACTACAGGAAAGAAAGAACAAGAGTGATCTCTACATGGAGTATGGTGTGAGCAGCAGGATATATTAAGTGAAAAAAGGCCAGGCACGGTGTCTCAGGCCTGTAATCCCAGCACTTTGGGAGGCTGAGGTGGGTGGATCACCTGAGGGCAGGAGTTCGAGGCCGGCCTGGCCAACATGGTGAACCCCTGTCTCTACTAAAAATACAAAAAAAAATGAGCCGAGCATGGTGGTACATACCTGTAATCCCAGCTACTCGGGAGGCTGAGGCACAAGAATTGCTTGAACCCAGGAGGCAGAAGTTGCAGTGAGCTGAGATCGCGCCACTGCACTCCAGCCTGGGTGACAGAGTGAGACAATGTCTCAAAAAAAAAAAAAAAAATGTGTAAAAAGCAAGGTGTATGCTACTTTTGTGTAAGGAAGAGAAATAAGACTACAGATAGATAGATAGAGACATAGATAGATGATAGAGATATAGACAGATGCTAGAGATATAGATAATAGAGATATAGACAGAGAAATAGATGATAGAGATAGATAGAGATATAGATAGATGACAGAGATATAGATAGATGATAGAGATATAGATGATATAGATAGATGATAGATAGAGATAGATAGATAGATAGAGACTAGACATTTTCTTTTTACTGTTTTGGGTGTTTTTGAGACCAGGGTTTTTGCTGTGTCACCCAGGCTGGAGTGCAGTGGCTATTCACAGGCAAGATTGTCGCACATCACAGCTTCCAACTCCTGAGCTCCAGTGATCCTCCCACCTCAGCTTCCCAAGTAGCTGGGACTACAGGTGCATGCCAACATACCCAGCTAATTTTTATTTTTGGTAGAGATGGGAGTCTTGCTATATTGCTCAGGTTGGCCCTCAAGTGATACTCCTGCCCCAGCCTCCCAAAGTGCTAGGATTACAGGTATGAGCCGCCAAACTCAGCTCTAAGATAATAGGTTTTAATTCTTTTTTTTGAGACAGGGTCTTGCCCAGCCACCCAATGGCACAATCATGGCTCACTGCAACCTCAATCTCCTGGGCTCAAGCAATCCTCCTGCCTTGGCCTCCCAAAGTGCTGGAATTATAGGCATAAGCCACAGCACCCAGCCACTATATATTTTAATTTGCTTGTATTTGCATCAGGAAATACTAAAAGCAAGAAACTAATAAAAATGGTTACCTATAGATTGGGAGCAAGGGGGATAAGGACAAGAGTGGGAAGGAGAATTTTGTGTCATTTTGACATTTTAACCATTTAAAATTGTCTAATTTTCTTTTAATGAGTTCACTTATTTAACAAACTTTAATTGAGCAATGCCCCAGGCACTCATGAATACCTGGGTGTCAAGGAGTGGATGCAGACAGAGAATGTGACAGTAGGCCAGGTGCAGTGGCTCATACCTATAATCCCAGCATGTTGGGAGGCCAAGATGGGCGGATCATTTGAGGTCAGGAGTTTGAAACCAGCCTGGCCAACATGGTGAAACCCCATCTCTACTAAAAATACAAAAAAAAATTAGCCGGGCGTGGTGGTGGGTGCCTGTAATCCCAGCTACTCAGGAGGCTGAGGCAGAAGAATTGCTTGAGCCCAGGAGGCGGAGGGTGCAGTAAGCAGAGACCGCGCCACTGCACTCCAGCCTAGGCAACAGAGCAAGACTCTGTCTCCAAAAAAAAAAAAGAGAGAATGTGACAGTATGCTCATAAATATGTATACTTCTACATATTAAAAATATATCTCTGAATATCTGCTTTGGTGCAATGGAAAATAATTCAGTTACATGATTAAGAAACCAAATCTAATTAGTAATTGAAAGTGCATGTGTATGAGAAAGAGAGATGGAAGAATTAGAGACCCTATTCGAGATGCAAGTGCGTTCTCAGAGATGGCAGTTGCTGTCTTCAAGGGAACCGAGCCCCTCTGTGGGGGACAACCACTGCACTCAACATAAAATGTCATTTCAGAGACACCATGTTTGAAATAGAACTACCTCCTCCCACAACCCTTCTTTCTTTCTTGCTTTATTTAGGATCATTGAACTTATCACCATCTTACATATATTTTTACTTATCTTGTTTGTCTGTCTTCATTAACTACCCCAGGGCCATACTCATAAGAAATCCCTTAATAAACATCTGTGGATGAACAAATGAGCAGATCGCTGCCTGGATTGATTGATGGCTCTTTCTGAGATGTTTGACTCCAGAACGCTGGTTTTGTTGTCTCAGAAATCTCGATGCATAAATCCCTGTGGCTGCTGCTGTTGCAAGAACGTATGCAAAGTTGGTCATCGCGGTTGATCCAATCGAAGTTATGTGCGTTGCTGGCGTAGCACACATACTGAAATTAATCACCACTGGAAATGTCTTTAGGAGGACTATACTGACTCCACAGTGAGACAAAAAGTTAGCATGTCCTTCCAAAAGTCAAGGAAACAGAGCAGGAAGGAGTAACTTTGACATTAGAAGAGCATGTATTTGTCATTGTGGGGATGACTGAAATTCCACATTTTCTTGCCAAGCCAAAACTAAGAGCTCTGCAGAGCTTAAGAGAGGAAAATACCCACAAAATTCCTCTGAAGAAATGAAAATGTCAAGCCAGGAGAGGCTGTTGTGACCAGTCCATGCATTGTGCAGGCACGTGTCCTGTTTCAGTGGGTGGCTTATTTCCTTACTTTACATAAAATAATGGTGTATGTTACCATCTTAGATGACTGGGAATATAGCATGTGGTTTGCCTGCCAGATAAGGTTCCATTCTCACCTCCAACCACATCCCTAGGTGCAAGGATGTCTATTTCACATTACCTAATAATTCGACAAAGAACACTTAAAAGTTTAATGACTTGTTTTTTTCTTTCCAGAGGGCGCTGATTTTAAATGTCTCCATCTCAAACTGCTTGAACCGAGCCAGTAATAGTCACAAGTCAAAATACTATGAGATCACTTAGTAGGGGACTGGTTAAATTAATTATGGTTCATCTATATACTGAAAGACTATGAAGCTGCTAAGGTGACTAGAGCACTTTCTAGGTACTGATTTGGAATATCACAAAACTCCAGTAAATGGGGAAGGAAAAAAAAGACCAGGTGCATCCATCTCAATGGGTTCAGTGTGAACTCACTATGAAAAGGGGAGTGGGATAGGCTGGGCACATTGGCTTACACCTGTAATCCCAGCACTTTGGGAGGCCAAGGCTGGTGGATCACCTGAGATCAGGAGTTCGAGACCAGCCTGACCAACATGGTGAAACCTGTCTCTACTAAAAAGACAAAAATTAGCCGGGTGTGGTGGTGGGCGCCTGTAGTCACAGGTACTCGGGAGGCTGAGGCAGGAGAATCGCTTGGACCCCGGAGGCGGAGGTTGCAGTGAGCCGAGATCATGCACTCCGGCCTGGGCAACAAGAACGAAACTCCATCTCAAAAAAAAAAAAAAAAAAAAAAAAAAAAAAAACAAGAAAGAAAAGAGGAGTAGGGGAGAGGTAGTGATGGCCACCTTGTGCTTGCCAGAGTATGCAGTTATCTCTAGAAAGGTACAGCACATTTCTTTTCTTTTTTCTTTTTTTTTTTTTTATGGTGAGACGGAGTCTTGCTGTCACCCAGGCTGAAGGATACAGGACATTTCTGCAAAATGCTTTTTTTTCTTTTGAGACAGGGTCTCACTCTGTCACCCAGACTGAAGTACAGTGGCGTGATCTCAGCTCACTGCAACCTCCACCTCCTGGGTTCAAGTGATTCTTTGTGCCTCAGCCTCATGAGCAGCTGGGATTACAGGCACACACCACCATTCCTAGCTCATGTTTTTGTATTTTTAGTAGAGATAAGGTTTCACCATGTTGGCCAGGCTGGTCTTGAACTCCTGACCTCAAATGATCCACCCACTTTGGCCTCTCAAAGTGATGTGATTACAGGCATTAGCCACCACTTCCGGCCTGCAAAATGCTGTTTTTTTGAACTCATTTGTAGGTAGGGCTTACTATCTACCAGTTAGTAATTGAAAGTGCATAAGTATGTTTTTTTCTAGTAGTTAACGATTGATCCTTTTCTAACGGTTAATCCTCTTAACAGCCCTGTGAGGTAAGGGCCTCATCCCCCTTTTCTACAGATGCACAGAGATCACACAGCCAGAAAATGGCAGAGCTGGGATGAAAACCCAGGGAATCTGGCTCCTAGTCCTGGAGCATTCTGCCCCACTGTTAAGACTGGCCTGGGGCATGGGGGAGAGGGGTGTAACCAAGGGATCTGGAAGCAAGGGTAGGTGGATGGAAATAGTATATACTATTTTGTTCTATTTGAATTTTTGTCAGGTGTAAACATTACCTATTTTTAAATAATTTTTAAATTTTATTTTTAAAATAGATAATGCATTCAAAATGTCTAGCTGGAAAATCATGGGTGATCCATTTAGAAGGATCAGGTGAAAACAGATGGTGAAATACATGGAATGTGAAACCAAGAGCTTGGGTTTGTTGTGAATGATGAGGAAGCTTTTTGATGTTCTGAATGTGGGCAACTAACTGGAAGTGGCTCTGAGAATCTTCAGCCACCAGGCATGGCTTCCTCTCTGCGGTTCACCTCCTCAGGGTCACCCTCCCCCTAATTCTACAAGTCCTCCAAGACTAGCCAGCACCTAAGCATAATGGATAACAACCACTGGGCTTTGGAGGCAGAGCCACTGATTCTCATTCTGACCCTCCACTTTTAAAGGGTCCCTGGGCAAGTTGCCTTTCTTCACCTTATCTCATCCATAAAATGGGCATAAGATTAAGCACCTCACAGGGTTGATAGTATGGTTAAATTAGGTAATACGTGATATGTGCTAAGGATAATGTCATGCATAAAGTAAGTGTTCAATTAGTGCTTATTATTATCCTAGCATTGACCAGGATTGAAATCTCAACTTTGATTCCAAAAAAACTGTTGTCTTCCCCAGGGACAACCAGTATCTTCCCCTCTTCCCTTCATGTTTCTCCTTTCTCCCTTAAAAGAAACATCAGGTGCTGGACCAGATGTAGTTTATACCCATAGTCACTTAATGTTTCCAACAATCCTACCAGGTAGATATAACTATACCCATTTTCCAGATGAGAAAACTAGGCTCAAAGAAATATTGTAACTTACACAAAATGCCTCAGCTGGGAATGGTGAAGTTGTGACTTAACCCATATCGTGCAACTCCCATGCCACTCTCCTCTGCCCATTACACCATGCTACCTGATGGTCCTGCTCACCTAAGGCCAAGCAGAACCTGCCTCAACTGAGAAGCCTTCCCAGACTGCCACAGCTGCACCAATATGGTTCTCCTGTGCACCTATGCAAGTCACACACCAATTTGTTAAAATCTTGCATTGCTTATTTTCTTCAGGGTGATTGAATTCCTCAAATATGAAATTGGACTAAATCTACTCTTTTTAGCCCCCCAAATACACAATTCATGAAAGTTGCTACCTAACAACAGACATGCTTTTCTCCATCTGTATGTTTTGTCTACCTCTTCTTAACTCCCTTTGTTGGGATAAGTGAAATCTGATAGTCATCATTTCATGAAATTCCAAATGAATACTCAAAACACCTGGAAATCTTTCTGTGCTGTTGTTTTTTAGAGGGAACTTATGAAATATACTGGAAAATATTCCCTACCTCCTATATCTGGATACACTTCTAATATTCAAAACACCACCATCATAATGATCCCAAGACACTGCAAATTCTATTGCAGTTTGAATCACCCAATATTGAGATATATTTAGTTTATGCTAAATCCCTGACTTTAAAATAACTGACATATTTGGCGAGCTGCTGGATCTTAACACACTTCCACCTTCAGTCTTTACTTGCACTGCCAAAGCTGTGGGAGAGGCATTTTCGACAAACCCACAGTGGAAACTGACCCACATATTTCAATAGAAATGTTACAATTGCTACATTTAACCACAGTAATACACTCAACATTAAGGCCTAAACAGCTTCTTGTATAATAGCCTCAAAGTTAGCCACATTTTAAATAATTTACATGAGAAACTGTATTCTGAATTCCAATCAAGTAACGTTTTCAGGTTGAAAGTGGGAAACTGCATGCATTCTTAAATACACATGGGAATTGTTAGTCACCAACTAAGCTTACCCTTCCACTCTGTAGCATTGCATGAAATGCAAAGAAAAACAGTTATCATCCAAAATGAAGACAGAATACTGAACCCATATTTATCTTTCAAATTCTCAGCGATTATAGGCAGCATCAAAAGTCTCACAAGCCTACTCAACTGCAAAAATTTCTTGCTGCAAGTATTACTGAATATCAAGTCCCATTATACCATGTCTAAAGCAGGACTTGGGTAATTTAATGATATATCCTCCTGTAGCAGCACCTATCCCCTGTAAGAGGCGGGTGTGCTATTGTGCTTTCTATAGGCAGGGGGTAGCTGGTCTCATTCACGGAAATTTCCTTTGTTAAGATGCTCACTTTCTGGTGATACCATCCAACTGCCCACTGATTTCCTGGCAAGGGCATTCAACAGAATGTACTGCTCCCAATCCCACAAACCTAGTAGCAAAGTTGCAGGGGTGACCTTAGCACACTTGAAGTGGGCAAAGTAGACACAGAATCGGTAAAACATAGGAATCTAAAGTGGGCTGTGGACCTACCACTTGCTTTCAATTTTGTTATCACTTGTCAAGCATGGGGCTAGCCTGTGAGGTTACAAAGATGAGTAAAACAGTGGAGATGGCAGACTAGTATACAGGGAATTGCTGGCATTTTGGAATATTCATTACTTTTAGTTATGGGAAGAAAAACTCTGAAAATGTACAAACAAAACCTAAAGATGACAAACTACTGCTAAAGTTTAAACTTAAAACGTTCTGAAGAATAAAAGGGAATTGCATACTCTTCATTTTAAATAGGGAAGAGTTCACGCAGTTTATTCCTAGCCAGTGGAAAAATCAGTCTTCCCATCATTAGCCCTGAACTACGTACTAGTTATACTATTTAGTAAACAAAATTAAGTGGGGGTAAGAGATCAAATATGAGAAGCTGAAAACTAAGACATTCTTAAGGTTAGAAACACACCGACTAGTACTCTCCTTAGTTCAGAGCCACAGATCTTACCCTCTACTGTAGCTACTGTGCGATAATATGCCTAGAGGGCCAGTCATGGTGGCTCATGTCTGTAATCCCAGCACTGTGGGAGGCTGAGGCGGGCAGATCACCTGATGTCAGGAGTTCAAGACCACCCTGGCCAACACTGTGAAACCCCATCTCTACGAAAAACATATATATACAAAAATGAGACGGGCATGGTGGTGCATGCCTGTAGTCCTAGCTACTCAGGAGGCTGAGGCAGGAGAATTGTTTGAACCCGGGAGGCAGAGGTTCCAGTGAGCCGAGACCGAGATCATACCACTGCACTCCAGCCTGGGCAACGGAGGAAGATTCCGTCCCAAAAACAAAAACAAAAAGAAGCATAGGAAAGGAGACCCACAGTTGAAAACAGAACCCTCCTCTCCACTTCAGGTAATTCTACACTTCTTACCATGTAGTTGCCTGAAGGTGGGATTTCAAAAATGATTTTTTTTATTTTTAAAGACGGACTCTCGATCTGTCGCCCAGGCTGGAGTGCAGTGGTGTGATCTCGGCTCACTGCAACCTCTGCCTCCCAGGTTCAAGCAATTCTCCTGCCTCAGCCTCCTGAGTAGCCGGGATTACAGGTGCCCACCACCACACCTGGCTAATTTTTGTTATTTTTAGTAGAGACGGGGTTTCATCATGTTGGCCAGGCTGGTCTCGAACTTCTGGCCTCAAGAGATCTACCTGCCTTGGCCTCAAGTGCTGGGATTACAGGCGTGAGCCACTGCGCCCAGCCTTTAAAATGATTAACACAAATATTGTAAATATATACATGTAAGCTAGTGCCAAATTATACCAGTGGAGACTTATTTAAATCTGGATTTTGTTGACAATCAGCATGACTTGCCTGGCAAAGAACCACAACTGTCAAGTCCTGCTGGAACACTTTGTCACCATGTAAGAAACAGGGCTGTAACAAAGTCACACATTGAGTTTCCTCAGTTAAGGATTTGAGGTGGGTGGTGGCGCAGGGTCGGGGGGGGTTGGGGGGGTTGGGGGGGAGTCGGAGTGGCAGCAGGGCAAATAAACCATTATGGCACATAAAATAATTACACACATAGAAATATTCTAATTTATATTTTATTGCATTATGAAAATAATACATTTGGCAAAGTAATCTAGGCTCCAAGTTGAAATAAAAGAAAATCCTGAAGAGTGTACTGATTTTTAAAATGTGAAATAGTAAGATGTAGTCTAACCAATACATACTAGCACTCTTATTAGGCCAAAACCCAGCAAACCTAATTTTTATAATTCCATATGAAATTACAAGGTGTTTTGCATTCATTCATTTTATGATTAGCACAAATCTTGAGAACTGACCCTCACCTTCATCAAAACCAATGTTAAATTCCTGTTCAGAAGACAATTTGAAACACTACCGAAAATTTTTAATTCCTTTGGTTTTGTAAGTTGCATTTTCATCCTTACCATGTTACATTTTTTTCATAATCAAACATTGTAGCAGCTTTAGATTCTGCCCAAGTACCTTTAAGTAAACTAGTATATTACATTTACATTATTTGAAAAGTTGATTTTACAAATGCAAAAATGCATAAATACATGCCTATCTACACCGGCAAAACAAAATACTCTGAATCTCAATGCTTTAACAAGCCACACCTTCTGGCCGAGGATTTCTGGGATGCCTTTCCAAGCCACAGGGCCTGGCTGGCAATTCCACTACTCCAAAACACACGTCTGAAAGGTGTAGTTACAATAAACCCTAAGCAGGTTAAATTTATCTAATAATCAACATTTAAAATATGACATTTTCACTACTTCTGCTACATTTTTCAGAACTGAAAATATATTTTTCAAAAATGTACAAGGATATTTTCACTTTTTAAAAGGGAAAAGTGCTAGAAACATAATACATATATATATATATATCTCACTTTCCTCATCACCATCTTCAAATTTTTTTTACATGTTGGGTTATAGTCTAGAGAACAGGTAAGCAATCTGCTCAAGGTCAGAAACAAAATATCTTTAATCACTGAGGTCTCCATTCTTCATTTAGATCTTTTAACAGGACTTTGCTTGATATATGTTAAGAAATATGCCTAAAATCACTTCTGTTCAGAAGTGAATCAGTTACTATTAGAACTGACATTTTCATTAAGCAAAGTCTGTGTTAAGTGCACCTATGAATACCTGCGGAAATTTACTTCCAAATGGCCATCAATATCTAAAACCAGCTGAACAAGGTTTCCCAATTTAACTACAGAAGTATTCCACCTACCCTAAAGATATTCCATGAGCATTCTACAATTATCTGTATAAACAGCAACAAGTTTGATCTATGATCAACATATGAATATCTAATAAATATTAAAACTATTAAACTATAGATTAAAATGCAGATCTCTCATAGAGTTAAGTGATGTCATTTTGGTACATTCACCATTATTGTACTTTATTTAATAAAGAAATACATTTGCCCTTGCAAATATAGCAATTGCAAGTTTACAAATAAAACCACAGACCTCAAAGTCATAATGCTAAATCTTCAACTTACAACCAACAAAAGTAAATCAATTTGTTTACAAATGGTCCATGGCACTACAATTAAAATAAAAAATATCAAAAGGTCACAGGATCTTAGGTAAGTTTACTGACAATTTCATAAATATTCAAAAGAAAATTTCAAAATTTGTAAACTTAAATTTGCCTCATTTTAACATTTTTGAAAAATTTTTTAAAAATTTACAATGGTTAATTTTTCTCCCCTCTTGGGTATAGTAAATCAATATTCAGATTTTATTTCAACTATTAGACATAGTCATAAATATATCATCTAGCTGTTGTGAACCTGACAGTCAAGTCAGTCAGTAGTATATTATCCTACAAACATAAATGGATCCAAATCGTTTTGGTATTTATAGCCATGATGATTTAAGTAGTCAAAACGCAAAACTTGTGGTTGCCCCCCAAATCACCCAAAAGCATATTATACAGTGTCAGAAACTGTTTGCATCAGTTTTAGAAGCTCATCTGTGTAGTTCAGGTATCTGAAACTAAAAAAGGGGGGATTCTTTCATATTTTGATAAAAATGTAGTCAAATATTTCATAACATTAATATTTATTGCTTTATATGAATACTGTATTGAAAGCCCAAGCATTCAGTTTACACACAGAAATTATACAATTATATACCGCTTCACAAAGGCAGTGAACACATTACATTCTACAAAATCTACTTTACAGAAATTTAAAAACTTTAAATATCAAAAGGTACAGCTGAAGAAACAGGTATAAATTTGGCAGCCAGTAATTTTGACAGGGAAGTTACAGCTTGCATGACTTTAAATATGTAAATTTGAAAATACTGAATTTCGAGTAATCATTGTGCTTTGTGTTGATCTGAAAAATATAACACTGGCTGTCGAAGAAGCATGTTCAAAAATATTTAATTCACTTCAAAATGTCATACAAATTATGGTGGTTTCTATGCACCCCTAAAGCTTCAGTCATTTAGCTCAGGTACATACTAAAGTAATATATTAATTCTTCCAGTACAGTGGTGTTTCATACCATTGACATTTGCATACCCTAGAATAATTTAGAAAGACATGTGTAATATTCACAATGTTCAGAAAAGCAAGCAAAAGGTCAAGGAACCTACTTGGTTCTTCTGAGATGGTCTCATATCAGCTTCATAAACATTCATTCTACAAAATAGTAAGCTAACATTTGAACACAATTTCCAAGATAAAGCATATTTTCTCATAAATAATGAAGTCTTTTTCTCAGGCACCTCAGAAGTATACAAAAGAATTTGAGTTTGAACAGATCTCTTGGAATGTGTTTAACCTGGTATTTCAACAGACTTAAGATTTCCAGGGTTTCACAAGGGCCAGATTTTATTTCAATTACTCAGAAGAGAAAGAAAATGTCTTCTGAAAGAGGTGAACTCAATCATTACCAATAGAAAAAGTATCCACTGTATTCATCTCTTATAGAAACAGAAAAATATAACATTTCCCCCCTTAGAATTATATATATATATATATATATATGTATGTATATATGACTTAAAGTTCCATTGTACGTAGCCAAACAATAAAATCTGGAAACCAGCATGAAACCCTATAATTCACATGTTAAAATGTTGAAACTATGACCAAAATATGAAAACTGCTAGAGCTATCAGAAAGAGACAAGACAAAAAGCTTCTTGCATATGTATAAACTAAATGTGATAATCTCAAAAAACTTTTCAAAATTGTAATTACTTTCCAGTTTAAAAACTTCAATCCTAAATTAAAAAAAAAAAAAAATCTATACACAAACCACTGATTTGCCCAGACCAAAAAAAGAAAGAAAGAAAAGTCAGCGGTAAGGTAAGCAGGACCCAGAGGAGCTGATATTCACAGTTCTTACATGTACAACTCTTTCAGGAATTATCCATAAAGTACTTTATTTTACAACCTGCTTCTCTTGTAAAACTAAAGGTCCATTTTATTACACAAAAGTTTTATACAGTGTTAAAACCAGAACTGTATGTAAAATACTGCATCTAAATGTTTCTAAATAGTTAGTCTTGTTCCATTGGTTCATCGGTGACTTCTGTGGCTTCGTCATCATTTTCCATGGATGATTCTGAAAGAATCTCTCCAGTTTTACTGGAATTGGATCCTACTAATTCTTCTGTTTCACGGCAGTCAGAAGAACTACTACTTACAGGGCCTTCGTTTTCACTACCTTCAGAATGTAGCAAATCTTTCTCAGCTTGAGACACATCAGATTCCTCCATTTGATTATTTTCCTCAGAAGTCTCTTCATTCACAGTTAAGGCATCATCAGATTCTTTTTCTTGATTTTTTCTTTCTGGGATCATTTCTCTTGATGTCATAAAAGACTCTAAAAATAAGCAAATGTTGTTGTAGTTAAATTGTATTTTCAAAATACCTCCACAGTTAAGTTTCATGAATTCTGATATTCTATAGTTCAAATCACATCCCCTGAAATTCAGCAGCAACTACATACAGGTGGGAGAAAAGCCCAACATCAGCATTATAAGGAGTTCCATTACGTAAAATTCTTTCACGAAAAAAATGAAGTACAAGAATTTGAGGATCTCCTTACTCCACCCTTTTACAGATGGTCTCTAAATACCTTCTTCTTCCTCTTCATCCTCTTCTTCATCCTCTTCTGTACAGTGCTGCCGGGTACAACGGCTATCTTTGTCTTTATCCTGAGATGAAGATGATGCTTCTGTTTCTCCTACCATAACTGAAGAAATTTCGCTGGAAGTCGTTTGACTGGCTGTTTCTCTGACTTCACCTTCTTTGTCAAACCTGAGTCTTTTTACCTCATGCCCCTCAGCTTCCACAGCATCTTCATCTGGATGTTTATTTTTCAAAGGGCTCACTGAGGAAACTTCTGATTCAGAGGTCGAAGAGTCACTGTAAATGTTTTTTTAAAGTGTCATTAATAAGATTATTTTCCCCATCTTCTACATCCCCATTTTTAAGGTTAAATAATGTTTTAAATTGTATTTCAGTGTCAAAGTTAAATTATAACACCTGAACAAAGAAAAACACAAGAGAATAATTTCAAGGTAAACTAAACTGTTTGATGAATAATTCCCAGTAGGACTCAGAAAAGCTATATGACCTTTCTGTGCAATTCTCCAGTAAGTTAAATATTCTCCTACAATAAACCCGCAAGTCTTCCATACGGACATACTCTCTTAAGTCCTCTCCCTCATTTAGTCTTCCTTCCCTTAATGTGATACAGAAAATTTGAAGATATAAACAAAAGGTGTCCTTTTATGAACTACAATGAGAAACGACTCACAAAAATCAACTTATTTATAAAGATCATTTCTTTTCAAGTAACTTTCAGAAACAACAAATGAAATGGATCATCATATCTACGTTACTTTTAGACCCTACATAAACAGTCTCCACAAATTAGCAGTTTTAAGTCTTGTCTATGTCCACCTTCAACATTTGCTACAGCTGCAAAGAGAAGCCAGTGCTCCTATAAACCGCATGAAAACCTTGTTCTGTCCCTCAGAACTTATAAATAGTAAGTGATAAGTACTGATTAAATGTTAACTTTAACTTTTAATAAAAACACTGTTTTTAAATATAAAACATACAAACCTGTGATTTTTCTCCTCATTTTGCTGCAAATTTGCCTCTTTGCTGTCTGTGCTCTCAGGCAACCCATTTGTTGTCATGGGGGCTGACAAAGAAACCTTTGGTCGATTAAGTGGCCTGGGTGTCCCAGGCCCATTTATATTAGACCTATAATAAGATAAATGAACATCATTTCCTATTTTTATAAAAAGTCATCCCTCTTAAGGTATGTTGATGTGAATACATCACAGAAGTATTTGCTGCAACTTTGTTTTCAGGCCCATGCCTTACCAAATTAACTAATTCTATGTAGTTCATCCTATGGTGTCCATAAAATGCCCAATTTTTAAAAAGTACACTAAGCCTGCTACTCAAAATCAGGACAATGCAAACTCTGTAGGTATTAAAAATCTAGAATCTCACCTCTCAGTATAGCTTGGTGAATTTCCAGGAAACATAACACCATTCATTCGATTTAAACTATTGGAATTGTTTTTCCTATAAGAAAAGAAAATACACTTGTGGATGACTTAATTTTTTTTTAGATGGAGTCTGGCTCTGTCACCCAAGGTGGAATGGAGTGCAGTGGTGCAATCTCAGCTCACTGCAACCTCCACTTCCCAGGTTCAAGCAATTCTTATGCCTCAGCCTCCCAAGTAGCTGGGATGACAGACGTGTGATGCCATGCGCAGCTATTTTTTTTATTTTTAGTAGAGACGGGGTTTTGCCATGTTGGCCAGGCTAGCCTCAAACTCATGACCTCAAGTGATCGGCCCACCTCGGCCTCCCAAAGTGCTGGGATTACAGGCGTTAAGCCACCACACCTGGACTTTTTTTTTTTTTTTTTTTTTTAAATAATGAGAATTAGTTCATGTTAGGAGTGCATGGATCTATGATTCCACCCAACACTCCCCCCTCAAGATCTTACGGGGTAGATGCCATTTGAAGCAAAGGGAGTGTGATGGTTGATCCTGGTATAACATCAGGAGCTTTAAATCCCAAAAATGTGGGGTTGCTCATCTTGGCCCAGTAGTTTGCCGCTGTTGCTAAGTTTGGGAACATTCGTGGTGACAGCTCCCCAATAATGGGGTGGCAAAGTACACCCCCAAACTCAAAATATTTCCCCAATGCCTTTTTAACCATTGTTTTTTTTCTCCTCAAAGACTGGGATCTCAGACACAATGGCCCGTAGAGCAATGGAGCCATCCATGCACTGATCTAGAAACATTCTCACAGCATTAATAGGTTGTCATCTGTGCTTTCTTGGCAACTAACTTGACTTGCGTAGCTTGTGTAGAGGGGATTCAAAGTCTCCAAATAGAAGTGTGAACATTAATTCTCCAACCCATGGTCTTGAGCTGATCCAACCTATGGCTGATTCTGCATTGCAGCTGATTAGCAGATCAGCACTCTCACCATGTGAAAGTCTTCCAATAGATGCCATCATTGCCTTGAATCGTCTCTGAACTTGGAGACTGCTGGTGCAAATCTTATCACTTGATCCAGCCGCAATGCCTATCAAAAGGTCACAGCAGTGGCGGAGAACTGATGACTTCTCAAGGGCAATAAAGTTAGGCATATCTTTGAATCTGCTAGCATAAGGAGTACCCCTTTCCTCGTTCTCATTCCCAACCACAGTATTAGACCTCTTGCTCACACCAACACTCAGTAATGCCTGGTGTAACCCATCAAATATGAAACACAAGAATACTAAACTTGGGGTCACAGGGTGGAAATGAGATTTATGTGCTGGGTCTAGCATAGACTTGGCTGCTTTTTTAATGTCCTTAATATCCCCAATGCTGGGTTGGGGTTCCAATGCATCCAGTGGATACTGTCTGTTTTTCCCAGATAGCTCAAATCTTCCTTGAAGGTCAGGGAGCCCACTCCTGTCCATTGCGTCATCTCCTGGGCTGCTGGGCTGTGAGTCCTTTCTTAGATGAGACATTGTGGAAAATTGGTTCCGACTTAATTCTTTAATTTTGTTAAGAATCATAGGTCTAAAAGATCTTTTGTAAGATCTGTCACAGACCCAAACAAAAAGACTGTGAGAATTAACATAAGCATACAATTTAAGAAAATAACCCATTATTAGTCGCTATGACTTGACTCTGCACTTCTTTACCATTTTTCCAAAATACCTCACGTTCATGAGCAAAACAAAACATATTTTGCTTCATAAAAGAAATTTTTATCATGTATACATTTTAATAGTTTTTCTGTCAAGAAATATAGTATGGGATTATTTTAGTATCTTATTTAGCAACATAACTATATTCTTGGGAACATTCTAAAAACAAATTGACTGGGCTGGGTGTGGTGGTTCACATCTGTAATCTCAGCACTTTGGAAGGCCAAGGCGGGAGGATCACTAGAGTTTAAGGCTGCAGTGAGCTATGATCACTCATCACCGCACTCCAGCCTGGGTAACAGAGTAGTCTATGAAAGCAGAGCCAGATTAACCTTAAACCAATGGTTCTCAGCAGGGGACAACCTCCCCTCCCTGCCTTTCACATCTCCAAGAGACATTTGGCAATGTCTAAAGATATTTGGAGAGGGGAACACTACTGGCATAAGTGGGTAGAGGTCAAGGACAGTGCTAAACCTCTTATAATCCCCAGGACACCCACTCACAACAGAATTATCTGGTACAAAATGTCCATAGTTCCAAGGTTGAGAAATTGTATCCAAATTTAATTCTTACTTTGCTATATCTAAATCTTGACAACTGGAAATATTTTCCATCATAAAGAGAAAAGCCATCAAGTAGTTATTCCAAACATGGGAATTATGCCCTAGAGACACCCTGGAAAGGCATCTAGAATGGCATCTCAGGGCAATGAGTGCCACCACAGTATGTAAATCCAACAATATTAAAATTACAGTAAATCACCAATCTCTTTAATCCAAATCTCTTTAATGGAAAAAACATATAGATAATGTTATTAGTAATATTCTACTTTGGGGACTGAATGGTAGGTTCACAAGTATGTTATCACACTTAATTACATATTAAATAAATTCAGTCTATTTTAAGAATAATATATTAGAAGCAATAAAATGATTAAATATAGTAAATAATATACTAGAAATAGAAAAAATATACTTACTCTGAAGAAGGATAAACACAGCTAACAACCATCACATTCTGCAATAACAAAAATCAGTGATTTAGTATGAAGAAAAGTACTACAACATAAAGTTTCATCATTTTTGTTTCTAAAATCACTCTGGTGGGTTAAATTCCCATTGATTCTAATTTTGCTAGTAAAGGAAAATGGTTAAAAATGAAAACTGGTGAAACAGCAAAAACTAAAACAATAACAAAGGACCAAAAGAGAATATCCTACTCAGCCACTAATTTTTTTTTTCCTATACTTATTTTTTACCCTAATCTAGTTATTCTAGACCCGTAACATCATACACTATACGTAGTAGAGTAACTAAGCTCAGATGGAATCAACAAAGATGTTGAGAGATTGAAGTACTTAAGACATATGTAATTGATTTTCCTTACAAAGCAACACCCAATCCACGGCTTGTTGTGTTGCATCATATATCCCACAGAAAGAGACTCAAACCTTTTTTGTAATATATTTATGATCTTCCCAGTAAAAATAACTTTACTAATATTCAGTGTTCACTGAAAGTTTAGTATGAGTCACAGTAAGTGTTTTGCATTTAATCCCCCTCCCAGCCCTATTATTAACCACATTTTACAGAGGAGAAAACTAACTGGCCCAAGGTCACACAACTATGAAACACTGCAACCCTGATTTAAAGGCAGGGCACCTGGTATGACTACTGTAACATATTGCTACTTTATCTGAAAATCTCCAAAATGTAATTATTACAACTCCTGGAGCTGAAAAGTAAGTACTGATGAGCCATCTCAGTTTCCTGGCCTTTGGGGATATTATTCAATTGAGTGTACAGAGGATCAACAAAATATATTAATCCAGTATGGCCACAAAAACTACTGTAAATCACTATGTAATGGTTTTTGATTCCTGTTCCCAGGGTAAAATAAAGTGGATTTGAACCAGATCCTTAAATGAACAGGGGAGTGTTTCCGGACCAACCATCAACTGAAAATTAGAACTCATTAGTCCAATCTTGGTTCTCACAGGGCTTCCTTCATTTTTCACTCAAGACAAGTCAATTTCTTACTTTTCATTCCCTTAAACACCTTGAATCTTTGTTCTTCACACCATTTCCTTTTTTTTTTTTTTTTCTGAGACAGAGTCTCACTTTGTTGCCCAGGCTGGAGTGCAATGGTGCCATCTCAGCTCTCTGCAACCTCCGTCTCCCAGGTTCTAGCAATTCTCCTGCCTCAGCCTCCTGGGTAGCTAGGATTACAGGCGTGCACCACCACGCCCGGCTAGTTTTTGTATTTTTTGCAGAGACAGGGTTTCACCATGTTGGCCAGCCTGGTCTCGAACTCCTGACCGTGATCCACCCACCTCAGCCTCCCAAAGTGCTGGAATTACAGGCATGAGCCACCACACCCAGCCCACACCATTTCCTTTATTCAGAATACCCTTCCCTTATTCTAACACTCCCTCAACCCCCTCCACACACAAACACTAATGTTTATCTCTAAATCTGACCTGCATCTTTCTACTCAATACCTCATTTACATGCTTGGCACCAGTAAGTTTCCAAAGTTATGTACCTTTGAACTCCAGAATTGAGAAAATGAATTCCATGTGTAAGTTTATAAAACACTCTATAAAGTTAAAATAGCAATTATAACTTCACAGAACCTTTAATAAGTTGATATACACTATGAATTTCCAAGAAATAATAAGCTGCTTTCACCAAACTTCAATGACCAACACACAAACCCTCCTCTACCCGGTCCTATTAAATCTCTCTGTAAAACAGAATGCAATTTGGAAAACAATTTGGGAAACTCAAGGTAGGCTGAAAAACATATTTCAAGAAGTGGTACCCGAAACAGATCTTACTCAATGTTCTTTTCTAAAATAAAAGCTATTACACCACAGCATAATATAATTCCAATAATAAAATAAATACCTTTTCTACTCCTCTGAGAAATTTGTCTGTTCCTGTATAGTTTCTCCTTGGATCTGTTAACAATTCACATAGTCGCTGAATAGTAAAAGGGATACTGCAAAAAAATATAATTTTACAGTGTGAGATCACTGATAATCAAGAAAACGAGGAACATTATTTCTTTTGCTAGGTAAAGCTGTATCTAGTCACCCATGTATTAAGCTACAAAAGAAAATGCTATAATAGGGAAATAAATGGATGAGTCATTTAAAAAAAGACAATAAAATAAGCATACCTTTCTATTTAACAAAAAAACCATTCTCCCTTCCTTTAAAAAGCAATAAAGGTGGGGGGGGAGGGAGGGGGGAATGGTTAACGGGTACAAAAATATAGTTAGAATGAATAAGATCTAGTATTTGATAGCACAACAGGTTGACTACAATAATTTATCGTACATTTTAAAATAACTAAGAGTATAAGTGTACTGTTTGTAACACAAAGCATAAAGAAACGCTTGAGGTGATGGATAACCCATTTACCCTGATGTGATTATAATGCATTGTATGGCTCTATCAAAATATCTCATGTACCCCATAAATATGTAAACCTACTATTTACCAACAGAAATTCTTTTTTAAAAAAAAAGCAACTTAGAACACCCAAAATCAACAGAAAGCTTCAAAACTGAGGAAAAAATTTTTATATAATAGAAAATTCTAAATCCTGATAATTTGATTTTTAAGTTTACAAGAGAGGTAACACAAATAATAATCAAGTTGGGGGTTATTTAATATATGTATTTTTCCTCAAGTATTCTTCTGCACTCAAAGGTTTCTTTAAAATGTTCAAACAAAACTACAAATATTTTAAATGTGGTTCTGCTCCATTATTGCAATTTCATATATAATCTAAGTTTAATCCAACTTAAAATATACACAACTTTTATTTAACTTTACCAAATAATTTCACTATACCTCAATTTTTCCTTGACCACAGTAAATACAAAACTGATATAAGTTGGAACTAAAATCATTTTATAAATATTTTTAAGTTTTGAGCTCATGTAGCTATTAGCATTCATAAGAATTACAAGCTGAACAGAACAGCAAAGTTATGAGCACGAGGTACGACAAACGCAGCTAACAAATACAAACAAATCTTCAGACTTCAGTGTCTGCCATACCAATCTATTTATTCTCTTTAATGAAAAGAATTACAAAGCCTCAAATTAATAGTTAACATTCACAAAGGTCTTCATTTTTTATAGGCAGTGTGATACAGAATTTTCTTCCACCACAAGGTATAGTAGTTAGTGAGTTAAAATGCCAGGACTCAAACTCAGTCTCTCTAACTTCAAATCTCATGTCCTTTCCATTGTACCACACGTATTTTACAAAATTATAGTTGTTTATTTTCTAACTGGATAAACTACATTTGGTTCTCATATTCTTTGTGTCAATACTATTCTTATGTTCAAAGTATAAGATGTGCAAAAAATTCTGAAAGTGCTTAAAGTGCATGTTATTCATATGAGAACAAATGTTTTTAGATAAATTTGAGAGTCCAAGAATCAATCTTTTGTCTCAAACCTAAAATCGAATCCAAACCTAAAAGTGAGAAAACTGTTCTACCAAAAGACAAGGCACAGAATAAAAGATTAAATGTTTGCCTGATATTCCAAACATTCAGAAGCAACTAGAAATTCCTCTGGGTTTCTGAGGAAGAATACTTTTTTGCTTTTGAAAATCTACTCAGAGTGAAGTACAATGTCAAAATGAAGAATCCTTTTAAATGGGGAAGTACAAAGCACACCAACAGCGTTACTAAGTATGAAACAATAAGCTTATACATCTTTTGTTTCATTCCTATAAAGACAACCATTAGAAATCTATAGCTAATACACAAAACTAACTCTACTTTAAAAATGTTTAAGCATTTTCCACATGTATAACAAACAGTATTAGTTTCTCAATTGTCTGTCCGTGAAACCCAGTATTATCGTGGATTTCAGATTAGTGGTATAACTCACCTTAGCTCCTCTTCTAGTTCATGGCTCTTCAAACCTTACACACACAACACACCTAAGCTATTTCCTCATTAATCACCCCATAGTGATACTGTCATTAAAATTTATTATTCAAAATATACAAAATAGCACCAACAGTTTGGGTATTCAACAAGTGTTTGGGTATTCAAATAGTACTTAACTGAAAAATACTGTCTAGTCATTATGCTTTTTCTTCCTACTAAAATTCTTTCCCACATTAAAACCTAATGTTTTCTCACTAATTAAAATTAGTTTTAACAGATGAATATTTTAAAACTTCTTGTTTAACAACATGTACACTGAATGCTTTGGCTAATTTTCTTTAGAAATGTAAGTTAAATTGTAGCCAATTATTAATATTTTATGTGTTGTTTAATATTAATACTGCTTTGGGAGGGGGGTATGTGTTTACATAGCAATACCAGCAATGATAAAACGAGTTTAAGTTCTTAGACAATTTCAGAAGCTTTTTTCAAAAGATCCTTATTTCAAAAAGTAAAAGAAGCTTTAAAAGTCATTTTACCAAGTATCCAATAGATGGCACTAAAATGTCACACAACACTTCCTTTTCTCACACGACAGGCTAAATCCCAACCAAACACTTTCTGCAAATCAATGGATCCACTGGAAATATTAGTATGATAAATGAACGTAACAGCATTGAAAGGTCTCTTTACATACAGACTGTACTTTTAAACTTATTCCATAAATATAAGAGCCTATTATAAACTAGAAATACCAACCTTGTTCAACAGCAGTCAAAAGACATGTAAATAATTACAATTACAGTAATAAATAACAACACTGTATAAAAAGTGCCATGGAGACAGAATAAACTGTATGCCAAGCTTAGTAAGCGTGACACTGGGAAAACTTAGTGTGAGGTAGGCCTCTAAAAGGAGGCACAAGAATAAACCAGAAAAACCAGTACAAAATGAAAGCATTTGGTACAAGTATATGAAAGCTCTGCTCTCTGATACTCATCCATTAGACATAGCATACAAAATAGTTTATTCTAACTTCTGAAAATATTAAGGCTTTTCCCACACATACTAAGAAAAGCAAATATAGGGAGAGGAGCGTTAAACACACATGCCACTCATTCTCAATGAAAAGTCTATTCAGAAATCCTTAAATTTGGGGGGAAGTGGTGATCAGATGTTCATTAGCAAAGTTATACTGTAAAATAAAAAACCCTGGGCCAGGCACGGTGGCTCACGCCTGTAATCCCAGGACTTTGGGAAGCCGAAGCAGGCGATCCCCTGAGGTCAGGAGTTCAAGAACCAGCCTGGCCTGTAATCCTAGCTACTCGGGAGGCTGAGGCAAAAGAATTGCTTGAACCTGGGCGGTGGAGGTTGCAAGTTGCAGTGAGTCGAGATTGAGCCACTGCACTCCAGCCTGGGTGATAAGAGTGAGACTGTCTCCAAAAAAAAAAAAGCGTTTGGTTTACTCTGCAATGATATATCATCTGATTTATTCATATTGTAAAATGGAAAACTAAGATGATATAAGGAACTGAAAAAAGGACATGACTAGCTAGCATCTCAAATTTTTTAAAACAGTGCCTACAACATCCAGTAACATTTTTTAAACCCCCCGCCCCACACATTAAGGATCCACCTTTGCTAAATATATATATATATTTTAATACACACACACACACACACACACACACACACACACACACGCTACCCCACTAGGAGACCTTACTCAAAACTGAATTTACCTGAGTCTTCATGGGTCTCATGGGTCTTGTCTGAAAACAAGGGTTCTACAAGTACACTTCAAAGATTATCATGACGACTAAATACGACATAATGTATATGGTATATTAAATCACCTAACAGTGCCTAAAATATTTCAGAAAGTTCAATAAATCTTAGTTCTTATTGTCATCATTCCATCTACTCTTTGATAGAGATTGTGGGAAGGCACACATGGTCCAAAGACCAACAAAACCAAAAGTATAGGTCTGTCTTTAAAAATACTCCCTTTAATTCCAAGGAAAATAACTTACCCTAATTAATAGGACCACACATTTTACCTTATATATCTTAATTTAAATGCAAGCTGTCCCTATTTACTTTTTTTTAAAAGCAGAAGTCTTGTACACCTAAAAGCTATGGAAATTCAAATACCAAGAAAGTTGCTGAATATCAGGGAAAGACATCTTAACATAAAGTAGCAATTCAATGCTATTTTTTAAAAGATAAATTTTAAGTCATAAGGCTAAACACTAAAGAAATAATGTCTTAAGCATGTATTTTAACCTAAATTTCTATAAAAGTACTAAGTTGACAAGGCACTCAAAAAATAAGTGCGCACTTCATTCAGACTCTAAAAAAATCAGTTTAACTACCTTAACTTTAAATTATATAAGCAACTTTTCCACATGAAAAAGACAAAGGAATGTAACATGTAGCACAGAGGCTACTGGAGTAAACAGCTAAAGAAATGACCATAAAAATCTGACATCCTACTAAAAAAAAAGTCAAAACAGTCATTCACTTTTGTTTTACCCATGTATATGTGGATTTTACTGTCTTTTCTGACTAAATGACCACATTAGTGGTGTCTTAGTTAACAGAAATACTGAGTTAAACTTAACTGTCAACATGGAAACTAACAATATCTCTGTTACCAAAGACTAAGTTCATAATTTTGTTTACACCTACAAAGTCTTACAAAAGTCAGAAATACCATTAGAATCCTGTGATACTAGCTTTACTTGAAGCAGTATGTTCTTTCTCTACTCAGGCTTTAATATTTACATAAACATACACATTCATAAATATTTATATTTATGAATTTTGGGTTAAGGAGTGGTGCAGACACTAGTTTACTTACATCATTGGGGTTCCTTATCATTATTAAAAGAGGCGAAATTAGCTGAGCACGGCGGCTCACGCCTGTAATCCCAGCATTTTGGGGGACCGAGGCGGGTGGATCACCTGAGGTCAGAAGTTCGAGACCAGCCTGGCCAACATGGCGAAACCCTGTCTCTACTAAAAATACAAAAATTAGCCGGGCATGGTTGATGCATGCCTGTAATCCCAGCTACTCAGGTGCTTGAGGCAGGAGAATTGTTTAAACCCAGGTAATAGAGCAACACTCTGTCCCCACCAAAAGAAAATTCATACACATATAATCTTATGTCTCAAATCAAATGACAGATTTCGCTTTTTTTTTTTTTTTTGAGATGGTGTCTCGCTCTGTCACCCACGCTGGAGTGCAGTGGCACCATCTCGGCTCACTGCAACCTCTGCCTCCTGGGTTCAAGCAATTCTCTTGCCTCAGCCTCCCGAGTAGCTGGGACTACAGGCGCCTGCCACCACGCCCAGCTAATTTTTTGTATTTTTAGTAGAGACGGGGTTTCACAGTGTTAGCCAGGATGGTCTCCATCTCCTGACCTCATGATCCGCCTGCCTGGGCCTCCCAAAGTGCTGAGATTACAGGTGTGAGCCACCACGCCCAGCTAATTTCGCCTCTTTTAATAATGATAAGGAACCCCAATGATGTAAGTAAACTAATGTCTGCACCACTCCTTGACCCAAAATTAATCTATAGCAATTGTCAAAGCTTTTAATAAAGTTAATCATCTCTTGGAGTTCCTATAGTCTGAACTGTTATTTTATTTGCATCAAATATAACTAGCAAGAAAAAGTTAATTAGGCTTTCTGTTAATTTCAATTTTTAAGTTTATTAAAGAGAGTATCACATCAAGCCATATTACCACTAGACAAGACCAGGTGGGGAATAGTAAGGAGGGATGGTTACAAAGTCATGCTAATTCTCAAGTAATTATTCTAAGAGAAAGAAAGGGGATAAAGAAAAAACAAGTAAGTAGGGGTGGGTGGGTGTGGGTTTGTGTATGTGAGAGAGACAGAAATCTGCCACAAATAAGTACATTTTAACTAATATACTCAACAAACACTGACACAAATAATTAACAGCACAAAAACCTATTTTCCCCAGGCAACTGGGGAGCACAAAAATCAGGAAGCAATAAAGTGAATCAACAGTGTCAGAGAACAAAGTAATAAACGGCTAAGGACCCATTCTCTCAGTCCCTGAATCATCTGGAGCTAACCGTAAAGCAAACAACACACAAACTGAAAATCAAATGTGGGTTGTTTTATTCTACAATCCAGACTTTGGAGTATAAAAGTCTCATATATAACTTTAAAAGATCATGAGCAGTACTCTCAGCTGTGACTGACTGTACCTGCTTAACAGATGATATAAAGATTATTAGGTATCAAAAGTTTTCCACTTTTTCCAGACCTCCTCATAAATATATAGGAACACTATTTTAGTTTACTATTCACAGAGTGAGGAGGCCGACTGCCTACTTTAGAGAGGACTTAGAGGTAACAGCAATGACAAGAAAGGGTCAAGACTTGAGAGATTAACTTACTTTTATATTCATTATTCTTTCATTTTGAAAAATTCAGAGAACATAAAATGGTATCTTTTAAAACTGCCAGGAATGTAACTTACATGCTCTCTATCCCTCAACAAAATGCCTCTTTGTGTATACCATTATAGGAATGAACCATTACCTATTAGCAATTCCTAAATTATATTCATGGTCTCTGTAATAGGAGGAGGATTTTCATAAATGGCCCTGGTTTGAGTAAACCCATATACTCTTTTTTATTATAATTCCAGAGGGCATAAAATGGTCTTTTAATTGACCATTTCATTAAAATTTTTAGTTTCGTTCATTTTAATTTTTGGTGTTTCTCATCTGACAAACTGTAACTTCACTTTTGGAGAGTAGTTATAATCCATCTTCTATGAAATTTTAAAGTTCCAAAGTAATTTTAAAAGACAAGAAAATGACCAAAAAAAAAAAGAAAAGAAAGAAATTAAGCATTCCATTGTGATTCTTCTATGCCTCAATAGACAAAATAGATATAAATATACTTTTATTCTTTTTTTTCTAGTCCCCAGTTATTCAATATTCTTTTCTTTACTCATTCATTCATTTATCCATCCACGCACCTAGTCATTCCATACTTGTCTGTTTAAGAACCTACTATATTCAGGCACTCACTCTTCTAGGCCTTGTTTGGAAAAGACTGTTACCCCAGCTCTCCAGAAGCTTATAGTTCAGGAAATCAAGTAAACAAGTGCATGGACAATTTCCACTTCAAAGAGGGAAAAATCTGTACTTTGGCCGGGCGCAGTGGTTCACGCCTGTAATCCCAGCACTTTGGGAGGCCGAGGTGGGTGGGTCACAAGGTCAGGAGATCGAGACCATCCTGGCTAACAGGGTGAAACCCCATCTCTACTAAAAATACAAAAAATTAGCCGGGCGTGGTGGCGGGTGCCTGTAGTCCCAGCTACTGGGGAGGCTGAGGCAGGAGAATGGCATGAACCCGGGAGGCGGAGGTTGCAATGAGCTGAGATTGAGCCATTGCACTCCAGCCTGGGCAAAGAGCGAGACTCCATCTCGAAAACCAAACAAACAAACAAACTTGTACTTTGGTAATATACTAAAATAATTTTAGAAAGCGGATAATCTTTCTTACGGCAAAATACTAGGAAGCATTTAATATAAAACTTTTACAAACTAAAAGCAAAAACAACAAAAACTTACCAGTAAGAAAATTAGCAAAAGAAAGTCAAAAGAAGATATAAAGGGCAATTCACAGAAAGGCTGTAAGTACACAAAAAGATGTTCCATTTCACTTGCAATCAAAGAAACACAAATACAGACACATATACAGTACCGAAGAATTACAATATCTGCACTTATTACAAAAGAAAGCATCAACAACCACATTTTGCTAAGTCAATTTTGCAGCACTGATAAACTGAAAATTAAGTGTTCATAAGCTAACCTAGCAATTACATTTCTACAAATTAAAAAAAGTAACAATCTGGCCAGGTGCGGTGGCTCATGCCTGTAATCCCAGCACTTTGGGAGGCCAAGGTGGGTGGATCACCTGAGGTCTGGAATTCAAGACCAGCTTGACCAACATGGAGAAACCCCATCTCTACTAAAAATACAAAAATTAGCCGGGTGTGGTGGCGCATGCCAGTAAACGCGGCTACTCGGGAGGCTGAGGCAGGAGAATCGCCTGAACCCAGGAGGGGGAGGATGTGGTGAGCCGAGATCGTTCCATTGCACTCCAGCCTGAGCAGCAAGAGCGAAACTCTGTCTCCAGAAAAAAATAAAAAAAAGGCAACAATCTATACGTATATTCAAAACATGACATTCATCAACAAAAGATACGTGGAAGGATGCTCACTACAAGCACTGCTTGTTAACAGCCAAAAAAATAAATGCCTACCATCAATCAGGACAGGCAAATAAAAACCTATTATTCACATAATAGAAAACAATGTAGCCATTTCAAATAAATAAAAAGATAGCTTTAAATGTACTAATATAGACATGTTGAAGCTTCTCTAAAAGGAAAATACCACTAGCATATAGCATGATTCTACTTTCATTCTTTATGTACTTCTGTAACAGTGGGGATCTTTTTAAAAGCGTGAACATACACCGCTTTTGTAATTTAAAGATTATCTATTACAAATGGGGGGAGGAGTGTATAAGAATGGACAAACCCTCAAACTGGTGGAAAACCAACAAAATGTTACTTCTTAGTAAATATTTTAAAAAACTATATATATATAAAAAACACAAAAATTGAACATTTTGTAAACATGTTTCAACATACCAATATATTAAAATACAGACAAAAAAAGAGTAAATTAAAAATAGAAAAATCTTGATGTATCACTGATTAAATAAGACTTAGATTCTGCCTGCTCAGAGAAAGTGATTCATAAACTGAAAAATCAAATTTAAAAAATGTAAGTTCGGGCCAGGCGCGGTGGCTCAAGCTTGTAATCCCAGCACTTTGGGAGGCTGAGGCAGGTAGATTACTTGAGGTCAGGAGTTCCAGACCAGCCTGGCCAACATGGTAAAACCCCGTCTCTACTAAAACTACAAAACAAATAAACAAACAAACAAAAAAAACATAGCTGGGTGTGGTGATGCACCCTGTAATGCCAGCTACTCGAGAGGTTGAGGCTGGAGAATAGCTTGAACTTGGGAGGCGGAAGTTGCAGTGAGCCCAGATGGTGCCACTGCACTCCAGCCTGGGTGACAAAGACTCCATCTCTAAATAAATAAAATAAAACAAAACAAAACAAAATTTCAAAATACGGTTCAAAAATAAAGTTGTAAAAGAAGAATGCTCAGGCATTTAATGACTGTTCAAATCATTTTCTGAAGTAGGTGAATTACCTCTTTTACAGATTAAGAAATTACAAATATTTAGATTTATGTAATAAATAATACACAATATTAATTTTATTATATTTATATATAATATATAATACATGTATTTGTTTCTAGCCCAACTTAATGTGAATGAACTGAAAATGGTATTTGCTATTACTAATTCAGAATAACAAGTAAATATGCTTACAAAGCAGCAGTATAATTTGACCTGTTTCACCTTAACTTTTATTTTTGAATGACGGCCATAATTTATTGAAATAAAAGACGACTCACTATGTCTAAGTACTATTTATATATATGTACAATTTATAAATAACCCCGAGAAGTATTCTCTTTTTTTTTGAGATGGAGTCTCACTCTGTCACCCAGGCTGAAATGCAGTAGCGAGATCTTGGCTCACTGCAGGCTCTGCCTCCTGGGTTCACCCCATTTTCCTGCCTCAGTCTCCCGAGTAGCTGGGATTATGGGCGTCCGCGACAACGCCCAGCTGATTTTTCTGTATTTTTAGTAGAGACGGGGTTTCACCGTGTTAGCCAGGATGGTCTCAATCTCCTGACCTAGTGATCTGCCCACCTCGGCCTCCCAAAGTGCTGGGATTACAGGCGTGAGCCACCACACCTGGCCCCGAGAAGTATTCTAATCTTGAATGTATTCATTTAGTTCAACAGTAAATCTTATGCAACATGCTTCTAAAATGTATCATGTGGCTATTTCTTGGATAAGTGCCTTTAAAATGTTTTTTTTCCTTTTTCTGAAAAATTTTAAAATATTGATATGGAAATATACACATATTGGTTAAATAATTTCAACAGTCCAACAGGGTGCACAGTGAAAATAGGTCTCCTTCCCATCCCAGGCCCCCAGGGGTAACTATAACTGATGAACCTCAAAGACAAAAGCTATGATTTCTCCCCCACAAAATATTTTTGTAACAGACCCCAAGTCAAGGCCTAAGGGTTTGACATTTCAAGCAAAATTCTTAAACCTAAAAACAGTGGAATATGATATAAAGCAAACCGTTAACTGGATTACACTATCTTATTTCAAAATCCCATGCAATTAAATACCTAAAGAATCAAGCCATTTATGCCATCTAAAAATACAACTGAAACCCTTCAAATACTATCTAATTCTAACTATGAATTCACTGGTTAGAAAAACCACAATTCATTATATTTGGTATTGTTGTTCCACACCCTAAGTTAACGCCAAACTAAATATCGAATAATTCAACTTCACAAACACTTCTTCCCTTCAATAAAGGAAACCGTAAAAATACAAAGTCCTGGCTGGGCGCGGGGGCTCACGCCTGTAATCCCAACACTGTGGGAGGCTGAGGTGGGCGGATCACAAGGTCAGGAGTTGGAGACCAGCCTGGCCAGCATGGTGAAACCCCATCTCTATTAAAAAATAAAAAAATTAGCCGAGCACCGTGGCGCGCACCTGTGGTCCTAGCCTAGCTACCCGGGGGGCTGAGGCAGAATTGCTTGAACCTGGCAGGCGGAGGTTGCGGTGAGCCGAGATCATGCCACTGCACTCCACCCTGGGTGACAGCGAGACTCTGTCTCAAAACAAAACAAAATAAAACAAAAAACAAAGTCCTACAAAAATAGAATTTAAAATGACAGAGTATGAGACACAGTAACATTTCTTTAAAAATGAGTACTGCCGGGCGTGGTGGCTCACGCCTGTAATTCCAGCACTTTGGGAGGCCGAGGCAGGCGGATCATGAGGTCAGGAGATCGAGACCATCCTGGCTAACATGGTGAAACCCTGTCTCTACTAAAAATACAAAAATTAGCCGGGTGTGGTGGCATGCGCCTACAGTCTCAGTTACTCGCGAAGCTGAGGGAGGAGAATTGCTTGAACCCAGGAGACAGAGACTGCAGCGAGCCAAGATCACGCCACTGTATTCCAGCCTAGGTGACAGAGCGAGACACCTTCTCAAAAACAAACAAAACAAAACAAAAAAACCGGGGAGTTTTACTTTTGTACAGAATATCTTTTTAGTGTTTTTAATGTTTTACAAGCGGCCAAAAATGGTTACTTGTAACTAACAAGCAAGCCGTTACTTAGGAGAGAAATGATGACTCCAAAAAAAGTCTAAACAAAAACTCACTAAAATACTTCCATAAATTAGTATTTCGTTTTAAAAGAAATGTGATTTCTCAATGATATAAAGGTTCTATATAAAGTATGAAGACATAACACCAAATATAAAACAGGAAAGAAAAACCATTAAAATGTTTCCTGATAAATGACTGTTTCCACTGATACCTATAAAAAGGTGGTTCAAGTTTTTTAAGAGGCTACAAATATTTTAAATAGTTGTAAGCTAAAAATCATCAACTACTACATGTCACTAGAAACAAGGAATTTATTCTAATGGATAATCAATCATCAACCAGACACATCAAAACTAAAAGAAAAATCTATTCATCTTCTGCTAAAAATTAAATCTTTAAAACAGTATTAAGTGCATACCCATTAAATCCAGTGACAATTTTCAGTATTCTTTCCTTCATTTCATCAAAGGGAATATATTCGACATTAGGGTTGGGAGGACCTCTTGGCTCAGGAGCTGAAGTTCTGAAATCATCCATCACTTTCTCCAGTTTGAAAATAAAATAGCCTTTAAATTGGGACCACTGAATCCTATAAGCAAAAAATTAAAAAATATATAATACCATGTAGCTTCACAATTCTTGAACACAAAACACAAATATAAAATATACTATGACACTAATACTAACAAAATTAAGATGTGAATAATTAGTAATGAGAATGCCGTCATTGAAGAGCACACATCATGCCTCATTTATCACAAGCTCCATCCTGATGCTATCCAACTCCCAACCCAAACAAAACCCAGATCTCTCATTTAGATCTTTTAAATGAACTACCTCTGCCTGAAAGTCTATGGTGTGTTAGGTCCTATTCTTAGTATGTTTAAAATAATATTTTGACTCTTTCACTCATAACAAACCTAACCAGGTGGGCATTAGTTACACTATCCTATTAAGTCAGAATGAATCCATACCTTAATCATCCAAGTTACAATGTTTGCATGGACTAGTAAAATTTGTCTATTATCTACTAAATAACAAAATAAACTTTACTTTCTCCTTTTTTTTCCCCTTTCAGTTAATATCTTCAGGCTCTTTTGTCACTTAAGAGACAAAAGGCATGTACCTATGATTAAGGCACATAATCACAGGTTCTATCCAACCAGTACTTGCACAATAAAAATACATAATTTGCTTAGGTACTTTTCACATCTATTCATTTATCAAATTAACATAAACACCTTTTTATCCCTCTTTCCTCACATTTCACCAGTAATATAAAAGGAAATTTTGTGAGGATACCTGCCTGAATAGTGTAAATTCCAGGAGACACGGGAGTCAGGAATGCTAACCATTTCCTCAGGCAGACAGTACTACCATTAGTGACAGCAGATCAATCTCTTTACACAGGTTGACTACTTAAACAAATTTACACAAATTAACGGGAGCCCATCTGTAATCACCTTCCATCCCATGCAGCAACCCTATAAACTAGGGTAGCAGTTTTCAAATTGTGGTCCAAGAGGTCAAAGCTATTGTCAAAAGAATAAGGGCTGACTAGTTCACTGTTAATGTGTGCACTGATGGTATAAAAGCAAGGTGGATAAAACTGATAATCCATGTAGCAAGAGTCAGGACAGCAGCACCAAACTGTATTACTAGCTGTAGCAGAAGCCAGAATTTTCACAAACTCGTAATTTTAAAAATCTGTTCCACTTAAAGTGTAAAAGATATAAAAATTACTAATTTCATTAAATCCCAACCCTTGAATACATCTTTTACATATTCTGTGTAACAAAATGAGAAACAGGTATTAAAAAAATTATGCTGCATATCAAAGAGGTATGAGATTCTCAAAGAACAATACCTTTATTTAGACCGCTGCCAGCTGAACTAGCTATTTTTCATAGAACAGCATTTTAACCTGAAAGGACTGCCACACAAATAAAGCTTATTTAGATTAGCAGACTGGGTGTGATGGCTCACACCTGTAAACCCAGCAGGCGGATCACCTGAGGTCAGGAGTTCGAGATCAGCCTGGCCAACATGGTGAAACCCTGTCTTTACTAAAAATACAAAAATTAGCCAGGCGGGGTGGTGCATGCCTGTAATCCCAGCTACACAGGAGGCTGAGGCAAGGAGAATCACTTGAACTGAGGAGGTGGAGGTTGTAGTGAGCTGAGGATTGCATCACTGCACGCCAGCCCGGGCGATGAGCAAGACTCCATTTCCAAAAAAAAAAAAAAAATTAGGAGAATGTGGTAGACATTTTCTCAAAAATAAATAAAGTGAACCTGTCATTTCAAGATAAATAACTGACAGTATTTGTTACCAATGATAAAAATTTGAACTTCTAAGCAAAAAACTAAAAGTCTGGACAATTTTTATTCTTCACTGTGAGCTTGAAAGCTTCCTGATATAGTCCCAAAATATTCTGAAGGCAACCAGTGTCGACATAAAAATATTATACGAGGCCAGGTGTGGTGGCTCACGCCTGTAATCCCAGCACTTTGGGAAGCCGAGACAGGAAGATCACTTGGGCCCAGGAGTTGGAAGCCAGCCTGGGCAAACAGCAATACTCCGTCTCTACAAAATAATTAATTACTAATTAATTTAAATTAGGCATGGTGGTATGCACCTGTAGTCCCAGCTACTCAAGAGGCCGAGGCAACAGGATTGCTTGAGCCCAGGAGGTAGAGGCTGCAGTAAGCCAAGATCACACCACTGGAATCCAGCCTGAGCGACAGAGCAAGACCCTGTCTCTTAAAGATACTGTGTGATACCAAAAGCACAAGCAACAAAATTGATAAATTGAATTACATCAAAATTTAAAATTTTGTGCATCAAAGGACACTATCAACAGAGCAGAAAGTCAAATCGTGAAATGGGAGAAAATATTTGCAAATCTTTTATCTGATAAGGGGTTAATATCCAGATTATATAAAGAACACCTACAACTTAACAAAAAAGATGACCCAATTTAAAAATGGGCAAAGTACTTAAATACGCACTTCTCCAAAGAAGATATACAAATAGCAAACACACAAGATGCTTAACACCATTAATCTTGGGGAAATGTAAATCCAAATCACAATACCACTTTACACCCATTAGGGTTGGCTATTATCTAAAAAACAAGTGAACAAGTATTGGCTGGCCAAGGATGTAGAGAAACTGAAACTTTCCTTTCTGAGACAGTGTCACTCCGTTGCCAGGGCTGGAGAGTGGTGGTGCAACCTCGGCTCACTGCAACCTCTGCCTCCTGGGTTCAAGCAATTCTCCTGCTTCAGCCTCCCAAGTAGCTAGGATTACAGGTGCCTACCACTACGTCCAGCTAACTTTTTGTATTTTTAGTAGAGACGGGGTTTCACCATGTTGGCCAGGCTGGTCTCGAACTCCTGACCTCGTGATCAGCCCACCTCAGCCTCCCAAAGTGCGTGAGCCACTGCCCCCAGCCAAGAAACCAAAACTCTTGTGCATTGCTGGTAGGAACAATGCAGTCACTGTGGAAAGCAGTTTGGTTGCTCCAAAAACAACAACAACAACAACAACAAAAATTATGAAACCACCCTATGATTCAGGAATCCCATTTCTCCATAGATCCCCAAAAGGTGAAAACAACCCAAATGTGCCAACAGCACATGAATGGATAAGCAAAATGTGAGAGATAAACACACACACACACACGAATATTATCCAGTCTTTAATCTGAAAGAAATTCTGACATGGATTAAGCTTGATGGCATTATGCAAAGTGAAATAAGCCAGACACAAAAAGAACGACTATTGTATGATTCCACTTATATGAGCTATCAAGAATAGTCAATTTAGAGTCGTCTGGAACTGTGGGGAGGAAGGTGAAGGGACTTATTCTTTAATGTGTACAATGTTTCAAGTTTGTGTAAATGAAAAGTTCTGCAGATGGATGATAGTGATGGTAACATACATCGTGAGTGTACTTACTGGCAATAAATTGTACACTTCAAATAGTTAAAATGGTAAGGTTTACATTAGGTATATTTCAATAGGTATTTCCCCACAAAGAAGATACACAAATGGCCAATAAGCATATGAAAAGATGCTCAGCATTATTATCTATTAGAGAAATGCAAATCAAAACCACCCATTTCACACCCACTAGGGTGGCTATAATCAAAAAGATGAATAATGAACGAGTGCTGGGTTGATGTGGGGAAACTGGTAATGTCATACATTACTGGTGGGAAAGTAAAATGGTGTAGTTGCTTTGGAAAGTACTTGGGCAGTTCCTCAGAAAGGTAAATGCAGATTTGTAATCCAACAATTCCATTCTATTAAATGAGTGAATTATGTATTTTAAAAGTATGCTATTACTTTTAAAAATGGTGAGGATAATTAAAAGCTATTTGCATGATTAGTTTTTTCCACCTTTCCCTATCCTATTTTAGAAAGGGGAATTTGAGGTTTAACAAGCAGAATTTTTAATTTTTAATTTCACAGAATTTTTGATATGCCTAATATTAATCCTTATTAATGTACAATTGCTTTTGGTTCCTAAAATTTATCTTTAAATTTTATGAGACTCTCCACATGCACTTCATACTTAAACATACCAGGGCAAGTTATACTGAAATAGGACGCTTATACTTTTCATTTCTTAAATTAATAATTTTTTGTGCTTTTAATAATCACCAATTCATAGCGTGAGTTCAGATTTCCATATGCACAGAGTCTTGTGGTGTGTTTTAATCTCATCTTTCCATTAACCATCTGACATGACATGTTTGCGGTCCAAAAAAAGCACATTAATGGGAACAGCCAGACAAGAGGTATGGGATCCCAGGTAATGGAAATTCTGAAGAGATTCAAAGACTCTATGGCACTAACTCATGAGACAGAAATTAAGCCCCATAAATTGACATGAATTATGAACACACTGTAGTCTTAACTTTCAAATAAATCAAGCAGTTACTCTAAATTAGATCAATACGATGCAATTCAAGTGATACTATTCCACATATATATATGGGGAGGGCATTCATAAAATGTGAAAGATACAGCTTTTTGATGGAGGACAACTATTTGATAAAAACAAAAACAGAAAATGCTTCCCTAAAAGTTATATAATTCAGGGGCCAGGCGCGGTGGCTCACGGATGTAATCCCAGCACTTTGGGAGGCCGAGGCGGGCTTATCACAAGGTCAAGAGACCAAGACCATCCTGGCCAACATGGTGAAATCCTGTCTCTACTAAAAATACAAAAATTAGCTGGGTGTGGTGGCACAAACCTGTATTCCCAGCTACTCGGGAGGCTGAGACAGGAGAATTGTTTGAACCCAGGAGGCGGAGGTTGCAGTGAGCCAAGATTGCAGCACCGCACTCCAGCCTGGGTGACACAGCGAGACTCCATCTCAAAAAAAAAAAAAAAAAAAAAGAAATTATATTCAGGCACAAAAAACAGGCCATGCGCAAATCAACTAAAAACTTGGCAACAAAAACAATTTCTTAGGAATGTACACTCACTGGATGAGTAGAAATGAGAACAAAAAAACCCTTGGCTTTCAATATGAAAATCAAATTATTCTAAAAAGATGCTCATAAGACATAAACACATTTTCAACTTCAGAACAAATTTCTCCACATAAAATCCCCTCCAATAAAATACATACTCAAAATTTAAATCTACTTTACTGAAATTAACTCAATAATGTACTGAAATTAATCACCATTAACTAAGTAGCTTCACCTCCCTTCACTTCCTTTTTCTTCTCCCCTTCCATTTTCCCATTTTTGCAGTTTCTCCTGTAGGAAAGTACAATTCATATCTCTAATAAATATATCCTGGTGCTAGATTTTACATTGACCTTTTTTCTCCATAGGAACTCACAAGTTCATATTCAAACATGTTTCTCTCACAATTCTCTAAAGGCTAAAGGTATTTTCCAGAGGCTTAAGGACAGAAAATCCATCTTTTCTTTTCCCAAGTGGTGCTACAACAATTTAGTGGCCAGCGGCCAACCACCTTAACGTACTGGTTCCTAACATTTCCAGTTCTACTAAGATTACTCTCTACTCAGCCTATCTGCATTGCACACAAAGTGTGAGGAACACTAAGAGCACAACAAAGCTCAGGAGAGTCCTACTACTATTAGCTACTCCAAAGGATAGCAAATACTGCACCATTTATAAACATCAAACGGGAATCTGAGAAGAATGAATAAATAAAATCTAATGGAGATGATCATTCATTAAAGGTGACAGGCTTAAAATACACTTAATGTTTAAAAGGCAGATATTTCAATCAGATGACTTAAAATGTCAAATAATTCAGTCTTAATTATATGACTGAGGCAAACAAAACAAGTATATTTAATCTGAATACTGAATTAAATAAGTGAAAGATCTGCAAAAGTAAGAAAACACTGAGTTGCTTACATAAAATTATGACATTTTTAAAAGGACTAATTTTAAAACACAAATTACTCTCTCTATAAATGGGGCACGAAACAAGAGATTCTTTTACATTATCATTCCACATCATATTACATCTTGTCGACT
This sequence comes from Homo sapiens, assembly GCF_000001405.40. NCBI lineage: Eukaryota > Metazoa > Chordata > Mammalia > Primates > Hominidae > Homo > Homo sapiens. The sequence continues at coordinate 73,041,237 of NC_000003.12, read as the reverse complement.
AACTGAACATTAAAATAGATCAGTGGAACAGAAGAGAGCGGAGAAGCACACCCACACATATATGAAAATCTGATATATGGTAAAGGACAGATTAGTCAGTAAACTGAAAAATATTGAGACTACTCCAAAATGTTAATAGGATTTAAAAACTAAATAATGTGTTTTTTCTGATTACATTAATAGTACAGCCATTATAAGAAATAATAAAGACATAGAAGTATGTATCCATAATCTGCAGTCAACCATCATCACTAAAGTAACATTTTAATATATTTTTCAAATTTGACATCCTAATATTCCTTTTTCCCTCCTCCTTACTCACTACGGGTATTTGCATGGGACAAACAGTCTTTGAGGGCAAGATTTTTAACTGCACCACGTATTTGTGCCATAATTTATTAATCACAGTTTAAAAAAATATTTAGGGCTGGGTGCGATGGCTCACGCCTGTAATGCAAGCACTTTCGGGGGCTGAGGCAGGCAGATCACCTGAGATCAGCAGTTCAAGACCAGCCCGGCCAACATGGTAAAATCCCACCTCTACTAAAAATACAAAAATTAGCCAGGCATGGTGGTGAGCGCCTATAATTCCAGCTACTGGAATTACAGACAGGCTGAGACAGAAGAATCGCTTGAACCCAGGAGGCAGAGGTTGCAGTGCGCCAAGGTTATGCCACTGCACTGCACTCCAGCCTGAGTGACAGAGCAAGACTGTCTCCAAAAAAAAAAAAAAAAAAATTAGGTCACATCTACTTCATTACAATTAAAAATAATTATGTAGTTATGTGATTAACAGCCTAATAATAAACCCTGTAGGCATCTATTTATCACCTGAGGATAGATTTCTGTAAGTGAAATTATTGAGTCCGAAGTATGAAGTACATACGTCAAGACTTTTGTTTCAACCTTCAGAAACTCCCCAGACACCATGTACCATACTTTGTAGTGTCATCAGTAATATAAAGCAACATGTTACATTTGAGTATGATAACCTTTCAAAAATTCTGTCAATATGCTAGTAGAGAAACAGTTTAATTTACATTTCCTTCATTGCTAGTGAAATGGAATATTTTTACCTGATTTTGACCACAAGACACTTGTTTTATGTGTTAACAGGTCCTTTGCAATCCCTCATCCCAGGGCTTCTTCAATTTTGGCACTACTGACATTTTCTTTTTTCTTTTGGAGACAGAGTTTCACTCTTGTCGCCCAGGCTGGAGTGCAATGGCGATCTCGGCTCACTACAACCTCCGCCTCCCTGGTTCAAGCAATTCTCCTGCCTCAGCCTCCTAAGTAGCTGGGATTACAGGCACCTGCCACCATGCCTGGCTAATTTTTGTATTTTTAGTAGAGACGGTGTTTCGCCATGTTGGCCAGGCTGGTCTCAAACTCCTGACACTTCAGGTGATTCGCCGCCTTGGCCTCCCAAAGTGCTGGGATTACAGACGTGAGCCACCAGGCCCGGCCACTGCTGACATTTTCAAGTTGGATAGAATTCTTTGTCACAGGAGGATGTCCTTTGTACTGGAGGATGTGGAGCTACATCCCTGGCCTCTACCCACTAGAAACCTGCAGCACACCACCCACTCCAGTTGTGACAACCATAAATGTCTCCCAACATTATCAAATGTTCCTTGGGAGTCAAAAATTGTCCCCAGTTAAGAACCATGGGCCCATTCCCCACCTCTCTAAAATTATCTGTCTTTTGCTTATTTTTGTGTTATGGAAAAGGTAAATTATGTGATACAATTATGAACAGAATTTTTGGATTCTCATTTTGTACTGACTGCTTCAAAGGTAAAAAGTATTGTTTTTGGCCAGGCATGGTGGCTCACACCTGTAATCCCTGCACTTTGGGAGGCCCAGGTGGATGGATCACTTGAGGTCAGGAGTTTGAGACCAGCCTAGCCAACATGGTGAAACCCCATTTCTACTAAAAATACAAAAATGAGCTGGCATGGTGGGGCATGCCTGTAATCCCAGCTACTCAGGAGGCTGAGGCAGGAGAATCACTTGAACCTGGGAGGCCGAGGTTGCAGTGAGCCAAGATGGCGCCACTGCACTCCAGCCTGGGCAACAAAAGCAAAACTCAGTCTCATAAAAAAAGTATTGTTTTTTATATAAATGAAATGACACTAAAATATTTCTCATGTTTCCTATTTTGAAATTATCCTTGAAGTGTTACATATTTTCTTGCTCATAAACTTCTATCTGAAGATGGCATAGTACCTGCTTTGAAACAATAAAGTTTTGACAAAAATTCTGAAGGGAAAGTATTTGCCACTGAAAGTGACAAATTTTTCAAATTAGAGTGCTAAATGGTTGTACACATAAAGGATCCAATCAGATGAAAAAGAAAGCTTCAGAAGGTAACACAAACTTTCAGACAATAGCTCAGTGTAAACCTGGGTTTCTTTCTTGGCAACTTACATATTCATGATAAGGATTCTAAAAATGCCTAAAGATTCAAATTACTACCTATTCATCCACCTCTCCCTACCAATTAAAACAAAAAGTCCAACCAACAGTATATTCCGGTTAGCCTGACTTGTGCTTAATTTTTAGCCTTTGAGCCCTTATAGAAAATGTCCCTGGCTGGGCGGATCACAAGGTCAGGATTTTGAAACCAACCTGGCCAGAATGGTGAAACCCTGTCTCTACTAAAAATACAAAAATTAGCCAGGCTTGGTGGCACGCACCTGTAGTCCCAGCTACTCAGGAGTCTGAGGCAGGAGAATTGCTTGAACCTGGGAGGTGGAGGTTGCTGTGAGCCAAGATCATGCCACTGCACTCCAGCCTGGGTGACACTGCACTCCACTGGGTGACAGAGTGAGACTCCATCTCCAAAAAAAAAGAAAAAACAAAAAGAAAAAAAAATGTCCCTAGAATCTATTACTATACCAACATAGACTCCTCCCTTCTATGTCAGTGCTGTACCAAAGATGACTCTTCTAACAGCACGGCTCACAATGACCACAGCCAACAAAGAGATGTTGAGTTTTTTAACTTGTACTAGCTTAATGGCTGAAGTGGATCTACCTTCCTCCCTGAAACTAGAGTGTCACTTTTCTCACCACTTTTGCTCCTGCTTTTTACCACCCCCTCTACAATCTAGTTGATAACCAATTCCAATCTGCCATCAAAAGGGACTGATCTATCCCTTCACCCCCACATGTGTCAGACAGGACCGGGTTGGTAGGACCTGGGCCCTTTTTTTCATTCTACCAACTCAGCCCTAACATGAAGGTCAACAGCAGTTAGCAAGTCCTGAAGAAATATGTAACAATCCTTGACTAACAAAATTACTTTGTTACTGCCAGCAGGTGTGCTTAAAACAATAAAACAAAATTCATTTGGAAAACCAGACTTACAGATATTAAATAGAAAATAAAACATCATAAACACTTAATTGCCGAGATTTCAGTGATGGTACAAGAGAACCTAAAGATCACAGTGTAGGTTTAGGGCTCAACAAGGAAGGGCCTCAGGACAAAGTTGGAACTTTAAGCTGAACCTTACAGAAAAAGGAATTGGAAATATATTGACTAAAGTAAAGCCAAGAAGCAGGTGTTTAATATAAACAATAAATGAGTTTCTCAAACTCAGCACTATGGACATCTTGAGCCAAAGGGTTTTAGCTTGTGATGTGCTGCTGTCTGTGTGCACTGTAGGATATTTGCATCCCTGACCTCTATCTAGCAGCAATCCTCACTCCAAGTGGTAAAAAAAAGTCTCTAGTCATTGCCAAATGAACCATGGGAGGGAAGTGGTTCCTGGTGGAGAACACTGCAATACACAATCCCTTTTGTTAACATCTTAACTGGTTACCTTAAAATAATAAGGCTGGGGAAATCAGAACTGCCAAGATCAAAGTCACAAAATTTGAGGAATAAGATTTGTAGCACATGTATATACATCTTTTTAAAGAAAGAGGGAAAGAGAAATCTAAATAATCTAAACCTAATATACAGATGATTCATTTAAAAAAATATACTCATTAGCATTAAAATCTCATGAATCACTTTCAGTTGTACAGGACAATGTGCTATGAAGATCTAATCTAGAATTTTTTTCTTGGGTGTAGTCGTCTGTGTATTAAGTGGAGGGGGAAAAAAAATCCCCCTTCTATCCAACCCAAAGACCAATCCATGTGATATACAGCAAAGAAGACAATAATCATTTCATTTTTAAATTTAGGGAGACTGAAAGACATATGTAAATGATTAAAGCTTAAAATATCTGTTACTGAAATATAAAAATGAGTTAGCACTGCCACAAGTGGTGAGAGATTACTGTATATTTTAATACAAAGGTTTTATCCTGAAGAATCTTGAGTTTGACAGTAAAACAAAAGTATCTTAACAATGTCTGCTATGTTAGCTAATATTTTGGTATTCGTTTATTTTGTGTAATTTTATATACAGATTACTTTCACTGCTACTTTAAAGTATATCCCAGAGTTATGTGCTACTTTAAAAATGCCAATCACGTAAGTAATAATTATCTGGAATGCATCTGGAATGTATCTCATACTTTCAAAAAAAGAAGAAAAAAATCATTAAAAGCAAAGTACCTATCACAAGAACAATTTGTACTTTGGTTTAAGGACTGAATACATGGAAAATGAACATGTCAACGCTACTAAATGAATTAACGCTTCCTGGGAATCTCCATTTACATATGACAAAACTAAAAAGATAAACTGGAAATTTGTACTGATACATAATTATACATATTTATGGGATACATGTGATACTTTTCATACATGTTTGCAACGTGTATTGGTCAAATCGATATTTGGGCTATCCATTTCAAACATTTATCATTTGTGCTGGGAACATTTCAAATCTTCTCTAGCTATTTTGAAATATACAATAAATTGTTAACTATAGTCATCCTACTGTGCTATCAAATACTAAAACTTATTCCTTTTATCTGACTGTACTTTTGTACCCAGTAACCAATTTCTATTCATTCCTGGCCCCCCACCCTTCTCAGCCTCTGATAACCCTCATTCTACTCTCTACCTCCGTTAAGATCAACTTTTTTAGCTCCAACATAATGCATGAGAACATGTGATATTTGTCTTTCTGTGCCTGGCTTATTTCACTTAACATAATGACCTCCAGTTCCATCCACATTGGTGCAAAGGATGGGACTTCATTCATTCTTTTTATATCTGAATTGGACTGTATTTCACTGTGTGTGTGCGTATATATACACCATTTTCTTTATCCATGCATCCATTTGTAGATACTTAGATTGATTCTCTATCTTGGCTACTGTAAATAATGCTGCAATAAATATTAAAGTGCAGGTATTGGCCGGGCGCAGTGGCTCATGCCTGTAATCCCAGCACTTTGGGAGGCAGAGGTGGGCGGATCAGGAGTTCAAGACCAGCCTGGCCAACATGGTGAAAGCCCGTCTCTACTAAAAATATAAAAATTAGCCAGGCGTTGTGGTGTGTGCCTGTAGTCCCAGCTACTTGGGGAGGCCGAAGCAGGAGAATCACTTGAACTCAGGAGGCAGAGGTTGCAGTGAGCCGAGATTGTGCCACTGCACTCCAGCCTGGGCAACAGAGCGAAACTCCATCTCAAAAATGGAAAAAAAAAGAAAGTGCAGGTATCTCTTTGACACACTGATTTCTTTTCTTTTGGACATTTATCCAGCAGTGGGGATTGCTAGGTCAGATGGTAGACCTATTTTTAGGTTTCTGAGGAATCTCTACACTGTTTCCCATAGTGGCTGTACCAATCTACATTTCCACTAGCAGTGTACTAGTGTTTCCCTTTTTCTGCACCCTTGCCAGAATCTGCCATTTCTTTTTCTTTCCTTTTTTAGACAGGGTCTCACTCTGTCACCCAGGCTGGAGTGCAGTGATGCAATCTCACCTCACTGCAACCTCTGCCTCCTCGGCTCAAGTGATGCTCCCACCTCAGCTTCCCGAGTAGCTGGGACTACAGGTGTGTGCCACCATGCCTGGCTTGTCTTTTTGATAATGGTCATTTAACTGGGGTGTATAACATCTCATCGTGGTTGCGATTTACATTTTCCTGATGATTACTAATGTTGAACATATTTTCACATACCTGTATGTCTTCTGAAAATGTTCAGATAATTAGCCCATTTTAATTGGATAATTTGGTGTTTTTGCTTTTGAGTTGAATTCCTTACATATTCTAGTTATTAATCCCTTGTCAGAAAGATAGTTGGCAAATATTTTCTCCCATTTCATTTTCTTCACTCTACTGACTCTTCCCTTGTGCGGAAGCTTTTTAGCTTGATGTAATCCCATTCATCTGTTTTTGCTTTCGTTCCCTGTGCTTTTGAGGTCTCACCTACCTTTGCCCAGACCAATGATCTGAACTGTTGGAAATGTTTTTTTTTTTTTAAGAACAAAACTAGGGCCAGGCAGAGTAGCCAATGCCTGTAACCCCAACACTTTGGAAGGCTGAGGCAGGAAGACTGCTTGAGCCCAGGAGTTTGAGTCCAGCCTGGGCAACATAGCGAGATCCCATCTCTACAAAAAATTTAAAAATTATCCAGGCATGGTGGCATGTACCTATAATCCTAGCTACCTGGGAGGCTGAGGTAGGAGGATTGCTTGAACCCAGAAGTTCAAGGCTGCAGTGAGCTATGACTGTGCCACTGCACTGCAGCCTGGGCAAAAGAGGAACAGTCTCTAAAAAACAAAACAAAACTATAGCTTGCTGCAGTCTCATCCCTCCAAAAGAAGTTATTCAAAAAGCACTACTCATAGTTATCAAATGGAGCTAGGATTCTTGAAGACTAAGAAATTGGAGGAAAATATGTGTCCACTAACTGGTAGGAATCTCCATAGCCTGAGTAATAATAGTCAGCAAGTGTTCTGCGTTACCTGGAAAATTCTACACACACAAAAACTATAGATTTGGAGGGAAGAGGAGGAGTTAAAATAAAACAAAACTACTAACTCAATGATGGCACCATTTAACACTCTTTTTTAAAGGTGCATTGTTTAAAGACATTTATAAAAAGGAGGGAAGTAATCAGAAAACTGTAATAGTAGTACAAGAGGTTCAAAGTCTAAATGACCAGTTTAAAAAGAAAAAAATACACACACCCACACACAGAAAAGTGGAGAAGAAACCAATGATTATTTTAAATCAAAAACATTTTCTAAAATGAAAAATAACAAGCACTGGTGAGGATATGGAGAAACTGGGACCAATGGGCACTGCTGATGGGAACGTAAAATGGCGCGGCCATTGTGGAATACAGTTCCTCGAAAAGTTAAACACAGAACTACCGTATGATCCAGCAATTCTACTTCTAGGTGTATACCCAAAAGAAGTAAAAGTACAGACTTAGACACTCGCACACCAACATTCACGGCAGTGTTATTCACAATGGCTAAAAGGTGAAAACAACCCTGAACCCTGAAAGCATTACGTGAAGTAAAATAAGCCAGACACGAAATATTTTATAATGTCACTTAAGTGAGGTACCTAAAATCCATCAAACTCAAAGACACAAAAGCTAGACAGGGATTGGAAGGAAGGAGGAATGGTCATTATTGTTTAATGGGTACAGAATTTATATTTGGGACAATAAAAAGGTTCTGGAAATGAATAATGATGATGGCTCTACAACACTGTGAATGTACTTAATGCCACTGAACTGTACATTTAGCAACGGTTAAAAAGTGGTAAATTTCATTTTATGCATGTTTTGCCTCAACCAAGCAATCCATAAATAATTCCCAGAATTAAAAAATACTAGTTTTCAAATTAAGAGAACTCACAAGAGTTGCTGAAGAGTGACCAACACAAGAGTTGACAAATAGTCTCACAGCAAAGCACACTGCAGTAAAACTGTGTAATTCTGGAATCAAAGAGAAGATTCTACAAAACTCCAGGGACATAAACCAGGTCACATACAAAGAGGGCTCCAGATTTATCAACAGGTGTCAAAGAAAGCAATGAAAAAATTCCTTCAAAATTCAGAGAGACAATAATTTTCAACCTAGAATAACCAGACTATCAAATAAGTAGGTAGAATAAACACATTTTCAGACACTAAAAGTACAAAACAAAAAAAATTGTTATTGTGCCTCCTCTCATTCCACCAAAACAATGATGTAAACCAAGAAAGAGCATGATATGGTATCTAGAATACTGAGACTCCAACACAAAAAGTTAATTACAGGATGATAAAAATGGGTCTCCCACCGTAAGATGGTAGAATTTCCATTTTCATCATAACTTGGTAGGATTCAGGCAGGTCTAGAGAGCAACCAGTCCAGAATGGAGCAGTTAAGAAGGCTCAACAAGAGATTTTTTTTAAAACATGAAATTGATATATAAACAACTAAAATTTGGGGTTGAATTAGTCATAAGCATACAGAAAATTAAATGAAAAAAATAGCATTAACAGAGACAACGTATATATTGAATGCTAATGTGACCAAAATTTCAATGTAATTATACTGGAAAAAATGAGCAGTTAAAGTGGGAAGTTTGTGTGCATGCTTGGAGAAGGAGTACGTAAAAGAAACTAAATCTTAACTTTCATTACTAAGAAATCAGACATTAAGGGAAAAAGTAACTAGACTGTAAAATTAAGAGAAAAAGTAACTAGTAAAAAGACTGTACCTTAGAAATAGGAAGGTAGGCTGGGCACGGTGGCTCACGCCTGTAATCCCAGCACTTTGGGAGGCCAGGGCGGGCAGATCACAAGGTCAGGAAATCAAGACCATCCTGGCCAACATGGTAAAACCCCGCCTCTACTAAAAATACAAAAATTAGCTGGGCATGGTGGTGCCTGCCTGTAATCTCAGCTACTCAGGAGGCTGAGGCAGGAGAATCGCTTGAACCAGGGAGTTGGAGGTTGCAATGAGCCGAGATCATGCTACTCTACTGCACTCCAGCCTGGCAGCAGAGCGAGACTCCGTCTCAAAAAAAAAAAAAGAAATAATTTTAAAGCAGTTTTACTTGTAGCTCAAAAAATAAAAAACAAAGAAAATTTAAAGTGGGTGTCTCTCAGGAGAAAAAGAAATAAAAGAAAGTACACAGACTTTTTTGTGACCTTTATCGTATTAATAAATTCACTAATGTGTGTGCATATAACTTTAATAAAAGTAAAAACTAAATAATAAAAAAAATCAATTTAAAAAGAGTCAGGTGGTGCTCTGGAGTCTGGAAGCCTGACCAGGTATTTCAAACACTTTCTCATTTGTAGGGCCTAAGGCAGATAACCCTAGCCTCTCTGTTTCCCCCATCTGTGAAACAGGGATAATAATATTTAGTTCTGTTGCTGTAAGGGTTAACATTAGTGTAAGCAAAGTGCTTAGCAAAATGGCTGACACCTAGTAAGCACCCAATGGTCGTTATTCCTCAAGAAACTCAGGATGGGGAGAACATCTGAGTAATACAGTAGATATATGCAGACAGCTTTGGGTATGAGGGTAGTGTTCTGAGATGGCATTAAGTAAGGAAGACTGCAACAGTGAGAAAGACCTGTGTTAGACCACAGTAAGATGCTTGGGCTTATATTGGCATTCTCTCTGGCCTAGAAATACTTCTAAAGGCACTTTAAATATCCTCTTTCATCAGAGAGGATAAAGTCTCCACCCAACGTTGCTTTTCCACCCATCACAAAACTGCTTGTTTTTTAAAAATAAATGAAATATTTCTTTCTTTTTTTCTTTTCTTTTTTGAGACACAGTTTCACTCTGTTGCCCAGGGTGGAGTGCCATGACACAATCTCGGCTCACTACAACCTCCACCTCCTGGTTCAAGTGGTTCTCCTGCCTCAGCCTCCCGAGTAGCTGGGATTACAGGTGCATGCCACCATGTCCAGCTAATTCTTTTTGTATTATTAGCAGAGACAGGGTTTCACCATGTTGGCCAGGCTGGTCTCGAACTCCTGGCCTCAGGTGATCCACCTGCCTTGGCCTCCCAAAGTGCCGGGATTACAAGCGTGAACCACCGCGCCCAGCCATAAAAATAAATGAAATATGTCAACTAACAGAAAAGTATAGAGAAGAGGTGTATCACTTAGCTTTGTCAAACCTTAGCTACATTTTTATAGTTCTTGATGAGCTAAAAGACATTTACATATGTTATACTTACTCCAAAAATTTTGACTCCACCAGGATTTCCTATCCATTGATTCTATTACCTTTTTACTGTCCCTCAACCCTCTGACAACCTCTCTCCCTTCATTACCCAGCTTCAACTGTAAAAATTATAATCTGGCCCAGTGCGGTGGCTCACACATGTAACCCCAGCATTTTGGGAGGCCGAGGCGGGCAGATCACCTGAGCTCAGGAGTTCGAGACCAGCCTGCTCAACATGGTGAAACCCCGTCTCTACTAAAAATACAAAAATTAGCCAGGCATGGTGGCGCGTGCTTGTAATCCCAGCTACTCAGGAGGCTGAGGCAGGATAATTGCTTGAATCCGGGAGGCGTAGGATGCAGTGACTGAGATCACGCCACTGCACTCCGGCCTGGGCAACAGAGTGAGACTCCATCTCAAAAAAAGAAAAAAAGAGGAAAGAGAAAAAAAAATATAATCACTCCCTCAGATATAGTTGGTTCTCTAGCCCTTCTCTGGCTTCACTGTAATTAAAAAAAAAAAAAAATCAACGTAATCCCCACCAAATCTGTGCCTACATAGGGAAGAAAGCAAAGACAAAGAAAAATCCACAACCATGCTGGCTGATCTTGAGTACGCTACAAATGCTACCAGACATTATCCCCAGTCTATTTCATTCTCTGACTCTCCCAGTAACTATTTCATATCTTCTCACCTCAACCCTACATTGAGTTTTCCCTCCCTCACACTCAATGACCTTGCTTCTTGTTGCACTTATAAAACTGAAAACAATAGGGAATTTCCAGGGTCCCACCAGTTACCTACTGTCATGTACATGTACACACCCTGAACTCCCACCTGTTATCATAGATGGAACTATCCATGCTCTGGTCTATTTATATACCACATTTGCCATTTGATCACCTACTCAAGAGCATCACTTGAGCAATTCTCCCCTTTCTCCTATCATCTACATCAACTTTTTATTTGCTAATAATGGATCATTCCCACCAGCATACAAATATAAATACACTGATATTTCTCCCTTTTAAAATTTATTCTTTATTCCACTTACCCTCCCAGTTCCAATACCATTTAAAAATTTGCTGTGCTTTGTAATAAAAGTCCTTAAAACAGCTGTCTCCCTCCCATTATCTCTCAAATCTACTCCAAGCTTTCTGTCCCACCACTAAACCTAATCTGCATTTATCAAGATCACCAACGAACTCCAATTGCTAAATCCACTGGTTAGTGGACAATTTTCTTAAATGTCTCACTAACAATATTTTACAGTTGATCACTCCTCCTTAATTACTTTCCTGGGTTTCCTTTTATCTTTCTTGTTCATTTTCCTTTTCTGGTTTCCCAAACTGCTTAATGCTGGAGCACTCACAATTCAGTCTCTCTTTTCTATCTACACTTGGTGATCTCATCCAGTCTGGAGTTTTTAATACTATCTGCATGCCAATTTTATCAGGATGACTCCTGATCCCCAATCATCCACCCAACCATTTGGCCAAGTAATATTTGGCATGTCCAAAACTGAACTTCTGATCTTTCCCACATATTGCTCCTCCTACAGCCTTTCACCTCTCAGATGTGATGAAATTCCACACTTCGGATGCTCAGACAAACTCCTGAGTCACTACTGACTCCTTTCTTTCTTTTTCACATCACACTCTATCTTGCCTGGAAATCCTGTTGGTTGTACCTTCAAAATACATACACAATGTGACTAATTCTTAACACCTCCTGCTACCACTTAATTCAAACCACAAACATCTCTTAGCCTGATTTCAATACCCCTGCCTCTAGCTTACTTTACCTCAAATATATTTTCAGCACAGCCATTCATTGGACAATTCTTTTAATGCTTAAGTCTGATAGTGTCACTTCTCTGCTCAAAACTCTGTAATACTAGCCAGGCGAAGTGGCTCACGCCTGTAATCCCAACACTTTGGGAGGACAAGGTGGGAGGATTGTTTGCATCCAGGGGTTCAAAACCAGCCTGGGCAACAAGATCCTGTCTCTACAAAAAAATTAAAAATTTGCCAGGCATGGCGGTGCAAGCCTGTAGTCTCAGCTACTCAGGAGACTGAGGAAGGAGGACTGCTTGAGCCCAGGAGTTCGAGGCTGCAGTGAGCCATGATCACATCACTGCACTCACACTGCATGACAGAGTGAGACTGTCTCAAAAAAACAACAACAAAAAACTGCGACGGCTCTGGATTTCACTCAAAGGCCAAAGCCTTTACAGTGCTCCACATTGCCCTACATTATATTTCCCCCATTCCCTTTACCTCCTCCTCTCCTTGATCAGTCTACTTCAGCCACAGTGGCCTCCTTGTTAGTCTGTGAAAGGGCTAGACACACTAGTCCTACTTAAGGCTTTTGCACTGAAAGATTCTTCTACCTTGGCCGGGCGCAGTGGCTCACAAAAGTGCCTGTAATCCCAGCACTTTGGGAGGCCTAGGCGGGCGGATCACGAGGTCAGGAGATCAAACCATCCTGGTCAACATGGTGAAACTCCGTCTCTACCAAAAATACAACAATTAGCTGGGCATGGTGGCGCGCATCTGTAGTCCCAGCTACTCGGGAGGCTGAGGCAGGGGAATTGCTTGAAACCAGGAGGCACAGATTGCACCACTGCACTCGAGCCTGGTGGAAGAGCGAGACTCCATCTCAAAAACAAAAAAAGTCTTCTACCTGGATTTATCTTCTATATATTGCACGGCTGACTCCCTTATTCTTGGGCCTCGATCAAATGTCACCTTCTAAATGAGACTTCCCCTGACCATCTTATTTAAAATTCCAACTACCTGGGCCAGGCATGGTGGCTCACACCTGTAATCCCAGCCTTTGGGAGGCTGAGTAAGACCCCGTCTTTTTTTTTTTTTTTTTTTGAGACGGAGTCTTGCTCTGACACCCAGGCTGGAATATGGTGGTGTGATCTCAGCTCACTGCAACCTCCACCTCCTGGGTTCAAGCTATTCTCCTGCCTCAGCTTCCTGAGTAGCTAGGATGACAGGCGTGTGCCACCACGCCTGGCTAATTTTTGTATTTTTAGTAGAGATGAGGTTTCACCATGTTGGCCAGGCTGGTCTCAAACTCCTGACCTCAGGTGATCCACCTGCCTCAGCCTCCTAAAGTGCTGGAATTAGAGGCGTGACTCACTAGTGCCCAGCCCACCCCGTCTCTTAAAAAAAAAAAAAAAATCCAACTACCTATTCACTCATAAAAAAAAAAAAAAGTTTTTTTTAACATGGGAGTTTGAGGGGAGCGGTGGGGAGGCTTTCTGGTAAAGACCTCCCAGAAAGCCTACTAGACAAATTCTAAAAGAGCTGTAACATTCTCCACTCTTAACCCTCATTTCCCTTACCCTTTTTCTTATTTTTGCATTGCCCTTACTATCCAGTAACATAATATATAATTTATTTATCTACTGTCTGCTCACATATTTATTCACACACACAAACACACACACACACACACACACACACCTCACAAGTACCAAGAATTTATTCATATATATAAAACAAATACAAAGTCTGGCAAATAGTAGGCACTCAATAATTATCTGGTGATTGAATAAATGAATATCCTGAAGCCCACTCTGTGGGAATAATGTCTACAAACCATCTACAGTAGAAAAAACAAATCAGGTAGAAAAAATGCCACCTTCCAAGCAGATCTGGGAATTATGTGTAGAACTGCTTTGGCAATTAATAGGGGAATAGCTGGGAGCGGGGCTCACGCCTGTAATCCCAGCACTTTAGGAGGCCAAGGCTGGCGGATCATGAGGTCAGGAGATTGAGATCACCCTGGCCAACATGGTGAAACCCCGTCTCTACTAAAATGCAAAAAATTAGCCAGGCAATGGTGGCGCACGCCTGTAGTCCCAGCTACTTGGGAGGCTGAGGCAGGGGAAGAGCTTCAACCTGGGAGGTGGAGGTTCAGTGAGCTGAGATCATGCCACTGCACACCAACCTGGTGACAGAGCAAGACTCTGTCTCAAAAACAAAAAAACAGGGGAATAGATTCATATTTGAACTGTAATGCATAATAAAAATAGCAAGCACATACATAATCACAAATGCCAGGTACTGTTCTAAGCACTTTGGACATATTAACTCAATCTTCAGAAGCATATGTATGAGTTGGGTGGTACTACTCTCCGCATTTTATTATCAATAAGACAACTTCGAAACAGGTTAAATAAACTGCCCATAATTGCACAGGTAATAAGTAACAGGGCTGGGATTTCAACCCAGGCTTTATGGCTTCAGAATCCATACTCTAATTACATCATGACATCTAGTTACAGGAACAGTATAGGCCAGGATTGTCCAATGTTTTGGCTTCCCTGGGTCACACTGGAAGAGAAATTGTCTTAGGCTGCACATAAAATACACTAACACTAACACTAATGATAGCTGATGTGCTTTTTTTAAAAAAAAATCGCAAAAATCTCATAATGTTTCAAGAAAGTTTATGAATTTGTGTTGGGTCACATTCAAAGCTGCCCTGGGCTGCATGCAGCCTGCGGGCTGTATAAGCTCGGTATAGGCCAAAAAACATTTAATGCAAATATGCATCCCTAAGCTATTATGTGGTAAGAAAAGATATATAAAGAATTTAGTTGTCCTCAGGGAACTCACTCTAAACAAAAAATAATGGCACGGCAAATTTTATATATGATGATAGAAGTGGGCTGAGTCACATCTAATTCAGGGTCAATGGAGGTTTTCTAGAAGAGATGACCCCTTGCATGTATCTTTTAAAATGAGCACAAAGTCAAGAGCAACACAGAAGAGGGAGAAAAAATGTACACAAAGGAAAAGTAAGGTCTTTGTTCCAGCAAAGGGAACAATATGTACAAAGTCACTGGGACGAGGCAGTACGAATTTACTAGAGAATTGAGTAATTTAGGAGAAAAGAAAAACACAGGGAACAAATAGAAAAATATCAAATTAAATAGAGCTACAATTATTTATTTATGCCTTAAATCTCATAAGAACTTTAACTTGAGCAAGGGAGAAGGTGCAGAAAGATTTTAATCATGGGAATAACATACTTATATTGTAGCATGACTACTACTAATAGCATATATTAGACAAGACTAGAAAGGGCAAGCAAAATCAAGTTAGGAAACCTATAAAAACCCAGGCAAGGTGAGAATGATGAACAGATATTATCTACAGATCCATAACCTAATGTTGTCTGTGAACCCTCATGTTCATTCCCACTAATGCTGCACCATTACAAATTCTCATCTCCTCTAGCTTAAATACCATAATCATCTCCTGAGTGATTTCCCTAATTCCTTTGAATTAGACTCAATTTCTCCAAGGCAAAGCTCTGATTTATCTTTTCTCTGCTCAAAAGCCTTCATTAATTTCTAATGTCTTTCTAAAGCCAAAATTCTATGCATTAGCAAGACCCTTTCTAATCTATCCTAATTCTTCCTCCACAGCTCTGAACTTTACTATTCCTTTGCTCACTGTTCCCTCTGCCCAGACTAAGTTGAAATGCCTCCTTGCACCATGATGCACTGCTAAATATTCCTTGTCAGAAATAAACTTTTTAAGTTACTGCTCCCAAAGCACTTTGTTTATAACTTCCTTAAAGCAACTATTATATTCTTCCCCAGACCATAATCACCAGTTCTACGTCTTTTTTTCCTTATAAAGATGAGGTTCCATGATACTAGGCTAACAGAAGCTACAGTATCAAGAAATATAAGCATTTCAACAATTCAAAGATCTTAGTAAGAACAATAAACGTCTCACAATAATAGAACAAGGGTCAGTGCTAAATTTATCTGGACCCTTAAAGGTCAGAAGGTGATTCCCACTGACACAGTAAGTTGCCATTATAACCTTCACAACAGTTTTAAGATAATAATTTTAACATATTTTACCAATATGATGAATTGCAGGTACTGTATACACATATATGCTGGTTATAGCACATACTAATGAGTCAGCTCCCCAGCTCATGGTTCCCATTTTCTTTAAAAGGTACTGAATACACAAGGATGGGCCTCCAGTAGCCAGCTCTGTTTCTCTCATCACCCCACCTGACCAGGGCCAGGCCAATCAGATTATTTTCCTCCAAAAATGTGAAATATGGAAGACACCAAGACTGGAACTCAGTCCTTTGCTAGAACCTGAAGAACAAGTCTAACAACTTCTGCTGCTGAGGTCCCTGGGCTCCATCCTCATACCCTTTGGCTTGGTAGTGTAGCTCAACCCTTGTTTCTAAGTGTTATTTCAATATCCTTCTAATAAATATTTCTTTCCCTTCTTTTCTAGTTTTCTTTTGGGCTTACGTGAACCACAATCAGTTGTGCTGCTTGGAAGCAAAAATTTTTAAATGAATTTGATGCTTTCAAAAAGCCAAGTATTATTTTGGGACTAAATCTTAAATGCTTTAGCTTAAAAGCAGAAATCTGAGCTGTGAAGAAAAAAACAAAGGGAAAGGAAAGGAAAGGAGAAGGAGGGAGGGAGGCAGGAAGGAAGGAGAGAGAAAAGAAACTCCTTTGGGCTTTCAAATTATAATTTAGAAGTTTATTTACCATTTAATATTTAAAATGCTGTGAGACTACTAAATTAATTCAAATCTGGGTGGACATTCCCAAATGAACCATTTAAAACACTGAGTCCAGCAGACTACCCAACACCTTAAGATCCACCAAAATATTCAGAGAATTTAGGTTTTAGTTTGGTTCTCCGCAGGTAACCCTACAGAATGTACAAGATCCTCTATGTTGTTATACACATTGACAATCCTCCTAAGACAGATCACTACCAATAAAGTAACTTTATTGCTATTTTCCTTTCTTCCTAGAAATTTATCCCTTGATTTTAGTTTGATAAATTTTCCTTTCTACCCTTGATTATAAATTGGTGAATTTTACCTTTTTCCAATATAAGTATCATAGATCTTCAAAATATATAAATGTTCCTGCATCAGACCCAAACACTGATTTTCCTACATTAGAAATTAGATCTGAATTTATTATGTATATATTTATGAATTTAAGTTTCTAGTCTGAAAAAGGCTGTTCATTTCAGCCAATCATATCTATAAAATCTATTTTATTTTTAATATAAGCTTTTTACCTTTTAAAAGTATTAAAAAGGTAAATGCTTAGTGAAAATACAAATTAAGAAAAATTAAGCTACTAATGATGAAACTTTGTAATTCAGAAACAAAAACATTCAAACTGAATATCAAAAAGCAAAGGTAATCCAAATTATTCTTTTAAGTGGCTTCTGGCATTTCTCTTCCAAGTATATTATACCTGAAAAATCTGAATTTAATTCCTTAACATACAAAGGTTTGCTCAAGTATACTTTCATTTTTCACGGTGACTTTTTAAAAAGCAACTTACTAAATGGTCCACTTCCATTTTTTATTTTACTGAATGCACATAAATATTAAGTATATTCTAAATTAATATGCTATATTACATCGGATAGAAATGGAGGGACTGTCATGTCTTCCTTTGATGAACTACTGCACTGTTTAAATTGTTTTAAACAAGGTTTCCTACTTTTGTAATAAAAAACATATTTTAAATATGCAGCTGTGTTTTTTAACACCTTATGCCTCATCTCAATACCAAATTCAGTGATTTTTAAAAAGGGCACATTAAAGAAATCTTATTCTGGCCAGGCACTGTGGCTCATGCCTCTAATCCCAGCACTTTGTGAGGCCAAGGCGGGTGGATCACCTGAGGTCAGCAGTTCCAGGCCAGCCTGACCAACATGGAGAAACCCTGTCTCTACTAAAAATACAAAATTAGCCAGGCATGGTGGCGCATGCCCGTAATCTGAGCTACTCGGGAGGCTGAGGCAGAATTGCTTGAACCCAGGAGGCAGAGGTTGCAGTGAGCAGAGGTTGAGATCGCGCCATTGCACTCCAGTCAGGGCAACAAGAGCGAAATTCCATCTCAAAAAAAAAACAAAAAAAAGGAAAAGAAAAGAAACCTCACTCCATAATGATTCCATAATTTAAAGTTTTTGTATTGTTCCATTAACAATTTTAAAAAGGCAAAATCTCTTAAACAGTCACAAAGTAAGGATGCAATTTTACCCACAAATCCTCATAATGATCTGAACTTCTGAGCAAACAATACCAACTAAATATAAAAGCAACATACTAAACTGTCTCTTAAAACATTTTCTTACCTGAAACACACCATTATTTAAATCAGCCTATTTACACTGAATACTCAGAAGTCTTTCCTTCAAGAGTGAATGTCTCTTCCAAGTTGCTTGTACTATCCAATATCCTAAGGCTTCCAAGAGTTATTAATATTGTATCCATTAAATATAAGTCAGCATCAACTGTAAGACTGCATTGTTTAAAAAAAAAAAAAAAAAAGAAATGCGGCAAGCTGCAATTCTAGGTCGCTATTGATGTTTCAAAGACTTTCCAATTTCAGAGATATTAAAATGTGGAGAAAAACATAATGATGATATTTATTGACGTTCTTAAACTTGGTAGCAAAGATATTATAGGATTAAACTTCATTTTACTGAAGTTTGTAATTGTGTCAAAATCTTTGGAATTTACATATGTAACAGAAAAAATTCTAAAGGAAAAAATTTAAATTTCAATTTTATTCCCATCTAATCTAACCAAGCTCTCTCACATTATGAACTAAGCACTTCACACATTATGAGGCTTCTATCACTTGACACTGTAACTTTCACCTTGTAACTAAAACTTTTCAATGCATAACAAAAGTAATAATTGTTTGTTGACCTTCTATATACCTCATCAGTCTTAGGCCCCTAACCTAAGCTTATTTAAAAATCAACTGAAAAAAATTACTCTCTTAAAGGGCTACATTTATAAAAGATTTCCTCCAGGCCTAATTTTTAAAATGAAGTTAATGTATTTTGTACAGGCCAATGCTGATAAAAGCAATAAGCAAAATATTAAAAGAAACAGGCTGGGCGCAGTGGTTCGTGCCTGTAATCACAGCACTTTAGGAGGCCAAGGAGAGCAAACCACTTGAAGTCAGGAGTTCGAGACCAGCCTGGCCAACATGGTGAAACTCCATCTCCACCAAAAATACAAAAACTACCCAGAAGTGGTGGCAGGCACCTCTAGACCCAGCTACTTGGGAACCTAAGGCAGGAGAATCACTTGAACCTGGGAAGCGGAGGCTACAGTGAGCCAAGACTGTGCCACTGCACTCCAACCTGAACAACAGAGCGAGATTGTTTCAAAAAAAAAAAAAAAATATATATATATGCATATATACACACACACACACACACACACACACACACACATATAGAAATGTAATACTTCACTGTTAAAGTAATTTTTAAAATTACTACCAGATACTGTGGTTTGCTCACCACAGCACCCGCAATACCTAGCGCAGTACTTGGAACAGAATATATACTCAATAAATATTTGTTGACTTAAGTGATACCTTAATAAACATGAGAAGGAATGTGAGCAAACAATGTAAAATCAGGAATTACACAAATACTGTGATAAACAGAGCTTCCCCTTTGAGAAAATTCACACCAGTATTTTTTTCCTAATTTATGTTGAAAGTATCTAACCTGTCACATGGTATACATTTAATAAATTCCAGGCTGGGCGTGATGGCTTATGCTTGTAATCCTAACACTCTGGAGTCAGAGGTGGGAGGAAGGCTTCAGCCCAGGAATTTGAGACCAGCCTGGGCAAAAGGGCAAAACCCTATCTCCACAAAAAAATATATAAAAATTAGCCAGGCATGGTGTTGCAAATCTGTAGTCCCAGCTACTCAGGAGGCTGAGGCGGGAGGATCACCTGAGCCAGGGAGATTGAGGCTACAGTGAGTAGTGATCTTGCCACTGCACCCCCAGCCTGGGTGAAACAGTAAGATCCTGTTACAAAAAAAAAAAAAAAAATTTTTTTTTAATGAAATAAAATGAATCCAAGCCCCTTCTCCTTCCTACTCTTTTTAAGTGAGCTATATGAGTTCACTTAAAACATTTACTACACACAACTTAGTTAACATAATTTTCAAAAACATATCTGCATAAAGCAATCCATACCTGAATTTAACCAGTAAACATTAAGCAACATAGACTAATGCACAAATCTTTGACAAGTGTTACATACCAAATGTGTGCCCTTACCCGCCTGCCCCACACCACTAAAATTCATGTGTTGAAACCCACCTCCTAATATGATAGTACTTGGAGCCCAAGCCTTTAGGAGGAGCCCTCATAATCGGATTAGGACCCTTATAAGAAGACACCTGAGAACTTATACTCTCTCCACCATGTGAGGACACACCAATTATGCCAGAAACACCAGGCACGGTAGATCACACCTATAATCCCAGCACTTTAGGAGGCCAAGGTGAGAGGACTGTTTCAGCACAAGAGCTCAAGACCAGCCTGGGCAACACAGCAACACCCTGTCTCTACAAAAAAAGTTTTTTAACTTTTTTTTTTTTTTTTTTTAAAGAGACAGGGTCTCACTCTGTGGCCCAGGCTGGAGTGCAGTGGTGCCATCTTGGCCCCATGCATCCCTGACCTCCCAGGCTCAAGTGATCCTCCCACCTCAGCCTCCTGAGTAGCTGAGACTACAGGCACACACCACCACACCCAGCTATATTTTTGCATTTCTTTGTAGTGACAGGGTTTCAGCATGTTATGTTACCCAGGCTGGTCTCAAAACTCCTGGGCTCAAGCGATCCGCCTGACTCTGCCTCCCAAAGTGTTGGGATTACAGGCGTGAGCCACCCACCACAACTGGCCAAAATAATGTTTTTAAAATATAAGCCAGGCGTGGGGATGTGTGCTTGTAGTCTCAGCTACTCAGGAGGCTGAGGACAGGAGGACTGCTTGAGCCTAGGACTACAGTGAGCTATTGTCCCACCACTACACTCCAACCTGGGTGATGGAACAAGACCCTGTCTCAAAAACAAATGAAACAAAAAAACAGGGCCAGGAAGAAAGCCTTACCACATAACCTGACTATGCTGGCACACTTATCTTAGACTGCCAGCCTCCAAAACCATGAGGAAATAAATTTCTATTAAGTCACCAAGTCAATGGTATTTTGTTATAGCATCCCAAGCTAAGACAGTAAATTTGTATTTTGAAGAAATCGTGACATATGATGCAGAAGGAAATAATGATAAAACAACCAAATTATGCCCTCTAGAAGAAGCCTACACCTTGGCAGAATAATATTTATAACAAAATACCCCTAATATAGAGTGGAAAATAAGACAAAATTGTAAATGGCAAGGCTATTATATTCTAGGAAAATCTGGGAAGCTCTCAGACAAGAGCCAAGTGGACAAATAGACAGAATCTGGACATATGGAAATTGGGAGAGAAGAGAGAGAGCAAGTATACTTCACTCAGAATACACTTTCACCCACTCACACTCATGACTCCAATCCCAATAATAATTTCTATTATTTTCTAAAGTTACAAATAATAGCTTCTAGGGGCCGGGCATGGTTGCTCACACCTGTAATCCCAGCACTTTGGGAAGCCAAAGGGAGCAGATCATCTGAGGTCAGGAGTTCGAGACCAGCCTAGCCAACATGGCAAAACCCCGTCTCTACTAAAAATACAAAAATTAGCCGGGTGTGGTGGCACATGCCTATAATCCCAGCTACTAGGGAGGCTGAGGCAGGAGAATCACTTGAACCCAGGAGGAGGAGGTTGCAGTGAGCTGAGATCACACCACTGCACTCCAGCCTGGGCAACAGAGTAAGACTCCGTCCCAAAAATAAATAAATAAATAAAATAATAGTTCCTTTGTAGATGAAGACAGTGTTCTGTTTTTCATCTACAGTGATGTATCTTTTAATGACGAGGGTATGTTCTGAGAAATGTGTCATCAGATGATTCCAATGTGTGAACATCACAGAGTGCACTTACACAAACCCACATGGTATAGTCTACTATACACCTAGACTATATGGTATATGGCTTATTGCTCCTAGCCTGCAAACCTGTAATGGTAAGTATTCGTATGTCTGAACATAGGTAAAATAGAAAAAGTACAGTAAAAATACGGCATTATACTATTATAGGACCACCATCATATATGTGGTCCATCGATGACTAAAATGTCATTATATGGTACATATCTCTATTCATTTATCTAACCCAGCTCCTACTGTGTGACACATTCTGAGTAACATAAGTTCAGCCCCCTCAAAACTTACAGAACCACAAGTAGAAACAGACTAGTAAGCAAACAGCTATAACAGAAAATGCAATTGATACATGTCAGAAATATGGCAGTTTTTATTGAGAAAAGGAGATCCAAGAAAACTTCTCAGTAAATAATATATATTTGAATGGGGGCCATCTGAACAGTCTTAAAAGACAAGTTGAAGGTATCCCATAAGGAAGAACATATGAGGCAATTAACAACAAAGTGCTATGAGAATTTAACACCAGCACAGTAGAACACTGCATATTCAGTGAACTTCAAGTAATGTGAAAAAGTTACAAATGGTGGAAAGAGAAGACTGGAAAGGTAAGAAGAACCTAGGTGAAGAAAAAATTTTAAAGACCAAGACACTACATGGGAGGCTGGGGTGGGAGAACTGCTTGTGCCCGGGTGGTTGAGGCTGCCATGAGCCATGGACACATCACTGCACTCCAGCCTGGGCAACAGAGCAAGACCCTGTTTCGGATACTAACATAACATAAATAACATAACATAACATAACATAACATAACATAACATAACATAACGACTATGACAGCAGAGTCATCCCTTGGTATACTTTAGGAACTGGTTCCAAGACTCCTGTGTATACCAAAATCTGCACATACTTAAATCCCGCTGTCAACCCTGTAGAACCCACGAATACAAAAAAAGCAGTCCATTGTGTAGGCAGGTTTCACACATCCTACAAATATTGTACTTTCAATCTATGTTTAAGTTGACCCCCACAGTTGAAACCTGTGTTGTGTAAGGGTCAAGTGTATATCTGCCTGGCTAAAAGTATAAGAAAGATAGGATAAAAATATAAGAAATATATTAACTAGGAATGATGTACAAAGGACATCAAAGAAACAAAATAGAGTGACCATACCTCCTAGTTTCCCCAAAACCAACCTGGTCTGTATCTGCACGCCCAGTGTCCCAGCCAGTTTACCATCTCTACCATACAGTAACAAAATATTGTTAATAGTTGCATTAAAACATGCTGGTATGAGCCTGGCCAACATGGTGAAACCCTGTCTCTACTAAAAATACAAAAATTAGCCGGGTGTGGTGGTGGTCGCCTGTAATCCCAGCTACACGGAAGGCTGAAGCAGGGAGAATTGCTAGAACCCAGGAGGTGGAGGTTATAGTAAGCCAAGACTGAGCCACTACACTCCAGCCTGGGCGACAGAGCAAGACTCCATCTCAAAAAAAAAAAGCTGGTATGGATTTAGTAGACTTCTCCACACTTCCAGCTTCTTCCAAAGTTCTTCCAACTTTGTCAAGAGTTTCCAAAATGCATATATATGATGCATACATAAGGAACAGAGTCCTCACTTTAACATACACTTAATTCTGAAAGATGACAGAAATAACCAATCTCTTTCTCTCTCACTCTTTCTAGACTCAATATATCTAACTCTTCCCTTTCAAGGACAGCATGCAGGGGACCCACCAGTGGCTAGGGCAGCTAGCTCCTTTGGGTGCTAATTGGGGGTGGGGGAAGTGGTCAGCACTGCTGTCACTGAAGACTGGTTGGTGTATCAGCAGTGGCCTGTGACCTGGACTGTAAAATACACACAGCTTCCAGGCTACAACAGGCAGAATTTATGGGAAACTAAAGGTTAGGTATACCTCTATGGTTACCTGTGGTTAATGAAGCCATGAGGCTACTAATCCATCAAGAAAGTGAGGAATTGAAGGCTCTCTCCCCACAGATATGAAGAATGACCTGGCTGGGCACAGTGGCTGATGTCTGTAATCCCAGCACTTTGTGAGGCTGAGGTGGTAAATAGCTTGTGCCCAGAGCTTGGGACCAGCCTAAGCAACATAGGCCATATCCCATTCTCTATTAATCCCAGCACTGGGAGGCCAAAGCAAGCAGATCACTTGAGCTCAGGAGTTCAGGACCAGCCTGGGCAACATGACAAAACCCTATCTGTACTAAAAATACAAAAATTAGCTAGATGTGGTGACACATGCCTGTAATCCCAGCTACTCGGGTGGCTGAAGCATGAAAATCTCTTGAACCCGGGAGGTGGAGGTTTCAGTGGGAGGTGGAGGTTTCAGTGAGCCACTGAACTCCAGCCTGGGCGACAGAGTGAGACTCTGTATTTAAAAAAAAAAAAAAAAAAAAAAGAAACAATGAACCAGTAAAGCCAGTTAACAGAATGGGTGACAGAGTGAGACTCTGTATTAAAAAAAAAAAATAATAAAAATAAACAATGAACCAATAAAGCTAGTTAACAGACACCATATTTAAATAAACACAAAAACATCTAGGACATTCATATTATTTATTTCTCAAAATTATACTTTACCGTCTCAAATAGAATTCTGATAGGTAAAACTAAGACTTGGTTAAAGACCTTAATTGGTGGTCTTACCATTTTTTTAAATTTCAGAGGTCCTAGAAGAAAACTTCAAGACACTTTTAAAATCTTCAGGTATGCTTTCTCCTATAAAGCAGTCTCTCAACCTTGACACTACTGACATTTGGGGCCAGACAATTCTTCATTGCTGGGGAGTGTCCTAAGCAATATAGGATGTTTGGAGGCATCCCTGCCCTCTACCCCACTAGATGCCGGCAGCATGCCCCCAAACTGTAGCAACCAAAAACATCTCTAGACATTGTCAGCCCTGGTTTAGAACCACTGCTATAAGGCATTGAAAAAAAAAAGTGAACGAGAATATTATAGAATTAAAGGAAAATGTGGAAAAAAAACTCCCACATCTCAAAGAATCTCACACATCTTCAAATAATTTCAGATCTAATTTATTGTCAAGGGTTATTATTAGCTTAATTAAACAGCATTGGTCAAATTAAATGTTTTATTTATATTTAGATTAAAATATGTCATTTAAAACTATGTTTCAGATAGTAGAGGCCAGGCATGGTGGCTCACACCTGTATTCCCAGCACTTTGGGAGGCCGAAGCAGGCAGATACTTGAGGTCAGGAGTTCGAGACCAGCCTGGATAACATGGTGAAACCCTGTCTCTACTCAAAAAAACAGGGCGGGTGCAGTAGTTCACGTCTGTAATCCCAGCACTTTGGGAGGCCAAAGCAGGTAGATCACGAGGTCAGGAGATCGAGACCGTCCTGGCTAACATGGTGAAACCCCGTCTCTACTAAACACACAAAAAAATTAATCGGGCATGGTGGCGGGAGCCTGTAGTCCCAGCTACTCAGGAGGATAAGGCAGGACAATGGCATGAACCCAGGGGGTGGAGCTTGCAGTGAGCCGAGATGGCGCCACTGCACTCCAGTCTGGGCGACACAGCGAAACTCCGTCTCAAAAAAAAAAAAAAAAGCTGGGCATGGTGGCACACGCCTGTAGTGCCAGCTAATCGAGAGGCTGAGGTAGAAGAATCGCTCGAACCAGGGAGGCAGAGGTTGCAGTGAGCCGAGATCATGCCACTGCACTCCAGCCTGGGCGACAGAGCGAGACCCTAAAAAAAAAAAAAAAAAGACAGTAGGCTGGGCACGGTGGCTCATGCCTGTAATCCCAACTTTGGGAGGCCAACGCGGGTGGATTACTTGAGGCCAGGAGTTCAAGACCAGCATGGCCAACATGGCAAAACCCTGTCTCTACTAAAAATGTAAAAATCAGCTGGGCATGATACACACCTGTAATCCCAGCTACTCAGGAGGCTGAGGCAGGAGAACTGCTTGAACCAGGGAGGCAGAGGTGGCAGTGAGCTGAGATCAAGTCACTGCACTCCACCCTGGGCAACAGAGAGAGACTCTGTCTCAAAAAAAGATAGCAGAGAGCAATCTTAGATCTTGTGGGTAGTGTTTTCATTCCTTCTGTTTTATAGGACTTTATGACATTTCTGAGATCTCAGAGTGCTCTCAGTATTTATTTTCTTCCTATATCCTAAATGGCTTGCTTTGGCATGTTTATTAATAAACAGGCCAGGAGTATATTTCGAGGAAAAAAAATTACGACTGGGTGAGGCTGCTTACATCTGCAATCCCCGCAGTTTGGGAAGTTGAGGCAGGTGGATCACTTGAGGCCAGGGTTTCGAGGCCAGCCTGGGCAACACAGCAAGACCCCATCTCATTAAAATGAATAAATAAATACACAAGGATTCCAACTAATAAATGATAAAGCAATGCTAGATTTAGAATATTATCACTTTCAAATCTCCAATGAAACAAATGATACAGGCAATTTTTTTAGTCTAGCCAAAAAATCTGAAAAAGGAACAACTCTATCAATGAGGCATCAGATAGAAAATTACAAGTGGCAATAAAAAAAAACTATAAGATGTTAGCACAAAATAAAACAATGCAAATTAAATAAAGCATTTTTCACCTACCAGATTTTCAGATTTAAAAGCCTAATAATGGGCTCTGCACAATGGCTCATGCCTGTAATCCCAGCACTTTGGGAGGCCAAGGTGGGAGAATTGCTTGAGTTCAGCAATTCTCAGTTGAGACCAGCCTGGGCAACCAGCCTGAGCAAGACCCCATCTCTACAAAAAAATTAATAAATTAGCTGGGTGTGGTGGTGCATACCTGTAGTCCTAGCTACTGGGGAAGCTCAGGTGGGAAAATCACTTGAGCCTAGGAGTTTGAGGTTGCAGTAAGCTATGATCATGCCACTGCACTCCAGCCTGGGCCAGAGTGAGACCCGGTCTCAAAAATAAATATAAAAATAAAAATAATTTTAAAATCTGAATAATGCTTGGTGCTAACATGGATATAGAGATAACTTTCATATACTGCTAGTAGAAGCACATACTGAACAAGTTTTTTGGAAAGCCAGCTGGCAGTATCTGTCAAACATAGTAACGTACATAATCATGAACCCATAAATCCCACTCTTACATCTGTGCCAGTATATTAACTTAAGCACTGTTTGAATTGGTTGGTAACTGTAAACTGCCCAAAAAACCATCAAAGAAGACAGGTTAAATAAAGAACACCCAAAACAATAAAATATTATGCAGCCCATGAAGACAACGAGGTAAATTTTTGTGTTTTGGTAAGATATCCAAATACAAGCCCGGGCGCGGTGGTTCATGCCTGAAATCCCAGCATTTTGGGAGGCCAAGGCAGGCGGATCAACTGGGATCAAGAGTTTGAGACCAGCCTGGCCAACATGGCAAAACCCTGTCTCTACTAAAAATACAAAAAAATTAGCTGGGCACGGTGGCACGTGCCCGTAATCCCACCTACTCGGGAGGCTGAGGCAGAAAAATTGCTTGAAACCAGGAGGTGGAGGCTGCAGTGAGCTGAGGTTGTGCCACTGCACTCCTGCCTAGGCAACAGAGCAAGACTGTCTCAAAAAAAAAAAAGAAAAAGAAAAAAGGTATCTAAATAAAGAAAATAACAAAAGGCAAACTGAAGTTTCATGGCATTTAACAAGAGGATTAACACACATACACTTATGTGTACAGAACATTCTGTTAAGAATATACAAGAAATAGGTAACAGTATAGTTTGATTTTTTTTCTTACATTTTTGTAAAATGAGACAGAAACATCTAAAGCAGTATCAATTTCAATCATCTTTGCACATGAGTTTTCCACATTTATAGGCACAAGAATTACCTAATTTGTGTGATCCATTACACTCAAAATGCAGTTATTCTCACCAAATTCCTCCTTAACCAAAATGAAGATGTAAATAGAAAAAGCATATATCAAGATATTCTCCATATTTTAAATCCAAGTTTTTAAAGCTACTTTTAAAATTTTACCTGTTCATCTAACCATCTAATATTTTGTCAGAAATAATTTTTAAAGTAACCACATGCTGGCTATGGCACTGATTTTAGCCATATCCTACCAAAAGCAACATAGCAAAACCAAAGACCACACACAATATTTACAAGAAAACTGAATGACAACTTAACAAGGTATCATCCCCAAAAACTCTCTACTATGAACAAGCAGGCAGGGCAAGACTAGAAAAGTATCAGTATCTACACAAGAGGAAAAGAAACACGACTTGTCTTGCAATGACCCTACAAACATGAAAATCTCAAATTCACCACTAGTATTCACTGGTAAGGGTGGTTTAAAAAAAAAAAAAAAAAAGCCTACATTCTACCTACATTTAAGATTGCTCCTTACAGCAAGACACACTCTAGTATGCAAAAGCCCTAGAAAAGGTGGACCAGTCTCCAGTTAACAAATCTCTTTGAAACAAAAACGGCCACCACCTCAAAAGCCACCCTGGAAATCACCATAGACAACAGTATCCCTAATAAAACAATCTCTAAAAATATTAAATTCCCTTTAGTTGCACAATTTTAAATAGAAATACAGTGCGCCCTCTGTATCTACGAGTTCCACATTCGCGAATCCAACCAACCTCAGATTGAAAATATTTGAGAAAGGGCTGGGCGCAGTGGCTCACGCCTGTAGCCCCAGCACTTTGGAGGGCAGAGGTGGGTGGATCATGAGGTCAGGAGATCAAGACCATCCTGGCTAACATGGTGAAACACAGTCTTTACTAAAAATATTTAAAAAATTATCCAGGTGTGGTGGCAGGCGCTCGTAGTCCCAGCTAAGCGGGAGGCTGAGGCAGGAGAATGGCGTGAACCCGGAAGCCAGAGGTTGCAGTGAGCTGAGATTGCGCCGCTGCACTCCAGCCTGGGTGACAGAGCAAGACTCCGTCTCAAAAAAAAAGAAGGAGAAAATATTTGAGAAAAATTGTACTGAAATGTGGAGACATTTCTCGTCATTACTTCCTAAACAATATAAGGTATAAAAACTATTTACGTATCATTTATATTGTATTACGTATTATAAGTAATCTAGAGATGCACCAAGGATGTGCAAAGGTTATATGCAAATATTATACCACTTTACATCAGGGACTGAGCATCCACAGATTTTATGTCCAAAGGAGGTCCTGGAACCAATCACCCACATATAACAAGGGACAACCGTACTTTGCCATTAGTTGATAGAAAGCTACCTCACTCTCCCCCTTCCTCCCAGATATACACAATAGTGCAAAAATTACAAATGTTAAGACCTCGCACTTTCCTTAAATTTCAAATTCTATAGCATATATTTTTCTCCAGTTTCATCACCTACAAATGGGAATATTAGAACTACCTCCCAATATTGGTGTGGTAAGATTTTTACTTAACTGAGAATAACAAATCCAAGATGCATATATTAAATAGAAAGCTTAGAGTCACTTCAAGTTAAAATACACGTATCAGTCTCATCACCTGTATGTTTCAAATTTATGTCTCTACAAAATTACAATTACTTAAAAGTTTTTTTCCTTGAGGTGACTGGAAAATAGTCAAAATTACAAATGTTAAGGGTACATCAGTCATCTATCTTATTGACCCACACTCAACCTTCTCATAATTGCCCCAAAATACCCCACAGTACATGAGGTCAAGCTTAGGTAAGCCACTTGAAAAATCTCAGAAATTACAGAAATAACGATTATAAGAGTCCTAACAAAAGCAAAAAGCTCCAAATTTTTTTTTTTCTGAGACACTGTCTCACCCTTTCGCCCAAGCTGGAGTGTGGTGGTGCAATCTTGGCTCACTGCAACCTCTGCCTCCCGCGTTCCAGCGATTCTCCTGCCTCAGCCTCCCGAGCAGCTGCGACTAAAAGCGCCTGCCACCATGCCCAGCTAATTTTTTCTATTTTCAGTAGAGGCAGGGTTTCACCATGTTAGCCAGGCTAGTCTCGAACTCCTGACCTCAGATGATCCACCCGCCTCGGCCTCCCAAAGTGCTGCGATTACAGGCGTGAGCCACCGCACCTGGCCTGAAAGCTCCGCATTCTAACAGTGGTTTTGAAAAGATTCTGGCACTGTTACAGTAGAGGAGGAGGATGTAAGACAACTGAACAAGGGGCAAATGGTATATATTAATAAAATGCAAATTACAAGAGGATTTGGAGCCAGAATGCCTGAGTATAAAACCCAGTTCCATTACTTAGCTGTACAACCTTGGACAAATTATTTAAGCCTTCTAAGACTCAACAGCCTCATTTTTAAAAAAGAGAAAGACCTACTTCAGATAGTAGTTGTAAAGACTAAATCAGGTTATGCATATGAAATATTTGATAATGTCTGACACAAAATAAATGTTCATTAAATATTTGCCATTTAGGAATAAAAGAAAGGCTGAGCCCAGTGGCTCATGCCTGTAATCCCAGCACTCTGAGAGGCCGAGGCAGGTGGATCATCTGAGGTCAGGAGTTGAAGGCCAGCCTGGCCAACATGGTGTACTAAAAATACAAAAATTAGCGGTGATGGGCGCCTGTAATCCCAGCTACTTAGGAGGCTGAGGCAAGAGAATCGCTCGAAACCGGGAGGCAGAGGCTGCAGTGAGCTGAGACTGCACCACTGCACTCCAGCCTGGGAGACAGAGTGAGACTCTGTCTTAAAAAAAAAAAAGAGAGCGAGAGAGACAAGTAAATTATACTGAAAGAAGTAGAGTTTTAACCATGACTGTCTTCTAAGCAACGGTCAAACAAATTACAAGCATAGAGACAAGAGAGATACTATGACACTTATAGCTGCAAATGGCTCTTCACTCTACAGAGCCTCTCAATAAAGCTTTTTATTTTTCTAGCCAGGCATGGTGGCACATGCCTCTGGCAGCTACTGCGGGCGGGGGCTGAGGCAGGAGGATCATTTAAGCCCGGGAGGTCAAGGCTGCAGTGGGCCATGATGGCACCACTGTACTCCAGCCTGGATGACAGAGCAAGACCTTGTCTCAAAAAAAACAAAACAAAAAAGTTTTCTATTTTTTTGCGTTAAGTGGTTAACTGATAACGAAAAAGCCCTACTTCCATGCCACATTTTAAAAAATACCACTAAGGGCATTATTACTACTGTTTCATATCATTACTAATTTGAGACTTGAATTAGCTATTATTCACTTTATAGTCAATGGTGTGAGTTCTCAAAAATATTTAATATTCAGGTAATAGGTTACCCAAGGTATCCGATAGGGATGGAATGTGCAAGTGGTTACATGTAGATTTCCACACACATGTATTACAAGCAATGCAAAACCTGGGCAGCCTGACACATCAACAGGACTGCTCATGGGTGAAACCAGAGAGAAGACAAGCAAACGAACACATCAGAGAGCTGGTGAAAATGAAGATCTAAAATACATTTCTCAACATATAATGTTTTCCATAGGCACATGTAATTAAACAGTAAACACTCTCAATTATCTACACTGTTAGTTTTAGTCAGCGATTCAGTTTTTTGCTATGGATCCTGAATAACAAACTTCTACATCAAAAAGGGAAAAGACCTTTAGTCTACAAGCAGAGAGAAAGCAAGGTGCTCTGTGGACTATAAATTCCTTATCTTCTTACTAATGAGATCTGAAGCTTACTAATGATGTTTTGAAGCAACATGAAGTTTTTGACAGGTATCCAGTAATGTCATATACAGTAATAGTCCATAAACATTATGATTCCATACATTCACTGGCAGACACTAAGTGGATCTGTAGATACAGATACACATGTGCATACAGGTAAAACTAACAGATATTTTAAGAACCTCTTTGTGACTTTAAAGAGTTTAGTAGTAGTGGTGACTGCTCTTTCTCATGCAATATAGACAACTGCTTCTCAACTTTTTAATGTCTCCACACCATTCACCAATTACTAATTACTCCCGAACAGTTAACATCTCATATTATTATCAGACACTTTAACACTAAGCACTATCACCATGTCCCATTCCCCACTCGTAGTCGCTACTGCTACAATACCACCCCCAGACAAACAGTGCTGCAGCACAGAGATTCCTCTAAGCTTTCAAGCTGGAAGGAACCTTGGAGATCATCTATTACAAGCCTCTCATTTAGTATCTGAGGAAACTGTGACCAACAGTAACTTAAGTGATGAAAATCACTAAAAGTAGAATAATTAGTTACAGTAACTCCCACTTACAGGACACTCACTATCTGCCTGTCGCTGCATTAAGCACCTTATAAACTCATTTAATCCCCACAACATCCCTTTAAATAGACCTACTTTATTACCTATATTTACACACCTGGAAATTAAGGGAGAGAAGTCAGCCTTGGTCATATAGTAACTACGTGATGAAATTCAGAATTCAAACCTAAATCTGTTTTGTGCTCTCCTGACTGTCCAATCAGAGTTCATTCCACAAGATTAAGTACTTTAGACTCGTTTCTTTAGCCATATTCATTCTATTTATGCCCAGCATACAGATAATTTTTACTGTCCCCCAAGTTTTCTTATCTATAGCTATATACTTTATTATTCAAGTCCTCACAACAGTTGAAACAACTAAAGGTACAAACCCCATTTTTTTAAGTGAGGAAACAAGCTCACAAATAATTTGTCCAAAGTCTCACCAAGAAGTAGAAAAGCTAAGTTTGGAACTCAAGCAATGTTCTCTCCAAGACATGACATTACTCCGCCATCACCACATGCTAACTCACATGCAATTAGGAAACTAGCCAACGACTAGTAAAAACTAAACCGACCATGGAAAACATGAGCTTATTTGGGCACCCGAAAGAATGAAGATAAGAAAAATTAACTCTACTCAGAAAGTTGGCGTGCCTAACTTCCAGTGTACCATTCAGGTTTACATGATGTGATGAAAAAGAAAACTATAATTTTATTCATGTTCATATCTTAATAACTTCACTCACTGGAATATACAGAAGCAAAAGGGCATCTATTCAACTTATATTTACTGAAAATCTATTGTGCTTCCTCTGTGTACCACTGTGATGACAGCACATGAGAGGACTTTAGGTGACACATGGATAATTCATATTTTAGTAATTTTAGTATTTATAGATTGTAAAGTGACTCAGAAAACGTAACCACTATACCAAGCCAATGGCTTCAGATCTTATTTCCCAAAGCAAGATTAAGGGAAAAAAATTAACACAGTGGTTATGGGAGGGGGGGTGGGGGCTGGGGGTTGAGGGTTTGACCTTTATCTGTAATAGTCTTTCCACTTAAAAAAAATTTTGAGGGAAAAAAACTCAGCTGACCTGAAAAAAAGCATTAAAGAAGTAATTGTACAGATGTTACAAGAATGTGGAAAAATTCATAAAGGTAGTATTTGGCTGACATTTTAGAAATAATTTTCAAAGTGTTTCAAGAAATACTACGTTAGACAAAATAAAACAAAATTCCCTCTTAAGAAACCCCATAGAGGCCGGGCGCGGTGGCTCACACCTGTTATCCCAGCACTTCGGGAAGCCGAGACGGGTCGATCACTTGAGGTCAAGAGTTCGAGACCAGCCTGGCCAACATGGTGAAACCCCATCTCTACTAAAAATACAAAAATTAACTGGGCGTGGTGGTGCGCACCTGTAGTTCCAGCTACTTGGGAGGCTGAGGCAGGAGAATCGCTTGAACCTGGGAGCTTGAACCCGGGAGCCAGAGGTTCAAATGAGCCAAGACACCACTGTACTCCAGCCTGGGTGACAGAGTGAGACTCTGTCTCACAAAAAAAAACAAAAAACAAAAAACAGAAAAAAACAGAAAAGAAAAAGATAAAAGAAACCTCACAAAAGGATCTAACAGCCTCATGGGCTTAAGGAGAATTTCTTTGTAATAATGCGGGTCTTAGTTGTCGATAACTACTTTTAAACCACCTTTTATTTTCTTACTGTTTTGTCAAAATACCTGAACACAAAGAACTTCAAACTGTAGAGGGGGAAAAAAAAGCAGAATCAAAATATGCATTATCAACAACATAACAACGAGTATTATTATCAAGCATTTACTCTGCATACCAAGCACTGTGCTGAGTTTCCTATGTATTGCCTGCCCACACTTCAAGGTACTATTATTATCTCATTTTATAAATGAGGGAAGTGACTTAACAGGGATGTAAAAGTTTTCCTAAAAAGCAGAATTCTAAGAAAGTGGCAGTGGTGCTACAGTTTTTCATCTCTCTAAAACCTTATGGCTGACCAAACTAGAGAGCAGAACCAAAAACCAGTGGACCATATTTACAACAAAACTAGCTGACACAGTATTCCCACAGACTCAAAAAGTGGATGAGGAAAAACTGATAGTCACATGACCTCAACATTACTGGGATCTGTGACAGAGAGAAGTCAAGGTGTATTTCAAAGGCCTAGGAACAGGAGAATCATAAAATAGCCAACAGGTACTCATTGGAAATCACTGCAGACCAATTTGAGAACAGCAGCTGAAACTGAGATGGATTTTGCCAACTCTAGCAATGAGTGAATAGACTGCTCTGAGTTCGAAAAGACGAAGCAGGTCTTGCTCACTTGAGCTCTTGAAAGTGACCCAACAGTGCTCCAATCTAGAGGTAAGCCCCACAATGAGGAGAAAGAGTCAAGAGAAATGAAGACAAGGTTCAAAAAAAAGCAGAAGTGGAGAACACAGCCTGGAATTTCAGAATGCAAACTGCCGTGTTCTTAAAACACTTCACAAAACCAACGAGAGTGCTCCATGTAGTTAGAAAAGCTACTCTGGGCCAAGTGTGGTGGCTCACGCCTGTAATCCCAGCACTTTGGGAGGCCGAGGCAGGTGGATTACGAGGTCAGGAGTCAGCCTGGCCCATGTGGTAAAACCCCGTCTCTACTAAAAATACAAAAACTAGCCAGGCATGGTGGCGCGCGCCTGTGGCCCCAGCTACCAGGGAGGCTGAGACGGAAGAATAGCTTGAACCTGGAGGCAGAGGTTGCAGTGAGCCGAGATCATACCACTGTATTCCAGCCTGGGCAACAGGGCGACACTCCATCTCAAAAAAAAAAAAAAAAAAAAAAAAAAATTGTGGCATATTCATACGATGCATCTACTCAGAAATAAAAAGAAATACAAACTATGTTGAATAGAAGAAGCCAAAGAATACATACTGTATGGTTCCATTTACATAAAATTCTAGAACTCACAAACTAATCTACATTGACAAAAAGTTGCTTGGAGGGAAGGCAGCACACACAGGGAGGGAAGATTACAATGGGGCATGAGCAAACTTCTGGGAGTAATGAATGAACATGTTCACAATCTTGATTGTTGTGATGGTTTCCTGAGTGTAGATATGAAAACTTAGCAACCTGTACATTTCGAATAAATACAGTGTATTGTATGTCAATTATACCTCAATAACACTGATTTTTTTTTTTTTGCAGACAGAGTTTCACTCTTGTTGCCCAGACTGGAGTGCAACGACGTGAGCTCGGCTCACTGTAACCTCTGCCTCCCGGGATCAGGTGATTCTCCCGAGTAGCTGGGATTACAAGCATGCACCGCACCCAGCAAATTTTGTATTTTTAGTAGAGATGGGGTTTCTCCATGTTGGTCAGGCTGGTCTTGAACTCCCGACCTCAGGTGATCCGCCGGCCTCAGCCTCCCAAACTGCTGGGATTACAGGCGTGAGCCACCGCACCCGGCCCGTAACACTGCTTTTTAAAAAAGGACTCAAAAGAAGAATTCAAGACAAAATGATAAGTACTGAAGATATGCAAAGATGCAGCAATATAGTCTCCCTCCCCTCCCCAACAAAAAAACCAAAGACAACAATTCACTTTCTTGAAATATTTAATATTTTTTAAAAATTTAAAAATTCATATTGAAAGACTACACCACCAGTGTGTAGATAAGTGGATAAAAAAAAAAAAAAAGACCACACCATATACCTGAGTACAATGACTCCAAAATATCCAACATTGATTTTCAAAATGCTTTTAAAGATCTAGTCTATAAAAACCACTGTATTTTGGCCGGGCGCAGTGGCTCACACCTGTAATCCTGACACTTTGGGAGGCGAAGGCGGGGAGATCACGAG
Organism: Homo sapiens; assembly: GCF_000001405.40. Classification (NCBI taxonomy): domain Eukaryota; kingdom Metazoa; phylum Chordata; class Mammalia; order Primates; family Hominidae; genus Homo; species Homo sapiens. Next base: position 73,005,173 of record NC_000003.12, on the reverse strand, counting down.
GTCAAGAGTTTGAGACCAGCCTGGCCAATATGGTGAAACCCCGTCTCTACTAAACATACAAAAATTAGCCAGGCATAGTGGTGGGCACCTGTAATGCCAGCTACTGGGAGGCGGAGATTGCGGTTAGCGGAGATGGCGCCACTGCACTCCAGCTTGGGCAACAGAGCAAGACTCCGACTCAAAACACACACACACACACACACACACACACACACACACACACACACACGACTCCGACTCAAAACACACAAACACACACACATGACTCCGACTCAAAACACACACACACAAACAAACAAACAAACACACACACACACACACACACACACCCCACACTGTATTTTAAAGAAAAAAATCTTTTAGGAAGGTAGGCAAAAAGATTGGGCAGTTTATAAGGTAAAAAAAATTATCATCAGATGTTAACAGCTGGCCAGGCATGGTGACACCTCTGTAATCCCTGCACTTTAAGAGGCCAACAAAGTGGGCAGATCACTTAAGCTCGGGAGTTCAAGCTCAGGAGACCAGCCTAAAAACATGGTGAAACCCCATCTCTACAGAAAACACAAAAATTAGCCAGGTGTGGTGGCATATACCTGTAGTCCCAGCTACCGGGAAGGATGAGGTGGGAAGACAGAGTTTACAGTGAACCAAGATTGCATCACTGCACTCCAACCGGGGCAAAAGAGCAAGACTCTGTCTCAAAAATAAATAGATTTTAACAGTTTTACTGGGGGGAAACAATAGAATTAACAAACTTAAGACACTCAAGGATAGAAAATGTGAACCAAAGATTTTACTTCCAGCCAAAGTGACCTTCAAGATTAAAGGGCACATGCCAGGCACGGTGGCTCATGCCTATAATTCCAGCTCTTAGGGAGGCACAGGCGGGAGGATAGCCTGAGCCCAGGAGTTTGAGACCTGCCTGGGCAATATAGCGAGACCCCATGCTCAACAAAAAGGGGAAATAAAAAGGGGGGCAAAAAAAAAAAAAGAATAAAAGGCACAGACAACATACAAGACATACACATAAGAACTCCAGGCCAGGCGCAGTGGCTCATGCCTGTAATCCCAACACTTTGGGAGGCCGAGACAGGCAGATCACTTGAAGTCAGGAAATTGAGACCAACCTGGCCAACACGATGAAACCCCATCTCTACTAAAAATACAAAAGTTAGGCCAGGCACAGTGGCTCACGCCTGTAATCCCAGCACTTTGGGAGGCCAAGACAGGCAGATCACCTGAGGTCAGGAGTTCGAGACCAGCCCAGCCATCACAGAGAAACCCCGTCTCAACTGAAAATACAAAAAAGTAGCCGGGCGTGGTGGCATGCACCTGTAATCCCAGATACTCAGGAGGCTGTGGCAGAAAAATCGCTTGAACCCAGGAGGTGGAGGTTGTAGTGAGTCAAGATCGCACCACTGCACTCCAGCCTGGGCAACAGAGCAAGACTCTGTCTCAAAAAAAAACAAAACAAAAAAAAACTCCAGAAATATTGTTTCAATTAGCCGCTTTTCAATAATCTATTAAAGAATAAGCTTCATTCAGACAACCAAACTGACGAGAGACAGAGAGAATACAATGACAATGACATAAGGACTGGTTGTAGGCATGAGATATATACCTACTGTAAAACTAAGATTGACAGTTAAAAGGGAAAGTCAGCCGGGGCAGTGACTATGCCCGTAATCCCAGCACCTTTGGAGGCAAAGGCAGGGGGAGGATCACTTGAGGCCAGGAGTTCGAGAACAGCCTGTTCAACACAGCGAAACCCCGTCTCTACTAAAAACACAAAAATTAGCCAGGCAATGGTGGCACGTGCCAGTAACCCCAGCTACTCAGGAGGCTGAGGCACAAGAATCACTTGAACCCAAGAGGCAGAGGTTGCGGTGAGCTGTGATCGCACCACTGCACTCCAGCCTGGGCAACAGAGTGAGACTCTGTCTCAAAAAAAAAAAACAAAAGGGAAAGTTACGTAATAGCAATATGCTCAGACAAGGGAGACAGAAAAACTTTTAAATGGGGGCTAGAAATAGAGAATATGTAAAAAAAAAAAAATTTAACATTCCTAGTAATTATATTGGTGGCAGTAATATTCGCATTATTATTTTAGACTTTCTGATGTGTAATGTTGGTTACAATCAGTAATTACAAGACATCCTGATTCTATCATACCCTGCCTGTGTTCTTGAGAGAACCAGGATTCCTGGTATGCAAAAAGTTATAAAAACCCTGGGCCAGGCGCAGTGGTTCACACCTGTAATCCCAGCACTTTGGGAGGCCAAGGTGGATGGATCACGAGGTCAGGAGATCGAGACCATCCTGGCTAACACAGTGAAACCCCATCTCTACTAAAAATACAAAAAAATTAGCCAGGCGTGGTGGCGCATGCCTGTAATCCCAGCTACTCACGAGGCTGAGGCAGGAAAATCGCTTGAACCCAGGAGGCAGAGGTTGTAGCGAGCCGAGATCGCGCCACTGCACTCCAGCCTGGGTGACAGAGCGAGACTCCGTCTCAAAAAAAAAAAAAAAAAAAAAAAAAGAAAAGAAAAGAAAAGAAAAGAAAAGAAAAATCCCTGTGCACTCCCATGTTTACTGCAGCACTATTCACAACAGCCAAAATATGAAACCAGCTCAGTGCAATGGCTCATGCTTTGTAATCTTTGCACTCTGGGAGGATTGCTTAAGGCCAGGAGTTGGAGATCAGCCTAGGCAACATAGCAAGACTTTGTCTCTACAAAAAAAATTATAAATTAGCCAGGCATCGTGGCATGTACCCTATCTGTAAGTCCTAGCTATTCAGGAGGCTGAGGCAAGAGGATCCCTTGAGCCTAAGAGTTTGAGGTTGCAGTGAGCTATGACTGAGTTGCTGCACTAAAGCCTGGGCAACAGCAAGACCTTGCCTCAAAAATACATTTTTTTAAAACAAGGAACCAACCTGAGTTCCCATCAATGGAAAAGAAAATGTGGTATATTATTCAGCAATAAAAAAGAATTAGATCCTGTCATTTGCAACAACATGGATGGAACTATAGGCCATTATGTTAAGTGAAGTTAAGTCAAGCACAGAAAGACAAACATCACGTTTTCACATATGTGGGAGCTACAACAGTGGATCTCACAAAGGTAAGAGTCTAAAGACTGATGATTACTAGAGACTGAGCAAGGAACAGGAGAGATAAAAGGGGAGAAAAAAGAATATACATGTATTTATTACCACCAAACTGTACACTTAAAATGCTAAAGATGGGGCCGGGGGCGATGGTTCACGCCTGTAATCCCAGCAGTTTGGGAGGCCAAGGCAGGTGGATCACGAGGTCAAGAGATAGAGATCATCCTGGCCAACATGGTGAAACCCTGTCTCTACTAAAAACACAATAATTAGTTGTGTGTGCCTGTAGTCCCAGCTACTCAGGAGGCTGAGGCAGGAGAATCGCTTGAACTCAGGAGGTGGGGGATGAAGTGAGCCGAGATCGCGCCACTACGATCCAGTGTGGCATAGGGCGAGACTCCATCTCAAAAAAATAAAAAAAAAGAAGAAAGAAAACTAAAATGGTAAAGATGGTAAATTACATAAGTGTGCAAGTGTGCATGTGTGTGTTTGAGACAAGGTCTTACTCTGTTGCCCAGACTGGAGTGCTGTGGCACAATCACGGCTCACTGCAGCCTCAACCTCCCAGGCTCAGGTGATCCTCCTACCTCCTCCTCCCAAGTAGCTGGGAGTAGCTGGGACTACAGGCGCATGCCACCACGTTAGGCTAATTTTTTATATTTTTTGTAAAGACGGGTTTCACCATGTTGCCCAGGCTGGTCTCGAACTCCTGGGCTCAAGTGACCCTGGGCCACCTGCCTCAGCCTCTCAAAGTTCTGGGATTACAGACATGAATCACTGCACCTGGCCAGTAAATTATATAAGTATATTTTACCTAAACAAAAAAAAAACTTTTTAAAACGCTGTATTCCTCATTCTGAATTGCAAGTCTTAGTATTTTATGTAGCTGAGTAATAATAAACTTCTCTACCACCAAGATTGTAGTCTTGAAATGCCATTTCCCACTAAAAGGCAGGTCTTCTTGAGAAATATCTGATTCACATCTGGGGCAGGAAATGAGCTTGGAACATATTCTTATACCAGAGAATAAGGATACTATCAAAAACTACTAAGGTCACGTCAAAAGGACTCTGGAGCCAACTGGAAAAGGCTACCACTGACCAAATGGGAGACAACTTGACCGTCAAAAAGGATAATAATTGCAACTCAAACCCATCAAATACCTTTAAATCCATGACTGAAATGCATCAAGTGTTTAAATTCATGATTGAAACACACCATATGTTCCTGTTTATTCAGCGCATACTATATATTTAGCATGATGTCAGAAACTACATTACCTTCAGAAGAGTGTATTCTTTCCAACATAAAAACAATTTTTTGAAGTGGCCAGAAACAATTCACCTGGGGATTAATTATTTTAGTTATATACATATATAGTTTCCCTCTTCACATCAATTTAGTATGTCTTGGCATCTTTCCTAACTTCCTACATCAGATGTTTACAGGTAATTTTAATAGACTAAGAAGTAAAAATGTTCAAATTTTTCCTACGGCCTCCTCCATTTTTCCTACAACCTCCTCCATTGTAAAAGCCTATACTTACAATTCTAAAACCTCTCTAAAGCTAAAAGCAAGTGTCAAATCAATTGTCTTTTGAAAAGAAAACTAAGCAGCCTGGGGGGTCACTGATTTTGATCCATAAACAGTTTCACATACTACTTCTGTTAATGCTTTCTTGCTATAATGCATCAGTGAAAATAAAAACAACTATGAAATTTTTTTTTGAGACAGAGTCTCACTCTGTCACTCAGGCTGCAGTACAGTGGCACCAACCATCATGGCTCACTGCAGCCTCAACCTCCCACATTCCAACAATCCTTCTGCCTCAGCCTCTGGAGAAGCTGGGACTATAGGCATGTACCAACACACTCAGGTAACTTAAATTTTTTGTCCTGAGCTCAAGTGACCCACTGTTTCCCAAAGTGCTGAGATACAGGCATGAGCCACCACATCCGGTGGAAATGCTTATCTTAAGCAATCCACCCATCCTAAAACATCAGAAAAGTCTAAATTGCTGTTCTTTAAATTTTCATTTTCATTCTCTCGTTACAATCTCACATACTAGACAAAGCTTAGTTTAGCCATAAATAGGTAGCAGAAACTCTGCAAATGTCAGTATCAAAGATATGCCATGTTGATAAAAAGAAATCAAAGCTTAAAGCTAAATGCATAAACACTGGCTGCTATTTACATAATAAAATAAAAAATATTTTCCAAATTCCATTGAATATAAGAATCTAACTACACCAATCATTTCAGTACAAAACATGCTTAGTGAATACATAAACACCGAATATGGGGTGGAGGATTGGGAATTTTAAGTCCTCTTCTACCAGGATAAAATAACTGTCCAAAAAAAATCAGATAACTTCCCCAGCCACTTGGTGTTCCAGTAAGACAGGATATTAAAAAGCTATCTTTTAGAAACTTTCAATTATTTATACATTTATAGGCAATGTACTTTATCAAAAAGGGAAAGCAGTGTGTACAAACCTGATAAACTGAGTAAGACGTTTTAAGTACTCATCTCCAAATAGTTTGATATCATCTTGTATATCAAAAAACAGCCAAAAGTAAAATGCTATTTGGCTTGACATTGTTGACAGGGCTAAGTCTGTGCCGACTAGCAATTCAAGAGGAATAGTGGCAGTCTAAGCATTTATGTTTTAGGGATTAATTTATTTTTGAAAGATGGCATGTGGTCATTTTTAGGCTTATCTATATAAGCACAAATTAACAGTTTTACATTGTTCTAAATCAAGATGTTCTATATGAAACCCTAATGCGAAGGTAAAAATGACTTCCCCCGCCCAGAGGGTCCCATTTTTTAATGTAATAAATAGAAATACAACATTGAACACATCACACTGACGTTCTCAAAATGACTGGTGTATTTTAATAGAATACTAAGGAGACTCAGCTTGCAGGCATGACCATTAAATCAAGCACTGAGGCAGCAAAGGTTTTTTTCTTTCTAAAATTAGGCTAGTTGTTAAAAGGCTAGACTACAAATAAGCAAATCTTGTGAGAAATGAACACTTGCTAATAATAAAGCCAGAGAAATTATACAATTCTTGCTGAAAGCTACACTCATACTGGGCAGATAACCCACTTATTAACATTGAAACCATAGAAACCTACCCCTTTCCTGCTGCCCCAGCCCCCACCCAAAGACTACAAAAAGAAGTCATCAAAGATGCACTGTTGTCTACAAATAAACTTAGCCAGATTGTGTCTACCACACAAACTGCAAAACAATGACCTGGAATGTTCCTTCTGAACACAGCCCTAACTTTATAGCGTAAGTTTCAGATTCAGAACATTTGGAAACGAGCTGAATAAAATGCTGAGCATATGTAACAAGTCAGCTATCTTAGAAAGTCTACAAGTCAAAACTGTAGCATCTGGAATTTGTCAGATAATAACAGAGTCCTCCAGACGATAAATAGAAGTGACACTTTAAACACCTACATATGCAAATATGACCAAAAAAAGGCTGGACACACGACAATATGAGAAAATACCACCAAGACTCTGAAACAGAATCAAAGCCACAAAATTCTAGGAATAAGCCTATTTGTTATGGCCAAAAAGGGTCATAATGGAATAGGCATTCTTCCTTTCTCTGGCTCGTTAAGACTAATACATTCTCTAAGCGTGCCAAAGCCTAGCTATAAAGAAAATTTTAACATACACAGGTTTTTAAAATCCGTTACAGACCATGTATAAAGTAAGTAAGCGTATACGTTCTTTAAATGTAAATATATAAATTATTTAAATGACCAGGACTTCTACAATTTAGAATGAATTATTTAATTATCCCAAAATATACTTTTTTCCCTTTCCTGAGCAATTCTTAATAATGCACTGGTCTATAACGACAAATGCATGTTTTCAACTCACATTGTTTCTCCAGTCTTGGCTACATGACAAAGAAACTGATCCAGGACAGGACAAACTTCCTTTTTCCCCCTCTTCTCAAAATCTAGATGAAGGAAGAAAAAAAAACGTTATCAGTTTTCTCAAAAGCGCTCTAAAAACAAACTTTCCTCCTAGTCCTTTACCTTATTAAAAATCAATTAAATACAAAATTAAAAAAATAAGGCCTCTCAACCAAATTACCACCTCAATCCTCCAAGTTCTACTTCCAACATGTCACCCTCTTTACAGATAACAAGAATCCTCCTAAAGGGGGCACTCAACTTCACAAACCATTTTTAACGCAGTGCTTCTCGAAGTGTGGTCCGGGGGAACACCAGCATTATATTAAGCTGGGAATCCAGTGAAAATAAAAATCCCCAGGCCCCGACTCCCACCAATTGTTCATCTAAGTCCATAAATCTGCCTTTCTAAGAAGCACCAACTACCCCAAGTTGCCGTCCCCAAATGATTCTGAATGTCAAAGAATAATTCTCAAAACGCTGAAATCTCTCTACTCGAAGTTTGTAAGCCACTGTTCTCAAGCCTGTTGCGTGGAAGGCGTGCAATCAAGAACAGTGAAGGCAACCACCTCGAAATTAGGGCGCGGAAAGATGACTTCAAAAGCCCTGAAAAAGGCATACTGAGACAACTTAAAAGTTGCGATGCTACCCCCTACCCCCGCCCCCACCAACCGTTTACTTTTTCTCCCACCCCAACGCCTAGCGTACGGGTAGCCTGGTGGAGAAAAGAGGATATCTGGGAGGGAGGGGTCTGCGGGTCCGCCACTCGTCCCCTGAACGGGTGGGAGAAAGACTGGGGCCCCCGCAAGAGTTTCCCCGGCTCCCCTCCCCCAGCCCAGACGCCGGCGGCCGACACAAAGCCAGAGCGGGGCGGGAGAGAGCTGCCCACAGGGCTCCCCGCCCCTGGGGAGGTGGAGGGGGATGGGAGCCCGGGAAGCACTCTCCCCACGCCGCGCCCGGCCCCGGTCCTCGGAACCATCCGCCCTGAAAGGAGAGAAGAGCGAGCCGGAGAAGGTGAGGGGGAATGGAGAGGGGGCAGCTACCCCCACCTTTCAGCGCCTCCTGGAGCCTCTCGACGTCCATGGCTTCCCGGAGTCCCTCACAGCCTCCGCCTCCCTCCGCGGGTCTCTTGGGGACCGGAACGCCTCCCCCCACCCCCCCGACGCCCTCCCCCTCCCTCGCACACACTCCGGCACGCAGGCGACCGGGGGGGGGAAACGAAGGGAGCCGGGGGAAGCGTGCGAGAGAGCAAGACCGACAGAGCGAGCACCTCCCCAAGCCGCTACCACCAACCCTCCAACATGGCGCCCGGTACGTCACCGCGCGCACGCTCCCTGCCGCCGTCCTCGCTCCCGCCGCGCGCTCCGGCCCGGAACCCGAGAGCGCGTGCGCGGCCGAGGTGTGACGCTGGGGCCCAGTGGCGTCTGCGTCCCGGCGGCTTCCAGAGCCTCAGCCCCAGCCCCAGCCCCAGGCCCAGGCTCCGCGGAGCTGAAGACTGGACGGTCAGGCGAGAGGGTTGCAGGCGGACTCCTAGGCTTTGAATCCCTGCCATTTCCTCTCTGTGTGAACTTAAGCTACTTACTTCGCCTGTCTGAGCCTCATTTTCCCCATCTGTACAGTAAGGGCACTGGTACTGATGCCCTATGCAGTTGCTGTGAGAATTCAGTGTATACACTTCACGTTCAGAATGCGCCTAAAAAACGTAGAGCGAGGCCGGGCAGGGGGCTCAGGCCGGTGATCCCAACACTTTGGGAGGGAGGCCGAGGCGAGAGGATCGCTTGAGCCCAGGAGTTCGAGACCAGTCTGGGTAACAAAATGACCCCGCTCCCTCGCCCTTCTCTATATAAAAATAAATACAGGCCGGGCGCGGTGACTCAAGCCTGTAATCCCAGCACTTTGGGAGGCTGGGGCGGGCGGAGCACCTGAAGTCAGGAGTTGAAGACCAACCTGGCCAACATGGCGAAACCCCGTCTCTACTAAAAATACAAAATGTAGTCGGGCGTGGTCGCTCGTGCCTGTAATCCCAGTTACTCGGGAGGCTGAGGCACGAGAATCGCTTGAATCCAGGAGGCGGAGGTTGCAGTGAGCCGATATCGCGCCACTGCCTCCAGCCTAGGCGACAAAGCGAGACTGTTTCAAAAAAATAATAATAAAATTAACAATACATACATACACTAAGCATTGCTAATAATCCTAACAAGAATACCTCCCTGCTTAACCCAACGTTCGTTCGTCACTGGCCCACCTGTGGCAAGAAGTAATGTATACAGCAAAGTCATTAAGAGCTCAAGGTTTGGAATCAATATTCAAATCCCAACTCAACTACTTACTCCTTGTGTGGCCCTGAAGTAGTTACCTAAACTCAGGCAGCTTCAGGGTTCTTATTTATAAAATGAGGGTTGTAAAACGGCCACGAGGATTGAGTGAAATGGCAAATGTGAAACATTTGGCACAGTGCGTGAAACCTGGAACACTCAACGTGGCTGGGTTTTTATTACCACTGTTAGCATTATTACATGACATAATCTCCCAGGAGGTAGGAGAGGGCGGAAACCTCAGAAGTCCTCTGCAGCCCTGACATTTTACAAATGGGAAAGCTGTGTCACAGACAGCAAGTCTGGGGAGACAGAACTAGAACCCAGAACCCAAATCATCTGGCTCCCAGCCAGTGCGTGGACATTTTTATACTCATCTGTGAGCTTTTAAAAGAAAAGGTACTGCCCGGGCACGGTGGCTCACACCTGTATTCCCAACACTTCGGGAGTCTGAGGCAGGCGGATCACCTGAGGTCAGGAGTTTGATACCAGCCAGGCCAACATGGCAAAACCCTGTCTCTGCTAAAAATACAAAAAAAAAAAAATTAGCTGGGCTTGGTGGCGGGCACCTGTAATCGCAGCTACTCGGGAGGCTGAGGCAGGAGAATCCCTTGAACCCTGGAGGCTGAGGTTGCAGTGAGCCGAGATACTCCAGCCACTGTACTCCAGCCTGGGCACGACAGAATGGGACTCCGTCTCAAAAAAAAAAAAAAAAAAAAAAAAAAGAGAGAGAGAGAAAGAAAAGAAAAGGTACTGCGTTGTTCCACCTCCTCTTCCCAAAACCCAGCATAGCACAAAGTCATGGAAGGAAGGAGGGGAGAGAAGGACCAAGGGAGGGAAGGAAGGTTATTGTTTGGTCTAAGAAGATGCAAGTTTGGACACAGCCTTTACACTGTTGACCCTCTTAAAAGACAGTGGGTCTGACCCTGATCCTAGGTGGTAGATGTAGGCAAAAGACATTCACACCCAAAATAGCTCTCTCAAATTGTGCCATCAGAGAACCAGTCCCCTGTGTCTTTAGACCTTCGTTGTTCAGAGCATCTAGCTCAATTACAAATATCCTTGCAGAGAGAGGGAATAGGGTAGCACATCAAGCACTTGGCCAGCACTTGCCAGGCACCAGGTTTAGTTTATCCAGGTCCCTTCCAGTCTGAAAGGGCCTACTGCCTACATGGCAAAGCTTAGCCTCTCCTTCTATCTGCCACTCTACTATTCAGAAGGGTCTCTTACTGTAAGAGCTCTGCTGTACAGTAGATATTAGCCATGTGTGAATATTGAAATTTAAATTAATTAAAATTAAATAAAATTTAAAATTCAGTTCCTGAGTTCTTCAATAAAAATCCAATTCTTTTTTTTTTCTTTTTTCTTTTCCTTTTTTTTTTTTTGAGACGGAGTCTTGCTCTGTCGTCCAGGCTGGAGTGCAGTGGCGTGATCTCAGCTCACTGCAACCTGTGCCTCCCGGGTTCAAGCAGTTCTCTGCCTCAGCCTCTCGAGTAGCTGGGATTACAGGCTCCCACCACCACGCCCAGCTAATTTTTGTATTTTTAGTAGAGACGGGGTTTCACCATATTGTCCAGGCTGGTCTTGAACTCTGGACCTTGTGATCCACCCGCCGCAGCCTCCCAAAGTGCTGGGATTACAGGTGTGAGCCACCGCCCCTGGCCTAAAAATCCAATTCTTTGGTCACACCAGCCACATTTTAAGTGCTCAGTAGCTACATGTGGCTAGTGGCTCCTGTATTGGATAGTTCAGATAAAGAAAATTTCATTATTGCAAAAAGTTCTATTGGAACTTTCTGTTGGAGAACACATTATGCTAATTTCTAACACTGTTTTGTCCCTTTCATTGCTGTCAGCTTAACTGAATTTCTTATGGTTTTTCAGATCCCACCTGGTCTTCAGATAATCAAGGCTTGTGCCCCTCTGGTTAGCTCCTCCTCTCCAATGCACTTTGCTACATTCCTCTGCAAATTCAGATCTCTACTTAAACACCACTTCCTCTGGTACACTTTCCACGATTCCCTTAGGCTGTCATTGCTGTGTGCACTTTGTCGCCCGTCATAGACCTTATCCAGTGTCTGGAAGTCAAGATTACAAGGGGAGAAGAGGCAAAAGATGAGGCTGAAAAAATAACTTCGTTTGGTTCATTCCTTCCTTCTTCCTTGAATTCTTCTCCAGCCGGCCTGTATCACAATGTCTGCAATTACTAGAGCCTCCTACTGGCTGGGCATGGTGGCTCACACCTGTAATCTCGGTACTCTGGGAAGCCAAGGCTGGAGGATCACTTGAGACCAGCCCAGCAACATGTCTCTACAAAAAATAAAAAATTACCAGGGGTAGTGGCGCACACCTGTAGTACTAGCTACTTGGGAGGCTAGGAGGATTACTTGAGCCCAGGAATTTAAGTCTGCAGTGAGCCGGGATCATGCCACTGTAATCCATCCTGGGCCACAAACATAGTGAGACCCTGACTCAAAAATAAAAAATAGAATAATAAGCCTCCTACTGATGCCGATTTCCTGGGAAGAAAACAGAATACAAATGTGGCAACCAGCCCCCACAATTACCCCTCATGATCCTCACTTGCTGAGATTCATGCCCTAGTATAATCAGGCACACCAAATCACAGCTGTCTGTGTGAAGGCACTAGGGCTTCTGCCTTGGCCTCTTGAATTGGTAAATGGGGCCTCAATGGGGGAAGCCAGCTGCCATGTCATGAGAACATTAGACAGTCTTGTGGAAAGGCCCCACAGAGAGAAGAACTGTCCTTGAAGGTGGATCCTCCAGCCTCAGGAATTCCTTCAGGTAACTGCAGCCCCAGCTGACATCTGGATCACAACCTTAGCAGACATCCCACACTAGAGCAGCCCATCTAAGTCACTTCCCAATACCTGATCCACAGAAACTGTAAAAGGTGACAATGTCTATAACTGTTCTAAGCCTCTAAATTTTAGAAACTAATGCAACAAATAAGAAATTTAATAGTAACAGCTAATATTTATTAAATACTTTCATGTGTCTGGCATTCTCCTAAGCAGTTTACAAAACTATCAAAAAGTGTCTCCTAAGCAGTTTACAAAAGTATTTAATTGAATCCTCACAAAATCCTATGAGGATCCTCCTCACTTAACAGAAAAGAAAACTGAAATATAGAGGCCCAGCACAGTGGCTCACGCCTGTAATTCCAGCACTTTGAAAGGCCGAGGCGGGTGGATCACCTGAGGTGAGAAGCTGGAGACCAGCCTGGCCAACGTGATGAAACCCCATCTCTACTAAAAATATGAAAATTAGCTGGGCGTGGTGGTGGGCGCCTGTAATCCGAGCTACTCGGGAAGCTGAGGCAGGAGAATTGCTTGAACCCAAGAGGCAGAGCTTGCAATGAGCCAAGATCACGCCACTGCACTCCAGCCTGGGTGACAAGAGCGAAACTCAAGAAAGAGAGAGAGAGAGAGAGAGAGAGAGAGAAGGGAGGGAGGGAGGGAAGGAAAGAAGGAAAAGAAAAGAAAAGAAAGAAAGAAAAAGAAAGAAAGGGAAAGAAAGAAAACGGAAATATAAAGAGGTGAAATTGCTTGCACAAAATCACACAACTACATAGGCAGGTGACTGACCCATGATTCAAACCTAGACTGGCTTCAGAGCCCCCAAACACTTTCTTGTCCTCAAGAAGTTTGCAAAATACTAGGAAAGATAAGATGTAAGTGTAGGCCCTCATGCAAGGTAGAAGGCAAAGCTGTGTATCAGATATTCAGAGGCCTGCAAAATTTCTTCCAGGAAGAGATGGAAGGGTCTCACTTAAAGACTGGAAAAGATTTGTACGGACAGAGAAGAGCCCTCCTGGCAGAGGGAATGGTATTAACAAGGTAAACAGTCTGTGAGGGTCTCCAAGGTGCTCGGGAAAGTTGATGCATAGTCTCTTTTCCCCCACGGAGCTCATAGTCTAATAGGGGAGGTAGACCTTAAATAAATATGAACATTCAGGAAGACTGGCAAGATGAAGGCCCATGTTCTGGGTGTGCACAAGAGGGAAAAGGCCTGAACAGGGAGGAGACACAGAGTAGGCTGTAGAACATGGAGACACAAAGAGATGGGAGGGAGAAAACAGCCAGAACTATGTCAGATAACATGTGGGTGGATCTTTTTTTAACCCCAGGGAAAAGTACTGGAGCTTGGCTGTCCTTCTGAGATGGGTCTGTGGGAAGGGACAAGAAGAGACTGAAGAAAAATCTAGAAAAACCAATATCCAGTCTAAACAAGCTGCAGAACAGAGGACAGACTGGGTTACAATACCACTACACAAAGCTTTAGACGTTCTTTGATTCTCGTGGCTTTTTATTCATGCCCTGAAGTCCTTATTTGTATATATAATGGGTACCAAATGAAGTTGAGATAGGAAGATAAACTAAACTGAATACATTTTTCTAAACAAGTATGAGGGCAGTTTCACAAACCATCAGGCTTCACTTTTTTCCCAGAGACTTTCCACTTTTTTAGTGGAAACAAGGGTGACAAAGGGTCTATGCAAAAAACCATGGGTTGTTTTCTCTGGAGTCACCACAGGCATGATGGCTGCTGGTGGCCATGGTGGGTGTTTAAGAGCAGTGTCAGAGAAGGGAACTGGCAGAGTGAAGCTGCCTAGGTGGCCATCTTGATTAGGTCTGACTGTAGTAGTGGAAGTTGGCTTCGAGTTGTGTGAAAGAAAATGGGAATATATGAGGAGAGTAGGGTATTCCACAGATTAAGGACGCTCACTGAACCCAACAGCCATTCTCTTCTTCAACTCTGCACACTTTCTGTCTCTTTCTCTGTCTCTCTCTCTCTTTCCCTTTCTCCACACCCACACCCACACATCCTATAGGTTGTGTTTCTTTGAAGAACCCTGATTATACATATACAGTCATGTGTCACTTAATAACAGAGATAGATTCTGAGAAACGTGCTATTGGGCAATTTCATTGTTGTGCAAGCATCGTAGAGTGTACTTACACAAACCTAGATGGTATAGCCTCCTACACACCTAGGCTATGGTACTTTCTATTGCTTCTAGGCTACAAACCAATACAGCGTGTTACTGTCCTGAATATTGTAAGCAACTGTAACACAACAGTAAATGTTTGTTTATCTAAACATACCTAAACATAGAAAGGCATAGTAAAAATACAGTATTATAATCTTATGAGACCATTGTCATTTATGTGATCTGTTGTCGAATGAAACATTGTTATGTGGTGCATGACTGTATATACACAAATACACACACATATATATATTCGATAATTGAATATAATAAAATCAAATAGTGTATTAAGAGAAAAAGGTCTAAAATCAGATATCTAGTTTAATTCCTGGCTTATTACTTCCTAGCTGTTTGAATTCAGGTAAATGATTAATATCAAAATGCCTCAGTTTCCTTATGTATAAATTGAAGTTAATAGTGGTGACTTACTCATTGGTTTGCTGAGAGAATTAAGCCAGTGATCTGACTCAATCAATATTAGGTATTGTTCATACTTACATAGGTTAAGAATTACAAAAATAATTTATGGTTTTTCTTTCTCTTTTGAAATGATTTCAAACTCACATAAAAGTTGCAAGTACAGGCCAGGCGTGGTGACTCAAGCCTGTAATCCCAGCACTTCGGGAGGCTGAGGCGGGCAGATCACTTGAGTTCAGGAATTCAAGACCAACCTAGCCAACATGGTGAAACCCCGTCTCTACTAAAAATACAAAAAATTCACCAGGCATAGTGGCACATGCCTGTAGTCCCAGCTACTCGGGAGGCTGAGGCAGGAGAATTGCTTGAACCCAGGTGCTGGAGGTTGCAGTGAGCCAAGATCTTGCCACTGCACTCCAGGCTGGGTGATGGAGCAAGACTCCATCTCAAAACCCAACCAACAAACAAACAAGTTGCAAGTACACTACGAACATTTCTTTTCCTGAACTATTTGAGAGTAAGTTGCTGAAGAGATACTCCCAACCCCCCGAAAACTTTAGTATATAATTGCTAAACATAATGGTGCAACAATTATTATTATACAACAATTGAGGCCGGGCGCAGTGGCTCACACCTGTAATCCCAGCACTTTGGGAGGTCGAGGCAGGCGGATCACGAGGTCAGGAGATCGAGACCATCCTGGCTAACACGGTGAAACCCTGTCTTTACTAAAAATACAAAAAATTAGCCGGGCGTGGTGGCGGGTGCCTGTGGTCCCAGCTACTCGGGAGGCTGAGGCAGGAGAATGGCGTGAACCCAGGAGGCGGAGCTTGCAGTGAGCCGAGATCGCACCACTGCACTCCAGCCTGGACGACAGAGTGAGACTCCATCTCAAAAAAAAAAAAAAAGCAATATATGTAGTTTATTCTATTTCAATTGTATCTTAAAAGAGTTGTACAAAAATACTGACTCCCTAAACACAAGTCAGAAATTAAAAAAAAAAAAACTAGAATACAATGCGTTTAAAATACATACCTTAAAAGGGGAAATAGGGATAATAAAAGCATTGGGGGATTTTTGGAGTTAAAAATAAATCACCCAACTATGTTATCATTTGTAATAAAATTAAAGTAATAGCCATGCTACAAACTGGAGGAGAAATGTTATAAACCTTGAATATGTAACATCATAATAGCTAGTAAAATCCAATGATGAGAGAAAAATAAGAGAATATATAAGTATGCTAAATTCTAAATACTTTGTGCAGAGTTGATTCAAACTTTCCAAAATAGAAACAGAGATTGGCCGGGCACAGTGGTTCATGCCTGTAATCCCAGCACTTTGGAAGGCTGAGGCGGATGGATCACTTGAGGTCAGGAGTTCGAGACCAGCCTGGCCAACATGGTAAAACCCTGTCTCTTCTAAAAATACAAAAACTAGCCAGGCTTAGTGGCAAGCACATGTAATCCCAGCTACTCGGGAGGCTGAGGCAGGAGAATCACTTGAACCCAGGAGACGGAGGTTGCAGTGAGCTGAGATCGTGCCATTGCACTCCAGCCTGGGCAGCACAGCCAAAGCTCCATCTCAAAAAAATAAATAAATAAAAATAAAAATAGAAACAGAGATGAAGGGCCAGGTGCAGTAGCTCATGCCTGTAGTCCCAGCACTTTGGGAGGCCGAGGTGGGCAGATCACCTGAGGTCAGGAGTTCAAGACCAGCCTGGCCAACATGGTGAAACCCCATCTCTACTAAAAATACAAAAATTAGCTGGGCATAGTGGCTCACGCCTGCAGTCCCAGCTACTTGGGAAGCTGAGGCAGGAGACTCGCTTGAACCTGGGAGGTGGAGGTTGCAGTGAGCCAAGATCACACCACTGCACTCCAGCCTGGGCAACAGAGGGAGACTTGGTCTCAAAAACAAAACAACAACAACAACAACAACAACAAACAGAAACAGACGTGAAGAAGGAGTAGAGCGGGGAGGAGAATAATTATTCTTACGGTTAGTAAACTTAGACACAATATAGGTATTATTATTTAAGTTTTTTTTTTTTTTGAGACTGAATTTCACTCTGTTGTCCAGGCTGGAGTACAGTGGCGGGATCTCGGCTCACTGCAACATCTGCCTCCCGGGTTCAAGCAATTCTCCTGCCTCAGCCTCCCAAGTAGCAGGGATTACAGGCACGTGCCACCACGCTCAGCTACTTTTTGTGTTTTTAGTAGAGATGGGGGTTTCACCATGTTGGCCAGGCTGGTCTCAAACTCCTGACCTCAGGTGATCCTCCTGCCTTGGCATCCCAAAGTGCTGGGATTACAGGTGTAAGCCATCTGCACCCGGCCAAAATTCCATTTTTTATTCACATGAACAAAAATTACCAATTGCAAATGACAAGACAAAGATTTGAGTTCAAGTGGTCTATTTGGGGGCCAAATCCAAGAAAACACTGGCAGGAGTGGGGAAGTGTGATGGGGATGGCAAGAAGGCCAATAAAGAATATATATTATTAAAGAAGTTACTACTGTGGGCAACTTGAGCTTCTTCACACTGGGAAATTCTGGGATGCAATTCTGGAACAGACCAGAGTTACCCTTCCAGAGAAGATGAGGAGCTGAGGTATTTATCTACCAACTCCTGTCAGTCAGTGATTGTTACTACTCCCAGAGGTGTTAATTTCCCAATACTTTGAGCCTGCCTGTAGGCAAGTGGAGCAGGCTGCAGTGGCAGAAGGGAGCCTTCGGGCAGAGTCACAGGTTGGGAATCAGAATTTTGAGCTGGCATGCATGGAAATAATGTATGTTAAGGGAATAAGACAGGGCATGCTATGCTGGTCATCTATTCTGTGCCAGAAATTGTGGGTTCTAAATAGGCAGATGGCAGCCTTAGGAAGCTTAAATTCTGACACACCATACACCAACTATTTTCTTAATTAGTTATTGACTTTATTTGAATTTCCTCTCATTTGAGCACGTATTGGTTTTATGTTTTAAAACCTCCATACACATACAAACAATAAATATCAGAGAAGCTGTTATAAACGGTGATCAAGTTTTAAACATTTAATTTTTTTTTAAACGCTACTATCGGCCGGGCGCGGTGGCTCAAGCCTGTAATCCCAGCACTTTGGGAGGCCGAGGCAGGCGGATCACGAGGTCAGGAGATCGAGACCATCCTGGCTAACACGGTGAAACCCCATCTCTACTAAAAATACAGAAAACTTAGCCTGGCGCGGTGGCAGGCGCCTGTAGTCCCAGCTATTCGGGAGGCTGAGGCAGGAGAATGGCGTGAACCCAGGAGGCGGAGCTTGCAGTGAGCCGAGATCACACCACTGCACTCCAGCTTGGGCGACAGACTGAGACTCCGTCTCAAAAAAAAAAAACAACAAAAAACAAAAAACAAACAAACAAACAAAAAGCTAGTATCAGTCCTTTTACTTTTCTTTCAACTGTGTGCTTGCAATCTTTTCTTTTCTTTTTTTTTTTTTTTTTTGAGATGGAGTTTCGCTCTGTCACCCAGGCTGGTGTGCAGTGGCGTGATCTCGGCTCACTGCAACCTCCGCCTCCTGGGTTAAAGCAACTCTCCTGCCTCAGCCTCCCGAGTAGCTGAGATTACAGGTGCCCGCCATGGTTTCTGGCTATTTTTTTTTTTTTTTTGTAATTTTAGTAGAGACTGGCATTCTGCCATGCTGGCCAGGCTGTTCTTAAACTCCTGACTTCAGGTGATTCACCCACTTTGGCCTCCCAGAATGCTGGGATGGATACAGGCATGAGCCACTGTGCCTTGCCGCTTGCAATCTTTTCTAATAACAATAATTTAGAAGAATTCAATTTCCTAATATGATATTTAGACTTGCATTGTCACTTGACCCAGAATAGCAATCCTGAAAAAAGAAATGCTATTGTTTTGATAAACTCTAAGTGCTCCATAATGAGACAGGCATAGGTGTTCCCAGGTGTCTCTTTATAGTTACAGCCTATATGCATATACATGACATAGAGCCTATATAAGTATAGTGGATACATCAACATTTATGATTTTGACTGTCACCTCTAGGAGTCTATGGGGACTGTGGAACTGAGGAATTGTTGAAGTGCTCTTGTCCAACAGATCAAATTTATGATAAGGAACCACCCCCTCCCAAATCATTCATTCATTTTAGATTATTGAATTGTTTCTGGTACGAGGGGTTTATTTGGTTAATGATAGTTTTCAATGAGGGGAAAAAGATATATTATAGTTGTCTTAAGTTAAACACCAGGAGAACAATTTTCTTGATATTTTGACCCAGGTTGGCAATACCATTTTTCATCTGAACATGGAGACAAGGTATTTTTCCAAAGATGGAATGATTCTATTAAAATGACATGAAAATTTTATGGCTGGAATCCTAGAAGGATGTGTGGTTTTCAATAAAATATTAATGAAAAAAGCATTGTTAAAATGATACATTTCCCTTGGCATCTTTTGAGCCTTTGAATATAGAGCTATTTCCAGATTTTTCACTTACACAAGACCTTTTTTTTTCTCTGTACTTGTTTGAGTTGTGTTTGCTGTCACTTACAATTTAAAGAGTTTTAATGACTAAAGAAATTGGTACCAGGAGTGGGGTGGTTTCCAGGCAGCCAAAATCCCACAAATATCTATTATAGAGCTATAAAAAACAGATTATGGAAATAGAGAGCATTTACACAAAAAGGAACTTTAACCTCATCTGACCTAACCATGTCATTTTATGAATAAGTAAATAAACTGACTCAATCAATACATTCTCTCTCTTTCTTTTTTTTTTTAGGGACACGGTCTTGTTCTCTCACCCAGGCTGGAGTATAGTGGTACAATTACAGCTCATTACAGCCTTGACCTCCTGGGTTCAAGTGATCCTCCTGACTCAGCCTCCCAAGTACCTAGGACTACAAGCATGCGCCATCACTCCCAGCAAATTGAAGTGTGTTTTTTTTTTGATATGGGGTCTTGCCATGTTGCCCAGGCTGGTCTTGAACTCCTGGCCTCATGATCCTCCTGCCTAGCCTCCCAAAGTGCTGGGATTACAGGCATCAGGCACCACACCTGGCCTCAATATACTTTCACCGACTGAGACTTTATTTATTTATTTATTTGAGACAGCGTCTCACTCTGTTGCCCAGGCTGGAGTGCACCTGGCCTCAACATACTTCCACTGAATGAGACTTTATTTATTTATTTATTTATGTAAGACAGAGTCTCGCTCTGTTACCCAAGCTGGAGTGCAATGGTGCGATCTCGGCTCACTGCAACCTCCACTTCCTGGTTCAAGCAATTCTCCCACCTCAGCTTCCCAAGTAGCTAGGACTACAGGTGTGCAGTACCACGCCCGGGTAATTTTTGTATTTTTAGTAGAGACGGAGTTTCACTCCCACAGTGCTGGGATTACAGGTGTGAGCCACCAAGGCTGGCTGAGACTTTATAGGATGGGTTATTATAGTCCAGCACCAACATTTACAGGAAAAGTAGTTTCTGAGAACACTGAAAATCAATACAGGGTATTGTGAAGCTTTGCCAATAGGAATTGGTCCCAATTCATGATGCAGATGAATAACTTCATTTATTTATTCCTTAAAGTTTTTTTTTTTTTTGAGACAGAGTTTTGTTCTTGTCACTCAGGCTGGAGTGCAATAGCACGATCTCGGCTCACTGCAACCTCTGCCTCCCTGGTTCAAGCGATACTCCCGCCTCGGCCTCCTGAGTAGCGAGGATTACAGGTGCCAACCATCATGCCCAGCTAATTTTTTTTTTTTTTTGAGACCAAGTCTCACTCTGTCGCCCAGGCTAGAGTGCAGTGGCGCAATCTCAGCTTACTGCAACCTCCACCTTCTGGGTTCAAGCAATTCTCCTGCCTCAGCCTCCTGAGTAGCTGGGATTACAGGCACATGCCACCATGCCTGGCTAATTTTTTTATATTTTTAGTAGAGATGGGGTTTCACTGTGTTAGCCAGGATGATCTCGATCACCTGACCTCATGATCCGCCCGCCTCAGCCTCCCAAAGTGCTGGGATTATAGTCATGAGCCACCGCGCCTGGCCTAATTTTTGTATTTTTAGTAGAGGCAGGGTTTCGCCATGTTAGCCAGACTAGTCTCAAACTCCTGACCTCAGGTGATCGCCTGCCTTGACCTCCCAAAGTGCTGGGATTACAGGCATGAGCCACCGCGCCCGGCCCTCAAATATTTTTTGAGCATGAGAAATGTGTTGGCTGGCCCTCAAATATTTTTTGAGCATTGAGTTGATGATGGGCATAGAGCAGAGAACAGGATCAGCAAGGACCATACCCTCAAGGAACTATGTGTCTACTGGGGCAGGTATTCAATAAATTAATATTTTAATACAAATAAGTATTATTATTGTTATAATAATGCAAATAAAAAGTGCAGGTTGATATGAGTCAATATAAAACAAGGACCTGCCCTTATGTGGCATAATAAGAGAAGGCTTCCATGAGGAAATGGCATTTAAATTCAGACCTGAAAGATAGTGGAAATTTGCCAGGTGAAAGAAGGTGCGAGGCAAGGTGTAGGATTCCAGGTACATACGAAAACCCTGTGGGAGGAAAAAAGCTTGTATACTTAAAAGAGAAAACAAACCAGCATAAATAGAAATTAGTGTAGTGGGGGAGAATAACTCAAGATGAGAATAGGGAGATAGGAGATAGATTATACAGGAACTTTCTGAAACATTTGTTTTTCTTTAGTTTTGTTTTTGAGACAGAGTCTCACCCTGTCGCCCAGGCTGGAGTGTAGTGGCACAATCTCAGCTCACTGCAGCCTCCATCTCCCGGGTTCAAGTGATTCTCCTGTCTCAGCCTCCTGAGTAGCTGGGACTACAGGTGTGCACACCATGCCCGGCTAATTTTTGTATTTTTAGTAGAGATGGGGTTTCACTGTGTTGGCCACGCTGGTCTCAAACTCCTGACCTCAGATGATCCACCTGCCTTGGCCTCCCAAAGTGCTGGGATTACAGGCGTGAGCCACTATGCCTGGCCTCTGAGACATTTGGAAAGGAGCTTAGGCATTATCGTAAGAGCAAAGGGGAATATGGGGTAGGGGTGGGTTATGGTTTAGAGGAAACCAGAGGGAATGTAGAGAGTGAAGAGAGACATAGGGCACAATGCAGGCTGGAGATGACAGGGACTCAAAGGGTTCTGAGCAGAGATAGCAGTAAAGATAAAAAGAGGAAGCTGACTCAGTTAATATTCAGGAGGTAGACATAGTCCATTCTCTTCTTTTCTGTGCTAGTTTGAGCTGTGTTTGCTGTCAGTGGAAATTCAAAGGGCTTTAACTTACCACAGAAATCGGTACTGGGAGTGGGGTGGTTTAGTGGCAAAGTAATGATTTAGTGATGACAATGATGTAAAACCAGGGGGAGGAAAGAGACAAGGATAATGCCCAGGTTTCTGGGATAAGGCAGGGGGTAGGTGTTAGTGACATTTATGACTTAATGGAACAATGAAGAAGGAGAAGGAAGAGAAATATGAGATTGTGATGAAAGAGGGTGAGGCTGCTTTTGAGCTGTGTTCCAACTAAAGGACTTGATTAGGAAGCAAACAGAAACAGGACTGCAGTGAGAATTGTAAAGTGCAGCCAGAGAGTCACGCTTTTCTAGCTAAGTTCCTCTAAAAAGATAAAGAAGGCAGAACTTCTGCATATGAACCCCCTGGGAAGTAAACATAGGACATCATGGTAGACTGGTAAATTGTCATTCCTTAAATCTGATATTTAAAAAAATCTATTAGCCATTTATTTAGTTGAGGCAGGGAGCACAAATAAGATATTTTTAATATTCTGAAATTTCATGTTTTGCTTTATTTATTGTTTTTGAGAAAGGGCTCACTGCAGCCTCAACCTTCTGGGCTCAAATGATCAATCCCCTCAAGTAGCTGGGACTGTAGGCGCATGCCACCATGTCCAGCTAATTTTTTGTATTTTCGGTAGAGACGGGGTTTCGCCATGTTGCCCAGGCTGGTCTTGAACTCCTGAGCTCAAGCGATCCACCTGCCTCAATCTCCCAAGGTGCTAGGATTACAAGCATAAGCCAGTGTGCCTGGCCTCATGTTTTACTCAAATGCACCCAGACTTTACTTTTCTACAGTAACAATGTAGATGTGATAATAAAGCATGCTTTTAAAATTAGCAAGTGCTTTGAATCAGCATTATGCTAAAAGTCTTATTTTTATATCTCTTGTCACAATAACCCTTATAAGGTAGACATTTTAATGTCTGTTGTTTAAGGCACAGAGAGGTTAAGCTACTTCTACAAGGTTACACGACTAATAATTTATAAGCTAGGATTTGAGTCCAAGTTTATCTGAATATAGAAAGTTTTTTGTTTGTTTGTTTTTTGAGATGGAGTCTTGCTCTGTCGCCCAGGCTGGAGTGCAGTAGTGCATTCTTGGCTCACTGCAACCTCCACCTTCTGGGTTCAAGCAATTCTCCTGCTTCAGCCTACCGAGTAGCTAGGATTACAAGCGCCTGCTACCACGCCTGGCTAATTTTTGTATTTTTAGTATAGACTAAACATGGTTTCACCATGTTGGGCAGGCTGGTCTCGAACTCCTGACCTCATGATCTGCTTGCCTCAGCCTCCCAAAGTGCTGGGATTACAGGCATGGGCTACCGTGCCTGACCTTTTTTTTTTTTTTTTTTTTTTTGACAGGGTCTCACTCTGTTGCACAGGCTGGAATGTAGTGGTATGATCATGGCTCACTGCAGCCTTGACTCCCCTGGCTCATGATCCTCCCACCTCAGCTTTCTGAGGAGCTGGACTACAGGTGTGCACCACCGCACCCACCTAATTTTTAAAAAAAGATTTTTTTCTTGAGAGATGGGGGCTTGCTTTGTTGCTCAGGTTGGTCTAGAACTCCTGGCCTCAAGCAATTCTCAAGCCTCAGTCTCCCAAAGTTTGGGATTACAGGCATGAGCCACGGTATTTGGCTTAGTCAGTTATTTTTGATGTGTGTACTAGCTAGCAAGTTAGGCTCAATTTTGTTAAATAAAATGTAGGAACATAGATAACTAATTTTCACATTCTTCAAACTCTATTTATTCTATCTTAAACACAAAACACCATTAAAACCAAATAACATCATTTGTAGTATGGCATTCTTAAAAACAAAGCAAATTTTAATGATTTTTTAAAATAGACTAAGCTAATTACTAAACCAAATATTTCATTACTTGTTATAAGAATTTAAATATTATTACTTATTGTAAATGTTTAAACTTGAAATCTTATATAAAAGAAACATACCTCCAGAATAATACCCAAAGACATGTTTTTAAAGCTTTTATTTAAAAAAAGGGTAAAACAAGAGATGACATTTTAAAAAGACAAGACAGTAATTAAATCATAGTACCGTGTCCCTTTTAATTTGCCATAATAATTCCTTTTCTTTGGAGTATTCATTTTTATGCTCATTTCTTTGCAAAGAAAAATTACAAAAAAAATGTTTTCCAGTATAAAAAATGAATACGGGGCCAGGCGCGGTGGCTCACTCCTGTAATCCCAGCACTTTCGGAGGCCGAGGTGGGTGGATCACCTGAGGTCAGGAGTTTGAGATCAGCCTGGCCAACATGGTGAAAGCCTGTCTCTACTAAAAATACAAAAATTAGCCAGGCATGGTAGCGGGCACCTGTAAATCCCAGCTACTGGGGAGGCTGAGGCAGGAGAATCACTTGAACCCAGGAGGTGGGGGTTGCAGTGAGCTGAGATCGCGCTACTGCTCTCCAGCCTGGGCAACAAGAGCAAGACTCCATCTCAAAAGAAAAAAAAAGGATTTGGGGTCTCCTTGGGAGCTATAAACAGTAGATGCATTTTTTCAGTGACAACATGAACATGTGAAACTGATGAAGCAGAAATTGTATCTGATTCTTACATGTTCATGCATATGGTGATAGAAGCACAAACACTTTATCTTGCAGACAAGAGAATATTGCCAGTTTTGACCTATGAAGAACAAAAACTAGGACAAAGCTCTCTGTCAGAGAAATCTCATCATTTTTCAATACCACCAATGCAATTGTGAAATGATTTGACCTAAGGTTTATCTATAATTCCTCAGTTCACAGGTACAACAAATATTGGCTCCTCCTTTTAAAGGCAGTGTGTGTGTATGTATGTGTGTGTGTGTTGTGTTGATTGATTTTTTTTTTTTTTTTGAATTCTGGAAAACTCTTAACATAAAGATTTGGTCTAAGGGTCAGAACTTTGTTCTAGCCTGCAAGGGATCCCTAAGTTCTGTCATTCTACCACTAAAGCCAAGCTTCTTGGTTCTCCTCAGAAGCCTACATCATAGACAGAAACGGAAAGGCAAAAATGAAAAAGAGGAATATGAAAAAGTGGGAGAGAAAAAGAAAAACATGAAAAATTTCTCTATAATTCTATTAAGTGAGAATATGTCAGCTGGGCACAGTGGCTCATGCCTGTAGTCCCAGTACTTTGGGAGGCCAAGGCAGGTGGATCACTTGAGCTCAGGAGTTTGAGACCAGCCTGGCCAACATGGTGAAATCCCATCTCTACTAAACATTCAAAAATTAGCTGGGCATGGTGGTGCACACCTGTAGTCCCAGCTACTCGGAAGCCTGAGGCATGAGAATCGTTTGAACCTGGGAGGCGGAGGCTGCAGTGAGCTGAGATTGTGCCACTGCACTCCAGCCTAGGTGACAGACGGAGACTCCATCTCAAAAAAAAAAAAAAAAGAGAGAATATGTCCTGTGTTAGCTTGCTTAGGAAATAAAGAGAGAGAGAGAGAGGGAGGGAGGGAAAGAGAGAAAGAGAGAGAGAGAAAGAGAGTGAGAGAAAGAGAGAGCAAGAGAGCAAGAGTAAGAAAGAAAGAAAAAGAAAGAAAGAAAAGAGGCCGGGCGCAGTGGCTCACGCCTGTAATCCCAGCACTTTGGGAGGCCGAGGCGGGCGGATCACGAGGTCGGGAGATCAAGACCATCCTGGCTAACACGGTGAAACCCCTTCTCTACTAAAAATACAAAAAATTAGCTGGGCGTGGTGGCGCCTGTGGTCCCAGCTACTCGGGAGGCTGAAGCAGGAGAATGGCGTGAACCCGGGAGGTGGAGCTTGCAGTGAGCCGAGATCGTACCACTGCACTCCAGGCTGGGTGACAGAGCGAGACTCCATCTCAAAAAAAAAAAAAAAAAAAAAAAAAAAAAAGAAAGAAAGAAAGGAAATATGATTTGTGCTGTCATAGAACTCAACATATTTCTGATTTCAGTGATGAAATCATGTTCATGTTGGTTTATCAAACACATGTAATTTATCTTTTATACGTATAAATATCAGATAATAATGTATAAATATCAGATAATATTTATACATGAATCTAAATTTGTATGAATGTCCTGCTTTCAGGCTGGGCTGCGAGTGATTATTTTGTTACTGGATCATTATTTTGTTTTCAATCACTGTGAATAATAATGTTTTGTATGATTTGGTTTATTTGTTTTTGCTCATGAACACCATAACTGCAAATAAAAGAAATACTCTCAAACGTCTGAGTCCATATAAATACCCATTTCAATACCAAATTTGGTAAAAGTCACAATAATTTGCAATGGAAGCACTGAATATGAACTAGACATATCCCATAAATAGTAAAGCTTGGAGCTTTGTATCCAAAGTGCTAAATTGCCATTTTGGAAGTTGAAGAAAAACTTAAATTGCTTTTCTAGCCAGTTAATTGTTTAAATATTAGAATTTTCAATGTAAGCCATGATTACTGAGATTTATATTGGAGAAACACTCAGCAAGAAAAATATTGGCAGCATTTCCAGTGACACTGCTGTTGAAAAACCTCAATCTCGATGCATATAAAAATACTGTCACCTTTTGCTATCAGAAAGTGCTCTTTTCTTCTTTAATGGAAGTCCATAGTTATATGCATTAAACAGAAATTAAAAAGAAATGAGTAAAGAAGAAAAGAGAGGGAAGAGAGAAAAGGCAGGGCAGGAGGAGAGGAGAGAACTGGCCCACCTTCTTCCCAGTATTCTTTTTTTTTTTTTGAGACGGAGTCTCGCTCTGTCGCCCAGGCTGGAGTGCAGGGGCGCAATCTCGGCTCCCTGCAAGCTCCGCCTCCCGGGTTCACGCCATTCTCCTGCCTCAGCCTCGCGAGTAGCTGGGACCACAGGCGCCACCACGCCCGGCTAATTTTTTGTATTTTTAGTAGATACTGGGTTTCACCGTGTTCGAAAGGATGGTCTTGATCTGCTGACCTCGTGATCCGCCCGCCTCGGCCTCCCAAAGTGCTGGGATTACAGGCGTGAGCCACCGTGCCCGGCCCTTCCCAGTATTCAATGTGGCATATGGGGCAGCACCACCTCTGGCAAACTTTAAACCAGAGAGTGCATGTTTTAGCAGGCCACTGAATTAAAATTTGTGGCTCCTGGATTTCAAAGGCGGTTAATGTAGTAATTTGCTGGGAGTTATCAAAGGCAGAGAAAATATTGCTCCATGGTAATATCCTAGCTATGGAAAATAATTAGCACTTTCAGGCAGCAAGGATTAGAAAAGCAAATTTTCTCTGAATTCTCTGCCAAATTCAGCTAAAATTTCAGGATACAGCACAGGAATTCCAAGGCAGACAACCGCACGAGGTTCTAAGGTTTCACATTCTCAAAATTCATCATTCTAGAATGTTCTAGGGTGATATCATTGACCTTTGCGGGCAACCCTTTTCTGCACAGTCAGACCAGTACTGGTAGTTGAGAGTTGTGGGTAAACTTGGCTCTCATAAAAAAGAAAGGCATTGTATTTCAAGTCTTTACAGTAGATGTTTTTGTGGGACTTATCAAAGGAGAGAAGGAACCTCTTTGAGTTGGTGAGCCATCAACAAATCTGAGTGCCATTTGTGTGTTTCACTGGCCATTCTGAACAAGTAGAAAGGAAACTAGGATGGAAGTTAGGAAATTATGTTCCATCCTGGCTCTTTCACTAAAACCCAATTTATGGGTATATAAGATGCAATTTCCCCTATGTGAAAGACAATTCAAAAATTGCTCCATATCATACGTGTCCATACCACAAATGGAAAGCCTAGTACTAAAGTTACAAAATAATGATGTCACCTCTAGTGGTGAAATAAGGAAACAAAATATAACAGCAAAAATAAGAGTTTCCCGTCATAATGGTAGTTTCCTTAACAAAAATAACCACAGGGCAACTGATCAGAAGGAAAGTATTACTCTAAAATTTTAGATTTAAATTTGTTACTACTATAATAATGCTGCATACCAAAACTGATTGACATCTAAACATTTCTGTGTAGTGCTGAGATTTTCATATCTATTTTTTTTTCAGGGTAAGACTGACTTTTTTTTGCTAATATTGCGCCCATGATATCTTATTGGATTCTAATATATATAAGGATATCATATTTACATCAACAAGATAATATTTTTCTTTTTATACTTCCAGATCATTGTCTCTATATAACAAAAAGTATTTAATATTTTAATTTTCAAA
Source organism: Homo sapiens (assembly GCF_000001405.40). Lineage (NCBI taxonomy): Eukaryota > Metazoa > Chordata > Mammalia > Primates > Hominidae > Homo > Homo sapiens. The sequence goes on along the minus strand of NC_000003.12, from coordinate 72,976,882 downwards.
AATGTCTCTGTAAATAAGATACATCTTACACAGACTGTATGTCTTACAGAATAGCAATTATATTCAATATGTTTATTTCTTTGTGTTACAATTTCCTTGTTTGCCTTATAGAGATGATTCAGGACCCTACCAAATCCACTAGGCTGTTGCAAATATCAAGATCATCTATGCAATAGTCATTTGAGAAAAATAAAGCATTATGCAAAATATTGCTATGCTGATACCAACTATATGAGCAACTAGGGATTAAGCCAGATCCCCGTGGGGAACAGAATATTCAACTTCCTCCTTGCAGTGAGGTGATAAAACCTGTATGGACCAGCTAGGTAACCCTAGGGGGAAAGAAATTGTTTAAAGAGACCTTTCTAAGGCTGGTAGGAAGTTGAATTTTCTTACCAATAGAAGCAGCTGAACTATTTGTTTTTTACACATTAAATTTGAAGTTGGTCTCTGATTTCCACCCATTGCCCAAGAGTTTAAGAAAGAGAGATGACCACAGCTACTGATGATTAACAGATCAAATGTTTTTGTCTGTGGTAAACACAAACATTCCTGAATTTCCTCTCAGAAGCTATTGTTGCATAGAAATGTATTATGATTTAGTCCTCCACAAATCAAAGTAATTTTTTTCTTTAGAAATACTCCCAGATTGGCTGAGTGCAGTGGCTCACACTTGTAATCCCAGCACTTTGGGAGGCTGAGGCAGGCAGATCACTTGAGGTCTGGAGATCAAGACCAGCCTGGCCAACATGGTAAAACCGTGTCTCTACTAAAAATACAAAAATTAGCCGGGTGTGGTGGCACACACTTGTAATCCCAGCTACTGGGGAGGCTGAGGCATGAGAATCACTTGAACCCAGGAGGTGGAAGCTGCAGTGAGCCGAGATCCTGCCACTGCATTCTAGCCTGGGCTACAGAGTGAGATTCCGTCTCAAAAAAAAAAAAAAAAAAAAAAAGAAAGAAAGAAAAAGAAGAAATACCCCCAGATACATGCTTCATCCTTTAACACTACCCAAGTATCTGAATGATTCTCTCAGATGTATTTTAAATAAAATTCTGTACACATAATCATCTCATCTAATATTTTAGTCTCCCACATAAAAATCTCAGCAAAAAGGCCAGCTTTTACTGAGATTACCTGTTTTAGATGTGTGTTAGAGTGGAAAATGCAAAAGTAGAGAAAAAAGGTTGTAAGGAACTGCTTTAAAATGGAAACAATCTTTTCCACTGGTCAATAGGATTATGGCTAATCTAATCTTGATGTTGAGCCCTTGACCCATATGCTCTACAAGTGTGTCTCTCTGTTTCAAAAGTGTGTATTACTTTTATAACACGGGTGTGGGGGAGTCAGTTGCATAGAAAGAGTCTCAGGAATGCTAGATCAATATAACACCTCAGGTGCCACTGAAATGGTCTCAGACGTTTAGGAATTAGAAGGCTCACAAAAGCTATTTTCACAGCTAGCTCAACCTGCTTAAACAATGTTAAATGAGTAATAGTCTTTTTTTTTTTTCCTTAGAGATAAATAGCATTTTAGAAAAAAAAATAAGGAAAAGCATATTCCCTTTTGGGGGCAACTGATTTGGCAAAATTTAACGAGGTTTTTAAAACTCAACAGTCATGGAGCACCATTAAATATTCACACAAAAAGACCCAGGCAGCTTAGAGATTAGTATTTCCTTGGTCACAAGACACCTAATTGACTTGCAACAAGACAAAATATTCAGTGCATCTGGTTGGGGCCAACATGGATGATGACGTGTTTCTCATAAGCCCTTTTCATTGTTTTCTCAATTTGCTTCAGAAAAACTTGCGGGATTCGTCCACATAAAGTGTGCACAGTCTCCAAAAACTTCAGCTGAAGGGGGTAATACATGGATTGAAAGAGATTGTCTTGAAAGGGAAACTGAAAGATGACAAAAAAAAAGTTTATTTAGTAACGGAAATGCCATTTTAAATGCAGATCATTTTTACTAAGAAATGACACAGGAATTACGATAAGCCCACAGGCACAGGTTTGGACAAGTGAAAAGACCTTTGAGGATCTAACTTAAAATCCTGTCTCAGCTGTGCAACCCCAGGTAATCATTTAAACTCTCCGAACCTCAGTTTCTTTACCTCTTTAAAAAGAAAAAGGCTAGGCATGGTGGCTTACACCTGTAACCCCAGCACTTTGAGAGGCCGAGGTGGGAGGACCACTTGAGCCCAGGAGTTTGAGACCAGCCTGAGCAACATGGCAAGACCCCATCTCATTAAAAAAGAATAGTAATAAAATTAAAAAAAAATTTGGGTCCTTAAGGGTCTTACAATCTAAAAATGATGCATGTCTCTAAGGACAGGAAAGTCCATATATCATAGCATGTTTACGCTGAGTAGAAGGAAGGCTCAAGATACTCACTTGAAATCTACTACAACAAAACAATGAATTCTTCATCTTTTTTGACCTTAATGAAGAAACTTTAGGGTATGTCTATGGTAATCTCGTGAAGTTCAGGGTTTAACAATTACTAGTAAAATTTATTGGCAATAAACCAGATTTTAATAATTCAGGTACCAAATATTAGTGGTTGTTTATTTCCCTCTTAATATTGGGCTTTTGAGATCATCACTGCCATTTTTTAAAATTCTTTTGTTTTCTTCATGGAATACGTCTATGAGCAGTATAACCCAAAATAAATCTTTCAGACCACTTAGTTACGCACATGTATCAAAGTTTTATTACAATCTTGTTGAAAGGGAAAAGTCTGGTAGTAGATCAAGTCAAAGATCCACTCTTGGTCAGGACATTTTATATGGAAAGACTAGTGAGAAATGAAAGAAGAATGGTTAAAGATCAGTACACTCTTGCCTAACAGGAGAGGTGGGTGTCTGGTTTCCTAGAACAAATGTTAATCCTTTAAAATTAATCAGAAATACTGCTTACACAGGTTTATCAGAGATGCCAGTTTCTTCTCGGAAGGAGATTATGCATTATGTAATGCAAGAAGGTTCTCTCCCAGACCAGGTTGGTTTGGGATACTTTTTCTTTAATCATGAAATTTAAATCATTGATAAACCCCTTGAAGCCAGTCCTGAATCTGTCCTTTTCACCACTGTAGCTCCAGTAATGGGAACAGGATAGGTCAAAACCTTGGAATCACCCTCAATTCCTCTCTTTCCCCCCACAACCCTCATCCAATTCATCAGCAAGTCCTGTAAACTCTATCTCAACAGCATATCCCAAATATGGCGACTTCTTCCCATTTCCTGCCACCACGCAAGCCCATGCTGGCCCCATTGCTCACCCAGGTGGCTGCGATTAGTCTCACAAATAAATAGCCTTTGTGTTTTCACTCTTGCATCCCTTCCACCACATTACCAAGGTGATATTTCTAAATCATAAATCAGAGCCTATCACTTTCCCGAAGGGGCTTTCCACTGCCATTAGAATGAGATTCCAACTCCTCCCTTGTTCTAAAGGTTCAAGGTGACCTGGAAACTCTCCCCTCTCAGTTCCTCCTCTCTCCTCTTATCTGGCCATTCCTGTCTTTCCAGCACACCAAATTCATTCCTGCCTCCGGGACTTTCCCCTGGTCATTCCTTCTGTTTCACGGGATTTTCCCCAGATTTCCCCTGGGCTGCCTCCATCTGATAAGTCTAGGACTTACAAGCAGCCTCCCTGGTGCCCCTCCCCCAGCTGGTAGAACACTCCTCTCCAGCCCAGGACTTTGGACCCATCAGCCCACTCTTTTTACACCTTTTGAACTCCTTTCACCTTTCACTATCTCAGAGGATTTTTTTTTCTTTTGAGATAGGGTCTTGCTGTGTCACCCAGGCTGGAGTACAGAGGGGCAATCACGGCTCACTGCAGCCTTGAACTCCTGGGCTCAAGTGATCCTCCATCTCAGCCTCACAATTAGCTGGGACCACAGGCACTTGCCATGACGCCCAGTTGTTACTATTTTTTTTCCTAAAGAGGCAAAGTCTTGCTCTGGCTGGAGTACAGTGGGGCCATCCTAGCTCACTGTAGCCTTGGCCTCCTAAGCTCAAGAGATCTTCCCACCCCAGCCCCAACCCCTCCCCACCCAGTAGCTGGGACTACCTGCATGTGCCACCAGGCTAATTTTTTTTTTTTTTTTTTAATTTTTGTAGAGACGCATCTCACTATGTCGCCCAGGCTGAATTTTTCTTTCTTTTTCTCAATCAGTATTGTCTGGCTTCCCCCACCAGAATATATGCTTCTTTTTTTTTTTTTTTTTTTCCGAGACAGAGTCTTGCTCTGTCACCCAGGCTGGACTGCAGTGGTGCGATCTTGGCTCACTGCAACTTCCACTTCCTGGGTTCAAGAAATTCTCCTGCCTCAGCCTCCTGAGTAGCTGGGATTACAGGTGCCTGCCACCACGCCCGGCTGATTTCTGTATTTTTAGTAGAGATGGGGTTTCACCATGTTGGCCAGGCTGGTCTCGAACTCATGACCTCAGGTGATCCACCTGCCTCGGTCTCCCAAAGTGCTGGGAGGTGTGACCCACTGCGCCCAGCTCAGAATATATGCTTCTTAAAGACTAGGGCTTTGTTCATCTTATTACCTTCCAAATTCCTAGAAACTAGAATTGTTCCTGCATAAAATAGATGCTTCATAAGTGACTGTCAAGAGAATTACTGCAAAAATGTCTATATGATAGATGCCTTCTTGTGGGGAGGCTGCACTGCCCTTTCACACAAACACGTACACACAAACACACAGGTTAGGATGTCTATGAGCACCTGAAACAGAGAGAGAAATAGAGAGAAAGAGAGAGAATATTTTCAGAGACAGATGAAGGGAGAAAAAGAAAAAGGTATATAGAGAGAAACTGTTTATAAGCAAGAAGAGAGAGAGAAATGTGAAAAAGCTAGAGAAAGTGTGAAATTGTTATCATCAAAACAACTTCCTTATATCTTTTTTTTTTTTTTTTTAGATGGAGTGTCACTCTGTCGCCCAGGCTGGAGTGCAGTGGCACGATCCTGGCTTGCTGTAACCTCTGCCTCCCGGTTTCAAGCCATTCTCCTACCTCAGCCTCCCAAGTAGCTGGGATTACAGGCATGCGCCACCACGCCCGGCTAATTTTCATGTTTTTAGTAGAGACAGGGTTTCGCCATTTTGGCCACGCTGTTCTCGAACTCCCGACCTCAAGTGATCCACCTGCCTCAGCCTCCCAAAGTGCTGGGATTACAGGTGTGAGCCACCGCACCTGGCCAAAACAACTTCTAATTATTGCACAAACTGTATGTCAGGCTCTGTACTAAAAGCATAAAGACTATCATTTTGTTGAATTTTCATAACACTTGTTTGAGGTAGATAATCTTATTATCTACACTTGACTGATGAAAAAACTGAGGCCCAGCAAGGTAAGGGCACAGTTAATGGCAAATCACCAGAAAGCGGCAAAATTGGGATTTGAACCTGTCTGTCCAGGCCCAAAGCCAAGCTCTGACCCACTACACAATGGTTCACAGCATTGTAGAGAATGGGGAAATACATCTTTTATGATGGAGTCTCTTTACATTTACTCACATTTTGGGTCAGGGTTAGTCATTTTTCTGATTGAAATGCCTGAATGAAAACTATATTTTCAGGCCCAACTGAGGAAAATCATGGAGTGTACTAAGCAGAATCATTTATGAAACAAAGTTGTTCAGCCCTCTTTCTGATCCCCCAGAAAACAAACAAGATGAGTTGCAACTCAAGAACCACAACTGCTCAACTCCAAACCAGGGGTGACAGATCACAAAAGAAACCCAAGAGTGGCTCTGATAGACACACGGCTGCTGTGTACTTATTTAACTTCTGCTCGTACTCCTGAATGAGTTTGCCCCTGGAGTCAGTGTTTGAATATTTAAATGTGAGGATATCATTAAGCACAGAACAAATTTTCTGCATAATTAAATCACCTGGCCTTTGAAAACCAAATAGCAGGAAATGCAGAAGGAAAAGCTTGGATGCATGCTAAACACTTTCCCTGTACAGAAGTCAACTCTAGAAATTGCTTTTTTCTTTTTTTGAGATGGAGTTTCACTCTTGTTGCCCAGGCTGGAGTGCAATGGCATGATCTTGGCTCACTGCAACCTCTGCTTCCCAGGTTCAAGTGATTCTCCTGCCTCAGCCACCCGAGTAGCTGGGATTACAGGCATGCGCCACAACGCCCAGCTAATTTTGTATTTTTAGTAGAGACGGGGGGATTTCTCCATGTTGGTCAGGCTGGTCTCGAACTCCCGACCTCAGGTGATCCACCCACCTCGGCCTCCCAAAGTGCTGGGATTACAGATGTGAGCCACCACGCTCAGCCAACTCTGCGAATTTCAGAGTTAGAATTCTCCAGGACTCTCCCTAGCAAATGCATACTTTCTTTTTTTCATTTATTTTCTTTTTTTTAATTTGTTTTTTCAGAGACAGGGTCTTACTATGTTGCCCAGGCTGGTCTTGAACTCCTCACCTCAGCCTCCAAAGTGCTGGGATTATAGGCGTGAGCTTCTGTACCGGGCCTATTTAATTAATTAATTAATTGGTTTTTTTGAGATGGAGTGTCGCTCTGTCACTCAGGCTGGAGTGTAGTAGTGCAATCAAGACTCACTGCAACCTCTGCCTCCCAGGTTCAAGCAATTCACCTGTCTCAGCCTCCCTAATAGCTGGGATTATAGGCGTGCACCACCATACCCGGCTAATTTTTGTATTTTTAGTAGAGATGGGGTTTTACCATGTTGGCCAGGCTGGTCTTGAATTCCTAACCTCAAGTGATCTGCCTGTCTCAGCCTCCCAATGTGCTAGGATTACAGGCATAAACCACCACACCAGGCCGATTTTATTTTTTTTTGAGATGGGGTCTCACTATGTTGGCTGCGCTGACCTCAAACTCCTGACCTCAAGCAATCCTCTCACTTCTTAGCCTCTTGAAGTGCTGGGATTACAGGCATGAGTCACTGTGCTGGGCCTTAAATGTTTTTGTTTTTTTTTTTTCAAATGCACATTTTCATACACAAAAAATTGTTACTATGTTACAGGATTTACCCCCTACCTCACTTCTACCAAAGCCTGTTCATGAAACTTAGAGAATTCGATCTTTAACAACAAAGCCTAATAAATTCTACATGTTTTATGTCAGGGGCTGGCTAACTTTTTCTGTAAAGGAGTAGATGGTAAATATTTTAGACTCTGTAGACCATATGTCCTTTGTCACAACTAATCATCCTGTTATTATAGTGCCAACATAACCATAGATAATACATAAATGGCCAGGCACGATGGCTCAGACCTGTAGTCCTAGCACTTTGTGAGGCTGGGATGGAAAGATCACTTGAGGCCAGGAGTTTGAAATCAGCCTGGGCAACAAAGCAAGATCCCATCTCCACCAAAAGAAAAATGACAATACATAAATGAATAGGTGTCACTGGTTCCCAATATGACTTTATTTACCAGTGCTGACATTTGAATTTCATATAGTTTTCTTCTGTCGTGAATTTTTTTTTTTTTTTTTGAGACAGGGTCTTGCTCTGTTGCCCAAGCTGGAGTGAAGTGGTGCAATCATAGCTCACTGCAGCCTTGAACTCCTGGGGTCAAGTGATCCTCCTGCTTCAGCCTCCCAAGTCACTCAGATTACAGCATGAGGCTTGCCTTATTTTTTAAATTTTTTGTACAGATGGGGTCTTACTATGTTGTAGTTTTCTTGAGAAAGTTGCATAAAGGGCTCCAGACAGCCATGTTCATACACATACCTGCATTCCCACCCTATTTTCTCCTCTCTTTTCCCATCCCTAGCCCACGAGTCCATAAAGAGGCAAGAACCTTCTTTTTTTTTTGAGATGGAGTCTTGCTCTGTCACCCAGGCTGGAGTGCAGTGGCGCCATCTCAGCTCCCTGCAAGCTCCGCCTCCTGGGTTCATGCCATTCTCCTGCCTCAGCCTCCCGAGTAGCTGGGACTACAGGCGCTCGCCACCACACCCAGCACCAAAAAAAAATTTTTTTTTTGTATTTTTTAGTAGAGATGGGGTTTCACCATGTTAGGAAAGTCTCGATCTCCTGACCTCGTGATCCGCCAACCTTGCCCTCCCAAAGTGCAGGGATTACAGGCATGAGCCACTGCGCCAAGCCTAATTTTTGTATTTTTAGTAGAGACAGGGTTTCACCATATTGGCCAGGCTGGTCTCGAACTCCTGACCTCGTGATCCACCTGCCTTGGCCTCCCCAAGTGCTGGGATTACAGGCATGAGCCACTGCATCCAGCCAAGAACCTTTTCTTCAGTGCCCCTTGGCAGTGAGAAGGTTCCTGCCATGTGTGCTGTATGCACTTGACTCTTATCTTGTACCCTTTGGTGGGGAAAAATGGAAGACTGGGGAGTCAGGGCCTCTTTCTGCTGCTTGCATGCACTTCTGCAGTTAAGCAAATAAAGGCTTGATTGTTACTTTTAGTTTGGCTCCTTGTTGTAACTGAACACCTTGACCCCTGATTGAGTAACAGATTGGAGTTGGCAACCAGGCAACGTATTTAGCTAGAACTGAGTAATATCATTTTCTTTTTATTGTCTAATCTTGATCCTATGTGTTACCTTACACTATGGCAAAAGGCACAGAAGTTGTCTTTGTGACATGAAATTTCCTCCTAAAGTAGGTGGCTCACACCTGTAATACCAACATTTTGGGAGGCTAAGGCAAGTGGATCACTTGAGGTCAGGAGTTCGAGACCAGCCTGGCCAACATGGTGAAACCCCATCTCTACTAAAAATACAAAAATTTGCCAGGCATGGCGGCGCGTGTCTGTAGTCCCAGCTACTTGGGAGGCTGAGGCAGGAAAATCACTTGAACCCAGGAGGTGGAGGTTGCAGTAAGCCAAGATCCCACCACTGCACTCCAGCCTGGGTAACAGAGCAAGACTCCATCTCAGAAAACAAAAACAAAAAACAGAAATTTCCTCCTAAAGTAAATTTGGTTAAGTAAAAGATAATGAATGGTGTACGTGGAAATAAGTCAAGTAGATATGACATAGTACAAGGTGGCAAGAGGATATAGTGACAGAGCGTGACTGAGGTCGGGAATAACTGGTATAACTCTATGCTTTGGGAATATTTGGCCTTCAAAGGGACAGGTGACTAAAGCGCCAATATTGCTTCATGCTGATAAGCACATCTGCTAACAGCAGCAAGGGCACACTTACATCCCGTATTGCTTCATAGAGTGCTCTGAACGTTGGTTGCTTATCGTCATGGTAGACGCCTCGGTTTCCATGCAGAACAGACACACCTTCATGCTCAGCCTCTCTGCAGTTGCTTCCGTACATGCAGTGATCGGGACGGTAGTTCCACTGGCAGGGGAATACATAGAGACACTCTGGTGGTAAAAAGAGAAAGACATATATGTCCACGGTTAGTGCCAGCTCTCATGCACATGTGGCACGATTAAACTGTTTCCACTAACTGTACACAGCATGTAATTTCAAAGTACAGGAGTGTGATTTTTTACTCATAGATCAAATTTTGCCCCATTTGTCAAAATTCTGAGATCAAGAATTGAAGGGGCACACAGTGATGATGTAGGTTTCATCCAAAAAAAGAAGAGAGTGTTGCATCTTAAATAAGAAAGCAAACACAGGCACGAGGCAGCCTGGGTCCAAATCTCAACTCTCTCACTCAAAACCACTGAAATCCATGTCTAGTCACTTAACTTCCTGTACTTCTGTTTTCTCATCTGTAAATGGGAATAATACAACCTCTATCTTATTTTGATGATTAAACTTTAAACATACATGTAAAATGATTAGCAGGGTATCAAACATACAGTAGTGGTTCAATAATGTTAGCAGTTGCACTGGCTGGGTGTGGTGGCTCACACCTGTAATCCCAGAGTTTGGGAGGCCAAGGTGGAAGGATCACTTGAGGTCAGGAGTTTGAGAACAGCTTGGGCAACATAGCAAGACCCCTGTCTCCATACAAATTTTAAAAATTAGCAGCTGGGCCAGGCATGGTGGCTCACGCCTGTAATCCCAGCACTTTGGGAGGCCAAGGCAGGCAAATCACCTGAGGTCAGGAGTTTGAGATCAGTCTGGCCAACATGGCGAAACCTGTCTCTACTAAAAATACAAAAATTAGCCAGCCATGGTGGCACGCACCTGTAATCCCACCTACTTGGGAGGCTGAGGCGGGAGAATAGCCAGGAGGTGGCAGAGGTTGCAGTGATCCAAGATCGCACCACTACACTCCACCCTGAGCAACAAAATAAGACTGTCTCAAAACAAAAAAAAACGAACAAACCAAAAAAATTACAAAAATAAATTAGCCAGGCATGGTGGCACACTTGAAGCTACTTGGCAGGATTCCTTGAGCCCAGGAGTTAGAGGTTACAGTGAGCTATGATCATGCCACTGCACTCTAGCCTGTGACGGAGTGAGATCCTGTATCAAAAAAAAAAAAAAAAAAAAAGATACACACAAAAAAATGTCAAAAATAGTGTTAGCAGTTGTAATCAACTCTTTGGAAAGGTTTTATAAAATGGACAGAACTAAAAAAGAGGAGTCAAGATTAAAGTAAAGATTCTGCTTCAGATTAAGAACAAACAAAAAACCAAAGAAAAAAAAAAAAACAGCAAAAACCCCCACCTTCGGCTGGGTACAGTGGCTCACACCTGTAATCCCAGCACTTTGGAAGGCTGAGGTTGGTGGATAACTTGAGGTCAGGAGTTCGAGACCAACCTGACCAACATGATGAAACCCTGTCTCTACTAAAAATACAAACATTAGCCAGGCATGGAGGCAGGAGCCTGTAAACCCAGCTACTCAGGAGGCTGAGGCACGAGAATCTAGAACCCGGAAGGCAGGGGTTGCAGTGAGCTGAGATCACACACTGCACTCCAGCCTGGGTGACGGAGTAAGACTCCATCTCAAAAACAAAAACCAACACAACAAAAAAACCCCACCTACAACAGGAAAGAGAAAAACCCCAAAGCAAAAAGCAAAGAAAAAAAAGCCCTGTGCCAAGGTAACTATATGCACCATGGCCATATGTGCACATATGTACACAGGTGTGTTTGTATCTCTAAACCCTGGTTGGTTCTCAACCAGGGGCAATTTTGCCCCCTCCCTACTCCTCTACCCCAGGGCCATTTGGCAATATTTGGAGGGAAACACTGTTGACTGTTATACATGGGGGAGGCTGCTACTGGCATCTAGTGGGTGCTCTGAACATCCTATAATGAACAGGACAGTCCCCAACAATAGCAATAGTGCTGATGTTGAGAAACTCTGCCCTAATCCTATTGGATTCAGAAAATTTCCTCTTGGTGACCAGAATTATACAATTAGCAATAAATTCATGACCCCCTAGCTTCCTGGCTTCTCGGCTTGATGCTTTTCAGGGTTGGGGGCAGAGGAGTATGGATCAAAGCTCTCTGCAAATGTGTGTTGCTGATCATGAGAAAGACCCTGTGAGAGAGCACAAGAGAGGATTACAGCAAATCAGTAACACCACCACCATTGGAAAAGCAACTTCAAGATGTGCTTGTTCATTGGGTTGATGGCATTCCTGTCTCACAGAAAAAAATCATTGCTTAGTGATTACTTACAGAAAGCTTCAAGATGGAAAGCAAATAATGAAGTGATTGTCACCCATCCCATCTGGCAGGCTGTGTATGTTTTCAGGGCTCAGTCTTTTATAGGACAGTGACATTTAGGCATCCTTTATCAAATTTCTAATTGCTCATAACACACTGTGACATTTCTCTTTTCTCAGGAGAACTCCATTCCACCATGACATTCCCTTACTTGCATTTACCTGAACATTTGCACATACATAGTCCCTAAGTGGGATGGAGTAGTGGCCATCCTCAAGTCACCCTATATAGATTTGAATCACAACTCCTCTATTAGCTGCCTGACCTTTCTGCAATTTAATGCAGAGGCTGGATGTGAGGATTAAATAAAGGAAAATATCTAAAAGTGCTTTTGAACTGTGCCTGGCCACACCCAACTGCTTCCTTTTGTCACCCAATGGGTCATATCACTCATTAATGATGCTCACCCAAGCATTTACATTGTCTTGTTTAAGCACCTTCTAAAGTTTCCAGTTGAATAAACTGTGCTTGAGTCTGTTTTTGTAAACACACTGATTGATTGAATCAATGACTATTTGTTGAGTGTCTGCTGTGTGCACTGTGGACAAATAATAGAAAAATCCAGTCCCTGCTTTCATGGAGTTTAGATTAGTGATGAGAGTTTTTGCCTCTTTCCAAGTAGTTTAGGGCTTACAAAAAGAAACCTTTTCTCGGCTGGGTGCAATGGCTCACGCCTGTAATCCCAGCACTTTGGGAGGCCAAGGCGGGCGGATCACGAGGTCAGGAGTTCGAGACCAGCCTGGCCAACATGGTGAAACCCCACCTCTACTAAAAATACAAAAATTAGCCAGGCATGATGGCATGTGCCTGTAGTCCCAGCTACTCGGGGGGCTGAGGCAGGAGAATTGTTTGAACCTGGGAGGTGGAGGTTGTGGTGAGCCGAGATCGCACCACTGCACTCCAGCCCGAACGACAAAGCAAGACTCTGTCTCAAAAAAAAGAAAAGAAAAAAAAAGAGAGAAACCTTTTCTCTCTTTGCAACCTCCTTAGAGGACTGAGCCCAGTGAGGGGCACTCCAAGGCAGAAAACAAACAGAAAGGGCAAAGACTCTGGAATCAGAAGTGCAGAGGTGTAAATCTGGCTTCTACCCCCATCTAGCTCTATAATCGTGGTAAGTTAGAAAAACATTTCACCTCGATTTAACAGCAGTAAAGAGAAGCCAAGGCCGGGCATGGTGGCTCATGCCTATAATCCCAGCACTTTGGGAGGCCAAGGTGGGAGGATTGCTTTAGCTCAGGAGTTTGAGACCAGCCTGGGCAACACAGCGAGACTCCCGTCTCTACAAAATTAAAAAATTTGTCCGGGTATGGTGGCTCACGCCTGTAATCCCAGCACTTTGGGACGCCAAGGCAGGTAGATCACCTGAGGTCGGGAGTTCGAGACCAGCCTGACCAACATGGAGAAACCCTGTCTCTACTAAAAATACAAAAAAATTAGCTGGGCGTGGTGGCACATGACTGTAATTGCAGCTACTTGGGAGGGTGAGGCAGGAAAATTGCTTGGACCTGGGAGGCAGAGGTTGCGGTGAGCCAAGATCGTGCCATTGCCCTCCAGCCTGGGCAACAACAGTGAAACTCTTGTCTCAAAAAAAAAAAAAAAAAAATTAGCTAGGCATGGTGGTACACACCTGTAATCCCAGCTACTCAGGAGGCTAAGGCAGGAGACTCACTTGAGCCCAGGATGTGGAGGTTGCATTGAGCCAAGATTGTGCCACTGCACTCCAGCCTGGGCAACAGGGTGAGACTCTGTCTCAAAAAAAAAAAAACAAAAAACTCCGGACCTCAGGTGATCTGCCTGCCTCGGCCTCCCAAAGTGCTGGTATTACAGGCCTCTACTGTGCCCAGCCAGAGTTTCGTATTTTTAGTAGAAACAGGGTTTCGCCATGTTGGCCAGGCTGGTCTCGAACTCCTTATCTCAAGTAATCTGCCCGCCTCAGCCTCCCAGTGCTGGGATTACAGGTGTCAGCCACTGTGCCCAGCCTACTCCTCTCCTTATATTTCTGATTATTTCATACTCTTGGGATCTCTAAGATTATGAACTAGTTTATGCCTGATCATTTTAACTTCATGGTAATACAGGCTTGCTACATTTTTATTTTTATTTTTTATGTATTTTTATTTTTTAGTAGAGATGGGGTCTTGCCACGTTGCCCAGGCTGGTCTTGGACTCCTGGCCTCAAGCAATACTCCCTGCTCAGCCTCCTAAAGCGTTGAGATTACAGGCATAAGCTCCCACACCCGGCCTCGCTTAATACTCTGTATCAATAGAACGGAGGCTGTTCAACTGCTCTGCTAATAGTTTTTTTGTTTTTTTTTTTTAATGTCCCATCCTGGAACTGAGATTTCCTAGCATTCTCTTTTTCCTTATTTCAGAATGCTCCTTGTTCCAAAAAAGGCAATTACTTTTTTTGAGAAGGCTTTTCTGATCACACAATCTAAGGAAGCTCTTCTCTCTCCAGCCTTGAGGGTCTCTCTCTCAACCCCTCATTTGTTTCCTCCATCTCATTTATCACAATTTGTGATTTTGAACAACTAGTTATTCTTTAGGAGTCTACCTTCTACCTCCTCCAACAAAAGGTAGGCTTCATGAAACCAGTAACTTTGTTTAACTCATCTGTTGCCATATTCCTGGGACCTAGCCCTGTGGCTGGCACATAGTGCTCAAAAACTAGTGCTGAATGAATGAATGAAATGCAACTTATACCTCCTTTCACCAAATGCATCTTTTCCCTTTCTCCAGCTTTCTATCTCCTTTCTCTCCTGAACTTCTCTTTTCTCTCATTTTCCTTGCTGTGGCTCTTTCTCTTCCATTTATTAATACTTTTCCCCTTCACTCCCTTCTCTTAATTCCATTCATTCAACCAAACAACACTTCTGAACACCAACTCCATTTAAAGCACTGAGCCTTGCACTGTGAAAGACACAAAGTTGACACAACCCCTTCTCACACAGACCATACAATTTTTATCCTTTTCTCTTGCGTTTTACATCAGGGCTCATGAACTTCCTAGACTCCTGAAACAGTGATTTGTTACCAGTTTCCTAGAACAGTCCCAATATGAAATAACTGGGCTTGTCAATCCCACAATGCAGCACTCATAACTGCCTGTTGCTGGGTGCTTTGGTGTGGTGAATATACAGTGTGGTTGCACGCTCAAGGGCAGGGCTCCAGTGACCCCAGGCAGGATGAGAATAAGGCCCTCCTGGAGCCATTGAAGAGACTTGTCCCATGTGAGTGAGTCCTGCTCCTTGAGGTTCCCATGAACTCCTCCTGCCTCCCTAGTATCACACACTTGACTCACAATCTACGTGTACTCCATGGGCATTTCAGCTCTTCTCTCTTCCCTCAGGCAGAATTCTGCCTCTACGCTAGCCTGATGCCCTGCCTTATCACTTATACTTGGCTGGTTTCATTTTCTTCCCTACCCACATCTCAGTTTTCTAGAAATTGCCCTTGTAGAAGGAGCAGACCTATGTGGTCACGTTTGAGAGAGGAAAATGCCTCATGACTTTGCCCTTCTAGAGCCTGATCAAGGGTGGTCTCCCAAATTAAAGAGAATTCAGTCGCAGCTGGGCTGGGCCAGTCTCTCTCTCTCTCTTTTTTTTTTTTTTTTGCTAAGAATTCAAATTAGGAAACAGAGGAGATCCATCATCATTGATTGTGGACTTGTGAAAATGTATTCACTTGGGGTTGACAATCAGGTTGGGCCATGGGCAAACAGAGAATGTGGTCTGAGAGACAGAATAGAATCAGACTGGCACGGAGAGAAGCAAAGATCACAGAAACCATGAGGCCTCTGAGAGATGAAGAAACTACTTTGGTCCTTGGCAACTTCCCAAGGCCAGTTCTCATGAAGCCTGGCTTGATTTGACTCGTGTGATCATGAGACTGCCCCTGGCCTCTTACAGTATCTGCCCTCACTTAGCTGGCCTGAGTGGAGCTGTGTTCCCTGAAACCTAAGTGCATTCATCTAAACACATCTTCCTATATAGAATTCTCTTTTGGTTCCTGTCAGATTTATCCCTTCTATAGAACTCTGCTCTTGACTCAGACTCACCTTTAAGAGTGTGAACTCAGTTTTCCACCCCTTGATGAAGCTGCGTTGGCTCACCTGCCAGGAAATGTCCTGTGAACTGTCCTGAAAGCCCCCACGCGTTTCAGCTATCTCAAGTCAGTCTATTACCCAGCACTGCAATTATGCACCCACAGGCATTTACTATCTAATTATAGCAAGAGTTTTAAAACACTTTCTAGCTAATGACTTTTAAACACATTTTAAAAAGCGGTGTTATCAGATACAAGACACTATAATAATGACAACATTTCCTGATGTGTGCTACAGGTTTTATGTGCATTGGTTCACCCATGGCAACCTGAAGAACCATAACAATAAACATGTTTATCTGCTGTGCCGTGGCCAATACTGTCTCCCTCTCTCCTTTCCAGGGATAAAGGTGACAAATCTTTTTTTCAAATACAGTTTGTTCTGGTTTGTGGAAAGTACTCTGCAATCAATATACATGAAGAGAAACCTTACAATGTGATAGATATTGCTGGATCTCAGTTCAAAGATCCCATGTTTAATCAAGTACCTGGGTAAAGTATGAAATAGGAAGATCAAATGCAGGCTGTACGAAGGACAGTCAGGGAGTTAACCTAACAATCACTCATCTAAAACCAGAAAACTTGGTTATTTACTTGATACTGTGCAGAACCAGGATTTAGAACAACGTCACGATTATTTTCCAATATCCTGTTTTACTCAATGGATCTCAGATGGAGAGTGAAGAAGCAATTAAACTCCTCTGGTTTCAGCCCCAGTTAAAGACAAGGGACTCCTGTTTAATTGCAAAGCTGCTTACGACTGCCTTCGGGTATTATTTATTTACTCACTAATCACATCCTCAAATAATCAGCAACAGGCTAAGAGGAACTGGGGAGGCAACTGTGTGAATCTTTTGGATTCCTCAATTTGGGAATATGGACAGGGAGACTTAAATTAGATCGTTTTGGCCACATGACAAAGAGGAAAATGCAGTATTTAAAGAAAAGGGCCGGGTGTGGTGGCTCACGCCTATAATCCCTCAAGTGATCCACCAGGAGGATCAAAAAATTACCTGGGCATGGTGGCGGATGCCTATAATACAAAAATTACAAAAATTAGCTGGGTGTGGTGGCAGGTGCCTGTAATCCCAGCTGCTCGGGAGGCTGAGGCAGAAGAATCGCTTGAACCCAGGAGGCAGAGGTTGCAGTGAGCCGAGATCGTGCCACCACACTCCAGCCTGGGTGACAGAGTGAGATTCCGTCTCAAAACAAACAAACAAACAAACAAACACAAAACCGGTCATGGTGGCTCATGCCTGTAATCCCAGCATTTTAGGAGGCCAAGGAGGGTGGATCACCTGAGGTCAGGAGTTCGAGACCAGCCTGGCCAACATGGCGAAACCCTGTCTCTACTAAAAGCACAAAAATTAGCCAGGGGTGATGGTGCATGCCTGTAGTCCCAGCTACTTGGGAGGCTGAGATAGGAGAATTGCTTGAACCTGGGGGGCAGAGATTGCAGTCAGACGAGATGGTGCCATTGCACTCCAGCCTGGGTGACAGAGCCAGATTCCATCTCAAGAAAAAAAAAAGATGAAACCTACCTAAGAAGAAAAAGGAAGAGATGCAGACCTACTGTCACAGTGAAATGGATTAAGGCATGAACTAAGAGGCTGGGCCTGGTTACTCATGCCTGAAATCCCAGCACTTTGGGAGGCCGAGGCCGGAAGATCGCTTGAGCCCAGGAGTTCCAGATGACCTTGGGCAACATAATGAGACTGCCCCCCAATCTCTATAAAAAATTAAAAAAATTTGGCTGGGTACAGTGGCTGATGCCTGTAATCCCAACACTTTGGGAGGCCGAGGCAGGTGGATCACATGAGGTCAGGAGTTTGAGACCAGCCTGGCCAACATGGTGAAATACTGTCTCTACTAAATATACAAAAATTAGTTGGGTGTGGTGTTGGGTGCCTGTAATCCCAGCTACTCGGGAGGCTGAGGCAGAAGAATTGCTCAAACCTGGGAGGCAGAAGTTACAGTGAGCCGAGATCATGCCACTGCACTCCAGCCTAGGTGACAGAGCAAGACTCCCTCTCAAAAAAAAAAAAAAAAAAAAAAAAAAAAAGCTGGGTGTGGTGATGCACACCTATAGTCCCAGCTACTTGGGAGGCTGAGGTGGGAGGATCACTTGAGCCCAGGAGGTCAAGGCTACAGTGAGCCATAATTGCACCACTGCACACCAGCCTGCAAGACAGAGTGAAACTTCATCTCATTAAGAAAAAAAAAAAAGAAAAAAAAATACCTGGGCACCGTGGCTGATGCCTACAATCCCAGCACTTTGGGAGGAGGAGGTGGGCAGATCACCTGAGGTCAGGAGCTCGAGACCAGCCTGGCCAACATGGGGAAACCCCATCTCTACTAAAAATACAAAAATCAGCCAGGCATAGTGGCACACTCCTGTAATCTCCGCTACTTGGGAGGCTGAGGCAGAAGAATTACCGGAACCCAGGAGGCAGAGATTGCAGTGAGCTGAGATTGTGTCACTGCACTCCAGCCTGGGCGACAGAGCCAGACTCTGTCCCAAAAAAAAAAAAAAAAAAAAGCCACAAGTGAACAGCTAAGACATTCCCCTTTCCTCTACTAAATTGGTATTGGGAATCTTTCCAAGAAACTCTGTATCAACCTGCTTTTTTTTCTTTTCGAGGATTTGATCCTTTTTGATCCAAAGACATATGAAATTGAGTTTTATTCCAGAATTTTTTTTAAAAAGGTACACAATATGTGTTCCAAGGGTGACATACAAACAAACACAGGCAAAGTCTTTCTGAACAGCAGTCTCTACTTCAGGATTTTTAAATCAAAAGGAAAGGCCTGAAAAGGGTAGGGTAAGGATTGCTTTTTTTGCCCAAAGATCTCTCTCAAGAAGAAAACATAGTTTTAATTTTTTTTTTTTTTTTTTGAGACAGAGTCTCGCTCTGTTGCCCAGGCTGGAGTGCAGTGGAGCAATCTTGGCTCACTGCAACCTCCACTTCCCGGGTTCAAGTGATTCTCCTGCCTCAGCCTCCCAGTAGCTGGGATTACAGGTGCCTACCACCACATCTGGCTAATTTTTTTTGTATTTTTAGTAGAGATGGGATTTCACCATGTTGGGTAGGCTGGTCTCAAACTCTCGACCTCAAGTGATCCGCCCAACTTGGCCTCCCAAAGTGCTGGGATTACAGGTGTGAGCCACTGTGCCTGGGAGTTTTAATTTTTAATAAGAATAAAGTTTTAACAAGGAAGAGGAAAAAAGAATTTTATTAGCTTTACGTGTTAATATAAACACACAGACCAGAAATGTTCATCTCCCTTTTTCCCTCTACCCCACCAAATCATCCACCTAACAATATAAGAAGAATTTCTTTTGCCTCAGATGAAAAGCAAAACGGATTTGGGGATCTGAGTTCTTTTTCTAGGATGTTTTGACCCTGAATATGTTCCTGAACTCCAAGGACCCTGAGAATCAATTCCCTTCAATCTAGCAATTGTTCAGGCTACAGGGTCTCCCGCCTAGATTATAATATTTCCATTTAGTTTCACGCCTCACATCAATTTTAACTGCACTTCTTAGAAGAATGGTATAGCAAAACCTAAAAGATACTCTCTAAAAATGAGTCCAGTGTTGGAAGTTTCAACATTTGGCCTTTTGTGTCAGTAGTGCAAGGCCCCGCCTCCATCAGATACCCAGGGGGGCGGATGAAAGGGCAAACTTCGCTGGGGAACACAGGCTCCTCTGTGCACAATTCAAGCCTAGTCAATAGCAACCCGGGCATGGAATGTGCTCCGTGGGGTGTGCTGAGTGTACTCCTACACAAAAGGCATTCTCCAAAGATAACCTACCTGGGTTGAAATAAAAAATAATATTTAATAAATCCTGGTCTCCCCACGTGATGGCATTCTTGTACTTCTGGTACAGAGGGTACAACATGTCCTCCCAAGCCAGGCCTGTTGGAATCATGCTGTTCTGGAAAAAAGAAAACCATCAGAACAGCTGAAGCAAAGCAAATACATTTTGTCCACTGAGAAACAATGTAAAGGGACTAGTTTTCTTCCCTTCAGAGGAGGGAAACAAATACAGGAGGGGTCCTGCTATTCTCAGGTCACAGAACAAAGCAAAATTTGGGCTGTTGATTGTATCGCTTTTTTCAGCTGTACACACGGATACTAGATAGACCAGGGACTGAAAGTTGAACCTATGGTTTCTACTCAGAAAACCATGCCTGGAATTGAACCCCTTCCTTTCTTCTCTTCCCTCCCTCCCTCCCTCCCTTCCTTCCTGTGTTTTTGTTTTTGTTTTTGTTTTGAGACAGAGTCTTGCTCTGTCGCCCAGGCTGGCATGCAGTGGCACAATCTTGGCTTACTGCAACCTCCACCTCCCGGGTTCAAGCGATTCTCGTGCCTCAGCCTCCCAGGCAGCTGAGACTACGGGTGCACGCCATCACGCCCGGCTAACTTTTTGTATTTTTAGTAGAGATGGGGTTTCCCCCTGTTGGCGAGGCTGATATCAAACTCCTGACCTCGAGTGACCCACCTCCCTCCCAAAGTGCTGGGATTATAGGCGTGAGTCCCCACACCTAAGAGGCGAAGTCTTTCTCAACAGCAGTCTCTACTTCAGGATTCTCTACTCTACTTCACCTTTCTTAGGTGAACATCTTTCTTAGGCTTATTTCCTCACTGTGAGGTGAAGGAACAAAATACAGATAACAGAGTTCAGGTATCTTAAGGAAAAACACCTTTCCTTGTCTTAAACAATGATTTACTTTTAAAATAAAAGTAACATATTCACAGACTGAATTATTCAAACAGCACACAAAAATATAAAATAAAAAAGTAAAAATATTCTTCTTCCATATCCCATTCCCATTTTCCCCAGACGTATCCACAGTTAACAATTAATGGTCTCTTAGGTATTCTTCTGGACATGTCTTTTTCTTTCTTTCTTTCTTTTTTTAGAGACAGGGTCTCACTCTGTTGTTTAGGGTGAAGTGCAGTGGCTATAATGCAGCCTCGACCTCCTGGGCTCAAGCGATCCTCCCATCTCAGCCTCCCAAGTAGCTGAGACTACAGCCACGTGACACCATGCCCCATTAATTCTTCTGGAAATTTCTAAGGCATACAAATAATCACAGTCTCTGTCGCCAGGCTGGAGTACAGTGGCGTGATCTTGGCTCACTGCAACCTCTGCTGTTCGGGTTCACACGATTCTCCTGCCTTAGGCTCCTGAATAGCTAGGACTACAGGTGTGCGCCATCATTCCTGGCTAATTTTTGTGTTTTTAATAGAGACAGGGTTTCGCCATGTTGGTCAGGCTGGTCTCAAACTCCTGGCCTCAAGTGATCCACCTGCCTTGGTCTTCCAAAGTGCTGGGATTACAAGTGTGAGCCACCACCCCTGGCCAGGAGGATAATTTTTTTTGACTAGTTCTCTACTGATGTTCTTTTAGCTTCTTTCCACTTCTTTGCTAGGATAAAAGATGAGATCACGAACATCCTTATACAAATATCGTCACGGACTTACATAAATAATCCCTAGGGTAATTTGAAGAAATTTTACATAGTCTTTGAAGCATTGGGTATGAAGCGTTCAAACATTATGGAATTCAGAAATGCAACATAGTATTCCTGAATGGCGACTTTGCTGAAGCTTTAAATTCCATTGCCATCTGAGCTTTTCCTGAATAAACAAATATTCTATAATTTTCTAAATACTTTTCTCTGGTTCCTTTTATCCTCACCTATAGGCCACCCAATTTCCAAAATCAGCATATTGACACTCTGGTAGTGCCACTGTTGACAAGACCAACTCCCAGTCTTTAAACAAGGAATTTTAAAGCACTCGTTTACCTTGAACTGGGTACTTCTTATCCGAGTTAAATTCATTAACATGACTCCTGAATTAACTCCTGCAGAGCCATAGAAAGGATGCCTAGCAAAGCGGCTGTACCAGCCAATCTTGGGGATTTCGTGCTCAGGGGCCATGGCTGCAAGCTGGGTGGAATTAAACAGCCTCAGAAGCTTCCAGATGTCATCAACAGGTCTCAGAAAGAGGACATCGGTGTCCACGTAGAGAAGTGAGTCCACATCCTTTAAAATCACCTTTGTGTGTAAGGAGTGGGTGTAAAGGGGAGAGGAGGGAAGAAAACAAAACAAAAACAGGTCAGAAACAAAGGAAGTAGCCTGATAGGTAAATAATGCTACCAACTTTTGTTGATTCGTATTAAATTCTGGAAAGGTACCACTCTTAGCTTCCATTCCTTCCTTCTCCTTTGACTTGAGGAATGAGTGTCAATCAAGAGGTAGAGACTTAAAAGAAGATAAATCTTGGTCTGGATTAGCCCAATTCTGGGACCCTGGACTATATTTGATAAGGGTTGAACTTACAAAAAAAAGAAAACATCAGCAAATTATTGTGGCTCTCACTTCTTCCATCTTCCAATAAGGCCACTTGTTTTTCTCTCTTAGGTTTTCCTTGGAACATCCAGTGTGGCATTAGAAAACCTGAAGTGGACAATCTCTATTTATTTATTTATTTATTTATTTATTTATTTATTTATTTTTGAGATGGAGTCTCACTCTGTCGCCCAGGCTGGAGTGCAGTGGCCTGATCTTGGCTTACTGCAACCTGAAGTGGACAATCTCTAAAGCAGCTCATACCAAGCCTTGGGGGTAAATACTCTCCATCTTTGGATCCATTTCTTCTAGTGTTAATGGGGGGCCCTGCATCTTTTAAAATATATATAAATATATATAAATACAAATACACACACACACACACACACACACACACACACACAGGCTGGGAGCAGTGGCCTGTAATTCCAGCACTTTGGGAGGCCAAGGCAGGCGGATCACGAGGTCAAGAGATCGAGACCATCCTGGCCAACATGTTGAAACCCTGTCTCTACTAAAAATACAAAAATTAGCTGGGCGTGGTGGTGTGCGCCTGTAGTCCCACCTACTCAGGAGGCTGAGGCAGAAGAATCGCTTGAACCCGGGGAGGGGGCGGAGGTTCCAGTGAACCAAGATAGCACCACTACACTCTAGCCTGGCAACAGAGCAAGACTCCATTTCAAAATAAAAAATTAAAAAAATATATAGTTTGCAGATGAGGGTCTTGCTCTGTTGTCCGGGTTGCAGTGCAGTGGCATGCTCTTGGCTCACTGCACTCTCAATCTCCTGGACTCAAGTGGTCGTCCCACCTCAGCCTCCCGAGTAGCTAGGACGACAGCTACACACCACCATGCCTGGCTTTTTAAATTATTTGTGGAGACGAGGTGTTGTTATGTTGTCTGGGCTGGTCTTAAACTCCTGGACTGAAGTGATCCTCCCACCCTGGCCTCCCAAAGTGCTGGGATCACAGGTGTGAGTCACTGTGACCCGCCTAAAATGTATTTTTAGCTAAGACTTGGTCTTGGGATTAGGCAATGCAAGTCATTGGCTAGCTTTGTTTGTGTATCAGCATGCGGCAACCTTTTTCCTCTAAAGGGCCAGATAGTAAATATTTCAGGCTCTGTTGCAACTCCTCAAATCTGCTGTTGTAACATGAAAGCAGCCACTGATAACAGATAAACAATGAGAGTGGGCCGGGCACAGTTTCTTCAAAACAACAGAATTTGAAGATTCTAATTTCAATCCTAGCACTTTGGGAGGCCGAGGCAGGCAGATAGCTTGAGCCCAGGAGTTCAAGACCAGCCTGGGCAAATGGTGAAACCCCATCTTTATCAAAAAATAGAAAAATTAGCCAGGCATGGTGGCATGCGTCTATAGTCCCAGCTACTCAGGGAGCTAAGGTGGGAGGGTTGCTTGAACCTGGGAGGCAGAGGTTGCAGTGAGCCAAGATCACACCACTGCACTCCAGCCTGTGCGACAGAGACTCTGTCTCAAAATAATAATAATAATGACAATAATAATATTAAGAGAGTGGCTGTGTGTCCTAATAAAAGTTTATTTCAGGACACGGAAGTTTGAATTTCATATAATTTTCAGATGTCACAAAACATCCTTCTTTTGATTTTTCAACCATATGAAATGTAAAAGCCACTCCTGGCTCACAGGCTGTGGTTTGCTAACCTCTGCTTGGATGATTCAAGCCACCTTAGGTAAATTAGTTCTCCTGTGCGAACTGCTTAGCTTTCCAGAGCTTTGCTGGGTGATTTGAGACTTCAAAGCCTTAGCTAGTAGTAGCATTATTTGCTTTGTTTTGCCATTGTTCCTCAAACTTTGGGGTAGCTTAACCAAGGAAGGATTTGAATCTTCCTGTATCCTTGGCCTAACATCATCCCAACACCATAACACTTATGGACTGAATGTCTGTGTCCCCAACATTCATATGTTGAAGTCCTAACCCACAATGTGATGGCTTTTGGAAAGGGGCCTTTGGGAGATAATTGGGTTTAGCTGAGGTCAGAAGGATAGGGCTCTCAAGATGGGATCAGTGCCCTTATAAGAAGAGACACCAGAGAGTGCTCTCTCTCTCTCTGCCATGTGAGGACAGAGGGAGAAGGTGGCCATTTGCAAGCCAGGAAGAGGCTCCATCACCACAACCTGACCATGCTGACACCCTGATCTCAGACTTCCAGCCTCCAGAACCATGAGAAAATAAATTTCTGTTGTTTCAGCCACCCAGTCTTGTATTTTGTTACGGCAGCCCAAGCAGACTAGTATAACATGCCACTGGGATCCCCAATATTTAAAACTGATGAACATGGGTGCTACACGATACAAGTATCAAAGGAACTTCAGACCTGAGTAATTCTGAAGCCCACAGAATTAGCCACAGGATTTATCTTTTGTTCTTCACCTACTAGAGAAATGGATGTTGCAAACCAATAAAATGAAATTAAAAATACTGATCATCTACCATTTCATAAATGAAGATTATCTTAACATCCATTTTAAGAATTTGAAGATTCTAAGCCAGGCACGGTGCCTGGGAGGCTGAGGCAGGCAGATCACTTTAGGTCAGGAGTTTGAGACCAGCCTGGCCAATATGCTGAAACCCTGTCTCTACTAAAAATACAAAAATTAGCCGGGGGTTGTGGTGTGTGCCTGTAATTCAAGATACTCGAGAGGCTGAGGTACAAGAATTGCTTGAGCCCGGGAGGTGAGCGTTGCAGTGAGCCGAAATGATGACACTGCACTCCAGCCTGGGTGACAGAGTGAGACTCTGTCTCAAAAAAAAAAAAAAAGCTGGGCATGGTGTCACGTGCCTATAATTCCAGCTACTCAGGAGGCTGAGGCAGGAGAATCCCTTGAACCCGGGAGGCAGAGGTTACAGTGAGCTGAGATTGTGCCACTGCACTGCAGCCTGGGAGACAGAGTGAGTAAGACTCTGTCTCAAAAACAAATAAAACAAAACAAAAAAACAAAAAAATAAACAAAACAAAACAAAACAAAAAAACAGAATTTGAAGATTCTAATTTCAAAATTAGGAAGAATTCTGAATATTGACTGCTTCTTAAACTAAGCATTTAAAGTTTCAGCATGCTCATTTTGGTATGTAGATCATATTTCAAAGGAACACACAAAAGTAGCCCTAAGGGTACATCTCAGAGAAATGTGAGAAAACAGCACTTAAGAATCGTGAGTCTGGTATTCCTGAGTTCAAGTCTTGGCAGCCTGAGGTAATACCCTCGTGACTTCAGACAAGTTCCTCAGTTTACCACCCACCCAAGTTGTTAAAAGGATGCAGTGAAATGAAACCCACGAAGTACTCAGTACAGTGGCTGGCACATAGTAAGTACTCAATAAATAGTGGTTTTGTAAGAAGTCTCTGTGTTTTCGCTTTTAAAATGTCAAGTATAATTAGTTACCATTCGCATCAATGCTCACAGCACTTCAAAACACGTGTCAACCACAAAAAGCCTTTTATGTAGTCAGAGTCAAGCAGTGCAATGAAGTTTTTGAACCTTCCTAATATGATCCACTCAGTACCTGGACTGAAAATAAGTACATAAGGACTTTTTACTCTTTATCTGAAAAAACAAAAGACCAAAAAAAAAATCACTTTTTGATAACATTGCATCTCTAGAGGCTAATTCTGCAGCAATTACTGCTGGTATTAATTTGAAGAGGATCATTGTTGGCCATGTTATAATGGGATGTGGGATATTTATCGAAAGGATATAAAATTAGCCATTCTAATTCCTTTATGGAAATTAGCCAGCACTAGCAATGAGGCCTTTGTTTTTTTAGAGTGAGGGGCGGGGTTAAAAGGCAGCACACAATAGTACTCTGTACCCGATGCTGCTGGCTATAATGTAATGGATCTTCCTGCTCCTGCTCCATGCACCACCCTAACCTGGGCACCCACCTCCAGTGAACCCTGCTCAGCCATCTGCACCAAGTGTGAGCCAAAGACTGGCCATGGGCAGCAAGACGATCAGGGGCTCACCAGTGCACCTTCAAATTCATTTTCAATTTGTTGTAATTCTAGTCTGAGTTTGACAGTATGACTTGGTGGTTAAAAGTTTTAGGTTTGAAATCTGGCAACCTACGTTCAAATTCCATTTCCACCACTAACTATGTGATCTTGAACAAGCTCTTTTGGCCCATTTTTTTTTTTTAGACAGGGTTTCACTCTGTCACCCAGGTTGGAGTGCAGTGGTGCAATCATAGCTCACTGAGCCTTGACCTCCTAGGCTCAAGTGTTCCTCTCATATCAGCCTCCTGTGTAGCTGGGTCCACAGGCATGAGTTACCGCGGCCAGCTAATTTTTTCTTTTTTCTTTTTTTGAGATGAAGTCTCGCACTGTCGCCTGGGCTGGAGTGCAATGGCGTGATCTCGGCTCACTGCAACCTCTGCCTCCTGGGTTCAAGCGATTCTCCTGCCTCAACGTCTGGAGTAGCTGGGATTACAGGTCTGTGACACCATACCTGGCTAATTTTTGTATTTTTATTAGAGACGAGGTTTCACCATGTTGGCCAGGCTGGTCTTGAACTCCTGACCTCAAGTGATTCGCCCGCCTCAGCCTCCCAAAGTCCTGGGATTACAGGTGTAAGCCACTGTGCCCAGCTGCTAATTTTTTTGTTTTTTTGTAGAGACAGGCTCTTGGTTTGTTGCCAGGTTGGTCTTGAACTCCTGGGCTCAAGTCATCCTCCTGCCTTGGCCTCCCAAAGTGCTGGGATTACATGCCTGGCCTGCTTAAGCATTCTAAGTCTCAGTTTCCTCTTCCTGTAAATGGGATTGATAACCCATTTCATAATGCTGCCAGGATGATTAAATGAGATGATGTGTGTGAAGCCCCTGGCACACACACAGCAAGGACTCAATAAATGCTATGTGATCTTATTCTCATCCCACTCTCATGAGGGCTAGGTTTCCTGACTGACAGCCCAGGTAACCAGCAACTGGCTATGGTAGTAGTAGTAATGAAAGAATGAGGCCGGGCACTGTGGCTCACACCTGTAGTCCCAGCACTTTGGGAGGCTAAGGCGAGCGGATCATGAGGTCAAGACATAAAGACCATCCTGGCCAACGTGGTGAGACCCCATCTCTACTAAAAATACAAGAAAAGTTGGCTGGGCATGGTGTCACGTGCCTGTGGTCTCAGCTACTCCGGAGGCTGAGGCAGGAGAATCGCCTGAACCCGGGAGGCGGAGGTTGCAGTCAGCTGAGATCGCCCCATGGCACTCCAGCCTGGTGATGGAGCAAGACTCCATCTCAAAAAAAAAAAAAAAAAAAAAAAAAAAAGAAAAAGAAAGAAAGAATGATACATATTCCCTGTTCACAGGAGCTTTAATGGGGGAGACAGAAAAGGGGCAAAGCAAAGTGATGATGAGAAGGTTAGCACAGAAGCACAAAGCAGAGCCCTTAAGCCAGGCTGGAGGAAAAGTAAGGAAAGCTTCCCAGCAGAAGTGACATCTAAGCTAAGAGATAAATAAGCGGAGAGCAGGGCAAACATGGAAGAGCATGTGAAAAGAGAGGGCATGGCAAAGGGAGGACTGCCAGTTGCTCCAGGGCTGGAGTTTACAGTGGGAGGAGGGGTGAGAGATCAGGCTGTCCAAGTGGGCAGGTGCCCGATCAGGAACTATGTTGACAAATTTGGACTTAATCCTGAGAGCAACAGGAAGATATGTTCAATGACTTGACCCAGACACCTCTAGGTCATCCTTGCTTCCTCGCCTACCCATACTGCCCGCATCCAATCCTCAGCAAGTCACACAGGCTCTACCTCCAAAATGTCTGAGTCTGTCCATTTCTCTCCTTCTCTGCTTCCTCACCCGAAGTCCAAGGCACCATGACAGTTCTCCTAGAATTCTGTAAAGTTCTGTTCCCTGGGCTCCCTGTGTCTGCACTTGCCCCCTCCAATCCACTCCTCACAGAGCAGTCAAAGGGATTTTTTTTTTTTTTTTTTTTTGAGACAGAATCTTGCTCTGTCACCAGGCTGGAGTGCAGTGGCATGATCTTGGCGCACTGCAACCTCCACCTCCCAGGTTCAAGCCATTCTCCTGCCTCAGCCTCCCAAGTAGCTGGGATTACAGGCGCCCACCACCACGCCCAGCTAATTTTTGTATTTTCAGTAGAGACGGGGTTTCACCATGTTGGCCAGGATGGTCTCGATCTCATGACCTCGTGATCCACCCGCCTTGGCCTCCCAAAGTGCTGGGATTACAGGCGTGAGCCACTGCGCCTGGCCCGGGATTTTTAATTTCCATTGTGACTTGTTCTTCAACCCATCAGTTCTGTACAAGTGTCTTGTTTAATTTCCAAATATTTGGAATTTTCCAGATATCTTTTTGTTATCCACTTCTAAGTTAACTCCCTTGTAGTCAGGGAGCACACTGCAGGATTGCCATCTTTTCGAATTGACTGAGACTTGTTTTATGGCCCAGGATACGGCCTATCTTGGTGAATGTTCCCTGTACATTTGATAAAAAAAAGTTTATGCTGCAGTTGCTGGGAGGAGTAGTCTATAAATGCTATAGCTGTTGATGAGGTCACTTGGTTGATAGTGTTGTCAAGGTCTTCTATATCCTCACTGGTTTTCACGAGCTCCATGGAGCTTTACATCCAGACACAAAGAAAAAGGGATGGAGAAATGTGGAGTTACTGCAAATTCATTTATATCAACAGGTATAATTAGGGAATCATTAATCATTTTCCCACTAATGATAGTTAGTTATTAAAAGAGGAATGTTGGAATCTCCAACTCTGTGAATTTATCTTTTTCTCTATTTGTCTAGGAATGTTTTTGCTTCGTGGAACTGGAAGCTTTGTTATGAAGTGTACACTCATTTGAGATGGTTACGCCTTCCTGATGGGTTGATCCTTACATCGTTATGCAATGTCCAGAGGGCTTTGAAACAAAAACAAAAACCTACAATAAATCATCCTACTTTTATCCTCAAACCCCTCCAAGGCCTTTCACTGCATTTCTTTCTTTTTTTTTAGAGATGGAGTTTTGCTCCTGTTGCCCAGGCTGGAAGTGCAATGGTGTGACCTTGGCTCACTGCAACCTCCGCCTCCTGGGTTCAAGCGATTCTCCTGCCTCAGCTTCCTGAGTAGCTGGGAACACAGGTGCCCACCACCACACTTGGCTACTTTTTTGCATTTTTAGTAGAGGCAAGGTTTCACCATGTTGGCTAGGCTGGTCTAGAACTCCTGACCTCAAGTGATCCACCCATCTCCACCTCCCAAAGTGCTGGGATTACAGGTGTGAGCCACTGTGCCCGGTCTTCACTGCATTTCAAATAGTCACACCTGTACCATAGTCTATGAAAGGCTCCATAGGATATACACACTCCGTCTACCTCTCCAACTTAGTTTGCTGTCACCAGTGTTCCTCCACCGCGTAGCACAATCCATTTTTTTTTGGCTCCAGGGCCTTACACCTTTCATTACTGCTCTATTACCGTCAAAGTCAGCAGTGGATAGGGAGCTAAATAATCCTAATAGAAAGCCAATGAGCTCCTAATTCTCTCCCCGTCTACAGCCAGGGTCTTCTCTATCTGAGATGCGCTTAAATATTTGTTTCTATCTTTGTCTTTGCTTAGATAGAAACAAATATTTAAGTCCCCTCTGTCAGAAAGAAAACACAAAATTGAAACAATAGGCCAGGTGTGGTAGCTCATCGGGCACTTTGGGAGCAGGAGGTGGGAGGATCGCTTGAGGCCAGGAGTTTGAAAACAGCCTGGGCCATGTAGTAAGGCCTCATCTCTTCAATAATATTAATAATAGTAATAATAGCAATAATAGTAATAAAGTAGCTGGGTGTGGTACTGTGCACCTGTAGTCCTAGCTACTTCGGAGGCTGAAGTGGGAGGATCATTTGAGCCCTGGAGTTTGAGGCTGCAGTGAGCTATGATCACACCACTGCACAGAGGCCTAGGCAACAGATGGAGACCTGTCTCTTAAACAAATAAAAACAAAATTAAAGCTATAAATTTCTAATTTAACAAAGGAATCATCTTATCATGGACTAAATGTTTATGTTTCCCCCAAGTTCATATGTTAAAATCTTAACCCACAAGGTGATGGTATTAAGAGGTAGAGTCCTAAAAGGTGATAAGGTTATAAGGGTGGAGCCCTCACGAATAGGATTAGCACCCTTATAAAGAAGGCCTCGGAGAGCTCTCTCACCCCTTCCACCACAGGAGGACACGGTGAGAAGGCACCATCTATGAATCAGGAAGCAGGTCCTCACCAGACAGATGCTGAATCAATCTTTTGGTGCCTTTATCTTAGACTTCCCAGCCTCTGGAACCGAGAAGTAAATTTCTGTTGTTTATAAGCTACCTAACTTATGGTCTTGTGTTCTTGCCGCCTGAACTAAGACATGCCTTCTGGAATGACTTAGTCTTCTCTACGACTGGGATGTCTTCTCTCTCACTTTATTTCCTAAGTTCATTAAGATGATAAGGCCCTCAAATGTACTTTAAAATGACATCCTTTTTTTTTTTTTTTTTTTTTTTTTTTTCAGACAGGGTCTTGCTCTGTCACCCAGGCTGGAGTGCAGTGTCACAATCGTGGCTCACTGCAGCCTCAACTTCCTGGGTTCAGCTGACCCTCCCATCTCAGCCTCTCCAGTAGCTGGGACCGCAGGCATATATCATCAGGCCTAGCTAATTTTTAAATTTTTTGGAGAGACAAGGTCTCGCTATGTTGCCCGGATTGATCTCAAACTCCTGAGCTCAAGCAACCCTCCCATCTTGGCCTCCAAAAGTGCTGGTATTACAGGTGTGAGCCACCACACCCAGCCAAAAGAAATGGCATCTTTATTGATTATGAAATACATGTATTGCCCCTGATGCTTTAGTCAGTTTCTAGGTTTGTGAACTCTTGTTTTTGATCATTGCCTAAAGTACTAAAACTGTGATTAGTGCAGTATTAAAACTGTGATTAGTGTGAAAATTAATGCTTCCCAATCATATCTGCTGATGTAGGTGAATTAGCAGTCACTGCGCATTCTGCCCTCTTTCCCTGAGACTGCAGGTAAAGCTTCAGGGAGCTCCTGCTGTTCATGATAAGCAACTTCCCAGGCCTGCTGGTGAAGTGTCACCAAATGCTTCCCAAATGCCAGGCAGAGCACTTCACTCATTATTCTTGAACACTCAGGTCTGACTCATCCCTTCTTAGAAAGATTTTCCCAGAGGGCTCCCCCTTCCTTCCTTCCATTTTCTCTTCATCATACCACCCGACTTCCTTCCTTCCGTCATGTCTCACAGTCAATGGCCTTTGGTTAAATTATTTTCTCATCTGTTGCTTGCCTCCTCTAACTAGAATAGAAACCCCTTGAGGGCTGGGATCTTCTGTATCTAGGTAACATCTAAAGTCTGTGTGCCTGGCCCATGCCTGACATAATATATGCTAGGCATCCAATAAATATTTACACAAGCTAAGGAATTCAACTGTTGAGCTCACTCAGAAACACTATTATTTTATTTTATTTTTATTTTTTTATTTTTTGAGATGGAGTCTTGCTCAGTCGCCCAGGCTGGAGTGCAGTGGCGCGATCTCAGCTCGCTGCAAGCTCCGCCTCCCGGGTTCACACCATTCTCCTGCCTCAGCCTCCTTAGTAGCAGGGACTACAGGCGCCTGCCACCACACCCGGCTGATTTTTTTTTTTTTTTTGTAGTTTTAGTAGAGACAGGGTTTCACCGTGTTAGCCAGGATGGATAACCACTATAATTTTAAATACGCTTTGAGGCTGATTGTAGAAGAGAAGGACAGGTTCTAAGTGACGAGAAGATCTGTGAACAAATGAAGTGCAGAAGACTCAAGTTCATGAAGGAAAACCACTGCATTGCCAATCACGGGAATATCCTGCTTTTGCTTGCATGTCTGGGACGTCACCCTCTAGGCCTCTGTTGACAAGACAGCTAGGTTGCTACGCACATCATTCCACTTCCTTACCTCTCATGCATTTCGAAAATGCCCTGCAAACTAAAGGGCTAGAAAGAGAGCTAGGGGAGGAAAAGAACAGAAGCAAAGACAAAGTTGTCATTCAGATTCAAGCAGAAGTGAATTTCAGAGAGGGAAACTTTGGAAAATGAGCCTGCTGATAATCAGGAGAGAGAGGAAATATTAAAGAGGATTAATTCAGGAGGTGGAAACAGAGAAGAGCAAACAACAGTTTCAGAAGAAAAAGAGAAACACTCTTTTTGTGCCAAGAGAAGATATCACCTACATACATAAAAAACAAACAGCTGGGGCCGGGTGCGGTGTACTCCCAGCACTTTTGGAGGCTGAGGCGGGCGGATCACTCGAGGTCAGGAGTTCAAGACCAGCCTGGCCAAGATGGTGAAACCCCATCTCCACTAAAAATACAAAAATTAGCTGGGCATGGTGGCACACGTTTGTAATCCCAGCTACTCGGGAGGCTGAGGCAGGAGAATCACTTGAACCTGGGAGTTGGAGGTTGCAGTAAACTGAGATTGTGTCACTGCACTCCAGCCTGGGCAACAGAGCCAGACAGTCTCAAAAAAAAAAAGAAAAAAAAAGAGCCAGGTGTGGTGACATGTGCCTGTGGTCCTAGCTACTTGGGAGGCTGAGGCAGGAGGATTGCTTGAACCCAGGAGGTTGAGGCTGCAGTGAACTATGATCACACTACTGCACTCCAGCCTGGGTGAGAGAAAGAGACCCTGTCTTTAAACAAACAAACAAAAAGACTTGAATATAATGAAAATATCAACTATTAATCTATACAGAATCAGAAAGTCACAGTCTTGATGTATAAAAAATCAAATTATAACTAAAGAAATGATGCTCCCAGCCAGGCATGGTGGCTCACGCCTGTAATCCCAGCACTTTGGAAGGCCAAAATGGGAGGACAGCTTGAGCCCAGGAGTTTGAGACTAGCCTGGGCAACATAGCAAGGCTCCACCTCTAAAAAAAAAAAATGATGCTCTCAATGGAAAGGTGCAAGCAATACAGACACTAGTTTCAGCTCGGGAAGATGCAAACATTTTAGCACAACAGTGTGTCTGTCCTTAATGCCACAGAACTGGACACTTAGATATGGTTAAAATGGTACATTTTATGTGATTTCTATTTATCATAATAAAGAACAGGAAAAAGAGGCTGGGTGCTGTAATCACGCCTGTAATCCCAGCACTTTGGGAGGCCAAGGCAGGAGGATCACTTGAGGCCAGGAGTTCCAGACCAGCCTGGGCAACATGGTGAAACCCCATCTCTACAAAAAAATAAAAAGTTAGCCAGGCGTGGTGGGGCGTGCCTGTGGTCCCAGCTACTCGGGAGGCTGAGGAGGGAGGATCACTTGAGCTCAGGAGATCAAGTCTAGAGTGAGGCATGTTCATGCCACTGCACTCCAGCCTGGGCAACAGAGGGAGACCCTGTCTCCAAAAAAAAAAAAAAGGAAAAAGAGAAATACAGATACCATTACTGCATTTTTTCAGTTAAAATAAAGATTGCTTTATGTGTACTCTATTGTATTTATTCACCCATTTTTATCTTTGTAAATTTTCACTTCCTTAAGCCAAATACATTTTGAGAAGTTATTCCAAGATAATACTTAATTTCTGTAATTATATGAGGTCCCTGTCCTCCTTTTTCCCCCTTTTCCTTTTTGAAGCATCCATCATTTCTGAAACACACATCTCTTTGGGTAAAATGTGTTGTCAAAGCTGCTTGACTGTGCTGATTTTCACCCACTGTGTCTGGCTGTGTTTTTAAATTTTTTATTGTGAGATCATTTTAAATTTACAGAAGAGGTGTAAAAAGTTCAGAGAGTTCCCATATATTCTTCACTCAGCTTTCTCTTGTGTTAACATCTTACATAACAAGAGAACAGTAATCAAATCTAAGAAATTAACCCTGGTATAAATACTACTAAATAAACTAAAGAACTTATTCAGATGTCACCAGTTTTTCCACAAATCTCCTCTTTCAGTTCCAAGATCCAAACACTGAATTTATTTGTCACATCTCCTTAGTCTCCTCCAATCTGTAACAATTTCTCAGCCTTTCCTTTTTTTTTTTTTTTATAACCTGGACAGCTTTGAAAACACTGGCCGGTTATTTAGAACAAAGTCCCTCAATTTGGGTGTCTGATGTTTTCGCATGTTTAGATTGAGGTTATGCTTTATTGGGAAGAACAGAGGTGAAACACGCCTGGGCATATACGATGTTGACCGGGCCAAGTGATATCAGTCTTGATTGCTTGGCAAAGGTGGAGTCTGACAATATTCTCCACAGTCAACTAAGGATTTCCCCTTTTTCTTTACTAAATATTTTGGAGGAGATACTTTAAAAATCATACAAATATCATGTTTCTGGTTAAACTTTCACTCCTTAATTTTAGCATTCACAGGTAGATCTTACCCGCAGTAATTATTACTATGGTGCTCTAACAATGATTTTCTATTTGCCTCCTTCTTTCTACATGTATTAACTGGAATTTTCTATAAGGAAGAGGTGTGATTTTTCTCCATTTATTTATTTATTTATTCAGTTATGTATTTATTTTTTTAATTCAGTTATTTATTTAGATTGGTGTGGACTTATGAAAAATTATTTTAAGTGTTATAATTAAATACTATCATTATTTATTTTGTTGCTCAAGTTGTTCCAGCTCAAGTCATTTGGAGCTCTTTCAGGTTGGCTCCTACCTCTTCCAATATGAACCCCCTCCTTTTAAAAATTATTTTTATTATTAAAAAATATTTTTTAGCACATCCTTACCTTCTGGCACCATAAGGTTAACTCCAGGGGCATCTTGCATTTTCCCTGCCTTCAGCCAGGAATGAACAGTTCTCCCAGGAGCCCTGGGTTCCTTTGGAGGATGGAATTCAGAAACCAATATCTAGGTGCTAGGTGTGTTCATTGCTACTCAGGTGTCACTGCTTCTAGCCTCCTAACAGTAGACAGAGCTAGGAAATACATGTATGTATACAAACCCATGTATACATACATATCCATAATTACTTCTTTTTCTTATTTTTATCTTTTCCTTTTTTTCACAGATGTTGAGTATCCATAATTACTTCTTTACTTATCTGTACCTATATATTTATTTAAAAAAACATGAGTCCACATTGACACTGATCTCAGGACTGTGCGGGCATGTGTGTATGTGTGTGTGTGTCTGCCTGTGAGAAATAATTTGTTAAAGGCAAAGAGAATTCTGAGCTTAGATTACTAGGGTGTTGGGCTAAGATTACTAGGTGTGATTTTAATAAGTGAGGCTGGAGGTAGGGGCGTAGAATGGCCAGGTTATTGTCTCCAGGCAACAGTATGGCAGAGGGTAATGTGCACAGCATCTGGGAAAGAGTGACACACACTAGAGTGGCTGGAATGGGAAATTCATGACTTGGAATAATGCTGAAAGTTAGTATGTAAACTCAGAATGCAAAGGGCCCTCAACATCAGGCCCAGAGGCCTGGACTTGACTCTGCAACAGGGACTCTAGGAGGATTCTGGGCCAGAATCCATCTGATGAGGATAGCATTCAAAAACCAAAAATGCAGGAGTAGTAACAGGAGAATAGAGACACATGTAGCAGGGAGATGAGTAAACAGGATAATATAATAACCCTTTTCTCTATTATCATTGCCACCTTTATTTTTTGTCTTAATTGTAAATACATGCAGACCCAGAACACATGGTCAGAAAGAGGCCTATACCTTCACGGCTCTGTACTTCTGGTGCATGCGAATGTCTTTGCAAATGTGAACAGATAGCTTGCATACATTACGTAAAGCTCTGATGCTCTTTGTCTTTTTTCTCTTTCTTACTGGTTTACTATTTTTAAAAATTGGGCCAGTGCGGTGGCTCATGCCTGTAATCCCA
Organism: Homo sapiens; assembly: GCF_000001405.40. NCBI lineage: Eukaryota > Metazoa > Chordata > Mammalia > Primates > Hominidae > Homo > Homo sapiens. The sequence goes on along the minus strand of NC_000003.12, from coordinate 72,940,946 downwards.
GCACTTTGGGAGACCGAGGTGGGAGTATTGCTTGAGGCCAGGAGTTCAGTTCCAGCCTGGGCAACATACAGATCCAATCTTTACAAAAAATTAAAAAATTAGTCAGGTGTGGTAGTTTGGGTGGGTAATTCCAGCTACTCAGGAGGCTGAGACAGGAGGGTCCTCTGAGCTCAGGAGGTGGAGGCTGCAATGAGCCATGATTGCACCACTGCACTCTAGCCTGGATGACAGAGGGAGACCCTGTCTCAGAAACAAACAAACAAACAAAACACGAGTTGTCTGAATTCCACAATACACAAATTCATGCATGTGTGTTGTAAAAACATACAAACAATTCAGCAATCAACAGAGTAAGTTCAAGTTGCTCTTTACCTGTCCTTATCCTCACCACACCACCACTCCAAACCCCCATAACCAACCCCCGCTCTCTCTTCAGAATTAACCAACATTAACAGTGAACCTCATCCCAGTCTGTTCCATGGGGTCTTCATATGGCCAGGAAGTCAGATCTCAACTCAATCAATCCATCACTCTTTAAACTCTTTTTTCTGTAATTCTTATTACTGCCTGAAATTAACTAATTTACTTGCTTTTTGTCATTCTTTTCTGACTTGGATATAAGCTCCATGAGATTAGGATATTTGGATATCTTATTCACAGTCATACTTCTAGGGCCAGTCACATAACTGAGGCTCAATAAATATTACCGAATAAATGGTTGTATGTGTAAATGTTTATAAACACACACGAACACATACATTTTTGCATTTTCATTTTATTTACTTTTTTGAGGTAAGGTCTTGTTCTGTCACCCAGGCTGGAGTACAGTGACACAATCATGGCTCATTGCAGCCTCCACCTCCTGGGCTTAGGCAATCCTCCTGCCTCAGCCTCCCAGGTAGCTGGGATTAAAGGTGTGAGCCACAGCGCCTGGCCATTTCTTTGCATTTAAAAAATACTGGCTGAGTGCAGTGGCTCAAGTCTGTAATCCTAGCACTCTGGGAGGCCAAGGCAGGCGGAGTGGATTGCTTGAGCCTAGGAGTTCAAGAATAGCCTGGGCAACATGGCAAAACCTTATCTCTACAAAAAATACAAAAATTAGCCAGGTGTGGTGGTGCATGCCTGTAGTCTCAGCTACTCAGGAGGCTGAGGTGAGGGAATCACCTGAGCCTGGGGAGGTTGAGGCTGCAGTGAGCTCTGATAGCACCACTGCACTCCAGCCTGGGCGACAGACTGAGACCCATGTTTAAAAAAAAAAAAAAGGAAAGAAAAGACTACCTATAGAATCATACTATACATGCCATACTTTCTAATTGTCTACTTTGAGATACTTCCCTTTAATTTTATGTGTGCAGACAACAAAGAACATTCTGTTTGATGCTGCATATTCTCAAGTATCCTCTTTGATATTCTTGAAATAGTTTAAGATAGTTTAGAGAATAATGAATACTTGGAAAATAATGTTGCTATATAATGCTTCCTTTTCTGTTTTGTTGTTGTAGTTGTTGTTGTTTTTGAAAGTCTTGCTCTGTCACCCAGGCTGGAGTGCAGTGGTGTGATCTCGGCTCACTGCAACCTCTGCCTCCTGGGTTCAAATAATTCTCCTGCCTCAGCCTCCCAGGTAGCTGGGTGCCACCACGCCCGGCTAATTTTTGTATTTTTAGTAGAGACAGGGTTTCACCATGTTGGCCAGGCTGGTCATGATCTTTTCTGTTTTAAAATATATATATAATTGGGAGTTTGTAATAAAATAAATATGCATTCTTAAGTAGTGTTCCACACTGTTTTAATCTGAGATTTTAAGATTGCTCATTTTGTTAAATTATTACCTTAAAATGGGGTGGCACAGGAGAAAATTAAAGCCTATCAATTTTTATTTTTGTTTCTATTGTGCCCCCTTGTGGAATTACATATAACTTACATATTCATTTTTGTGACGTTCTAACAAAGAGCAGGGTGTACCAATGTCATGGCTGCATTCAGGCATGCACCAATCAATGAAGTAGCCTCTTCTGATCAGTTTAGTCTTTGCAAACAAGATTCTGATTGCTTCTGAGTTGAGCAAAGCAATGATGGCTTTGTTCAAGATGGTTCTTCTAAAATTCTGGCTCATTAAACTTGTGTTTGGTCTTTGATTTCATCATTTCAGCTGTGTGGCCAACTGTTAGAACTGCATGCAGGACGTTTTCCACAGGCCTTGCGTAACTGAAAAGTATCTGGTTTCTCCGGCATGTTCTGAGATAATGGCTCTCTAAGATGTTCCATCTGCTTCCATGCTTGCTTTTGGCTTGCTTCCTCCTCTTATCAGGTGTTGCAATCCCAGCCAGCAAGCACACAGTATCTTTCCTTGTTGGCTGTAGACATTCCGTTAGCCATGGCAACTGTCATTTAAAGCAGAGTCTAGTTTCTTAGTCAGATGGTGCCTCCCCAGAGAATGTGTTGCTGAAAACAGGATCATTGGATCACAAGGAACTGTAGCTCTTTACTCAAATTAGACTGATTTTCAAAGAAGCTTTTCCCTTTTCTTATATTTGAGACTCTAATATAGCCAACATTTACTGAGTAGACACTGGGTTCAGGGCTCAGCACTTTTATAAGTTATATCTTTAAATCCTCTCTGTCACTTTTTGAAGCAGTGGTTAAAGCCCTTTTTATAAGACCATCCATCCATTTGTCCGTCTTTCCATCCATTGTCCATCCCCCTATCCATCTATACATCCATCTTTCCTTCCACCCATTCATCCATCAAAAGAGTTTTACAGAGTGCCTTCTGTTAGTATGTACCAAATATTTCTGTAGGTGCAGAAGATCAAAGACCTTTTACATTTTTTTCTTTTTTTAAAATTAAATTTTTGTAGAGAGGATCTCACTGTGTTGCCCAGGCCAGTCTTGAACTCCTGGCCTCAAGCATCCTCCCACCTCTGCCTCCCAAAATGCTGGGACTGTAGGCATGAACCACCATGCCTGGCCAAGATTAAAGATCCTTGCCCTGAGAGGGCTTACATGCTCCTGAGAAAAGCGAAAAAATAAATGAGTAAAGTGTGTAGTATTCCAACTTTGAAGATGGTAGGATATGGAAAACTAAAGCAGGGATGGGGAGCAATGATAAATACAAACACCTCACTAAACTGGCGAGTCTGAGCAAAGACATATGTTCTATTTCTTTTTTCTTTATCCATTTAACAGTTAAAGAATGGAAGGTTCAGGGGAATTTTCCTAAGGAGGTATTTTGGGAACACTTTAGGAATGTCTTCTACAAGTAGAGGAGAAAATGCTGTCACTAATATTCTAAGAAGTAGGGCAGAATGACTATTCTTTAGGAGAATCTTGGGCTTCAATCCAGACTCCAAGATTTACCCCAGGAAAAGGATTTAGTTTTCCTCAATTTCAGTTTCCTCATTTGTAAAGAGGATGCAAATGAGCATATTCCTCAAAGAGTTGGGGAAGAGTTAATGAAATCATAAACCTAAAGATCGCAGCCTGGGTTAAGTGCAGTAGGCATTGGGTGGTCATTGGCCACCTACCATACATTTCCCTTTTTTCAGTGTTATGTCCTGAAGACATATTTTAAAGCAGCATTTCTTAAACTATTTTCAACTGTACCTCATAGTAAAAAACGCATTTTCATCACAATTCTAGTTTATGCATACATAAATATATAAGACAGAAATGTCAAAAAGAATACTTGTTTTTACTAAATGCAATGCATATTTATTCTATTCTATTTCTTTTTTTAAAAAAAAGCTGATAATAATCCACTAAACTGGTTCCAAGAGTCACTGGTGGGTTATTCCTCGCAATTAGGGGAAACTCAGAATAGTCAAATAGTTAACCAAAACTTAGTAAATAATATACATAGATAGGTAGGCAGACATATGGAAAAAGAAGTAAAAATGGTCCTTCCTCTATGTCCTCCACCATATTCTCTACTATTTTCTTCCCAGAGAAAACCACCAATTCCAATTATTTAAATTGATTCTGTAGGTATATACCTCTGTGTGTCTAAATAATATACCTTATCTATTAACTTCCTACCCTGGAAGAATAGGTTTTAGCTCTCTTTCACACAAATTCCCAACCCCACACATATACCTTCCCATCCCCCAATACAATTGTATCAAAATATCATTTAGATCAATACACAGTATTATGATGGCCATGAAAACATTATTTCCAGTGAAGCCACAAAATGAGTAGCAATACTTTCCCTCTCTGTACAAGTGTTTTTCCTGGAATTAATGACTCTTTTTGCTGTTGTTAATTTGTTTCGGTTTTTTTTTGTTGTTTTTTTGTTGTTGTTGTTTTTTGAGATGGAGTCTCACTCTGTCACCCAGACTGGAGTGCAATGGTGCGATCTCAGCTCACTACATCTTCTGCCTCCTGGGTTCAGGTGATTCTCCTGCCTCAGCCTCCCGAGTAGCTGGGACTACAGGCATACTACACCACACTTGGCTAATTTTTGTATTTTTAGTAGAGACAGAGTTTCACCATGTTGGCCAGGCTAGTCTCAAGTGATTCATCTGCCTCGGCCTCCCAAAGTGCTGGGATTATAGGCATGAGCCACTGTGCTGGCCAGTTTTCTATGTTTATTAAAGTTTCTTCCACGACTTCCTGATTTTCTCTTCTTTTTCTTTTTTTTTTTTTTTCTTTTTTTTGAGATGGAGTCTTGCTCTGTCACCCAGGCTGGAGCGCAATGGCGCAATCTTGGCTCACTGCAACCTCCGCCTCCCAGGTTCAAGCAATTCTCCTGCCTCAGCCTCGGGAAATAGCTGGGACTACAGGCGCGTGCCACCACACCTGGCTAATTTTTTGTATTTTTAGTAGAGATGGAGTTTCACTGTGTTAGCTAGGATGGTCTTGATCTCCTGACCTCGTGATCCACCCACTTTGGCCTCCCAAAGTGCTGGGATTACAGACGTGAGCCACCGCGCCCGGCGGGCTTCCTGATTTTCTCCAACCAGGATGCTGTGCAGCTATCATCTCCTTTCCCCTGATACTCCTTTCACGTCCCCTTTGAGTAGTATTCCCTGCTTCTAGGATCTCACATCTTCATATTTCTTAATGTACTCCATTTCAGTGGAGTACATTAGACTCACAGAAGGAATTACAGAAGACTCACAGGAGGTAAATATTTTGAAGCGGTGCACATCTGAAAATGTCTTGCGACCTAGACACTTAATTTGTAGTTTGGTTGAGTATAGAATTCTAGATTGAAAATAATGTTGCCTGTGAATTTTAAAGGTATTGCTCCAATATTTTGGCACTTTGCCCACTACTGTTGAAGAGTTTGAAGTCCTTTTGATTTCTGGTTTGGGGAATGTGACTTTTTCTTCCCTTTCTGATAGCTAATATTATCTTCTATTTCACCTGTTGTTCTGAAAGTTCAGTCAATATGCCTGATACGGTATGGTTTTTTCCATTATATGTGATGTCTTCTGATGGATTCTCTCAATCTGGGAATTTATGTCTGCTTGTTCTGGGAAATTTTCTTGAATTAATTTCACGGTTGATTCCCTATCCTGTGCGTTGATTTTTCTTTCCAGAGCTCCTATTGTTCAGATGTTGAACCAGTCCTCTAAGTTTCTGATCATTTTATTGCTATTCTCCTTCTATTTAGTTTTTGTTTTTTGCTGTACTTTCAGAAAGAGTTCAATTTTCCCAGTTCTTCTATTGAGTTCTATTCTGCTGTACTTTTAATGTACAAGAGGTTTTTTTAATCCTCTAAATATTCCATTCTTGACATAGAATCCCATGCTTCTTTAATACATATTGTGTTTTATTTTATTCCTCTAGGATCCTAATAATAATTTCTTTAGAAGTTTTATTCATCTTCCATATATGATTTTCTGTAGGTTGATAAGCTCCCTTTGTTTGTTTTGAACCCTGTCTTTCCTATTAGAGGGTTTCTTCAAATGTCTAGCAATCACTGGATCTCTATTCATATTCCAGCTGTTTGGAAGTAGGTGGAGTAAGCCTGTCAGCTATGCACATCATTGGAGGAAGATCTGTGGGCCACTCTAATGGGGAATCCTTCCATGTCAGTGTTCTTAAATCTCCATAGATATGCTTCCAAATCTCTGTAATTTTCTTTGCAAGGTTCTGGGCTCTACATGGTAGAAACAGGCCTGGGGTCTTAACATTCATGTGTAAGTTTTTTACTGAATCTCATGTTTTCAACATAATATCCTTAACTGTGCCTGGATTCTCCTAGTCCAGAGACCCCCTGTTTTACTTTCTTTAGAAACTGAATTTCCAATATTTTGCCCAAGGGAGAATCAAATTCCAAGTTAAACAGTATGAAACAGGCAATCTGAAGGCGTAACTGCTTTTCAAACATAAATGTAACTACACCTCCTGATTTTAGGTTCATCTTCATTGCCATCTCCAGACATAGTGGATGCCGCTAATTCATTGGCTTTGGGGGTCTTTTTGCCATATATATCATTTGCTTCTGCGTTTTTCCCACTGCTGGTTAAAGATTTAGCTGTCTCAAGTCAAGGTTGGTAAATACTATTCTGGTTGTCCTAGAATATATTTATGCTATTAAAAAAATTAATTATCAGCTAGGTGTGGTGGCTGGTGCCTATAATCCCAGCACTTTGGGAGACTGAGGCGGGCAGACTGCTTGAGCCCAGGAGTTTAAGACCAGCCAGGGCAATACAGCAAGACCCTATCTCTACAAAAAAATACAAAAATTAGCCTGGCATGGTGGTGCACACCTGCAGTCCCAGCTACTCCAGAGGCTGAGATGGAAGGATCACTTGAACCCAGGAGGAGGTTGAGGCTTCAATAAGCTGTGATCACACCACTACACTCTAGCCTGGGTGACAGAGCAAGACCCTGTCTCAAAAAAAAAAAAAAAAAAAGAATAAAATTAAAATTAACTATCAATTTTTGTATAGTTTTAGGAAAGAATGAATACAAATACAAATAATTTCCTTGCCATCTTTAATCCAACACAAGTCCAGCTGGCTAAGCTCCTCTTTCATTCTGAGAACTCCCAACATCCTTTCCTTTCTTTATTATTATTATTCTTAATTTTTGAGACAGGATCTCACTCTGTTGCCCGAGTTGGAGTGCAGTGGGGCCATCACAGCTCATCTGCAGCCTCGATCTCCTGGAGCTCAAGTGATCCTCCAAGCTCGGCCCCCCCAGGCTGCTGGGACTACAGACCTGTGCCACCACACCCGGTTAATTCTTTGTAGAGACAGGGTGTCACTTTGTTGCTCAGGCTGGTCTTGAACTCCTGGGCTCAAGTCATCTTCCCATCTTGGCCTTCTAAAGTGTTGGGATTACAGGTACGAGCCACTGTGTCCAGCCCCAACATCCTTTCAATCAAATTCTCTTCTGATTAACTCAGCCTGAATCAATTATGATCACGTTCATTTATTTTTCTTTTTTCTTAATATTTGTACTTACTATAGCCAACATCATATATGATCACTTTCAACCAAAGAACTACGTTACAGTAAGTAATCAACATATATTATTGTGATTCTTACACTAGGCTTCGTAAGAAATATAATGACTCTTCAGTTGTAGAACTATTGCATCTATTAGCATTTACTAGCAACTACTGCAACTATTAGCATCTAATACTATGATGCTAATTATGCTGGAGTCAAAAAGACAATTCCCTACAATGTGACTGATGTTTTAATAGGAGCGTTACCTGCTGGGACATGTTTACAATTGTTCATGGTTAGTTATGGCTTGGCCGACTGGGTCAAAAAAAATGATGTTGCTATTAATCAAGATAAAGTCCTTTTCGGAAAGAGAATTAACTGTCTCAGTAGTTTCATGCTACATATCAGTCCTAAAAAAATAGGTATAATAATAAAAATAGTATCTAACACTTTCTATGTGCCAGGCATTGTTTCCAAGGGTGTTAAATGTATTCACTAATTTGAATTTTCACAACACTATGAGATAGGCAATATTATTATTCTCTTTTTACAGATGAGTAAATGGAGGCAAGGAAAGTTGAAATTATTTCTTCTGGTTACAAAGTGGTAAGTGGTAGAAACAAGATTTAAATGTATTTGGGCTGCTTCCAGAGCCTGGGGTCTTAACAACTATACCATACTGTCTCTATATAATAATATCTCAAATTAATTTGTCTCCATTAAATGCTTCCTAACACTGTGGCTATTACATTTTCTAAAGGCCACACTTTGTATATTATCTCATATTCCTCATCTTAACAAAGTAACTGGACCTCTCTGAAGGCCTGAGAAGAAATGTTATATAACTATTCATTGTTAAGCCAAACAGATGTTTATTGTTTGCCCTCCCCTTCATATCTTTCTCCATCTCCTGACAAGAGCCACTCTCTTGTGGTAAAACCCAATCCATGTGGCTTAAATGTTGTTGGCCCCTGTGGCCCATGGAGGAGAATGTGATTCAAGTCAAGCCAATCTGAGTATCCTGTCTTCCTGGACATAATGATTGGTTCAGAAATAAGCATGACTTTGGATTAAACAATGGTTTCTTAGATATGACACCAAAAGTACAACAAAAATGGAAATAGATAACTTTGAATTAAACAAAATTAAATACTTTTGTGTTGCCAATGACACTATTAAAGTGGGCCACGTACGGTGGCTCATGTCTGTAATCCCAGCACTTTGGGAGGCTGAGGCAGGTGGATCAACTGAGGTTAGGAGTTTGAGACCAGCCTGGCCAACATGGTGAAACCCCATCTCTACTAAAAATACACACAAAAAATTAGCTGGGCGTGGTGGTGGGCACCTGTAATCACAGCTACTGGGGAGGCTGAGGCAAGAGAATTGCTTGAACCCAGAAGGCGGAGGTTGGTGTGAGCCAAGATCGTGCCATTGCACTCCAGAAAACTCCATCTCAAAAAAAAAAAAAAAGTTAAAAGACAATCCACAGAATTCAAATTTGTCCATTTCATCTAAATTACCTAATTGATTGAAATACAATTATTCATAGTATTGCTTTATAATCCTTTTATTTTGGTAATGTTGGTAGTTATGTTCCCTCTTTCCTTCCTGATTTTAGTAGTTTGAGTCTTCCCTTGTTTTCTAGCTCAGTCTACCTAAAGGTTTGTCAATTTTGTTGATCTTTTCAAAGTACCAATTTTTAGTTTTGGTGTTACTCCTCTACTGTTTTTTCTCTTCTCTGTATCATTAATTTTCAGTTGAATCTTTATTATTTCCATCCTTCTGCTTGCTTGGATTTAGTTTGCTCTTCTGAGGTGCTGTAAAGTGGAAGGTTAGGCTATTGACTTGAGGCCTTTCCTCATTTGTACTGCTGAAGTTTATAAATTTCCCTCTAAACCCTGTGTTAGGTGTCTGCCATAAGTACTGGTATGTTGTATCTTCATTTTCATTGTAGTTTCCCTTGTAGTTTCTTCTTAAAGCAATTGGCTATTTAGAAAGAAGTATGTTACTTAGGCCGGGCGCGGTGGCTCACGCCTGTAATCCTAGCACTTTGAGAGGCCGAGGCAGGTGAATCACGAGGTCAGGAGATCGAGACCATCCTGGCTAACATGGTGAAACCCCGTCTCTACTAAAAATACAAAAAATTAGCCATGTGTGGTGACGGGCACCTGTAGTCCCAGCTACTCGGCAAGCTGAGGCAGGAGAATGGGGGGTGAACCTGGGAGGCGGAGCTTGCAGTGAGCGGAGATGGAGCCACTGCACTCCAGCCTGGGGACAGTGCAAGACTCCGTCTCAAAAAAAAAATAGAAAATAAAATAAAAAAATAAAGAAGTATGTTACTTAATTTCTACATTTTTGTTAACTTCCCAAATTTCTTTCTGTTATTGACTTCTAATTCCATTCCACTGTGGTCAGAGAACATACATTGTATAACTTCAATCCTTTTATGCTTTTTACAGCTTCTTTTATGGTACAACATATGGTCCATTCTGGAGAAAGTTTCATGTGCACTCACAAGAACGTATTCTACTGGTGTTGGGTGGAGTGTCCTAAAGAAGTCGGTTGGTTCAGCTGGTTTATGGTGTTGTTCTTCTATTTCCGTGTTGACATTCAGCCTAGTTGTTCAATCCATTATTGAAAGTAAGGCAGCTGGGTGCAGTGGCTCATGCCTGTAATCCTAGCACTTTGGGAGGCTGAGGCAGGTGGATCACTTGAGCCCAGGGGTTCGAGACCAGCCTGGGCAACAGGGTGAAACCCCATCTCTACAAAAAGTATGAAAATTAGTTGGGCTTGGTGGTGCACACCTGTAGTCCCAGCTACTTGAGAGGCTGAGGTGGGAGGATCACCTGAGCCTGGGAGGTCAAGGCTGCAGTGAGCCATGATCATACCACTGTACTCTAGCCTGGGTGACAGAGTGAAACCCTGTGTCAAAAAAAAAAAAAAAAAAAGAAGAAGAAGAAAAAGAAAAAGAAAAGAGGGGCACTCATATCTCCTACTACTGTTGATGAATTGCTTATTTATATCTTTTTTTTTTTTTTGAGACAGGGTTTCACTCCTGTTACCCAGGCTGGAGTGCAGTGGCATGATCTTGGCTCACTGCAATCTCCGCCTCCTGGGCTCAAGCAATTCTCCTGCCTCAGTCTCCTGAGTAGCTGGGACTATAGGCACATGCCACCACGCCCAGCTAATTTTTGTGTTTTTAGGAGAGATGAGGTTTCACCATGTTGGCCAGGCTGGTCTTGAACTCCTGAGCTCAAGTGATCTGCCCGCATCAGCTAGAATTACAGGCATGAACACCTCCTATAGAGAGCACACAGTTCGACTGTATTCTTTATCAACTATAACTGCAACTCTGTTTTTTTTTTTGTTTTTTTGAGATGGAGTTTCGCCCTTTTTGCCCAAGCTAGAGTGCAATGACGCAATCTCAACTCACTGCACCCTCTGCTTCCTGGGTTCAAGTGATTCTCCTGGCTCACCCTCTCGAGTAGCTGGGATTACAGGTGCACGCCACCACGCCCAGCTAATTTTGTATTTTTAGTAGAGACACCATTTCACCATGTTGGCCAGGCTGGTTTTGAACTTCTGACCTCAGGTGATCCACCTGCCTTGGCCTCCCAAAGTGCTGGGATTACAGGCATGAGCCACTGCAGCGGGCCTGCAACTCTGTGTTTTTATTTGATTGTCGAATCCATTCACATTCAATGCTATTATTTATATAGTCGAATTTATGTCTGCCATTTTACTATTTGTTTTCTATATGTCTAATATTTTTGTTGTTCCTCTATTCTTTCTTTTCTGCTTTATTTTGCATTAAGTGAATATTTTCTTTTTTCTGGATGTTGTGGTGCAACTTATAGAAAAAGTAAAGGAAACCCCAACATGCATGCACTGCCTTGGTGACCAGGGAAGTCACCCCATGGCTATGGGGAAATTAGCCTGAGGCTTAGCTTTCGTTATCACTGTCTCCCAGCGTGTGCTTGTCAAAGAGATATTCTGCCGAGCCAGATTCGGGTGCTCCCATCTTGCACAAGTTGGTCACGTGGCCACCCAATTCTTTGATGGCTTTCACCTGCTCATTCAGGTAATGTGTCTCAATGAAGTCACACAAATGGGGGTCATTTTTGTCACTGGCCAGTTTGTGCAGTTCCAGTAGTGACTGACTCATATTTTTTTTTCCCCAAATGTAATGCACACTCCATCGCATTCAGCCCGCTCTCCCAGTCGTCACAGTCTGGTTTCTTGATATCCTGAAGGAAGATTCGGCCACCTCGTTGGTTCTGCAACGTCATCAGTTTCTCGGCATGTTCCCTCTCCTCATGAGATTGGTGAAGAAAGTATTTGGCAAAGTTCTTCAAAGCCACATCATCGCGGTCAAAGTAGTAAGACATGGACAGGTAAACGTAGGAGGCGTAGAGCTCCAGGTTGATCTAGCGGTTGATGACGGCCTCTGAGTCCTGGTGGTAGCTCTGGCGCACCTGCGAGGTGGACGCGGTCGTCACGGCGGCGGCTAAGGAGAGGCGGCGGTGGCTGCGCGGCGCTGGAGCGGCGGCGGGCCTTGGGGCGGTACCGAGGGCGCGGTGAAGTGGTGACGGAGGACTGGCTATGGGCGGCCGGCCGGGATGGGGGACGAACGCCGGGTTCCGTCCAAGCACTGTTGAAGCAGGAAACCCCGACGACTCCCGGCGAGGAACGTCTGGCAAAGTGAATATTTTCTAATAGAGCATTTTAATTTATTTTTTTATGGGGTTTTTTTTTGGAGTTATTTCCTCAGTGGAGCACAAATTGCCCCCACAGTCTGATCCAATTAAATTAAGGACCATTTGAATTTTTGAGGCTAGTCTGTGATATCTGTTATGACTCCAGGAGGGCACGTTTTACCTGCATTGTCCTCTGGCTCTCCCTTGTAAACTAACTGGCCTATGGTTTAGCTTGCTGTTCTCATTAAGGTGCAAGCCTCCTCTTAATTAAGAAACACCCTGGCTTCTAGGCCACACCTCCATGGAATTTAGGCTCTGCAACACATAGCTAGCTAGTAGCAATAAGAAATGCTGATGGCCTGTGCCTCCCAAGGAGATACCATGTTCCTCAACTGGGAGCTGGAGAGAGAGGAATCCCTGTGTTCTTGAATGAACTTCAGGTAGAAGGTGAATTTTTATCACACTGAACTGGAAGGGGGAAGGAGGGAGGCTGTGGTTCAAATGTCACCGATTCTCACTCTTCTTACCAAGTTTTAGTAGATTTTCTTGAATAAATGTTCCTTCATTTGCCTAGGTCCTTAGGACAATTTCCAAAGTATTTAGATAGTTATTTTAAAAATTATTTTCACAAGTTATGCTTGTTTCACTGGGGAGCAATTCCACAGGGCTCCTAATGTCACCATTTTGGAAGTTGCTACCTTGCCATGCTCTTTTTCTGCCGTAGCTGCTAAGCTGCTAGAATTTGGATTTCAGGCTGCTTTGAGCAATCATTATGCTTATGGAGTAGCCTTGCAAGGGACTGAAAGAGAGAGACAGAGTCCTGATGACATTATGTTAGCCTCTGGATCTAGCTGTGCTTGGAATCAGCCCTACAGTGTGGACTTTGCAGTTAGATAAGCCAATAAATTAATTTCCTTCTTTGCTAGTTGGAGTTGAGTTTCTCTCACATATAACCAAGAGTTGTAGCTAATATCCTGAATGTCAAACTTTTAATAGTGTATGAGTAAATGATAAGTACTGTGGAAAGCTTGTTCAACAAAATTGGTATCTAAGGTCATTTCATGTAATCATTTAGGTGGCTAATCTCATCCAAATAATTTATGGCCTCTTGGTGCTTGATGAAATGTATAAACATCATTTATGGTGATTCTAATTGGTGTTCCCCTTAATAAGGATTTTTAATATATTCCTATATGTGTGTCAATATTTGTTAATATCCAAAGGGTTTGTTGCAAGGATGTCTCAATGTTAATTGCAAATACTGAGGTGTAATATTAATAATAATATAGAGGTCTGACCTTAATTATAAAAAGTTCTAAAAAGTATGATAAGCTTCCTTTTTCCATTAGCCTACAGCTAACTCATGAAGACATCATTGGTAAGCATGCAGATTTCAAAACATTAGAACCAGTTACCGGTCTCTTTAACAAGCCGTAAGTAGAAAAGAGAAGATTATACATTGTTGCTTTCACTACATAAAATAAAGATTTATCTTTATTTGGCATGGTAGTCCTTTGAAATATTAAGGAGTGGGACAAGTTTCTTGGAAATATGGAGTCAGAAAACTTTCAGAATACATTTACAGGTTAAAGCTATAACTAATTTGGCCAGGTGCGGTGGCTCACACCTGTAATCCCAGCACTTTAGGAGGCCTAGGAAGGAGGATCACTTGAGCCCAGGAGTTTGAGACCAGCCTGGGCAACATGGTGAGACTCTTGTCTCTACAAAAATTTTAAAAATTAGCTGGGCATGGTGGTGTGTACCTGTGGTCCCAGCTACTCAGGAGGCTTAGGTGGGAGGATCACTTGAGCCCAGGAGGTTGACGCTGCAGTGATCCATGATTGCACCACTGCACTCTAGCCTGGGCAACACAGTGAGACCCTCTCTAACTCCTTCCTTAAATATGGCTATCTATGGTGAATGTTGGGAGCAAAAAAGACATCAGACATTATCATAACCTTGGAGCTTATTAAAACTTGGTAAAAACAAAACCAAAAACATTTATCCCTGGATACAACCTTACCCTACCTCAAATTACCATATTGGGTACCACTCACTAATAATGTCTCTAAAGGTTCTGCAATCCAGTGATGTCTGTCATGTTTTACCTATCTCTAGGATTCCCAGAAGACCACAGTTATTGAGGAGAGAAATCTTCATAATTTCTCTCCTCACAGCGTGTAGCAAAATGTACAGATCTATTATAAAATCTCACTACTTCCAATTAATTGGGGGAAAGGTGATGTGAATTCATACAACTCAATTACTCTTACAGATGTAAAGGATTTCTGGCCTGTACTAAGAAAATAAAAGTATTCCAGAATCAATTTTAATGAACACATTTGATTTATTTGTAATTGGCATATTGTTTTAAATATTTTAAGCTTCTGAATTACCTGAAATATGCATTTTAGAACGCTTAACCAAGCCATCTGCAGTTTAGTTTGCATTCATAATGATCCCATGTCATAGGACCATTAGTCACAGAAGTAGAGGAGTAAATGTCCACTGATTTGTAGGAGTTCATAAATTTTGAATTGGTGGGATCTGAATCACACTAATTGTACCTGAGAATCTAATTGGCTTGAGTTGCAAAGACTTATGCTCTGATATTATTCAGATAGTAAAATCTTAGTTGAGAAAGGGTCTCTTCCACAGTTTTGGGTAGATGACAGCCTCTTGGAAAATGGGTGGGACCATGGTCCTCAGTCAACTGACTACCTGATAGAATGTTTGCACTTTAGGATCTCCATTTTCTCTGTGCTCCTGAGGCAGCACACCTGATATGGTTTTAAAGAGATGAATTCCAAGGAAAACACAACCTAGACTTTAAAATTACCCTCAAGATCAATACATCTCACTGATGCCCAAAAATGCCATGTTCATAATCTGCTGTTGTGATATACAACTAGGAAAAGGTAAATGTCCTGTCAACCACAATCTCTCTTTATTATTTTTAAAGAGGGCTCGTTTCCATTATCAGAAGCAGATAAGGAATGCCAGCACCCATTTGTCATTCAAAACCAAGCACCTACTTAGCTGGGAAAGAATTAAGGCCATTAGGTGATGAATTTGTTTTTTTTTAAATAATGGTAATAAAGTCACAATTCAAGGTCAACAAAAATTCAAATGTAGTTCCATTGGGTAGCTAATATTTTGGATAGAATGGGAAGACCATTTCCCAACATTACCTTTGGTTTTCTAATACTTATTTTTTGCAAAAATGGAGACAAGCAACAAACCTAACATTTTCTCTCACCTCAAAGAGTAATCAGTTTTTATATCACCAACCTAGAGATTTTCGTGTCAATTGGAGGGAGTCTTTTCCTACCCCAGTTTTTATGCGATTATATATAAAGGTCTGTGACATGTGAAGAACAGACGATGTGGCCAGGCGCAGTGGCTCATGCCTGTAATCTCAGCACTTTGGGAGGCCGAGGCGGGCGGATCACCTGAAGTCAGGAGTTCAAGATCAGCCTGACCAACATGGTGAAACCCTGTCTCTACTAAAAATACAAAAATTAGCGGGGCATGGTGGTATGCGCCAAAATCCCAGCTACTTGGGGGATTGAGGCAGGAGAATTGTTTGAACCCAGGAGGTGGAGGTTGCAGTGAGCTGAGATTGTGCCACTGCACTCCAGCCTGGGCGACAGAGTGAGACTCTGTCTCAAAAAAAAAAAAAAGAAAGAAAAAGAAAAATAGATGACATAATGAGCAAGTGAGCTTGGGCAGCTGATCGCTGCCAACAATTCATCCAGGGTTTATTCTGCTCACAGGTCTCTGCGTAGGAAATGCCAAAAGGGCTACTCCCCAGTTAGTGTTTCCAGACCGATAGATGTGACGATTCCTTCTGCTTGAGTATCCTCAGCCACCTCAAAATCAAAGTATGACCCAAATTAAACTCATTTGACCCCTTTACCAAAACTGCTTTTCCCTGTCTTTTCTATCCCTAAATGATTCTGCCATTTATTTCTTACGTTGAGCCATAAGAAATTACCTTTTTGTAGGTCATTAATGGTTGAATACTGGCAATTTCAAATGGATCAACCTTAACAGTTGTTCAGGTTAAAAAAAAAATCTGGTAAAATCCTTTTCATGTCACTCCCCCTTCAACTCTTACAACGAGCCAATCATGAAGGTTGGTAAATTCCGTTTCAGGCAGGTCCATTATCCATCTCTAAGGCAACCATCAAAGCCCAAACCAAGTTAGTGACCTGGCTTCACCAACCCTGTCTGCGCTGCCATAAACCAGAGTGTCTTCTCTAAAACACAAGTTAGAACATGCCACTTGCTGCAAAAAATCATCCAGTGGCTTCCCACTGCCCTTAAGAAAAAGACTGGGCTGAGTGCTGTGGCTCTCATCTGCAATTCCAGCACTGTGGGAGGTCAAGGTGGGAGGACCGCTTGAGCCCAGGAGTATGTGAGGAGTATGTGACCAGGCTGGCAACATAGCAAGACATCATCTCTACAAAAAATAAAAAAATTAGCTAAGCATGGTGGCTCACACCTGTAGTCCCAGCTACTTGTGAGGCTCGGGTGGGAGGATCACTTAAGCCCAGGAGTTGGAGGCTGCAGTAAGCCATGACTGCACCACTGCACTCCAGCAGGGGCGACAGAGAGTGACCTTATCTCTTAAAAAAAAAAAAAAAAAGACAAAGACCAGACACTTCTAGATGGCTTGCTGAGCCTGCAAGCTCCAGTCTCTGCTGATTGCTTCATTCTCATCTCACTTTCTATTTTTTGGTTACTATGACCTTCTTTTATTTTCTTAAACATGGCCCTTCCCACCTTAGGGCCTTTGTATATACTGTTCCATCTGCCTGGACCCCTCTTTTCTCTCATTACCCCCAAGGCCCTTGTCACCTAGTAACCCTTACTTCTCCTTCATTCATGTCTGCATAAATGCCACTGCTGGACAGGCATGGTGGCTCATGCCTGTAATCCTACTACTTTGGGAGGCCAAGGCGAGAGGATCACTTAAGCACAGGAGTTCAAGATCAGCCTGAGCAATATAGCGAGACCCCATCTCCACAAAAAAATATGCCACTGCCTCAGGAGAACCTTCTATGATCTCTCTCAGACCAGGATGGAACCCCATGTTACATACATCCATGAGATTATCTCCTCTTAGTACTGGTCATACTTCTAATTATTTGTTCAAGGCCCTACTAGACTCAAGCTTCAAGGAAACAGGACCATGGCTGTCTTATTACCATGTCATCATCACTGAGCCAGGGCCCAGCACCCTGGTGGGCACTCAACAAATGTCTACTGAAGGCATGAATCCCTCACAAAAATTAAGGCAGCAACTGACAATTCAAAGTTGCTATCCCTGTGCAATATTATTCTCACTTTTGAAATATCTTTTTCTATTGAATATTTTTATTATTATTTGATTTTTAAAATTTTATTTCTTTATTTACTTTTTTGAGACACGGTCTCAGTCTGTCAGGTAGGCTGGAGTGTGATGGTGCGATCATGGCTCACTGCAGCCTCAACCTCTTGAGCTCAGATGATCCTCCCACCTCAGCCTCCCAAGTAGCTGGGACTACAGGCATGCGCCACCATGCCCAGGTAATTTTTTTTTTGAGATGTAGTTTAGCTCTTGTTGCCCAGGCTGGAGTGCAGTGGCGTGATCTTGGCTCACTGCAAGCTCTGCCTCCTGGGTTCAAGCGATTTTCTTGCCTCAGCCTCCTGAGTAGCTGGGATTACAGACATACACCACCAAGCCTGGCTAATTTTTGTATTTTTAGTAGAGACAGGGTTTCACCATGTTGGCCAGGCTGGTCTTGAACTCCTAACCTCAGGTGACTCACTCGCCTCAGCCTCCCAAAGTGCTGGGATTATAGGTCTAAGCCAACACACCCCGCCTAATTTTTGTATTTTTTGTAGAGATGGGATTTCACCCTGTTGCCCAGGCTGGTCTCAAACTCCTGTGCTCAAGTGATCCGCCTGCCTTGGCCTCCCCAAGTACTGGGATTATAGGTGTGAGCCGCCATGCCGGCCTCAAGATTTTAAAAAAGCAACCAAAAACATGCAATTTAAAAATTCATTAAACTAAAAGACTAAACCAAAATTCTGGACCCTTTTGGAATGATAGCCTAGTATGGCCATAACTAGTAGTTGTTATTGTGATAAGAGAAATAACAATAATCCAGGCTAATATTTATTGAGGGCCAGCTATGTGCCAAGCCTATGGATAAAACTGAAGTTAGTAAAGTTGGGGGATTTAACGAGGTTCACAGGAGCCAGTAAATAATGGAACCATAGTCACAAAGACCAATGATCCAAGACAGGATTTGAATGCTCACAGTCCCTCAGTCTTTCGGTATGACAACCTCCAGAACACAGGGATCCTCTCTACATGCTGCAGACTTAGAGCATCAGCTCCAGAATCCAAGAGACACAGGTTTTCAGCTGTTAAGTTAAATGTTTCTACACACATCTCAGCTAATTTTACCTTATTTCCAGGAGCAAGCTACAACTTATTAAAAACAGGTGTTCCTACCGGAAGAAAGAGTCTCTGGGCAGCACAGGGTTTGAACAATTTCTTCCACTCCTGAGGGTTTCCAACAGAAAATGTGATGGGGTAGATTCTGTGCTCAAACTTCTTTGTATATGAGTCAGGCCACTGGCGTAACTGAAAAACATGGGAAGCAAGGGAAGGGTGATTAGGCCCTAGGAAATATGGAAAATGCCTGCGAAGCTTCTGGATGGTCAAATGGAAATTATTCAGGCAACTTACACAGAAAGTCTAACTTCATCACCACTATGAATGTTCACTAAATGAAAGAGTATTTGCTCCTACTAAAATTGCTAAGATTTTAAAAAATAACATTCACCGTTGGCAACAGTGTTGAGAAACTGCAGAGGGGAGTATAGATTTGAACAAACTTCCAAAAGGTTAACTTGGAAACTGGTAACAACACCCCAAAAGACAGAGGTACAAGGACATTCACCACAACCTAGTTTGTAATAACAAGACTTGAGAACTTTGCAGCTTGGAAGAGGAAAAAAACCCAACAAACTTGGGAACAATCAAAATGTCCAATAATAAGGAATTGGGACAATTAAGTATGACAGAACTATATAATAAAATAATGTACCGTTAGAGGGACCAGGGATGGTGGCTCATGCCTGTAATCCCAGCACTTTGGGAGGCTGAAGTGGGTGGATCTCTTCAGGCCAGAAGTTTGAGACCAGCCTGGCCACACAGCAAAACCCCATCTCTACTAAAAAACACAAAAATTAGCTGGGCATGGTGGCACATGCCTGTAGTCCCAGCTACTCGGGAGGCTGAGACACGAGAATTGCTTTGAACCAGGGAGGCGGAGGTTGCAGTGAGATCGTGCCACAGTACTCCAGCCTGGGTGACAGAGCGAGACTGTGTCTCAAAAAAATTAAATTAAATTAAATTAAATTGAAAAAGAAAAATAGAATAATGTACAGTTAGAATAAAGTAGATGTCTTTTGTGTTATTTGTGGCAGGCTGGATTTGGCTCTTGTACTCCCATAGTTTGCTGACCTCAGTTCTATATCATTGTCACTAATGACTGCATTGTGTTCTGTTATGTAGATATGTACTGACATGGAAAACAGTTATAACATATAGTTGGGTTTTGGAAAAAGCAAAGTGCAAAAAAACTATAAATTTTTTTTTTTTTATTTCTTCACTACTGTCTGAATGAATGGTTCTGTCTTATAGGAAAAAATATATGCATGAGGCCGGGCGTGGTGGCTCACACCTGTAATCTCAGCACTTTGGGAGGCCCAGGCAGGGGGATCACTTGAGGTCAGGAGTTTGAGACCAGCCTG
Organism: Homo sapiens; assembly: GCF_000001405.40. Classification (NCBI taxonomy): domain Eukaryota; kingdom Metazoa; phylum Chordata; class Mammalia; order Primates; family Hominidae; genus Homo; species Homo sapiens. The sequence continues at coordinate 72,921,028 of NC_000003.12, read as the reverse complement.
GCCAACATGGCGAAACCCCGTCTCTACTAAAAATACAAAAATTAGCTGGCGTGGTGGTGGGCGCCTGTAATCCCAGCTACTTCAGGAGGCTGAGGCAGGAGAATCACTTGAATCCGGGAGGCAGAGGTGGAGGTTGCAGTGAGCTGAGATCATGCCACTGCACTCCAGTCTGACGGACAGAGTGAGACTCTGACTAAAAAAAAAAAAAAATACATATATATATATATATGCATGTACATTTTATATGTAAAGAAAAACCTAGATGGATATGCACCAAATTATTAAAAGTGGGCACTCTATAGCTGGTGATGGTGGTTTCATTTCCTCGGGCTACATTTCCATATTCTTTAGAATTTTTACAATGAGTATATATTACTTTCTTTGCATATATTAATTTTATAACAAAATTTTTAAAATACACTTTTAGATTTTAGAGCAGTTTAATGTTTACAGAAAGTCAGCCAGGTGTTGGTGGCTCACGCCTGTAATCCTAACACTTTGGGAGGCCAAGGTGGGAAGATTGCTTAAGCCCAGGAATTTGAGACCAGCCAGCGCAGTATAACAAGACCTGCCTCTTAAAAAAATTAAAAACAAGGCCAGGAGTGGTGGCTGACGCCTGTAATCTCATGACTTTGGGAGGCCAAGGCGGGTGGATCACTTGAGGTCAGGAGTTCAAGACCAGCCTGGCCAACATGGTGAAACCCGGTCTCTACTAAAAATTCAAAAATTAGCCAGGAGCGGTGAGGCACGCCTGTAGTCCCAGCTACTCAGGAGGCTGAGGCAGGAGAATCACATCAACTCGGAAGGCGGAGGCTGCAGTGAGCCAAGATTGGACCACTGCACTCCAGCCTGGGTGACAGAGTGAGACTCTGTCTCAAAAAATAAAAAAATAAATAAAAAATAAAAAAAGTAAAAACAAGAACAACAATGAAAACAAACAAGAAAAAAGAAAAATTGAGCAGAAATCAGAGTTTCCAGATAGCCTCTCTCTTCTCCCTCCCCTACAGTTTCCCCTATTATTTATATCTTGCATTCATGTGGTATATTTGTTACAACTGATAAGTCAATATCAATATGCTATTACTAACTAAAGTCCACAGTTTACATTAGTGTTAATTCTTTCTGTTGTACACTCTTTCTATGGATTTTGGCAAATGCACATCATGTATCTATCATTACAGTATACAGAACAGTGTCACTACCGTAAAAATCCTCTCTGCTCCAACTTTTCAACATTCCTGCCTGCCCTCTCACCTGAACTTCTTTTTGTTTTTGAGACAGAGTCTCGCGCTGTCATCCAGACTGGAGTGCAATGGCGCAATCTCAGCTCACTGCAACCGCCGCCTCCCACGTTCCAGCAATTCTCCTGCTTCAGCCTCCTGAGTAGCTGGAATTATAGGTGACTGCCACTACACCCAGTTACTTTTTGTATTTTTAGTAGAGATGAGGTTTCACCATGTTGGTCAGGCTGGTCTCAAACTCCCGACCTCAGGTGATCTACATGCCTTGGCCTCCCAAAGTGTTGGGATTACAGGCGTGAGCCACCGTGCCCAGCCCATTACTGATCTTTTTATATAGTCTCTTCATGTTACCTTTTCCAGAATGTGATATAGTTAGAATCATATAGTACCTTGCCTTTTCAGACTGGCTTCTTTCATTTAGCAATATGCATTTAGGTCTCCTACATGTCTTTTTGTGGCTTGATAGCTCATTTTATTTTAATCATTTAATAATACTGTATGCTATGGTATGAATATATCACAGTTTGTTTATCCATTCACCTACTGAAGGATATCTTGGTTGCTTCCAGTTTTGGGAAACTGTGAATACAGCTGCTACAAACATCTGTGTACCGGTTTTTGTGTGGACATAAGTTTTCAACTCATTTGGGTAAATACTTAGGAGTTCAATTCCTGGATTGTATAGTAAGCCTATATTCAGCTTCCTAAGAAACTGCCAAACCGTCTTCCAAAGTGGCTGCATGATTTTGCATTCTTACCAGCAATGAATGAGAGTTCCTGTTGCTCCACATCCTCACCAGCATTTGGTGTTGTCAGGGTTCTAGATTTTAGCCATTCAAATAGGTGTGTAGTGGTGTTTCATTGTTATCTTAAGTTACAATGCTCTAATCACATATGACACTGAACATCTTTTCATATGCTTGTTTGCCATCTGTGTATCTTAATTTTTTTTTTCTTTTTGAGACAGAGCCTTGCTCTGTTGCCCAAGCTGGAGTGCAGTGGCATGATCTCAGCTCACTGCACTCTCTGCCTCCCGGGTTCAAGCAATTCTTGTGCCTCAGCCTACCCGAGTAGCCTCCCGAGTAGACGCGCACTACTATGCCCAGCTAATTTTTTTGTATTTTCAGTAGAGATGGGGTTTCGCCATGTTTCCCAGGCTGGTCTTGAACTCCTGAGCTCAGGCAATCCGCCCGCCTCATCCTCCCAAAGTGCTAGGATTACACGCATGAGCCACCGTGGCTGGCCCTTCTCAATTTTTTTGAGTTAATGCCTTCCCGTTGCTACAACAATTCTAAGAATTATTCCTAAGGAAAAATTTCAAAAATGGATACTTGTTTATTACAAGGTTGTTTGTTTTAGTGTTGTTTGTAACAATGAAAAATTAGAAACAATCTAAAGAAGAGTTTGGTTAAGTAAGCTCCAGAGTCTATCTATATAACAGAATGCAATGTAGTCATTAGTGATAATGTCATAGAACTGGGGTCAGCAAATTATGGTAGTACCAGAGCCAAATCTAGCCTGCCACAAAGAGTACACAAGCCAACAATGGTTTGGCATTCTAAAATAGTTTTAAAAAATCAAAACAAGAATAATATTTTGTGACAATTATATGAAATTCAAATCTCAGTGCCCATAAGTAAAATGTTACCAGAACACAGCCACACCCATTTGTTTATATATTGTTTGTGGCTGCTTCTACTCTAAATAGCACATTGAGTAGTTGGGATAGAGACCATACAGCCTGCAAAGCCTAAAATAGTTACTATCTGGCGTTTTCCAGGAAACATTGGTCAACTCACTTTAGAGGAAACTCAGTAATATAAGCATCAGTGATATAAAAGAGATCCCATTTCTGATGGTGATATGAAAAGAAAAGGAATGGAAATAAGTATTATATATATACACCAAAACTGTTCTCCCTGAGCATTAGTGTAATGGGTTTTTTTTCCATTTATTATTTATGAATTTACTGGTTTTTACAATGTACATATATTGTTTATATAACCATATAAACTTTTTTTTTTTTTTTTGAGATGGGGCCTCACTCTGTTGCCCAGGCTGGAGTACAGTGGCACGATCATGGCTCACTGCAGCCTTGATCTCTCTGGGCTCAGGTGATCCTCCCACCTCAGCCTCCCAAGTAGCTGGGACCACACATGCATGCCATCATGCCTGGCTAATTTTTCTATTTTTTACTGAGACAAGGTTTTGCCATGTTGCCCAGGCTGGGATATAAACATTTTTTGAAATACATGATTGGAAATACTTTAAAATTCTTAATAGGAAAGGAGTGACAGACAAAGTATTTGACATTTGATATATGAAGGGTACTGACCAATTAGAACCCACACCAGGCATTACCTAGTATTTACCCAGTATAATTGCACAGATCCCATTAGAACTGACGCTAGGCATAAACTCTCAGTATGACAGTACTGACCAGTCAGAATGAACACTGGCACAAATACTGGGCACAAATACCAGTACAATTGTACCACCGCACAACAGCCCAAAATCAGCCCTCGAAAAAGTATGGGAAATTCACATGGTTCACGGGCTCCCTTAGCTCTCGGCATCCTCTAACAGTCTGAGAGGTTGGGGCTGCAGTGAGCTGTGATGGCACCACTGCACTCCACCTGGATGACAATGTGAGACCCTGTCTCAAAAAAACAAACACAAAAACAAAAAAATCCTTGCCACTCTAATTGTTAGCATCCTATCTTCCGAAAGGTTTAACTACCTTTGTCAATCTAACCGCCCACCTCATCCTTTACCTCAGTAGGTAACTCCTCCTTTCTTGCAGGTTCATTCATTCTTTTCAAGTTATAAAAAATATTTTTGAGCATCTACAAATGTTATAGAACAGAAGACTTTTAGGATCTCAAATCCATTACATTGCTTTCACAAGGGTTTGGCTGGTTTACAATAACACACTAGATACAATGAAGCTGTTAAAACTCAACTGCGGCTGGGCGAGGTGGCTCACATCTGTAATCCTAAAATTTGGGAGGCCGAGGTCAGGAGTTCGGGACCAGCCTGGCCAACATGGTGAAACCCCCGTCTCTACTAAAAAATACAAAATTAGCTGGGTGTGGTAGTGCACGACTGTAATCCCAGCTACTAGGGGGGCTGAGGCACAAGAAGCACTGGAACCCAGGAGGCAGAGGTTGCAGTGAGTGGAGATCACGCCACTACACTCCAGCCTGGGCAACAGAGCGAGACTCTATCTCAAAAACAAAAACAAAAACAAACAAACTCAGTTGCATCAGTCAGGATAAACTAGGGTTATCAAGAATTTATGGCCAGGTGTGGTGACTCATACCTATAAACTCAACACTTTGAGAGGTCAAGGTTGGAGGATCACTTGAGACCAGGAGTTAGGGACCAGCCTGGGCAATATAGCAAGACCCCATCTCTACCCCCACCCCCAAAAAAGTTTATTTTAAGGTGTTTTTCTTTTCTTTTTTTTTTTTCCTAAAGTTTGTTTCTTGCTCCTGCTACATCTTCAGACTGGCAAGGGGCTGTGCTCAGTATTCTCACTCAGGGGCCAAACTCATGGAGGCTCCATCTCAACTCACATCAGTGAACGCAGATGCAAGAGAAGGAAGTGTGGCAAAACACATACTAGATCTTAAGTTTCCACCAGGAAGTGACATATTTCATGTTAAAAGTGACGCTCATCACTGTCACCTACATTTCATTGGCCAAAGCAAATCACACAATCACACCCAACTTCAGAGGAGTCAGGGAGGTGCCAAATGACCATGCATCTAAAAGGATCATGGACCATGCATCTAATAATGACCACGAAGGTAAGACAACAAGGACCACACAGGGACAGTGAAGTGCAGCCGTTACCTTTCCCAAGTCCTCCATGGACATCCCTGACACTGCTGGGCCAGCCTCAGCTTGTTCCTCTAGTAATGAGAAACCCAATCTCTCTTTTTTTTTTTTTGAGACAGGGTCTCCCTCTGTCACCCAGGATAGAGTGCAGTGGCGCGATCTTGGCTCACTGCAACCTCTGCCTCCTAGGTTCAAGCAATTCTGCCTCAGCCTCCTGAATAGCTAGGATTACAGGCGCATGCCACAACATGGGCTAATTTTTGTATTTTTAGTAGAGACGGGGTTTCACCATGTTGGCCAGGCTGGTCTCGAACTCCCAACCTCAGGTGATCCGCCCGCCTTGGCCTCCGAAAGCGCTGGGATTACAGGCGTGAGCCACCCGCGCCCAGCTCCCTCAATACCTTTAAAAAGGGCTCCTTGCATGGAATTAGAACCAGCTGCCTGAGACCTCCCCCACATCACCCCTCGTTTTGTTCTGCAGAGCAACACGGAAAAAATCTAATTCCGATTGTATACGTCTTTAAATTACTGAAGAATACCTTATCATCTCTTTCTATGGGCTATTTTTCCTAAATCCCCCCCCCCCCCGCAAAAAAAAAAAAAAAAGGAAATGGGTAACGAAGAGGCATGGTCCCCGTCCTCTAAAAGCACGTGGTACTATTTAAAAGCAGCCCTTTGGTGCTTTTTTTTCTTTCTTTAAAGGAAAAAAAACAACTCCTCACCATGTTTTAGTTACTTTGTGTTACTCTCAGGATGCTAGGTTGCTCGCAATAAAACCAATTCAGGCTCTTTTTGAGATGGAGTCTCACTCTGTTGCCCAGGCTGGAGTGCAGTGGTGCCATCTTGGCTCATTCAACCTCCACTCCCGGGTTCAAGCGATTCTCATGCCTCAGCCTCCTAAGTAGCTGGGATTACAGGTGTGTGTCACCATGCCCAGCTAATTTTTGTATTTTTAGTAGAGACGGGCTCAAACTCCTGGCCTTAGCCTGCCTTGGCCTCCCAAAGTGTTGGGATTACAGGTGTGAGCCACTGCGTCTGGCCCAATTCAGGCTCTTTAAGCCAAAAAGAATTTAATGAAAGGATGTTAGGTAGCTCAGAAGACCAGTGGGAGGGCTGGAGAACCAGACTCAGGGGTCATGCCCTGATCCAGCTTGAGACAGACCCAGGCTCTATGGCGTCGGTATCTTTTCAATCTGTTAGAGCCTACCACAAGCCAGTCTGGTAAGGAAACCCCAGCTACTGTCACCACAAGTGCCACAGTTTGCCCCACTGACTCCAGGCACTGAAAGCTCCTGATGACAATTCTTCCCATGGCAGCTCTCTTCTTGCCACCCCCTCACACACACGCACATGGGCACACATACGCGCATATACATGCGCACGCAAGCGCGCGCGCGCACACACACACACACACACATATATATGTAAATATATATATATAAAAACATACATATATATACTGGCCGCCCCTACCACCAGAATGGATTGGTAGCCTCCTTATTTGTGTGTCCCACTACTTCCTGATTCTGAGTTGGGCAGTAGCACAGTTTAGCCGAATCTCAACCACATGCCTGATCCCAAGCTGCCGGAAAAGCCTAGGAAACCAACTGGCTGGCATCTCCCACTTCTCTGTTGGGAGATGACGAAAATAAATGAAACTTTAAAATATGAAGTATCTACCACATAGATGGCAAATACCACCAGACATCCTGTACATATGCAACTTTAAAAAGTCTAATTAAATACAGAAGAACTCGCCCATACTGCAGCCTTCGGAGGAATCATGACGGTACTGGCATTTTGTTTTGTTTTCACCCTGAGGTAAAAAATATGTGGCCCTGAGCTTCCCAGAAGTTATCCCAAAAAAAACCCTGGGTTGCCCACAATGCCCTGGAGAAGGGTGACAGAGCCCACCCCTTCAGCATGTGCCAGTGGCTTGGCAGGACCCAAAACGGCTGTTCTATTTCTTTAGACCTAACAAAGTGCCCAAAATATAGGAGATGTTCCAGAGAATCTTTGTGGGATTAAAAAAAAATTCTTTATCTGATTTGGCCTCACCACCATAAGCAGGGTATCATTTGCCCCACGACACAGATGACAAACTGAGGCTGAGGAAATTCTATGGCTTACGTAAGGGCAAAGGCAGTATGCAGCTAAACTGGCAACATAATCCCTGCATGGACAAGAAAGTGACGGTAGTATACACCCTGCCTAGTTTTTCTAAAAATTATTTTTATTTATTTATTTTTTGAGACAGAGTCTTGCTCTGTCACCCAGGCTGGAGTACAGTGGCGTAATCTTGGCTCACTGCAACCTCCACCTCCCAGGTTCAAGTGATTCTCATGCCTCAGACTCCCGAGTAGCTGGGACTACAGGCACACACCACTAAGCCTGGCTAATTTTTGTATTTTTAGTAGAGATGGGGTTTTGACACGTTGGCCAGACTGGTCTCGAACTCCGGACCTCAGGTGATCCACTGGCCTTGGCCTCCCAAAGTGCTGGGATTACAGGCGTGAGCCATCATGCCCATCCCCTGCCTAGTTTTTAACACCCTGTCATAATTTCCTTCATTAGATGAGCTTCACTGGTTTAATAAAAACCTGAGGAGGCCGGGCGCGGTGGCTCACGCTTGTAATCCCAGCACTTTGGGAGGCCGAGGCGGGCGGATCACGAGGTCAGGAGATCGAGACCATCCTGGCTAACACGGTGAAACCCCGTCTCTACTAAAAATACAAAAAAATTAGCCGGGCGTGGTGGCGGGCGCCTGTAGTCCCAGCTACTCGGGAGGCTGAGGCAGGAGAATGGCGTGAACCTGGGAGGCGGAGCTTGCAGTGAGCCGAGATTGCGCCACTGCACTCCCACCTGGGCCACAGAGCAAGACTCCGTCTCAAAAAAAACAAAAAAAAAAACAAAAAAAAAACCTGAGGAAATGAACCATCAAAGGGATAAAGTCATCAGGAAAATTCAACACCTAGCACAACTTCACAACTATCTGCAATAATTTTCCCATATAATTTAGCTCTTAATTTATAATGTTCCAGTTCTTACAGCTCATAAAAAATTACCCCAAAACTTAGTGGTATAAAACAATCATTTATTATGCTTACAGATTTCATGGATCAGGAATTCAGACAAGGCAGAGGAGGGGACAGGTTGACTCTGCTCCACAGTGTCTGGGGCCTCAGCTGGAAGCCTTGAAGGCTGGCGGCTGGAATCTTCTGAAAGCTTATTCACTCACATGTCTAGACGTTGGGGCTGGCTGTTGGCTGGAGGCCTCAGTTCTTTTCAGGGGCAGGCATCCTCACAAAGAGCCAGGCAGAAGCTGTATCCTTTTTTTGTCACATAGCATTACATTTGGCATAATGTATTTCATACATACATATATGTTTGTGTATGTATATGTGTATGTACATGTGTATGTACATATATATGTAATATATTAACTGTTGCCTTATAACCAATTACCTCAAAACTTAGTAACGTACAATCACAAACAGGCAAGGCATGGTGGCATGTGCCTATAATCCCAGTACTTTGGGAGGCCAAGGCAGGAGAATCACTTGAGCCCAGAGTTCAAAACCAGCCTGGGCAACATAGGGAGACCGCATCTCTACAAAAAATAAAATATTAGCCAGTGCTGGGCACAGTGACTCATGCCTGTAATCCCAGCACTTTGAGAGACTGAGGCAGGTAGATTACTTGAGGTCAGGTGTTCGAGACAAGCCTGGCCAATGTGACGAAACCCTGTCTCTACTAAAAATACAAAAATTAGCCGGGCGTGGTGGCGCAGTTTGTAGTCCCAGCTACTTGGGAGGCTGAGGCATGAGAACTTCTTGAATCCAGGAGGCGGAGAATGCTGTGAGCTAAGATCATGCCACTGCACTTCAGCCTGGGAGACAGAGCGAGACGCTGTCTCAAAAAAAAAAAAAAATATATATATATATATATATACACACACACACACACATGCACACACACACACACACACCCAACTTATATATTATATACATTTAAGTATATATAATATATATTTTTATTAGCCAGGCATGGAGGGGATACTGAGGCAGGAGGATTGCTTGAGCCCAGGCGTTCAAGGATGCAGTAAGCTATGATTGTGTCACTGCAATGGGCAACAGAGTGAGACCCTGTCTCAAAAAAATAAAAATAAAAGTAAATAAAACCACAAACATGTATGATTTTACATAGTTTCTTAGGGTTGAGAATGTACAAGCTGGGTTGTTCTGTTTCAGGGCCTCTCATGAGATTACAGGACTATGGTCATCTGAAGGCTTGAAGGGGTTGGAGGATCTTCCATCCAGCTCACACACAAGTGTTGGCAAGGGTCCTCTGTTCCTCACCATGCAGGCCTCTCCAGAGGGCTACTCTGACATGGTAGCTGGCTTCCCCCAGACCCACTGATCCGAGATGGAAGGTGAAGTGCCTTTTGTAACTTAATCTCAGAAGTGACATACCATCCCTTCTGCCCTGTCCTATTAGTTACACAGAGGACCCTGGGACAATGTAGGAGGGAAGTATACCAGCATGAGAATAACAGAAGGTGGGACCATTGGGGGCCTCCTTGGAAAGTACAACCTGCTAAACAGATATGGTTGCACGTATACATCTTCCTTCCCTTCCCTTTCGTTATTTTTTTTGAGACAGAGTCTTTCTCTGTCGCCCAGGCTAGAGTGCAATGGCACAATCTCAGCTCACTGCAACTCCGCCTCCCAGGTTTGAGCAATTCTCCTGCCTCAACCTCCTGAGTAGCTGGGACTATGGCGCACTCCACTACACCCAGCTAATTTTTGTATTTTTAGTAGAGACAGGGTTTTACTATGTTGACCAGGCTGGTCTCGAACTCCTGACCTCAGGTGATCCGCCCGCCTCAGCTTCGCAAAGTGCTGGGATTACAGGTGTGAGCCACCACGCCTGGCCCTTCCCTTCCCCTTTTAAAGTCCAAGTCTGTATTTTGTTCTGCTCCATCCCCACATCCTTGCTTTTTAGTATGCAGCAGGTACTCATTAAGTACTGGGTAGACAGATATTGTACAAGACATGAGTAGTGTTTGCACATAGCCAGCTTCCCTTTGTTCCGCCACATAGAGCACTTCTCAGTCCCCTGCAGTTGGATGGGCTTGTGACTACTAGCCAGTTAAACATGCATGGAAAGACCTGTGTCACTGCCACACTGAGGGAATGAAAGGCGGGGTTATGACTCTCTAGTCTCTTTCCTGCCATGGCATCCCACGAACTACAGATGTCAAATGCTCTGGCAAGTGTAGCTAACACATGAATAGCCTCAGTCTACTTCCGTCCCAAACCTAAGAGGCTGTACAGAATGGAGGCTCTGTCCCCTGGGAAGCAAGCTGCAGGCACATGAAAAGTGTCTGAGTTTTGGGGGAGTTGTTACTGAAGCCTGACCTGACCTATCCATATTACAGATCTACCATCTCTTTTAGCAAACCCGCTAGCCTCAAGTTGCAGATGGGGAAACTGAGGCTCAAAAAGGCCAAAAGACTAACCCAAGGTCATATAGCAAGTACATAGTGGAGGTGAGTTTTGAATTTGAGTCTTCTGTCTACTAGTTGAGGAGGTGGTATGGCATATCGATTAATTCCATGGAAGGGTGAGCCATAAACTTGACCTGAACCCTGAGGAGCAAATCACTAAAATTCTCTAAGCTCAATGATCTCAGTCTGTAAAATTGGGACATAATAATTACCTTCTTCAAAGGTTACCTTTGAAGATTATGAGGATTAAATGAGATGAACTCATAAATCATAAGCCCTTAACAAATGCTATATATTCTCATTATCATTTCCCTTATACTTCACCCTCTGAGCTAACTATATAGAGTTTCAGCCCTTTTCCTTCACCCTTCCCCTGATTCAGATCCTTTACAAGGCATTTTCCAATCAATTCCAAAGCCCCAAGACTATTTCCTCCATGGTTTCTCTTGGTAAAGATGTCAAGGTACTTTTTTTTTCCTACTCAAACATAACACATTTTCCATCTTTCTATTATTAGCCTTTCTCTGCCCAACATGCTTTTTTTGGGCATTTCTCATTAGTCCAGCTAGCCTGGTGACAGGATACAGCACTGTTGACTCAAGTTGGTAGACACAAAGCAAACCAGCTTCTCGCTCTGCCACCATTTGAGAACTTACAGCAAGAGAAAACTCTCAAGGAAAACAAAGCTTGATCTGCAAAGGTCACGTGTGTACCTACGCTGGGGGAAGAGACCTTTCCAAAGCTCTTTTTGTGTACTGGAAAAAACTCATTACCTGTTCTTCAGTATGGGAATAGTCAAATAAATGAGGACCCAGCCCCATAATAAAATACTATGTAGTCACCAAAAAGAATGAGGTAAGAATGTAGGAGTACTGACTGGGAACAATGCTGATGATACAGTTTTCAATGCAAAAAGCAAGTTCCACAACAATATACAGAGTACAATCCTGATTTTCGTAAAAGAAATACAATTTAATCAGGATACATACATATGTATGTAATTATACATATGCATGTCTATATGTACAAACATAGACAGACAACTATATATGGGGAAAAAAAAACCGGCCAGGCGCAGTGGCTCATGCCTGTAATCCCAGCACTTTGGGAGGGACAGGCAGGTGGATCATTTGAGGTCAGAAGTTCAAGACCAGCCTAGGCAACATGGTGAGACCCCCATCTCTACTAAAAATACAAAAATTAGCCAGGCATGGGGGCACAGTCCTGTAATCACAGCTACTCGGGAGGCTGAGGCAGAAGAATCGCTTGAACCCAGGAAACAGAGGGTGCAATGAGCTAAGATCGCACCACTGGACTCCAGCCTGGGCAACAGAGTGAGCCGCTGTCTCAAAAAAAAAAAAAAAAAAAAAAAAGAAAGGAAGAAAGAAAGAAAGAAAAGGAAAAAACGGGGGCTGGGCATGGTGGCACATGCCTATAACCCCAGCACTTTGGGAGGCCAAGGTGGGTAGACTGCTTAAGCCAACCTGGGCAACACGGCAAAATTCTGTCTCTATTAAAAAATACACAAAAATTAGCCAGACATGGTGGTGCATGCCTGTAGTCCCAGCTACTTGGGAGGCTAAGGCGGGAGGATCACTTGAGCCTGGAAGGTTGAGGCTGCAGTGAGCCGAGATTGCACCACTGTACTCTACCCTTGGCAATAGAGTGAGACCCTCGTCTCATTCAATCCTCACCATGTCTCTATGAGGTAGGTATAATTATCCCTGTTTTACCAAAAACTGAGGCTCAGAGTCAAGTGTTCAAAGTCACACAATTGAACATGCAGCAAAATACATTAGTTAACAGAATATGCAGTTCCTAAAATGTAGTCTGTTTGTACTTAGTAAACACTGTGCCATGATTTCTGCAAATTCACCTGCTTATCAAACTCGGGCTTCAGAGAGTCTTCAGTGAAGATGTGGAATTGGATCTTCCTGTGGCTAAAAAGCACAGCTGATTTGAGCATGACCAGCGTCTCCTCCAGCCGATTGCCACAGGCCACCACAGCCAGGTGGATCCAGAGCTCGGGTGGCAGCACAGCTTGGAAACTCCTGGGTTCTCCAGGCCTCCTAGAAAGAGGGAAAACAAGTGAAAGCTATTACTAAACTCAAAAAAGTAAAAACAACAAAAAACCGGCGAGTGAATGGTTAGAACATTTCAAAACATGATCAGGCACAATCTGTTATATTTTATAAAGTGATAAGCATTTTGACAATTCTTCCTGCTTAGAGAAAAATACCATTTATTCCCATATTTATCCTGGCAATAGCAGGATGAGTCACTGTTTGGACTGCTATAGGTGTCTGAGGCTTTTTCTGCCAGCACTCAGCTGTCTGGTGCCTGCTGGCTGCCTACTGGCCCATGTTTGGAAATAGTATTGCTAAACTTCGACAGCTGACACAAGGGCTGTGGAGCTCCCACTCGCACAGGCCGTGGAAATTAGATTTGAATGCAACTTGAACAAGAGGAGTGTGGGTTGTGGCTTTCCCATGTGAAACGAGCAACATGATATTCCCATCATCTGGATGTTTTTAGGTTGGGGTGGAATGCATGACCACTGGACCAAAGCAAGTCATGCAAGTCTGGGAGGTGAGCAAAGAAAACAACATATGCGCCCTGACGACATCTCAGGAGAGTCTTGAAGAAACAGGTGTTAATCCTGACCGTCTCGCCAATACTGGTGAGGTGGTGGGTATGAAATTCATCTTCCAGTATGAAATTCACATTAATGAGAAACAGGCAGGAGAGGGGGTAGGTTAATCTGAAAATGATCAAGGTATCAAATATTGAGTCAACAGCTGACAGAGGGATAGGGTCCAAGGGTCCAGAATCATCATCCAGCTATTTCCTAGTAATAAAAGATTTGTTCCAGACGAAGGGATGCAGCCAAGCCTCAAACACACCACTGAGAAACATTTGCAGTCAAGTTGGAAGAAGTTGGCCTGGAAAAGGTGCCCTGAGACAAATGAAACTAATTTACTTGCACAAAAGATTTGGAGACCAGGGGAACTTGGATGTCAAATGCTACCTTCCTTCCAAAAACTTCGAGTTCAATCAGCTTGCTGCTCCATTATTCACTGCATGGTTGAATAATGGCAGTCTTGCTCCAGATTTCTTTCACCAGGAGGAAAGTTGAAGATGTGGGTGGAGCATTTTGGAAAGGCTCCCAGTTTGATTACTTATGAGCATGCTTAGTAGAAGCACAGCCTCATGGCTCAGCTAAGACCAGATGCGGAGAGTTACTTGGATTCCATTTACTTCGGGGATCACAGGAAAAGACAGTAGAGACATCCCAAGTATCTCTGGAAATTGTCCACTTCTCTCCATTCTCCCTGCCATTATCTGGTGAGGCCACCATCTGCCTTCCCTTGGATCACTGAGACAGCCCTCTGGGTGGTCCACCTGTCTCCAATCTTATCTTTAACCCCCAGCCTATGCTTTCTCCTGGTTGGTGCCAGGGTGATGTTTCTCTAAAGTGCAAATAGGATTGTGTTATTCTCTTGATTAAAATCATGCAAGGGCTCCCCGCTGTCCCCAAGATCAAGTCCAAGCTGCTGACTATGGCTCCTACTTGTATCTCTCACAACTGCCCACAGCACTCCAACCTGGAGAGACGGCCATTCATAATCATAGTCATATTCTGTTTCACTTCCAGTGCAGGTGACCACACTGTGTTGGCTCCAGGTCTTGGCACATACATTGCCTGTCTCTCTTTATTTCAGAAATGCTCTTCTTTGCCCTCTTTTCCTTGCTAACTTCAGACCATTTATTAATCAACAAATCTTTACTAAGTACTGTTATGTGTAGGCATTATTCTAGGAAGACAGTGAACAAAACAAAGACGCCTGCACTGGAAGAACTTACGTTCTGCAGGGAATAAGGGAAACACAAAAATAAGTAAGAGTCAAAGTGGATGGTAACTAAATAATTTATATAGAAAGCTAGACAGTAATAAGTACTATGAAGGTAATACATAGTGAAGCAGGATGGGGGTGCCAGGAGTGGCTGGCGGGCTGGGGCAGTATATTCCCTACAGTGCCAAGTTGGAAAAGGCCGCACTAAGGTGAGCTCTGCAAATGACCTGCAGGAGGGGAGGTAGCGAGCCATGTGCACGTCTAGGGGGAGGAGCATGCCACGCAGAGGGGACAGCAGAACAAAGGCACTAAATCAGGGATCTTCCTGAACAAAGTGAGGACCCCCGCCTGCAAGACTCACAGGCCTGGTCTCTTCCTTGGCTTCATGGTTGGGTTTTCATGTTTGCTATTTAAGTCAACTCCCAAGTCACATGTAAAGGGATGTGGAGATGTTAAAGATAATGCTAAAATGACAGTCAATTTCTAAAAATCAGTCAAGACACTAGCTGAAATACACTACGAAAAATTATGCCCAATATTTAGGGATATGCATATGATTCAAATGGACTAACACCATAAAGGCAATCACTTAGATATCTTAAATATGAATACCCTCACCTGCCCCCAAACAGAATGACTCCATCTAGTTTAGCTTTACATATTGGGCTTCTGCCAAGGATAACAAGTTTTAATCTTAGTAATCAGGGAAGTACAAATCCAAATAATAAAGAGATTTATTTTTATTTTCAGATTGGCAAAAACTACAAAGTAAAATAGAAGCTGCACCATATTGAGCTTTCATGTGGATATGGGGCAGGGAACAGCTCAGGCGCTGGTGGGGGCAGTGTAAGTTGGACTGAACACTTTGGAGAGCCATTTGGCAACATAGAGCACAGGTGAAGATGGATGTACACCTTCCACCCCCGCAGTCCAACTCCTGCATATATAACCTGAAGAAACTCTTGCACATTTGCACAAGACCTATGCAAGAATGTTCACAGCAGCTCTGTTTATTGAAAATGAAAAATAGGAAATAAACTTCAGTGACTATGCAAAGGAGAAAAGTGAATATATTTGCTATGTTTTTAAAGTGAATACCATATAGCAGTGAAAAAAAATAAACCAGACTGGCATGTACCAACGTAAGGCCAAAGAGAATGAAAAACAACAGGCCAGTGCGGTGGCTCATGCCTATAATCCCAGCAGGAGTTCGAGGCGGGCAGACCACTTGAGGTCAGGAGTTCGAGACCAGCCTGGCCATCATGATGAAACCTCGTCTCTACTAAAAATACAAAAATTAGCTGGTTGTGGTGGCGTGTGCCTGTAATCCCAGCTACTTGGGAGGCTGAGGCAGGAGAATTGCTTGAACCTGGGAGACTGAGGTTACAATGAGCTGAGATCGTGCCACTGCACTCCAGCCTGGGTGAGAGTGAGACTCTGTCTCAAAGAAAACAAATGCAGGACAGTGGTTATTTTCTTTTTCTTTTCTTTCCTTTTTTTTTTTTTTTTTTTTTTTTGAGACAGAATCTCACTCTGTTGCCCAGGCTGGAGTGCAGTGGTGCAATTTCAGCTCACTGCAACCTCAGCTCACTGCAACCTCCATTTCCCAGGCTCAAGCAATTCTCATGCCTCAGCCTCCCAAGTAGCTGGGACTACAAACCGAAGGCCATCACACCTGGTTAATTTTTTTTTTTTTTTTTTTTTGTATCTTTAGTAGAGATGGGGTTTTGCCAGGCTGGTCTCGAATGCCTCGCCTCAAGTGATCCGCCCACCTTGGCCTCCCAAATTGCTGGGATTACAGGGGTGAGCCACCATGCCTGGCCGGATAGTGGTTATTTCTGATTAAAATCTTATTCCTTAAGCCAAGTGGTGGGCACTTCATTTTGTTATTATCTATATTTTTTGTGGCCCCAAACCATTTGACTTTTTTTTTTTTTAATTAAAAAAAAAGCATGCACTGTTCTGCAAGACAGCAGGCCACCTCTTCTCTTCTTTGCAGGCTTCAGTGATTTGGGTCTGCACAGTACAAAAAGCAGGGGCTAGGGACGACAATCATTCACAGTGTCTGGTGACAGGTACTAAAGAAAAATAAAACCTCTCCTGGTGCCAGTTCAAGTATCAGTGGTTGGGATTTAATGAGACCTTTGCTGGCCTCACCCTATTACTTCTCACATTACATGAAAAATCTCAGGCTTTAGGTAATCAGTGTTAGTGCTGTGCAGTCACAATGCATAATAAAGTTTAAGGGCACTGGCACGGTGTGCCTTTCACCAGCTCCTACTGATGGCACTCTCAAATGTCAATCAAGATTGTGAGGATCCAGGGGAGGAGTGCAGTCTAGGGACCTAGGACTTCTTAACCCCTTGAATGACTAGGATTGGGCAGGGAATGGGTGATAGGGAATTCTAGCACTGCTGTGACTGATGGTTAATAACGTTCTTATTTTTACTTTATAAAAGGGGACTGGAGTGAACATTTGCTGTCCAGGAATTTTAAGGACCTGTTGCTAAGGCAGGGGCTGATGGCAACGATCCTGGTAACCATGCTGGTACAGCCTGAACAGGAGTCAGCTTATCACAGTGGAAAAGCAGAGTCAGATGATGGCAGGGCAGATCTCTGGTGATACCACCTGGATCTAGGTGCATCTGACCCTAATCTTAGGTAGTTTAGTTATTAAGCCAATAAACTCCCTTTTGCTTAAACCAATTTGAAACAAACTTACAACTTAGCAATCAAAATAAGAGTCGTAACGAAGGTCCTAAAAAGATGTTCCCAATCAACTTTGACTCTTCCTGCCTCGCTCATATTCACCTGATTTATCCTTTGAAATGCCCACTGAACCCATTCCCTCCTTGTTGCTCACTGCTATGACCCTTACCCAAATCCTGACCATTCTTCCAGTTTTGTGGCTGGAAGAGATGCCAAACACCATGTAGGGCAGGGGATTCCCTACCTGGCCATGCATCATAATCATCTGCAGTGTTTGTTATTTTGCAGACTCCCAACTCACAGAGATTCTGATTCCATGGGTCTTGGGTGAGGCCCTGGAGTCTGCATATTAACACACTTGTACTACACACCACCCATAGTTCAGCTATGGTCAGGAACCAGGGATCTGAGCTCAAATCTCACCTCTCCTCCTTTCCTTAAGACTTACATTCCCAGAAATGGAATTACTGGGTTAATATCTATGATCCTTTCAAGAAAGTAGCAATTTTGATAGTTTCTCAAGTTTACCCAAGTTCTAAAGGAAAGCATCAGACTATGAGAAGAAAACAAAAAGCGTAACAAACACTACCCTAGCCATCTCTGGATTACTTGTATTATGTAAGTGGAAATGGTCTTGCGTAAGACCTATTGCCTCCTAATTCCATGTATTCCAATGGGGTGATGCATAGGTGCTAGTAAACATTGAGACTCCAATGCAGCAAATAACACTGAGTCACACAGGGAGAAAGCTATTCCATTTTCAGTGCTTTTTCAACAACACCAACAACAATAAAGTCTCAGCTTGATGCTTTTTAAGAATTTTAATATTTTCCTATTATTTTTTGTTTTGTTTTGTTTTTTGAGACGGAGTCTCACCCTGTGGCAAAGGCTGGAGTGCAATGGTGTGATCCCAGCTCACTGCAACTCTATCTCCCAGGTTCAAACGATTCTCCTGCCTCAGCCTCCCGAGTAGCTGGGATTACAGGTGCCCACCACCACACCCAGCTAATTTTTGTATTTTTAGTAGAGATGGGGTTTCATCATCTTGGCCAGGCTGGTCTCAAACTCCTGACCTCGTGATCCTCCTGCCTTGGCCTCCCAAAGTGCTGGGATTACAGGCATGAGCCACCATGCCTGGAAGTACAGGCATGAGCCACCGCACCTGGCCTTTCTTATTTATTTTATTTATTTATTTATTTATTTTGGTAGAGATGGGATCTCACTATATTGCCCAGACTGAACTCCTGGGCTCAAATGATCCTCCCACCTTGGCCTATCAAAGTATTGGGATTACAGGCGTGAGCCACTGCACTCGGCTCAGCTTGCTGCTTACATGTCTTGAACACTTTTCTGATATTATCTAATCCTCCCTTTCAATTGAAAAGACACTGTAACCTTCAGCAGGAAAGAATACCAAGCTAAAAATGACAACATTCAGTGTTCTTAGTGTTTGATTTGACAATTATCTTCTATTTATGTTATCACTGACAATTTCTGGCTTTCTGATATAAAGTTTCTTTTAAAAATAAATGTACTTAGGATGTGGAGAAACTAGGATCCTCAAACATTGCTGGTGGGATTAGAAACTGGTACAGCCACTTTGGAAAACAGTTTGGTAGTTCCTGAGAATGTTAAATATAGAAGGTACCATATGACCCAGAAGTTCCTTTTCTAGTTATATACCTACAGGAATTGAAAACATGTGTCCACATAAAAGGTTGTACACAAATGTTCAAATAGCAGCATTATTCCCAATAGCCAAAAAGTCCAACTTAAATGTCCATCAACTGGTAAACTGATACATCAAATATGGTATATCCATACAATGGAATAGTATTTGGCAATAAAAAGGAATCAAGTATGATAACGATGCATGCTACAACATAAATGAACCTTGAAAACAGTAAACCTGTGAACATAATGACAATGTAAAAAGCCACATATTTTATGATTCCACATATATGAAAAGTCCAAAATAGGCAAAGCCACAGAGACAGGAAGTAGATTAATGAGGCTGGGTGCGGTGGCTCACCCCTGTAATCCCAGCACTTTGGGAGGCTGAGGCGGGCGGATCACTTGAGGTCAGTAGTTTGAGACCAGCCTGACCAACATGGAGAAACCCCATCTCTACTAAAAATATACAAATTAGCTAGGTGTGGTGGTGCATGCCTGTAATCCCAGCTACTCGTGTGGCTGAGGCAGGAGAATTGCTTGAACCCAGGAGGCGGAGCTTGCAGTGAGCTGAGATCATGCCACTGCACTCCAGCCTGGGCGACAGAGTGAGACTCTGTCTCAAAAAAAAAAAAAAAAAAAAAAAAGCGAAAATGTTCTGAAATTCTATGGTGATGATGGAACAATTATTTGAATAAACTAAAAACGATGGAATAGTATACTTTTTTTTTTTCTTTTGATGCAGAGTCTTGCTCTGTAGCCCAGGCTGGAGTGCAGTGGTGCGATCTTGGCTTACTGCAACCTCTGCCTCTCGGGTCCCAGTTCAAGCAATTCTCCTGCCTCAGCCTCCTGACTAGCTGAGATTACAGGCATGTGCCACAATGCCCAGCTAATTGTTTTTTTTTTTTTTTTTGAGACAGAGTCTAGATCTGTCACCCAGGCTGGAGTACAGTGGCATGATCTCACCTCACTGCAACCTCCGCTTTCCAGGTTCAAGCAATTCTCCTGTCTCAGCCTCCTGAATAGCTGGGACTACAGGCACCTGCCACCACGCCTAGCTAATTTTTGTATTTTTAATAGAGACGGGGTTTCATCATATTGATCAGGCTGGTCTTGAACTCCTGACCTCAGGTGATCTGCCCACCTCAGCCTCCCAAAGTGCTGGGATTACAGGGGTGAGCCACCATACCCGGCCAATTTTTTGTATTTTTAGTAGAGATGGGGTTGCACCATGTTGGCCAGGCTGGTCTTGAACTCCTGACCTCATGATCTACCCACCTTGGCCTCCCAAAGTGCTGGGATTACAGGCGTGAGCCACCGTACCTGGGCCGAATTGTATACTTTTAAAATGTACTTGAGTTAAACTGCAATAAAGTTATTAAATAAATAAATACATTAATGCACTTAACATTTATAACATGGATAGATGTCGTAAAAATTTTTAAAGCAGGTAATGGTAGTATAGCAATATTATAAGAATTGTGGGCTGGGTGTGGTAACTCATGCCTGTATTCCCAGCACTTTGGGAGGCCGAGGCGGGTGGATCACCTGAGGTCAGGAGTTTGAGACCAGACTGGCCAACATGGTGAAACCTGGTCTCTACTAAAAACACAAAAAGAAGTAGCTGGGTGTGGTTGCGGGTGCTTGTAATCCCAGCTACTTGGAAGGCTGAGGCAGGAGAATCGCTTGAACTGGGGAGGTGGAGGTTGCAGTGAGCCGAGATTGTGCCATTTGCATTCCAGCCTGGGCAACAAGAGTGAAACTCCGTCTCAAAAAAAAAATAAAATTGTGATGCCATGTGGGAATGAGTGAAGTTTGTAAAACGTTGCCCTAGTTGTCCTGGCTCAAGTGTTCCCCATGCTCAAATGAAAAATGATATTCAGAATAACACAGAAGCCTAGGAGGGAGAAGCAACTTCCATGCTTCCTCTCCAGGGTGCCTGAGACAAGCGTCTCCTTAATCGCTTAAAAGTCTCAAACGTGCGACTTAATTAAACTTCAATTTCTGGAGTGTATAAATAATGAAATACGGCATTTATGTGTAGTGCTATTTACTTTGTAGCCTATTACTGCAAAACACACTGAATTATTAAAGTGAGTAATTGGTTCTACTCAGACCCTCTTTTCTGCCATCTCCTGCTACTTCTCTTATCAGCGCTTCTCCTGAACTGTCAAGCTAAATTAACTCAGGTGAACCTGAGGCTGCCATACAGACTAGCAGGGTAAGTTGGATGGAAAATCGCACTTCTTTCAAATACAGCCCTAACCCATGCTGTTGGCCACTAGTTTTACTTACAGAAGGAAACAGAAATATGTGGGGGAAAAATGGTAGAAGATGAATTTTAAGAAGCTGAATACCCTCACCTTATGGGAAGAATAGATTAGTGATGTCCCCCTCCCTAGTGGAGTATTTTGCAAGATGAAACCGTTTTTGCTATTTTAACAAGGAGAAAGTCTGCAAATGAGGAGAGAGTGGCAGTTCAGGAAGCAGAAACAACACCTTGATATGGCCCCTAGAAGAAGAGTCCGGCGATGGATAATTATAGCCATGTCAAGTGTTGGCAGTTGAGAGTTACTACTAAAGTTCCCTGCAAACCACAGGCTTTGGAAAGCATGAATCCCGACAAAAATTTTCTCCCTTGACGTCATGATTAGACTCTTCGCTCAGAACCCACACATGACACTAAGGACTTTGCTAACAGTTAAATCACTTTTAATGACCCATGGTTTCGAGTTAAATCAAATATCATAAATCTTTCAAGATAGAAGAGCTGGCATTTGCCTTGAAGTCATGGTGTTACATGAATAATGCCAAGAGAGTGCCAAAAAACTCCATGAAGGGGGCTTCATGACATTATTTGATAAATGCATTTAGTTATTAATAGTACATATTTAGCTTGGCTCATGATATCTGAAATGAGGCTGTATTCTTAAACAAAGTCTAGGTCTAACGCATGGGAGGTGTTCAGAGCCTAAAGTTGGTAATTACAGCTATGTGTATACGTGTGTGTGTTTGCTTTTAGACATCATCGTGCACATACATAAGCTTTAAAACTAGTAAGTGTCACAGCAAGGATTCAAACCCAGAGAGGGGGACTTAAGAGGCCATGCCTTTAATCTTTATGTTGTATTTGGAACCACATACAAGTAAGTTAGAAAAAGAGCCCTCTCTGGCCGGGCGCGGTGGCTCACGTCTGTAATCCCAGCACTTTGGGAGGCCAAGGCAGGCGGATCACCTGAGGTCGGGAGTTCAAGACCAGCCTGACCAACATGGTGAAACCCTGTCTCTACTAAAAATACAAAATTAGCCGGGCATGGTGGCACATGCCTGTAGTCCTAGCTCCTCAGGAGGCTTAGGCAGGAGAATCACTTTAACCCGGAAGGCGGAGGTTGCAGTGAGCTGAGATCGCACCATTACACTCCAGCGTGGGCAACAAGAATGAAACTCCATCTGAAAAAAAAAGAAAAGAAAAGAAAAAGAGCCCTCTCTGAGCAGATGAAGCCCCTACGCAAGGCTCCTGGCATGGACTGGATTTCAGTCTCCCATGCCTCCCCGGGTGCTCGGGTGCAGGGAACGATCTCCACAACAGACCTTTGCCAACTCTACCTTCCTAACCCACCCCATCTGCCATTCGCAGAGGTTATTCACATTTGTGTTGATTTATTCCCCCTCCAGAATTCTATGAAGGCACCTGGACTATTCTCATTTCATTTTTTCCCTTATGATTGTTCCTGACATATAGGAGATTCTATTTCTCCATCTCCTTCTTCTTTCCAAATTAACATGTTATTGAGATTTTAAAATATGAATCTGCAGCGCTAGTTTGAAATAAATGGCTGTTGACATACGAGGGAGAAGAATTAGATGAGGATTACATATTTCACAAAGGGGCATTTCTGTCTCATTTCCTGAAAAAGAACATGAAAGACTTTAAAGCTTAGAGGGGGGAAACGAAGAAAAATGGTCTCCCCAACTAATTTCCAGCTTCCTAAGCCTCAGGCCATCAAGGGATTTTTAATTTTTATGGTAATTTATATACTTTAAATTGCTTAATGCATATACAAGTAGTGCATATATCATAGAAAAAATTTTAAATACCACTAGCAAAAATGAGGGGCACTCAATTCCAATTTCATAACTACTGTTAAAATTTTGGTATACTGTCTTCCAGAGTTATACCCAATATATGTGGGTGTGTGTATATAAATATGTAAATATATAAAAACTTTTAAACTTGAAGTAGGATAATTTTCATACCTTGCTTTTTTCCTTACAAATCTGAACAATTACAAAAAACTAGAGAGGTTCTAACAAAAAACTAGAGAGGTTCTAGAAAGCTATCAAATGGTTCAAATTGTGAGATTTGTTCTCAGCTACAGCATGGTGGTTAGCAATTTTGCTGTAAAAGCACATGGACCTGGCTTCAAATTCTAGGCCTGCCACTTGACTGTCCTATCTTGGGCAAGTGCTTTAACCACCTTTAGCCCTCAGTTTCCTCATCTGTAAAATGGGCATACCACTGATAATGGACATCTGCTTTGGGTTTTGGGGTTTCTTACTGGCATCCATTTTTAGGACTTTTTGGTAAAAGCATCTTAATTTTATTTTGGGGACACCACTCTTTTTCTGTTCTCAGTCCATGAGGCTTGGAGGGGATGAATGAGCTGCCCCTCACCCCACCAGCTGTAAGCACATTTCACTTGTAGCCATCGGTGATTGGAAACACATGTTATTCAAGTGAGGTCAACAGAGGCAGCCCTGGGACTTTTGCTGGATGGAATTTTTCCCTTAGGGGCTACCAGAAGAGGAGGTTGCACACCCAGACCTATTGGGAATTGTTACATGGAGAAAATTTACCTGAGAGTGTCACCCACACAGAAGGAAGCAGAGCTAAAAGGAGGCAAGATTGTTAGAAATCCTGGCTTCACTTGCGACTGAAGCTTTATCTCTTTGCACTTTCCAGTTTTATGAGCCAGTTAAAACCCCTTTTATGACTAAGTGATACAAACAGATGAGCTGGTATTCTATCACGTGCAACTGAAAGAGTTCTGCCCTATCCAATATGAGTTCCTACCTCCTAGGTTATTATGAAGATTAAGTGAAATAATGCAGTGAAGTGCTTAATAAGGTACGTGGCATATTTTAAGTCATCATTCAATATTAGTTATCATCATCATTATTACTATTAACATGACATTCATCAAAAGCCTTCATTTTTCTCTAAATATGTTATATCCATGCCAAAACCAGGCTAGGCAGGGCAGCAAAAAGCATGTTATTTTATGTGTCAACATTCTACCTTACTACAAAACGGATTTGAACTGCTAGTAAACATTTTTTTTTTTTTAATGTGAGACAAGGTCTCACTCTGTCACTCAGGCTGGAGTGCAGTGGCGCTATCTCGGCTCACTGCAACCTCTGCCTCCCGGGTTCAAGCAATATCTCTTGCCTCAGCCTCCAGAGTAGCTGGGATTACAGGCACCTGCCACCATGCCCGGCTAATTTTTGTATTTTTGGTAGAGACCAGGTTTCACCATATTGGCCAGGATGGTCTCGAACTCCTGATCTCAAGCGATCTGCCCGCCTCAGCCTCCCAAAGTGCTGGGATTACAGTCTTAAGCCACCGCGCCTGGCCACACTCCTTCAGCTTTTAATGAGTACCAGGAGACTGAGATTGGTGTATCCTTTATTATATATAGAAGCTGAGTCTCAGTTTCCTCAAGTCATACCTACCCCCACAAGAAAAGGCTGCTTGAATCTGCATCTTTTTTAAAAGATATAAAACTGAAATAGAGATGGGTGTCTCACTATATTGCCTAGGGTGGTCTCTAACTCCTGGGCTCAACCAATCCTCCTGCCTCAGCCTCCCAAAGTGCTGGGATTACAGGCATGAGCCACCAGGCCCAGCCTTGAATCTGTAGCTTAGCCCTTGCTAACACTTGCTGGGAGTTTCTGGTGTGGCATGTTCGGTGTCAGCACTTTACCTGCATTGTCTCATTTTGTCACTGAGCTTATTTCTGAGAAAGCCACAATTTGCTGAGGACCGACTTGTTCAAAGTCACGCGGGTACTTAGCTGGGTCTAGTTATGGCTCAATTCCTAATGCAATGATGGATAATAATAGTACCCAGAACAGCAAATCATTTGGTGACTCCTATGAGCTAATCTACTGTGCTAGGTGCTTTATGTACATTATTATTTCACCTCTCGGATCTCAGTTTTCTGACTCATAAAAGAGAGCCATATTTTGGATTATGTATTCTCTATTGTCTTATGTAAAGCTTGGATTATAAATTGTACCATATGAGATTACAGTCTCTCATGTTGCTAAAAGAGATGGGGGATCATCTAAAAGTCACTTGAAATATATCAAGGTTACTCTTTTCTGGCACAAAATCAGCAACTCCCAATGAAGGTATCATGTCAAAAAACTTCTTTTTCCAAGAGGAGTTTTCGGAACTTCATAATTTGAAATAAATGCTGGGGAATATTTAAGGGAAACATAAAATGAATAAATGAATTCTATCTTCAACAGAAGTCTCTTTTCTTTTTATTATTTGTAAAATTGTGCTAAAATACATACAACATAAAATTTTGTCTTTTTTTTCTTTACAGTGAATTATAAATGAAGTATTCCTAAGGAAAACAAATCTGTTCTCAAATTCTCTTCCAAAGACTCTCACCTGTGAGTTTTAAAAGGAACCGTGTCAATATGGCCAATATTTACTGAATTTAGTAAAGGTGTTAAAAGCAGGTGCTACATATTCAAATTAGTCAGGACTCTCTGGTAGCAAGTAACAAATGCAAGTCAAACTAGATTAAGAAAAAAAGGGGAACTCATTACATCACAGAATCTAGAAAAGGTTGAGACAGCACAGCCAGTGAAAGGCAAGAAGCTGGCCTTGGGAACAGTGTTGGGAGCTGCCCCCCAACCCCGCCACCAGCCCACCTGACCCCACTCCGCCCTACCCCATCTGGGTTGCTCTGCGTCACTTCTCATCTCTCCATATCATCTTGGTTTTCATGAGCTCCTATTGCAGAACAGCCTTCTCCACTGGCAGAAATACAGTTGCAATCCCTGAGTTGCATAATGTAAAGCTTCAGCCACTAGAAACAGTTTGCCCTTACGCTGTTCCCTTAGCCCTCTGTTGTGCCAAACCCCTATTAACCTCAATGGGGAAAGCACCAGGTTCAAGAGGCTGAAGAAAAGACCCAGAGCCAGCAAACGAGACCTGGCGTTTTACTGGGGGCTTCCATACAGGGGAGAGAGTCCAGTGGCAATGGGCTGGGCAGGAGGACCGCCTTACATACAGTCCAGTGGCAGTGGGTTGGACAAGATGACTGCACAGCCCAGTGGGGAAGGGCTGGGCAGAAGAACCACAATTGTTTGCAAAAGGTGTGCAGTTTACATATTATAGCGTTTTCACTTGCCATCCTCCCCTCAACAACCTCCACCTGGCAATCTTCATGCAACCCAAAACTCAAGGCCTTAATCCCCTGTATAGCCCGTGTTCCACGGGGCAGGACGAGGGCTCAGATGTTCCTCACTGAATGTAAGACTGACTCTCTGGGTTGGCCACTCCAGGATTCCCTAGGTTGGAACACACATTCAGGTGCGGCTGGCATGCAGGGTCATTCTAAGGGTATGCTCAAGCTATTGCTATCAGGTACATTTACCATATAGTCTCTGATCCCAATTTTTAAAAATCCTTAAGAAAAGTCTGATTTTGCTCAGGAACCTACCTCTGGTAAGTCACCCGCAGGTTTTGATAAAGTCAAGTGCACATAACGGCTGCTCTAGGGTGTGGTGGATGCTCACTTCCTGGGTGCCCCCACCCAACTATTCCCCTTTCTCTCCATCAATAGTCCCAAGATTTTGATTTAAAAGAACCATCTAGTTCAGCTAAGATGATTTTGGATGCAGTAACAGAACCCTCAACTCCAACACAGGGCCCAAGAAACGTTAGACCTCAGGATGCCTTGATTCTGGGACTCAGCAGTGTCCTCAAGGACCTGTATTTTCTTTTTCTACTGCCCAAACAGATGGCTTCATCCTAAAGGCGATTCCCTTATGAATATGGTGGCAGCTGGGGCTATTTATTTCCTTGGTTGTATCTAGAAGATGGAGTCTTTTGTTTAATAATGTAAAATAAGTTCTTTCCTTCTGGCTGATTGGGCCAGTTTGGGTCATATGACATACCTGTGGACCAATAGCTGTTGGCAGAGAAATGAATGTATTGACAGGCTTAGTACTGGATACAAGAAGCTCACACTATGAAAGGCATGGATCATGATGGTGGGCTTAGACACTCCCTTGGGGTGACACAGTGAGACACTATCTCAAAAAAAAAAACCCAAATAATAAAAGTAATAAAAAATAAAACCTATTTAAAAGGAAAAACATTCCTCTCTTTTAATGGTGTTACTATTAAAGACCCTCACTATTCTTCGAAAGGGTATGGGACTATTTTGAATATTATTAGATAATAAGGAACTTAATACTATAAGTAAATCTTGGAACACGGCTGGCACAGGCAGGTCCTGCACCCATTCATTAGTTCATTCAACAAGTATTTATTGAATATCTGCTATGAGATCATCTATCTCTGTTTTAGGAGTTAGTGAAACAGTGATTTAAGGAGATCACTGTTAAGTGTACATGAGGGGGCAGGAGCAAATAACATACAATATTCACACAATGAGTGCTGTGAAAAACAAAAGACTACACAGGGTAAGGAAGAAGAGAGTGATGGAGAGGAGTACTCGAGCGGCTAGCAGGACCCCTCTCAGGAGAAAACATTTGAGCATAGTCCTGAAAAAAATGGAGGAGTTAGCCGTGTTAGGATGTGCACAAACATTCCAGCACAGAGAGATGCATGCTGCTGAAGCAGGAATGGGCTTGGTGTATTTGAAGCCCAGTGTGGCTGAAGCAGAGCAAGTGAATGGAGAGTGGTAGGAGAGGAGGCCAGAAAACTAAATGGAGTTGAGATCAGGCAAGGGCTCAAAGGCCACACTGGGAAACTTAAAGTTATTCTTAGTGTGACAGGAAGTCAGTCACTGGAGGGCTTTAACCAGCAAATAGGTGGACCCCATCTGGTCTACCTATCAGATTATTGAAGCGGCCGTAAGGAAAATGGACTGTAGAGGGCGCTAGAGTGGACCCACACAAACCAGAGAGTAGGCACCTGCAGGTGTCCAGCTAGGGAATGATGGTGGTTAGGAGCTCAGTAAGTAACTATGGAGTGGAAATGGTGGAACTGGGGACATATTTTTGAGACAGAACCAATAGGGCTTACTGACTGAGTAGGTGTGGAGGGTGATCGAGGGGATTCATGGACCAATCAACAAAAATGAATTGTGGATAGAATCAAGACTCACACTACATAATATCATAGATGGTACTCAAGATCCAGACACCTTTAATGTGCTCTGGGGCTATTAGCTAATTATAGGATGGCCATAGATGAAGCATTTTGCTACAGAACACCATCTCTTTTTAGCGAGACCTTTATTCAGGTTTGAACACTCTGAGAAGACTTATCTCAGACACTAAAGGGAACTGCAGGAAATGGTGCCTCTTGATGAGACACATGCTTCCTTTCATTGGAGCAGCTGGGGAGGCTGCCAAGTGTAATGTGTTTCTGTATTGTCTCCTTTCCCTCAAATTCTGGGAGGGCAGCAACTCCATTCACCATTGTACCAGGAGTGCCTGGCAGAGTAAATGTGCAATCACGTTTGCTGAATGACTATGGAATAAAATGGCAGAGGAAAACTACAGGGCTTAGAGGTATCTTAAGTCTCCCTTAGAAGCCATATTTTAAGAGAAACAACAATATCCAGGCCAACACAGAAAAAAAGAATAAAGTTCAGGACAGGGTTGCGGTTGAGTAATCAGTAAGAGCGCTAGGATGGAGCCCATAAATGAGAAACAGTGATTTTGCAAGAGTTAGCACAAAGGGCCATGCAATAACCATTGTTGGGATTTTGCTGCTAAACTTGATGATCTCATCATAGGATCATCAAATGTCTGAGCTGGAAGATATCTTAGACAACTTTTGGATTAACTTGCTCATTTCACAGATGAAGAAAATAAGGTGAAATGGCTTTGGACTAGAACCCAATTTGCTGGACTCCACATGCCAAATTCTTTTCAATATTGCACTGATTAGCAGTTAACCTTCCTTTTCTGTATGTAGGCTCAAGGAGGAGTTTTCAGAAGCAAGCTAGAGTCTTCTAATGTCTAAAATCTGTTCCCAAGTACAATTCTCATTTTATCATTCAGTTTCATGAAAAAAAAAAATCTCTCTTGATAAACCTTTCCTCTTGTTCAGTGAAAATGAGGCAGCCCATCATGGTTCCCTTTTTGAAATGGCTGCCAGGCTTAAATTGAACACTTAATCCTACTAACAAAGGTACTGTTTATTTTTGACAAACAGTATTTATTTACCCCTCTTCTTTATGACTTTTCATTTTTTATACCATTTCAATGGACTTATTGTATATGTGTCTTTTACTATACGTTGTCTTAGACTCTTTTTGGAAGTCAGCCAGCTGTAAATCACCAATAAGCCAAAATAGAAGGAAGATTTCATTTGTTTTGTGCACTGGGACTGCTGCTTCCAGAATGGTGTCCATTTTCAAATCCCCCCTTGACAGAAAAGCTCAGACCTTACTTACCTCTTGGCTTTATATTTATAGAGAAGGAGGCCACCACAGGGCAGATTGCATACAAATGACTAGTTACAAAATTGAAGGGTCTGCCTACTAACGAGGCAAATCCTTGGAAACTTCTGTGAAATGAAAACAAGATGTGGAAGGAGAGTGCTATGTTTCCTGCGTTGACGTGGCAGAATTTCACTTACAGCAGCCCCCTGTGGGAGGCGAGGCAGCACAGGCTGTGGATGGTAAGCAGGTGGTGGACTGTGTCACATCCAACTCCAGGCTCTCAGCTAACTACAACCACAAGCCTGACCCTCCCCAGGCCAGAGAAATGAGATCACGTAGCCTTCATCTCTTCTGGATTCTAGCCATGTAAAGAGATTAAAGCACTCGTTTTCTGAAAACACGAGGCTTTCTCTTCCCTCCCTAAATGAAATTCCTCCTAAACCACAAAAATTTAACCCAAGCAGAATTAGGAAAGCAATAAAGGAGACCGAGCAGAGATCTTTCCTCCTGCTCCCTCACAACTTCAGAATCTTCTGTTGCCATTTCTGTGGAGGTAGCAAGAGAAACAATAAATAAGTCCCAGAAAATGTCAACTGTTTATGCATTTGAGCCTGAGACTTCCTGTGGCTTTTGTTTTTTACTCCTTCCCCAGTTTTAAAATTTTGTTCTGTATTCCTATGGTGTTGGCCATAATTTCCACGATAATCTAAGAGATATGTTCAAAAGAAAAATGGCTTCAAGGGTACTGTTACTCCTGGAAATAGAAACACTCCTTCCCTAAAACATCCATTTGGATTCTGTTCATGATCTCCTCCTAGTCAGAGACACTTTGTTCAGATAGACACAAAAAGATGCTGCGCCACTGTTCTCGACACCTTGAAGAATGAGACAGATCCAAAAATCTACAGTGTTTCTTTAAAAGACATCTCAGTAAAATTACGAATTGCAGGCAAGTCTATGGCCTGACATCAGCATAGCAGGTAAGTGCTCAACCTGAGCCCACACTGCCTGGATCTTTATCCTTCTCTACCAGGTTACCTGTGAACCTTGGACAAACTGCTAACCCTTGTGCAATACTTTCCTCATCTGAAAAGTGGGGATACCATTGGTGCTTACTTTGCAGAGCAGGTTCTCAAACTTTGTTGTGCATGAGAAACAATGGGAGGGACGTGTTAAAACACGGTTGCTGACCCCCCAAAGCTTCTGATTCTGTAGGGTTGGGGTGGGGCCCAGGAATCTGCATTTCTAACAAGTTCCCAGATGATGCCTGTGCCACTGGTCTGAAGTCCACACTTTGAGAACCACTGTCAAAGGGTTATGGTTGGGCCCGGCGCGGTGGCTCACGCCTGTAATCCTAGCACTTTGGGAAAGGCTGAGGCAGATGGATCACTGGGCTCAGGAGTTCCTGGCCAATATGGTGAAACCCCGTCTCTCTACTAAAAATACAAAAATCAGCTGGGCATGGTGGCACACGCCTGTTTGCCAGCTACCTGGCAGGCTGAGGCACAAGAATCACTTGAATCTGGGAGGCCTGAACCCGGGAGGCAGCGGTTGCAGTGAGCAGAGATCGCAGCACGGCACTCCAGCCTGGGCGACAGAGGAAGACTTTGTCACAAAAAAAAAAAAAAAACAAAAAAAAAACCAAAAGAAAAACAGCGGTGGGGGGGAAGGTTATGGTGTGGATTATGTAGTTGTATATGTTAAGTGTTAACTGTGACTATTTGTATGTACTGCGGTTAGCACTGTCCCTGGCAATAGGTTAGCGATGTTAAGGATGACAGTTATTATTATCTTACCAGTTGTCCCATCAAACTTAGCAATCATATTAAACTTGCAGTTAAACCCTAATTAATCTCTTACAAGAAACTCCAGTATAGAAGAGGGGAAATCCTATTAATTTCCTAACAAAGATATCCTTAAAGACTGTATACATCCAGAAAGGGCTGTAAAGTGTTATAAGTACTTTAAAGCGACAGATTGTTGGGGTTTTTTCCCCCTAAAACTTGTCAGTACCCATTTGTACTGAGACAGAAGGGAAACAAAGGCTGACACAGCTACTTCTTGAGGTTTCGTGTCTTTTAGTTACAGTAAAGGCACCAAAGAGATTTAGTCATTATGGTCAAAAATAATTTTTCAACTCCTTTCAGGTTGAAATTAAGGAGCCCAGCAAACAAGGACGTTGCAATGGCAGTTAGAAACAACAGTTTTGAAAGGGCAGATGAAACAGACTCGCTACAAGACAAGGGGATTGTTGAAAAGCCCTCCACAACAAAGGAAATGAACTCAAATCCCTAACCTGCGGGGCGTTCCAGCAACCCTGAGGCCAAAAATAAAGCTCTCTGATGAAAAGCCTCCGCGTGTTAGGCTTTGTGTAGGGAAAGAGAGTATCAAACAGAAGGTCGAAGGTTAAGTTGTTTTTCTTGTAGGAGGACCCTTTGACCACACTCGAGCCTGAAACAGAATGAGGATCTGGAAACCCCCACTCTGTCTTTTCTGTGCCACGCATCAGTCCTTTCAAGGAGAAAACTTCTTTTTAATAAACTTAGGTCAAGTGTCCCTTCTGTTCTAAGCATGGGGGTACTCGAGGTTAAATGAGAGGCTGCCAGTCCTTGGTAAACATCTAACTTTTCCAACTCAACCATATCTAAGGTTTCGGTAAAATTCTCCAGTGAAACATGAGAATTAGATAAAACATTCTTGCACCGTGATGGCTTTTGACAAATTAAACAAAGGGTGCATGTTTGCAAGAGTGCAAAAATACGCCTTGCCTTGACAGTTAAAAAATGTAATGTACGAAACCACTTTCCTTGACACTTCAAAAAATGTACGTGATTATCAACACCGAGCTGTTAGGGGGACTCCACCAAGGTGGGTCTTCTTTTCTATCGGGTTAAGAAACAGAAGTGGGCAGCCCGTGGGTGAAACTTGGAAATCTGTCTCTCCAGCGCAAAGCCTCCCTTGGACTTGGCACGGGTGTAGGGAGCGAGACACGGGTCCGCAGATGGGATTCTGGGGTTGCCACGACTCACCTCGCCAACTTCTCCAGTCTCGCAGCGCCCCGGCGGCCCGCTCGGGGGCGCGGACGCGGGGGCCGGCGCCTCCGAACTCCCGGGCTGGCCCCGGGGAGGGCGCCCGGCCCCGGCCAGCGCGCGGGGACAGGCGCGGGGTGGCGCTGCGGGGCGGACGCGGGGCGCGCGGGCAGCGCTGGGGGCTCAGCGCGGCCAGCGCGCAGGGACAGCAGCGCCAGCAGCAGCGCGGCCAGCGCGAGCAAGAGCAGCGCCGCCGCCTTGCTGCGGAGCTTCATGGTGCGGCGCGGCGGCGGCGGCGGCCCCCAGGCGGCTCGGCCCCTCTGCGCATCGCGGCGGCGGCAGGATGAGTGCAGCAGCGCGCGGCGGTCGCCTCCTCCGCCCGCCCGCCGGGGACTGGGGTCGTGGCGGCCGGCGGGCGGCCGGCGGCGGCGGCGACGGCGAAGGAGGAGGAGAGAGAGGAGAGGAGGGGGAGGCGGTGAGAGCTGGGTTACAGGAGGAGCAGCCTGCGCCTACCGTACTGTGTGGAGTAGCCGCCCCTCCGCCCGCCCGCAGCCAGGCTCTCGGGCTTCTGGTAGCTCAGACTCAAAACCACTTCATTCATTCATTCGTTCGTTCGTTCGTTTACTTCCCCATTCACTCACACACCCATGCCATCCACTGTTCCCGCTGATTCTCTCATACCATGATTCACTTATTTGTTGATGTATTCCATGTGCTTCCTCCTTATTTATTTTATCCATCTATCCACACATTTGTGCACTTATCCACACATCCTTTCAGGCAGGAACATCTCTGTCCTGTTTGCCCAGTGCAGGGATCTGCGGGTGGTGGTGCCCAATAAATATCTGTTGAATAAACCCCTATTGCCGCCTCTGTCTTGCCACCTCCCTTTTTCCTGGAGGAGGACATATTCAACAAGGACACATGCAAAATAAGGCAAAGCGAGTAAAAGTAACACGTGATTAGTAGTTGGGGTTTCAGACTCAAAACACCAAAGTAGAACTTGGGACAGCTAGACTGGACCGAACCGATCCATGTAGTCTGAAGAAATTAGAGAATGAATTTCAAAGTTTGGATTTGAAATCTGACACTGTGCTTAACTGGCTTGGTGATCCTGAGGAAGCTGCACAACTTTCTTAAGCCTTAACTTCCTTACGTGCAAAATGGGAATGACAATACTGCTCACTACAGAGGCGTTTTGTGAGCATTAAATTAAATAATGCCTTCAAAGAAACTAGCACAGTGCCTGGCTCACAGTCGGTGCCCAATAAAAGTTCTGTAATGATTAGTTCAATAAAACATAGCTTATAATATACACATAAACACACATTTTATTTTCTTTCTGGCACAGATTTGAGATAGAGTAATAATTTCACAACACAATGTAAGAATGGCTTCTTTGGAGACTTTAACAGCTGCAATCGCCAGATGAAGGTCGTAATTTCCAGACGATTCTTCCAGGGGATCCCCAGTTACAAATCTGAAACATTAGGACACATCCTCTTATGACTCACGGTGAACTGACAGCCAGGACTCCATTAACTCTCTTTTCAGCACACCACAGAACAAAGAACACTAGTTAAGTTATAACAACGTCCCTGAGTTTTTCAGTTTTTTTTTTTTTTTTTTTTTTGGATCACTCTGTAGCCCAGGCAGGAGTGCAATGGTGCAATCTTAACTCACCGCAGCCTCCGCCTCCCGGGTTCAAGCCATTCTCCTGCCTCAGCCTCCCAAGTAGCTGGGATTACAGGCTGCGCCACCACACCCGGCTGATTTTTGTATATTTAGTAGAGACGGGGTTTCACCACGTTGGCCAGGCTGGTCTTGAACACCTGACCTCAAGTGATCCGCCCGTCTCGTTCTTCCAAAGTGCTGGGATTACAGGCATGAGCCACCGCGCCCAGCCCGTCCCTGAGTTTCTACAAGATTCCATGTTGCTTTATAAATAATCTAAAATTTAGTTATATTCTGAATTATTCTCATATTAGCATTTTATTTTAATTCCTTGAGAACCCATTGTATTAAAAGTTCTAGAGATGAGAATATTTAGTAATTTGGAAGCTCTTGCCAAGCAGACATCTAGGAAATGGCAGGGTGCAAGTTCAGTGTGGGGGACATGTTGTAGGTGAGTAAGCGCAAAGAATCCATTAGTTCTCAAAGATGAGGGAGAAGGTTCCATCCTACCAGGAAGCATCTGGAATTGTGGGAAGGCTGACAGGTTCTACTAGCATATGCAAAACCTCCTGCAATGCTCAGGACATACCAACAACGAAAACTATCCTGGCCCAATGTGGGACCCTGTTGAGAAACACTAGGCCAGGCTAAGGCATGATGTTTAGATCTTTCAGGTTTAGAAATGGCCACCACTCTGTTGACATGTGGCCCAGAGAAGCAGGCATTCCCAACTCTGTCTTGCCCCCTCCCTTCTACCTCTAGGAGGACAGATGCAACAAGGATAAACAAAGGCAGAGTGAGTCAAAGTAACACTTGATTAGTAGCCAGGGTTTTAGCCTCAAACACCAAAGAATCATGGACCAAAGAGAGGACTCAGTTTTCTTGAACCTCACTGAAGCCAAAAAAAAAAGCCTAATCTGCCTCCTTCCACTGAGTCCAAACTCAACTTTTGGATTTGTTTGGATTGCTCTGATTGGTGGAAAACTACATCCTCTAATTTTTTTTTCTTTGGATGTGGTCAAATCTCATTTTAGTTGCAAAAGACTTCATTTACAGCACATTCAATAATGAACCAACAGGAGAGTTGCTGACTTTGGAACATATGAATATATAAAAATCCCTCGCAATTCAGGTAGTCAAGATAATAAGCACATACAAGGAAAGCAAACCTCATTTCTCTGAAAACGTTTACATTTTAAAAGATGACTAGGCATACTTGGACGTTCAAAGCAGTAGGATGTCCCTTGCAGGGAAAGAAGGAGGAAAACCCTTTTCCGTGTTGTTAGGCAAATGTATATCAAATATATCCCAATTCCACTTGATAAAGTCAGTTGGATGACCTCCTTGAACCAGGCTAGGGCAGAACACTTAAGAGGGCCTTGGGTGGGGATGTGAATCCAGGAGAAGAGGAACACCAGATCCCATGCAGTGCCAAACACATCTGTTCCACCCTCTAACACAGATGAGGCACGTCGCCCATGTCCCTGGACACCAGATGCACAAGAACAGTCATCAGATGGTTACTGCTCCCATGGCCTGGTGTTTTCTAATGGTCTTAATTCAGGCCATGGAGAAAATCCTTTACCACCAAGCGCAAACTGTCATCGAACTTAAATCATAAAGGATGTTATGGGGGAAATTCTTGTAACACATACATAAGGACTTCTATTTAACTAATTAGAATAATGATTACATAATTGACATTCCTGTTTTCATAAGGTTTTGTTTTCTACACTGGAATGGCTTAAGAAAAAGTTGTCTATTTTTGATTTTATTTTACACTTTCAAAAGAGAGGGAACAGAGAGAAAAAATGTGACTAACTGCTCAACTTTGGGTCCCAGCAGGTACAAAAGTGGACTTCTCTGACTCTAGGTCCATCAGATTTGGGGGAAGTTTCAGTGCCTAGGGAAGGTTAGTGAAGCCCGTTACACCCCCAATCCTACAGAAAGAATTCTATAGCTAATCTATCACAGTGTTCTAGCAAAGCATACGTTAAAAACTACAGGCTTCAACCTAACATCTAAACTTTTAAAAGTAGCATTTCAGCAACAAACAAGCTCAGAGAGCTCATTGCAGAAGTGAAATAACAGAACTATTTCGCAGATGTCCTAAAAGTCAAGCTGCTGCCCTCAGCTCTGCCCACTTGAAGGCTTAGGCAGACATGGAAGGTGGTGGTGGCTCCTTGGCAGCACCATTCACAGTGGTATCATCATACAGGGGCAGTGTCATTGCTGGTAATGTAAGTCAGGACATCAGAGGAGTTCCTGGCATTGATAGCAGTTCCAAAACAGCTAATCAAGTAACCCTTAAAAGTCAAGATAATGCTAATAAACAGAAGAATAATAAGGACCAAACAGGTAGGATTCACTGACATGACATCATCTCTGTAGGGAAAATTCGGAGGCAGTTGTCGTATGTATTCCTGAATGCCGTTTGGATAAACAAGCACAGTGATTGCAACCAAGGTATTCAGGGCAAAATTAAAGATCTGGTAACAGAAGAATGGGAGGATCTAGGCTATGTGTTGCTTGTATGCTCTGTAAGTAGCCAATAGCACATATCAGGATCATGAGAAGAGAAATCACAATGGCAATGCACATGTAGTTCCACATGGCTGGGGAGGCCTCAGAATCATGGCAGAGGGTGAAAGGCACTTCTTACCTGGTGGTGACAAGACAGAATGAGCTACATCCTCTAATGTTATAGAAAAGGCTTCTAGACTCCCTTACCCATGGCTTACCCAATGTCTCACTTAGATGTCTGATAGAAAAAAAATGCTTAATTTTAATGCTTTATAAATCATCTAAAATTCAATTATATTCTAAATCATTGTCATATTAGCATTTTATTTTAATTCGTTGAGAATCCACTGTATTAAAAGTTCTGGATGTGGGAATATTTAATAATTTGGAAGCTCTGAAATCTATTTTTTCTCCTAGAATCTTGACACCTCTAGTTACCTAGTTGCTCAAGCCAGAAATTAGGTGGAAACCATCCTCTTTCCCTCACCTCTTATATTACTGATCTATTGTTGCAAAAAAAATGACCCCAACATTTAGTGGCTTAAGATAATATGCATAATCTCATAGTTTCTGTCAGTCAGGAATCTAGGGATAGCTTAGTTGAGCCCTCTGCTTCACAGTCTCTCACAAGGCTATAATCAATTGTTGGCCCAGGTCTGTGGTCTCATCTGAAGGCTCAGCTGGGGAAAGATCTGCTCCTGGTTTCACTCACATGATTGTTGGAAGGATCCAGTTTCTTTTTTTTTTTTGAAATTCAGCTTATCAGTCTTTTCTCTCAGGGTTAGTAGGTTTGGTGTTTTGTCTAAGAAATCTTTGCCTACCTCTTGGTCTCAAGAAATTCTTTTATCTTCTTTTACAATAGAGCTGTCTGGGCTGGGCATGGTGGTTCACACCTGTAATCCTAGTACTTTGGGACAGGAGATGGGAGAATCACTTGAGGCCAGAAGTTCAAGACTAGCCTGGGCAACAAAGTGAGACCCTATGTCTACAAAAATAAAAATAATAAATAAAAGATAGAAGTTTCTGTGATAATGGTAATGTTCAATATCTTTTCCATCCAATATGGTAGTCCAACAACCCCATGTGGCTGTGGAGCACTTGAAATGTGGCTGGTACAACTAAGGAAATGATTTTTAATTTTATTTAATTTAAATAGTAACATGGGGCTAATGGCTGCCATGTTGGAAAGCATAGTTCTAGACTC
Organism: Homo sapiens; assembly: GCF_000001405.40. Classification (NCBI taxonomy): domain Eukaryota; kingdom Metazoa; phylum Chordata; class Mammalia; order Primates; family Hominidae; genus Homo; species Homo sapiens. Next base: position 72,883,107 of record NC_000003.12, on the reverse strand, counting down.
TATATTATTTGATTTTTCACAGGTAGATCTACAACCGATCGTGGATTATTTTTACCTGTAAGGTATAAAGGCAGAGGACAGGATTTATGTTTTTCTATGGATATTTAATTAACCCATTTGTTAAAAAGATCATCTTTCTCTCAGTGAATATTATTAGTATTTGTTGTAAATCAGCTGACCATTTATACCATTGTAGAATATTATACAGCTTTTAAAAAATAATAAATTAGAAGGCAGAAAAATATGAGCTCACGTTCTGTAGTAAAATTTCTTAGGGTCAAATATTAGCTCCATTCCTTACTAGCTGCACACTTCTGGGCAAGTTACTTTCTCTTCCTAAGCTTCATGTCCTCATGTATCAAATGAGGATAATAATAGCATTTATATATTTCTTGTGAGAATTAAGTGCAGCAATTCTATGTGAAATTAATGGTTACCATAAAGCATTCATTGTCAACTACTAGTTGTTAGCTATTCATCCTAACTTGGCCCAATCTGGAGCCCTATCCAGCAAACATTGATCTAATAAAGCAGCGATTAAGGAGTAATATATATTTATTGATATTATAAAATATTTATTATATCTGTGTATATATATATATACATATATTCCTATTTTGAAGTTACATCACAAATGCACTAATAGTAGTAGTCATTATTAACATTCATTATGTCTTACTAAATGCTAGTTCCATTCTAAGAACTTTACATGTGTTAACTCATATAATCTAAGGGGTAGATGCTATTATGTCATTTATTGATAAGGAGATTAAGACACAGAAGAGTTAGCTAATTTGCTCAGCTAAAAAGAAAAAGCAGATACGACTTCTGGTTTCCAGTCTGTCAAACAACAAGTGAAAAGTTGCACGAACTGAAATTTAACAATTATTTTTAGGTCCATCAGAGAAGTAACATCACAGGGCAAACCATTGTCCCAGAATTTGAAAAGCCAGGGAAATACAGAGAATTAAGTGCAACTTAACCCAAGCAGAAACCTCTGCAGGAACCAGTGCTGGGGTAGGAAAACCTAAACTATAATTCACAAATTGCTGAAGGCTTAGTGTGGAAAAGTCAGAAAGTTAAAAATCCTGGTGGTTGGTGGGGCTCAGTCTTACAGGACCCACACTTCTGTGAGTTTACCTCCAGGAGCTCTGCCAGGTTCTCACAGTGAACACTAGAGGAAAATCCCCTACTGCTCTGGCAAGGGGAGGAAAACGTAATCATTTTTAAATACATCAGGTCTTCTTCCTGCCCTCAAGAGAAACTATTTTTTATCATCCTATTGGGGTTTATCGGAGCTTAAGTGAACTGGGGAAGGGAAATACCCAACTTCAGCTCCCTTTAACCATCCTGTCCCACCTACGTAGAGGGGGACTGGAAGCACTTGTGAAGTTTCTAGCCAAGGGGCATAGGCTCATTAAAATCAGCGACCTAATCATAGGACTATAGAATGCTTCCCCTCCCGACACCTTACCACCATATCACTAAAAGCCTATTTACCATAGTTTATTTTCTCTATTACATTGTATACAGCATGTAACAAAAAATTGCATGGCATACTAGAAGACTAAAAATACAGTTTGAAGAGACAATGCAAACACTAGAACTAGACTCAGATATGCCACAGATGTTGGAATTATCAGACTGGAAATTTATTTATTTAATTTTTTTGGTAGATAGATTTTACTTTTTTTTTTATTTCAATAGGTTTTTGAGGAACTGGTGGTGTTTGGTTACATGAATAAGTTCTTTAGTGGTAATTTCTGAGCTTTTGGTGCACCCATCACCTGAGCAGTGTACACTGTACCCAATGTGTAGTTTTTGTTTGTTTGTTTGTTTTGAGACGGAGTCTTGCTCTGTCGCCCAGGCTAGAGTGCAGTGGCACAATCTCGGCTCACTGCAAGCTCCGCCTCCCGGGTTCACCCCATTCTCCTGCCTTAGCCTCCCCAGTAGCTGAGACTACAGGCACCTGCCACCATGCCTGGCTAATTTTTTGTATTTTTAGTAGAGACGGGGTTTCACCGTGTTAGCCAGGATGGTCTCGATCTCCTGACTTCGTGATCCGCCCACCTCGGCCTCCCAAAGTGCTGGGATTACAGTTGTGAGCCACTGCGACTGGCCCCCAATGTGTAGTTTTTATTCCTTGCCACTCCCCACCCTTTCCCCCATGTCCCCAAAGTCCAATGTATCATTCTTATGCCTTTGCGACCTCATAGCTTAGCTCCCACATATGAGTGAGAACATACAATGTTTGGTTTTCCATTCCTGAGTTACTTCACTTAGAATAATAGTCTCCAATTCCATCCATGTTGCAGAGAATGCCATTATTTCATTCCTTTTTATGGCTGAGTAGTGTTCCATGGTATACATGTTCATTGATCGATGGGCATTTGGGCTGGTTCCATATTTTCGTAATTGCAATTTTGCTGCCTAAACATGCAAGTGCAAGTATCTTTTTCGTACAATGACTTCTTTTCCTCGGGTAGATACCTAGCAGTGGGATTGCTAGATCAAACAGTAGAACTACTCTTATTTCTTTAAGAAATCTCCACACTGTTTTCCATAGTGGTTGTACTAGTTTATATTCCCATCAACAGCGTAAAAGTGTTCCCTTTTAACCACATCCACGCCAACATCTATTATTTTTTGATTTTGTTTTATTATGGCCATTCTTGTAGGAGTGAAGTGGTATTGTATTGTGGATTTGATTTGCATTTCCCTGATAATTAGTGATGTTGAGCATTTTTCCATATGCTTGTTGGCCATTTGTATATCTTCTTTTGAGAACTGATCAGACTGGAAATTTAAAACAACTATGATTTATAATCTAAGGGCTTTGTCTTAGTCCACTTAGTGTTGCTATAAAATGATGCCTGAAACTGGATAATTTATTTTTTATTTTTATTTTTTTGAGATGGAGTCTCGCTCTGCTGCCCAGGCTGGAGTACAGTGGCAAGAGCTCGGCTCACTGCAACCTCCACCTCCTGGGTTGAAGCGATTCTTCTGCCTCAGCCTCCCAAGTAGCTGGGATTACAGGTACCTGCCACCATGCCCAGCTAAGTTTTGTATTTTTTAGTAGAGACAGCGTTTCACCATGTTGGCCAGGCTGGTCTCGAACTCCTGACCTCAAGTGATTCACCCATCTTGGCCTCCCAAAGTGCTGGGATTACAGGTGTTAGCCACCATGCTTTGCCTATTTTTTTAAAGAGGTTTATTTGGCTCACAGTTCTGCAGGCTATAGAAGAAGCATGGCATCAGCATCTGCTTCTGGTGAGGGCATCAAGCTCCTTCCACTCATGGTGAAAGGTTAAGGGGAGCCAGCCATGTGCAGAGATCACATGGCCAGAGAAGAAGCAATAGAGCAAAAGGGAGGAACCAGGCTGAAAAAGAAATGGAACAGAATATCCAAAAAGTGTGGGGTAACTACAAAGGTATATGTAATTTATGTGTAATGAGAATACCAGAAGGAGAAGAAAGAAACAGAAGAAATATTTGAAGCAATAATGACTCAGAATTTCTTCAAGTTAATGTCAGACATTGTCTTAGTTTATTTTGTGTTGATATAACAGACTGGATAATTTATTTTAAAAAGAGATTTACTTAGCTCAATTTTTTTTTTTTTTGAGACAGAATCTCACATTGTTGCCCAGGCTGGAGTGCAGGCACGATCTTGGCTCACTGCAACCTCTACCTGCTCGGTTAAAGTGATTCTTGTGCCTCAGTCTCCTGAGGAGCATACTTCCACGCCTGGCTAATTTTTGTATTTTTAATAGAGACTGGGTTTCACCATCTTGCCCAGGCTGGACTCGAACTCTGACTTTAAGTGAGCCATCCGCCTCAGCCTCCCAAAGTGCTGGGATTACAGGCGTGAGCCACTGTGCTCAGCCTACTTAGCTTAATGTTCTGTAAGCTAGGAAGTTAAGGGTGTGTGGCTTCTGGCAAAGGCTTTTGCACTGTGTCATAACATGGCGGAGAAAGTAAAAGGGGAAGTAGACACATCCAGAGAGAAAACCCAAGGGGCATTCTGGCTTTATAATAACCCACTTTTGAGGGAACAAATCCATTTTCTCAAAAATGAATTTAGTCTCGCCAGAGTGAGCACTCACTTACACCCACAAGAACAGCACCAAGCAATTCATGAGGGATCTGCCACCTTGACCCAAACACCTCCCAGGAGGTCCCATCTCCCCACACCACCACATTGAAGATTAAATTTCAACACGAGTTTTGGCAGGGACAAACAAACCATATTCAAACCATAGCAGACCCTAAGCCACAGATCCAAGAAGCTCAGAAAACTAAGCAATGTAAGTGTGAAAGAGAAAAAGAAAGAAAGAGACTATACCTAGGCATATCATATTTAAACTGCATAAAATCAAAGGTAAAGAAAAAAACTTGAAAGAAGTCAGAAAATAAAATCTTAACTGTAAAGGAGTAAAGATGAGAATTACATCTGACTTCTCCTCAGAAATCATGCAAGCGAGAACAGAGTAAGGAAATACATGAAGTGTTGAAGAAAAAAAAAACACGAGTCTAGAACTCTGTATCCTGATAAATTATCCTTCAAAAGTGAAGGAGAAATAAAGAATTTCTTAGACAAACAAAAATTGAGGGAATTTGTTGCCAGTATAATTGCTTTGCAGGAATCGTGAAAAGAAATTCTTCAGAGAGAAGGAAAATGATGTAGGTCCAAACCTCGGATCTACATAAAGAAAGGAAGAGCTTAAGAGAATGAATAAGTGAAGATAAAATACAACACATATTTTTAAAAATTCTTAATTGATATAACAAAAGGTTTGTTCAAAATAATAACAATGTATTTGATGATTAAAGCTTATGTATAAGTGGAAGGAATGACAGTAATAACACAAGGGATGGGAGGGAAGTATTAGGAATATTTTGTTATTATAAGACATTTGCGGAGCAGGTGCGCGGGCAGCTTCCGGTGTGGGTGATGAGTGGTGGCCAAAGCAGGGGGACAGCAAGGGACACTCAGGCAGAGACCATGGCAGACGGCCACTTGCAGCAGGCTGACGGGCGCATATTCAAAATGGAAGTGGACTACAACGCCACGGTAGATCAGTGCCTACCCGAGTGTGAGAAGCTGGCCAAGGAAGGAAGACTTCAAGAAGTCATGGAAACCCTTCTCTCTTTGGAAAAACAGACTCGTACTGCTTCTGATATGGGGTCAACATCCCAAATCTTAGTTGCAGTAGTGAAGATGTGCTATGAGGCTAAAGAATGGGATTTACTTAATGAAAATATTACACTTTTGTCCAAAAGGCGGAGTCAGTTAATACAAGCTGTTGCCAAAATGGTTCAATAGTACTGTATTTATGTTGAGGAAATCACAGACCTTCCTATCAAACTTCAATTAACTGATACTCTATGAATGGTTACCGAAGGCAAGATTTATGTTGAAATTGAGTGTGCTCGACTGACTAAAACATTAGCAACTATAAAAGAACAAAATGGTGATGTGAAAGAGGCAGCCTCCGTTTATAGGAGCTACAGGTGGAAACCTATGGATCAATGTAAAAGAAAGAGCAAGTGGAATTTATTTTGGAGCAAATGAGGCTCTGCCTAGCTGTAAAGGATTACATTCGAACATAAATCATCAGTAAGAAAATTAATACCAAGTTTTTCCAGGAAGAAAATACAGCGAAATTAAAGTTGAAGTACGATAATTTAATGACTCAGCTGGATGAACATGAGGGATCCTATTTGTTTATTTGTAAGCACTACAGAGCAATATATAATACTCCCTGTATACAGGCAGAAAGTGAAAAATGGCAGCAGGCTATGAAGAGTGTTGTACCCTATGTTACCCTGGCTCCTTTTGACAATGAACAGTCAGATTTGGTTCACTGAATAAGTGGTGACAAGAAGTCAGAAGAAATTCCCAAATACAAGGATCTTCTAAAGCTTTTTACCACAATGGAGTTGATGCGTTGGTCCACACTTGTGGAGGACTATGGAATGGAATTAAGAAAAGGTTCCGTTGGCAGTCCTGCAACTGATGCTTTTGGTTCTACAGAGGAAGGCGAAAAAAGGTGGAAAGATTTGAATAACAGAGTTGTTGAACATAATATTAGAATAATGGCCAAGTATTATACTCGGATGACAATGAAAAGGATGGTACAGCTTCTGGATCTATCTGTTGATGAGTCCGAAGCCTTTCTCTCAAATCTAGTAGTTAACAAGACCATATTTGCTAAAGTAGACAGATTAGCAGGAATTAACAACTTCCAGAGACCCAAGGATCCAAATAATTTATGAAATGACTGGTCTCAGAAACTGAACTCATTAATGTCTCTAGTTAACAAAACTACACATCTCATAGCTAAAGAGGAGATGATACATAATCTACAATAAGGGTCTTAATGCTTTTAAAAAAGAGTTAAAATTTGAAGTCATTTTTTGTTTAAAAAAAACTGTTTAAAAAAAAGACATTTGCATTACCAGCGAAATGATACAGTGTTATTTGAAAATGGGCTGGATGTAGTGGCTCACATGTGTTAATTCCTGAACATTAGGAGGCTGAGGTGGGAGGATGTAATCCTAGCACTTTGGGAGGCTGAGACAGGAGGATCACTTGAGCCCAGGAGTTTGAGACCAGACTGAGCAACACAGGAAGGCTGTATCTCTAAAAAAATAAAAATAAATTAGCTGGATGTGGTGGCTTGTGCCTGTGGTCTCTCAGCTACTTGGGAGGCTCAGGTGAGAGGACTGCTTGAGTCCGGAAGGTCAAGGCTGCAGTGGACTATGATTGCACCACTTTACTCCAGCCAGGGCAACAGAGCAAGACCCTGTCTCTAAATGAATAAATGAATGAATGAATGAATAAATAAATAAATAAATAACTCAGTCTGTGGTATTCTGTTGTAGCAGCACAAAATGAACTAAACAGTGGAGAATATAGTATATGGAAAAATATATGTGCATGAGTGGGGGCAAAGACCATATGAAAACTCTCCTTTCTACTCAATTTTGATGTGAACCTGAAACTGCTCTATTAAAAACTCAATTTTTATTTTTGGTTTTTCACTCAGGTATTCTGGCTCCACTGTCTATGGTTTTGCTTTTTTTTTTTTATTTTTTTTTTATTTTTTTGTTTTTTTTGAGGCAGTCTCACCTCACTTTGTTGCCCAGGCTGGAGTAGTGCAGTGGTGTGATCTTGGCTTACTGCAGGCTCCATTGCCCAGGCTCAAGCAATCCTTGCACCTAGGCCTCCAGGGTAGCTGGGACCACAGGTGTGCACTACCAATCCCGGCTAATTTTTGTATTTTTTGTAGAGACAGGGTTTTGCCATGTTGTCCACGCTGGTCTCAAACTCCTAAACTCAAGTGATCTGCCTGCCTCGGCCTCCCAAAGTGCTGGAATTGCCGGCATGCAACACTGTGTCTGGCCTCTAGGTGTCTATGCCTGGCCGCTAGGTGTCTATGTTCTTTTTGCTTTTTTTTTTTTTCTTTTGCGATAGTCTCGCTCTGTCGCCAGGCTAGAGTGCAGTATTGCGCACTGCAACCTCTGCCTCCCGGGTTCAAGCGATTGTCCTGCCTCAGCCTCCCGAGTAGCTGGGACTACAGGCATGCACCACCACGCCCGGCTAATTTTTGTATTTTTAGAAGAGACAGGGTTTCCACCATGCTGGTCAGGATGGTCTCGATCTCTTGACATTGTGATCCGCCCGCCTCAGACTCCCACGTGTCTATGTTCTTAAACATACTTCCCAGGGGGTGTGTGTGTGTGTGTGTGTGTGTGTGTGTGTGTGTGTGTGTGTATGTTTGCTTGAGCAAAGAGAAGGCTGTAAACTGACATATATGAGGTAGTAGTCAATGAATAACTTGGGTGGGAAAGATATTTTTGGCTATGTCTATATTAGTTAGAATGTTTTCAACTGCACGGAAGAGAATACTTGAATAACAATGGCTTAAACTAGGGCTTTCTAACTTTATGGTGTGGATGAATTATCTGAGGATCTCATAAAATTGCAGGTATGAATGTAGTATATCTGGGCATAACCTGATATTCTGCACTTCTGACAAGCTGTAGTAACCTGTTAGATCCTGCTGCTGCTGCTGGTCCAACACTTTAATTAGCAGGATTTGAATAATGAAGACATTTTTATGTTATACAGTAAGAAGCCCAGAGCAGATGGAGGACAGGGGTGAAAGGAAATCTCTTCAGTGTATACCTTCTTTGTACATAATTGTGTACATTTCTGCTGGGTATACACCTACGAGGGAAATCACTGTGTCTCCACGTAAGCATATATTTAGCTTTTGTGGATGCTGTGCAACATTTTCCCCAAGTGATTGCATCAACTTACCTACCCATCAGCAGGGTATAAGAGTTGTGGTTAATGCACATCTTTTTCATTACTTAGTATCATTAGGCTTTTTTTTTTTTTTAACCATTCTGGTGGGTATGTAGTAGTATTTCATTATGGGTTTAATTTGCACTTCCCCAATGACTAATGAAGTTAAACATCTTTTCATTTATTTACTGGCCAATTAGACGTCTTTTTTCTTAATTATTATTTTTTGAGATGCAGTCTTGCTCTGTCGCCCAAGCTGGAGTGCAACGGTGTGATCTTGGCTCACTGCAACCTCCGCCTCCCAAGTTCAAGTGATTCTCCTGCCTCAGCCTCCCTAGTAGCTGGGATTACAGGTGTGTGCCACCATGCCCAGCTAATTTTTTTGTAGTTTTAGTAGAGACGGAGTTTCACCATGTTGATCAGGCTGGTCATGAACTCCTGAACTCAGGTTAGCCACCCACCTCAGCCTCTCAAAGTGCTGGGATTACAGACGTGAGCCACCGTGTGCGGCCTAGACATCTTATTTTATGATGTATTTGCTCAAGTCTTTCGCCCATTTTTCTTTTGAGTTACTTCTCTTTTATTGATTTGTAGGACTATCCAGAATATATATAAATAACTCTTATCAGTAAATATAGTTTCATTTTAAAATTTAAATCTTTGATCCACTTGGAGTTCATCCTGATGGAGGTATGGGCCCAACTTAATTTTTTTTCAGGTGGTTACTCAGTTGTCTCAAACAAATACCATATAGTCTGTCTTTGCCACATCAATTTGAGATGCCACCTTTGTCATGTAAGACCCTCTCATGTGTATGTGGAATATTTTTGGGCTTTCAATCTTATTCTATGTCTGTTTCCCAGATACAAATGCAATTTTATGTACTTAACATTTTTAATGTGTTTAAATGTTTAGTAGAATAAGTCTCACAGTTTTAAAGCTTTCCAGGCTATTTTATTTTTCCATCTGAACTCAAAACTAGTTTGTCTCATTCTAAAATTAAAAAAAAAAACTTTATTGGTACTGAGACAAATTTATAAATTAAATTAGGGAGAATTAAAATCTTCATGATGTTGAGTTTTTCTATTCAACATGATTACACACCTCTTATTTGTTCAAATTTTAGTTGGTGTCCTTCAATTGTGCATAAACTTCTTTTGATATGCATGACTGAGCTGGTGGGAAAATGAAGAAAATCTCTGAGGCAAAGACACTATAAGAAAATCAGAAACCAGAACGGTTATTCAGCATTAAAATCAAACTTTTCTTTTCTTTGAACAGGAGACAGCTTAGATCCCAAGCAAGGTGTGAGGTTAGAGTTGGGATAGTTAAAACAAAATGAGGTCCTTCATAGATTAGCATTTTGATTAAGAATCTAGAAAACACCTAGGGGGTGGTGGCTTACGCCTGTAATCCCAGCACTTTGGGAGGCTGAGGCTGGTGGATCACCTGAGGTCAGGAGTTTGAGACCAGCCTGACTAACATGGTGAAATCCCGTAACTACTAAAAATACAAAAATTACCCAGGCATAGTGGTGGACGCCTGTAATCCCAGCTACTTGGGAGGCTGAGGCAGGAGAATTGCTTGAACCTGGGAGGCGGAGGTTGCAGTGAGCCGAGATTGCACCATTGCACTCCAGCCTGGGTGACAGAGGGAGACTCCATCTCAAAAAAAAAAAAAAAAACTAGACTCTAGAAAACACTTCACAGAAGATGGGAGAAATATTGTTTGTGTCAACTGTGTTTCTCAAAGGAGGGAAAGGGAAAAAAAATAATTTGAGAATTCTTAATAACTCACCTTCAAATGGGGTTGTCTTCTATGAGTTAAAAAAAAAAAAAAATCCGGCCAGGTGTGGTGGCTCACACATGTAATCCCAGCATTTTGGGAGGCCAAAGTGGGAGGAATGCTTGAGCCTAGGAGTTTAAGACCAGCCAGGGCAACATAGTGAGACCCCGTCTCTACCAAAAATCTAAAAGTTAGCCAGACATGGTGGCACACACCTGGTAGTCCCAGCTACTCAGGAGGCTAAAGTGGGGGGATCTCTTGAGCCCAGGAGGTCAAAGCTTCAGTGAGCTGTGATTGCACCACTGCACTCCAGCCTGGGTGACAGAGTGAGACTTTGTCTCAAAACAAAAACAAAAACAAAAATGAAACCCCAAAAAACAAAAAATAACAGCAAAAAAACCCCAAGCCAAAATGTTAGGTTAAAACAGTTCCAGGTTGGTAGTTCCTCCAATTTCCAAAAGCAAAAACAAATTTTCATTGGCCACAGATATTCTAATCCTCATTGTAGTGGGTTGAAGAGTGTCTCCTTAAAATGCATGTCTACCCAGCACCGTCAGAATGTGACCTAATTTGGAACTAGGTTCTTAGCAGATGTAATTAATTAAGGATCTCAAGATGAATCATCCCGGATTTAAAGTGGGCCCTTATGACTGATATCCTCATCCTTACAAGAAGAGGAAAGGAGGACACAGAGAGTCCTCTCTGTGAAAGAAGGCCATGTGAAGACGGACAGAGAAATTAGCATCATGCTGCCACAAACCAAAGAATGCTACGAGCCACAGAACCTGGAAGAGGCAAGGATGGATTCTCCAGAGAGCCGTCAGAGGAAGCATAGCCTTGCTGGCATTTTGATTTCAGACTTTTTGCCTCCTGAACTGTGGGAGAATAAATTTCTGTTGTTTAAGCCCTCCAGTTTAATTTGCTATGGCAGCCCTAGGAAGCTACTACACTAGGTTTCAAGGGATTTACACATACAAAATTTCAAGGACCCTCATTTCGTAATCCCAAACTATAGAACACACAAAGAAATAAGCCATGATAAGCAAGAATGAGCAGAGATAACAAACTGCAGAGAATAACCTCCAGTATAGGCCTTGGAATGGCCAGTGTGGAATATTAAATAAGTATGCTCAATAGTTCTAAAAAAATTAGAAGGTTATGGAAACTATGATGTAGGTATAAGAGATTATCAAAAGGGATAAGGAAGATTAGAAAAAAATGTATAACTTCTAAAATACAGAATATGTGATGATTAAAACTAGAAACAATTTATGGGCTAAATAGTACATAAAATGTAGCTAAGGGCCAGGCACGGTGGCTCACACCTGTAATCCCAGCACTTTGGGAGGCCGAGGTGGGCGGATCACGAGGTGAGGAGTTTGAGACAAGCCTGACCAACATGAGGAAACCCCGTCTCTACTAAAAATACAAAAATTAGCCAGGCCTGGTGGTGCGCGCCTGTAATTCCAGCTACTCAGGAGGCTGAGGCAGGACGATCACTTGAACCTGGGAGGTGGAGGTTACAGTGAGCTGAAATCACGCCATGCACTCCAGCCTGGGCGACAGAGTGAGACTCCGTCTCAAAAAAAAAAAAAAAAAGGAGCTAAGGAGGAAACTAAAAAAACTGGAAGATAGATCTAAGAAAGTTACTGAAAATAGAGCACTAAGAGATTTTAAAAATTAAAAATTAAGACATTAAAGACAGGATAGAGTGAAAAGATTTAGTATACTTCTAATCAGAGTTCTAGAAGGAAAGACTGAGGGTCAGAGGAAAGGGAGGTGATATTAAAAGTGAAAATGGTTGAGAGGTCTATAGAACTGAAAAAGATACAAATATTTAGATTGAAAAAGCAAAGGCTGGCATGGTGGCTCACACTTGTAATCCCAGCACTTTGGGAGGCTCCGGTGGGCAGATCACTTGAACACAGGAGTTTGAGACCAGCCTGGGGTATACGGTAAAACCGTCTCTACAAAAAATACAAAAATTAGCTGGATGTGGTGGTGCATGCCTATAGTCCCAGCTACTTGGGAGGTTGAGACAGGAGGTTCACCTGAACCCAGAAGGTTGAGGCTGCAGTAAGCTTTGATTGCGCCACTGCACTCCAGCCTAGGCAACAGAGCGTGACTCTGTCTCAAAAAAAGAAAGAAAGAAAGAAAATGGTAAAATATTTTGACAAATGTAAAAACAGCCACAAAAAATATTTTGGAGGTGGTTTATAATCAACATGTGATGGACATCTATAAACAAAAACTTGGAAGATAGGTGGGAATAATTCAGAGTAGATTTAAAAAGTTGGCCGGGCGCGGTGGCTCACGCCTGTAATCCCAGCACTTTGGGAGGCCGAGGCGGGTGGATCATGAGGTCAGGAGATCGAGACCATCCTGGCTAACAAGGTGAAACCCCGTCTCTACTAAAAATACAAAAAATTAGCCGGGCGCGGTGGCGGGCGCCTGTAGTCCCAGCTACTCGGGAGGCTGAGGCAGGAGAATGGCGTGAACCCGGGAAGCGGAGCTTGCAGTGAGCCGAGATTGCGCCACTGCAGTCCGCAGTCCGGCCTGGGCGACAGAGCGAGACTCTGTCTCAAAAAAAAAACAAAAAAAAAAACAAAAAGTTAAGACCTGGTGCAATGACTCATGCCTGTAATCCCAGTGTTTTGGGAGGCCAAGGCAGGAGTCTCATTTGAGGCCAGGAGTTTGAGACCAGCCTGAGCAACATAGCAAGACCCTGTTTCTACAAAAAAATAAAAAAATTAGTTGGGTGTGCTGACACATATCTGTGATTCCAGTTACTCAGGAAGCTGAGGTGGGAGGATCACTTGAGCCCAGGAGTTGCAGGCTGCAGTGTGCTAAGATCATGCCACTGCACTCCAGCCTAGGCAACAGAGTGAGACCCTGTTACTTAAAAGAAGAAGAAGAAGAAGAAAAGCAAAAAGTTAAGGTTCCTGTTTTGTTCAGAAGGAAAATAGTAATATTAGCTATATTTTTCCTAACAAAATCTAAAGTTAGTTGTTTGTTTTTTTAACAGAATGTATAGCTAATGATAAATGGAAATATTAAAAATATAAGAGTATAGGTGAATATACAATATTCATTATAATGTTTCTTTAGACTTCTCTGTGTGCTTGAAACAGTTCTTTTTAATTATTTATTTGTTTTTTTTGAGACAGAGTTTCACTCTGCCGCCCAGGCTGGAGTGCAATGGCGCAATCTCAGCTCGCTATAACCTCTGCCTTCTGGGTTCAAGCGATTCTCCTGCCTCAGCCTCCTGAGTAGCTGGGATTACACGTGTGCACCACCACGCCTAGCTAATTTTTGTATTTTTAGTAGAGATGGGGTTTTACCGTGTTGGCCAGGCTGGTCTTGAACTCCCAACCTCGGGTGATCCGTCCACCTTGGCCTCCCAAAGTGCTGGGATTACAGGTGTGAGCCACTGTGGCTGGCCAAAAAATTTCATAACAAAATATTGGGAGGCATAACCAATGATGACATATCTTTCAGAATAGCTAAAATGAAGAAGACTGATAATATCTAGCATTGGTGAGATTGTGAAGCAACGAAAACTCATACACTCCCAGTGGGAGTGTAAACTGGTCCAACCAATTTGAAAAACTCTTCGACAGAATCTATTAAAACTAAATATATGCATAGTCTATGACTAGAAATTCCACTCCCAGATGTAATATACATTTAATAGGAATCATACTTAAGTGCATCAAAAGATACACAAAAGAAAGTTCAGAGCAACTTTATCTATGATAGCTAAAAACTGGAAATTATTCAAATGCCCAACAAAAGTAGAGTGGATACATGAGCATATTCAAGTGATGAAATACTACATGTCAATGAGATTAAATAAAGCTGCTGCTATGTCCAACTGTGGGTGAATTGCATTAACCTAATATTGAGGGTAAAAAGCCAAAGACAAAAGAGTGCACACTATCTTATTTTATTCATATAAAGCTCAAAAACAGGTCAAACGAATCTCTGGTATTAGAAGTCAGGTTATTGGTTTTTTCTGGGAAGGTGGAAGAGGAAGCACATTTACTTTGTGATATGTACATTTGATATGCTTTCCTAAACCTAAAAAAGATTATTGTTTTAAACATTTCAAGATAATTTCTGAGTCTATTAGCCTATGGTAATTTCAAAAGAAACACTAGAATAGTGGCTCACGCCTCTAATCCCAGCACTTTGGGAGGCTGAGGTGGGTGGATGACCTGAGGTCAAGAGTTCGAGACCAGCTGGCCAAGAGGGTGAATACAAAATACAAAATTACTAAAAATACAAAAATTACAACATGGTGAATACAAAATACGAAATCACTAAAAATACAAAAATTACTACTAAAAATACAAAAAATTAGCTGGGTGTGGTGGCAGGCGCCTGTAGTCCCAGTTACTCAGGAGGCTGAGGCAGGGGAATCTCTTGAACCCGGGAGGAGGAGACTGCAGTGAACCGAGATCACGCCATTGCACTCCAGCCTGGGCGACAGAGTGAGACTCTGTCTCAAATAAAAAAAAAAAAAAAAAAAAAAGAAAAGAAAAGAAATTCTAGAGTGAATCCCTAAGGTGTGGTGAACAATATACAGTTATTTTGAGGAAATTGAGGCTAAAGGACACTTGAATCTGCTTTGCTGCTGGAGCCCTGGGAGGTGTTGATCTCAAAGGTGTTCCCTGGGCTCCACAGAGCAAGAATAATAAGGTGGAGTGGGATGGCTGAGACCTTCAGAGGAGAGAAACCTGAGGTAGCCTCCCATGGCCCTGGAGTAGGTCATGGCACGGCCAAAATTTCTATGTCCCAGGGAGAATATTAGGTTTCTGAGCCAGAGAGTCCTATCTGGCTCACCCCTAGTATTCACAGGCTCTGGGGCAGGAGTACAAATGAAGGCCTCCTACTATATGTTTACACAGAAGTTATAAGTCAAACTAACCACTGTCAAATGAGTTATATGCTTCTGCTTGACCAACATGCTTTTATAATGACCTTGAAGGCCATAACGCACATTGAGTTCTAGACTTGTACATGGCCATGGTGGAAGGCCAGTCCCCAGTTCCCAGCTTTTGCTCTATCCCTTTTCCCTCCACCCTGGGAATGCATGGACACCCCTGTCCACATGTCCAAGCTTCATCCGTGCCTTTGCAGACAACTGCTGTACACCAGAGGCACAGTTTGCCTTCAGGAGGACCACTTGGCAAAGAGGTCAATACCAGCCCTGGAAACAGACTCAGGATCATTAATGTAGGGAATTATATTGGGAATTATGGGGTCTTGGCTATCCAGTGTGTGTTCTAGAAGTGGGGATGGGCTTGGTCTCTAGACAGGAGGGCACTGCCTGAGGAAGGCCAAACTGGGAGCTGGTAAAACATAGGGTCCACTAGGGACCCTGATACGGTTTGGCTGTGTCCCCACCCAAATCTCATCTTGAATTGTAGCGTGGGAGGAACACAGTGGGAGGTAACTGAATCACGGGGGCTGGTCTTTCCCATGTTGTTCTTGTGATAGTGAATAAGTCTCAGGAGATTTGATGGTTTTATAAAGAGGAGTTCCCCTGCACAAGTTCTCTCTCTTTGCCTGCCGCCATCCATCTAAGACATGACTTGCTCCTCCTTGCCTTCTGCCATGATTGTGAGGCCTCCCCAGCCATGTGGAACTGTGAGTCCATTAAACCTCTTTCCTTTATAAATTACCCAGTCTCTGGTATGTCTTTATTAGCAGCATGAGAACAGACTAATACAGATCCCCCCTCTAGCTAGGGTATAAGGAATAGTGTAGGTCCTTGTGCCAATGAGGGAATGTCTCAGACTGTAGAGCTATGAAATAGGACTTTGGATGCGTCAGCAAACACTAGTCTTCATGCCTGGAGACCATATGGGACTGGACATTCCTGCACATGTCTGTGTAAGACAGGACTCCAAGGATCAGATGTCCTCTCAGGCTACCCCAACTCTGTGATTCTTTGAAAACGTCCTAGAAATGAAATGGCACCTTGAGGGGAATTATGGAGGAAGAAAATAACCTTAACTTTTTGAATGTTCTCCAAAGAAATTGAGGAAAAATTCTGAAGTGATGGAGTTTACTATGAATTTACTGGCAAACTGCAGCTAAAGAGAGAAATTAAGTTCAGAGATGGAAAATCAAAGTTACTTTTTTGCACGCCTGAGTCTTGTGCATTGAAAGTTCATACTTAATACACATTTTATCAATGCTGCTTAGGTCTACTATGGTTTTAAGATTCATCCACTTTTTAGAGGCTGGGCATGGTGGCTCACACCTGTAATCCCAGCACTTTGGGAGGCTGAAGCGGGTGGATCACCTAAGGTCAGGAGTTCAAGACCAGCCTGCCCAATATGGTGAAACCCCATCTCCACTAAAAAATACACAAATTAGCCAGACATGGTGGTGTGTGCTTGTAGTCCCAGCTACTTGGGAGGCTGAGATAGGAGAATTGCTTGAATCCACGAGGCAGAGGTTGCAGTAAGCTGAGATTGCACCACTGTACTCCAGCGTGGGGCTACAGAGCGAGACTCCATCTCAGGAAAAAAAAAAAAAAAAAAGATTTACCCACTTTTTAGAAAACCTTGACTCATAGTTCATGTCCCTCTCATCACAGGGAAAGGGGAAGAAGTTCACCAGTTTTGCCTGGTTAGAAGATGGAGAAAGAGGGAGGAGAAAAGACCATGATTATGTATGCTACACATAGATCACCCAAGAGGTATTTCAATCAGTGAACTGGTGAACTCAGTTGTTCATCAGTCACTGGTTCTTGTCACGGTAAACTCCGAATACAATTTTGCCCCCAGTTGTTCACTAGTTCACCAGTTCTTGTCATGGTGAACTAAGACACGATTTTGCAATTAAAATGTGTAATTTTTTGGGGTGAGGGGACAGGGTCTCTGTCTCCCAGGCTGGAGTGCAGTGGCACAATCTTAGCTCGCTGCAACCTCTGTCTCCCAGGTTCAAGTGATTCTCCTGCCTCAGCCTCCTGAGTGGCTGGGATTACAGACATGTGCCACCATGCCCAGCTAATTTTTGTTTTAGTAGAGACAGGGTTTCACCATGTTGGCCAGGCTGGTCTCAAACTCCTGACCTCAAGTGATCCACCCGCTTCGACCTCCCAAAGTGCTGGGATTACAGGCATGAACAACCATGCCTGGCCTAAAATGTGTAAATTCTATCCCAAATTCCCAGGACATACATATAACTAAAATTAGACATCTTGGGATTATTTTTGGGGGGGAACTGGACAATATGAAACAGGATAATGGTGAAGGAAGACTGATGTTGCTATGTGTTAGTAATGGACTTGCTCACTACAATAATTAAAACAAGATGCCATTGGCACAAGTAGCTTCATCAAACAGCATAAAACCCAAGAAAACAGGCCAGGTGCAGTGGCTCACAACCGTAGTCCCAGCACTTTGGGAGGCCAAGGTGGGAGGATCTCTTGGGTCCAGGAGTTCAAGACCAGCCTGGGCAACATAGTGAGACCTGCCTCTACAAAAAATAAAAATTAGCTGGGCATGGTGGTGTGTGCCTGTAGTTCCAAGTACTTGGGAAGCACAGGTGGGAGGATCTCGAGCCCAGGAGTATCAGGATGCAGTGAGCCATGATTGCATGGAGCCACTGCACTCCAGCCTGGGTGACAGTGAGACTCTCTTTCCAAAAGCAGAAGCAGCAACAAGAACAACCCTCCAAGAAAACCCCAGGAAAACATTCTGGCCAATATTAATCTGTGCAGTACAATAAAGAATGCTGTTCAAATCAGTGTGGAAGGATAGCTTTGGGGTGAACTGATGCCAAAATGCACTCAGGATGAAATAAAAAGTTGCATGTAAACAATAAACCATAACATAACTGAAAGAAAATAGAACTAAATAGTTTTATGATTTTAGTTAGTTTAGTTTAGATAGATTTTGTGAGTATAGCAACAGTCAATGTTGTTTATAATGACAAATTGGATATAACTGAATTATCTAATAATTGCAATTAGATAATGGATGATGATACATCAATTCAATAAAATGTTACTGACGTAGATTTTTTTATGACGTGAATTTAAAAATAAGCTATCAAAAAGTAAGTACAACTTAGTCTTATACAGAAAGAAAGCATAGAGGCTTAGAAAAAAGAATGTAGATGTGGGCTGGGCACGGTGCCTCACACCTATAATCCTAGCATTTTGGGAGGCCGAGGCGGGTGAATTACCTGAGGTCAGGAGTTGGAGACCAGCCTGGCCAATATGGCAAAACCCTGTCTCTACTAAATATATAAAAATTAGCCAGGTGTGGTCGTGGGCGCCTATAATCCCAGCTACTCGGGAGGCTGAGGCAGGAGAATCGCTTGAACCTGGGAGGCAGGGGTTGCAGTGAGCCGAGATTGCACCACTGCCCTCCAGCCTGGGGGACAGGGAGAGACTCCGTCTTAAAAAAAGAAAAAAATGTAGATGTTAGTTAACGTGGTTATCTCTAAAAGCTGAATTTATTTACTTTGTGTTCTCCTGTTTCTTTTTTTTTCTTTAATAAGGAATTCCCTCAGAAAACCCTAAATTCTTTAAGAGATTGGGGGGGGTCTCCCTATGTTTCCCTGGCTGGTCTTGAACTCCTGGGCTAAAGTGATCCTCCTGTCTCAGCCTCCCAAAGTGCTGGGATTACAACTGTGAGCCCCCAAGCCCAGCCAAAATTTCTATATGTAGCTTCTCTTACTAAGCAATGCTTACTACTTTTAAAACTTAATGGATGGCTGGGTGCGGTGGCTTAGGCCTGTAATCCCAGCAGTTTGGGAGGCTGAGGCAGGCGGATCACAAGATCAGGAATTCGAGACCATCCTGGCTCACATGGTGAAACCCTGTCCCTACTAAAAATACACACACAAAAAAAATTAGCTAGGTGTGGTGACAGGCGCCTGTAGTCCCAGCTACTCAGGAGGCTGAGGCAGGAGAATGGTGTGAACCCGGGAGGTGGAGCTTGCAGTGAGCCGAGATCACGCCACTGCACTCCCAGCCTGGGGGACAGAGTGAGACTCTGTCACAAAAAAAACAAAAAACAAAAACAAAAACAAAAACAAAAAACACTTAACGGATGCAGACTTATGAATATGAGACGAAAAACTAGGAATGAGCCAAACATCCCTCAAGGGGTAAATGGACACACAAAATATGGTAGACCCATCCACAAATACAATTCCTCAATCGAAGGGAATGAACTACGGGCACACGTTACAGCATGGATGGACCCTAAAAAACGTTGTTATGTGAAAATACCACATATTGTATGATTGCATTTACATGAAATATCCAGAAAAGACAAATCTACAGAGACAGAAAGTAGATTAGTAGCCTGCAGCTGGAGGCTGGACCAAGGGTTAACTGTTATGAGCAGAGAGATTTTATTGGGGAGATGGAAATGTTCTGAAATTGGACTATGTTGATGATTACACAAATTGATACTAGAAATCACTGAATAATAAGTACAATTAAAACAGAGTGATTATTATGAAATGTAAATTATACGTCAGTAAAGTTGTTTCAAAAAACTTAATGGAGAATTTGGTGAAAGTTTAGAGACCTAAAGGTTTAGAGGTTTGGTTCTGTTTTATTTTTAATATGAAGGAGAGGAGGAGGAAAAACTGATAGAGATTTTACAACTACAAAATTAGAGAATCTTGCTTTCAACATGATAGCGTCTGTACGGATGTTTAGAGTGGCTACACCACAGTACTTTTAATGCTAGGGGAGAAAGCCTATCTAGATTTAGACACAGAACAGTGATGCTCTTTCCCTAACCAACTGTGGGTTCCTGGAGGAAAGAAACCACTCCTTGGCCTCAAGTATTAACATCTCTGGCCGGGCGCGGTGGCTCACGCCTATAATCCCAGCACTTTGGGAGGCTGAGGTGGGCGGATCACTTGAGGTGAGGAGTTTGAGACCAGCCTGGCCAACGTGGTGAAACCCTATCTCTACTAAAAAATACAAAAATTAGCCGAGTGTAGTGGCATGCGTCTGTAATCCCAGCTACTGGGGAGGCTGAGGCACGAGATCACTTGAACTTGGGAGGCGAAGGTTGCAGTGGGCTGGGATTGCACTACTGCACTCTAGCCTGAGTAACAGGGCAAGACTCCATCTCAAAAAATAAAAAACAAACAAAAAAAAAACCTCCCACCAACCAGCTGGGTAACCTTCCAGGGTTACTTTCTCCAGCTTTCAGTTTCGTCTGTTAAAAAAAAAAGGGGGGGGTTGGACTAAATGATTTTTAAGGTTGGACTAAATGATTTCTATAGTTCTGTTCAGCTATAGAATTATTCTCCTTGCCATTCACCACCCTCAGCAATTTGCCCTAGACTCCGTTCCAATCCCATTGCTTGTTGCTTCAGTTCCTGTATCCTTTACATCAGATAAGGTGACCTGGTTCTACCCCATTTATCTGCATTTTTTTCTCCCCAGAGCCTTTACTGGGGCCCCAGACTTTCTTACTAGAAATGTGATTTTTCTAATTGTTTCAACCCTCAAGCATTTCTCTATCTCTGGATCTCTCAGACATGAATTTGTACACTGTTGTTTCTTGCTGCTGTGCCATTTATCAACTGCTACATTATAAACTTCCTCCAAACCCACTGACTTAAAACAACAGCTATTTTATTATGCTCACAAGTTTGTGAATTAGGAATTAGATCAGGCACAGTGGGGATGGCTCTGTCTCATCTGACATAACTGGACCCTCTGCTGGGGTGGGTCTGATGATTGGAGGTAGCTGGGATGGGGCCTTAAGCCTGGAGCCTTCTTTCCGGCTGTTAGCTAGATTTTCTCCACATGGCATCTGCTAGGGTTTGAATGTCCAAAATGGCTTCTTTACTCACGTGAACCGCACCTGGGCTGAAATGGCTGGGACAGCTGGGATGGCCACATAGCCTCTCCATGCGGCTAGGCTGGGTTTCCCCACAGCATTGCGGTTTTAGGATACTGGATTTCTGATACCATGGCTGGCTTCCATCAGAGCACAGGTTCTAAGAGTTGAGGATGGGAGCAGCAAGGCCTTCTATGACCTGGTCTTTGGAAGTCACACAGTGTTCTTTTCTGCTGCATTCTGTTTGCTTCACAGGGCCAACTCAGATTCATTCTGGGAGGGTACTACACAAGGTGCGGGTAAGTGTTGGGTGTAGTGCTCATGGTGGCAGGGGGCATCTTTAGAAACTGGCTGTCACAACTGTGAATGCTTCTGTGTTTTATTTTCATAACTAAAGTCTAAATTATTTGAGATTAGGAAAGATTTCTTTCCTCTTTTATTACCTTCACTGTCTCCTCCTTCTCTCTTCCCACAGCATAAAGAAGAGAAACACATGTTTTATAGACTATAGGCAGGATGGCTGGGCACTATGGCTCATGCCTGTAGTCCCAGCACTTTGGGAGGCCGAGGTGGGCAAACCACATGAGGTCAGAAGTTCAAGACCAGCCTAGCCAACATGGTGAAACCCCATCTCTACTAAAAATACAAAAATTAGCCAGGCTTGGTGGTGTGCACCTGTAGTCCCAGCTACTTGGGAGGCTAAGGCATGAGAATCGCTTGAACCTGGGAGGTGGAGGTTACAGTGAGCCAAGATTGTCCCACTGCACTCCAGCCTAGGTGACAGAGTAAAACTGTGTCTCAAAAAATAAATAAATAAATAAATAAAAGAATATAGGCAGGAGTCTGGATAAGCTCAAGGGTCCCAATCCTGGCTGTGTCATTTACTAGCCATGGGACAATCACTCAACCTCTCCATATCCAAGTTTCCTCATTTACACAATGGTGGTGGTGGTGGTGGTGACATGATAGCACTTTTTCTCATATAAATGATAGGAGGATGAAATAGTGATATTGTTAGCAAATCAGTTAGAAGAAAAGGCTACTATACAACAAGCAACCAATGAATACCAGCTATTATTGTTGTTGATTTAATTTAGACCATCAATTTATCATGATTTGGGGGCAGCGTTGCCCAAAGGAAAAAGGAAGAATCTAACCATTGTTTTCTGAAATGAAAAAAACAAATTATCCCACAAACTGTGATGATGAAGGCAACTGGCTCTACAGCATCTGTTCAGACACTATCCCAGAGGCTGGAGACTTCTGAAGTCAAGAAGACATGTTTACATTTTCTTATTTCTTCATGTCTTATCTAAAGATATATTTAGATAAGAGAGTATAAGTGGATACAAAGGCCTTACTCCTTGCCTCAATATGGGACAACTCTGAAAAAGCTGTTAAAAACTGAAGAGGAAAAAAGCCATCCCAGCTCCAGAGCTCCCAGTAGAAATGGTTTCTTTTTTTTTTTTTTTGGGACGGAGTCTCGTTGGAGTGCAGTGGCTTGATCTTGGCTCACTGCAACCTCTGCCTCCCGGGTTGACGCCATTCTCCTATCTCAGCTTCCCGAGTAGCTGGCACTACAGGCGCCCGCCACCATGCCCGGCTAATTTTTTTTGTATTTTTAGTAGAGACGGGGCTTCACCGTGTTAGCCAGGATGGTCTCAATCTCCTGACCTCGTGATCCTCCCGCCTCAGTCTCCCAAAGTGCTGGGATTACAGGCATGAGCCACTGCGCCCGGCCAGAAACGGTTTTTTCATGTCTTATCTAAAGAGAGTATATGCTTAATTGGCTATAAATTACAATGTAAAAATCACAACCAAAGGAAAAAAATAAAAAGAGAAAAAAAAATCACAACCAAAAGGCTGTTAAATACTGAGATGACCACGAAAAACAAGTGTAAATAAACAAAACCTGTAAGGCAAAAAAAAAAAAAAAAAAATTCATCAAAAAACTGATGTGAAACAAAGAAAATGTCAACGCAGAGAAAAGAAGTTCAAGTAAATGGAAGCATGAATGAACACTTGCAGAGGATATGCAAAAAGCAGGGTAGAGAATGGAGCACAAATCAAAAGAAGAAGATTAGAAGAAGGATCTGAAGGCATGTTTTGATTATGTACAATTGACAATACCAAAATTGCTAACTGCATTTTAAACACTAAGACATCCTGTTGAAAGGATTGGTCCTTATTTTGGAAAAAAAGCAACTAATGTGAACTCTTCTGGGAAAACAATATAAAACAAGCCAGTAATACTATTTTAACTTTACAGAGAAGTGCCTGTAATGAGTTTACAATACATATAATCTACAGAAATAGTTTCAAATTGCAGGAGGGCCAATTTTCCTCCTACTTAGAGCTCGTTTTGTTTTGTTTTTTTCCTTCAACAAGATTGGCTTTCTTTTGGGAGGCTGCAATAATCAAAAGACATTCAGGAAGATAGAACGCCCTGGCAATGGATTTTTTCCCCCTAGAGACAGGGCCTCGCTGTGCTGCCTAGGCTGGAGTGCAGCAGTGCAATCATAGCTCACTGAAGCCTCAACCTCCTGGGCTTAAGTGATCCTCCCATCTCAGCCTCCCAAGTAGCTATGACTACAGGTGCACGCCACCACACCCAGCTAATTTTTTTTCTTTTTTTGAGATGGAGTCTCACTCTGTCACCCAGGCTGGAGTGCAGTGGCATGATCTCAGCTCACTGCAACCTCCGTCTCCCGGGTTCAAGTGATTCTCCTGCCTCAGCCTCCCCAGTAGCTGGGATTACAGGCATGTGCCAGCACACCCAGCTAATTTTTTTGTATTTTTAGTAGAGACGGGGTTTCATCATGTTGGCCAAGCTGGTCTAGAACTCCTGATCTGAAATGATCCACCCGCCTCAGCCTCCCAAAGTGCTGGGATTACAGGTGTGAGCCACTGCGCCCAGCCCCAGCTATTTTTTTAAAAATATTTTTTTGTAGAGACAGAGTCTTGATCTGCTGTCCAAGTTGGTCTTGAACTCCCGGCCTCAAGTGATCCTCCTGCTTTGTCCTCCCAAAGTGCTGGGATTACAGGCATGAGCCACCATGCCTGGATGGATTTTTAAAGTAAAGTCATGCATCATGTAATGACAGGGACACGTTCTGGAAAATGTGTCATTAAGTGATTCTGTCTTTAAGTGATTGTGTGAACATCAGAGCATACTTACAAACTTGGATGGCCTAGCCTCCTATACACCTGAGCTGCATGGTATAGGCTTTTGCTCCTAGGCAACAAACCTGCACAGCATGTTGCTGTACTAAATAATGTAGGAAATTGTAACAGAATGATAGGTATTTGTATATCTAAATATATCTAAACATAGAAAAGGTACAGTCAAAATACAGTATTATAATCTTATGGGGCCACTGTCTTTTATATGTGGTCTGTTGTTGACTGGAAAGTCATTATGGGGCACATGACTGTACAGGCAAACTCATGGCTTTAAGACCCCTCAGTGAAGAAATGCCGGGAAAGGACACTGCAGGAAAATCAAGAAGGAGGCTGCAGAGTTAATTTGGGGAATTTCAGTATTGAAGGGAAGGTCAGCATTCCAGTCTAAGACTCTAAGAAGGAAAGTTGAGTGCTGATGGTTTTGGGGGATGCTTTTGGAGATACACCTATACAAAGAGATGGAGTCTTGCTCTGTCACCCAGGCTGGAGTGCAGTGGTGTGATCTCGGCTCACTGCAAGCTCTGCCTCCGGGTTCATGCCACTCTCCTGCCTCAGCCTCCCTAGGAGCTGGGACTACAGGCACCCACCACCAAGCCCAGCTAATTTTTTGTATTTTTAGTAGAGACGGGGTTTCACCATGTTAGCCAGGATGGTCTCGATCTCCTGAACTCGTGACCCACCCGCCTCGGCCTCCCAAAGTGCTGGTATTACAGGCGTGAGCCACCGCGCCCGGCCATACCATTTCTACCAGGAGCTCTGGAGTTGGGATGACTTTTTTCTTCTTCAGTATTTAACAGCCTTTTCGGAGTTGTCTCATATCAGGGCAAGGAGTTAAGGACTTTGTATCCACATCAGCACTCTGGAGGAGGGTAACTGGATAAGGTAGTTCTCTCTAGGTAAGGGCAGTGCCCTGTGAGGAACACAGCTATAAGCCAACAGCAGCAGCATCCTTTCCCAGCATCCAGAGTCTTCTGACTGTTGTCCAGGCACCCACAGATTCTCTTTTTTATTGAGATATTACACAGAGTAATGTGCACAAATCTTAAATCCATGGCTCTATGAATTTTTGTGTATGAATAGACTCATATAATTCCCATTCAAACTAAGATAAAAACCAAATTTTCAGTACTCCAGCGGGCTGTCTCATGTCCCCTCAATAACCATTCACACAGATGTAATCACTATTCTCACATCTATGAGCATACACTGGTTTTGCCTGTTTTTGAATTTCATATAAGTGGAAATATCTAATATATACTCTCTTGGGTCTTGCCTTTTTGGCTTAATGTGCCTAATGTGATTCATGTATGTTGCCATGCATAGCAGTAATTTATTCTTACTGCTGTGTGGCAATATTGAGTGAATATACCACAATTTGCTCATTCTACTCTTTTTTTTTTTTTTTTTTTTTTTTTTTGAGGCAGAGTTTCACTCTTGTTGCCCAGGCTGAATTCCAATGGTGGGATCTTGGCTCACTGCAACCTCCGCCTTCCGGGTTCAAGTGATTCTCCTGCCTCAGCCTTCTGAGTAGCTGGGATTAGAGGCATATGCCACCACGCCTGGCTAATTTTGTATTTTTAGTAAAGATGGGGTTTCTCCATGTTGGTCAGGCTGGTCTTGAACTCCCGACCTCAGGTGATCTGCCCACCTTGGCCTCCCAAAGCACTGGGATTACAGGTGTGAGCCACCACACCTGGCCCTTACACCTGGCCCTTGACCATTCTACTCTTTCTTTTTTTCCTTT
This sequence comes from Homo sapiens, assembly GCF_000001405.40. Lineage (NCBI taxonomy): Eukaryota > Metazoa > Chordata > Mammalia > Primates > Hominidae > Homo > Homo sapiens. The sequence goes on along the minus strand of NC_000003.12, from coordinate 72,857,240 downwards.
TTTTTTTTTTTGTTGAGACAGAGTCTCGCTTTGTCACCCAGGCTGGAGTGCAGTGGAGTGATCTCGGCTCACTGCAAGCTCCGCCTCCCGGGTTCAGGCCATTCTCCTGCCTCAGCCTCCCAAGTAGCTGGGACTACAGGCACCCGCCACCACACCCAGCTAATTTTTTGTATTTTTAGTAGAGGCGGGGTTTCACCGTGTTAGCCAGGATGGTCCTGATTTCCTGACCTCGTGATCCGCCCACCTCAGCCTCCCAAAGTACTGGGATTATAGGTGTGAGCCACTGCGCCCGGCTCCGCCCATTCTACTCTGAATGAGCACTTGAATTGTATCCAGTTTTGACTATTATGAATAATGTATCCATGAACCCTCTGGTACGTGTCTCTCGACTGAATATTACTTCAGTTCTGTTATGTATAAAAGAGGAATTTCAAGGTATACATATGTTTAGCCTTAGTAGATACTGCCAAACAATTTTTTAAGGTAGTTATACCAGTTTACAATCCCACCACAATCTTTCTAGCCAAAAAAGGTACATTTAAATCATTTCTGCATGAGGGAATAAAAATATGTTCACACCCATCTGTACTAAACAATACAAAAATTAGCCGGGTGTGGTGGCATGTGCCTGTAATCCCAGCTACTTGGGAGGCTGAGGTGGGAGAATCCCTTGAACCCCAGGAGGCGGAGATTGCAGTGAGCCGAGATCGCGCCACTGCGCTCCAGCCTGGGCGATACAGCAAGACTCCAACTCAAAAAAAATTATAATAAAAATAAAAATATGTTCACTCTGAATCAAGGAAAACATTAGTTAGGCTAAGGATAACTAGACTGTAAGAACTTTTTAATAAGTAAGATAAAGACTTGAATCAGCTGTTCTCCATGGGTACTGTAGAAACTTTTCTCCAGTAATTTTGCAGGAGTGTGAAGAATGTTTAAGGGGTTCCGTAAGTGTGGTCATAGGTCAGGTTCCTTAGAAGCAGATCCTGACAGATTTTTTTTTTTTTTGAGACAGAGTCTTGTTCTGTCGCTCAGGCTAGAGTGCAGTCGTGCGATCTCCATTCACTGCAACCTATACCTCCCAGGTTCAAGCAATTCTCCTGCCTCAGCCTCCCAAGTAGCTGGGACTACAGGCATGCGCCACCACGCCCGGCTAATTTTTGTATTTTTATTTATTTATTTATTGTTATTTATTTATTTTTGAGATGGAGTTTCACTCTTGTTGCCCAGGCTGGAGTGCACTGGTGCGATGTCGGCTCACTGCAACCTCTGCCTCCCAGGTTCAAGTGATTCTCCTGCCTCAGCCTCCCGAGTAGCTGGGATTACAGGTGCCCACCACCATGCCCAGCTAATTTTTGTATTTTTAGTAGAGATAGGGTTTTACCATGTTGGCCAGGCTGGTCTCGAACTCCTGACCTCAGGTGATCCACCCATCTCGGCCTCCCAAAGTGCTGGGATTACAGGCGTGAGCCACCATGCCCAGCCTATTTTTGTATTTTTAATAGAGACGTGGTTTCTCCCTGTTGGCCAGGCTGGTCTTGAACTCCTGACCTCTGGTGATCTGCCCACCCCTGCCTCCCACAGTGCTGAGATTACAGGCGTGAGCCACTGTACCCAGCCAGATCCTGAGAGATTTTGATGCATGTGATCTATGAGGAAGGGTTCTCTGGAGAAATTTATTAAGGAGGAGGTGAAAGGGAATGGGAAAAGGGAAGACAGCCAAAGAAAGATGTGGGTTTGGGGAAAATCTAGCCTCGGCTGGATCCCATTAAAAAAAACAAAACAAAACTCTGGAGCATAAGCCATGCCACAGAGTCACCTTCCCTTTTGAGGTGGTCTTCTGAACCCCATATCGCTCTTCATGATTGCAGGCTTGGGCAAGGGGGTAGCGGTCGTCGTGGTAGTAATTAAATCCTGGAGGTTTCTTCTATCAATCTAGAGCAGCTGTTCTCAGCCCTGGGCAATTTTGTCCCCTCAAGGGCATTTGGCAAAGTCTGGAGAAGTTTTGTGATTGTTACACCAGGAAAACTCGTGCTTGTATTGAGAGATTAGACGATAAGGATGCTGCTAAACATCCTACAGTGCATAGGACAGCCTTCTGCAACAAAGAATGATCCTGCACAAAATACTGGAGTGAAGAAACCCTGAGCTAAGGCAATTCTTTGGCGGGATCAGTGGCAAGCCATTACATTCACTGCTAGTGACAGATGAGCTTCCTGGCTCCATAAAGGGAATCTGGGCAGGGCATCAGAATAGTACCTTTTGCAGATGCTTTTTCAAAATATGATGTTAAACAATGAAGGAGGCTTGAAATGCTGTTCAGTTAGCATTCTTTTGTGATCCTGCATTTCATTTAATGGGATAAGACTAGCATCTTGATATATATATCACTAAGCCCTTAGGTACATTGCTCAGAAATCTTGTCAAAAAACACTCTTATGTCAGCTGTAGCCATTTTGGATTTTCTTTGGAGCTTTATCGAACTTGTGCAAAATTGGAATTGGGCTGAATCCTCCCTGAAATACTCATTACTATGCTACATTAGTGCTAACACTGTGCTCCTTAGCAAGTTTAACTCTAACAACTGTAATGTGAATGGGCTAAAGGATTGGGGAAAAGAACAAAAATAGCTGCACTTAAATCCAGAGGGGTTTGAAAACCACTGGAGGTCACCAGTGTCAGACTCATGGTCTTCTTAGTCTACATCCTGTTGGGACCATCCCTTAAACCTCTTTTACAGTCCTGTATTTATCTGTCAGTTACCCACGAATTTATCTGTGTCCTCTTAGAAGCAGTTTATAGCTTGGAATTGCAAAACTCAGGGTATCAATGGCAGGAAATATTTGCAAATTATGCCTCCAACAAAAGACTAATATCCAGAATTTACAAGGAACTCAAACAACTCAACAAGGGGGAAAAAACCCAGTAAAAAGTGGGCAAAGGACACGAACAGACATTTCTCCAAAGAAGACATACAAGTAGCCAATAAACATGAAAAAATGTTCAACATCACTAATTAGAGAAATGTAAATTAAAACAACAATAAGACATTATCTTAACACCAGTCAGAATGGCCATTATTAGAAAGTCAAACAACAACAGATGTTGGCATGGATGTGGAGAGAAGAGAATGCTTATGCACTGTTGGTGGGGATGGAAATTAGTACAACCTCTACAGAAAACGGTATGGAGATTTCTCAAATAAATAAAAATAGAAATATAATTTGAACTTGCAATCCCACTACTGGGTATCTACCCAAAGGAAAATAAATCATTGTATTACAAAAAGACACTTGGCTGAGTGCAGTGGCTCATGCCTGTAATCCTAGTACTTTGGGAGGCTGAGGTGGGCGGACTGCCTGAGCTCAGGAGTTCGAGACCAGCCTGGGCAACATGGTGAAATCCTATCTCTACTAAAATACAAAAAAATTTAGCCAGGTGCGCACCTGTAGTCCCAGCTACTCGGGAGGCTGAGGCAGAAGAATCACTTGAACCCGGGAGGCAGAGGTTTCAGTGAACCAAGATCGCACCATTGTACTCCAGCCTGGGCAACAGAGCAAGATTCCATCTCATAAAAAAAAAAAAAAAAGAAACCTGTACTCATATATGTATTGCTGCACTATTCATGATAGCAGTCATGAAATCAACCTAAGTGTCCATCAGTGGTTGACTGGATAAGGAAAATGTGGTGGCTGGGTGCAGTGGCTAACGCCTATAATCCCAGCACTTTGGGAGGCCAACGTGGGTGGATCACTTGAGGTCAGGAGTTCAAAATCAGCCTGGCCAGCATGATGAAACCCGTCTCTACTAAAAATACAAAAAATTAGCTGGGTGTGGTGGCACACGCCTGTAGTCCCAGCCACTCGGGAGGCTGAGGCAGGAGAATTGCTTGAACCCGAGAGGCAAAGGTTGCGGTGAGCCGAGACGGCGCCACTGCACTCCAGCCTGGGCGACAGAGCGAGACTCTGTCCCAAATAAATAAAATAAAAAATGTGGTATAATTACACCATGAAATACTATGCAGCCATAAACAAGAATGAAATCAAGTCCTTTGCAGCAATATGGATGGAGCTGGAGGCCATTATCTTAAGTGAAATAACTCAGAAATAGAAAATCAAATACTATAAGTTCTCATTTATAAGTAGGAGCCTAAACAATGGGTACACATGAACATGAAGATGGAAATAGTAGACACTGGGGACTCCAAAGGGGGGAGAGTGAGAGGGGTAAGGGCTGAAAAATTACCTAATGGGTACTGTGTTCACTATTTGGGTGATGGCTAACTAGAAGGACAACCCCACCATTATGCAATATATCCATGTAACAGAATTGCACATGAACCCCCGAACCTAAAATAAAATAAATTTAAATAAAAAACTCATGAGTGCCATTGTATTACCACTGTTATACAAAAGGATTTTTTTCAAACTTCAAAATGTGTTATCCAGTTTGTACTCTAACTTTTGTATTTTTTTAATTTTTTTTAAATTATACTTTAAGTTTTAGGGTACATGTGCATATTGTGCAGGTTAGTTACATATGTATACATGTGCCATGCTGGTGCGCTGCACCCACTAACTCGTCATCTAGCATTAGGTATTTTTACTCTAGTTTCATGATCCTAGTATTAGTTTTTTTTTTCCTTTCTTAAAATGAATCATCACTGTGTTCAATTCTGTTTTTAAGAGTTCTAACACTAGGCCAGGAGTGGTGGCTCACTCTTATAATTCCAGTGCTTTGGGAGGCTGAAGTGGGAAGAGTGCTTGAGGCCAGGAGTTTGAGACCAGCCTTCACAACATAGCAAGACCCCGTCTCTACTAAAAAAAAAAAAAAAGTTAGCTGCGTGTGGTGAAACATACCTGTAGTCCTAGCTATTTGGGAGGCTGAGGTGGGAGGATTGCTTGAGCCTAGGAGGTTGAGGCTGCAGTGAGCTATGATCCTGCCACTGCACTCCAACCTGGGAAACAGCACAAGACCCTGTCTCTGAAAAAAAAAACAACAAAAAAACAAAGAGTACAATTGTGGATAAACTTATTCTTGACAAAAATGTAGTCAAATGGAAATATTGTAATGCCACATATGTATTTTATATATTATATATATATATATATATATATATATATATATATATATAGAGAGAGAGAGAGAGAGAGAGAGAGAGAGAGAGAGAGAGAGAGAGAGAGATATGGAGTCTTGCTCTGTCACCCAGGCTGGAGTGCAATGGTGCAATCTCAGCTCACTGCAACCTCCACCTCCCAGGTTCAAAGGATTCTTTTGCCTCACAGCCTTCCGAGTAGCTGGGATTACAGGTGGTGCCACCACACCTGGCTAATTTTTTTGTATTTTTAGTAGAAACAAAGTTTTCCCATGTTGGCCACAGCAGTCTCAAATTCTTGACCTCAAGTGATCCACCCGCCTAGGCCTCCCAAAGTGCTGGGATTACAGGCATGGGCGACCGTGCCCAGCCTGTAATCCTATATTAAGTGAAGAAAGCAAATATAGATTATGACATTCTTTTGTTGAAAATACTTCCCATACTTTTATGAATAGGAGTCTGAAAAGATGTATGCCAAAATAATAACAGTGGTTAAGACGTAGTTTGCAAATACTGTGTAAGATTCCACCACCTCCCCAAAATGGCTCAGAGAATGAACTAGCGCTATAAACAACTTATTCAGGAAGCTATTTTTCAACATAGGTTAAAGCTCCATTCTTTGAGATAACATTGTTTTAATCACCTATATGCATGCCACCTTCTGGAAACAAGGAGTATTTCACCATTAAAAGACTTCTAACAATAGAACTTGGTAATAAAGCTGACATTGGAATTGTTTATAAAAACCATTTTTAATTTAACATTTAATTTGGAAGCTTATGGATCACAATCAGGGTTGTTAGACCAGAGGAGGGGCCAATTTAATATAATGAAAGATGATAGGTTACACACTTGTCCTACATAAGTTGGTCATGGAAAAAACTTTATCTTATTATTTTATTTCATGTTCTCTATAGGCCAGAAGGAAAAACTATTTTTAAAACAGTGGAAGGCCATTCAAAAGTAAGCTTTCAGAAAATGAAAAGATAAAAAACACTGCAACATTTGAATGCTCAAAAATGATGAAAAATTGCATTCCTGTTTTCCCCTCTAAACCAGAGCTAATTTAAAACATTAAAATAATGTCTTTATTCTCAAGCAATGTCTGTATTCAGAAATAGAAACTCAATTTGATCTATGAATCAATATAGCTATGTCTCAAAAATGAACCAAAGTAGGAAAAAAAGCATGTTGCAGAATTACTTTCATAGTGTGAGAATGTGCCCATATAAAGTGGGTCTAAACACAAAGCAACAGGGTCCATAGAAATGGATGTAGAAATAGAAAAGGGTCTGAAGTGATAGCTAGGACTGCCTTTGAGGAAGCAGGAGAAAGAACCAAAGTTGCATGGCAGCCAAAAGGAACTTTATGTTCTTAAGTGAGAATGAATCTATAACTTATATTTACCACTAATAGAAATGCAAAAATAAGAGAACTATTGCCTGCAAGAAAACAAAAACCAACAGAAACCCAAAACAACAAAACCTTGTTATATACTTGAAACTATCCGTATTTTGTGATTTAGCAGATGCAGTATATATTTCTTATAATGACGGCAGCACTGAACCATGTTGTCTGTTTTCCTGTGTTGCAGTCCTGTGTGTGTGTGTGTTGCCAGACACATAATAAAGTACCCAGGAAATGCACAGCTCTAGTTTGCAAAGTGCTTTCAATTAGAATTTCCTCATGGATAGCATAGCTTGTTTCAGTTGATTCTCTGGCATTAATAATTTAAAAATATTAATGCTTGTGACCTACAGGAATGAGGTCCCATGGCAGATGTAAAGATTATTTCTTTTTTTTTTTTTTGAGATGGAGTTTCACTCTTGTCACCCAGGCTGGAGTGAAATGGCACAATCTCGGCTTACTGCAACTTCCGCCTCCTGGGTTCAAGGGATTCTCCTGCCTCAGCCTCCTGAGTAGCTGGGATTATAGGCACACACCACCATGCCTGGCTAATTTTTGTATTTTTAGTAGAGACGGAGTTTCACCATCTTGGCCAGGCTAGTCTCGAACTCCTGACCTCAGGTGATCCACCCCCTCGGCCTCCCAAAGTGGTGGGATTACAGGTGTGAGCCACCGCTCCCGGCCAAGATTCTTTGTAAAGAAGCTAATTTGGAATAGTTTAGTCACAGGCCTATCTCAAGGGACCTTTTGAGAGCTTTATTAAATCAAAGTTGGCATCAATTCATTGTCAATATTGAGTGCCTATTACTTGTAAGGCTCAGTATGGTCTAAAGCAGGCAGGCTTGGCTTTAGAATGTGAAACAAAGTAGGTGGTAATAACAGAGGGAGTCAACTCTGTAATAGTGTAGAGCCTGGGCCTAGGAATCAGACTCACCTGGGTTTCAATTCCCATTGCACCACTTACTAGCTGTGAGATCCTGTGCAAGCCAAGGGAATATATAATGCCTACTTCATAGAGCGGTCAGGAGGGAGAATGAGATCATTACAAAGGGTTTGCTGCAGTGCTGGCACATAGTAAATATTCAGTTAATGTTAGCCCCTGTTACTATTAATTTTTTTTCTGAGTCCTAATGAAGTTTCAAGAATGTCTCCTTAGAATCATAAAACAGCTGGAGATTGAAAAGACTTTTGAAGTTTTCTGGTTATCTCCACTGTCCTAGGAGAGTACTTTTCATCCCTTTTCCACTGATACTTAAAACCACGGAATAAATACCACAACTGGATTATTCTAATTAGTGGTGGAATAACAGGAAACAACATGTGTGGAAAGGCCAAGGGAATATGTGGGGGAAGAGGGAAACCAGCGGGAGAGGCACTGAGAGAGTGTAAGGGGCACACTCCAAAGGGAGAAAATACAAGGAAGACAAGTAGAAAAAAAGACAGAAAAGATGTCCTCAGACAAGTGTAAGGACAAGAGTGAGAAAAAGGAAAGAAGGGGAATACAGAGGGACCTTAATTTGTGAATGCAGTCACCGACACGGTTTAAGAGTCAAACGTTCTGAGTTCTAATTACTGTAAAATGCATGGTTATAAAACGTACTGATTAACCTCTCTGAGCCGTTTTCTTTAGAGTTTGCAGCGTAGATTAGATGAGATTAGCGGGACGGACGCTCTGTTAAAGAGAAAACTCTTCAAATAAGCCGTTAAGAATGAGAGAGAAAGCTGCAGAAAAAGAGAAGTGGAAAGAGAGAGGGAGGAAAGGGAAAGTGTAAGAGGAATTGTTCACAAGGCAGGTGAGAACTAAGGGAAACCACTGTAACGGTGCTGCTGTGGCTACTGCGGTGACTACTTCAGCACATCAAGCGTTGACAACTTGCCAAGTTCGTTATTAGAGTTCTACATGCACAATTTCATGCTACCCTCACAGCATTTCTATGGGGCTAGGTTCTCGCATTATCCGCGTTTTACAGAAGATATAGAGAGGTTTTGTAACTTTCCCAAGGTCTTACAGCTGAGAAGTTGTGGCCAGGAAGGGATTCAAACGCACGTCTGTTTACCTGTCAAGCCAGTGCTGTTAAAATCATCTCTAAGAACCTCGAAAAAGGCTCGGTTGCTAGTCATCCCGCCGGTTCAACGCCGGCTCCCAGGCACCACTCGCCACGCCCTTTCTCCGCCCGGGGGTTTTGAAAGTTCCGCCTCTTCTCGAACGGCGTCCCGTCTCCATGGAGATTGGCGTGGGGAGAGACTTCCTGCCTTACGCGCGAGCACTTCCGCCTCGAGCCGGAAGCTCCGTCCCTCACACCGAGAGTTCCTGCGCGTGGGGAGTTGGAGAGTTTGCGTGGCGGGAACGCGGCGGCAGTGAGAGCGAGCGGCGCCGGCCCTTGCGTCCGGTGCGGCGATGCTGACCCCGGCGTTCGACCTCAGCCAGGATCCGGACTTCCTGACTATCGCCATCCGCGTGCCCTACGCCCGGGTCTCCGAGTTCGACGTCTACTTCGAGGGGTCTGACTTCAAGTTCTACGCCAAGCCATACTTTCTCAGGCGAGTTCGGGGTGCCTGGCCGCAGGAAAGGCGCATTCGTTAGATAGCTGCTTTAGAGGGAGAATGCAAGGTCGAGAGAGCAGTGCTCGATTGCGCGAATGCCTTTTCCCGACGTTTCCGCAGCTTCTCTTGGTGCCAGGGAACTGCCCTCTTCCAGGGGTGCGTTTTAGATGCTGCGGAAGCCCTTTTCCTTCTTGAGCTTTCTTAAATCCCATATCAAAGGATTGCGGAATCACTTGAAAAAGTGACGTTTGGACCGTGTCACTTTCCCGTTTCTGCCCTGTCGCCCTAGTTCTCGTCCCGTTCTGACTTGTTCTGTTCTTTCCTTTCACTCCGCGTTTGCTCTCCCAGTCTCTCCCTTCCTGGGAACGGCGCGCGCTGACATCTCCGTGACTTCCCAACCCGTCGGTCCTTTTAACTTTGCCCAGGCCGCCTTCTGTTGATCTATCTCTTGTCTGTCCGCTCCCTACTTACCGAAATTCTTACCTTTTTTGGACCTCTTGACACCAAATTAGCCTAGTTCTCCTGCTTCCCTGCTGTCTGCTGCTCTTCTGTTTGGTTTTGTCCCTGAAGTGTGGTTGTTTCCCCCAAGTCTCCGTGAGGGTCTGTCAGCACTTGATCTGTTTAAATTATTCTCCTTGCAGAATCGTAACCTTGGTAGCAGCTAACACTGATAACTCGTAGTGTGGTGGACAAGCAGTTCCGTTAAGTGCTTTATGATGGTGTATCTCATTTAACTTTGACGGTGATCCTTAGGGATAAGCACTGCTATTAACCCCATTCCACAGAACCCGCTGCTACATATTCATCCTAAAGTATTGCCAATCTCTTGTCCTTCTCTTTATCCATCCTCCTAATCTTTCTGAAGTGTAGCTGCATCCTACTTTTCCCACCCAAGTACTTTTGTGGTACAAACCTTCTCCACCAGTCAAGGTGGTTTTTTCACTGTTGCTGAACCAGTTTTGCTCAGATTTCCCTTAGACCATATAACGTCCGTATTTGAATTATTGCACTTTCCAGTTTTTTAATTCACTTATTTCTTTAATTTATTTATTGAGTTTCAGTGTTGGTATTATTGTGCTGAACAAGACAAAGTCCTGCCCTCATGTACTTTTCACTGGGGAGAGGAAAACAATAAACAGTGTACTTAATTGTGGTGAGTGCTATGAGGAGAAAGAAGTGCACTAATAGAGAATGAAAAAGGGCCCATGTTTTATAAAGTGGTCAGGAAAAGCCTTTCTGGGGAGGCGATATTTAAGCCAAGATGTGAAGAATAGGAAGAAGATTATGGTGGTAGCAAATATTTATTGAATTTTTACTCCAGGTTAGTGCTTTATACGGATTATCTCATTTGTTATTAGGACAGTGTTACAACGAGGCTTTATTATTTACCCGTTGCCGTGGATGGATTATTTGTGGGCACCCCCCCAACTCTTGTCCCCAAATTCATATGTTAAAGGTCTAATTCCTGTGTCACTTCTGCTTTATTGTATTCATCAAAACAGTCCCAGAGCCTGCTGAATTTTAAGGGGAGGGAACATAGACCTTCATGGTTGGGAAGAGTGCTGTGAGATGGGCATTCTTTGATAATACAGTTTGCCCCCAGATGTGGTGGCTCACTCCTGTAATCCCAGCACTTTGGGATGCCGAGGTGGGCAGATCACTTGAGGTCAGGAGTTTGAGACCGGCCTGACCAACATGGTTAAACCCCATCTGTACTAAAAATACAAAAAAATTATCTGGGCTTGATGGCACGCGCTTGTAGTCCTAGCTACTTGGGAAGCTTGAGGTGAGAGAATCGCTTGAACCTGGGGGGCGAAGGTTGCAGTGAGCCAAGATTGCGCTATCGCACTCCAGCCTGAGTAACAGAGCGAGACTGTCTAAAAAAAAAAAAAAAAAGAACATACAGTTTGCTATACCAAGGATGAATAAAACCTGGTCCCTCTCCTTGAAGAATGGAGACTGTAGCTGCGGAGGCCCCATGTAAGCAAATATAATTTTCTCTGCAGTAAGAATTTAACTCTAGGCTTATAGAGTTTAGGGGAAGGGAGCTGGTAATAATAGCTCACATTTTCTGAATGCTCACCTGTTGTGCCGGCCACTAAGCTCTTTGCATTATCATTTCATGCTCATAGTAACGCTTGGATAGTTACTGTTATTTCCCCCCTTTACAGAAGAGGGATTTATGATTCTTGAAGAATAATTAACTTGTACAAAGAAGGTTGTTACACATCTGGTAAATGGCAGATCTAGGAGTTAATTCAGATTCTGACACTAAAGTTAGCGTTTGTAACCATTATAACAAACTCATCCATAAACTGACCCCTTATTCTGGCTTAGAGGGATTTTCATTCTGAAAATGTATTGAAGCTTGAGGAAACCTTGGGATTAAAGGTCCTGGGCCTTTTGGGACTGTCAGCTGTTTTTGTTTTTAATCATATTTAGTAGGAAACAAGGGGGAGGGCCATGGGAAGAAAGGAAGCTCAAATTTCAAGTTTGGAATGATATGGAGTGGGCCTGATATGCCCTTCTGATAAGTTTAAATTATCTAGGCAACATGAGGCAGCCATAGACACTTTTTAAAATAGAAAAGTGACAATTAGATTCCTGTTTTAGAAAAATTATTTTGGAGCCTCAGTGGAAGACTGATTGAACTAGGGTAAAACTGGAAGCAGGGAAATCACTTCATTTCTTTTTTCTTTTTTTTTTTTTGGACACAGAATCTCACTCTGTTGCCCAGGCTGGAGTGCAGTGGCAAATGATCTCGGCTCACTGCAACCTCCCCTTCCTGGGTTCAAGTGATTCTTCTGCCTCAGCCTCCTGACTGGCTGGGGTTACAGGTGTGCACCACTATGCCTGGCTAATTTTGTATTTTTAGTAGATATAGGGTTTCTCCATTTTGGCCATGTTGGTCTTGAACTCCTGACCTAAGGTGATCGACCCACCTCGGCCTCCCAAAGTGCTAGGATTACAGGCGTAAGCCACCACGCCCAGCCAATCACTTCATTTCTTTTAGTACAAAAGAGGGGTAAATCCCTACATAATAATGATGAGATTTGACACTTTTGCTTTCTGCTTTTTTTTTAAAGTAGTAATTTGCCTGATAAAATCAATTGGTTTTGTGTTTCTTTATTGTTTCCCATTGAGTATCCCTTATCTGTACAGATTGAGTGTCCCTTATATGAAATTTCAGATTTTCTAGAGTTTTGGAATATTTTTGCATACATAATGAGATATCTTGAGGATGGAACTCAAGTTTAAACACAAAATTTATTTGTTTTATATACACCTTATACATATAGCCAGAAGATAGTTTTATGTAATTTTTTAATACTTTTGTGTATGCAGCCAAGTTTTGACTGCTTTTTGACTGTGACTCATCACATGAGGTCAAGTGTGGAGTTTTCCACTTTGTGGTGTCATGTTGGTGCTCAAAAAGTTTCAGATTTTGGAGCATTTCAGATTTTCAGATTAGGGATACTCAACTTGTGTTATAACAATAGTGATAACTACTATTTATTATGGCTTTTCTTTTTCAGTATCTATTTTGTTGGTGACTAGGGGTATTCAAATAGAAAGATGAGTCATCTCTAATTTCTACTTTCTTGGTTGGGGAAAGAATCTAACTTAGTTTATTAAAATGTGAAAGAAATACTGAGGAACTTCTTAAAAAATGATTGATATATTTTGATGGTTAAATGTTTGCAAGTATTGATGGCCACTTATGTTACGTTATAATTTAAGGACTTCATGAGACCTGTGTTAAATCTGCAGATTAACCCTTCCTGGAAGAATTGTAGAAAATGGAAGTGAGCAAGGGTCCTATGATGCAGATAAAGGTATTGTCTTTGGAATTTTTGTTAGTTTATTTCTTGGGATTTTTCACATTATTTACATAATAATCTTACAAGATACCATGGGGACCTTTTGATGTCTTTCAAATACAATCTGTTCCTATCACTCTTTCTTGTTTCTTAGTGTCCAGTGCCTGTTATTGATGTTCCCCACCCCTCACAAGTCTTTTAAAGTATTTCACAATGTTCTTCAAAGTAAAGTTAACTGCTCCGGTTCTATTTCCTAGAGTACTTCCCCTACATTTAGTAGACATTTAAAAGTAAAAATTAGAACATGTGAAATGATTGATCATAAAAAATGTAGATGACTTATGAGCTTATGAATGGAATCTTTCTGGTATAATTTTCAAACTTGAACTTTAATAACAGGTAGGTGAGAGAGAAACTATGCATGGGTGGCATTTAAAGGCTAATTGAATTTTCTCCTCATGATTGATAAGCCCTTCATTTCAGCTAGCCATGAACCCATTTATTTTTCCTTTATAGAAGCCACTGGCTTCCTTTGTCATCGGATTTAGAACACCTTGTGTAGTCTTGTGTACTTTATTCAATGAATATTGACCTCAGTGAACTAGGCTAAGGGTAGGGTATGGGGGGGTGGGTTAAATGACAGAGATCTAACCCATAATGCAGTGTAATTAATGTGTAATGAAGTATAGTGAAACTGCCTTCCTAGGTAGTAAACCAGCTTTTAGTTATAGGTAAGTTGCATATTGAAACAAAATTATTAAATTTTTAAAGTACACAGGAGTTAAGGAAGATTGTGTATGCGGAGATATTTGGGCTGAGTTGTATTTGATATGTTGGAATTCAGTTCAGTACACTGAAAGAGGCAAAATGTTTTAAAATGTCAAAGTGCTAAATAATGTAGTAAGTTCCCAGGGAAGCCTAAATAAGATAGATAAACTCAGTCAAGGAAAGAAAAGAAGTACATAGACTTTAGGGATTTGAGTCTGCCATAGACTTTAGGGATAGATCTCCTGACATGCCAGAAAACCTTATTAAGCCATAATTGTTGTATCTAAGATTCTGTGTATTTTTAAAACTGTTGCCATTCTCCATTGGATTAGGTATTCTGATTTTTTCCTCCTTTCCCAGAAGTCTAATTAGTAACTCCTGGTTAATTCTAAGCTATTACCTTCTTAGGCCATTGATTTTTATAAGTTTTAACTTGGATTTTTAATATTATCAGTAGGTAAAGGTCATACTGTATAAGACTAAAGTATTCTGTAGCTTTCACAGATAAATAATTTTTTTTTTTTTTTTTGAGACAGAATCTCGCTCTGTTGCCCAGGCTGGAGTGCAGTGGCGCGATCTCGGCTCACAGCAACCTCTTCCTCCTGGGTTCAAGCGATTATCCTGCCTCAGCCTCCCAAGTAGCTGGGACTACAGGTGCACATGCCACCACTCCCAGCTAATTTTTGTATTTTTTAGTAGAGATGGGGTTTCACCATGTTGGCCAGGATGGTGTTGATCTCTTGACCTCATGATCCGCCTGCCTCGGCCTCCCGAAGTGCTGGTATTACAGGCGTGAGCCACCTTACCCAGCCAGATTAATAATTTTTGATAGAAATGACAGCTTCTGAAAAACCCTTGTTAAGAACCTTTTTCTATCTTGACTTGTATTCACCAAATCTATGAGGGCATAGTTTTAGAGCCTGTAAAATAGAATTATGTTTTACCAAGACATGTATTTCTCAGATATATTTGTGAAGTCTTTGACTATTTTATTTATTTATTTTTTTCTTTTAATTAAAATGATTTTATTATTATTTTCTGTAGAGATGGGGTCTTGGTATGTTGCCCAGGCTGGTCTTGAACTCCTGGGCTAAAATGATCCTCCTGCCTCAGACTGCCAGAGTATTGGGATTACTGGTGTAAGCTATTGTGCCCAGCTTTTTAAATATTTTAATCTAAGCATAAAACAAATTTATCTTTAAGGAATTTTTACCATTCGCCTGCCCAAAGAAACCCCTGGCCAGCATTTTGAGGGGCTGAACATGTTAACTGCTCTTCTGGCACCAAGAAAATCCAGGACAGCAAAACCACTTGTGGAAGAAATAGGTATGTTTATTACAGTTGGGAGGAAATTAGGATAAATAGAAATATTTGGAATGCTGTGTATTTGTAGGGGAAATGGGATATAGTGAATAGGAAATTGAAGAAAATACTTCAGGTATAAGGTGATCATGTGAAACCATATGAAAATAGCTTCTTTGGTGATATAATTAAGACATTAAAAATCCTATTGAACCAGATCACTCACATTTTTGGACCAATTGAAACAACATTTTGTGGTTGGCAAAATATTAGCATCTTGAGCTAAGATCAGAAGTATACAGTTAAGTGAGTTACGTAAAACAGGGGTCCCCAACCCTCAGGTTGCAGACCAGTACTGATCCATGGCCCGTTAGGAACCTGGCTGCACAACAGGAGGTGAGCGGAGGGCCAGGAGTATTACTGCCTGAGCTCTGGCTCCTGTCAGATCAGATTAGATTCTCATAGGAGCATGAACTTACTGTGAACTGTGCCTGCGAAGGGTCTAGGTTGTGTGCTCCCTATGAGAATCTAAAGCCTGATGATCTGAGGTAGAACAGTTTCATCCCCCAAAACTATCTCTTTACCTCTTTGATCTGTGGAAAAGTTGTCTTCCACAAATCCGGTCTCTGGTGCCAAAAAGTTTGGGAACCACTGATGTAAAGTGAACACCACCTCTGTCAAGAAATGGAGCATTTCCAACACCCGAAGAATACCATCCTGTATTCTTCCATTACTTTGCCCTCTCTCCAGGGTAACCACTATCCTCTGTTTTGCCTGTTTTTACGTTGCATATGTAGATCATACAGTATGTGTTCTTTTTGTCTGGCTGCTTTCACTTAACATTATTTTTGTGAGATTTATTCATATTCTAGCTGAGATTCGTTTGCTTTCATTGCTCTGTAATATTCCATTGTATGAACATACCACATTTTTGGTTCTTTTTTTTTTTTTGCTGTCACGAATAGCGGAGCTATGAATATTCTTTTAGTACATTTGGTATATGTCTTTTGGTACATCTTTGTGGGCATTTTTTCCTATACTTTTTCTTCCCCTAGTTGTACTTAAATCCAATACTTAAAAAAAATTAAAATTTAACACATTCAGGTGCTTCTGAGATTCCTGAGGAAGTAGTTGACGATGAAGAGTTTGATTGGGAAATTGAGCAGACACCCTGTGAAGAGGTATCAGAAAGTGCTTTGAATCCGCAGTGCCACTATGGATTTGGAAACTTACGATCAGGAGTGTTGCAACGGTTACAGGTATGTTGTCTTTCTGAAAGATCTTGATCTATAGGGTTTTTCCATTTGGATATTTTAATTTCAGTTATGCTTACACTTGGTAGTTTTTAAAAATAATATTACAGGAGGTGATTGTATTTAAAGCACTTAGCACAGCTAAAGTACATAGATGTGCATTCCCTTCCATTTCATTGGCTGTTCTGCCTAACTGTACTGCTCTTACAGACACCCCGTGGCTTTCTTTTTTCTCCCCTTTATTCAGTATTCTAGACATGAAGTTTCCCAAGTACAAAGCAGAACTCCTCTCTCATACTTCCTGCAAAGCTTTATGTTTTATACTTCTGAAAAGTGAGATCATGTACTTACGGCATGATGTCTCTTCTTTTCTGTATATAAATGAAATAGAATGTTCCTGGCGAGAATGAGATTGTGTGTTTTGATCAAATTGTCTAATTCTTGGTGTATAGTAGGCACCATTTTCTATTCTCTTTTTTTTTTTTTTTTTGAGACGGAGTCTTACCCTGTCGCCAAGGCTGGAGTGCAGTGCAGTGGCACGATCTCGGCTGATGGCAGCCTCTGCCTCTAGGGTTCAAGCAATTCTTCTGCCTCAGCCTCCTGAGTAGCTGGGATTACAGGTGCCTACCACCACGCCTGGCTAGTTTTTGTATTTTTTGCGGAGATGGGGTTTTACCATGTTGGCCAGGATGGTCTCAAACTCAAGTGATTTGCCTGCCTTGGCCTCCCAAAGTTCTGGGATTATAGGCATGAGCCACTGTGACCAGCCTATTGTTTATTTATTCTTTTTTTTTTTTTTTTTTTTTTTAAGACAGAGTCTCACTTTGCTGGAGTGCAGTGGCACGATCTTGGCTCACTGCAACCTCTGCCTCCCGGGTCCAAGTGATTGTCCTGCCTCAGCCTCCCAAGTAGCTGGGATTACAGGCGCCCATCACCACGCCTGGCTAATTTTTCTATTTTTAGTAGAGATGGAGTTTTGCCATGTTGGCCAAATTAGCCGGATGTGGTGGTGCGTGTAATCCCAGCAGTTTGGGAGGCTGAGGCGGGTGGATCACGAGGTCAGGAGCTCGTGACCATCTTGGCTAACACGGTGAAACCCCATCTCTACTAAAAATACAAAAAATTAGCCAGGCATGGTGGCACCCACCTGTAGTCCCAGCTACTCAGGAGGCTGAGGCAGGAGAATCCCTTGAACCCGGGAAGCAGAGGTTGCAGTGAGCTGAGATCTCGCCACTGCACTCCAGCCTGGGCAACAGTGTGAGACTCTGTCTCAAAGAACAAACACAACAAAACAAAACCTGTTTAGAATGTGGTTTATTATCTTAAGACATATTTGAATTTACGAAGGAGAGGGAAAAGACCTGGGTTCTGGTCCCGCTCCTACCTCTGTTAAGATTTGGGATACCAGGCCAGTTATTTGACCACAAGTAAGTTTTGTCTCCTCTTTGGAAAGTGGAGATAAATTTGCCCACCTACTTTATAAGGCTGTCTTGAAAATTTAAAAAGATAATGCATGTGAAAACTCTTTGGAAAGTGTAGAATGCTGTAAAGACTCCTGCCTTTGAAAAATATAAAATGGTCTCAAAATTCCTTAAAGGGAACAACATTGAGATTTACTTAGGAGCAAATGCTGGTGAAATAGCCTTCCTTCTAAAAACTTAGGTGTTTTTCTGCTGAGTTGTGGTCTGCCCATATTCTCTGCTTGATCACAATCGCTGGTGATCTCAGAGGTAATTAGAGTAGAGTCAGTTTTGTCTGTAGCAGGAACTACAGTGAATGGCCCTCAATTGTTGGCCAAGAGATAGTTTGTGGTCAGGCTGTTTTGGGCTTGCCAATCTAACGCTGTACATGAATGATAATAAATGTCACACAGGCTAAGTATGGATTTTACATTTACATTAGAAGTGCTTCTTTGAGGCCAGGGATTTGTTACTTAATTGTTGCTTCTGTTTACGGAAAATCCTTTTGAAAGATTTCTGACAGGTTGCTGAGATGTTGTAGGAATGCCATAATGTGAGCCTAGAATGAGTGCCTTTTAGGTCAGAAATTCTTGTATCTTGAAAATGTTCACTTAATAATTTAGGTTTTTTTTTTTTTTTAAGCTGCTATACTTTCTTTTTGGATGTCTTAACTAATGTATCAAATACCTAGACATCTATTACTTAGGTTAAAAACATTAAACATTAACCAATATAGTTGACTCCTGTCTAATCCCTTTTTGTTTACATCCCTCTGTTTCCCATCAGAAATAAACCACTGTGGCTGGGTGCAGTGGCTCACACCTGTAATTCCAGCACTTTGGGAGGCTGAGGCAGGCGGGTCAGGAGTTTGAGACCAGTCTAGCCAACATGGCAAAACCCTGTCTCTACTTAAAAATACAAAAATTAGCTGAGCGTGGTGGCGCATGCCTGTAATCCCAGCCATTTTGGAGGCTGGCAGGAGAATCGCTTGAACCCAGGAGGCAGAGGTTGCAGGGAGCCGAGATTGCGCCACTGCACTCCATCCAGTCTGGGTGACAGAGTGAGACTACATCTCAAAAAAATAAAAAAGGAAATGAACCACTGAATTTAATGTTTATTATTCTAAGCTTTTAAAATGGCTTAATCATCTAAAATCATTAAACTCTTCTTCAAATTTTAATTGCAAGAGCATTGCTTTTCTAAACAATTTGAATGAATATTCCCTAATGTAGGGGAAAAACAACTGAGCATTTGGGAAAACTCTAAGGGTTTTATAACGTAAATAGTATACTACTTGTAGTACAGGTTTATAACCCCATATGTGCAATACTGGGATCACACAAAGTTCTGAAAACTAAAAGTTAAAATATTTAATTTGGTGGCAAAACTTAACCTGAACCGATACAGATTTTTAAATCCCACTTAGTGTACGTATTCAAAAATTTCCTGTAGAAGTAGTGTTTGGATATGGGCGCTGCCCCAGACATCTTAGAGGTTATTACATAAAGTATGGTGTGTGCACCATGTTACCTTTCTAAACTCTGAAAGAGTGAATCCTGAAGCTCACCTTGCTCCAGGGGATTTGGATAGCACTGTGCTGAGCACTGCGTGTGCAGCAACCAGACTTAGAAATCAAGTGTAAGCCCAAGATTCCAAAAATTGAAATGTATCCTCTTGAAGATATTAAGGTAGATAGGTTTTATGAAATATTGCCACAGAAATCTTGCATAATTGGTTAATTACTTGTAGAGTTCTTCTTCATTCACAGCTGCTGTTTATGGCAGCCGTAACAAGTGGTTCAAAACTGAGTGATCATGTAAGGTTAATAATATGACCCTAATTCTATGAGTAAAGCAGCTAGAAGAAACTGAAATGATGATCACAAATAAGAGATTTTAGAACATCTTTTCTAATTTAAAATGATTTTGAAAACTTCACCATTTTCTCAAATAGTATTTTCTCACAAGTTTATTTTTTCTAGTTCTGCCTATAGATGAAGAGATGTCCATACAGCTTCATTGACTACTCATATGAGTATTTTTACAGCTTTTTCCTCCCCCTGTAGATGAAAAATGGCTTTTTTGTTTCTAATAATAAAAGCAATACAGATTTATTATAAAAATATACAAAGAAGAAAGTAAAAAAATTATTCATAATTTCAACACTGAGGGATCTTTTCTTCATTGAATAATTTAGCCCTTTACAGAAGTCTTTCATATTTTTTTGCCTCCAACTTTTTAGACAGGATTTGTTTGTAAACATCTATATTTTATACTGATAATAAGAAAATAAAATATTTTTGCTGAAACAAATTCTCTTTGAACATTCCTCCCTCCACTCCCCATACCCAGAGATATATTCTTCCTATCCCCAGTCTTTTTTTCCTTTCTGAAATTGCTGCCAGCCACCAGGGTGCCTTTGGAAAACTGCCCTAGCTGCTCAAAGTCAGGACTTCACAACAAGCTTCTGGCAGTGGTGGCTGCCAGCAGCAACAATCCTAGAGTCTCTGGGCGCCAACCCAGCAAGCTCCTGGGACTGCTGCTGCCAGTGCTGCAGGACGCCAGGCTTGCTGGCCCTGTCCTTTTGGCTACACAGGGACCTGAGGCCATTGTTTCCGGGATACCCACTAGCCAGATGTGTTCATTGTTCTTTATTTTCTTTCTGGATTGTCTCTGCCTAACCTGTGCCTAAACTTCCATAAACTTAATTTAAATCCTACCTGACCTTTTCTTGGCAATGTCTATCTTTAAATAGCTCTAATAACTAGTGGCCATAGCAATTGTTTAAAAGAAAAAGGAACCTTTTTTTCCTACTGTAGTTGAACACTTCTCATCCTCTTTCTTCCCTTTGGTTGATTAATGCCTTCTACTTCTAAACCCCAAGCTACCTTTGCTTTTAGTTTGTTTCTGTTTCTTTTTAGAGTCCAGTTTGAACAGGGCTGCTGCATGTGACTGTGCATAGAACAAGCCTGGGTGGGGCTTGCACTGCTCTGAACACTCATGTTCTGCTGTGTACATGTTGCATGACTATAGTGGAGGCCCTGAATCTGGAGGCCAGGGGGAAGAGGAAAGAGGAAAAAGAGCTGCTTTCTTTTTTTTTTTTGAGACGGAGTCTTGCTTTGTTGCCCAGGCTGGAGTGCAGTGGCGTGATCTCAGCTCACTGCAAGCTCCGCCTCCCGGGTTCACCCCATTTTCCTGCCTCAGCCTCCCGAGTAGCTGGGACTACAGGTGCCCGCCACCACACCCGGCTAATTTTTTGTATTTTTAGTAGAGACGGGGTTTCACCGTGTTAGCCAGGATGATCTCTATCTCCTGACCTGGTGATCTGCCCGCCTTGGCCTCCCAAAGTGCTGGGATTACAGGCGTGAGCCACAATGCCTGTCCAAGAGCTGCTTTCTTATTGGTCAGTTCTCCTTCCCATGAGAGTAGAGACCTGGTCTGTGTGCTGTGTGTTTATTACTGGATTTCCACTTTGGCACCCAGAACAGTTTCTACTCCATAGCAGGCCCTCTAGCACTATTTGCAGAATAGATGATTTAATATTGGACACCGGGCACAGTGATGGGGATACAGTGAAGAAGATGATAGATGAGATCTCTACCCTCAGAGAACATTCTAGTGAGGAGATGGACAGTAATTATGTAAACACATAACAAGTAAACAGGATAATGACAGATAGTTACAGGTAAAGGGAAAGGATGGGGTGAGGTGAAAGACTGGGGGTACTACTTTGGCTAGGATGCCCAGAGAAGACTCCTTTGAGAAAGTGACATTTGCACTGAGTTCTCAATGATGAGAAGGGTACTGTAAGCGTAAAGGCTCAGGATTGGAATTGATTGACGTTATCTAGAAATGGAAAGAATAGTGAGTGGCTTGAGCGTATTTGAGCCAGAAGAGGACGGTGAACATGGGGTTGAAGAACAAGATGGGCTAGATTGTGCAGAGCTGTGCTCACAGTCTGGGGCTACTCTCAGCGCAGTTAGAGTTTTTAAATTTCTGGGGTTATGTCGGTCCATTTACCCTCTGAAATGTAGAGTTGTCTACAGAGACTCACAGGTTATACCCCATTTATGACTTTATTTCTGGTCAAGGTGAAATAATGAAGCAGAACATGTAAGTCTGTGTTTTAAAATTGCTATTAGCAAGTGAGGAAATGGAAGTGGAGGGGAGGCTTTGTACTCAGTAGGAAGTTTGCCAGTGAGTAACAGGGAGCAGCAGTGGAAGAGGGAGACAGAGAGAAAGGAAACCGACATTATTGAATGTATTGAGGCCTCTGCTTGTTCCTTACTTGTATTATCTCATTTAATCCTCACAACAGCCTGTAGTACAGAAAACTGTCCCCTTCCCCAAAAAAATGTCCTTGTGCTTCTCCCCAGAATATGTTACATTATGTTGCAAAAGGTATTTTGCAGATTTGGTTATGTTGAGGATGTTGAGATGGGGAGAGTATCCTGGATACTCTGTCTCAAAAAAAAAAAAAAAAAAGAAGCTGATGGAGGAATGGTATTATGATGTGGGGCTGCAAACCAAGGAATGAGGACAGCTTCTAAGATGGTATGGACAAACAATCTCTCCTAGAACCTCTAGAAAGGAGTGTAGCCCTTGATTTTAGCTCAGGGAGACTGATTTTGGTCTTCTGACTTCCAGAACTGTAAGATAATAAATGTGCATTGTGTTAAGCCCAAGTTTGTGCAAATTTGTTATAGCACAGGAAGCAAAGAGGAAACTAATACCTAGTGCTGTGATAGAGATGTTACTGGACTTGACAGTAAGAAAGCTGAGGTTCAGAGAGTCTGCATGATTCCACTGGAGCTGAGATGTAGATCCAGAACTTTTTGAGCACCAGCATGGCACTCAAAGGAAAATACTACATAATAGTATTTCAGTAGGATATGGTATAATATATTCTAATTCTCCAAAAAGTAAATTGCAAAGGAACTTTTGGAATGTAAATTTTTGTAAGTTTGGAGACAGCCAGTAATCTGGTTTTTGCCCAGAATGTTTGTACTTGACAACATTAAGATGTTCTGGATGTTCCAGTGACGACGACTTCTTTTTTTTTGAGATGGAGTCTTGCTCTATTGCCCAAGCTGGAGTGCAGTGGCACGATCTCATCTCACTGCAACCTCCACCTTCTGGGTTCAAAGAATTCTCCTGCCTCAGCCTCCTGAGTAGCTGGGATTACAGGTGCACGCCACCACACCTGGCTAATTTTTGTATTTTTTAGTAGAGACGGGGTTTCGCCATGTTGGCCAGACTGGTCTTGAACTCCTGACCTCAGGTGATCCGCCCGCCTTGGCCTCCCGAAGTGCTGGGATTACAGGCATGAGCCACTGGGCCCGGCCTGTTCCAGTGACTTCTAAAAAGGTCTCTGGACCCTTTTTATTATATTAGTATGTGCTTAGATGAAATATTATTGATACTACTTAAGCTAAATGGATTGTGATAGGGATGAGAGAATTTTAAAATTATTATATGGAAATTTTGATTGGAGAGGCTCTATCCTATCTCTAACTGATTCAGCATTGCTCACATTTGTTGCAGTGGTTTTTGCATTACAGCCATCAACTTTTAAACTTGCCTATTAGGCACCAACCTATAAGTCTGTTTATAAATGTCTTAACAGTTTGCTTTCTCAACTCTCTAAGTTATTTCCCTTGATTTCTTTTCAGCTAATATTCTTTAAGCTTCTTCCAGTTTCTGTACTTCTCACTTGTGGTTGGTAGCAGGAGTAGTGAGACAGAAGAAAGAAAAAAAGACACAATTTTAGGAGTATTTCACATTGTATAAGGTTTCTTTGCTTCGCAATTCTGGTGAAACGAATAAAGACCATATGGCATCCTAGGCAGTTTTCCTAATGTCCATTTATTCTGTAGGATTTGGCTTGGGAAACATGTTCCATATCAGTATGTATGCATCTAGGCAAAGGCAATGACAGGAAAACTGATTCTTAGGATTCGACTTTTACATTTTTCAATGGAAAGTCATATACTGTGCATCAAAATTGCCCGTAAAAATTCTATCTATCTATCTATCTATCTATCTATCTATCTATCTGTCTATCATCCATCTATCTGTCTGTCTGTCTGTCTATCTATCTATCTATCTATCTATCTATCTATCTATCTATCTATCTATCTATCTATCATCTCTGATAGAGTCTGGCTCTGTCGCCCAGGCCAGAGTGCAGTGGCATGATCTTGGCTCACTGCAGCCTCCATCTCCTGGGCTCAAGCCATCCTCCCACCTCAGCCTCCCTTGTAGCTGGGACTACAAGCATGAGCCACCATGCCTGGCTAATTTTTGTATTTTTTGTGGAGATGGGGTTTCTCCATGTTGCCCAGGGTGGTTCGAACTCCTGGGCTCAAGCAGTCTGCCTGCCTTGGCCTCCCAAAGTGCTGGGGTTACAGGAGTGAGCCACCACACCCAGCTTGTATGTAGTCTTTTACAGGATCTGAAATCTGAAATGGTCCAAAATCCAAAACTTTTTGAGCACAAACATGGCACTCAAAGGAAATACTCTTTGGAGCATTTCGCATGTGGGATTATTGGAATAGGGCTGCTTAACTGGTATAATGCAAGTATTCCAAAATTTAGAAATATTCAAGATCCAAAACACTCTCTTCCCAAGCATTTTGTATAAGGGATATTCAATCTGTACGGTAATGCTTCTTTAGACCAGCTGAGCTAGACTATAGGAAGAAAGAAGAGACCGTGTAGATGTCTGAAAATCCAGCCACTCTACGTTTAATAACTTTCAAATCTCTAGGTGTAAATGGGGAAATGGATGTTGAGTTAAATGTTCCTGCTTGCTTGTAGGGGTTTATTCCATTCTGTTTTTTATGTTAAACTTTTATAGCCTTAATATCTGTCAGTCAGCTTGTTTGTTGTAAGGATTAAATGAGATAATTTATGAGAAAGATCTCACAGGCCCTACCAAGTAGTAGGTGCTTAAACATTTGTTGGATTTGAATCTAAATGTCACAGGTGGCATCATGGTTTACTGATCAGTTAGGTTCTTCCTGTGCTTTGGCATTTTGTATAAAATTTGAGTTTTAAATGCTAAAAATAGGAGATAGCAATTATTCTTTCTTTTCTGGGTGTCCTCAGGATGAACTGAGTGATGTTATTGATATTAAGGATCCAGATTTCACCCCTGCAGCTGAACGAAGACAGAAGCGCCTGGCCGCTGAGCTGGCCAAGTTTGATCCTGATCATTATCTGTGAGTAATGAGATTTTTGAGGATTAAATAATTTACTTGACATTTATTTTAAAATTTTTGAGTGTCTTTTAAACTCTGCTAGGGATGTGCATTTCGGATTCCAGAAATTATTGATGACTGAAGACCTTAATGGACATTTGAATTAACCTACAATGGTTGTACCTCTGTAATCTTTGTAAGATGTTGCCTCTTATATCTCAAGTTGTTCATCTTAGCAACAGAGAACTCTTCTAACATACTTTTTAGTTTTTTTCTCGCCAGGCTTAAAAATATAATACTGAATTCATGAGACTATTACACTTCTTTTAAGTAAACTTTTGGTTGTGATTAATGGTATGCATAAATGAAAATATGTTTCAATTTCTTTAAGAATTTAAATGTACCTGTACCACATTTCTTGGCTGATCCCAGGATCTTCCTAATAACTTTCATCCACTAGCCCTTGTAATCAGTGATATGTTTCCAATGAACAAATAATTATTCTTCGTGGTAGAGAATAAATAGAATCTAATTTGAAGTTTTGCTGTATTATTTCCCACTGGCATTAATTGTGTTTTTGGCTATAATGTATCTCCATCAGGCTTAAATTTGCATAAAGAACTTATCTAATTAACAGATAGGTACATGATGACTTGAGAGATTGTGATACCTCCCACTGGCCAGGATAGCAGCATTTCTTCCAAGGATTGTCGCTTGACCTCTCTTGGACATGTGGCTCTGCTAGGATGCGTGGAGAATGAGGGTTTTATGTTGATGTAGACCTTAATTATTAATTCTGGGTCAAGATTTTCCAAACTGTTACATATATAGCTATAATCATCATATCTCCTTATATTGGTATAGTACCTGCAGCTTATAAAGTGCACTCATGTGATTATTCAGTTTTCACAACAGATGAGGAGAGGAGTTTAAGGGACTTGCTCAAGGTCACACTACTACTAAGTGGCTTGGCCAAGACTTGAAAAGAGTCTCTCCATTTGTCATTTTGTATATCCTTTTCATGTACACTATTTCAGTTTAACTGCTGTAGCTCTCGTGATTAACATTCTATCTCCTGTGACACAGTAGGATACTAATTGGAATGGCAGGGATATATCTTGTGATGTGCAAATGGAATGAGTGATGTGTAATGATAAATGGTTGAACTGTTCAACATCCTAAGGGAAACTGGGTAAGAGCAGGGTATGTTACATTTTGGAGGACATCTGAGAGATTCAACTCCATTTACACTGCTATTTCTAATTACCTTTATCTCTCCAATTGTGGTTTTAAAGGTCCACTGAAGAGCAATTTGAAGAAACCCATTTAAAATCATGCTGAATATTTAAAGTGGAAATTTCATTGTCAGCAAATTTCTCAGGCTAGCATAAAAACAGAATGAACTTTACAAGACTGAAATTTCAAGTGGGAGGGAGCTTAATTAGAAGAACTGCCTATCTCCTCTCTTCTAAAACTAGAAGAATAACTATGGCCTGAGAGAATTAGGAAATTGGAATTTATAGTTAGCAGTGTGATATTATAAGCAGCCCTTATTTTTCTCCATCTTCTGTGTGTCTTTATCCAGAAGCTCATTTTCTTTAATACTATGCATGAAATATTCTTTCCACTTCTCAAAGAACTGTTCTTACAAGAATGGTTTAAATTTAGTTATGGGCTAAGTGAGGAGAGTGGGAGTCATGAGGTAAAGATTCTTTGTGACTTTTCTGATAGCAGTAAGACTTTGGCTCAGTGTAATTTTTGTGTTACTACTCACTATTTATATTAGCTGACTGACTCACCCAAATGTATTAATATTAAATGAAATGCAACTAAAATTCTTTTTAATTTTTATTTAAAAATTCTTTTTTTTAGCTCAGTGCTTTTTTTTCTTGTTGTTAGTGGTTAAAACAGTGGAGAAAAAAAGGCTCACTTTAAATTACTATCACCATGCAGATAATACATTGTGATATACACATGTAATACATAATGTATATAATATTAGCATAATAATGTATATAAGATTAGCATAATATTACCTATTTGTAAGTTGTTTGACTTGTCTTTACAAGTCATAGTGTTTCCTCATGTTGTCAGGATTTGGGGGGCTTTAGGAAAATGAATTTTAATTTCAGCCTAAGCAGAACACGGTGAAGTCAGTTGATTGTAAAGAAAAATTTATACATTTCAAAGGCACATATATGATTTTAGATTGTTATTTAAAAGTCTTTTATTGTAAAATCTGGATGTTATTTTGGTATAATCTGTTTTTTTTTTTTTGGCATGTTTTGCAGCTCACTATAGTGCTGGGCATGTAACAGATGATCCATAAATGTTGATTGTTTTTTATTATCCATTTCTTATTTGTAATTCCTTTGGGGTATTATTTTTACACTAAAATATGTTGACAGCATCTTGAAGCATTTCTTAATAGTCATTCCTCACTGCTTATTATTATAGCCAAGTATTCATACTTCTCTTGCTGAGAGTGTTTGGTTTTCTTCTTCCCAAATAGTTTTCTAATTGTTGGCATACATTTTACATTAACCAGTTCATAAAATCTTGCCTATTTCTTTGGGAGAAAACAAAAGAATTCAGTCAGTATTCTAAACATCTGTGAGATAAGAAAAGGGACAAAAATGATCTTATACCATTTGTTGTACCATTTTAAATTGTGATAATTTTTCATTACTCTAAATTTGTGAAAAAAGATGTATATTAATTAAGTTCTTGGGTTTATTGAGTAGATATTAAGACAACAAATAGTAATTGGATGGCTGGGAGCAAGATCACCTGCTTCTGAGGTGGCTCTCAATTCAAAACACAGAACTTGAGAAAAAGCATTAGAATACAATTTTATGTATCCCTTCTTTCATTTATGTATTTATTTGTTCAACAAATATTTGTCTGAATGAAGTACATGCTAAGCAGTGTCATAGATACCAAAGACACCGTGGTGCCTACGGCAAGATCTCAATCTCTGTGTTGTCCATGGGGCTTCCATTGTAGTGGAGGAAGTAGACACTATTTTTATTGTAATTAAGTGCTATGAAGAAGAAGCGTACTAAAGGGGTTTTATTGTAATCAAGTGCTATGAAGAAGAAGCATATTGAAGAGAGTGACTAGGCATCCCACTGACTTGACTCCTCTGTTCAACATGTCCAAAATTGAACTCATCCTTTTACTTCTAAAGTCTTTGTGAATTTTCTAACTTGATTGATGCCCCATTTTTCACTCTATTCACCCAGGTTAGAAAGCGGGGATTCATCTTTGCCTTCTTTCTTATCCCACACATTCAATCAATCCTGAAGTTGTACCATTTTTCTCTGTAGTATTTTTTTTTTTTTTCACTTCATCAGTTTCTGGCCCTCATCTGTGTCTGGTTTAGTGCAGCACTCACTAACTGCCTAAC
Organism: Homo sapiens; assembly: GCF_000001405.40. NCBI lineage: Eukaryota > Metazoa > Chordata > Mammalia > Primates > Hominidae > Homo > Homo sapiens. The sequence goes on along the minus strand of NC_000003.12, from coordinate 72,828,980 downwards.
TGGCATCCCTGCTTCTAGTCTGGACTTCTTCAGATCCATCAACCATGAACCATTAGTATGATGTCTTACGTGCTGAAAATGAAAATCTGCTTAACTCTGTCCTTGGTGCTCTTCTGCTTAAAGTACCTAACTCCTTTGTGTGTCATCGCAATTTCTCTGTGATCCCGACCCTGCCTACCTCTGTAGCTTCACTTTTGCCACTCCCTGCTCACGTTTTACACCACAGCAATAATGAATGTTTGCATTTCCCCACCTATACCACACGGCTTTTCTCTCTCTTTTTTTTGAGACAGAGTCTTGCTCTGTCGCCCAGGCTGGAGTGCAGTGGTGCGATCTTGGCTCACCACAGCCTCTGCCTCCCGGGGTTCAAGTCATTCTCCCGCCTCAGCCTCCTGAGTAGCTTAGATTACAGGTGTGCACCACCATGCCCAGCTAACTTGTATTTTTAATAGAGACCAGAGTTTCACCATGTTGGCCAGGCTGGTCTTGAACTCCTGACCTCAAGTGATCCACCTGCCTTGGCCTCCCAAAGTGTTGGGATTACAGACATGAGCCACCACGCCCAACCCACACTGCTTCTCATATATTTCCTTTTATCATGGTATCCCTTTGCCATTTATTTCCCCTGACCCCACATTGCCTGAATAGTGGTTGCTTATCTCCTCAGACTAGGCTCATTGTTTCTTCCATGCACTTGCCCTGTTAGACTGGCTTAGGAAGCCCACCTCAGTGCTCCCCTGTTACAGTTTGTCTTGTTTTTTACCGCATTGTTTTATAATGTTCTGTATTTGTGTACATGGTTCTCCTTAAATTGTGGAGTCCTTAAGGGCAGAAGTGAGTTTTACAGATCTTCATCTTCCTGATGATGCACGTAGAGGGCATTCAGTGAATGCTTGTTCAATTAGTGACCTTGAAAGTCTTGAAAAAGGCGGGGCATGGTGGCTCACGCCTGTAATCCCAGCACTTTGGGAGGCTGAGGGGGTGGGTCATGAGGTCAGGAGATTGAGACCATCCTGGCTAACATGGTGAAACCCCATCTCTACTAAAAATACAAAAAAATTAGCTGGGCATGGTGGCGGGCGCCTGTAGTCCCCGCTACTTGGGAGGCTGAGGCAGGAGAATGGCGTGAACCCAGGAGGCGGAGCTTGCAGTGAGCCGAGATTGCGCCACTGCACTCCAGCCTGGGCAACAGAGTGAGACTCTGTCTCAAAAAAAAAAAAAAAAAAAGTCTTGAAAAAAAATTGAGATCTCAGATGAAAAAACAGACAAAACTTGAAAGTAATTTATTATGAAAAGTAAAACATTAGTCACCGTCAGCGCTTGTTCATGAAACTCTTAATTCATGGACAATTCAAGCATAGACCACAGTTCAGATTACTAGGACTGTATTAGTGAAATTTTACTCAAAATAATCAAACATTTTGGAGGTGTTTTTGGTGGGGAGGGGGATGGAGGTGGTAGAAATACCATGTTACCAAGCCAGTTTTCTTTTTCCCTTCATCATGGTCCCTTGGGGAGGAAAACAGCATCTTTTCAGTTAGGCTCCTTTACTCTTGCCTTTGGTGTCCTCTGCGCTGTGGTGTCCAAGGCCCTTTTCTCTCACTGTGCCAGTTCTTCCTGGGCAATTTTATCCTCTTCTTGGTTTAAATGCTTATGACTCTCATATCTCTGTCTTGAGCATCAGACTTGTATGTCCACCTACCTATTGGATGGGTCTGTTTGTAAATCCTAAAAAAAGGCATGTCATACTCAACCTATCCCAAGCAGGAGTCGTTATTTCTCACTCATGTCTGTTAGCTTCCCTGTCTCAACGAAGGACACTGTTGTCCACTGAGTTGTGGAGGCCAGAATTCTCAGTGTCATTTTTCACTCCTCGAGCTCTTCATTCCCTACAACCTGAGGGTTCTGTCATCTACGTATAGGTCAGATTCATCCACTTTTCTCCATGTCCACTGCCACTCTCTTATCCTAGGCCACCATTATGTCTGCTTCTCCAGGTTTCTCCCTTTAAATCATTTTCCAGGCTGCAATAAGAGTGATGTTTCTAAACCATGCTAATGTCATTCCCCTATGTAAAAAGCTTTTAAGTGTTTAGTTGGTAGGGATAATCTTTGAGATTTTTTAAACATGGCTTACAAGGTGGTTGCCACTATATTATGTTCAGCTTCTTTCAACTTTTTTTCCCTTAAATGTGCCTTCTTGTTTTCTAGCCTTCGCCAACCAGTTTTTCATTACAGAATACTCTGTCCCACCCCCTTCATCTGGTTAACTGTTCATTATCATTCAACCATTGGTTTAGGTATTATATCCTCCAGGGTCCTTGCCTGTCATTCTAATTTATTTTGCCCTAGAATCCTGTACTGCTGATATGTCATAGCATTTTGCTATATTGTAATTGCTTGACTCTCCCATGGGATTGTAAGTTGTGTGAGGGCCAGGACTGTCTGTGTCTTGTCATGAATGGAACTCCAGTGCCTAACATGGATCATGGAACATGGGACAATGTCAGTACTTTCTGTTGAATGAATGACTTATTTAGCATTTTAGCCATTTATTGTTATTGTTTATCCCTTTGAAATTCATATCCTAGAAAAAAGCTCACGTTCTGATTTGTGGATGAGTTTATAGTAGAACTTCAATTCAAAAGAGTTCCTTCACTTTAAGGAGAAAGAGATAGCTAATAAGAAAATAGGCTTAGCAGGATTAGTTTATGAAGCAGCTATTTTGTCCTTGTCTCATATGTCTGTGCACCTGTTGGAAATTGTTATTGAGAATTCCTATTTCAAGATATTAGCTGTTCAGTTTTGTCTAATATGTACTTTATTTCCTCATATATAAAAATGGAATATTTATGTTGGTTAAGAGCTTGGAGTCTGAAGTAAGAGTTCAGTATGTCTACATCCTAGCTATGGTTTTTACTTGTTCTCTGAACTTGGCCAAGATACAAAACTTTTCTGAGCCTCAGTTTCTACCTTTGTAAAATGAGGATATTGATAGTACCCCATGCCTATAGTGATGGTGTGAGGATTCAAGGAAATAATGGATGCAAAGCTTTTAGTGCGGTGCCTGGAACATACAAAGAACTCCGTAAGTTGTCTGTGATCTTTCTAATTTTTAAGTGATTTCAGTATCTCAGTTGAAAGGGAAGGCTGTGGAAAACTATCAGTTAGAAACTGATATAAGATTATAGTTTACAACTATAAGGTTGTAAAACTATCAGTTAGAAAATTCAGTGTATCAAAGCAACCAATTCCTTGAGTTTCTAGTTAACTAAAATATAAATAAAATTTTCACCATGAGTTATACCTTGTTAATGCTTTTCCCAAGAATACCAATTTCCAACTTTGAATGCAAGATAGAATCATTTCTGAATAAGTGTCCTCCAAGAGTGAGAGGTGTATTTTGAATGTGGCTGTTATTTTTCTAGTTAAAACAGGAATGTAGAGTGCAGGAAAATTAGCTTTCTGTTCTCTACAAATGTTGCTTTTATCTTCTTCAGTAGTTTAAGGAACTTTAAAATTAGTATCTTAATAAAATAGATTTTATCTTGGTAGAAAATATGAGTGCACATGCCAAAAATGGTGTGTGTGTGTGTGTGTGTGTGTGTGTGTGTGTGTGTAGCCCCTTTTAGCCTCTTTGTGGAGATGCAGTATCCTGAATTTCCTACTCATCTGCTTGTTTTTCTTTGCTGGTTGAGTTCAAAAATTTTTTCCTTTATTGAAATTTTACTAAAGTCTGTAGTACTTGCATACCTAGCACAAGTGCTAGATTTCAGTCCAATGTGTCTTCAGATTTGCTTCATTTCACATCATCGAATATGGGATGGGACTTCAGGGTAGGACCAGTCTTCTATGTACCTTCTATTTAAAGAGATCAGAGGTTGGACACAGTGGGTCAAGCCTGTAATCCCATCACACTTTGGGAGGCTGCGGTGGGAGGGTCACTTGAGGCCGAGAGTTTAAGACCTGTCTGGGCAAGGAAGCAAGACCCTGTTTCTATGAAAAAATAGAAATTAGCCAGGCACAGTAGCATGTGCCTATAGTCATAGCTACTTGAGAGGCTGAGACAGGAGGATTGCTTGACCCCAGGAGTTTGAGGCTGCAGTGAGCTGTGATTATGTTACTACTGTACTCTAGCCTGAATGACAGAGTGAGACCCATCTCTTTTAAAAAAAGTTAAAAAAAAAAAAAAAAGAGATCAGCAATGTTATATATCCCTTTAGGCAGATACTTACTTTTGTTTTATGGTAAATAACTTATGTTTGTGGTTAGTAACTACAAAGAAAGTAAATATAGTGTTCAGTCTTTCCTTGAAATGTACTTTGAATTAAAATCTGTATTTCTAGTACAAATATGAGTTAAGATAAAATGTTAAAAAGTAAAAGCCAGTGAAATCCTGTATAGTAAGTTCTTTCAATGTTTTTTCCTAGAGCTGACTTTTTTGAAGATGAGGCGATTGAACAGATTTTGAAGTATAATCCTTGGTGGACTGACAAATATTCAAAAATGATGGCCTTTTTGGAAAAGAGTCAGGAACAAGAAAATCATGCTACATTAGGTAAGAAACTCAAATTCGGCTAATTTGTTTCATTTTAAAATCTCATGGTGTACCACGTTTACTGCCTTCCATATTATTAAGCGTATAGTTGTAATTGCCTTATAATGTTAAAATATGAGTTTGAATTGCTAATTTTGGAAATGACTTCTTTGCCCCTGACTGGAAAATGCCGCTAAATAATTAGGCTTATTTGTGTTGGAAAATTCTTTTGAAGTATGGTTTCCTTTAGAATCATTGGAGTTCTTTTATAATTAATTATTTTTTAAAACCTAAATTTAGGGATATTATCACACAGGACATTTGTAGTTTCTCAATAACCTGCTTAAGAGGTATGAACATTCTTCTTTGGTAAGGACATTTGAGTATTAGTAACGGGCGGGGGGAAGACCCAAGTGGGAAAAGACCTAGATGGACATGTTATTACCAGCTTCTCTAAGTGCAGTGTAGCATTGATATATTAAGACTATACATTAGAAATATAACATTTGCAGACAGATCAAGAAGAGAACACCCATGTTTTCTGTCACACTGATTTGGCTTTTATTTACATATTAAAAATAAAATTTCAATGTTTAAATGGAAAGAATACATATATATGTACATTCTGAAGAGTATTAAATGGAATATAGACTCTTCCCACCCCAAGTTCTTCTTCCCGGAAGTAATCACTATTAGCAATTTTGGGGATATTTTAAAAATATATATTCCCACATCTAAACAGTCGCTTTAAGAAATGTCTACACATAGACTCACGTATACCCGGTTTGTACCTTGTTTTCAATTTGTAGTGTGTGTTGCACATCTTCCATATTAGTATGTAGAGATCTACCTGAAGCTTTTCATGATTACATAGTATCCGGTTGGATATTTTTTTCATGATTGATGGATATTTGGGCTGTTTACTACTGGTGGACATTTGGGTGACTTCCTGTTTTCTGCAGTTGCAAATAGTATATATAGTGGCCTTCTTTGACCACTCATTCTGAAGTAGCTACAGGGTCTCTAATGCATCACAGTTTTTTATTTTCTGCATATCAATGCAATAGCCTGTTATCTGCTATTTTTTCAGTGTCTAGTATAGTGCCTGTTATATAAAGGTACTCAGTAAATATCTATAAATATTGTAATAAATGTTTTTATGGTTAAGTTTTATTAAAGTTTAGGTGAGTTCTACCAGATCAAAAAATTGCTACTATAATATTTTAGAAAATAGAGGATTAGCTTTATTGCATAACAGAAGCTCATTATAGTGACTCTTTTTTTTTTTTTTTTTTTGAGACGGAGTCTTGCTCTGTCGCCCAGGCTGGAGTGCAGTGGCACAATGTCGGCTTACTGCAAGCTCTGCCTCCCGGTTTCACGCCATTCTCCTACCTCAGCCTCCCAAGTAGCTGGGACTACAGGCACCGGCCACCGCGCCTGGCTAATTTTTTGTGTTTTTACTAGAGACGGGGTTTCACCCTGTTAGCCAGGATGGTCTCGATCTCCTGACCTTGTGATCCGCCAGCCTCGGCCTCCCAAAGTGCTGGGATTACAGGTGTGAGCTCCCGCGCCCGGCCTATAGTGACTCTTTGTTATAGATTTATTGTCGTTTTCAACAAATCCTGACTTTTATATTTGAGTTTAAGCAGCTTTCAGAGACTTCTCACATTATGTATATATAGACAAATTTTCAGGTTTAGGATTGCTAACAGAATATAGATAGTTAATTGTACATGCTAGGTAGATCTGATCATGAAGTTTGAACAAACTTAAATCATCAAGTGTGTCAACTGGTTTGAGTCAGTTTCCCTAATTTTAGCACGGTATTTTAATGAGGTGGTGTGGGAGAAAATTGATGGTTGCGTAGTTGAGTTTTCTGTCCACCAGGGTGAGCTAGTTGCCCTAAAAATCAAGAGAAGGCGTTCCCTTTGATTTAAATTCTAACTTGCTCTACTTTGATAAACTGTAGCTTGTTCTCAGTCCAGTTTTCTGTGTCAGCAATGCTCTTAGTCTTCTTTGTGTAATTTTAGCAGGAGATCAAGCCACTCAGTCCTTTTAACCACCTGCCCTCCTGACCCTTCATCTGACCCATGACTGATAGCCAGGCTGGTGCATCAGGAACAGTCATAGTCTGCAAAGCCATTATGGTGATTCATTCTAAAAACCACCTTTAAAAATAGCAAGGACATGTGATCTAAGGTAGACGAACTTGAGCTTTGTGTCGAACAGCGTGTCTCTTCTAATAATACCAAATGTAAGATATAAACTAAATGTAGGCTTGGGGTTGGACTTCTTGTTCCACCACATGCCTGCGATATGATCTTGCACCTTTGGGTTGCTGTGGAATGCTGTACCTACCTCAGAGTTGTCCTGAGATTGAATGAAACGATGTATTTAAAATCCTGTAAATGTTAGAAATTATTATTGTAGAGTAAAATCAGTCACAGGAGAGCCAGGAGTTGGATGGTTTCTCTGTGAAATTACAATTTTTATACATTTAGAAAGCTTTAAGGGAAAGTTCCTTGTTAACAAGATTTCTCTCTCATTTGAAAAATCCTGGTTCAAATATTTGGGGCACTCAGAATTGGAGGAATAAATTGAAGTGTGTTGAGCCAGGATAAAATATGGGGGAAAAGAAATAAACCAAGAAATAAACATCACAGTTTTCTGCTGAACTATGGTGCATGCTGCTGTACCTTTTCTCCTCTTCCTCTTTGTTCTTTGCCTCTCTGGCCTTCTTCCTCTTTGTGTCATAGCGTGGGCTGTTGTCTGTTTAACACCTCCTCATCAGGTGTCGCCAGGCAGATACAACAGTGCAGGTGAGGGGTGTACCTTTGATTCATTCTGTATCATAAAATATTAACCTAGATTGCTTTGAATTCCAGATAAGCCTTAGGTGGTGAACTTTGCTCCCTCTTTTTCTCCCTTGGTTGTAATTCTTGTCGTTTTCATCACAGCCCTGAGTTACAACAGGGAGACTTTTCTCCAGCTTTGTAGTGATCCAGATTTTCCTCCCCAAAGGCTTGTAAATGGAAGTGTTAAACGCCGTGCTTCCCCTGAGCTCTGGTTTCATGAGGATGAACTCACCGCATTTCCCATGTTGTCTTTCAGTGGTTAATCTGAAGCTCCAGAGTCTTGGCACGTTATTGCTTGTTATGACACCACGTAACATTTATAGTCAATGAACTTCCTAGCAGGGACATCCTGTTTGGCACCAGTGAGCCCTTCAGTGTTTGTAGAGATAACTGTCAGTGTCAACTTTGAAAGTTGTAGCACTGCAGGGCTACCCATTTAGGCTGAAGGTTTGAATGCAGCACAATTTTTTCTGGTTCCCTTGATCTGGTTCCAGTGAATGTACAATGTAATAGACAGATGTGCGTTACTCTGAGAGCATTGAGATCCTTTGTGATTTAATTGTTGACCCAGATAAGAGGGATGTTTGGGAGGGGGATTTAGAGAGGAAGGGAGGATTTAAAAGTAACAAAATTAGAAAATATTTGGAAGAGAAAAGTGACTACCTTGCAGACATCTTTCATTTTGATAGTCCCTTTGCAGCCTTCAGACATATTGGTGGGGTTTTTGATGTTGGGAGGTGGTCCTTGGCCATTTGCTTCAATGCTAGGGCACCAGTTTCCTCCTCAAATGTATTGAGAGTTCAGCTGACTTTTGTTTCACTGGAGATTATTTTTAAAAGTATAATTAGCCAAAACATTGTGAACTATATAGCAAAGCTGCTTTGTAGTGTAGCTAAGTCATACAAATGCTTGACAAATGTTATTCATGGTGGCAATCATCCAAGCATTGTTGGCACTGCATCTGTAGTTATTTCCAGTACTGCTGCTAGGTTAGACTTGATTGTGTGCAAACTTCCCCCAAGTTCCCCTTTGGGTGATATGATTTACAGCTCTAATAAAAAAGGCCTTAGGGAGCTCAGACTTTTGGTTTCTCTAGTGATTTCCTGGTTTGTTGTTATTGTTATTTATCATCTCTGATTTCTTTGCTTGAATTTCAGAATTTAAATGCATTTGTGTGTTATTAATGAAGTAGGCCACAGTGGAACTTATAAATGCTCAGTAAAAGGTGGAAGTGTTTTAGGGAAAGTCTAGCAGCTCCTAGTATCCAAGAATTCAGAAGAATAATTCAAGTAGGTTTTTCTTCTGTGCACAGTTATTGAAAATGACTAATGTAGAAATACTTACATGTGGATAATGTAACGTCAGAACCTACATTGCCTAGGTCAACTTTTATAAATGGATAAACGTCGATAGGTATGATTACTTAAAAATGAAGGCATAAATATGTAGAGAGTTGACATGTTGCTAAATAGTTTCTGGGCATGCTTACTTTGTGATTGAGAATTATGTGGGAGCAGGGGTCTATTAGTCAACTAGGATATAAAGACTTTTCTCTAGTCAGAGATCATGAACACCTGGCATTTTCCCATTAGCTAAATTAATGAACATCTCAAAAACCATACCTAAGGGAATACTGTCTCTAACCTTCTTGCTAAATACAAGGAGTCATAAAATATTTTGTCAGGTATGCTTTCTTCCTGCAGTGAGTATATGCCTTCATGCCATTTCCTTAAATCAAATTGCTTAAAATGAACTGAGAGCTTTTATTTAAATTAAGGAACTTCAGATGCGTCCTCCAATGAGGCAGTCAACACTCAGTTTATCTGTCTTATTAATTAAATCCAGTAAATTTTAAATTAAATACAGTTGACCCTTGAACAAAACATGTTTGAAATGCATAGGTCTGCTTATATGGGGATTTTCTTTTGCCTCTGCCACCCCTGAGATAGCAAAACCAACCCTTCCTCTTCCTCTTATTCCTCAGCCTACTCAATATGAAGACCAGGATGAGGACCTTTGTTTATGATGCTGTACCTCCACTTAATGGATAATAAATTTAATCTTAAAGAGACTTCATGTACAATTCAAGGATTGGGGAAACCTTAACTAAAGCTATAAATCCAGAATCTTGTCTTAAAAAAAAAATGGACATATTTGACTACATGAAAAATAAGTGTTTCAATGGCAAAAGGTACCATAAACAAAGTCAGTAGAGATATGGTAGCTTTGGAAAGATGATTAGGGTTTATATCTATAATATACAGGATTCTTAATTTGACAAGACAAGCCATCCAATAGAAAAAAACTGGACAAAACACATTCGAATGGGTCACTCATAAGAGTGCAAATCCAGATTGCCTACAAACCAAGGAACTAGTGCTTAAAGTTGAGCAATTGGAGAAATACTAAGTGAAATAACAATGATAAGTCACTGTTTTAGTTTTCTCTTGCTGCATAACAAATTATCACAAGCTTCACACAGTGTACATTCATGATCTCAGTTTCCATGAGTCAGAAGTTGGGCCAGGCTTAGCTGGGTCCACTGTGTAAGGTCTTGCAAGGCTGTAGCCAAAGATATCCATCTTATTTTTTTAAAAAACAGATGTTGGAGGCTGTGTTCTTTCCTGGAGCTCAAGGTCTTCTTCCAATCTCACATGATTGTTGGCAGAATTTAGTTCCTTGCAGATATAGAACTGAGGCCCCTACTTTGTTGCTGGCTGTTAGCTGGGGGCCACTCTTAGATCTTAGAGGCCTCTACAGGTCCCTGCCACATAGCCTTCTCACAGGCTCTCTCACTTCACCATGTGACATCTTATTTCTTCAAAACTAGCAGGCGAGTCCCTGGCTTTGGTCTGCTAATAATGGAATATAATCATGGAAATGACTGTCCCATTGCCTTGGTCGTATTCTGTTGGACAGAAGCAGGTCACAAGCTCCATCCCCACATAATGATATGACTCATTGGAAGTCATCTTAGAATTCTGCCTACTATACTCAATTTATTAACCTGGAAATGATTGTAAAAAAGCTATTACATTTCTTGCCAGGGGGAGGTGGGAGGTATGTGTAGGAAGAGGAACTTCTATTCATGACTGTGAGAAAGGAGAGTTATTGTAGCCTTTAAGTAAAGTGTCTTTCTAAAACAGATACTTTTTTAACCCAGTCAATACAGTCTCGAGAGTCTACTTTATGGAAATAAAGCCTCTAATAATCAAGGACATAGGATAAGGATATTTATTGCAGCATTATTAGCAGTGGCAGAAAACTAGAAGCAAAGTGAGTGCCCATCAGTAGGGGGAGTGATTGGACAGAGCATGGTACATTTTGGAATATTATACTCCTTTACAAAAATTAGTTACACACCAGTTGACTTTTAGGGATTTGCCAGAGGTATTGTTGAGTGAGAAGGGCTAGATGGAGAAAAATGACCTAGTTATTTGGGTTGAGGGAGGGTGTAGGAAGTATAAACTCCCTAGTAGGTATGCTTGTGTGTCTGTATGTGATTACATGTCTAGAGAAAACTATGGAATGGTATATACTAGATTTTCAGTGTGTGAGAGGCTGTTGACGAATATTCAGGAGGCGAGAAGGTGCCAAGCAGAAGAAGAAAAGCAAAAAGGAACTGTGTTGTAAAGAAACAATCTTTTCCCACAAGTCTAACGTATGTGATGTGGTCATATGTAAAACTTGATTTATATGGTAAACAATATGAGATTTTAATGGATTAATTTGAATTGAAATTTAATCTAATTAAATTAAATTTAAATTTAACAATTTTAATTGATTAATATCTGGGAGTATTCCTATTTCTTGGTATAGAACTTTCAAAATGGATAACGAATATTTTCAGTGTGCTTTATTTAGCACTTTCTGTTGTCAAAATGTATTATCTTAATTTTAAAGACAGTAACTGGCATTCAGACGTCTTAAGTACAGAACAGTGTAGCAAAAAAGGGAGGGTCAGGAATTAAGGAATAGGTATTATTTAGAAAAATCTTCTTTATTCAGCCCTATTAGAATTTGAGCAGACTCATAGCTCTTACTAAAACTGTGAAGTCTACTTAAGTTATTTATATATCCATAGTTAAGTAGAAAGAACTTTTATTTCAGTTTCTATAATCAAAGTTCTAATTTTGACAAATCTTCCATTGGGAGTTTTACAAAACTGAATGAAACATCTAGTTTTTAAATGCGTTTTCTTCTAGTGTCTTTTTCTGAAGAAGAGAAGTATCAGCTACGAAAATTTGTCAATAAATCTTATCTGCTGGACAAGAGAGCCTGTCGTCAAGTGTGCTACAGTTTGATTGATATCCTTCTGGCATATTGCTATGAAACCCGTGTCACTGAAGGAGAGAAGAATGTAAGTGCATGTATGTGTGCATGTTGCCATAGATGACTGTGCTGAGTAAACTGCATTAAAGCATCAGTCTTTCTTGTCTAGAGTAGAACTGGTGGTGATCAGTTATTCAGGGGATGCCCCCAGCAGAGTTGCATGTGTGTGGTGGTGGTGGTGGGTACCCACATGCAATCATACATTACTTAGTTGGTCTTTTTCACTTTTCTCTTGGCATTAGTCTCTGCAAAAATAGCAGAGTAGGGAAGTTTAAGGGAGTGAAACTGAGAGTAGAGAGGAAGGCTACTCTGAGCTCTCATCTCTTTTAGGCCAGAGAAGTGCTCTGTCACATGACACTTCACATTGGCAAGGGGGTAAACTGCCATACCCATTTATATTCTTTCTCTCAGCCAGAAGTCAGCAGATGCAAAATATGGCATTTTACAAAATAGAGAAATCTTAGTATTTACCTGCAAGTGTCCCTCAATTCATAGAGTATGTGTACTCTGAAAAATTATATGTAAATCAGATTTTTTAAAACCTGAATTATATCTTTTTTTGCTATTTAAAGGGATCATATTATAAAAGTAAATCCTTTTGTAAATTATTTCTTCATCTTTTAAAAAATAATATAGACTTTGTTGTATCTCTTCTTAAACCATATTTGATTTTGTAAATGAAGAGCTAAACTTCCTTTTCACCTGTACCATTGATTGTATATTTAAAAAGGCTGGAAACCAAAAAAAACAGCCTTTCTAGTTAGTGTGGCCCTGCAGCTGTTTATAATTGTCCTTGCTCAAAAGGTTATTTTTGATCTGAGCATAGCTTTCCTTTTTTGAATTACACAAATAATTCACATATGAAGGAAAATATACACATGAAGAAAATAATTAAGATTTCCTGTAATTTCAGTCATCAGAAATATAACCGCTGTTACATGGTGATGTATCTATTTCCAATCTTCTTTCAGTGTGCGCGTGTGTCTATATTGTGTGTATTTACCTTAGGTCCTAACGTGTATACTATTTAACCTGCTTTTTTCACTTGACATTATAGCACTAGGATGGTATTAGAGTTAGAATTTTCTATGTACCAATTTTTTTTGTTGTCATGATTCTGAAAATTTCTAGGGTGCCTCTTGACATTTGTGTCTGACTCCAAGATGACTATTAATTTAGTGTGTTAAGGGCATAATATATCTGAAAATACTTTTTGTTTTCACTCGTCTTTTAAAGATACTGTAATTGGAGAAAATGTTTTCTTTGACCAAAAAATGCTTCATATTAAATCTTGAAAAGATGAGTGTTTAGGTATATTTGAAAAAATTTACCATTTTTTATTCTTGTATTTGTGTATTTGAAATCATGAAGTCTTACAACTTGAGACCTTCTCTAGCATTTACTTATTCTCACCAGCATTCTCTGAAAGATCAAATTTTCTAGCAGCTTCTTAAGTGCCACAGGTAATACTTCAACATTATCTTTGATTCCTTTGATAGATTATTTATGGATTGTTTGGGAGGCATGTAACTTAGTGGAAAAAGGACAGAAATTGAGCAGGGATTACTTTGCTTTAACTTTTAGTTTCAAAACCCCTGGTTGTTTGCTCTTGTGTTCTGGTACTCTTATCAGTAGAAAAGTTTTATTTTCGAAAATCCCAAGGAGAGTAAACAGAAACTTCCCACTGGTAGTCTCTGTATCAGCAAAATAATTATTTTTCTATAGTCGTGAACACTTCTTAGTTCTCATATGTCAGTGATCCTCAGACACTGGTTGAATAAATGGATTTGTTTGGTCTATTTAAATGACTTCACCTCTAATGTGATGGTATTCTTTTCTCCAAAACAAATAAAGGTTGAATCTGCATGGAATATCAGGAAACTGAGTCCAACACTATGCTGGTTTGAGGTATGATTTCCAGTTGCAATTGTTTAGAATTTGTTGTTCAGGAAGTTATTTTTGTTGTTTTTACATCATTTGGGGTAATTCAAGCAATTCCTTGAATTTTTAAAAGTAGAAGCTCTATTGTACAAGTATGTTTTCCATCTTTTTAATAAAATTCTGATAATGAACCAGGTAGAGTACTTTGGAAGCTGGGGGAGGGAAACACACTTTGGAGAGAGGATGGAGACATGGTTTGTTGGGAAAGAATGTGGGGGCAGAGTGAGAGGTGTGTTTGTAAGTTGGCATGTATTGGAGCTTGAAACTCAGAGATGGAAGCAAACCTAGGTGATAAGTGACTGTCAGGGTCTATGCTAAGAACACACACACACACACGAAAAATAATGTTTTTTATATGATTTTTTATATATATGTGTATATGTAAAAAAACTTCACCTATTCTCAGTATGTCTGTGAGGTAAGTATTGCAGGTTTTACAGGTGAGGATCCTTAGATCATATAGCTTAAATCTCTTATCTTAGGTCCTACAATTCAAATGTAGTCTGGTTACATTTGATAACTCTTTTAGTATAGTAATAATGTTTCTGGTTTCTGAAAAATAGTTGTGCAGGTCTCACCAAAAATACCAAAGATAATATCTTTAAATTTGTGAGTTTTTAACAAACTTGTGCATCAAAACAGTAATTAAAAGCAGAAACTTTAAAAAAGTATCGAGATTATATCATCAGTTAAAACAACCAGTATTTTTTAAGCTGTAAAATCAAGGTTATTTCATTGACGTCACTTTGTTGAAATAATAGGTAAGATGTAAACAGGAACTGAAACACTTACTTCATATAGAATCTTACTACTCCAAAAATGATTCAAGGACCAACAACCTGACCAGCAGCTTCAGCTGGGAGCTCATTAGAAAGACAGAATTTCAGTCCCACCTCACACTCACTGAATCAGAACCAGGATTTGTAGCAAGATCTCTACGGAGTTTGTATGCATATTGAAGACAAAAAGTGCTGCTCTCTAGGCTTCATTGGAGTTCCTCATGTTGCCATGATCAGCATATAATAGAGGAATCGGTTTCTGTGTTAGCATTTATTAATATGTTGAAAGTAGTTGGTGACTGGATAATTTTGTAGTATAGTTATTAAAAATCTACATGAAAATTCACCTATTTATGATTTTTAAGTTCCTAATTCTCTTTAAATTATGTCAAATACTAAGTGTTCTTAATCAGATTCCTCATAGTTTTAAGGATTAATGTACATGTAAATTATCTTTCTCCCTTGGTTTTAATTTTAAATTTTACATATGGTTTACATTTTTTATACTTTGTTTATCAAAAAACAATTTTGTGGAAATTTTCTTTTGTTTAGTGTTTTTAGTAAGTTTTGAATTGCTAATGTTATCAGTTTGATACCGTTCAAGATACAACACCTTTTTTCCTAGAAATCAGTTTGATAAGCAAAAGCAAATTACTCAAGTAAATGTCTTGTATTACCCATGTCCAGTGCAAAAAAAAAAAAAAAAAGAAAAAGAGGAGAGGAAACTGAACATACTTTACTAAAGAGTTCTATGTATTTTTTTTTTTTTTTTTTTTTGAGATGGTGTCTCGCTCTGTCACCTAGGCTGGAGTGCAGTGGCGCGATCTTGGCTCACTGCAAGCTCCGCCTCCTGGGTTCACGCCATTCTCCTGCCTCAGCTTCCCGAGTAGCTGGGACTACAGGCACCTGCCACCACGCCCGGCTAATTTTGTAGTTTTAGTAGAGACGGGGTTTCATCGTGTTAGCCAGGGTGGTCTCGATCTCCTGGCCTTGTGGTCCGCCCGTCGGCCTCCCAAAGTGCTGAGATCACAGGCATGAGCCACCGCACCCGGCCTTTTTTTTTTTTTTTTTTGAGATGGAGTCTCACTCTATTGTCCAGGCTGGAGTGCAGTAGCGCCATCTTGACTCACTGCAGCCTCTGCCTCCCAGGATCGAGCTATTCTCTGCTTCACCCTCTTGAGTAGCTGGGATTACAGGTGCCTGTCACCACACCTGGCTAATTTTTGTATTTTTAGTAGAGACGGGGTTTTGCCATGTTGGCCAGGGAGGTCTCGAACTCCTGACCTCAGGTGATCCACCCGCCTGGAGTCCCAAAGTGCTTTACAGGCATGAGCCACCACTCCCGGTGAGTTCTACATTTTTGATCTGTGCCATCTTGAATAGCCTTAGCTGACAAAAACATGAAATGTAAATTATATTAAAATGTCCTTTATGTGCATCTGTATTTTGTTAATGCCATGTGTTTTAGATTCTTATTTGTAATCTTTAGGACTTTATTTAAAAGCTTTCTTGTGACATTTGTGATGTATTGATAGTGTGAGAAATTACAAAAACTAAGATTCTGTTTTATTGTAAAGTATACAAAAAGAATCTTATTTCATGGTTTTATGTTTCTCTTCTACTTGGCTTCACAATGATCCGAACTTGCAGCTTTTAAATGAGAAAAGCTTCCTATTTCATTGTGTACTTTTGTTTGTGTAACATTTTGTGGAAATGACTGCTTATTAAAATGACACTTCACAGACTTGGACTAACGTTCATGATATCATGGTGTCTTTTGGAAGAAGGGTGTTGTGTTACCCACTCTATCGCCATTTCAAGCTGGTGATGAAGGCCTACAGGGACACTATAAAGATATTGCAACTGGGTAAGATATTACTGTACTTGCAAATTTGGGAGGGAAAAAGTTGTAAGTTTTTAGTCTGTGAAGATATAATAATGATTTTTGCTTTTTTACTGTATATAAATAAGTAATGAAAAATGAATCCAACCACTTTTAAAGTATAGAATTCCTGTGTATAAGACATATGTAGATAAGTAATTGCATAGAGGCATAATAAAGACTCTTTTCCGAGAGGAGTAAGGAAGGTAAACAGAGAAGGCACACATAGTATTGCAAACCGTTTTACATTATAATAGCTGCATCATTCAGTATTTCTTGGCTGCCTATAATCTTCTAGGCTCTATGGTGGGACTGTGGGTCTAATAATAAAGAAGGCAGAAAAGTTCCCTGCTCTGTTGAAGTTTACAGTTTTGTCAGACAGATGATGGGTAAGTTAGCAATTCCAAAGAGAGTGAAAAGTACTCTGCTGGGAGAAGTCCAGGGATCGTTTAGGAGGGGACATGTAACCTAGATTCGGCATGTCAAGAAAGATTTTCCAACAAAAAGCTCAGCTACTCTGAGCACTTTTGACTTGCTAAATTCAACCTGAAAAGACAAACACTCGTTAGCTTTAAGGATGTGGAAAATTCTGGGCTCTGAAACAAATTCCAAAGTGCCCATAGTATCATCATTAGAATAAGTATATAATTTCCAAGATAATGACTTTGAAGGGGGCAACATCCATTTGTATGTATTAGTTCTGGCACATTTATTTAAAAGTCACTTTTAGTACTTTATGGTCATTTCTTATATTCTCCCCCTGGGGAGACTCATCATTCCTTTGCCCTTAGATAAAAGTGTTTCTGGGAGCTTGGTTTTCAGACTTCAGAATAAGAAGGGGAAAGAAAGGAAGTTCTTCCTTCTACCTCCAGGTGACTTCACTGGCCTAAAGAAGAGAATCACATCTCAAATGTTTTGTCTCACCTGGAAGTGTACTTCGCTTTCTGTGTAACCTGTAGTCTTCTTGCCCTGGTGGTGGGGATGGGGGAAGAAAATCATGTTTGAAATAGATTATTTTAAAGTAGACAGTAATTGTAAAAATGAATCATGGTTAGATGAAAGATGCCTTTTTATTCATCCAGTTGGTTTAGACTAGCTGTATTTTATTTTGAAGGATTGTTGATTATAGGATGAAAGAGCTATCATTGAGAAATCTATCTTCTTTAACTTAACAGTGGGAAACAAACTGCTTTGTTTTTTCATGTGTTATTTCTTCTTGCCTTCCATCTAAGATATTTTTTGAATTGCTAAAAGTACCTTGGAAAATCAATCTACTATAAATGACTGTGTGAGCCTCAGTTACACGTCACAATTCATTTCTTTTTTAAGTCATGCTAGATTATCTGGGCATTATTCATGGACTTAAACCAGTGAGAATGCAGTTTGCGATTATCCTGTTATATCATGGCTTCCAGATGGAGAATTGGCAAAACCTCCACATGCCTGTTTGCACACACACTCACACACTCTCACTCTCACTCACATATACAGACTATTGCTTGTTACTTTTTATTCTGGGAAGTAATCTAGTTCTTTTGACTTTCATTGGAAAAGTAATCAGTACTATGATTGCATAACCAAAAATAAATTCGATTGCCTTGACTTACACAGGAATCAATTACCCAGTTTTAGTAGGTCAGAATTGAAATTGAGACTTAATTTTTATTCATTATCACTCTGACAAGAAATAGTTTTATCAGCTGTGTTATGATAGTAACATAAAACTTGAAGTAACACACTGGAGGCCTCTGCTAAAAATGAACCTGAACCCTCTATGTACCATGTACAGTGTGTTCTGTGACTAATTTGGGTTGTGGCTAGTTAGTGCTAAAACTGAGGGCTGGGTTGTCTAGAATTTGTGCCAGAAGCTGTAGAGATGACATGTTCTGGATGAGAATCGTCACCTGTCTTTGTACAGGTGGATGGCACGGGGATGCCATTATTGCCGCTGAAGAGGCTCATTTGTTTGAACACCCCATAATTTAAATAAAGGTAGCTCTGGTTTGGCATTTAGTGTTTTCCAAGAATGAATTCATGCCTACTTATAATTCAAAATGCAGTCAGTGTTCACACTTTTTATTATAAAGGTCAGTATAGTGTTCCATAGTTGAAAGTAATGAATAACCCTGGCTCCAAAGAAGGATTGATCTTAAATGGAATGAGCTTTCAAAACCAATGTAGGAATGCTTCAGAAACTACAGAATATTTCATTATAACTGATTGACTAAGATCTGAGTTTTCAAAGAGCCAGGAATTTGCCTCATGTGACTTCACAGTAGCCTTTACAAGGATTCTTTACTAGGCCTTTGGCTCTTTTCAGGTTTGCATTTCTTCTCATTCCCTCCCCTCCTCCAGAAGACTGTATGTTTATCTCTGGAGGTTGCTGTTCTGTTTAATCCAAACTCTTTAAGGGCAGGAAATCCTGCTTTGCCCCTTAAGTACTGTTTTAGTGCTTAACAAAGGACCTTGCTCTCCTTGGATCAGTCATCTTGGGGCACATGACTCCTTTTTTTTCCCCTGTCTCTGTCTCTTCAACTTTTATTGCCTCTGTTCCATTCTTTTTGGAAGAATGGGTAAAGTTTTTCATGGGAGCATCACTTAGTTGCTGTTAGTCAATTAAAAATAAAAGTAAAAGAGAAAAAGCAGATTTTCTAATGTATCTTCAGAAGAGTTATTCTTTTTTTTTTTTTTTCCTTTGGACAGAATTTTGCTCTGTTGCCCAAGGCTGGAGTACAGTGGCGCGATCTTGACTCACTGCAACCTCCGCTTCCTGGGTTCAAGAAATTCTCATGCCCCAGCCTCCCAAGTAGCTGGGATTACAGACATGCACCACCACGCCTGGCTAATATTTGTATGTTTAGGAGAGGCGGGGTTTTGCCGTGTTGACCAGGCTGGTCTGGAACTCCTGGCCTCAAGTGATCTGCCTGCCTTGGCTTCCCAAAGTGCTGGGATTACAGGTGTGAGCCACCGCACCTGGCCCACTCAGAAGAGTTATTCATTTTAGAAGTGACAAGTCATAGTTTAATACTTGATCATACGTTATTTATGTAATTTAGTGAGTGTATTGTCTACATCTTATTAATGTATAGAAGGTATTCCTTACTTTACTTCCATTAGAAGGGTAGGATGGGATGGGATGGAAGAGAAACATCAACTTAATTTTTGCTTTCACTTCCGCCTTTGAGCTCATTCTGTGGGTTCTTTTTTTTTCCTTCTTCTTGGATGGAATATATATCCTATATATATCATATCATATATTTGTCTCCTATAATATATATCCTATAACTTTTTCTATCACTTTAGATTTTAAAAAAGTTCTTTTACCACTTCTAGTCACAAGAGGAGTCTAATTTCAGTGCTTAAAATGTCCACTTTGAACTTCATTACAAAAGAAATTCTTCCCTTCCCCAGCTGGGACCTGCCTGAGGGTGGGTGACCAGCGGCAGGGAGGAGGACCCCTTTCACTTTGGCAGGACATACCACTTACCTCCACTTGGCCACCCCATGTTGCTCTGTCCTGCTTCTTAATGGAAGCCAGACACCAATCTTTGTACTCTCCAGTTGGTATCTACGGTTAAAATTTCCAGGGTAAGCAGGTTGTACTCTCTTAGGGCCTCTTAAAACCCCCTTTCTCTTGGTTTAAGGTAACAGAAAAGCACCTCCTTCCTGCACCCACACCACCTTTATCCATGGACATTTTTTCTGGACCTCTTTACTCTTAAGCTCCTGAAGGTGAATATTCAGTGAATGAATTACAAATCATTTTTAGTTTCTCTCTCTACAAGTTCAGCATAGAGAGGTTAGCATCTCTTTAAAATAAAGGGATACTTGATACCAGTTATTTTCTTTGTGAGCCTCATTAGAAAAGAGTCAGAGTTCTGTCCTGATGTGTTAATAATACATACAGGTGGATGGCACAGGGATGCCATTATTGCCACTGAAGAGGCTCGTTTGTTCGGACACCCCATAATTTAAATAGAGGTAGCTCTGGTTTGGCTAGTTTGTTAATAATAACCACAGCTGCGTGTGTTAGCTACCTTCTGTGTGCCAGCGCTAGGTTCAGTTCTTTAGATACCATATCTCATTTTGCTCATATTGCAGTCCTGTGAAGCAGGCATTACTATCCCCATTTTGCAAATAGAAGACAGGCTCAAAGAAGTGAAGTCAGTGGCCCAGGGTCTTACAGCTAGTAGGTGGGAGAGCCTAGATTTGACTCCAGATCTGTGTAACTTAGAGTCTGTGCACTTACATATATTGAAATAGTTATAAATGAAATTATATGAAGCCTGGAATTTGCTTCAAAATAGTCCAGAGTGGGTTGTGGGAAAGTGGGTGGGGTGTAGCTGAAACAAGGTTGGCTACAAGTTGATTGCTGCCTGGGTGATGAGTATGTGGGATTCATGATACTGTCTTCCCTATTTTTGTACATGTTGTGATTTTCCTTTAGACAAAGTCTTTTTTTTTCCTTAAGTCTGGACTCTTAACCACCATACTACCAAGTTTCAAATTTGAATTTATCCACCATTTTGTGGAAAACATGATTTCTATTAATATTTGGACAGTTTTCTAAATTTTTTTGGCTAAGAAAAACGTATACAATTGTTCTTTCTATTTGCTGTTTTGTTTTTAAGGTTAATAGAAACCTACTTTCTAATAACATGTGAAGTCTGATGAATAGTAGCTACCTAGCAGGTAGTAACCCAAGAAACAGCCTTCAGGAGTTTAGTTGTTGTCCCCAATTAAAACCAGGTATTACTTCAGGTAATTAATAGCCCTTACTTATCAATTATTAATTGGGCTCAATAAACAAATTTTCAGAAATTACTGCTTTACTAACCTCTTCCATAGATAAAATAACACAATCAATGAGAAAGGAAAGAAGAGCTATGGTACCAAGCACAGGGCTTGTGACTGATCAATTTTTTAAAAGAATAATGGATGTTTAAAACATTGAGGTTTGGCAAGTGTATTGTATGAGCTCCAAGTTTGGAGGAGACTTTAAAGGTGAATTTCTTTTTAATATTTACATTTTATTTATTCCAGAGTCAGTTTAGCAAATGACTTTTAAAAAAATTGAATTGTAGAGGAGATATTGCAAACTCGAAAACTAAAAGATGAAATCACTGCCATTTTCCAGTGTTGACATTTATCTATATTTAACTTCTGTAAGTTCCCAGTTCTGGACATTTTAAAGAATTGTTAGGCCTTTTAATTTTTACTCTTTAAATACATTGTATGAAACTATTTTGAGATTTATTCAACAAGTATTTGTTGAGAACCTGCCATGTGAGGCTGCTGAGCTGGATCCTGAAGATATAATAGTTCTAATGGGGGCACAGGGCACAGAATTACACAACTACCAGGGTTTTTGAAAAATTGCATTTGTAATAAGTAGCTCAAAAGAGAAATATGGAGAGTGAAAATATAAGCCAGGGAAACTGACCTACATTTAAGTCACTGAAGACATGTAACTTCCTACTGTGGGAGCCTCTGCCTTATTTGACCTCTAATTCTCAGCTCCTACTAGTTTCCTAACACCCTCAAGTACTTGTTAATTGCTTGATGAGTTCATTTATTCATTGATTTGTTCAACACATATTTTGAATGTATGCCTACTCAGGAGCCAGTCCATACAAAGCACCCTGTAAATATAAAGAGCACTAGAAAAATAATTTAGATGTGTGGGCTGTATTTGGGGACGTGTTCACTAGCCGGGGAGCGTGTTCACTACCTAGGGAGCTAAGATGTCCATCAGTAACATAAAATATATAGTCAGCCGTGGTAAGTGCCTTACAAGAAATGTGGATTAAGTAGTTCAAAAAAGAGAGAGACGACACATTTCACTAGGGGTCAGGGAAATTTTCATAGAGGCTGTGAGATTTGAATTGGGACTTGAAGGATGGAGGGAATGTTGTAAACATTGTGAGTAAACCATGTGAGGAGGTTCATGGGATAGTGTAGTTTCTGCTATGAAAATGTGTTTGTTGGAATTAGATGATGGAAAATCGATATGCTATCTGATGCTGAGATTTGCTCTACAGCCTCTAAAACTAGTTGATAGTTTCTTTCCTATCTGAGTTAACTGGTCACTGGAATTTATGTCTCTACTTTTTAAATATTATTGCTTAATTCCCTGCTCCTCACCCGGGAGATTGTAATTCCTTGTGTTTTCTTCCTCCTATTCTAAATTGTTCTTGAACTTTTTTTTTCTGGCTTAATTCCCCATACCAGTTAATGTTTCTAAGAATAGAACAATCATAGTGCTCTCAGAAACTAGCATGGAATTAAAGTCAGATACTGAAGTAGCATTTGTACCTGTTTTTGCTGACCATTTTACATACCAACTTATCGAAGAAAGGAGAGAACTTCAGAGTACAGCAGGAGTTAACTCCTGGAAATCATGAACTGCTGCTGAATGTTTGAAAGGGAGAACTCCGGATTCTCCTTCCATGAGGCAAAGTGAATTCTTTTTACTCTTGTCTCTTCCTTGGAGTACAAGTCTATGTTCCCAGTCTCCTAAATTAGTACATTCTTCCCATTCATATGTATTATTTAACCTCAGAGCATTTGCGGGTTTATACTTATAACTCTGTATAGAAGGATATTATATATAAACGTAAACATTAAAGGAAAGAATATCAAGTTCTAGTCATCTCCATAGAATCTCTTTCCCCCTAATACTTCTAAATATTGTTAATCACCGAAAATGTTTAGATTGCTCTCATGGTAATTTCTGGGTTACATTTGTATAAAACATTCTTGGTTCTCTTAAAATACACCATAGAGGGAAGCATTTCCCATATGGCTTACAAATAATAAATTGCCTTTTAATTGCCACAAATGATGAATAGCTTGTGGTTATTTGGCTTCAAAAATATCACTTAAAATATTTTAAAATGTTAGTATTCTTTGAAAACTGGAGTTATATAGAAATGCTTACTGATGGGTGATGGCTTCAAGTCAGCTGACCTCTTAAATATTACATACAATTTAAATCTACACTATATTTTCTGTACTATTTATTTTTGTTAATTTCAGCAGTTTCTGAGCTGAGCAGTGTAGAAATCCCTAGAACTTAGTTACATGGTTTGAATGTATGGCTTAAAAAAAACTTCTATAATTAGTGCCTCTTTAAATAAATTTAAAGTCAGTTTTGAGATTATTTTTATGGATCTGAATTTTTATGGAAGTAACTTTCTATAAGAAAATAGCAGCAGAAAATTGTATGTATTTAAGACAACTTTGGGGGAACAAAGAGAAAACCTTCTATTTGACCCTAGTGAATCAAAGTCCTATTGTATATTAATACTGAGGCCTTGATGAAGTGAATTGAATAATACTTTATGTTTTACCAGGAATACATGTAAGAATTACAATTATGTACCACATAACGACTTTCAGTCAGTGATGGACCACATGTACAACAGTGGTCCCATAACATTGTAATACTGTGATATTACTGTGTCTTTATTTTCTTATTAATTTTTTTTTGTTTTTCTTTTAATCAGAAAAGAGCTGAAGTATACTGTATCTTTTCTATGCTTAGATATGTTTAGATACAAAAATACTTAGCATTGTGTTACAATTGCTTACAGCATTCAGGACAGTCATATGCTATACTGGCTATACCATAGCCTAGGTGTGTAGTGGACTCTACCATCTAGGTTTGTGTAAGTACATTCTGTGACGTTCACATGACAGAATTACCTAATGACGCATTTCTCAGAACATATCCAAATCATTAAGCAACACCTGATTATGTATATATTTAGGTAATTTAGAGTTTCATTTATTTTTTAGGGACAAGGTCTCACTCTGTCACTCAGCCTGGGGTACAGTATGGCATAATCATGGCTCATTGCAACTTCAAACTCTTGGGCTCAAGCTATCCTCCTGCCTCAGCCTCCCAAAGTGCTGGTTGACAGGTGTGAGCCACCATATCCCAACTTAAAGTTTCTTTAAGTAAGAAGTTAATGTTGGAAAATAACAAGTGGCAGATA
Organism: Homo sapiens; assembly: GCF_000001405.40. NCBI lineage: Eukaryota > Metazoa > Chordata > Mammalia > Primates > Hominidae > Homo > Homo sapiens. Next base: position 72,804,655 of record NC_000003.12, on the reverse strand, counting down.
TTTATTTATTCAGCAGACATGAATCAAATCTATTCTCCGTGCAAGGGAGTATAACAGAATTGGTGAAGAGTTACAAGGATATTTATGACTTGGTCTTAGCTCTTAGGGAGTTTATTGTGTAATAGGAATGATAGGTCAAAAGATAAGGTACAAAATGTAAGTATTTATGATGAGAACACATGGACACGGGCAACAACACCCATTGGGGCCTTTCGGAGGGTGGCGGGGTGGGGGGGTGGTGCCGGAGGAGGGAGAGGATCAGGAAGAACAGCTAGTGGATACTGGGCTTAATACCTGGGTGATGGGATGATCTGTGCAGTAAACCACCATGACACACATACCTCTGAACTTAAAAGTTCAAAACAAAAACAAAATATAAGTGTTTATAATATAAGATACAAAGGGGAGACTCCCTTAAAAACATACCTTAATGGACAGGTATGGTGGCTCATGCCTGTAAACTCAGCACTTTGGGAGGTAAAAGTGGGAAGATCTCTTGAAGCCAGGAGTTTGAGACCAGCCTGGGCAACATAGTGAGACCTTGTTTCTAGAAAAAAAAAATGTTTTTTAAATTAGCAGGGCGTAGTTGTGTGTGCCTATAGTCCTAACTACTTGGGATCCCGAGGCAGGAGGATTGCTTGAGCCCAGGAGTTCGAGGTTACAGTGAGCTATGATCATGCCACTGCGCTGCAGCTTGGGTGACAGGGTAAGACCTTGTCTCTAACAAGAAAAGAAAAAAGAAATTACCTTAATGGCCATCCACAGGCCAAATCCATCTTGTATTGCCCTTGAGCTAACAATGCTTTTTACATTTTTAAATCGTTGAAAAAAAATAATATTTTGTTACTTGGGAAAATTATTTGAAATTCTCATTTTAGAGTCCATAAATAAAGTTTTATTGAAACACAGGCTCATTCACTTACATATTGTCTATGGCTGCTTTTGCGGTAAGATGACAGAATTGAGTAAGTGCATCAGAGATTGTCCTGCAAAGCCAAAATATTTACTTTCTATCTCTTTACAGAGAAAATTTACCACCTCTGCCTTAGGTATGTACATGGAGGTTGGAGGGGAGCCCTTTTGTAGGGAGCCGAGGTCTTTGGCTGCTTGCCATTCCAAATAGTGGCCAGCATTGAAGTAGATCATTTCAGCTATTTTCTCTCGCCTTCCCACAAGGTGAGACTTAGCTGATATAGTTGGCTCACATTAGAGTAGGCTTCTGTACATTAGGAGAAGCAAACTGAGATGCCTACTTCGCCAAGCAGGTAAATGAATAAGGATGCTAGGGTTTAAGGAAATAGAGACTAATGAGGCCTGTGTGAACTGAAGAGATACATGGCTCGACTGTAGCCTACTGTTGCTGTGTGAATATATAGTATTGCCAGTTTTAAAAAGAAGTAGAAAGTAAAATGATCTTTAAAATTTTTTTAAAGCTTAAGTATGAACAAAGAAGTAAAGTAATGTAAAATCACACTGTAAGAGCCATAGCATGTCTGAGAGCCCAGGTCAGCCTGGGAGGCCCCCAGTTTTCAGTCTCTGCTCTAAAGCAAGCTAAGTGCCAGCGTGTCTTTCTCATACCCTCTTGGACCTGCCAGTTTTAGCTGCAGTGAAGGCTTGCACCAGGTCTTTGCTCCTTCAGTCCTAGCTTGAGACTGAGTCTCAACCTGATACAGGTTCTAAGATTGGGGCAGGCAAAGGAGGTAAGAGATGTCCCGCATTGTCTAATGTAGTTAATACCAGAAAGCTTTTTTAAAAAAGTGGATCCCCTGCCTCTCTTTTGACTACTTTGTATTGTTACTCTTGTCAGCCAGAGCCTGGTCAGGGTGGAGGAGATGAGTGATAGGATTTCAGTACCTCCAGTACCACACCTCACTCTGACCCTGATAGAGTGCTTGTTAGTAGTGGGAGGAGGGATTAATAGGGAAGGAGCAAACAGCATAGACCTAATGAGTGATATATAATGGTAGTTACTAAAGAATGTGTAGGATTTAGAAAAGAAGATGTGGAGGAGCGGTATTCCCTGAGAAAGTAGAAGGCAAAAAAATCAGAAAAAGGAATATAAAAGAGTTCCATGTCCAAGAAAGGGCAAATTCCCATCTGTCTGGAGGCCAGAGGTGTGAAGGGGAATGGTAGGATAAAGGTAGAAACAGTGTGCTGGGACCGGGCTGAAAGGAGCCTGCAATGGCTTGCTGATGAGTTTGGGTCTTATTCAGGGAGGAACCACTGAAGAGTTTGGCATTGGAGCCGGTGAGAGGCTTATGAAATTAGATTCATCTGGCAGCAGCACTTAGGATAGAGTCATTGAGAAGGGTGAGGTTAGTGGGCATGGAGAAGAGAGGAGACCTATTCTTGCCTAGACCCAAGGAAGTCTGGGGACAGACAGTATGGTCTGAACTAGAGTGCTAGCCACGGCACCGAGGAGGAAGGAATATGTGGGCAGGTGCTTCACAGGTAGTGGGGCAGGGACCAGTAATGGGAGTGCCAGGGCTGATCCATACTACCCGTTGTCCTCCTTCCCTTTTCATATGTAAAGTACTTACATGTTTGTTGTCTCATTTAATTTCCATAGCAATTCTTAAGAATTTTTCTTCCAATTTATCCCTGTGGAAACAGATTCAGATTAAGTACCGAACGGTTAAGAAGTGGTACCAGAAGCAAAGCAAACTCTGGGCTGCACAGCTGGTCCACAGTGGAACTGTTGGGATTGTTACCATTTTTACTTCGTGAGAAATTAGCTAAGAACTGCATAAGATTATTTATGTGTAGCTTTTTAATGATCTTTCCTTGGCTTTTTAGAATTGGGGAACACAGTTCTAAGATCTTAATTTCATAGTCAAAATTTTCATGCATCCTTTTCATATAAATTAAACTTATATGTAGAGATAAATATCTAATCAGCTTTACTAAATTATATTTATTATCCATTGATTAAAATATAAAGAAGCATAGCTCAGTTCTACCAGTGTGCAGACCATTTAGCAGAAAGCAAACATATTCACTGAAACACAGTGAGGGTTTCAAAATGGTTTGGTTTTTCTCCTTTTTTACCTTGACATACTTATCAGTACTTGAGATCACCAAAATAAATTCATCAGTGGTAGGATTAGGTTTAGGTTTGTTTTTTCCTTTTATGAGCCATTTGAGATATCCAGTTGTCTTTCTTCCTATATACTCCTATTTCTTCTTTCCAACCTCATGCAATTTTAGTTTTTTTCATTTTGAAATAAAACTAATTTCAAAGAATTAGAACTCTATTAAGTGGTATCTGTTGGAAAAAAATGAAGTGTAATTGTTTTAATTAAAACCACAAAGGGCATTGAAATACATACTGTAATTCTTAAGATGGAAAAATTGAATAAAAATTTTACCCACAAAATTTTGAAGTTTTCTATGCCTATGGGTTTTTTAAAAGTTCAGGTTTAGGTTGCAGCTGTTTCAAAGAGCTTTTTTCCATGCATCTTCAGCTTCTTAATCTACTTTTCTCCTTACTGTGTAGACAGAGATTTTTTTTTTTAATGTTCTACCTTGAACTTGGATGCCTCATTCTTAGTTGTCTGAAGAAATTGAAATTAGTCATGTTACCATTATGTAGTTTTGATGACATCTGGTCATGTATTTCTAAACTGAAACAATCACTGTTTTGACAAGTTACTTAAGAAAGAGGACAGAGTTAATGTCAAGGCTGTCCTTTCAAACTGGCACATCTTGCAGGGATTGTTAGAGCAGAAAAGGCAAAAAGCAGCCTTGGGTTAAATTTATTATTTGAACTTATGGTGGTACAGTGATGTAATAAAGTTTGTACAGCTACATTCTTTTCTTGTCAGGGAAATATATAATTAGGGAAGGAGTAAACAAATTGTATATGCCACATTTGTCATGATGCAAATAACTTTAAATCTGTAGACCACAGAGATGTTATAACTAGTACATGCTAACTGAGCAATTTGACTAGGTGTGTTTAAAGTTAGATTCTTTGTACTCCAGACTGGATTAACAACCAGCGTTTATTAAACAGGATCATACAATTTGCTGGACATTGTTCTAGGCCAAGGAAGAAAGATGAAAAGTCATGTCCTTTCCTGTCAAGGACTTCATCACACATGGTGATAAATACTGACAGTGGATTTATTGCATAGTGGTTGAGGGTCAGACAACTTATTTCCAGTTCTGATTCTTGCTTCCTAGCTGTGATCTTGGCCAACTGCTTCATATCCTTGAGCCTCAGTTTTCTCATTTATGAAACAAGGAAGAAAGTACCTAACTCGTAGGGTTAAATCATGTAATTATATGAAGTATCTGGTGCAGAGCAAGTGGGTAGCTCCTAATTACTTAACGTCTGTTTCGTGCTGCTGTAACAGAATACCACAGACTGGGTAGTTTATAAAGAACATAAATTATTGGCTCATGGTTCTGGAGGCTGTGAAATCCAAGATCAAGGGGCTGGTGAGGGCCTTCTTGCTGTATCAGAACGTGGCAGAGGGTATCACATGGTGAGAAGGCAGGCAAGAGGTTGAACTGGCAGCTTGAAGTCCTAATTGTCGTTAACATTCATGAGGGTAGAGCCCTCATGACCTAAATACCTCTCATTAGGCCCCATCTTCCAACACTGTTGCATTGGGGATTAACTTTCCAACAGATGCTTTTTGTGGGGTGCATTCAAATGGTAGCACTACTGTAATAGAGGGGTATGTCAGGTATATGAGGGAACCTTAAACCAGCTGGGGGAAGAGTTAGAACCCTGTTTCCAGAAAAAGTAATGCCTGATTTGAGACTTGGATAGATGGTAAATTATGAGTTGAATTGAGGGTTGTACATGAGTTGAATTGAGGGTTGTACATTCCAGGCAAAGGGGACATATAAAAAGTACATGTTTGCTTCATGTTAATTTTGTTTGCGAGTATACAGATAATATATGTAATTTTAATAACAATACTTTTTAAATGGATAGGACTATAAGTTTGTGCTCAAAATAGTAATTCATTGCTTCAAGGGTGTGTTTCTTAATATAAGTCAAAAATTGAAGCTTAAATGGCATCTGAGAAATTTGAGGATAAAAAAATCACATAGACCTAGAAGCCTTCTTAATGCTAAATTTAATGTGCGTGTTTGTGTTAATTGCTAGGGATTTGACTTTATTCTACTTCCCGATAGGGCCTGGTATTAAAGCAAATTACCCCACTTTGGTTCTCTTAATTTAGATTAATTTGACAGAATTTTTCTTCCTTCTCTCTTTTTATGGTCAAATGACATATGAAAATTAGTGTTAAAATACTTCATATCTGTTTTGATAATATGGTCTCATCAGAATCCCAGAATTCTAGCCATTTTCTAGCCAGGTATCTATTATACTAAGTTTTGTATTTTAAATGATAGTAATGTTGGCTGTTATTTTCAGATGATTTTACAAATAAAGACCAAGCAGTGCTTTCCCTCAGGTGTTTTGAATAACCACTCTTTTTTTCTTTACTTATTGTTTTAAAATTATTATTATTTTTTTTTTTGTAGAGATGGAGTCCCACTGTGTTGCCCGGTCTCAGACTCCCAGGTTCAAGTGATCCTCCTGTATTGGCGCCTCCTATAGTGTTGGGATTATAGGTGTGAGCCACCAGGCCTGGTCCCTTTACTTATTTTGGCCTCTTGTCTTGATAAGGACAGATATGACATTTGATCTTAGCCAGAAGGCCAAGAAGCAATTGGCTTCTTGTCTTGGGTAACTCAAAACTTCAAAGGGCAGAATAGATACCCAGAAAACCACAGCCACATAGCTGTAATGTACCAGCAGTTGAAAAGAAATTTAGCTCTTATTGTATAGAATTAGCAACTTACATTGTTTTTCCGATGCTGGCTTTTAGCCAGCAAAAACATCCACTACCCTGATCATCTCCTAGAGATGGAAACCATTTCTTAAGTGCCTCCAGCCATGAGCTGGTCTGTCAGTGAAAGATTATTCCCAACCCTGCTCTACTAATAGGAGGATTTCAGGAAGCCAAGGGATTCTATTTAAAACAGCTCAATCTTGTCTTTGTATTAAGATGTATTAACCTGAGATGCCACTTCTGTCCAGACAGGAAATCACATTGTTCTTAGTTTACCTTCCCTTTAAAGGAAAGCTGGGGAATATGTTAAATCCTATTTACTACCCACCTACTTATTACTGTCATCCATATTTTCTTTATCTTGTCATTACGTTTCTCTGTGTTGTCATTAGTCTTTCCCCGAAGTAAAACATTCATGGCACTTGTCATTTGTAATACCAGGATACAGTGTTAAACTGCTTTCATGAGTGAACAAGAGTTCTTGGTCTTCGAGTCATTCTTCCATGGATAGGGTTGGCTTACTCAGCCAAGTCCATCCTAGAGAATCCCTAACTCTTGGGATTTAACGTCCTGGAGAGAGCTGTTAGTGCCATTTTGTGGTGCAAATAGTTACCGTGGTTACTGTGCAAGGCACTGTTTTTTTTTTCTGCTTTGAACCAGGCAGTGAACTGCCTAAAAATGGTCACTTTCCTGCAGTGCCTTTGAGCAGAAATGATTATCTTGGACTTAGGCCTTAGCATTTTTTTATGCCCATATCGTGTATGATGAGCCCACGACTGGATAGATCCCCACAGGAACCGTGTACTTTGAGTCCCCATAGGCTTCTGGCCACCGGCCATGTGACAGCCTGGAAGAGGGCCAGATTTTTCCTTTGCTCATAGCTGCTAGATAAGTGGCTGAGGGTCTGATAGAAAGAGCAGTCAGTACAAAAGAGACTGAAAAAAAAAGCCCAGCCACATGCTTGGTGAGTCTCCTGGCTGTGATGCTGTAGTCATCTACGGTGACATAGTCGGAACAAAAGAGATCAAGTACGACCTCAGAGTAACAATGCATATTGTTGGGAGGAGAATAGTTTTCATGTACTTTTTATTCTAGATTGTCAACTGCAAGTAGCCTGGTTATCTTTACCATATTTGTCACATCACATACTATGAAAGTAGTTTAAGGCTTACAGTTAAAACACAGCTTGTGAAGAGAGCATGTAACTTTCCCTTTCAAAACTGCCTTGCAATATAATTTTTAAATATTAATCTAAATATTGCTTCTCAGTTGTTTAAAAATATAATTTAAAATGTGAATTCAAATTTGTAACCTTCATTTGTCAATTTTTCAGGGTTTGGCTGTGTAGTTGAACATGTCTTAATTTTTGTTAAACAAATAATGTTTCTTGTGGACAATTTTGAAAATAGAGGAAAGTATAGAAAAGAATAAACAACTGTACTCCCACATGTAGAACAATGCCAGGTGCATGATGGGCTCTCACATATTTGCTCAGTGGATGTAGAGACAGATACTGTTAATATCATTTGGGTATATATGTCTAGGTTTTTTTATTTTTTATTTTATTTATTTATTTTTTGAGATGGAGTCTCGCTCTCAAGTCGTGCAGGCTTGAGTGCAATGGCGTGATCTTAGCTCACTGCAGCCTCCGCCTCCTGGGTTTAAGTGATTCTCTCGCCTCAGCCTCCCAAGTAGCTGGGGCTACAGGCACCTGCTATCATGCCCGGCTAATTTTTGTATTTTTAGTAGAGACAGGGTTTCACCATGTTGGCCAGGCTGGTCTTGAACTCCTGACTTCAGGTGATCTGCCCGCCTCGGCCTCCCAGAGTGCTGGGATTACAAGCATGAGCCACTGTGCCTGGCCCAGCATTTTTTAAATGAGTATTAGTCTTTTTTTTTTTTTTTTTTTTTAAGAAAATAGGGATCAGAACATGCAAATACAATGTAATTTCTTCTCTTTAAATTAAAAAAATATTTTGACATTTCTTATTTTTTGTTATTTGACATTTCTTTTGTTTTTGAGACAGAGTCTCACTCTGTTGCTCAGGCTGGAGTGCAGTGGTGTGATCTCTGCTCACTGCAACGTCCACCTCCTGGGTTCAAGCGATTCTCCTGCCTCAGCCTCCCGAGTAGCAGGGATTACAGACGTATGCCACCATGCCCGACTAATTTTTTTATTGTTGTAGAGATGGGGTTTCACCATGTTGACCAGGCTGGTCTCGGACTCCTGACCTCAGGTGATCTGCCCACCTCGGCTTTCCAAAGTGCTGGGATTAGAGGCATGAGCCACCATGCCCTGCCTGTTATTTGACATTTCTTTTCATTGTTATTCTTATTTTTTTTGTGATAGCTGGAAGATTTAAATTTGCCTGTGGCCTTTAGCAAGAGGGCAGCCTCACTTTAGGCATGTCTGGTAAGTGAAGCTGTGTATAATTTTATCAGGTAATGGCTGCTGTGGATCCTCATTAAATATGTGACCTTAACTCCATACCTTTTTACATTATGATCTCGGGAGTAGGGTCCTTTATTCCTACTGCCCACACCTAAGTTTAGAGACGTTCTCACTCAGTCTGTCCAAGTGCATTCTTCTCTTCCTCCTTGTTAGTGTCTGATTTCTACCAAACTCATCTGCTTATTCTCCTTTTTTTCCTTACATGAACTCTTTGCTCTAGCCAAATGGTTTTCTCCAAATCCTGCATTTTCTTTTTCTCTTTCTTTTTTTTTTTTTTTTTTTTTTTGAGATGGAGTCTCACTCTGTCACCTAGACTGGAGTGAGTGGCGCAATCTTGGCTCACTGCAACCTCTGCCTCCCCGGGTCCAGTGATTCTCCTGCCTCAGCCTCCCGAGTAGCTGGGACTACAGGCGTGCACTACCACGCCTGGCTCATTTTTGTATTTTTAGTAGAGATGGGGTTTCACCATGCTGGCCAAGCTGGTCTCGAACTTCTGACCTCGTAATCCGCCTGCCTTGGCCTCCCAAAGTGCTGGGATTACAGGCGTGAGCCACCACGCCTAGCCCCAATCCTGCATTTTCTGTTAACCTGTTTATATTAGTAAAGTGTGGGATCTTGAGAGAGAGTATTCTGGAGGTGTCACACAGCAGAGAAGCTTATTCAAGTTACAAGAGAATAGTTCGTTTTTCCAGTAAAGACTTACGATTGACATTTAAAACTTTTAGTAGTTCTAAAACTAACTCCTTCCCTCTGCACCCTCCTTCCTCTAAAAAGAGAGAGAGAAGGAAAGCAAGAAAGAAATTAGTTGGCCTATGCTTACTGTGACATTTGTCTTCTCTGTGGCAATTAAAACTTCAAAACATTCTTACAGGTCAGTTGTTCCTTGATTCTTTGGGTAACATGGCTAGTGTGGCAAACATGGTTTCATCATGCCTGCAAATTTTGATTATATTTCCTCCTCCTTTCATCAAACCCTGCTCTCAACATTACCTAGTTTGTAATTAAAATAGGCTTGTGCTGGGGTGATCCACACTAATCATTTGACATAGTTAACCTGTGCCACTTTGATAAGCCATAGCACTGACCTTGCCTTAACCAAATGAACTTGACATCTTGTAGCTTTAGGCCTTCTAAGTGTTAGTTTCTCTTCACAGTCAGTCTAGCAGTGGAGCTTTCATTGACATTCTTCATTCATTCTTTATTGTATCTGCATATGAGGAAGCCACAAAGTTAATATTTTTTAAAAAGGTATGGACTCTGTTTTCAGACTTACTACCTACTTAGGGGTTAAAGTCAGTAATAAGTCCTTGAGTAATAAAAACGTTGTGATATAGACTGGATGAGGCAAGAACATACAGGTAGCATGGCACAGTGGGTAGCCTCTGGAGCCATTAAGATTGGAATTTAGATCTTGGTCCCTCAACTCAGTGGCCCTGTATCTTACCCATCCTGAAGCCTCCAGTTTTCCTTCTGGGAATTGAACAGGAGAGGTTATGGGGAGGACTTTCCCCATTTTGAGTTTCCTTTCCACTTCTTGGCAGCATTATAGTAAAGGACCGTGAAGACTAGGAAAGTCAGCCCAGAACTTCCCGAAGGAATGAAGACTGGAGCTAGACCTTGATAGTGGGCTAGGTCACATGGAGAAGGGAAAAAGGCATGGAAACAAGTCTGTAGAAAGAGCATTGAGAACATATGCAGGGAAGAGACTCCATGAAAGCAGTGCATTAAAAAATGTGTGTTTGAAGGGGTAGAGTCTGGAATCTGAAAGATGGGAAAGAGGATTCTTAAAATCGAGGCATGAGATGAGAATATGAGTGAACATAGGAGCTCAGGCAATGGCATAGAAAGGGCAGATACAAGGAGCATCTCCAAGGAAAAATCATCAGGATTTGACGGGTGAGACCGTAGAATGAAAGAAATTTTCAAGGTTTAAGCTGGGTGATTACTGTGTCTATCATGTATTCATTCATTCTTAGAACACTTAAATGGAAAACCTGCTGTTGCGGTGTTCTGTTCTAGGTATTGGGGATTAACCACTAAATAAAACAGAAGCCCCTGCTCTTTTGAAACTTACTTTCTAGTGTTAATTATGTTAAAAAATTTAGTGTCAGCAATTTTAGGATCTTGAGATGTCATCATCTAGCTCATGATTCTTTTATGATCTAAAAGTTAAATGGGAAATGTCAATGAAAGTGCATCCAGTATCTTCATGAACTCAGTATACAGTATTTCCGCGTTTCAGAACTGTAAAGATAAGAATGAAACTGTTAAACTGAAAATACTGAATTTCACAGATCAAAGAAAATGGTACTACTCTAGATGTAGAATTAATAGTTCACCTTATAATTAATAAATTTCAGGAAATATCATGAAGTTTGGAACACCTAGGGAATTGCTGAGTTGTAAAAGGCTCCTTTTGTAGACTTTGGTTGGGTTAAAACTAGGTTCATTTAAAAACCAGGAGGAAGTAGTTAGGTTGAACAAGGCTTTAATACTTGATGGCTTTTGTTCATGTGAGTTTTGTCAGCTTATTTCTGAAGTAGTGCTATGATGTTTTAGTGTTCAGTTTTCTTCAATTCTTTAAGGTAAAATAATTTGTTATTAGTAGATAACTCCTTGACAGAAAATGTTGACATAAGAAATAAAGAAGTTTGAAATTTAGAATACAGTTTTCCATGTTATGTTGAAAGCTTGAATTGGAAGAACATTATCTAATAAAAATTATGATGCATTTAGATATTCATTTGGTTTAGAAAACTTTCCTGCCTTTCATTTAATTGACCTAGTTGTATTTCATAGCATTTTAATGATAACCACAACTAGTCAGCTGTAACAACAGAATATAAAGATTATATGTAATTCTTTTTTTTTTTTTTTTTTCGAGATGGAGTCTTTCTCTGTCGCCCAGGCTGGAGTGCAGTGGCGCGATCTTGGCTCACGGCAAGCTCCACCTCCCCAGTTCACGCCGTTCTCCTGCCTCAGCCTCCCGAGTAGCTGGGACTATAGGTGCCTGTCACCACGCCTGGCTAATTTTTTGTATTTTTAGTAGAGACAGGGTTTCACCGTGTTAGCCAGGATGGTCTCGATCTCCTGACCTCGTGATCTGCCCGCCTCGGCCTCCCAAAGTGCTGGAATTACAGGTGTGAGCCACTGTGCCTGGCCAAAGATTGTATGTAATTCTTAAGGAAATCAGTAAAGGGGTTTGGACCTAATAGGACTCATAAATTTTTTTGCATTTAAAAATGTTCTTAAGAAATGATCAGGATTCTGAGCTGCTTTAGATATATTACCTCTCAGGGTCTGAATTTCTTTTTCTTAAGGATAATTTTATGTTTTTTCAATTTTCTTTAGGTAAAAGTGCAGTTTTAAAGTGTCTCCTGGATATTCACAAAATTTTTCAGGAAAATGACCCAGCGTACATACTGAATGATCTCTACATCTCAGACTACTGTGTGTGGATTCAGAAAGTCAAGTAAGTTTTCATAGAGTTACTTACGAATTTTTAGATGTTCACATTGCTGAAATACCTATTTACCCAGGAGGAAGAAAACGAAATAACCTGAGGAGTAAGTTGTGTTTTTTTTTTTTTTTTTTTTTTTTTTTGAGATGGAGGTTTGCCCTTGTCACCCAGGCTGGAGTGCATTGGTGTGATCTCAGCTACTGCAACCTCCGTCTCCCAAGTTCAAGTGATTCTTGTGCCTCTGCCTCCCGAGTAGCTGGGATTACAGGCGTGTGCCACCACGCCTAGCTAATTTTTTATTTTTAGTAGAGACGGGGTTTCACCACATTGACCAGGCTGGTCTTGAACTCCTGACCTCAGGTGATCCACCCACCTCGGCCTCCCAGAGTGCTGGGATTACAGGTGTGAGCCACTGTGCCTGGCCAGGAATAAGTTTTAATGAGAAGGAAACCCATAGACCTACCAAACACTAAAAAGCAACTGGATTAACATGGGGAGCTTGGTGAATTTGCTTAGGGAAGGAGGTACACAGATGGTAAAAAGTTAATTTTATTAGAAAAAATTGGTATTGGTATGTCCTGGAAAACAGGTATTAAAACAGTTGTGATATTGATTGCCTTGCTATTGACTGTCCAGTATGAAATCTCAAGACTGGGTATCTGAACTTGTATCTGTATTTCACTTACAGTAGAGTGTGAGTGTGTGTAGATGTATGTGCATTCATGTTTGTGTGTGCAAACATTTTAGTATGCAAACTGCATCAGTTGAATCCAGATGAGAGCTCTGCATTTATTGGCTAGCCACTGGCTTACCACCTGCAGAGCCTAATAGCATGATTCTTGATAATGCATGTATGGAAGGGTCTGAACACTCACAAATGAGCTCCAGCACTTGGTATATAAAAATTTTTAAAAGTGTTTACCATTGCGTCAATCAAAGAAACATAGTAGATTAACGATTACATTTTAAAATGCAGTGAATTTTTATTTCGTGAAGTTCTGTAGATCTGATTCTTATTAGACATGACAAAATTCCATTTCAGTAGCAAGAGGCTATTAATTAAGAATCTATAAATGGGCCAGGCATGTTGGTTCATGCCTGTAATCCCAGCACTTTGGGAGGCTGAGGCAGGAGGATCGCTTGAGTTCAGGAGTTCAAGACCAGCCTGGGCAACATAGTGAGACCCTGTCTGTATTAAAAAAAAAACAAAACAAAAAACCTATAAAGGGAACTCTTAATTGGAATGACTCCTAGGTGCTATAGAAAATGATAGCTACAATGTCAATTGTGACTTAGAAGAAAAATAGTCTTGATATTTTTGCTACCGCCATGATTGATAAATAAATGCTTTAGTGTGGATTTTAATGTCTGTTTTGAATGAGCCATTATATGGGATTTATTTTTTATTTCTCTTCATGGGGGAGCAATTATATTGCAGAATGAAATATGAAAAAACTTGAGGCTATACCTGTTGTACAGAAAATGCTTAGGGATTGCTCAAGATAATGCCTAATAACATACAGCAGGTGGTGTCAGCATTTGTGTTGGAAATCTAGATTTCGCCAGATGGAAAATTGAATGTTTAACCCCTGAGGTCATAATGGCATGTCATCACTTCATTTGATCCTCCTGCTAATTGAGCTTATCAAATACCCTGCTGCCATTTCCTGTTGTTACTTTCATTTTCATAATAAAATTAAATGGGGATAGTCTATTTGTGTGGGTTTTGGTTTTTCTTTTTTTTAGGAATGATGATTTTGTAAACATGTAATGAATATTGAGGTATGTACCAGGATCTCATTTCTGTGAGTGCCTGTTTCTCTCTTTGTGATATTCTTTATTAGCTAGAGAGAAGTTTATTTTTCATTAAAGAAGAAAGATATAGGCTGCCAAGTAGATGTAGGGATTATCAGACCTTCCCTGAAAAAACTTTTTCTCTTGGTTTTATGTTGTGGGAAATGAAGTGAAATTCTTAGGTTCTTTGTAATTGTTGTGCTAATAGTACTTTTAAAAAATGGGATAATGTATTGGGGAGTGAGGTAGGAGAGAGAAACCAGCAGGAACTCTTCAAATTACTTTGCAAAAGTTGTTTTTTCAACTTTACCAATTTGAACATAACTTTCTTTTCCCTAAACAGGCGTGTTGCTTTCAGTTTGTATGTTAAATTTTAACTGTAGCCCAGCTATTTTTTTCTCTCTTTTGAAATAAAACATTTGTTTATCTAATTTTTATAAAAATTTCTAGTTTTATTCTTAATTTTACAAGCACAACATGATTGAGCTTTCTAGTATTTTCTTTACTGTGAACTTCTTAGGTCTAAATAATTCTACTGCAGTGTAGATCCATGATTTTCGTAAGGAATTTTTTCCTCACTTTTACCTTCTGGTTTATTTCTTCTACATATAGTTTATCAGTGAAATCTAGCACCTTATTTTTATGTTTGAAAAGAGCCATGTATTTTTCTTAGTTTAGTTTGATGTTTTTGATTATAATAATAAAAACTATGTAAGGTTTTGTTTGAAATACCAGGTAATTGCTAAATTCTGACTAGCACAAAAACAGCATTCCATTTTTACAGTCAGATATATGCTTTGGCAAAAACCTATTGAAACGTAGGTAGCAAAGTCATTCTTACATTGAATCGATGAAGTTATAACAACATCTATTGTTACTTCTGCTTTCGTACTAGGTTTCCCTATGTTATTTTTCCCTATGATATCTGTGTCTTGTAATGCATATTTGCAAAGCTGAGAAACTGAAGCTCCTGGCCTCTCATTCTGAGTTACAGATTTTACCAATTGTTTTTCTGAAAAGAACGCTCCCTACCACCCTTCACTATAAGCTTCACTGGAAGTTTTGAGTGTGGTGCTCACTACAGCAAATGTTCTGTGGTTGGCAGCCTTAGAAAGTGATTTGTTTGAGGTTATATGTCTTATAAGAGATAGGTCAGGTCTTCTGGTTCCAGATTTCATATTTTTCAAGATATGCCACTTATGCAACCAGTTGTCTCCACCCATACCATGTGGAAGAAAAAAGATAAAAGCCCTTTCTTCAGAGAGATTTTCCTATAGGAAAAGGAATGAATGAAACATCTGTCTTTCTCATGGATGTTCCCATAGCACTTGGTTGAGAGATCATTGGGCACCTCTCATGCCTGCCTTATATTGTAGGAATCTAGATGTGTATCTCTTTCCCCTCTAAAATGCTAAGGTCTATGTGAATAAGCACCTGTCTGGACCCATCACAGTTTGTGAGCACAATCAGTTTTACTCAAATTGAATGATACCTATTAGACCGGATTAAAGGAACGTTTTTCATTTTTGTTTTAAATGTAGCACTTTAAAAATATAAATCAATTCTAACTTATTTTTATTGGTATTTCAGCTACATATACAAGTTGCCCCATTCTTTGCTGGTGGGCTGCCATCAGTAGCAGTGATAGTTCTGACCCTCTGAAATTTAACAGTTCCATGGTATCCAACCCTTTGGCTTCCATGGGCCATACTGGAAGAATTGTCTTGGGCCACGCATAAAATACACTAACACTAATGATAGCATGGACCAAAAAAAAGATCCATGCATAATTTTTATGATATCCATCACTACAGATAAGCAAAAAAGTCCTTGCATTCAAATAGTTGGCACCTTTTTATATAAGGTGGGATAGAAAATAATGAACTGTAATACATTCCAGCTCTACTTCTCATTGACCGTATGACCTTAGCAAGTCACTTTGTCACTTAATCTAATTCAACCAATATTAGTATTTTGATATTTCCTGTATTTGTTTCCCAATGCATTTTTTAAATATGTAACAAGTTTATTTTTCTTTTTTTTTTTTTTTTTAGTGTTTATTGATCATTCTTGAGTGTTTCTCGGAGAGGGGGATTTGGCAGGGTCATAGGACAATAGTGGAGGGAAGGTCAGCAGATAAACATGTGAACAAAGGTCTCTGGTTTTCCTAGGCAGAGGGCCCTGCCACCTTCTGCAGTGTTTGTGTCCCTGGGTACTTGAGATTAGGGAGTGGTGATGACTCTTAACGAGTATGCTGCCTTCAAGCATCTGTTTAACAAAGCACATCTTGCACCGCCCTTAATCCATTTAACCCTTAGTGGACACAGTACATGTTTCAGAGAGCACGGGGTTGGGGGTAAGGTTATAGATTAACAGCATCCCAAGGCAGAAGAATTTTTCTTAGTACAGAACAAAATGGAGTCTCCTATGTCTACTTCTTTCTACACAGACACAGTAACAATCTGATCTCTCTTTCTTTTCTCCACATTTCCCCCTTTTCTGTTCGACAAAACTGCCATCGTCATCATGGCCTGTTCTCAATGAGCTATTGGGTACACCTCCCAGACGGGGTGGCGGCTGGGCAGAGGAGGTCCTCACTTCCCCGACGGGGCGGCAGGGCAGAGGCGCCCCCCCTACCTCCCGGACGCGGCGGCTGCCGGGCGGAGACGCTCCTCACTTCCCTGACAGGGCGGCTGCCGGGCAGAGAGGCTCCTCACTTCTCAGACGGGGCGGCTGGTCAGAGATGCTCCTCACCTCCCAGATGGGGTGGCGGCGGGGCAGAGACACTCCTCAGTTCCCAGATGGGGTCGCAGCCGGGCAGAGGCGCTCCTCACTTCCCAGACTGGGCGGCTGGGCAGAGGGGCTCCTCACATCCCAGACGATGGGCGGCCAGACAGAGACACTCCTCACTTCCCAGACTGGGCGGCCGGGCAGAGGGGCTCCTCACATCCCAGACGATGGGCGGCCAGGCAGAGACGCTCCTCACTTACTAGACGGGGTGGCGGCCGGGCAGAGGCTGCAAACTTGGCACTTTGGGAGGCCAAGGCAGGCAGCTGGGAGGTTGAGGTTGTAGCGAGCCGAGATCACGCCACTGCACTCCAGCCTGGGCAACATTGAGCACTGAGTGAGCGAGACTCCGTCTGCAATCCCGGCACCTCGGGAGGCTGAGGCTGGCAGATCACTCGCGGTCAGGAGCTGGAGACCAGCCCGGCCAGCACGGCGAAACCCCGTCTGCACCAAAAAATATGAAAACCAGTCAGGCGTGGCGGCGCACGCCTGCAATCCCAGGCACTTGGCAGGCTGAGGCAGGAGAATCAGGCAGGGAGGTTGCAGTGAGTCGAGATGGCGGCAGTACAGTCCAGCCTCCGCTCGGCATCAGAGGGAGACCGTGCAAAGGGAGAGGGGAGAGGGAGGGGGAGGGGGAGAGGGAGAGCCCCAATGCATTTTTAAACCAGTGGAAGCAATACTGCACATACCATTCTGTAGCCTGTTTTATACTCATGATAATACCTTATAAACCATTTCCCTTTATAACATAATATCCATTACAGAGTTTTTTTTAAGTAACTAATTTATTCCTCATTATAAAAAGAGTACATATATGCTCACTGAGAAAATTTCACATTAAAACTGTATGGTTTTAATACATAGCACATTTTGAAATGACAAGGGATCAAGAACGGTGTTCTTTTGTTTTTGCTACATGGAAAAATTTTATTGTTTTTAAATGAAACTAAAATCTAAAATCCTGACTCTTATCAGTACAAATGTGAACCTGTAATTAAGATGTTAAATCACACTTTTCCTCTCTAGTATAGTTTTTTTAAGTAGGTAGTTCTGGGGAAAAAGAAAAAAAGTGTTTTTGAAATTCTAAACCCTCTTTGCATTAAACTGATTAATGGTTAATTAACTCTAATAGTGCAATTAACTTTTTTTGCTGAAATCTTCTGACCTTTTGGACACTAATGTGGGAAGTTTGTAGAGGGAAACAGCTATATCACAAGATAGTTATCTGTCATTTCATAAGTCATGAACCTTAATTTCCTCAGTTGTAAGTAAACCTAAGTCATTTCAGCACTGAAGTTCTAAAATTTTAGAAAGCTTAAGACCTTATGATTGCTTTAGATTCTTGAGTTGCTTTCTATGTGCATGTGCTTTTGAAGGGGATAGGATTATGCTAAGAACAGGGTAGATAACATACATCTCTTCCTTCTGGCTCTCTGTTGTTCCTGGTTCCTCTGCCAAAATGAGGTAGTGAGAGAGACTCATATGCAGAGGTGCAACATCAGAATTGCATGTAAAAGTGGAGTCATGTATTTTTTTTCAACCAGTAGTTATTGAGCTCTATTATGTGCCAGGTGGTGAGATAGGTGCTGGGAATACTGTGGTGAACAAGAGAGACACGTCGTTGTGAAGTTGGTCTTCTAGTGGGAAATGCAGATGTAATGTATTATACCCAATAGCGGCTACAGTGGGCAAGTATGGGAGCTGTGGAAGCATCTAAGAGGACACAGGGCTGTAGGAAAAGGCTTCCAGAGGAAGAGTTTAAGCTGAGAGCTGAAAGGTTTGTAAGAATTGGTCAGATGCAGGTGGGGAAGTGGGGATGAAGAGTATTTCAGACAGTAGACAAAAGAATATGGCCCATTTGAACAGCCTGAAAACCCAGGATGCATAGGTTATAGTACAGAAGGGATAGGAAAGAAGTGAGGCTAGAGGTTCATGTAGAGGCTTGGCCACCTAAAGATGCTTGGCCTTTGTCCTGGGAGAATATGGAGCATCTGAAGAGTTTTAAGCGATGAACTGCCTGTGTGAGTGAGGGTATGAGACTGACATTCTGGGAAGATCCATCAGGTGATTGTGGGGAATGAATTGTGGTGGGGCAGAGCTCAGAGCTCCAGACTTAAAGGCCAGTTAAGAAGCAGGGTAATCCAGGAAAAATAGCCTGAGCCAGGTGAGTGAGAATGGGGAAGGAGACTAGTCATCAGATTTGAGAGGCAGGTGAGACAGACTTAGTAATTGATTGGATGCTGCTGGGAGAGAGAGAAGGGGAGGAGCCAAGATGAGATGTGGGTTTTGACTTGGGCATCTAACTGGGCTGTTAAAGGTGGCATATGCCAAGATTAAATAGTAATGAAGAAGGTGTAGTTTGGGAGAGAAGGTGAGGAGTTCAGTTTTGGAAATGTTGATTTAATGCCTCTAAGGAATATCAGTAAAGAGGGAGCCAGGAACATTTGGAGCACAGCTGGGACAGATGTATAAAGAAGAGTTTAGACAAGAAGGGAAATGAATTAAGTCACAAAACATAAAAAATGTTCTCTGGTTACATGGTACTGTGTTACCTATAAGTATAATAATAATCGGAGTGGATGCATTTCAAGCTGGGAAAATAACATCATGCAGATGAGTAGACAAGGAGAACATGTATGCAACATGGTGAACAAATTTTCTTGTTCTAGCTACAGTGTATAGGTAGGACAAGAGTGGATGTGAGGCTTTTTGCATTTGGATCATAGTTTATCCTTGCTGTCTCCCTTTATTGTTGAACAAGAGGGTCTACTGTTAACATTTCAGGGGTCACGATGTTATAGTAATAGGGTCAGATAAGAAATCCTATCTCTCTAGTCTGTGTGCCGGAGCCTGCCAGTATTCTTAACTAATTCTTTTTGTTTTTTAAGAGGTGGAATTTCGCTATGTGACCTCCAGCTCCAGAGCTCAAGTGAACCTCTTGCCTCTGCCTCTGGAGTAGCTGGGAATACAGGAGCACGGCTCATGACTACTTCTTGTCAATTGTTCCCATAAGAGAAACTCACTCAGACTTTTACAGCAAAACTGGGGAGCTTTATTGGTGACTATAGGTTATCCCCTGGAACTGTACATTCAAGAGTACAGCTGGATACCAGGAGGTCAGATGATGAGAAAGTGAGGCATTCGGCTTGCTCTTGCATATGGTCTTGCATGATGCTGCTTTCTGCAAGGCACTGCCACTCTTCTCTCTCACTGCACATGGAGGATGGCCACTCCACAGATCTGAGTTTACATGTCTTTACTTTCAGTGGGGATAGATTCCCTTGTTTGTAATTCCAGGGGAGGAAGAATGTGATTGGCTCAGCAAGGGTAAGTGTGTTTTCCTGGTCCAGTTGCCTTGGTCACACTGGGATCAGAAGTAGTGAGTGGCATTTCTAAGAAAGTGAAGCTGGAGGACATACAGCCACCTCAAGAAGACACTGCTGTAATTTCACAGTACCATTTTGAGCCATAGCTGGAGGAAAGCCATGACACCTACCACCCCCCAAGTCACTGATGTTTATAATAAATCTACAGAGTGGAAGGTGATTTTGGGGATCTGTTAAATTCAGGCACGCAGAGCGATAATCAGACACTCTAGGTGGTTTTACATTGGTATGGGAAGTTACTTCTGACAAATGGTGAAATGCTAAGTGTTAAATTAGCTGCTAATGATTAGCATGTAGAAGTTTCAAGAAACAATTGTGCGTAATTTCAAGCAAGTTAAACCTTGGATTAAAATCATTCTTGGTAAGGTGCTTATTCTGGCATGTCAAGTTGCTCTTTAGTTTTACTGTTTATTTTTAATTAAATCCACAAATTCATCCTGGATGGAAGTGGGTTTTTATCTCCATAAGAAAAGATTAGTACAAGGCAGTATCCATTCACTTGGATCCATTCAGCGTGGTTTCATATAGAAAGGATTTACTTAATGGTTCTGTACCTTATCACCAGTAGCTCAGCAGTGCCCACTGGGGACTGTTGCTCTTCATTAGACTTCTCTTACAAGAAATGTGCCAATAAATCACAGGATTACAAATGTTCCTACAGATCTAAGACTAAAATAACCTTTTATAAAGATATGAATGCTTCCTGTAACTAAGTGTATTGAAAAAACTAACAAAAGAATTATATATTTGAATGTTAAAGGTTTATGGGATATTTTTGTTGTTCTTTTTTTTTTTAATTTGTAATTTGTATCTTTTTTTTTTTTAGGTAGACTTTTTATTTTAGAATAGTTTTAGATTTGCAGAAAAATTGCAGAGATAGTACAGAGTTCCCATGTACCCTACCCAGGTTTCTCTGTTAACCTCTTATATTGGAATGATATATTTGTCACAATTAATGAACGAATATTGATGTTATTATTAACTAAAGTTTATTTAGATTTTCTTAGTTTTTACCTAATGTCCTTTTTCTCTTCTATGAGACCACATTTTGTTTTGCTTTTACTAAAGAACTGGAAATTGAGTAGTGCTCAATTTCTTGGACATTTTGGTTATTCAAGAGCTTAAATGCTATGAAAGGTAAGTGAAATATTGTTGAGATACTCAGATACCTGAGGAGCTTAATACATACAAACATTCTAATCATCATGAATCCAGACTTGGAAAAAATGGGTTTGACGTATTTGAGAATTTTTAGAAATAGAAACATAATTCATTTATCATTTTTACTTACATATGTACCATGGACATCATGATTATGATACATTGATAAAAATAGAGAAAGCTTAGGGCTGGGCATGCTGGCTCATGCCTATAATCCCATCACTTTGGGAGGCTGAAGTGGGAGGATCAGTTGAGGACAGGAGTTCGAGACCAGCTTGGGCACCATAATGAGACCGTGTCTCAACAAAGCAAAACTGGGCATGATGGCATGTGCTTGAACCCAGGAGTTCAAGGCTGTAGTGAGCCAAGATCATGCCACAGCACTCCAGCCTGAGTGACAGAGGGAGACCCCATCTCAAAAAAAAAAAAAAAAAAAGTGTATAAAAATAAATTGGGCAAGGCCTTTATAGTTTCATGTTAATTTTCTTAAGGTGGAGGAGGTTAGAGGAGAAGATGTGGAGATACATATGAACCATTTTCAGAGGTGAATAAGCGTGGAAAATACTCTACCTTTATCTAGGGAGTAGTATGTATATCAAGCCCATTTTATAGCTGTGGCTGGGTGGCTGTGTTAGAAGTCTCTGTTCTTTCTTGTTTTAGTCCCTGATACTTGGCTGTAGACTGCCCAAGTCCTTGGTTTTGGCTTGGTGGAGCCATGGCTTTTTACAGAGTAAGCAAATTGCTATTTTCCTTCATCTCCTTGTTCTTGTGTATTTTTGTACCTCAAAGCTCTTTGGAGGATTCTCTTTGGAGGGAGACCCACAGGATCAAGTGAGTTAGGGTGGTGATTGATTTAGTCAGGTTTTATAAACCAGTATTCTCTACTTCACGTAGAATTTTCACTGTGCTTGAATAGTCTTAACATCTTATTCAGAGAAAAGGCTTACATTGATTAATGTGGCATATGTGTGGTTATCATACTTAGAAAGTGCTCTGTTTAAGGAGAGCTTTGTCAAGAGCATTCTTTCAATGGAGTCACGAGAAAGCTTTTTAAAAAAGCTGACAACTTCAAGTACAATTTCCTTTTTCTTCTGTCTATTATGATTGAAACCCAATCTTTGTTATAACATAATTATCTCAGCTGAAGCCAACAGGGAGTTGCTGCCTTAATGTAAGGGGTGTGAAGTCCCCTAAATAAATAGAGGATTAATTACATTCCCAGCATGTTGCAAAGGTGATGAGATTGATTGTGATCATTTGACTTGTCCCATTTCCTGCTCTGACTACTTTCTTTAATAAATAGAAGCTGGGAAAATAATAAACAGAGCTGTGGAACATATCTTTGGGCATGGAGTGTTGGAAAAGGACCTTCTTGAGGTATATTTCTGGATTTTAAGTGATTTATATGACATTTTACAGTTTTTTTCATTGATTATTCTTGTACTGTTTCAATTTAAACAGCTTTCAAGGAAATTGTTTTTGCTTAAGAAAACATAGATATTAGCAGAGCATTGAGAGAAATTGATAAATTCTATTTTAATGGTTGGATATAAGCAAATTTCTGATCCAATTTTAGATGTTTTCATTTAGTGTGGCATTATGGAAGGTTTAAACTAAAGGAAATATTAGCTATTACATGTTTCTATTGTCCTTTTCACATAAGAGCTTTATACTTCTGTTAAGCTTAAAGTGATAAATTAGGACTTTCATGAAGTGGATCATGTTTTCTGTTTTGTGCTTGTCTTACTGTCTTTTCCTGGAGAGTTTTATAATATCCTGAAATTGTGATTTAGAGTATTTATTTATTCTCTAAATTTTCTATTGCTGTGGCTTCCTATGGAGGTCCACTTTTTCCAGGGAGTACATAAAACAATCTTTTTGGGGTATAGGAAAACTGTAATAGACCTTCTACCTATAATTATTTTTTGAGAATGAAATTAAGCTTCATAAATATTTTATACAGGGATTGATGGCAAAAATGATTTTTAGTGGCTACTTACCATACCTTTTTTTTTAGTGATGTGATATTTGATTAGAAGCTTAAAAGGCCACTGCTTCATGGAACAGCCATTCCTATTTTCAAAGAGAGTCATACACCTTTTTTCTCAAAGCCTAAGTTATGGCAGGGCTGGGATTGCCTCTGCCAGGAAATTAGTGTTGGGGTTCGGGGACTCTAGTCAGTCTCTGCCAATTAAAGACTCCTGATGATATGGTCTCTTCTTTCTGCTCTGTAATTTTATGTAAATAATAAAATGGTGCACCAAAACAATGAGAAAAACTGCATTTGTAGTGTCAAATTAACTACCTGACTTAAATGCTAAGTTCATATTTGGGAAAACTCAAGCACTGAAGAATTATCTAATTATTGTGTTTATTTCATTTCATGTAGGGTATAAGGGCCGTCTTTTTCTGAAATGCGAGCCCTTCTTGAAAATCTCACCTGAGGCTGTGCATGGTGTCTCACGCCCATAATCCCAGCACTTTGGGAGACCAAGGTGAGCGGATCACCTGGGGTCGAGAGTTCAAGACCAGCCTGGTCAACATGGTGAAACCCCATCTCTACTTAAGAATACAAAAATTAGCATGGTGGCACGTGCCTGTAATCCCAGCTACTTGGGAGGCTGAGGCACGAGAATCGCTGGAACCTGGGAGGTAGAGGTTGCAGTGAGCCAAGATTGCGTCACTGCACTCTAGCCTGGGTGACAGAGTGAGACTGTCTCAAAAAAAAAAAAAAGAAAAAAAAAAAGAGAAGAAAATTGCCTTGAGTGCACACCACCATACTTTTTACTTTATTTGCTTCTATATTCTGCCTCTACTAAAAATACAAAATTAGCCGGGTGTAGTGGTGGGCACCTGTAATCCCAGTTACTCAGAAGGCTGAGGCAGGAGAATTGCTTGTTCTCTGAGTTGTGTAGCACATCAAGTGATGGAATACACCTCTAATATCATGGCATGTTTGTCTTTTGTTTGGTTTGCCTGATTTTAGTCTTGTGATGGATGAGATATTACTTTACATCCCAGATTTGTAATTATGTGGTATACTTTAAGTGACAGAGTGAAAGGTGAAAAGTGATGTCTCTTTTGATGATCATCTCTTCTCCTGACTCTTGCCACTTTCGGTGTGTATGTATCCTATAAACCCAGAGCATTTACACCCCCAAAGATGTTCTTTGTGGATGTCACTTTTGACACCTTAAGAACCCAAAGACACATTCTTTTGGCAAAGAATAAAACACCTTCTCGCATATGGTATTAAGTACCTTTGTGCCATTCCAAATAAGCTTGCCAGCCAATTTAGATTTTATTTCTATCCTTAGATTATCCTAATGCTTCAGAAAAATAAGGGTTTAGTTCTTACTAGAAGAAATTGACTTCACTTTCAACTTGATATTTAAAATTACAGTTGTCAGCATTTGTCCTGTCTGCTTGTTTAAGGGACATAACAGTTAAAAGGACTTCACTTAATGCTGTATAAGTTAGTGATCTGAATAAAACTATTGGCAAAGGATCTCCACTCTGTATTAAATACTGGATTAATCATACAGGTCAAGCTTTCACAATTCTAGTTGTGAAGCTTGTGTTCTGAATGTGGCAGCACTACATATCCTTATGTTTCAGAAGCTTTATTGTGATCCATGGTTTCAGATGCATATTTCAAATCCAGAAATTTTGCCTGGTAAGTAAGGCTTATCATACCTTTTTTAAAAAATTAAATATTTTTTAAATAGTAGAGGCAGGGTCTTGCTGTGTTGCTCAGGCTGGTCTCGAACTCCTGGCCTCAAGCAGTCCTCCTGCCTTGGCCTCCCAAAAGTGCTAGGATTATAGGCATGAGCCACCTCGCCTGGCCTTGTACCTTTTTATCAGAAAGATCCAACCTTGCTCCAGGTTTGTGTGAAAACAGTTTTGCTTTGTTTTTAAACCAGAGCCACATAGATCTTTCCATCTTCTGTATAGGTCAGTGTTACTTGTTTCTGTTAATCATACTATTTCAAAGTCCCCTGCCATTTTAAGGTGGGCTCTCCTCTTGAGGCTTGGGCATGAGAGTTAAGCCAGATACTGACTTCGTTTTCTATCTTTTGGGGTCTTGTTATCCTAGGTGGAAATGGTGGTTGTTTAATTGTGACTGCTTTAGACTTGAGTATCTGTTCATCAGTCCATTCATTCAACAAATAGTTTATGAGTTCCTACTGTGTGCAGGGTTCTCTGCCAGGGGCCTGCCAATGGTAAACAAAACTTGACTTGGCTTCTGCCCTTCTAGAATTTGTGGTCTGATGAGGAGAGAAGTATTAATCAAATACTTGCATACACAAAAAGTAAAATTAAAACCTTGGAAAGTGGTGCAAAAGAAAAGATTCATACTGCCACGAGAGATGGCTGACCTCGCCTGGTGAGGGGATTAGGAGGAGAAGGAGGATCCCCTGGGGAAATGTTTGGTTTGAGTACTGAAGTACAAGTAGGAGTTAACCTAAAAAAGGTGGTGGACTTCAGGAATACATAGTAGTTCCATCATGTGCAAAGGCTCTGTGGCAGGAGGAGGGAATTTTATATGTTTTCAAGAAATTGCAAGAAGGTCAAGGTGGCTGTAACCTAGAGAAAGGGTATATGTGTTGGGGGAGGGGTCAAGAAAAGGCTGATGATTTAGTCAGAGCCCAGACAGTATAGTGCCTTTTAAGTAATGTTAAGAATTTTTATCCTTATTCTAAGAGTAGCGAGAAGCCAGCGAAGGATTTTCAGCATATGATGGGAGATGACTGGTGTAGTGTAAAGAGCTTTTTAGGCCAGTTTCAAGACTATTAATAATGCCCTTATGAGGCGTGAGTGTAGCCTGACTAGGGAATTAGGATTTTTAGGAACTCAAATGGATTTAGAGAATGAGGAAGAAGGCAACATGGAGGATGATGCCTGGGTTTGTAGCCTGCACAGCTGAATGAATGATAAAACCTAATTTTGGAAAAGGAATCTCAGGGTTTTGGCTTTTGTTAGAGGAATCTTTTCTATACAGAACTTAAACTCTTTTGTGGTGATCTGTACTTTAATCATAATTCTGGATAATGGCCAGTTTTCTTTATTTGCCTCTGTTATTGTTGCCTTTATTATTTAATGAACTACTGGGTTCAGTTATCTATGGAGGTTTGCCGTTTGTATGTGTTTTTTGAATGTTTGTAGAGTTTAGTTATTTTCTTAAAATGTTTTCTTATGAAATATAAAATACAATAATATTTGAAGTGTATACAAATTATGCAAATTAAGTGTATACAATTACACAAATGAAAGAATAGTAATGAACTGAATATTCATGTAACTACCACTGATTTCTTTTTTTTCTTTTCTTTTCTTTTCTTTTCTTTTTTTAAAGAGACAGGGTTTCTGTCACCCAGGCTGGAGTGCAGTGATATGATCATAGGTCACTGCAGCCTCAAACTCCTGAGCTCAAGTGATCCTGCCATCTCATCCTCCCGAGTAGTTAGGACTACAGGCATGCCCAGCTAATTTTTTATTTTTTGTAGAGATAGAGTCTTGCTTTGTTACCCCAGGCTGGTTGAACAACTGGGCTCAAATGATCCTCCCATTTCAACCTCTCAAAAGTGCTCAAAGTGGATCGATTATAGGTGTGAGCCACCATGCCTGGCCTCCAATCTTAAGAAATAGAATATCACCAATTTCCTAGAGATTCCCTATGGGACCATTCCCAATTGTATTAACTTCTGGTAACCACAACTCTAAATTTTATGTCAATCATTACTTTACTTTTCCATATAGTTTTACCATTTGTGCATATATCTCAAGTTTAGTTTTTAGCTTTGCTTTCTTTTGGACTTTATGTAATGGAATCATGCTATATGTATGGTTCTTCTATTACTTGTTTCTTTTGATTTTAAAAAGATTTATCCATGATGATGCATAGAGTTGTAGATGGTTCTTTTCTGTCCTGCAGTGTACTATCCCATTGTCTGAATATAGTGCTGTTTGTCTGTCTGTTATTCTGTGGAACCACTAATAAATGGTTTCCAGTTTGGGCTATTCAGAAAATGCTGCTGCAGATATCACTATACGTGTTTCATGGTGTACTTGTGCAACTTTTTGGTTAAGCCCTATACCTAGGAATGGAATTTCTGGGATTAGGGACAATGATATGTTAGCCTTTAATGGGCAGTGTCAAACTGTTTTCCAAAGTGGCCATACCAGTTTATTTCAACTTATACTTTAACCAGCAATGTATAATAATTTTCCTGATTCCACCTTCATGCCAACACTTACATGGTTCAGATTTTACGATTTGACAATCTGAAGGGGTATGAAATAGTTTCTGTTGTAATTTTAATTTGCATTTTCCTAATTACTAGTGAAGCTGAGCATCTTTTCATGTGTTTATGAGCCATTGGTGTTTCCTCTACTATGAAATGTCTGTCTATTGTATCCCCTGTTTTTCAATAGGACTTCCTTTCTTTTTGATTTATAGGATTCCTTCCAGTATTCTGGATACTAGTCCTTTATGGGTTAAATATGTTGCAAATATTTTCTTCCAGTTTATAGTTTATGTTTCAGTCTCCTTGTAGTGTTTTCATAAACAGAAGTTTTTAATCTCAATGCTGTAGAATTTCTCAATGTGTTCCTTTATGGGTGTGCTTTTGGTTCTCGTTTAAGAAAGTTTTTATGATTTGGATGTTATAGAGATATTCTCCTATAGTATCTTCTAAATTTTTTATTCTTTTGCATTTTGCATTTAAGTCCTTAGTCCACCTGGAATAGATTTTTTGTATGTTATGCAATAGGGGATCCAGTTTCTTTTTTCCCATATGGATAACCATATCCTGGCTTCATTTATTAAATAGTCTATCCTTTCCTCATACATCCTGCAGTGCTCACTCTTATAAATCAAGTTAACATGTATGTGTGGATCTGTTTCTAGGTTGTCTGTTCAGCCCCACTGATTTACTTGTCTGTCATGCGAGAGTGCCATACTTTCTTAATTACTGTAGCTTTATATCTTAGAATCAGCTTGTCAAGTTCCATGAAAAACATTTTGATTGGAATTGCTTTGAATCTGTTAATCAGTTTGGAGAGACTAAAACATTTTGTGTCTCTTTCCAATAATATGGTATGACTCTCTTAAGTTTTCTTTAATGTCTTTCAATAAAATTTTATAATTTTTTTCCATTAAAGGTTTACTCATTTTTTTGTTCGATTTATTGCTGATGTAAATACTTTTTTAAAAAAATTACTTACAAACTGCCTGTTTAAAGTACAGTCATGCATTGCTTAATGATAGGGATACGTTCTAAGAAGTGTATCATTAGGCAGTTTTGTTGTGTGAGCATCATAGATTGCACTTACACAAACCTAGATGGCATAGCCTACTACACACCTAGGCTCTATGGTGTAGCCTATTGCTTCTAGGCTACAAACCTGTACAGCATGTGACCATCCTGAATACTGTAGACAGTTGTAACACAGTGGTATTTGTATATCTCAACATATCTAAATATGGAAAAGGTACAGTAAAATCAGAGTATTATACTCTTATGGGACCACCATATGTAGTTCATCATTGACCACAACGTTGTTATGTGGCACATTAATGTGTATAGAAATGTAATTCACTTTTAAAAATTGATTTCATATCCAGCTACGTTGTCAGACTCTACTATTAACTCTTATGTATCATTTCTGTCCAGTTTTCTATATAGGCAGTAGTAATGCAAGTAATGACAGTTTGGTTTCTTCCTTTTCAGTCTTTATATTCTTCATTTCTTTTTCTTTTTCATTTTATTGCACTGGCCTAGGCCCTTCAGTACAATCCCGAATAGATATGGTGGTAATATATTTATCTTATTCTTTATCTTTAAGAAAATGCTTTCAACATTTTATCATTAAATATGATATTTGCTTTTGTAGATAGGCTTTATCAAGAAAGATTCATGTTATTCTTATTTTGCATGGAGTTTTTTATTCTAAATAGTTTTGAATTTTATTGCATTTTTTCCTCATCCTTGGGATGATCTTAAAAATTTTTTCCTTTAATTTGTTAATGTAATGAATGGCATGTGTAAAATTTCGAACAAATTCGGCCTTGCATTCCTGGGATAAACCTATCTTGATTATGATGTATTATTTAAACATGATGCTGGATTTGGCTTGCAAACTCTGTGGGTGCCTACAATCAGGAAGAGGGTATGTATGGGAAGAGAAATTGGCCTATAATTTCCCATTATTGTACTGTCCTTTCCTGATAAAATGACTTAACATTGCCTTTTCTGTTCTCTGAAACAGTGCACGTAATATTGAAATGATACATTCCTTGAACCTTCAGTAGCATTCACCAAAAAAAAAAAAAAAAAAGCCATTGTGTCTTTCTTTCTTTATGGGAAAATTCTTAACTATTTATTCAGATTTTCTAATTGTTATAGGACTATTCCGGTTCTTTATTTCTCTGAGTCAGTTTTGATAGGTTTTATTTTTCTAAAACTTTGTCCATTTCTTCTAAATTTTCAAACTTTCTGGCATAGAGTTGTTTTTATTTGCTCTTATCTGTTTTATCCACAGCATCTGTAATTGTTGTCTTTTACATTTCTGATAATCATGCTGTCTCTCTCTTTGTTTTTTTGTTTTTAAATTATTTTTGTAAGAGGGTATATTTGATTAGCTAATTTTTAAAAAATTATTTTATTTTATTTTTTATTTTTGGAGACGGAGTCTCATTCTGGTGCCCAGGCTGGACTGCAGTGGCATGATCTCTGCTCACTGCAACCTCTGCTTCCCTGGTTCAAGCGATTCTCCTGTCTCAGCTTCCCGAGTAGCTGGGATTACAGGTGCCCACCACCATGCCCAGCTAATTTTTCTATTTTTAGTAGAGATGGGGTTTCACCATGATGGTCAGGCTGGTCTTGAACTCCTTATTTCAGGTGATCCACCTGCCTCAGCCTCCCAAAGTGCTGGGATTACAGGCATGAGCCACTGTGCCCAGCCCATTTCACGCTCTTGATCCTCTCTTTGTCTGTCTTCTATTTCATTACTTTTGCTTTTATCTGTATCATTTTATTTCTTCTACATTTTGGAAGTTTGTTAGATTCTGCATGTAGATGTTAGTAACTTGCTAACATTGACTCTTTCTTCATGTAAAACTAAATTTTCAAATATATGCTTTATATTCTTCTCACAGGTTTGGAAATGTACTGAATTTTCATTACTGTTTCATTCCACATATTTTCTGATTTTACTCATGAAATTTTGGAAATATTTTTCTCCTTTCCAAGCATATGGATTTTTATAGAAAAGTTTTTGTTGTTGATTTCTAACTTAATTGCATTTCTGCCAGAGAATTATATCATTGTTTAGAAATTTGTTGAGATTAATTTTATGTCTAGAATGGTGTCAGTTTTCATACACTTTTGGTTTTATTCTTAAAAGTAATGTTGATCTTCGAATTGTTAGCTGCTGTGTTGCATGTCTGTGCATTGGATGAAACTTGTTGGTTGGGCTGTTTGTTTTTTGTATCTTTACTGATATATTTTGTCTATTTAATCTGTCCGTTTTGAATTGAAAGAGGTGTGTGAAAATCTCCTATGTTGTCAGTCTTGTCAGTTTCTTCCTGTAGACCTGTCAGTTTTTACTTTATATTTTGAGGCATGTTATTTGGTGTTATTAGTTTATAATTGTTATATCTTCTTGGTAGGTTAAAATGTATCACTAATAATGCTTTTTGCCTTACCATCTATTTTGTCTGATAGTAATATGGCTATCCCAGCTTTCTTTTGATTAGTATTGGCCTGGAATATCTTCTTGTCCTCGGAGGATTTAATTTTTGTGAACATCTCTTCAATAAACCTTTGATGACTGGCTTCCAGTAAATTCAAACCTAACTACAAAAATCTTACATTTTGTATGTGTGAGAAATATGCTCTGAACATATGATGTAAAGCTGTGATGAATCAGTAATTTGGGAACCAGTTGTGACTTCAGATGTTTTTGGGTTTTTGGTCTTGTCGTTATGCAGGTTGACATGTTTGGGTTCTGTAAGTCATGTGTTTCTGTCTTTGATTCCCTACTCCACATTGACTCAGTCAGCAGATCTTTTTAATTCTTCCTATACAATCCCTTTCATATAAATCCCTCTTTTTGGTCTCACCACCTTTCTTTGAATTCAGGCCTTAATTTCCTCTTCTCTTGCCACAGTGTCCTCCCTGTTGTCCTTGCCACCACAGTCTCACTCCCCATCTTGTTTCTTTCCTATAGTAGTGCCAGTCTGACAGTTCTGAAATGCCATTTTGGATATGGCTGTCTTCGTGGAAGTTCTTTTTTTTCTTTTTTTTTTTTTTAAGCTGTCTTTATGAGGTCTTTCTGAACACTCTGATCACTCCGATTTTGGTGATGGGGATTTCACTCATCTACCACCACTGCTACTGTGAGATAGGCTGAGGGATGTACTGTGTCATCTTTTCCTTTCCTTCCTTGTTGGAGTATACTCATTTTTTTCCTTCTTGTCTTTGGAGCTAGATTCCAATTTTTCTTTATCTTTCTTGTCCCTTTCTCTTTCTTGTCTCTTTCTCATTCTCCTTCTAACTCTTTCTCTCGTTGAAGATGTTTATCTCTGTAGTGTTCTACTTGCTCCTGAAAACTCTGGACTGGTTTTTTATGTCTTTTTCCAAAATTCCAACTCATCCTGAAACTTCATGACTTTGAGCTCAATTTCACGAAGTTTGGCCTGTTTTTCCTCACTCATTTCCGAGTACTTAGAGAACATGGACTCAGTCATTTCTTCTTTGATTGGATTAGAGTACAGATGATGTTCTTCAGATTTGGAACTTTGAGTATCTTCTTCATCTTCACTTTCTTCTTCTTGATTTTGTTTTTCTTCCGATTCTTCATGCTGGTCAAATAACTCCCATTTAGAAGTTGTAACAGCCTGTGCTTCCAATTCAGATTTGTCCACAGCTTCCCATTTTGATGGGGCAACTTTAGATATAGGCTCATTCTTCTCTGAGTTTTCAGTTGCATCCAAAGGCACTCCATCAAGATCATCATCAGGACTTTTTATAGGGATTCCATGAAGATCATCCACGGGAGTAGCATCAATAGGAATTCCATCTACATCTTCCAGAGGTGCACCATCAAGCTCTTACTTGATGGAAGCACCATCAAGATTGTCTAGTACATCTTCTGTTTCCTTTTGTACAATAATATATGCAAGTCCTAAGAAAATGTTTTTTAGTTTAATCAAAAATGGTTCTGGATAAATTGCCCAATCTTCCCATGCTCTAAAGCTTAGGTTGTGTACGACTTGTCATATCACTGTCTGAGGGTCCAGATGCATCTGTATGTGCATTTGAAGATCCAGATGAGTGAACATCTGACAATCTCATCTTTGAACTGGTCTCCTCAGAAGTTCTTGATGGTTTGCCTGCAGGACAAAAGCCTAAATGCCTGGGCTGAGTTGGATTCCACACCGTCTGCATCTTTCTCCTCATCTTCTAAGCTTAATCCCTCATTCTTGCTGATCAGGCACCCTCCCTCTCCTGCCAAGTAGATGAACTCACTATTTCCCAAATTTGCCATAAACTGGAGCTTTTTTTTTTTTTCGCTTTGGCACATTCCATTTTCTCTACCATATTTGTTACATTTTGCTTTAAGCTTTTTCTGACGAACCCAACTAAATCATCTCTGCATTGTAAGGCTTAAAGTTAACACTGACATCACTCCTCTTGATGATGACTATCTGTAATGCAGCCAGTCACAGAACTGAAAAGTCTTGCAAACTCTTCTCTTTCGTAAGCCTTTATTTTGTGGATTAATTCCCCCTGCACTGTCGCTGCTGTGTGATTGCTTAGTCTTGGCATGGCTGACTCTGATACCCGCAAATTCACTTATAAATGAGAACCCTCCTACTCTTAAGCAGGCTAGAGGGCTTAAAAGTTGTCCTTTAAATCTGATTGAAATCTGCTTTCTTCACGTTAATTTCAATTCTGGACCCATATAGAGTAAGTTCTCTTTTCAAATGTCTGCCTTCAGCTATCTGGAGGATTACTATTGTATCCCTTCTCAGTCTTCCCGATCAACCTCTTCTGCCTTAAATTATTCTTATAGGTCCAAATTTCCAACCTTTGTCCATCTTGGTCTCTTTTTGGGCAGACTACTTTGTCAGTGTCCCTCAACCCCTCCCTTTATTTTTTGGTCCAGACCCTTTTAAAGTATCCTCCAGTTTAAATAAAATGCTTCAGGTTTGACCAGAGAGAAGCAATTGCTTTTGGTTTTTGTGAATATTACTTTGTCAGTCATCTGCTTATCACTGGAAACCTTAACTCACTATATTCTTAGTTTATGACTAGCTGAAATTCTTCATATTCGTCTTTAAGTATAATTCCTCTTCTTTGCTAGCTAGTTCACAATCTTTGCATTTGTCCCTGTTTAGTTTCACCTTGTTAGATTTGGCATATCCCATCCACCTGTTACTAACTTTTTGGAACTGGAATCTGTCACCTAGGTTATTTCCTGATCTTTGTCACCTTTGTAACACTGTTTATAAACTTGACTCTTGAAATCTAATGAGCAGTCATTTTTTGGAGCAAGCACAAGGTTAGGCGCTGTGGAACTAAAGAAGAATTAGATACGGCTTCTGGCCTTAAGGAATTAGAGTGAGCATTCTCTGTTTTCACCTAAGACAGTGAGTAGAATGTAAAATGAGGAAGGCTGAGGTCAGAACTTTGTACTCTTCCACTAGATACCTTCCTTCAGGTTGAAATCAGTCTGACCTCTAAGGTCAAATATGAGTCTAGACAACTGTATAATCATACACTCATACTCTGTATTTTGCCCATAAAGAGACTACAGGAGATTGTTATATGTTTTGTTAAAATCCAGACACAATCTTTGCACAGGGTTCCCAGGTGCGGGCTAGTCCAAGGGATGGCATCAGTTTGTGAATCCATAGTAACTTCTGGGGATCACCTACTTCGTCTCTTATCTGCCTATATGCAGTTCACATATTTTGAGTTCATGGTCTATGGTTTCATCACTTTCCTCCTTCTTTTCAAAAGTTAAGGAAGACACATTTGCCTCTTTCCTGTCTTCTATGTGGATATTCGAGGCTAGGTGTATTGTTCTGATTCCCTCTTCTTTTATTCTGTGATTAGCAGAACACCTTTGTCTTTAGTATTCATCTATATCACAGTTTTTGCCTTCTATAATACTAGATATCATCTTGTACTTTCTGGGCATTTTTCTTCTTTCCTTATCATTCTTAGTTTATTGAACAAACTGACAGCCCTTGGTGAAACTGGCAAAAGCAAACTCCTTCCTGGAACTTCTGAGATGTAGTCTGGCTCAAA
Source organism: Homo sapiens (assembly GCF_000001405.40). Taxonomy (NCBI): domain Eukaryota; kingdom Metazoa; phylum Chordata; class Mammalia; order Primates; family Hominidae; genus Homo; species Homo sapiens. Next base: position 72,770,477 of record NC_000003.12, on the reverse strand, counting down.
CCAGGCCCTGATCATTCTGTCATCTTAAGCCATGGTCCACAAAGCCAAATCCTGTTTCTGATTTGGGAAGGCTGAGGTCAGAAAGCTGTCCCCTGTCATTAGAAATGTAGTGAGGCCATAGAGTATTATGGTTAAGAGTATGGGCTCTGGAGCCAGCTGGCAGCTTCAGATCTCTTCTCTGTCTGTATGGCCTTGGACAAGCCATTTAAACTCTCTGTGCTTCTGCTATCCATAAAATGGGGGAGAATTAGGAAAATTAGATGAGCTAACACATGCAATTTGTTTAGAACATGTTAACACAGAGTAAGTGGTCAATAATATTTGCTAAGAACAAAGCTCCATTGATGCACTGCTTGTTTAACAATAGCATTGGCTGAATCAGGCAATCAGTCCATAACAATAATAGCTAGCATTTATCAAGGGCTTACTGCATACCAGGCATTGTGCTAAGTGCTTTATAGAGATTATCTCTCTTGATGATCTCACAAGCCCCATATGAATTTGGGTTATGTCCTCATTTTGTTATCACCCCAGGTTACAATTAGGGAAATTGAGGCTCAGAGAGATTAAGTTAACCCAGAGCTGTGTGACTTCAGAGCCTGAGCTCTTAACCTCCTTGCTGTGGTCAGTCAGTTGTTTGCCGACTTCAGAACACATGACCCCTGATAAACACAGGACATTTTCTTGGTGAAGTAGCCCATGTGGTCTCTGTTATGGAGCATTTAGACTGGTTGTAGAGACAAGACAAGATTTGCAGAGGGCAGAATTAGAGGACTGCTGAGCAAACCCTGGCCCCGTTGCAAGAGACATAGTGATTCAAAGAAGAGGAGGCCAGGCTGGTCTGCAAGGCCTAGTGGAGTAGAAGTCTTGAACAGGGAACTAAAGATGGGTGGGATCTGACCAGGCACAGAAAGAAAGGGGGAAGATGTGCTAGGCAGGGATGCAACTTGAGGCAAATCCCAAAGTAAAAATAATTGTTCTGGGTCTGGAAGCAGTGGTACCAGTCACATTAGTGTAGCAGGTACGTATTGAGATATACAGACTATGTTAGGGAACTGGGGAGATGGAACTAAGTCTGCAGACGTAGAAGTTGCAAGCTAGTGACCCTTGGGTCACTTTTGGCTCTCAGTGAGTTTTTAAAGACTTTAAATTGGTTGTCAACACTTAAAAATTGGAAGATTTTGTGTAAAAGTCTGGATTTATAGCTGCTCTTGAAATAACGGAAGTTCTGGCAGTTGCTGGGCCCACATCCCCACATGGTAACAATTGGCTAGAGCTGGGGCCAGCTGTCTCCATTATGTGGGACAAGTGCTCTCCATTCTGCCACAGACCCCCACCTGCCTGCTAGACTCCATCTGTTTGGCTTCTAGGGGCAGCAGTTTGTGGCCTTGGCCTAATGTATAAGGGCTCTGTTACTTGATCAAAGGACCTGCACTTTTTTCCTGCCAAACTGCAGGTCCCATTCAAGCAGGAGCCATGTTTTTCTTGTGCACTGCTGTATAGCTGGGTCCTAGCAAAATGCCCAGCAAATACTGGCCACTCAATAAATGTGGCACCTGGATGGCAGCAGTGACCGTATTATAGTGCAATCAATTTTGGAAGCTGCAGCGGGGTTCTAGAATGCTTAGGGAAAAACATACTGGGGGCACACAGCATTTGACCTGGTGGCTCATGTTGAACGCTGTTGTAAAGGCACACTATGGATGACCATTAAGCAGCAAATAGGCTGCTTATAAAGCAGAGAACAATCTGTGTTTGTGTCGAGGAAAAAACTGCTGGCCATGCAGTGCTCTGTTTCCAACTCCTCTCACTGACATGGATAGCAGCCCTGTTGTTGTTTTCTTCTTTGGACACGTACTAAACAATAGGAATAGAAAATGCATAAGTAAGGCTTATGGCACATACTTATTTGCCTCACTCAGCAGGACAACAGAATCACAAAGATCACAGCCACAGCTCTGCGCTCTGTGTGTTTTAGTAAAAACCTGTAAAACCGAGTTGCTTTCGACTAGGGATATGATCTTTCTTCCTAGATGCTGATGGCAGCTCTTCTCCGCGGTTTAGCCTGTGTTCTTGTTTTGTTTATTTATTTATTTCCCTTTCTTCTGCACTTGGTATTCCTCAGGCTCCATCTGAATGTGCCTTGCCATCGGGAGCACTAGGAAAGAAGAAAGTCAAACTGCCTCTCCCTCAGGCTCAGGCTTTGGAAAATCAAAGCTAGCAGAGGCAGCTCTTCTCTGCCTGCAGCAGGGTCAGCGATTTGTGTAATGTTTTCCCTGTCGGCTTATCTCTGCTGATTTCTTCTGTTTTTGAGCAAGGGAATGAAGAGTTGTATCATTGCTGCTGCCTTTTTAAGCAGGTGGGATCTGCAGCTGTGATCACAGCCAAGCTCTGTGCTCCCTGCTGACAGCATTCCCTGCTTTTTTGTAAACTGCTCCTTCTAGGGCTGGATTTGTCTCAGTGGAATGAAGTGGCTGCAAGAAAAAAAACCACCCAGACTCCCTGACAAGGAATGAAAGGAGCAAAGCACTTATATCTCCCGCCCCACGCAGGAAGCATTTTGATAGCATCGTTTGAATCAAACCATAATTAGGCTTTTGCATCCAGTTCTTGTAGGAACATGAAATGCTAGGCAGCCAACAGGTTTGGTTCTGGCAACCACCTAACCATGGAGGATTAAGTTGTACTGTGTATTCCTATATTTAGTAAAGTAGTATCTCAGAGACCCTTTTTCATTCTTATTTTTAGTAATCAGTAATTTTTGTAGATAGTAATTTGGGTCTGATTGGGACATGTTGGCAACTCTTCAGTTCTAATTATAGAAGAGTTTTTGCCAGTAAGTCTTGAGGACAGAGTGAACGTAGGATTTTAAAAAGGTATCCAGCAAATTAGTTGAGTCCTAATTGTTGAGGGTTGTGATCACTATAATAGAATATATGAGATTAATTGTAGCTCCCTACCTCGTAAAACTATTCTAGGAGACTTAATTTGCATAAACGTTTTGTCAAGGACTGGGCCCAGTGATATAGGACAGATTCTCCAGTGGTTCTGCTGGCAAATGTCATCTTCCAGCATCTTGTTCAACTTGTATGTCGGTAATCAACTCTTTAGTTACCCAGATGGTGTCCCTGCTTCAGAGCGTGAGCCAGCACAGCATAGTGCATAGTGGGTCTGCACATGAGGAGCTCTGGCTAATCAGGGATGAACCCTCTGGCATGGGGCAGGTTTTTGCTTCTGAACATTGGTGGAATATGGAGAATTCAACCTGCTTATGTTTCTGATGAAAGGATCAGATGGGTTCGTACATATGAAAGCAATTTGGAAGCCCTCAAGTCTGATGGCCGTGTGGAGGATTAGTGCTTGGGTTTGTGGCTAGCCCTGTGGTGTACCTATGCCGCTAAAGTCTCTAGGCTTCATCTTTGTCAAACAAATTAGGGCTTTAGATTAGATCTGTGTGGTCTGATTTGGTATTCATTGCCACATGTGGCTATTTTCATTTAAATTAGTTCAAATTAAATACAATTTAAGGTATAGTTCTTCAGTCAAGCTGACATTCTGAATGCCCGACAGCCACATGGGGTTAGTGGCCCATATTGGACAGCACGTTTCCATCATTATGTGAAGCCCGCTGGACAACCTGGACTCAGTTATCTAGCAGGTTTCCTCCAGCTGGGGATTGATTAGACTTCAATAAAATGGCTCATGAAGTCCTTAAAAGAGGCCTGTGCTTTCAGTTCCCCCCTCCCTTCACCGGCAGACCTGCACCAGGGGCTTGGATGTGCTGAAATCTTTCCTCCTTGTTTGCCTGGTGTCTGAGGCATGAGCCCTTCCTGTGATACCTTCTCCAGTGAGTTTCTTAGAAGAGGTAAGTTGTAGAATGACACATTCCTGAGCCCTCAAATAGTTTTATCTTGTTTACATAAAATTCTGACTTGGACAGAATTTTCCTTCTCTTTTATTAAACCTCTATGTCTTACTTTTCAAGAACAAGATGACCTGTGGTCATTTTCTGTGTACATGGGACAGCTTAGGTTCAGGGTCGGGCTCAGGCAGCAGTGGTGTAGTATGAACTTGGGCAGCAGATGAGGGTTTGGAGGTGCAGGTTGGCCCACAGAGGTGGATGGATGGTACAAGAACTATGGTTTAGAGATGGATACATGATCTGGAGACTAGCAATTAGCTATGTCAGAATCGGCATCCAGATGGCTTGTAGAACTGGGAGCAGGGGATTGTTGTGAGTGTCTTACACTAAGCTTGATAGACTGGAGGTTCAAGCTGAGAAGAGGTGGAATAGCTGAAAACAGGAATAAGCTAGGTCCCACAGTTTAGGCTGTTCAGTGATGTATAGGGTCCCCAAGGTCACCTTTCAGTGAGGCCTTCCCTAAATACTCACAAAAAATTGAACACCCCCTGGCCCAAGTGCACCCTGGCTACCTTTTGAGTTCTGTGTTGTTTTTTCATGGCACTTATATCATCTAGCACACTATATTTTACTTACTTTTTATGATCTGTTATTATTTTAGTATTTATTATCTTTTCTTACACAAGAATATAAGCTCCATGAGCACAGGAATTGGTCTGTTTTGTTCGGGGCTTGAACACATAGTACTTTCAAGTATTTATTTGGCCAGGCACAGTGGCTCATGCCTGTAATCCTAGAACTTTGGGAGGCCAAGGCAGGCAGATCACCTGAGGTCAGGAGTTCGAGACCAACCTGGCCAACATGGCGAAACCCCGTCTCTACTAAAATACAAAAATTAGCTGGGTGTAGTGGCACGTGCCTGTAATCCCAGCCACTCAGGAGGCTGGGGCACAAGAACTGCTTGAATCTGGGAGGCGGAGGTTGCAGTGAGCCGAGATTGCACCACTGCACGCCAGCCTGGGTGACAGAGTGAGACTGTCTCAAAAAAAAAAAAAAAATATATATATATATATATATATATATATGTCATGTGAATCTGGGAGGCAGAGGTTGCAGTGTGCTGAGATCGTGCCACTGCATTCCAGCCTGGGCGACAGAAGGAAACTGTCTTTAAAAAAAAAAAAAAATGAATCAGTGAAAAATGCAGCCCTGATGCACTGTTTCAGTGCAGTCTGGAGGTAGAGCTACTCTTGGGAGGCTAGTGCCATAGAAGGAAGTAACAGGTAGAGGTCTGAGGAGACAGGCAAGTGGTGGCATCTGAATGGACAGAAATGGGTTCAGGGGCAGGCATGTGGACCGTAACTTCAGGCAAGGTCCCTGTGAAAGTTGAAGATCTTGTACAAGAAGGCAGCTAATGGGCAGAAAGCCCAGCTTTGCAGAGTCAGGGTTTTGAGATAAAATGTTTCTGAGTCTGGGCCTCAGGACCAGTCTGACCTAGAAGGGGGGCTAAGGAAAGAACTCTTGAGCAATGGAACCATTAGAGTAGGGCCCCATGCATCTTTTTACTTAAAGCCAAGATTGGTGAGTAAATGCAAGGTGGAGATTCATCCTCATGCTCTGGGTGTAAGAGGGATGGGACAGAGTCAGGCTGCCCTGTACACAATGTGTGAAGTCAGCAATGCCTCACCACAACAGTTGACCCAGGAACAGGGGGAACCTCCCACCATTCCCATCCCACTGTTTGATCAGATCCAAGAATCCACAATATTGAGAGTGAATGAAAAGTGTCAGCTGGTAATGATGACTTCAACATAGTCAGAACTCTTTGGGGTGTTCCAAACATCATGGTGCATATGTATTACCTGGGAGTCTTGTTAAAAAGACTCCTGTTCAGAGACCTGGGTTGGGGGCTGAGATTCTGCATTTCTAAGAAGTTCCAAGATGATGCTGCTGCTCCTGGTCCAGGGTTATGCTTTCAGAAGCAAGGCTTTATCAAAGAAAGAAACTAAATATTAGCCATTGAAGTCAATTGCCTTTATTAAAAGTATTTTAAAATTCTCCTTAGATAGTCTAGGGGCTGTCATTTAAGGGTATTCTGGTAGACAGATGCTTTTCACTTCGGTTTAGTTTTTGAGAGTATAAGCAAGCATAAAATACACTTTCCCAAGTTTGATTTTCTATAGACGACCACTTGTCAGAACTGTTGTCAAGTCTGGCTTTCAGATCCCATGTTTCCTGAGGCAGTCGTTGAATACTTCAAACCTTAGTAGTCTGGGCACCGTGGCTCATGCAAATAATCTAGCACTCTGGAAGGCCAAGGCGGGAGGATCGCTTGAGCCTAGGAGTTCTAGGCTGCCATCAGCTGTGATTGCGCCACTGCACTCCACCTCTTCTACTTGTAAGTAAGTGGTTCTGCCTAGTGTGGTATGTGGGCACTGGGTAGGGTTTGTAACAGGGGTACATTGTGATCATAGTGTAAAAGCATAGCATTTTGGGCTTGGAGGGGAATTAGAAACAAACTAATCTATTCCCCTCATGTTATTACGCAAAGAAAACTTTTCTGTGCCTTGCTGTTGCTATTTTTAGTGGTGTCTTTTTTTTTTTTCCATTTGTAAACTCAGGAACATACTATGCAATGCTTTCTAATTTCTGTTCTGCTGTAAGGATCTTCATCACTGATGTTCTTCTATATTCATTTCCTAAGGCTGCTGTAACAAATTACCACAGACTGGGTGGCTTAAAACCACAGACCTTTATTCCTTGCATTCCTAGAGGCTAGAATTCCAAAATCAAGGTGTCATTTGGGTTGGTTCCTCCTGTGAACTCTGCAGGAGAATCTGTTCCGTGCCTCTCTGCTGGCTTCAGCAGTGCTGGCAACCCTAGACATCCCCTGGCATATGAACACATCACACCAATCTCTGCCTCTGTCTTCACATGGCATTCTCTGTGTCCCTGTGTCTTTACATTGTGTTTTTTATAAGGACACCAGTTGGTGGACTGAGGTCCTTCCCTAATCCGGTGTGACCTAATCTTGATTACATCTGCAAAGACCCTGTTTCCAAAACAGGTGACATTCACAGCTTCCAGGGCTTAGGACATCAACACATCTTTGTCAGGGACACAGTTCAACCCATAGTATCTTCCTTCTACCACCAACTTTATAGTGATACCTTCTCCATTTAGTTGGCTGACCTCCACTTAGTTGAATTGAATCCAAACAGCCGTTTCATTTGGACAGTTAACAGGTCAAAATCTACATCATTAAACAACACTATTTGCCCTTTTTTCACACAGATGAAATGTAGGAATGTTGTCAGAATTGTTCAAGTCTTATGTGCCCAAATACCATGCTTCATGGAATAGTCATAGAGAAGAAAATGGATTGGAGAGCTCTGCTTCAGCCTGCGACTTGCAGTCCCCATTTCTTCTGTCCTTTCCTATCCTACAAAGGTGTTTTTTACTTAACCAGATAATTGGTTTCATTAATAATTTATTCTCTGCCTTGTACTAGAAATTATTTAAAGCATTTCTCTCTCTCTCTCTCTCTCTCTCTGTGTGTGTGTGTGTGTGTGTGTGTGTGTGTGTGTGTGTGTAAAACAAGATGGCATAATAAAGGTGAAGGTAAAAGAAGAAAATTAAAAGTAGAAACAGGCCGGGCTTGGTGGCTCATCCCAGCACTTTGGGAGGCTGAGGCAGATGGATCACCGGAGGTAAGGGGTTCAAGAGCAGCCTGGCCAACATGGTGAAACCCTGTCTCTACTAAAAATACAAAAATTAGCCAGGCGTGGTGGTGCGTGCCTGTAATCCCCATTATTCGGGAGGCTGAGGCAGGAGAATTGCTCTAACCTAGGAGGCAGAGGTTGCAGTGAGCCAAGATTACGCCACTGCACTCCAGCCTGGGTGACAGAGCGAGACTCTGTCTCAAGAAAAAAAACTGGAGGCAAGAAGGAGCTGCAGGTACATTCTGTCATGTTGAGTGAGTCACAGATTTGAATTCACCAGCAGCCCGTATGGAACGGGAGACCTTGCGAGGTACACAATTCAAGTGAGGTATACAATTCCAAGAGGTTCATGGGACTGTTATTTAAATCAGCTTTTGGGATCACAGCGAAGCACATTTCAGCAATAGCATTTCTGCTAGGGAGTAGAGAGAAATGTGGCAAATTTATGAGACCCACATTTCCATCTCTGTGAATTTGATCTGGCCTGGCAAAAATGTAAAACAGTTGCAAAGCTGGGGTGAACTGCATTTCTTTCACACAGTTCTTTATGGACATTGTACCTTTCTTAACCTATTTGTCACCCTCACCCTTGAATTTCTTAAGTGGAGGTTGGGGTTGAGCCAAATGGTGGCTTCTCTGCATTTGGATAAACCTTATGAGAGCCATTCTTTTCAGCATTTAGCGTTGCCATAGCGAGTGTTTTTTTCTAAGTCATTTATTTTTCTCAAAAAATGGATGTGTGTGTATGTGTGTACTAATGTGTGTGGGCAGATGTATGTATAGGCATGTGTGTGCACATGTATGTATGTACATGTTTGTGGGCACATGTATGTATGTACATGTTTATGTGCAGACTGTCCTCAAAAAAACTGCTGGAGCTAGAGCCTGTCTCCTTGCCTTTAGCTCCCCTGCTTTCACCCCTTCTGTGCGAGAGTCATTCTGATGGAGGACTTTTTAAACATGTAGCCCACCTGTTTATCGTTTGACGATTAAAGTAAATGACTCTCTATATAATTGTGAACCAGGGGAAACTGTATGTGAGTTCACACATAATTAACATAAAAAGTAAGAAGTGTTCTACTTGAGGTCTTTAGAGTTGTCTTTCTGTGATAATATGACATCTTTGGTCCTCCATGGCTCAAAGAAGGTGCCACATTATTTTCTTATTTTACCAGTAGGGATAATAATAGTACCTATCTCACAGGGTTGCTGTAAGTACTTCATGAGTTTACCATGTGAAATACTTAGAAAGCCTGCACAGAGTTACTGCACAGGAAGTGCAAGCCTTTTGTATTAACGGATACTGTCAAGGAACCTTTGTCCTTTTGCATAGCATCCAAGAGGTGGTTGAGTCTTTATTATTGCTGTTTGCCATAGTGATTTGACTATATTATTCAAATACATCTAAAAATTTTATTCCTTGGCCCGGCGCAGTAGCTTATGCCTATAATCTCAGCTCTTTGGGAGGCTGGGGCAGGAGGGTCGCTTGAGCCCAGGAGTTTGAGACAAGCCTGGACAATGTAGCAAGACGCTGTCACTACAAAAAATTTATAAATTAGCCAGGCGTGGTGGTGTGTGCTTCTAATCCTGGCTACTTGGTAGGCTGAAGTGGGAGGATTGCTTGAACACAGTAGGTTGAGGCTGCAGTGAGCTGTGATTGAGCCACTGCACTCCAGCCTGGGCGATGGAACAAGACTCCATCTCTAAAAGAATAAAAAAAATTTTAAAAATAAGTAAAAATAAAAATTTTATTTCCCCCACCTTCTTGGGATCTGTAGTCTGTGTCAGATATATATTAATGCGTTCATGAATATTTGTATTCTCTACTAAAGCACTAAGGACTAGAGCTCATAAACTTTTTTGAAAAGTGGCATAGTTGTTGAATCGTTGGAATCGTCTTGAGAGCTTTTATCGATCTAATTATAAGAAACCTACAATTGGCTTTTCATAAAAGGATATGAAGGTCTATTTTGTGATTTTTAAAACCTTGATATATTTTGTAATATTTCAAGAAGACAGAGTTATTTTCTGCCAGGGACTTTTGGAAAGTGGTCACTGTCATTTCCTTAAGGAATGATTTGATACTGATTATTTTCTAGCTCCACATTGTATTTTTCCTAAGCTTAGTACATCACAGTCAAGCTGACTTCTCCATAGGAATTAAGTAGCATTGAAGTTTTCAACAGTCATTTTCAAAGATTAAATAATTTATATTACTCTCATAACAACTACCCTGTAAGCAGTTGAAAGAGAGCAGATGAGAGAGAAGAGCCCTTTAAGCTTGGAACTTTGGGATTAATATCTTGTAGCAACTCTTCCAGTTTAAGTCACACAAACTTTCAAGCTGCATCAAAGTACCCAGTCATGTCAACTACGTTTATAAAGTGGAAGAATTGGAGTAGATGACTTCTGTGCTCCCTTAAAGAATGAAATTTCAGTGGATCTCTCTAGCATAGCCACTTATATGTGTCATGCAGGAAGTCCTTTCTGAATATTCATTGAGTTTCTGCACTTAGAAAGTTACAAAGAAACGCGATGGTAGTCAAACCTCACAAAAATTCACTAATGAGCAAGCCTCTTAATAAATTTCATCCACATTCTAGTATATCATTTCCTTCCCAGCATCTTTCCCATCCATCTTGCCAGTATTTTTATTGTTTGACTTACTGTTGATCATTGATATTGTACAGTGCAAATAAATTGCAAGTCAACCAAAAGATCAAGGATTTCACGAAAACATTGGAAGTGATATGGGGGATGTGCTTGAACCACATGGAACCACTCACCATAGTAAACAATTGAAGAAGAAAACTCTACAATAATAGTGAAATTAGTGGAAAGTCCTTATTTTGAATATTAAAGGATTGATTAAAAGATTGATTTGAGCATCACATGATTGAGAGGCCCTTGAGGAAACTGATGATACCCTTGATTTTTTTCTGTAAGAATTACCTTCTCTGATTCTGCTACAAAAAGACCAACATGAAGTGATGAATGTTAGATGGTGCTGTAATATAATTTTGTTAGAACAATTACAAATACAATTAATATTTGGTTCATTCTTTGCTGTTTTTGAGAATTAGTACATGGTTGCAGTTTTAACCTACATATTGTTAACATTGTTAAATATTTCATCAATTTATTTTTGTAGTTTGTAGTTTTGTTTCAAGGTGAAGTATTTGGTTTTTGTTGTTGTTTTTTTGACACAAGAGTCTCCCTCTGTTGCTGAGGCTGGAGTGTAGTGCTGCAGTCTCTGCTCACTACAACCTCCGCCTCCCAGGTACAAGTGATTCTCCTGCCTCAGCCTCCTGAGTAGCTGGGATTACAGGCACCTGCTACCACACCCGGCTAATTTTTATATTTTTAGTAGAGACAGGATTTCCCCATGTTGGCCAGGCTGGTCTCGAACTCCTGACCTCAAGTGATCCGCCCACCTTGGCCTCCCAAAGTGCTGGGATTACAGGTGTGAGCTGCTGCCTCCAGCCTCAAGGTGAAGTTTTAACCTTATCATCATTATTTACTATTAAATTTTGGTCTCCATTTTAAGTTGATTTACTTTTTTCTGGTCTATTATCCTCTATTAATGAGCATCTCCACTATTGATTTCAGCTCTACAGGGTGTACTGTGTTATAGTGATGCCCTGTGATGTCCCTCCAAACTTCATGTCCTTGCAGAACCTCACAATGTGACCTTATTTAGAAATAGAGTCATTGCATATGTAATTAGTTAAGATGAGGTCATGCTAGAGTAGGGTGGGCCTTTAATCCACCATAACTGGTAACCTCATAAGAAAAGAAGAGACACTAAGACACAAACAGAGTGAAGATGGCCATGTGAAGTCACAAACACATAGGGAGAACACCCTGAACAACAGAGGCAGAGCTTGGAGTGATGCATTTACAAGCCAAGGAACTCCAAGGATTGCCAGCAACACCAAAAGCTAAGAGAAGGGCATGGAAGGGATTCTGCCCTGAGAAGGAGCCAAACCTGCTGACTCCTTAATTCTGGACTATTAATAGTAGCCTTGGCCAGGTGCGGTGGCTCACGCCTGTAATCCCAGCTCTTTGGAAGGCCAAGGCAGGCAGATCATGAGGTCAGGAGTTTGAGACCAGCCTGGCCAACATGGTGAAACCCTGTCTCTACCAAAATACAAAAATTAGCCGGGCGTGGTGGTGAGTGCCTGTAATCCCAGCTACTCAGGAGGCTGAGGCAGGAGAACTGCTTGAACCCAGGAGGTGGAGGTTGCAGTGAGCCGAGATCGTGCCATTGCATTCCAGCTTGGGCAATAGAATGAGACTCCATCTCGGAAAAAAAAAAAAAAAAAAGAAAAAATAGTAGCCTCAGGAGCTGTGAAAAATAAATTTATATATTTTGTTTTCTGCTACCAGTTTTTGGTGGTTTGTTATGGCAGCCTTAGGAAACTAATACAGGGAGTTTTCAGAAAATGATTCTGCTGATCCATGGACTAGATGATGTTTCTCAGAGCCTATGCCCACGAAATGGCATAAAAACCAGTTGAAATTTGTATGAGAAGTTGTGTTATTGGCCCAAACTAGATATGGTTTAAATAACTCTTTAGCTTGCAGCCTTCCTTGTGTTAAGTTAGTCGTTTCTTGTTCTTAGAGATTGAATGTTTTTGTTAATGGCTGCGCTGGAAGTGCTTCTCACTGTTATAGAATAAGAAGAGACAGCTTCAGGTTCCTCTGTGCATCCATTGGTATTTGTTTTTCTTGGCGGCTCTCAGATTCAAGATAGGAATTTCACCAGCAACTTCTACTTAAAGCCAGTGCATTACCTTTAGATCAGGCTACATACATGTGTTTTGGGCCAAGGAACCTAAAGTATGGAACTGGTTCTTTTCAATAGAGAGGAATTATGATATGTCATTATCATAAAAGCCCTTTTAAAAAAATTTAACTTTTAAGTTCAGGGACACGTGCAGGTTTGTTATATAGGTAAACTTGTGTCATGGGAGTTTGATGTACAGATTATTTTCACCACCCAGGTATTAAGCCTAGTACTTATTAGTTGTTTTTCCTGATCATCTCCCTCTACCTATCCTCCACCCTCTGATAGGCCCTGGTGTGTGTTGTTCCCCTCTATGTGTCCATGTGTTCTTATCATTTAGCTCCCACTTACAAGTGACAACATGCGGTAATTGGTTTTCTGTTCCTGCATTAGTTTGCTAAGGAAAATGGCCTCCAGCTCCATCCATGTTGCTACAAAGGACATGATCCTGTTCCTTTTATGGCTGCATGGTATTCCATGGTGTATATGTACCACATTTTCTTTATCCAGTCTACCATTGATGTGCAGTAAATGCCCTTCAGAAAGTTGAAGCCGGGCTCAGTGGCACGTACCCGTAGTTCCACCTACTTGGGAAGCTGAGGCAGGAGGGCTGCTGAGGCCAGTAGTTCAACATTGTATTGTGGTATTACTGCTCCTTTGACTACTGGTCTCCAGCCTGGGCAATGCAGTGAGACCCCATCTTTCAAAAAAAAAAAAAAAAAAGGAAAGAGAAGAAATTTGATCTACTGTTTGGTCCCAGATAGAACCTGAGATTGTGTGTTTTGTATGCTATGAAATTAAAAGGCCGAGTTAGCCAGTAAGCATCCAGTTTGAACTGTCTGGAATTGCCTCACTGGAGTCTTGTCCTCTGTGATCAATTGTGGGCTCTAGTCTCAGTATGTCATGCCTGGCAGGCTTCTAGGTTTGGGCAGAGGAAATGAAACCTAGTCGGTTACTCTGAGATTTATAGTAGACCTGCTATTGCAGGAAGTGGTGAAAAGTTGATTGATAGTTTGAGACAAAACTCTACAGCAAAAAAACAGGATGTATGCTTTCCATTTATACCCAGTTCCCCCTGCCCCTACATTTCAGGCTCCTTTTGCATTTTGTTTTGGTTGCTTCATAAGGCTGCGGAGGCTTTCCCCCTCCTACAGTCACCAAATGTAAAATAATTGAGGAAATTTTGTATCAGCTTAGCCATAGTAAAGGCAAGTACTTTCTGCTGTTGCAATTACTCTTTCGTGGTAGTTACATGTAGCATAACTTGTCTGCAGTCTTTAAAGAGAAATTCTCCAAATAGGATATTATTTCACATATGCAGAAAGAATGAAAGGTCTTTTTTAAGTTACATTGTAGGATTACATTTCCAGTAACTTTCTAAGAAAAATCTATTTTGAGTGTGGTTTTATTAAAATATGACAGCAGTGGTATCCAATTGTCTCTTTTAAATGCAGCGTCTCTTCATTCTATAATAAATATATTCTTAACAGGTAGGTGATCCTCACTTAGATATAAAACATGTAACTAGCCAGGCATGGTGGCTTACTCCTGTAATCCCCAGCACTTTGAGAGACCAAGGTGGGTGGATCACTGTGAGGTCAGGAGTTTGAGACCAGCCTGGCCAACATGGCAAAACCCCATCTCTACTAAAAATAACAAAAATTAGCCGGGCGTGGTGGCGCATGCCTGTAATCCCAGCTACTCGGGAGGCTGATGCAGGAGAATCACTTGAACCAGGGAGGTGGAGGTTGCAGTGAGCTGAGATCGCTCCACTGCACTCCACACTCCAGACTGGAAGGCAGAGTGAGAGTCTGTCTCAAGAAAAACCTAACCAGACAAACAAAAAACATATACTATAACTAGTAACTCAGCCTATGTGTTTGTTGAGAGTATCAAAATGTACCATGCCCAGGGCTGCCGCTCATGCCTGTAATCACAGAACTCTGGGAAAGCCAAGGTGGGAGGATCACTTGAGCCCAGGAGTTGGAGACCAGCCTGGGCAACATAGGGAGAACCTGTCTTTACAAAAAATATAAAAATTAGCTGGGTGTGGTGGCATGTGCCTGTAGTCCCAGCTACTCAGGAGGCTGAGGTGGGAGGATCACTTTTGCCCAGGAGGTCAAAGCTACAGGGAGCGCTGATTGCACCACTGCACTCCAGAGCCCAGGCAATAAAGCGAGAACCTGTCTCTAAATAAAGAAATAAATAGTACCTGATGTTTGTAAGAGTGGTTATCTAATAATGCCATTTGACCAAGCTTTTGGACATGAACTAGCCTAGTCAGTTTTGAGTACGACAGAGAAAAACTACTACCTACCTTAAGTGAGCTGCTTTCTGAAAAGGTAAGTCTGTTACAAAAGTAGATTGTGTAATTGACAAGGAGTGGCAGATTAGAACCAACTCTAATTGTACTAGTGGTTGAAAAAAACAAAACAGCTACTCTTTCATGGCTTAATTTTTTTTCCCTACAGGAATAATTTCCCTTTTTGTGAACAGTGATTGCTAGGTTATCTGTGCTAAGTAATTGAATAAAAACAAACCCAACTTTAATTCCTCAGACTACTGGGGCACATTCTACACCAATGCTATTTTGAAATTTTAATCAGTTTTTATCCTAGCATTCTTTAAGAATGGGAGAGAGTTCAGAATGTTTCTTTTATTAAAGTTTCTTTCAGAACTTTAGTATTAATTTAGGAAGCTAGCCAGCTTGAGGTATTAAAGGTGGGATAATAAAATAGAAATGAAGCTTGGCAAAGGATCAAAAATCAATTTATCTGTCTATCTATCTATCATCCATCCATCTATCCATCCATCCATCCATCCATCCATCTATCCATCTATCCATCCATCCATCCATCCATCAACTTATTGTATAACCTGGTAATTTTAAACATAATATAATGCCGAAAGTGAAAAACTTTTTCCTGAAGGATAAAAGTTCGCATCAGCTGGTTACAGGCAGGAGTTCCTGTTTGGGCCCCTGGACTCAGCTTCACCACTTTTCTGCCTGTTACACTTGTTACTTTCAGTCCCCCTGTGTGTGGGGTATGCTTTCTGAGAAGAGCCAGGATTCTAGGGGAGGAGCTTTGGAATTCCACATTTCTACTGTTATAAAAGACAGGACACAATATCTGTATAGTAGACAATAACAAAGATCCAAATAATATCAACTTGAGAATTGGCATGTTTAATATATTCAGCAATATTCACAAAAATGATTCAAATTTTACCCTTGTTTTCTAAACCTCCATAGATGATGCTTATATGTATACTTCATTTAACATTGTTAAGCTAAATATATTAGTCACAGTTCCTTTGGAGGATTCTGGGCTTTGTGCAAGTCAGAACTTGCTCAGTTGGAAGATGCTGAGTGGAGCTCAAGTTAGGAAGAAGTAAAGAATGTGGCCTTAAGAAAGGACACTTTGGCCAGGTGCAGTGGCTCATGCCTGTAATCCCAGCACTTTGGAAGGCCTAGGCGGGCAGATCACCTGAGGTCGGGAGTTCAAGACCAGCCTGACCAACATGGAAAAACCCTGTCTCTACTAAAAATATAAAATTAGTCGGGCATGGTGGCTCATGTCTGTAATTCCAGCTACTCGGGAGGCGGAGGCAGGAGAATCTCTTGAACCCAGGAAGTGAAGGTTGTGGTGAGCCGAGATCGTGCTGTTGCACTCCAGCCTGGGCAACGAGAGTGAAAATCCATCTCAAAAAAAAAAAAAAGAAGAAGAAAAAGAAGAGAAGAACACTTTGCAGAGCCTGTATATTCATGGGAGGCCCTTTGGTGGAACGGGAAGAGGGCTGGAGTTTTGAGGCTTGGGTTTCCAGTCGTGACCGCCCCTTGTTGGCTGAGTGAACCTCAGCGGCTCTCCTACCCCTGCAAGCTCTAGTTCCCTCATCTGTAATGTAGGGATAACAATGGCACTGATTCACAAGGTGGTTAATGGAGCAAGTGCAGTGATGTTAGTGGAGCATCATCCTTTGTATATTGTTGAGAAGTATTTGTCATGACAATTAAAATGAGATATATAGTCAGTAAAGTAAAAGCTTTTATTTTATATTTTTTATTTCTAGTATTAGAGTTAGAGGCAGTATCCACTTTCCCAAATTTATTACTCTTTATTTCTTAAGTTGTGTGTCACTACCCAGAGAGAACTCCCCTTCATGGAGAAACAGAGTGGTGTACTAGTTCTTTGACTGAACTTTGCAGCAGCTCAGACTGAATCCTTTACCACTGGTAGTCAAGGTTTCAAAATATATGGTGGACATTATCTACAACTGTCTTGGGTATAAATGCAAATTATGTTGCAGCCGTCATATTCCATAGCTATGCTTTTAAAAATGCCTCAGACTGATAAAAGATTAGCCAGGGGTTATAATGCTTTGGTGAATCATTAACTGACTCTAGTGGATCTCACCTTGGTTTTCCTCTTTACCCTAAACCCCTCCCTTTCTCTAAGCGCTCTGGAAGTTCTGGCACTGAAACCCAGGGCTAAGAGAAAGCTACCCATCAACGATGGTGACTGCCCTTGTCCCACTCACCGCACTGTGCCTCCCGCTCACCCTTGGACACTGCAGTGGTGCTTCTGTGGCCTGATTACACATGTGAAGAGGCAGCAGGGGTTGTGGGGGGTGGGGGGCAATCCCTGCACAATCTCATTATTGTGCTGAGTACTTTGAGAAATAGCATTTCAGGTACATGCAGGCACCCAGATTAAAATACCATCTTTGTTCGGTATTTCCCATTGTACCATCAGCTCCACTGAAATGAAGCCTCATTTTCCTGATATTATGGGATGGACTATACTTTTACAAATGAATTTATCTTGTAAACTCACCGTCATCCAGTTTGTCTCAAAGCCACTCAATGTTTTGTATGTTCATTTAATCTTTGGAGTCAGGGAAACATAGAAACCATGTCAGCATGTTTACCACTTTCACTCACTGTCACCTTTCTTCAGTTGTCACATCAGATTTCCCCTTAAGAATAGTAGTCATCTTTGGAGAATGCCAGTTTGTGTCATGTTGGTTCTTTTAGAAACAAAAAACAACTAAATGCATCCAAGTTAATAATGGAAAAGTTTATTTACTCGATACAATGTAATATTATAAATCTAGCAGGTAATTTAGAGGAAAAGCGTCTTCGGCTGGTCATGGTGGCTCACGCCTGTAATCCCAGCACTTTGGGAGGCCGAGGTAGGTGGATCACGAGGTCAGGAGATCAAGACCATCTCGGCCAACATGGTGAAACCTCATCTCTACTAAAAATACAAAAAAAATTAGCTGGGCCTGGTGACTCATGCCTGTAATCCCAGCACTTTGGGAGGCCGAGGCTGGCAGATCACGAGGTCAGGAGATGAAGACCATCCTGGCCAACATGGTGAAACCCTGTCTCTACTAAAAATACAAAAAAATTAGCTGGGCATGGTGGTACGCGCCTGTAGTCCAAGCTACTCGGGATGCTGAGGCAGGAGAATCACTTGAACCTGGGAGGCGGAGGTTGCAGTGAGCCGAGATCACACCACTGCACTCCAGCCTGGCGACACAGTGAGACTCTGTCTCAAAAAAAAAAAATCTTCTGAAATAATATGAAATGGTTTTCTCATAAAAAGAAAAAGCACTCCATGCTGCTGATATTGCTTTTCCTCCTTGTACATTTTAAGATTATGAACATTTATATAGGTTTAAAAAATAAAACAATAGGCAGTGAAAAGGCTCCGTCACGCCATCATCCTGTGTCATCCCCCATATTTCCAGTTCCCACCTTATCTCCTTTACAGAAGTTACTGTTTTCTGTGACTTTGGAGAGTTTATTAAGAAGTATACAAGCAAATAGAAATATCTGTTTTGATATCTTTCCTGTTATTTTCCCTTTTTATATATATGTAGCATATACATATGGTGAGCCTTTTGTGTTGCTAAGCAGTAAGTCTGGATTGGCCCATGGAGAGCTTCATTCATTGTACAGCTGTAGGCTATTCCGTTGTATGGATATGTCATAACTTATTTCACCAGTCAACCAGTCTTATAACAAGGACATTTGGCTGTTTCCCATTTTTAGGTATTAAAAAACGATGTCATAGTAAATAACCTCAGACCTATGTCATACATGACATAGGTTTACTACATGTGTTTAATTTTCAGACATGGGGCTTTCTGGGTCCAGGGTATATACATTTTCCATTTTGAAAGTTATTCAGACATGGGGCTTGCTGGGTCCAGGGTATATACATTTTCCATTTTGAAAGTTATTGCCAAGTTCTCCTTCATGGGGATTGTAGCTATTTAATCTCCCTGCATCAGTATATGAAAGTGCCTTTTCTCCTGCAGTCTTGTTAACAGAATAATATCAAATGTTTGGGTATTTGCCAATAAAAAATATATCTGACATATGACTTTAATTTGTATGTCTCTTATTTGACTGGAGTTGAACATCTAATATATTTAAGAGTTACTTATATTTCCTTTTTTGAAAATTGTCTGCTTGTATCTTCTGTCCATTTTTCTGTTGGATTGTTATATATCCATTATTAGGAACTCTGTTAGGAGAGTTAGGCTTTATTAGTGTATGTATATGTATATATATATATATATATATACACACACACACACACACACACACACACACACATATGTGCTTATTATAGATATATTACCCAGAAGAAATTGATATTTCTATTTTTCTTTTTGAGATGGAGTCTCACTGTGTTGTCTAGCTGGAGTGCAGTGGTGTGATCTTGGCTCACTGCAACCTCCACCTCCTGAATTCAAGTGATTCTCCTGCCTCAGCCCCCCCTCCACCCAAGTGGCTGGGATTACAGGTGCCTGCCACTGTGCCCAGCTAATTTTTTGTATTTTTAGTAGAGACAGGGTTTCACCATGTTGGCCAGGCTGGTCTTGAACTCCTGACCTCAGGTGATCCACCCGCCTCAGCCTCCCAAAGTGCTGGGGTTACAGGCGTGAGCCACTGTGCCTGGCCAAGAAATTGATTTTATTTAGTTGAATTTATCAGTCTTTTGTGGCTTCTGAATTTTGAGTCATAGTTAGAAAAGTCTTCCTCCTTCTTAGGGTCATAAAAGAAATCTGTGTTTCCCTGTAATACTTTTAATAGCTTCATTTTTTACATAAATATCTTGGATCTGTTATGATATATATCCTGGTGTGCCATTTAAAATATGGATTCAACTTTATTTTTTTGGAAGCTGTATAACCTGTTATCCCCAGGCCAATTAATAAATAATTCTAATCTTTCTTTTTAAAATGTTTTCAAGATCCAAAAAGTTGGCAGCTCTTGCAGAAGCCTTAAAGGAAGTCTCCCTTACAAAGGCCCAGCTGGGGTTAGAACTGGAAGAACTAGAAGCAGCAGCACTGCTTGTCCAGGAGGAAGAAACTGCATTAAAAGCAGCCCATTCAGTTTCTGGGCAGCAGACACTTTGCTCCAGCTCTGAGGCAAGTGATTCGGAGGACTCAGACAGCAGCGTGTCATCTGGAAACGAAGACTCAGGCTCAGATTCAGAACAAGATGAACTCAAAGATAGTCCATCTGAGACAGTCAGTTCTTTGCAAGGTCCCTTTCTTGAAGAAAGCAGTGCCTTTCTTATTGTTGATGGTGGAGTACGCAGAAACACAGCCATCCAGGAGTCTGATGCCAGTCAGGGAAAGCCACTTGCCTCTTCCTGGCCTCTTGGAGTGTCTGGGCCTCTGATAGAGGAGCTTGGGGAACAACTGAAGACTACAGTTCAGGTTTCTGAACCCAAGGGCACCACTGCTGTAAACCGCAGCAATATTCAGGAGAGAGACGGCTGTCAGACACCAAATAATTGACTCTTAGGTGGTTTTATTCATTGTTGAGAAATATGGTAGATTGGGTTTCATTTACCGAATGAGAATTCTTCATTTTCACTTTGTAATTTTTCTTAGTATATAGTCAGCCCACTGTATTTGTGTGTTCCACATCTGTGGATTCAACCAACTGCAGATCAAAAATATTGAAGAAAAAATCGCATCTGTACCAAACATGTACAGACTTTTTTCTTGTTATTATTCTCTAAATAATACAGTATGACAACTATTTCCACAGCATTTACATTGTATTGGGTAATATAAGTAATCTAGTGATGATTTAAACTGTGCAGGAGGATGTGGGTAGGTTATATGCAAATACTGCACCATTTTTTATCAGGGGCTTGAGCATCTGAGGATTTTAGTATCCTCAGGAGTCCTGGAACCAACCCCCCACAGATACGGGGACAACTTTATGACATTGTTTTTCAACCAATGAATGTTTATACCTTTTGTTTTCCTTGCCGCGACTGTGAAGATAAAGTTCAAAAGTATTTTTACCAAAGTGTAGCTAATATTTCAAGCTGAAAATAATAGTTCTACTGCCCGTGTCTCCAGAATGTAGAGCCCATCAATATTTTTATTTTAGGAGGTGTACTTGACACCCAATAAACTGCACGTATCAAAAGTGTACAATGTGTTGGCGTATGTATACCCTGCGTAAAACTATCACCACAACTGAAGTGAGGAACGGACCCATCATTCCCAAGTGCCCTTGTGCCCTGTTATTAGTTTGCATGTCCTAGAATTCTATGTAAATTGAATCATACAATATGTATCCCTTTTTTGGTCAGGCATATTTTACTCAGTATAGTTATTTTGAGATTCATCCATGTGGTAGCATGTGTCACGAGTTTTTGTTTTTATGTTTTTCATTGCTGAGTACTGCTTCATTGAATAGATTTGTTCATTGACCTATCGATGGACACCTGGGTTGTTTCCAGTTTGGGGCTGTTATAAATAAAGCTGTTATGAACATTTGTGTACAAGTCTTCATGTGGACGTATGCTTTCCTTTCTTTAGTCAAATACCTGAGAGTGGAATGACCAAGCCATATGGTAGGTATATGTTTAATGTTTTAAGAAAATGCTGAACTGTTCTCCAGCATGGCTGTACCATTTTACATTCCCACCAAAAGTGATAGTTTATGCGAGTTCCAGTCTTCCACATGATGGTTATTGATATGGTCAGTCTCTTAAACTTTTACCATTTTTATAGATGGATAGTGGTGTTTTGTTGTGGAAGTGTCTGTTCAAATCTTCTGCCTGTGTGTGTGTGTGTGTGTGTGTGTGTGCGTGTGCGTGTGTGTTTGAGACAGGGTCTTACGCTGTCTCCCAGAGTGGAGTGCAATGGTGCAATCTCCGCTTGCTGCAGCCTCACCCTCCCAGGTTCAAGCAATCCTCGCACCTCCTCCTGACCACAGGCTTGCTCCACCACACCCAGCTAATCTTTGTAGTTTTTATAGAGATGGGGTTTCGTCATATTGCCCAGGCTGGGATGTGATTTTTTAGAGTTCTTTTGTTTGGTTGGTTTTGTTTTGTGTGTTTTTTTGCCTTGTTTTGTTTTGTTTTGTTTGAGCTGGAATCTCACTTTGTCACCCAGGCTGGCATGCAGTGGCGTGATCTCAGCTCACTGCAACATCTGCCTTCCAGGCTGAAGCGATTCTCATGCCTCAGCCCCCCAAGTACCTGGGACTACAGATGTGTGCCACCGTGCTGGGCTAATTTTTGTATTTTTGGTAGAGACGGGGTTTTGCCATGTTGCCCAGACTGGTCTTGAACTCCTGAGCTCAAGCAATCTGTCCACCTCGGTCTCCCAAAGTGCTGGGATTACAGGCATGAGCGACCACGCCCGGCAGTTTGAGAGTTCTTTATAAATTCTGGATACAAGTCCTCATATGAGTCTTTTTTTTTTTTTTTTTTTTTTTTTTTTTTTTGCATGCCTCATAGTCTTTGATTGGATGCCACACTTTGTGAATTTTACCTTCTTAGGTGCTAGATATGCATTCTTATATATACTCTTGATCTTTGTTTAGGGATGCAGTCCAGTGACATGGAAGTAGTTTGATCCTTATGGGTCTTGCTTTGTAATTTGTTAGGCAGGTCTGGAGTGGTGCTCAGTCTAGGGCAAATTATTCCCCAGTGCTGATATTCCTGAGTGCTCCACCATGCCTTATGAATTATGAGTTTTTCAGCCTGGCTGATTGAACTCACACTGTTCCCAGTGTGCGTACTGAGGACTCTTCTCTCTAATGTGAGTGTGTGTTTTTTTTTTTCCTTGAGACAGTCTTGTTCTGTCACTCAGGCTGGAGTGCAGTGATATGATCTCAGCTCACTGCAACCTCTGTCTCTCGGGTTCAAGTGATTCTCCTGCCTCAGCCTCCCGAACACCTGGGATTACAGGCATGCACCACCACACCTGGCTAATTTTTTGTATTTTTAGTAGAGATGGGTTTTCGCCATGTTGGCCAGGCTGGTCTCGAACTCCTGACCTCAGGTGATCCACCCGCCTTAGACTCCCAAAGTGCTGGGATTACAGGCATGAGCCACCGCACCCAGCCCCCTCTCATCTTTTCAGATGGTTCTAGAAGAGGGCTCTCCTCTCTCTCTCCAGATATCCAGCGTTCTCTGTGCAGCTCTCTCCTCTCTGGAGCTCTGTGCTGCAAATGTTAGCTGCCTTGGTCACCCCAAGTCCTCAGCCCTGTCTTTGAACTCCATAACCCCCTGGGTTCTGCCTTGATTGTCCTTCCCTACATAGCATGGAAAGTCTTTCAAAGCAGTAGATCTCACCTTGTTTTCTGTCTCTCAGGATCACTGTCTTTCATTGCCTGAAGTTCAGAGTTTGGAAAGCCATGGTTTTGTGTATTGCTCCCATTTTTCTGCTTTGGTTATGTCTGACGGGAGAGTAAATCTGGTCCCTGTTAATCCATCGGGATTGGAAGTGTAATTCTCCATTAATAGTTTAAATATGGGTTTTCCCACTTGAGTTTAAGCTGCTGGGGAGGTAGGGTCTTGTTAACACTGAATCATCAGTGTCCGTATTCTCAAGCACTCCATAAATATTTGTTGAATGAATGAACAAATAAGATAAACCAATTTGCTTTGAGGAGGAAATGAAATCTCATCTATTAATCTCAGTAGCATCATTAATTTCAAGAAAGGGTATGATGCTTTTTACTTAGGGTTTGTGAAGGTTGTGAATGTTTGTACTTTTCCAGGTTGTATTAACATGATCCTGGGGTGACTACGGCACTTAAAATGCTTGTGAACTCCTGAACACTATAACTGCTTTGTTGGAATGTGTTCACAAGACTTCTCTCAGCTTCCCTGGAGAGCTTCCAAATCCTTATGACCATTGAAAATGCATTTCTTCTCACTAGTACATTATCTGAAGCCAGTTTGAAAAAGTATTATCTGTAACTCCCCTCATTTACTTCCACTGAAGTCAAGCCAGTTAAGCAAATCCTCTCGTCTAAAAATTTAACGCCATGGAAGTTTTCTTCCTTCCATCAATTTTTGTTCTTAGGAATCTTGACAGGATCTACTTCAGTGAGACTTGTCTTGGGTAGAAAAACCTGTTATTCCCTTCCTCAAAGAATGAGCAAACATGATCCTTCCCGGACATCCTCAAAGCCAGGCAGCTCATTAAACAACCCTCATGAGTATTAAAGACAACGTGAGTGAGCTCCTTAATTTCAGAGTCCGTGTCGGCAGTGTTTCTCCTACCCTTTCTTTGTTCATGGAGGTTGAAGCTTTGTTATATCACGTTACTCTGTCTTTGTTTAAGATGGGCTGAGAACACTATACTACACTAGCTCAGTAACCCAAAACACCTCCAGAGGTGCTGCCTTTCATTTATTTTTTTAAACTAGACAACCTGCCAGGCAACTTTAGGGATCTCCTATAACCATATGGGTTTCCCAAAACTCCTAGATGATGGGAGAAAAAAATAAGTTGGGGCAAGAATAGGGAAGAGACCCAGTGACTGCCTAGTCGCAGCTCAGTGGGAAAAACCAAGACTTTGCAGTTGACAAGAGGCAGCCTCCAATTCAACCCAGCTCCACTGTAGCTGGCTCACGAGGGGGGGACTCCAAACGACACCTTTCCCTTCATCTTAGAAACGGGGCTGGGCGCGATGGCTCATGTCTGTAATCTCAGCACTTTGGGAGGCCGAGGCAGACAGATCACTTGAGGTCAGGAGTTCGAGACCAGCCTGGCCAACATGGTGAAACCCTGTGTCTACTAAAAATACAAACAACTTACCTGGGGGTGGTGGCGGGCCCGTGTAATCCCAGCTACTCGAGGCTGAGGCAGGAGAATCACTTGAACCTGGGAGGCGGAGATTGCAGTGAGCCGAGATTGTGCCACTGCACTCCAGCCTGGGCGACAGAGTGAGGCTCTGTCTCAAAGGAAAAAAAAAAAAAAGGAATAGATGAGATCAGGCGCGTTCAGGGTGGTATGGCCGTAGACAGAAATGGAAATAGAACTGCTTTTATTGCTGGCCTTCCAGTGCTAGGAGACTGTATGTTCAAAGCACTTTTATAAACTGGAAAGTGTTAAACCAACGTAAGGGTTTATTATTATTGTCTGACTTCCCAGAGCTGAACAGGGCTCTATTTAGCTACCTAACAACAGGTCGCTGGGGGAGCCGGCACTGTGAAAATGAGTCAGCCCTGTTAATCTCTACAGAGGCCGGCTAGTGGTAAAAGTCTACACAGTTCAGCAGATTAGATAGAAATATTAATTATGCCAATGAATCACAGCACTGCCTCATCTTCTAGGCTTGCATTATCATTGACCTATTTTTCTATGTTCTGTCTCTCTTGTCCCATTATCCTTGAAGAATAATCGGAGGCCTTGCTGTGGGCATGGCCAGGTTTTAGGTGCCGGTAACTAAGCTGGTATCACCTTTCACTGGCACAAGATTAATCTGCAAATGAGACAAGAGTGCTCCCTACCACATTCTAAATTGGTTGACAGCTGGGGAGCGGTTTTCACACCTGCTAATGAAAAATCCACTTTGGTTACGTGGATCAAATTCTATTATTAATACCAAGAATTGGGAGGAGTAGAGAGAGGGCCATATTTAAGACTTTATAAAATTATTTAAAAAAAAAAACCAGACTCCTGGATATCTACTTTGTTACAAAGGGATTTTTATTACTTTATATGTTATAACTGGAAATTGACTTATATAGTCAATGATGACAAAACAGATATCTCTAAAATAAATGGAAATGAGTTTAAAACTTAGTATAGGAATAAAATTATAAATATACATCAGATCCTAAGAGTGTATTAATTATAAAATCCTTAAAGATGCAGAAACCACCCCCCCCCCCCAATGTATCAAATGACCTGTCATGGAATGTCATTGCATGTCAGGTAAATTCAAATGAAGCTTCATAAACGCAAATCTCTGATTGTTTGGTCAGGGGTCTCCATTAGAGCAAATGAAAGATTGCAAATGTTTCTCTAACATCATTCCATCTAAATCCCTGATGGAATTTTTGTGATCTGCTGCTTTTCTCTCCTGTTTTCTGAGTGTGTTATATATAGTTTCAATCCATACCAAATGAAGGAAGCATTGATTAGACTTGATTTAAGGCAGCAAGTGATAAATGCAGCTGGAAATTGATTCATGTCTCTCAAGTGACTGGGGCACAGCCATCCACAGTTGACACAACTCTTGTCTCAAGGCTGGAGAAAACAAACAGGCAAACACATGTCAAACAGATAAATGACTTTGCTGTTTTGAGCTCTCCGGGGAGGCCATTTGTTTCTTAGATAAGGAAGACTGCTTTCCAAAGTCATGAAAAGATAAGTTAGAGGAAAAGGATGAATGTGGGATTGGATGCCCAAGCACTGGGAAGAAAACAACAGGATTTACCTCTGGGAAGGGTCTTGCTTCTTTTCCCTCCAACATGCTGGGAGCAGTACTCCAAATGCTCTGTCTCCATATTTTAAGTGTTCATAGTGGTATGTTGGTGTCTTTGAAGCTATTTCCCAAGAAACATTTCCTGACTGCTCTTATTGGAGTGAGTATTCAGGAGAAGAATTGGCAAGAACAGCTAAGACTTGTGAGCCCGGCTTGGTCTGAAATAGTGATAGTTCCAGTAGTTTGACCACCAGCCCAGAGGGCCCCTGGAAACAATAGTCCCATTGCAATCCAGTGCCTCTTGTAGAGCCTCGCCCATAATACAAAATATTGCATTTGTGTTTCCCCTACATGCTTTGTGTTTTCCCATCTTGATGTTTGCTCCTGCGTTGCTCTCCCGTTTCCCTTGCTGATAGTTTGCATGTTTAAATCTCACCCATCCTTCAAGGCCCCCATTCAACTGCCACTTCCTCCAGGAGGTCACCCTTCATTGCTCTGGACTAGAAATAAATTCCCTCCTCTGAACTCCCAGAACAATTTGTAATGGTCTTAGAGTATTTATTGCTCCCTGTGGGGTAAATATGCGTGTCCTATCTTATTTACTAGAGCACAGACTTAAGTATCTGTTTCAGCTTTGGATCCCACACAACGTTCTGTCCACACAACACCTTCAGACGACACTTGTTGAATGAAAAACTAGGCAACTGGAGAGCTCAAATGAATAAATGGCATCAAACACTCGACAGCTCTTTACTAGCTAGTAATCCCCACCTAGCATCGGCCGTGTTGCCTTTCTTTGGTTTTCTTTTGTTTCATAAGTCTTGATTCTCTTATCTTTTGAATATGACTTCTGCCAACATTCTAAGCAGGAAGATCAAGTGTGTCTTTCTTCTTCCTCCTTCTTCCGGGTCTGGGGTCCTCATCTCCTGGCCTAATTGGCACATATGTTCAATCTTTTCCTGTTGCTGTCCCTCCTCCCCAACCCTGAATTCCCAGCGTTCTCCACTCACTGCCCCCTAGGCTGGCAGGTGGAAGATTAGTTGGTAGAGAATATGAAAAGTACCCCCTCTGGGCAGTGCCCCTGGACATGGTGGACATTATCCCAGTGAATCAGGGCCAGGTCCTTCTGGAAGAGCCTTAAATCCAAGGCAAGCCAGAATGATCGGAGCAGGAAAGAGATTCTTATCTTCTAAAGCAGTGGGTTCCAGAGTTCTGTATTGATTTCTACAAAATTAAAATTAGAAACAAAACCAAACAGGGTAGCGTGCAGAGGGTGCTGACATAAGGCTGCCGACTTTTCATTCTGGATGTGCATCTCTAACCCAACCCAGGCAGTATTCTACTGAAACAATCCTTTCATAAAAGCCTGTTAATGCCAAAAAGTAGAAGGATAGTATTTAGAATAAAGATTAGCCCTCTAAATTGGACATAATTAGCTTTAAGAAAAACTCTCGGCTGGGTGCAGTGGCTCACGCCTGTAATCCCGGCACTTTGGGAGGCCGAGGCAGGTGGATCGAAGCCGAGGACTGAGCTCAGCAGTTCGAGACCAGCCTGGCCAACATGGCAAAACCCCATCTCTACTAAAAATACAAAAAAATTAGCCGGACATGGTGGTGCATGCCTGTAGTCCCAGCTACTTGGGAGGCTGAGGCAGGAGAATCGCTTGAACGCTTGAAGTTGGGAGGCAGAGGTTGCAGTGAGCCGAGATTATGCCACTGCACTCCAGCCTGGACAACAGAGTGAGACTCCATCTCAAAAAAAAAAAAAAAGAAAAAAAGAAAAAAAAAGAACAACTCTTTCTCCTGAGAAACCACAGATACCTTTTCAGTTTCTCTATTTTTCTTTGTAGAAACATGAGTAAACACATGTAGTTTTTAAACAAAATTTGAATCATATACTACATAAATTTATATCCTTCTTTCTCTTAACATGAGGTCCTGTTTCCCATGTCATCAAATAACCTCCTGAAATATAACACTCATAACTGCATTTATTCCTATTGCACTGGCAGCAATTGCTCTCAAATGTAAATCTGATTAGCGAGGATTTTCCTGTTTTTGTAGTAAATTTGCTAAGCATGGATGCCTAGATCCTCTAGGTGCTTCCTCAGCAGCTCTTCCTCTGTTGTGTTATAGCAGCATAGTTTATTTCGTTTTACGTTATTATTTTTTACGTTTTTTTTTTTTTTTAAGAGATAGGGTCTCACTCTGTTGCCCAGGCTGGAGTGCAGTAATGTGATCAGAACTCAAGGGATCTTCCCACCTCAGTCTCCCGAGTAGCTGGGACTACAGATGCATGCCACCACACCCAGATGCATAGTTTATTTTAAAGACAATACAGTCGTCCCTCGGTATCTGTGGGAGATTGGTTCCAGGACTTCCTCAGATACCAAAATCCAGCGATGTGCAAGTCCCTTATATAAAATGGCATAATAGTTGTGTATAACCTACCTCCATTCTCTTGTATGCTTTAAATCATCTCTAGATTACTTATAATACCTAATACAATGTAAATGCTTTGGAAATTGTTAGTATACTATATTATTTTTAAAATATGCATTTTTTATTGTATTTTATTATTTATCTGAATATTTTCAGTCTGTGGTTGGTTGAAGTCATGGATGTGAAACCCCAGGATACGGAGGGCCAACTGCATCCCCTTGAATTACAGAAGAGACAGGAATGTAATAACATCTGTCATTTGTTGAGCGACTGCATGAAGCCAAGCGCTGTGCTAGGCTTGTTTGTCCTCAGCATGTCAAGCAGGGGCCTATCTCCTCTCACTCCTTCTTTTTTTTTTTATTTGAGACAGAGTCTCACTCTGTTGCCAGGCTAGAATGCAGTGGCACGATCTCAGCTCACTGCAACCTCCGCCTCCTGGGTTCAAGCAATTCTACTGCCTCAGCCTCCTGAGTAGCTGGGATTACAGGCGTCTGCCACCACATCTGGCTAATTTTTGTATTTTTAGTCGAGATGGGGTTTTGCCTTGTTGGCCAGGCTAGTCTCGAACTCCTGACCTCAGGTGATCCACCTGCCTTGGCCTCCCAAGATGCTAGGATTACAGGCATGAGCCACTGTGCCTGGCCTCCTCTCACTCCTTCTGTAGCCACAGATTCTGCCAATGGAAGGGACTTTGGGCATAGTGAGACCCTGTGGCTCTGCTCTTAGCTGACTGGATTGAGCTTGAACTTGACCCAAGGGCCGACTGTGGGGTCAGCTGGCCTGGAAAGCTCTACTAATCCAGGGGTTCTTGACTCTGGCTGCACACTTGAACCATCCAAGAAACTTTTCAAAAGTACCAATACTCAGTCCCCTCCACATACAGTGGAAATAGAATCTCTGAGGTTGTCTAAATAGGCAAGAGCTGGGATAATCCAAGTCCTGCTCCCGGAAATTTGAATTGGGAAATGAAGAGAGGATAAGGCCCTTGGAAGTTATTGAAGGTAAGAGATGCGTTAGGATAATCACAAGGTGAATCTGGAATCAGTCTTGCAAACTCGACTCAGGAAGGAGGAAGTGTGAGTTAGGAGGATCTATGTAATGGAGAAAAGATACAGGCGAGAGGGTGAAGACAGCAGCTGGTCATAGGAAAGGGAGTGGCTGGGCGTAAAAGGATGCAGACACGTGGAGTTGCTGTCATTACTCTGAAATGAACATTCACACACTGCTCCCCTGAGGTCCCAAAAGCAGTCATGGATGCCCATACCACCCTTTCATCAGTCCGAGGCTCCATAACGCCTGAGCATTAGGCCTGTGCTGACTTTTGGAGCTCAGAGGACATCCAGTTCCCTATTGCTGATCAAATCAGAGGCCTTTCTTATACGTAACAGGACACCTGACACAACTGCTTCAAACAGTAAAGAGGATTTATTAGTTTATGAACTGTAAAGTCCAGCAGTAGAATGGATTTCAGGAGAGGCTTAACCAGCCATCCAACAATGTGATCAAAGGCCCTATCTCCTGTTTCTCTGTACCACCATCTTCAGTGCTGAATTCATCCCAATTTGGACACCTTTCATGTCTCAAGATGGCTGCCAGCAGCCCCTGCAGCTACCTACTTTCTTGTTACCATCTGTCAGAAAAGAGATTATCTGTGTCCCAGCCTCCCCAGCAAATGTCCTCAGATTCACCCTGATTGGATGCGTTTGGGTAAACACTGAATCATTCATCACTGGCCACTGAAATGGGATGGCTGGTTGGCTTTGTCTGAGTCATGTGGCCATTCCTGGAGCTGAAGGCAAGGTCAGGGGGACTTTGGGAGATGGAGGATGGAGCACAAAACCAGTAAGGTTACTGATAAACGTCTACCACCCTTTTCACCAATGCTCCCATGTGCAGGGCTCAGCTCTCTCTTCAGAAGAGGAGTGGTGAAGTGACAGCTTCCAGCGGCCACACCTTCATCTCGAGATCCACCCCAGTGTTTGCGCTAAGGCCACACTCTTCCTGGCCTGTTCCCAGCAGCTGGCTGGTCATAGCAAGGTGCTGGAGCTGGGCCATTCCTGCCCAGTGAGTGACTCCCATCCTCTCCACACCTTCTTAAGCTTACACTGCACTGTGGGGCTCCTTCTCACACTTGTCTGTCTTCCTTTTGGTCTGCCCCCTGCCCCACTCCTGTTTCCTTTTCCCTTTATTCTTCCTTCACAGACATTGCACTTCTAATTCTATCTTGGCTTCTGCTTCCCAGCAAATGAAACTGACACATCCTGGTTTTCTGAGCTACTCTCTGAGTGTGCCTCTGATTTTCAGAGGAGCTCAGCTCAAACCCACTTGCTCCACAAGTGCCTGTGGGGCCGATACTGTCTCCAGTATACAGAAGGGGAAGCCAGGGTTAGAGGTTGAGTAGCTTGCCTGATGTCACCCATGCAACAAGGGGAGCCTTGGCTTCCGAACCCCATCTTTACCTCTCTGCAGCCCGTGCTCTCTACCAGCTGTAGACGCTGTTCCTGGTAGAGCCTGGTGAGGTGGCCTGAGTCTCTCAAGGTCACCCCTGGCTCAATGGAAGAGGAGAGGGTGCATCGCAGCGTGTGTTCCCTCCAGTCGGATTTCCTTGAATCACTCGCACCTGGGGGAAGGAAGATGAGGAGGGGGATTGTCGGTGGATGGGCAGGATCTCTGTACTGGGGGCGGGAGGGGCGTTGCCACGTTGAGCACCGACACTTGAGAAGTGACACGGCTTCGTTTGTACACAAACCATCCTGCATGGTGTTTAAAAACAAAGGGCAAAGTCAGACGTTGCTCGAGGGCCCGGAAAGCCAACTGCGAAGCAGGCGGGCAGCTCCCGGATGGCCCCGCGTTGCCCCTGCTCCCACGCTCCCGGATCAGTGAGAAAGCCTGCGCCCCGCCCTGAGAGCCAACCCGCTAATCCGCGGCATCGTCCACCAATGTGTCTAATGAGGTGGCATAACCACCCAGCTCTCCCCGGAGCCGCGCAGGGCCTCCTGGCTGAACTAGCGGGTGTAGCTCCGTCGGGTCCTCGGGCGTCGCGGGGCGGGGCGGGGTGGGGCCACTGCGCGTGCGCGCGGACCGGGCGGGGCGGGGCCCAGGGCAGGTGCCTGGAGGAGGGTCTCCCAGCGGCAGGGGCAGACGCCAAGCTTGCTGAGGCTGGAGTGTATGCTTAATCACAGTCGACTGAGGGGCTGTTTAAGAATTGTAAGAAGCTGTTCCAGGTGAAGTTCTGAGCAGAGCTACAGAAGGTCGCGGTCTGGAAGCTGCTGGGAGGAGAGGGGCGACATCAGTGGCTTTCGTTGGGGGAAGGCACCCGCAGGATTTCCTGGGATGGGGAAACAATAACCTGGAATACGAGGAGGCTGTCCTAGAAGAGTCAGATTGCCCACTCCCATCCCACCCCCATCCCCAAGCTGATGAAATTGGCGCGAAGCAGATCCCTAAATTCACAAGCTTATCTAATTCCTGCCAATAACACAGTATTTCTGTTTCTGCGGATACCTGGCTCTCGGGGCACATTGAAGCTTCACCTGGAGAGGATGGAACAGAGAAGACGATCAAAAACAGGGCCTTCCTGGAACCAAATGCCAATAACAGCCCTCAGGTGCCTAGCTAGCCCTTTACAGATTGCAAAGGGCTTTCTTCTACCTTGCCTCGTTTTCAGCAGGGGCAGGCAAGTGATCCCATTTTAAAGCGAGGAACCCGAGAGAGCTCAGGCTTTTCCCAGGTTGGGCACAGGGTGCAGTGGGAACTAAGGACTCAGTGAGTAGGGGTCACCCAGGGAGCCATGGAAGATCTCCCAAAGAAAGGATGAACAGGAGTTGGATGAGCAGAGGGACGTTAGGGTGGGGTGTTCATGTCTCAGGTGGAGAGATGTGGTGGGTGAGGGAACAAGATTGCTCAGGGTGGCTGAACACGGGAGGGTTAGCAGAGCTGGGGAATTGGGGGGCAACCCACGGAAAGACACATCCACTTGTGGGCCCAGATCAGCATTGTGTCACATTAAGAAAAAGGGAGAACTCAATTCACTATCCATAGTAATTGAAAAGCAATTGAATATTTATTGTAGCCTCTGGTGCACTTCATTTGTAAGGCACAGCCAATACAGCTGGCCCTCCATATCCATGGGTTCCACGTTCCTGGATTCAGCCAGCTGTGGGTGGAAAACCACTCAGAAAAAATAAAAAGGATAATTCCATACTGAACATTCACAGACTTTTTTTCGTGTCATTATTCCCTAAACAGTACCGTGTAACAACTATTTCCATAGCACTTACATTGTATTAGGTATTATAAGTAATCTAGCGATGACTGGAAGTATATAGGAGGATGCACATAGGTTATATGCAACTTCTATGCCAATTTTTATCAGGGACTTGAGCATTGGCAAATTTTGGTATCCTGGGGGTCCTGGAACCAATCGCTTGCAGATATTGAGGGACAGCTGCATTGTAAAAATCTTCTTTTTCTTTCTTTCATTCTCTTACTCTCTTATCCTAGCCACTGCCCCCAAAGATGCATCTTTCCCCTTCCAAATTTCCCCAGTTCTCCTTCAGACTCTGCCTTCAGAGGGTTCCTGCCTCTCCTCTCCTTCTCCCCTTCCGTGGCTGTGGTTTTAACCCTACAGTACCTTTTTAATTAATTAATTATTATTTTTTCTTTTTTGGGAGACAGAATCTTGCTTTGTCGCCCAGGCTGGAGTACAGTGGCACGATCTCAGCTCACTGCAACCTCTACCTCCTGGGTTCAAGCAATTCTCATGCCTCAGTCTCCTGAGTAGCTAGGACTACAGATGCACCCCAGCACACCCGGCTAATATTTTTATTTTTTTATTTTTAGTAGAGATGGGGTTTCATTATGTTAGGCCAGCTGGTCTCGAACTCCTGAGCTTAGGCAATCCACCCACCTCAGCCTCCCAAAGTGCTAGGATTACAGGCATGAGCCACCACCCCCGGCCTAACCCTACAGTACCCTTAGATTTCCTTCCCAGTATAAACTCTGCTTTCCCTGTGGCTTTTTGCACTTCGGAAAGTGGAAAGAGATTAGTGCAGGAGTCAGCAAACCAGGGCACTGAGGCCATATCCATCCCACTGCCTGTTTTTGTATAGCCTGCAAACTGAGGATCTTTTAATTTCTTTTTTTTTTTTTTTTTGAAACGGAGTCTCACTCTGTCACCCAGGCTGGAGTGCAGTGGCACAATCTCGGCTCACTACAACTTCTGCCTCCTGGGTTCAAGCAATTCTCTTGCCTCAGCCTCCCAAGTAGCTGGGATTACAGGTGCCTGCCACCATTCCTGCCTAGTTTTCTTGTAATTTTAGTATAGATGGGGTTTCACCATGTTGGCCAGGCTGGTTTCAAACTCCTGACCTCAAGTGATCCATCTGTCTCGGCCTCCCAAAGTGCTAGGATTACAGGCATGTGCCACCGTGCCCAGCCCAAACTGAGGATTTTTTTAAAAAAATTTTTAATGATTGAAAAGAATTTATGGAGATGTCTTTTCTCTTTTGTTATGTAGGTACTTACCTAATAGCCTTGATTCTGCCCCTTGGTCCATAAAACTTAGAATATTGTACCATCTGGACCTTTACAGAAAAAGGTTGCCAATCCCTGGTTTAAGAGAAGGGGTTTGTGAATACCTATCCAGTAGCATTTTGGATGCCTGGCCCATGGCTTCTGGGGTTTCCATGCCCTCCTGGGGGAGGCTGTGCAGAAAGCTGGGACAAGAGGAATGAGGCTGATACTACCCCGAATCCCACCACAGGGGTGGTCCCATGGCTCAGGTCTGGCCAATCAGAGTACCCTGTTCTTCTGGCCACAGTGATTGGTTCAGCAATAAGCAGGTGTCTCAAGCCTAGTCAATCAAAGTCCTCTTGGGGCTTTGGCCAGAGCTACTAGAAATGATACTTTTTCTGAGTTGGTAAGCTGGAAGGAAGCCATTATTCAGAGGATGATTATCTTTGTATCTATGTGAGGAAAACCTTTCTGGAAAAGAAATTGCATATACCAGAAAGCAGACATGGAAGGAAGAAGGGAGGAAGAGAGAGAGAGAGAGAGATTGACACATTTGACATTGTTTGAGACTCAGCACCCAGCCACCCCTAAAGCTCCTTCCACCCTGGACCTTCAGTCATGCAAGCCAGTAAAATGCCTGCCTGCCTGCCTGCCTGCCTGCCTGCCTGCCTGCCTGCCTGCCTTCCTTCCTTCCTTCCTTCCTTCCTTCCTTCCTTCCTTCCTCTCTCTCTCTCTTTAGCTGAATTGGGCAGAGTTCAGTTACTTGTATCCAAACACATTCTGAGCAATATATGGGCTTTACCAGGTACTTTGGAACCTTGGATTTCTCCCCTTGGTACCCACAACCCCTGCCATGTAACTTTCAGTGCCCTCTCACTCTGACTCTGGACTCCAAGTGACTTGCTTTGGCCAATAGCATGTTTGCAAACATTATGTAGACACAGTGGGACTTGTATTGTCTTTAGTAGCCCTTGGAGCTCCTCCAAGCCCATATAACAGTCCCAGTCTGGGCCACTACATGATGATAGACATATAGAGCCAAGATGAGCCTTCCCATCCTCTTGACCAACAAGCCTCGAGCTAGGATGGCTGGAAGCCAACTGTAGGCACATGAATGATCACAGCAGAGGCCAGCGGAAGAACCGCCCCCACTGAGCCCAGCCCACAGAATTATGAGATAAACAAATGGTAGGTGTTTTAAAGCACTAAGTTTTGGGGTGATATGTTAGGCAGCAAAAGCTGATCCATAGGCAAAAGGTGAAAAAAGGATTATGAAAGGCTCTAAAGGAGAGCAGCTTATCACTTGCTGGCACTTTTAGTGTATAAGAAAAACAAAGCACCGTAGTATTGAAATATTGCCCAAGCTTAAAACAACCACAGTTCTAGAACACCAACACTTAAACAAGCAGTCTGGAACACATACTGAATTCCTTGGCAGGAACCCCACTGAGAAATCCACGCCTGGCACTCCCATTCCACAGCCATACTGGGCAGCTCCTACTGCAGGGATCATGGCCGGCACAAATGTTGTCTCTAGGATGAGGGGATCAGGTACATCTGTGAAAATGTAGAATTCCTCTTACTTGTGTCGTAAAGGCATGACAGTAAGAGTTAAAATGCAATAGTGCGACGATCCCTGGTGGTCTACTGGTTAGGATTCAGTGCTCTCAAAATGCAATAGCATATTGAGCACCTACTGTATTCATAATGTTCACAGCAACCATGTTTTTCTTCTATAGGTCTGACTTAGTACACTTTCATTCTCATTTATTAGGGGTGAATTGCTAGATGCAATGTACCATTTTCTCTTTATGTGAGGTTGTTCATGTCAAATACTAAAGGTATGACTACTACTACTATTAATGATGGCTTACTGTAGGCCGGGCTCAGTGGCTCACGCCTGCAATCCCAGCACTTTGGGAGGCTGAGGTGGGCGGATCACTTCAGGTCAGGAAATAGAGACCAGCCTGGCCAACATGATGAAACCCTGTCTCTACTAAAAATACAAAAATTAGCTGGGCATGGTGGCATGCTCCTGTAATCCCAGCTGCTTGGGAGGCTGAAGCAGGAGAATCACCGAACCTGGGAGACAGAGGTTGTAGTGAGTCGAGATCACATCACTGCACTCCAGCCTGGGCAACAGAGCGAGACTCCATCTCAATATAAATAAATAAATAAATAAAATAAAAATGATGGCTTGCATTTGTGAACACACACTTAGCACCAGGCTCTGGACAAGGGGCTTTACAGGCCTGATATCTTTTTTTGTTTTTTGAGACAGAGTCTCGCTGTGTCACCCAGGCTGGAGTGCAGTGGCAAGATCTCGGCTCACTGCAACCTCTGTTCCTGGGCTCAAATCATCCTCCCACCTCAGCCTTCTGAGTAGCTAGGACTACAGGCACACACTGTGCCTAATTTTTGTATTTTTGGTAGAGATTGGGTTTTGCCATGTTGCCTAGGCTGGTTGAACTCCTGGGCTCAAGTGATCAGCCCATTCAGGCCTGATATCTAGTCCTGACTACAACCCAGGAAGATGGGTACTATCAATCCCATTTTGCAGATGAGAAAACTGAGTCCCTTGCCTAAGTGCACCACGTCATTAAGTGTTGGCATTGGCAACTAAACTTACATTTTATTTTAAAGGGAGACTATTACTGTGGCCTACAGAAATGGGGAGGCTTCATGAAGGACACACTTCGCCTGCTTTGAAGGCAGGTTGGGATTTACCGCCTACCAGCTCTGTGACCTTGGGTGTCTTATTAAATGTTCCCGGGCTTCAATTTATATGTCTGTGAAATGTGGGTGATAATCCTTTCTTTCAAGGATTCTCAAGGGGGAGGGAATAAAGTGAGACACCTAAAGCTCTCAGCACAGTGCTAGGCTTGGGGCTGGAGCTCGAGCCCTTATACTTTTTCTTCCTCCAGGGGAGACTAGACCATACTGGTTTCTAGTGACTCTATCTGATAGAATGTAAACCTCATGAGAATTTGGTTTTTTTTCATTATTTTGTTTAGGTTGTATCCCCTGCACCAGAGTGGTGCCTAGCACATCATAGAGACTCAATCCATGCTTTTTGAATTGAGTTCTGTATTTCTGTGACTGTGATTCTGTGAGATGGGACTGGCAGTGGTTTCCTAGGTGCTGGTTGGAATGGGAGGTGGAAGGGATCCAGGAACAAAGCTTTGTGAGAAGGAAGGGAGAGATGTCCCAGTCAACAGTGCCCTGGGAGCTGGGCTGCATGGCTTGCCATGTTGATAATGTCTCATCCATTGCTGCCCAGCCTGGGAGGGCAGCTCAGGGGTTGCTAGAGATGCCCGTTGAGTGTACTGGGAGCACAGTCTGTGCACTGGGCTCCACCCCACCTCTCTCCTCCTCCTCCTTTCAAGCTCTCCTGGCCTCTGCTCAGCACCCCCACCCATCTGCACCGTGGCCAGGCTTAGAAAGAATCCTTCCTTGGTGCCAAGTATCAGCAGGGCTTTCTGAGGGTGTGAATTATTCCCCGACAAACCCAGCACCCATCTGTCCCCTTTAAAACACCTACCATTTGTTTATCTCATAATTCTGTGGGCTGGGCTCAGTGGGGGCGGTTCTTCCGCTGGCCTCTGCTGTGATCATTCATGTGCCTACAGTTGGCTTCCAGCCATCCTAGCTCGAGGCTTGTTGGTCAAGAGGATGGGAAGGCTCATCTTGGCTCTATATGTCTATCATCATGTAGTGGCCCAGACTGGGACTGTTATATGGGCTTGGAGGAGCTCCAAGAGCTACTAAAGACAATACAAGTCCCACTGTGTCTACATAATGTTTGCAAACATGCTATTGGCCAAAGCAAGTCACTTGGAGTCCAGAGTCAGAGTGAGAGGGCACTGAAAGTTACATGGCAGGGGTTGTGGGTACCAAGGGGAGAAATCCAAGGTTCCAAAGTACCTGGTAAAGCCCATATATTGCTCAGAATGTGTTTGGATACAAGTAACTGAACTCTGCCCAATTCAGCTAAAGAGAGAGAGAGAGGAAGGAAGGAAGGAAGGAAGGAAGGAAGGAAGGAAGGCAGGCAGGCAGGCAGGCAGGCAGGCAGGCAGGCAGGCAGGCATTTTACTGGCTTGCATGACTGAAGGTCCAGGGTGGAAGGAGCTTTAGGGGTGGCTGGGTGCTGAGTCTCAAACAATGCCGGCACTGCTGGCATCTCCCTAGGCCTGGAAGCTGCCCAGGGCACCTCCAAGCCAGGCCTGCACGGGGCTTCCTCCCAGTGAAGACATGGCTGCCCTGAGCCTTAATTGGAGAGATGATGCAGTGAGCCCGGGAGATTTTAAAGTGTGTATTTACAATCTGCTTGCTCCTTGAAGTGGCATGAAAACAAAAATCCAAGGAAAGCGCTCAGTGAGGGGATTTCCCTGGTGACCTGTGGCTAATGGCCTTTGCCTACCTCTTGCTCTGGAGAGGCCCTCCGAAGCCTGAATGGGGGTGGGAAGTGGCTTCCAGGGAAGAAGGGCCTTTCTGAGGTGGCTGTGCTCACAGGACGCAGCCTTTGAGAATCAGGATCAGAAGATGTAAGTAGCCCCCATAACTGGCACATTGGTAGTGGATGCTCTGGGAGGATGATGCTTTCCCTGTGGCTTTTTGCACTTTGGAAAGTGGAAAGAGATTAGTGCAGGAGTCAGCAAACCAGGGCACTGAGGCCATATCCATCCCACTGCCTGTTTTTGTATAGCCTGCAAACTGAGGATCTTTTAATTTCTTTTTTTTTTTTTTGAAACGGAGTCTCACTCTGTCACCCAGGCTGGAGTGCAGTGGCACAATCTCGGCTCACTACAACCTCTGCCTCCTGGGTTCAAGCAATTCTCTTGCCTCAGCCTCCCAAGTAGCTGGGATTACAGGTGCCTGCCACCATTCCTGCCTAGTTTTCTTGTAATTTTAGTATAGATGGGGTTTCACCATGTTGGCCAGGCTGGTTTCAAACTCCTGACCTCAAGTGATCCATCTGTCTCGGCCTCCCAAAGTGCTAGGATTACAGGCATGTGCCACCGCGCCCAGCCCAAACTGAGGATTTTTTAAAAAAACTTTTTAATGATTGAAAAGAATTTATGGAAATGTCTTTTCTCTTTTGTTATGTAGGTACTTACCTAATAGCCTTGATTCTGCCCCTTGGTCCATAAAACTTAGAATATTGTACCATCTGGACCTTTACAGAAAAAGGTTGCCAATCCCTGGTTTAAGAGAAGGGGTTTGTGAATACCTATCCAGTAGCATTTTGGATGCCTGGCCCATGGCTTCTGGGGTTTCCATGCCCTCCTGGGGGAGGCTGTGCAGAAAGCTGGGACAAGAGGAATGAGGCTGATACTACCCCGAATCCCACCACAGGGGTGGTCCCATGGCTCAGGTCTGGCCAATCAGAGTACCCTGTTCTTCTGGCCACAGTGATTGGTTCAGCAATAAGCAGGTGTCTCAAGCCTAGTCAATCAAAGTCCTCTTGGGGCTTTGGCCAGAGCTACTAGAAATGATACTTTTTCTGAGTTGGTAAGCTGGAAGGAAGCCATTTTTCAGAGGATGATTATCTTTGTATCTATGTGAGGAAAACCTTTCTGGAAAAGAAATTGCATATACCAGAAAGCAGACATGGAAGGAAGAAGGGAGGAAGAGAGAGAGAGAGAGAGAGATTGACACATTTGACATTGACAAGAGGCTGGATGAAGGTGTGTGTACTGCTGGTCATGAAGTGTCTTAATTCTAAGAGATGAAAGGGCCATTTTCGTCCACTGAAATAATAGGCATTATTTGTATGTATCTGTAGTGGCCAGTGACTGACTTCCCAGGAGAAATCGGCATCTCCAGGAGAGAAAAGTAGGGACTTCCTAGTAAAGAGTTCCCCAAGAACCAATAACAGTCACATGGCCCTACAGCAGAGGCATTTTAAGATGTCCGTTGGCTCTGGTTCCTTTTAGAAGCCTCTCCCACATTATATATCAAGTATCCAGTGTACCTATATCATATGTTTGTTAATGTAAATACATTTTAAAGAATTTTTAAACCTGGCACAGTGGCTTATGCCTGTAATCTCAGCACTTTGGGAGGCTGAGGCAGGGGATCACTTGAGGCCAGGAATTCAAGATCAGCCTGCACAACATAGTGATACCCCATCTCTACACAAAATAAAAAATTATCCAGGTGTGGTGACACATGTCTGTAGTCCCAGCTACTCGGGAGGCTGAGGTGGGAGGATCACTTGAACCCAGGAGTTCAGGGCTACAGTGAGTTATGATTGCATCACTGTGCCCCAGCCTGGGCAACAGTGAGACCCTGTCTCTAAAAAAATAAAATTTAGGGCCGGGCACGGTGGCTCACGCCTGTAATTCCAGCACTTTGGGAAGCCGAGGCAGGCGGATCACGAGGTCAGGAGATCGAGACCATCCTGGCTAACACGGTGAAACCCCGTCTCTACTAAAAATACAAAAAATTAGCCTGGTGAGGTGGCGGGCGCCTGTAGTCCCAGCTACTCGGGAGGCCGAGGCAGGAGAATGGCGTGAACCCCGGGGGGCAGAGCCTGCAGTGAGACGAGATCGCGCCACTGCACTCCAGCCTGGGCGACAGTGAGACTCCGTCTCAAAAATAAATAAATAAAATAAAATAAAATTTAATTTGAAAATTAAAAATAAAAAAATAATTTGTGGAATTTTGCTTTTGAACTTACTTGGCTATGAGTAGTAATTCCTTCACTGTATAATGCTATTGGCTGTGCTTTCTCATGCAAACTCAGGAGTTATTACAAAGTGAGGGAACCAACCCATAAATTGTGTTTAGATGTAATAAGATTTTAATGAAAACAAACTTAATGAACAAAGTGGACCTAGTGTTTTTTAGACATTTAATTAAGCATTTCTTCATTTCAATTTTGCATCTTTTTCTTTATTTCGAGCCAATGCCTTTTATTTTTTTCCTGGTCCTCAATGTGTTTGCAAGACCTGGAATTTGTGGCTATAGGCGTGTGTTTCCTGGTGGGTAATGCAGCCTTATCTGGACTGGTCGATCAGGAGGCTGGAGGCAGCACGAGCAGCGGCCCCAGGCTCCAAGAATCTTCATTCTCACAGGTCACATTGGCGATTTCTCTAGGGTGGAATAATCAGCTCAGCAGGGTCTGTGCTTAAGTTCGGAGGCCTGTGACTCACGTTGAAATCAGCACCTCCAGGTGAGGAAAGCCTGGGGTGGCTCAAAACCCAATAGGAGCCACTAACGAATCCAGGGGCAACCGTGACTATTTATGCTCCTGGCACACAAGTCACAAGATAAAAGCTCGGGGCCTCCCCTGGCATTGGAATCTCTCAGAGGTTTATTTGTTCATTCACGCATCAGTTTACTCAGCAAAGAGGAATCACGGAGTTGTTTTTCGTGCCCAACCTGGAGTGGAGGGAGGGGAAGAACAGATGGGACGTGAGGTTTGTCACCGTCACCTGGTCGGCTGGCTTCCTTGCACATTAACATTTTATATCTGGGCTCTCAGTAGCAGCGAGAATCCAACAACAGCATGGCACTGACCTGGTTCTGAGCGTCAAGGAGCCTCAGAGGCTTCTGCTTCTGGGTCCCACTTGGGCGTGGCCCTGTAGTGAACCCCTCAGGCCATTTGGGGGAAGAATGAGGAGGGACTTACACTGAAAGGGCACCTTCTGATCTCCAGGCACTGCATCTATGCTGTTGATTTGCTTCCTAACTTGTGCCTCAAGCAATTGCATCCCTTTTCCAGGTGAGGCAATGGAAGCTCCAGACAGGTGAAATACTTTACCCCAAGTCACACGGCAAGGAAGTGGTAGAGGCAGATTTGACTTCAGAGCAGCCGCACCCCAAACTCTGCACTGTTGGCTTCCATGCTCTTCTCCCTCCCTGAATTTTCAGGAGGGTTCAGAGTCTGTTGGTGGAATTTCTGGTATGCCTCAGATGTAGACTTGTTGCTCCTTTCAGATTAACTGTTTCTGTCCAAAGCCAAGAAGACAGAAGTGGTGGATGTGTCTATAGCTGCCTCGGGCCTCTAGTGCAGGGCAAAGATGCCCCTCAGAGGAGTCAGGTGAGGCTGAAATCGAGCCCACATGTCACCTACCTGTTGGTACGTGGTGTGGGAATTCGTCAGACTGACAGGAAAGGGTTGCTTGCCAGGCTCTGCACCCCTGAAGCCCCATCAACCCAGAGGGGTTCCTCTTAATAAATTGCACAAAAGCACCGCCTTGCTTTGGGTTTTCCTGGAAGCAGACTCCGAGGCAGATATTGCAGTGCAAATCCTTTTGTTTGGGAGGTGACTCCAGGAAGTACTGGTAAGAGAGTAGGGAAGTAAGACAGGGAGGGGAAGCAAAGCATTCACCGTGTGTTGCCATCGTGGACAACTAGACCACAGTCCCACTGGAGAGCCCTGGGGAACAGTAGGGAACATGCCCCTAAATTATCCCAGTGCCCCATCTTTGGTGATGGCTGCTTCCAGGGACTCCACGGCTTGCTCTTCACGCAGGCTGAGTGCACTCTCATGGCCAGAGTAATGCCCTCCTGAAGGATCAGGGTTGTGCCTGATGAACTGCTTGGGTGGCATGTGTGTGCTGATGAGCCGTGTTGGTTGCAGGTGTGAGCGGAGGTG
Source organism: Homo sapiens (assembly GCF_000001405.40). NCBI lineage: Eukaryota > Metazoa > Chordata > Mammalia > Primates > Hominidae > Homo > Homo sapiens. The sequence continues at coordinate 72,727,828 of NC_000003.12, read as the reverse complement.
ATCTGGTCAGAATGGCAACAGCACCCATCCCACTACCCACAAGGTGAGCCTGACACCGTTACCAAGACTTCTGTCCTTCTGGATTCAACAGGCTCAAGAGATTGTCTGTGCCTCTTCTCCACTGTTTCATTAGCTGAGGTATGAATTTAGGCATCCACCTGTACCGTTGCCCTCCCAAAGGCTGACTTGCGATTGAAAACAAAACAAAACGCTTCTGAAAACAAAACAAAAACGCATTCTGCTCAAACACCATCCCAGGAAACCTCAGGACTTTATAATCAAGTCTGGGATCTGTTCCTAGCTCTGATGTGTGGCCATTTCCTTTGGCTTCTCTTCACTTTCTGCCTCTTTCTCTTCCTCCCCTTTGTCTTTAGAAGCCAATAAGGAAATCCACGTGTCCTGGCTTCTTGCCTTCCTGTTTTTATCCTGTAGACCTCCGGAGGGTTGTTTGGCAAGAGCAGGAGTGGCTGCCTTGGAACTGCACGAGGTTGGGTGGTGAGGCTTGGGAGGGGGCAGCCGCATGGGGTGGGGCTGCTTTGAAGCCATGTTTGTGTATGGTTTACTGATTGGGGGTGACGGGTGGAAACTACGGGGAGCCTCAAACCCCCCTTGGCATTGTCCCCAACAAAGCTGAATTCTTGCTATTGCTGAATCCCCAAGCCCCAGAACTCACAGCCCCGCCTCCATGGCCCTTCGTGGACCCCCTGGTTCCATGGTTTTGCTTGTTCTGGGGCTACATAGCAGACTTCAGTAAGAACTGGAGCAGGAGTTTGGCAGAGATGTCAAGAGTTGACTGAAATCAGAAACCTCCAGCACTAAATTGTGACTGTTTTAGTCTCTGTTCCTCTGACTAGACTGCTGCTGCTCCTTGGAGGCTTTCTGATGTGCCTTTCCAGTTACCCTTTACGATTTTTGCCTATAACACAAATAGCTCCGAAGGAGGCGCAGAACCCTGTTGCTTCATTTGGCACCAATGATCTAATGAGGTGGAAATCCCAGGGATGCTCTCAGGGGGCCGACGCAGTAATTGATATCAATTGGTGTGATTAGAGAAAGCCCTCAATCATCCCGAGGTGTCTCACTGCAATCTGTCATGGTCCTCATCAGATGAGCTTCGCCCTGAGCTTGTGCTGGAATGAGCACCGCTTTCCTGTATTCAGCCCAAAAGCCCAAATGTGGCCCGGCGTGGTGGCTCACACCTGTAATCCCAGCACTTTGGGAGGCAGAGGTGGGCAGATCACCTGAGGTCAGGAGTTCGAGACCAGCCTGGCCAACATGGCAAAACCCCGTTGCTACTAAAAATACAAAAATTAGCTGACGTGGTGGCATGCACCTGTAATCTCAGCTACTCCAGAGGCTGAGGCAGGAGAATTGCTTGAGCCTGGGAGGCAGAGGTTGCAGTGAGCCAAGATCACGCCATTGCTGATCTCAACCTGGGCGACAGAGCTGGTCTCTGTCTCCAAAAAAAAAAGAAAGGGCCTAACGTAAGCATGAGAGATACATATCTTACTGCCCTGCCCAAGAAGTGAGGACGTGCTTTTCCCACTTGCCTGGGAGGCGGCCTGGCTGAGAGGTCACAGGCCCAGGCTTAAAATCTGACTCCCTGGGCGGGAGTCTTTGCTATGCCTTTATAGGCTGGTGGCCTTGGAACAGTGACTTCACTCCTGGTGCCTCAGTTTCTTTATCTGTAACATATGGTGATAATAGTACTACATTTCTTTTTGGTAGAGACTGGATCTTAATGTTTTTCTCAGGCTGGTCTCAAACTCTGGGGCTCAAGCAATCCTCCTGCCTTGGCCTCCTGAGTAGCTGGGACTATAGCTGCATCACCCCACCCAGCTATCATATTACGTTATTAGCCCTCACACGATTGTTGGGAGGGTTAAATAATATGCGTAAAGTGCTTAGAAACATACCTAGTACATAGTATTTGTTAAGTAAATTCTCTTATTTTTTTCTTCTGCCCATTCCAGAAAGGCTCTGGGGAGTCTAACAGCCAGGACAGACAAAGAGCAGTAAAACAAATACTGAGGAACTCAAGAACCATGTGAGGTTGACACCTGAGGTATTACTTGGACTCTGTACTGCAAAGAACATTTATTCATTCAACAAGCATCTACTGAGTACCTCCGGTGTCCCAGGCACTGTGCTCGTGGCTGGGCTTACAGCTGTGACTTCATAGAGGTTAGATTTGAGTGTGTGCGTGTACACCTGGCATAGGTAAACAAGCAAGTCATTAAGATAATTTCAGAGTGATAAAGATGGTGAAGAAAATGAGCAGGACGAAGTGAAACGGAGGAGTGGGGTGGGGGCAACTCCAGGATGTGCGGTTGGGAAAGGCCTCTCTGAGGAGATGAGGGGACAAGAAAGAAGCAGCCCTGTGAGGCCCCAGGATGAGAACTTTCCACAGAGCGAGCAGCAAGTGCAAAGGCCCTGGGCTGCATGGGAGCTCAGAGAATCAGGAGGATAGCAAGGAGGCTGCCATGCTGGAGGAGAATGAGGGAAGAGAGTGCAGAGGCCAGTTTGGAGAGGCTGAATAAAGCCTGAGTGTGCGTGGTGCAGTGTTCAATTTTTATTTTTGAGGATTTATTTATGTATTTACTTGAGACAGAGGTCTTGCTCTGCCACCAGGCTAGAGGGCAGTGGTACCATCACGGCTCACTACCGCCTCGACCTCCCTGGGTGCAACTAATCCTTCCACCTTAGCCTCCTGAGTAACTGAGAACACAGGTGCATGCCATCTTGCTCTGCCAATTTTTGTATTTTTTGTAGAGATGGCTTTTTGCTATGTTGCCCAGGCTGGTCTTGAACTCCTGAAGTCAAGCAATCCGCCCACCTTGGCCTCCCACCATGCTGGGATTACAGGCGTGAGCCACCGCACCCGGTTTTTTGAGGACTTCAAACAGCAAACAACATAGTTTCCGTTACCAGTTAAAAAGTTTAGAAACCCAGCTGGGTGCGGTGGCTCACGCCTGTAATCCCAGCACTTTGGGAGGCCAAGGCGGGCGGATCACGAGGTCAGGAGACCGAAACCATCCTGGCTAACAAGGTGAAACCCTGTCTCTACTAAAAATACAAAAAAAATTAGCTGGGCATGGTGGTAAGCGCCTGTAGTCCCAGCTACTCGGGAGGCTGAGGCAGGAGAATGGCGTGAACCCGGGAGGCGGAGCTTGCAGTGAGCCGAGATCGCGCCACTGCACTCCAGCCTGGGCAACAGAGTGAGACGCCGTCTCAAAAAAAAAAACAAGTTTAGAAACCCAACTCAAGGTAGCTTAAACAAAAGGAGGGATATATTAAAGAACAGCAACAGTGTCTCAGGGAAGCCAGGGGGAGGAACAGAGCTGGGCTTGAAACTGGGAGGGCGATTTCTCCATCCCCATTGCCGGTTTTCTTTATACTGTTTGTGACCCAGTCCATGTTGTGGAACACAGCTGCCGACTACTCCTGAAATTTGTGAAATTGACTTCTGTAGTCTGGCATCTCAAGGGTGACTCATCTCTCAGTGCCAACACGCCTCAGGTAAGGACTCAGGAACTGGCTTGAGCCAGGAGTCCACTCCTGGACCAATCAGCTATGGCCAGGGTGGAATTGAGTCACACTCCACCTCCTAGTTGTTCTTAAGTAAGGATGGGGGCTGGGCACGGTGGCTCAGGCCTTCAATGCCAGCACTTTGGGAGTCCGAGGTGGGCGGATCACGTGAGATCAGGAGTTCGAGACCAGCCTGGCCAACGTGGTGAAACCCCTTCTCTAATAAAAATATAAAAATTAGCCGAGTGTGGTGGCAGGCGCCTGTAGTCCCAGCTACTCGGGAGGCTGAGGCAGGAGAATCACTTGAACCCAGGAGGCGAAGCTTGCAGAGAGCCGAGATCATGCCACTGCACTCCAGCCTGTGTGACGGAGTGAGATGTTGTCTCAAAAAAAAAAAAAAAAAAAAAGTAAGGATGGGGCTCTGGGCAGGGAGAAATAATTCTCAAAGAGGGGAATGAGGGAAGAGTAAACAAAGGATCTAAGTTGCCAGAAAACCAGAAACTAAAGAATGAATGTACCTAGAAGCAAGCTCAGAATTTAGCTCTGAGCTTTGTGGTAGCCAAAGCTTTAAAAAAAAGAAAAAAAAGGAAAGAAAGAAAACAACGAATAAGCATCTGAGTTCTGATTGGCTAATAAAATAAGGCACAGCAGATCACGAGGAGAGAGAAGCATTTTCTTCCATGAAAGCTGAGAGGACATTCTTTAGGTTTCTATGTGGAAGGGGACTAAGAAATACAATAAATGACTCATTCAGCAACAGTTGAATTTAGATTTCTGAGATGATTAAGTTTTTCACAATGTGTGGGGAGTCCCTCCTGGTGAATTCTGAAAGTAGAGGGGACATTATTAAATTTCAGTGCAAGGGTAGGCAGGGTGTGTTTGAGGGGGAACCAAAGTCATGCTCATTATGTTTTCTTTCGATGACCTCATTGGCTCTTGGAGACCTCAGTGCCGTGGTAAAAAACTCAGGGTTTACCTACAGGACTGGGGAGAGGGGTGTGGAGTGGGTTGGGTGTGAGGAAAACATCAGGATAAAGGGCAGCTGACAATCCATCTCTGTCAGCAGGGGGAACTTGAGAAATAGCTGCTCCTTGGTGGTAGCCAAGTGGTGCCTCTTGGGCCTAATGATATTCTACCAGGAACTGGAAAGTCTGGACTATTAAAACATGACTGTTGACAATGAATTTAAATTCCAAGAGCCAAACAAAACGTGGTGAGGGTGAATGTAGCCCTCGGCCATGGGCGTGCAGGCCCCACCCCTCTGGCGTTGCAAGGACTGGGTAGCCTGTGTTCATATGAGCTTCCTGGAACACAGATGGCTCTGCCAGGCTCTTGGCCAGAACTGGGCACAGTGAGAGCCCCAAGTGCAGAAATTCTGTGTCCTGTAGAGCCAAGAATGCCACACCTCTTACTCCTTTCCTTCTTTTTCTTTTTCTATTTTTTTTTTCCAGACAGGATCTCACTCTGGGGTGCAGTGCATGATCACAGCCCACTGCAGCCTGGACCTCCCAGGCTTAAGCGATCCTCCCACCTTAACCTCATGAGTAGCTGGGGCAACAGGCATGTGCCACCATGCCTGGCTAATATATATATATATATTTTTTGAGACAGAGTCTCCCTCTGTTGCCAGGCTAGAGTGCAGTGGTGCGATCCCAGCTCACTGCAACCTCTGCCTCCCGGGTTCAAGAGATTCCCCTGCCTCAGCCTCCTGAGTAGCTGGGAATACAGGCACATGCCACCATGCTTGGCTAATTTTTTGTATTTTTTAGTAGAGACGGGGTTTCACCATGTTGGCCAGGATGGTCTCGATCTCTTGACCTCGTGATCCGCCCACCTCGGCCTCCCAAAGTACTGAGATTACAGGTGTGAGCCACCACGCCCGGCCAAATTTTTAAAAAAATCTTTAGTAGAGATGAGGCCTCTCCCTATGTTGACCAAGCCAGTCTTGAACTCCGGAGCTCAAGCAATCCTCCCGTTTTGGCCTCCCAAAGTGCTGGGATTACAGGTGGCATGGGTGACAGCACCCTCCCTCCCTTCCTCCCTTCCTCCCTTCCTCTCTCTTTCTTCCTCCCTCCCTCCTTCCCTCCCTTCTCCTTTCTCCCTTCTCTCTCTCCTTCCTTCCTTCCTTCCTTCCTTCCTTCCTTCCTTCCTTCCTCCTTCCTTCCTTCCTGTTGGGCCCCAGGTATCCAATGATGAGTAAAACAGGCCCTCCATTCTCTCAGGGAGTTTACATTCCAGTTAGGGAGCCAGACTTTCACAACTAATTACACAGTGAAGTGGTTCATCCAAGTTGTAAGATGTGCCAGGAGGGGAGCCTGCCGAAAGCCACCTTAGAGTGCTTACAAGGGAATCTGATCAAGTCTATGTTTAGGAAAATTCCCCGAGGAAATGACTTAAGCCGAGATCTTAAGGAGAATAAGGGAGGGTTGTGATTCCAGACAAAGCAGGCTGCTGTGACTGCTGTGAATTGGGAAGGAACTTGTCACTTGTCACTTGTCACCGGAGGGCAGAGTTACCAGATGGGGCTGGGGACCGAGGAAGGAGCCAGGCAGATTTTGTTAGCCATGTTGAAGATTTAGAACTCAAGCAAACTTATCCAAAACTTAGAAATATGGCAGAAAGGAAGACTGCAGTTTCTTTCCACGTCGGCTTAGAGCATTATTTGCCAGGCCTGCCCAAGGATTAGTTAATTCTATATGGGAATTGTACCTTGGTTTGATTTTGCTATTTACTGATTGAACTTGATCTCTATTAAGTTACATGTAAATTTGTGAATAGCTGTCCTGTTGAGATGCAAATGGTTTATGTGTGATAGAGGAGGCAACCCTAAAGGTTTTGGCTTTATCACCCTGAAGGACATTAGTCATTTTTGTTCCTAACTTAAAAAATGAACAAATAAATTAAACTTTACATCAGTACCCCCTCTCTGGGGGACTGTAGAAACCCCTGTCATCAAATGCTTTTTGAAGCAGCTCTACCGTGCTGCTGGCTCTCTTATTAATCAGTTAAATATTTGACACATGCTTGTTCTATATATTAATCAGTTAAATATTTGACACATGCTTGTTCTATATTAGTTTCAAAGCCAGGTTTTTATCTTCTCAACATTATTCTTTGACGGAACTCTCTCCAAAGTGTGATGAAAGCTGGAGGGTTTTAAGCAGGCAGCTGCCACGATTAAATTTGCCAGTGGACGCCAATGTTAAGGTTCTTCTGTGAAAATTAAGAAATGCAGGCTTCTATTTTTACCTTCAAGTGGAGGCTTTACCTCTAGGGAAAAATAACTGGTTTGGTTGAGGACCAATCTTCTGTTGTTATCACCAAGTGTGGGTTTATTATAGGGTCTTTCTGCAAACATAGGGGCCTCTAATCATTGCAGTGTCCATTTTGTTAAGACTTAAAGCATCAGATGATAATTTATTGTAATGGGATCTAAACTAATGAACTCCACTTACAATTAAAATGTTTTAGAAAGCTTTCTTTTCTCCTGGGTCTCCCCAGGAGGCCCAGCTCTGACAAAAGTAGAACCACTCTGCTGTGGGATAGATTGCTCATCAGCTCTGTCAAGTGTCAGGAGATGGGCCATCTCTTTAAAGTGCTTAAAAAGGGGGAGGGGGGAAGCATCCATTTCTATAAATTATTGAATATGGATTTAAAATCACCTATTTGGAGAAGTGTTGAAATTGCACGTGCTAATTGAAGAGCCAGAGAAACAGCATTGGGACTGCAGCGAGGAGGCCAGTAATTGTTCCCGAGCTTTTGGTGGTCAGAATGAAGGTGACAGCACCCTGGGCAGCCACAGGATCTAAATGGAGTCCCAAGTAGAAAGGCAGCACTTCGTGCACCGGGAATTATGCTAGAGCCCGACCTCTCTGCTATCTCCTCTAATCCCTAAGGTATTGGCAAGGGGACCGTTGTTGCCTTCCTGCAGGTAGGAAACTGAGCCCCTCAGAGGTCGAGTGACTTGCCAGAGGTCACTCAGCTAGTAGGTGGCTGAGGTGACTTCTGAATCCAGGTGTTTCAGATTCAGTGTGTCAATATGCCTTTCTGTAATTTGCAGACATTCTTCACCTCAGTTGTCATTTTCTCAGTGTTTATGCTCCAATGATATCATTCAAACTGATATAGCAGAAAGAGCATGACCACCCCCCAACATGCCCCCAGAGAATTAATGCTCAGCTTTAGGCAATTGACAGATAATTGGGAAATTATGATCCTCATTTCTTCCCTCCCTGCCGGCCTCTCTTCCTTCTTTCATAATTCTGTTGAATACCTCCTTCAAGTTTTTGCTCAAGGCTGAGCGTGGTGGCTTACGCCTGTAATCCCAGCACTTTGGGAGTCGGAGGAGGGTGAGTCACTTCAGATTGGAAGTTCGAGACCAGCCTGGCCAACATGGTGAAACCCCGTCTCTACTAAAAATACAAAAATTAGCTGGGCGTGGTGGTGGGCATCTGTAGTCCCAGCTACTTGGGAGGCTGAGGCAGGAGAATCGCTTGAACCCAGGAGGGAGGTTGCAGTGAGCTGAGATAGTACCAAGGCATTTCAGCCTGGGTGACAGAGTGAGACTCCATCTCAAAAAAAAAAAAAAAAAAAAAAAAAGGTTTTGCTCAAATATCATCTATTCAGTAAAGCCTCCCATGGCCACCTTCCTTAAAATTGCAGCCTACATGAGCCCTCAACCCTCTTTTCTGTTACCCTATTCTATTGCTTTTCCCCCATATCATGTATCTTCTAATATGCTACATAATCTACTTATTTATTTTCTTATTATTTATTGTTTGTCTTCCTTTAACAGCATGGAGACACTAAGCAAGAATCTTCATCTATTTTGTTCACTAGTGTCTTTCCTTCTTTCCTTTCTTCCTTCCTTGCTCCCTCCCTCCCTCCTTCCTTCCTCCCTCCCCTCCCCTTCCTTCCTTCTTTCCTTCCTTCCTTCCTGCCTTCCTGCCTTCCTTCCTTGCTTCCTTCCTCTCTTTCTCTTTGCTTCTTCCTTTTCTTCTCTCTCTCTCTCTTTTCCTTTCCTTTCCTTTCCTTTCTTTCCCTTCCCTTCCCTACCCTTACCCTTCCTTCCTTCCTTCCTTCCTTCCTTCCTTCCTTCCTTCCTTCCTTCCTTCCTTCCTTCCTTTCTATTTTTGAGACTGGGTCTCAGTCTGTCACCCAGGTTGGAGTGCAGAGGTACAATCACAGCTCACTGCAGCCTCACCTTCCCAGGCCCAGGTAATCCTCCCATCTCAGCCTCCCAAGAAGCTGAGACAACAGGCACGTGTCACCATGCCTGGCTTTGTTGTATTTTTTGTAGAGACAGGATTTTGCTATGTTGCCCAGGCTGATCTTGAACTCCTGATCCAAGGCCTCGCAAAGTGCTGGGATTATAGGCGTGAGCCACTGCACTTAGCCCACTTTTGCATTTCAAGTGTTTAGAACAATGCCTAGAATGTAGTAGGTGCTTAATAAATATTTGTTGATTTATTGCATGAATGAATACCTGTTACTGGATTAGTTATAGTTTAACAAAAACCAACAAGCAACGTAAACTAGTACAATAGTTTCCTTTTATCCATGGTTTTGCTTTCGGAGATTTTAGTTACTTTCAATCGACTGCAGTCTGAAAACAGGTGACTACAGTAAAATAAGATATTTGAGATAGAAAGACCACATTCACATAACTTTTATTATAGCATATTGCTATAATCGTTTGATTTTATTATTATTTATTTTATTATTTATTTATTATTATTGTTGCTAATCTCTTACTGTGCCTAATTTATAAACTTAATCATAGGTATATATATATATAAGGGAAAGAACATAGTGTATATGCAGGGTTTAGAACTAACTGAAGTTAGGCCGGGCGCAGTGGCTCAAGTCTTTAATCCCAGCACTTTGGGAGGCCGAGGCAGATGGATCAAGAGGTCAGGAGATCGAGACCATCCTTGTTAACACGGTGAAACCCTGTCTCTACTAAAAATACAAAAAAAAAAAAAAAAAAAAAAGAACTAACTGAAGTTGGATGGGCACAGTGACGCACACCTGTAAACCCAGTACTTTGGGAGGCTGAGGCAGGTGGATACCTGAGGTCAGGAGTTTGAGACCAGCTTAGGCAACATGGTAAAACGCCATCTCTACTAAAAATACAAAAGTTAGCTGGGTGTGATGGCACACAGCTGTAATCCTATCTACGAGGCTGAGGCAGGAGAATCACTTGAACCTGGGAGGCGGAGGTTGCAGTGAGCCAAGATTGTGCCACTGCACTCCAGCCTGGGTGACAGAGTGAGACTCCGTCTCAAAAAAAAAAAAAAAAAAGAAAAGAAAAGAAAAGAAAAGAAAAGAAAAGAAAAAAGAACTATCTGAAGTTTCAGGCATGCACTGAGGGTCTTGGAACATATTCTCCTGGATAAGGGGGCACTGCTGTATTAATTGTACACACCTGTGTGTGAGGCATTGTTCTAAGGGTTTACCCATAGTCTCTTCTTTAATCTTCACAGTATAGCAACTATTATTACATTTTACAGATGAGGAAACTGAGGCCCAGGAAAGCAGAATAACTTGACCAAGGTTACATACCTAGTACTTTTAAAATCAGCTTTGGTGAGGTATAGCTTTCATATAATAAAATGCACTCATGTTCAAGCACAGTTTTGGCAAGTGGGTACACCTGTGGAATCCTCACCAAACTCAAGATATGTAGCCTTTCCATCCTCCAACAATTCCCTCCCCTCTGCCACTTAGCAGTCTGTCCCTTCCAGTACCCAGCAAATACTAACCTGGTTTCTGTCCTTCAATGTTTGGCTTTTCTAGAATGTTATATAAAGTGGAATCACACAGCATGCACTCATTTATGTTTGGCTCTTTTACTCAGCATAATTATTTGAAATTCATCCATATTTTTCTGTGGATCAATGGTCCATTCATTTTTATTGCTGAGTAGTATTCTATTATGTGGAATATATCACAGTTTGTTTATCCAGTGCCTTTTGATGGACATTTGGGTTGTTTCCAGTTTGGGGATATTGGGAATAAATCTGCTATGAGCATTCATATGTAAGTTTTGTGGGCACATATGTTTTTATTTCTCTTGGGTAAATACCTAGAAATGAAATTGCTGGATTTTGTTTAGCTGTATGTTTAACTTCATATGATTTTATGCACCTCTTATGATTTATGGCTTAGCTATTTGTATGGCACCCAGACGGTTTCAGGAATAATTGTAAATGGTTGAACCCCAGAGAATTTTCCTGTCTCACTGGGCCATCCTTTTACAATCCCCCCTGGAAGGGCTGGTATTAGATGGCAGAAGTAGCCTTGATGGGGTGGGAGGAGCAGGGTGGGGGTCATGGATCCGCCCATGTCTTGGGCGGGCATGTCTACCCTCTGGGGCCCAATCTCCTCAAATGGGGAGAGTTTAATGCAATGGTGTGCCAGTAAATGTTTAATAAATGCTGCTTCAGAAAAGCTACATATGCTCTTGCATATATTTTTAAGAAATTTTACTGAGTAAACAATTTGAGAATAATAAAATGTGCAAAAGTCTTTCTTATAAATTCCACACAGCCAGTTGATTTTCACAAAATACTTTTATAGACTTTGCTCAACTCCCATATCAGTAGCCAACCAATAGTTGCAAATCATGAGTGAGTGCAGTTTGGATACGAATGTTGGTTGATATTTTTGCTTATGTTAAAGAGTAAGAGGCCAGGCGCAGTGGCTCATACCTGTAATCCCAGTACTTTGGGAGGCCAAGGCAGGCAGATCACCTGAGGTCAGGAGTTTGAGACCAGCCTGGGCAACGTGGTGAAACCCCATCTCTGCGGTTCCAAGATGGCCGAATAGGAACAGCTCCAGTCTATAGCTCCCAGCATGAGCAACGCAGAAGACGGGTGATTTCTGCATTTCCAACTGAGGTACTGGGTTCATCTCACTGGGTCTCATTGGACAGTGGGGGCAGGACAGTGGGTGCAGCCCACTGAGTGTGAGCCAAAGCAGGGTGAGGCATCGCCTCACCCAGGAAGTGCAAGGGGTCAGGGAATTCCCTTTCCTAGCCAAGGGAAGGGGTTACAGACGGCACCTGGAAAATCGGGTCACTCTCACCCTAATACTGCACTTTTCCAATGGTCTCAGCAAATGGCACACCAGGAGATTATATCCCGCGCCTGGCTTGGAGGGTCCCACGCCCATGGAGCCTTGCTCATTGCTAGCACAGCAGTCTGAGTTCGAACTGCAAGGCGGCAGTGAGGCTTGGGGAGGGGCGCCCACTATTGCTGAGGCTTGAGTAGGTAAACAAAGTGGCCAGGAAGCTCGAACTGGGTGGAGCCCACCGCAGCTCAAGGAGGCCTGCCTGCCTCTGTAGACTCCACCTCTGGGGGCAGGGCATAGCCGAACAAAAGACAGCAGAAACCTCTGCAGACTTAAATGTCCCTGTCTGACAGGGACTTGAAGAGAGTAGTGGTTCTCCCAGCATGGAGTTTGAGATCTGAGAACGGACAGACTGCTTCCTCAAGTGGGTCCCTGACCTCTGAGTAGCCTGCAAGTAGCCTAACTGGGAGGCACACCGCAGTAGGGGCAGACTGACGCCTCACATGGCTGGGTACCCCTCTGAGATGAAGCTTCCAGAGGAATGATCAGGCAGCAACATTTGCTGTACAGCAATATGTGCTGTTCTGCAGGCTCCGCTGCTGATACCCAGGCAAACAGGGTCTGGAGTGGACCTCTAGCAAACTCCAACAGACCTGCAGCTGAGGGTCCTGACTGTTAGAAGGAAAACTAACAAACAGAAAGGACATCCACACCAAAACCCCATCTGTCGGTCACCATCATCAAAGTCCAAAAGTAGATAAAACCACAAAGATGGGGAAAAAACAGAGCAGAAAAGCTGAAAATTCTAAAAATCAGAGCACGTCTCCCCCTCCAAAGGAACACAGCTCCTCACCAGCAACGCAACAAAACTGGATGGACAATGACTTTGACGAGTTGAGAGAAGAAGTCTTCAGACACTCGAACTTCTCTGAGCTAAAGGAGGAAGCTCCAACCCAACGCAAAGAAGTTAAAAACCTTGGAAAAAGATTAGATGAATGGCTAACTAGAATAACCAGTGTGGAGAAGTCCTTAAATGACCTGATTGAGCTGAAAACCATGGCACGAGAACTACGTGACGAATGCACAAGCTTCAGTAGCCAATTTGATCAACTGGAAGAAAGGGTATCAGTGATTGAAGATCAAATGAATGAAATGAAGTGAGAACAGAAGTGTAGAGAAAAAAGAATAAAAAGAAATGAACAAAGCCTCCAAGAAATATGGGACTATGTGAAAAGACAACTCTACGTCTGATTGGTGTACCTGAAAGTGATGGGGAGAATGGAACCAAGTTGGAAAACACTCTTCAGGATATTATGCAGGAGAACTTCCCCAACCTAGCAAGGCAGGCCAACATTCAAATTAAGGAAATAGAGAGAACACCCCAAAGATACTCCTTGAGAAGAGCACCTCCAAGACACATAATCGTCAGATTCACCAAAGTTGAAATGAGGGAAAAAATGTTAAGGGCAGCCAGAGGGAAAGGTCAGGTTACCCAGAAAGGGAAACCCATCAGACTAACAGTGGATCTCTTGGCAGAAACTCTACAAGCCAGAAGAGAGTTGGGCCAATATTCAATATTCATAAAGAAAAGAATTTTCAACCCAGAATTTCATATCCAGCCAAACTAAGCTTCATAAGTGAAGGAGAAATAAAATCCTTTACAGACAAGCAAATGCTGAGAGATTTTGTCACCGCCAGGCCTGCCCTACAAGAGCTCCTGAAGGAAGCACTAAACATGGAAAGGAACAACCGGTACCAGCCACTGCAAAAACATGCCAAATTGTAAAGACCATCGATGCTAGGAAGAAACTGCATCAACTAACGAGCAAAATAACCAGCTAACATCATAATGAGAGGATCAAATTCACATATAACAATATTAACCTTAAATGTAAATGGGCTAAATCCTCCAATTAAAAGACACTGACTGGCAAATTGGATAAAGAGTCAAGACCCATCAGATTGCTGTATTCAGGAGACCCATCTCACATGCAGAGACACACATAGGCTCAAAATAAAGGGATGGAGGAAGATCTACCAAGCAAATGGAAAACAAAAAAAGGCAGGGGTTGCAATCCTAGTCTCTGATAAAACAGGCTTTAAACCAACAAAGATCAAAAGAGACAAAGAAGGCCATTACATAATGGTAAAGGGATCAATTCAACAAGAAGAGCTAACTATCTTAAATATATATGCACCCAATACAGGGACACCCACATTCATAAAGCAAGTCCTTAGAGACCTATAAAGAGACTTAGACTCACACACAATAATAATGGGAGAATTTAACACCCCACTGTCAACATTAGACAGATCAATGAGACAGAAAGTTAACAAGGATATCCAGGAATTGAACTCAGCTCTGCACCAAGCAGACCTAATAGACATCTACAGAACTCTCCACCCCAAATCAACAGAATATACATTCTTCTCAGCACCACATCGCACTTATTCCAAAATTGACCACATAGTTAGAAGTAAAGCACTCCTCAGCAAATGTAAAAGAACAGAAATTATAATCAACTGTCTCTCAGACCACAGTGCAATCAAACTAGAACTCATGATTAAGAAACTCACTCAAAACCGCTCAACTACATGGAAACTGAACAACCTGCTCCTGAGTGACTACTGGGTACATAACGAAATGAAGGCAGAAATAAAGATGTTCTTTGAAACCAATGAGAACAAAGACAACATACCAGAATCGCTGGGACACATTCAAAGCAGTGTGTAGAGGGAAATTTATAGCACTAAATGCCCACAAGAGAAAGCAGGAAAGATCTAAAATTGACACCCTAACATCACAATTAAAAGAACTAGAGAAGCAAGAGCAAACACATTCAAAAGCTAGCAGAAGGCAAGAAAGAACTAAGATCAGAGAAGAACTGAAGGAGATAGAGACACAAAAAAACCCTTCAGAAAATCAATGAATCCAGGATCTGGTTTTTTGAAAAGATCAACAAAATTGATAGACCACTAGCAAGACTAATAAAGAAGAAAAGAGAGAAGAATCAAATAGATGCAATAAAAAATGATAAAGGGGATATCACCACTGATCCCACAGAAATACAAACTACCATCAGAGAATACTATAAACACCTCTACACAAATAAATTAGAAAATCTAGAAGAAATGGATAAATTCCTGGTCACATACACCCTCCCGAGACTAAACCAGGAAGAAGTTGAATCCCTGAATAGACCAATAACAGGCTCTGAATTTGAGGCAATAATTAATAGCCTACCAACCAAAAAAAGTCCAGGACCAGACGGATTCACAGCCAAATTCTACCAGAGGTACAAGAAGGAGCTGGTACCGTTCCTTCTGAAACTATTCCAATCAATAGAAAAAGAGGGAATCCTCCCTAACTCATTTTATGAGGCCAGTATCATCCTGATACCAAAGGCTGGCAGAGACACAACAAAAAAAGAGAATTTTAGACCAATATCCCTGATGAAGATCGATGCAAAAATCCTCAATAAAATACTGGCAAACTGAATCCAGAAGTACCTCTAAAAGCTTATCCACCATGATGACGTGGGCTTCATCCCTGGGATGCAAGGCTGGTTCAACATACGCAAATCAATAAACGTAATCCAGCATATAAACAGAACCAAAGACAAAAACTGCATGATTATCTCAATAGATGCAGAAAAGACCTTTGACAAAATTCAACAGCCCTTCATGCTAAAAACTCTCAATAAATTAGGTATTGATGGGACATATCTCAAAATAATAAGAACTATTTATGACAAACCCACAGCCAATATCATACTGAATGGGCAAAAACTGGGAGCATTCCCTTTGAAAACTGGCACAAGACAGGGATGCCCTCTCTCACCACTCCTATTCAACATAGTGTTGGAAGTTCTGGCCAGGACAATCAGGCAGGAGAAAGAAATAAAGAGTATTCAGTTAGGAAAAGAGGAAGTCAAATTGTCCCTGTTTGCAGATGACGTGATTATATATTTAGAAAACCCCATCGTCTCAGCCCAAAATCTCCGTAAGCTGATAAGCAACTTTAGCAAAGTCTCAGGATACAAAATCAATGTGCAAAAATCACAAGCATTCTTATACACCAATAACAGACAGAAAGCCAAATCATGAGTGAACTCCCATTCACAATTGCTTCAAAGAGAAGAAAATACCTAGGAATCCAACTTCCAAGGGATGTGAAGGACCTCTTCAAGGAGAACTACAAACCACTGCTCAAGGAAATAAAAGAGGATACAAACAAATGGAAGAACATTCCATGCTCATGGGTAGGAAGAATCAATATCATGAAAATGGCCATACTACCCAAGGTAATTTATAGATTCAATGCCATCCCCATCAAGCTACCAATGACTTTCTTCACAGAATTGGAAAAAACTACTTTAAAGTTCATATGGAACCAAAAAAGAGCCCACATTTCCAAGACAATCCTAAGCCAAAAGAACAAAGCTGGAGGCATCACGCTACCTGACTTCAAACTATACTACAAGACTACAGTAACCAAAACAGCATGGTACTGGTACCAAAACAGAGATATAGACCAATGAAACAGAACAGAGCCCTCAGAAATAATACCACACATCTACAACCATCTGATCTTTGACAAACCTGACAAAAACAAGCAATGGGGAAAGGATTCCCTATTTAATAAATGGTGCTGGGAAAACTGGCTAGCCATATGTAGAAAGCTGAAACTGGATCCCTTCCTTACACCTTATACAAAAATTAATTCAAGATGGATCAAAGACTTAAATGTTAGACCTAAAACCATAAAAACCTTAGAAGAAAACCTAGGCGATACCATTCAGGACATAGGCATGGGCAAGGACTTCATGTCTAAAACACCAAAAGCAATGGCAACAAAAGCCAAAATTGACAAATGGGATCTAATTTACTAAGGAGCTTCTGCACAGCAAAGAAACTACCATCAGAGTGAACAGGCAACCTACAAAATGGGAGAAAATTTTTGCAATCTGCTCATCTGACAAAGGGCTAATATCCAGAATCTACAAAGAACTCAAACAAATTTACAAGAAAAACACAAACAACCCATCAATAAGTGGGCGAAGGGTATGAACAGACACTTCTCAAAAGAAGACATTTATGCAGCCAACAGACACATGAAAAAATGCTCATCATCACTGGCCATCAGAGAAATGCCAATTAAAACCACAATGAGATATCATCTCACACCAGTTAGAATGGCAATCATTAAAAAGTCAGGAAACAACAGGTGCTGGAGAGGATGTGGAGAAGTAGGAACACTTTTACACTGTTGGTGGGACTGTAAACTAGTTCAACCATTGTGGAAGACACTGTGGTGATTCCTCAAGGATCTAGAACTAGAAATACCATTTGACCCAGCCATCCCATTACTGGGTATATACCCAAAGGATTACAAATCATGCTGCTATAAAGACACATGAATACATATGTTTATTGCGGCACTATTCACAATAGCAAAGACTTGGAACCAACCCAAATGTCCATCAATGATAGACTGGATTAAGAAAATGTGGCACATATACACCATGGAATAGTATGCAGCCATAAAAAAGGATGAGTTCATGTCCTTTGTAGGGATATGGTTGAAGCTGGAAACCATCATTCTGAGCAAACTATCGCAAGGACAAAAAACCAAACACTGCATGTTCTCACTCATAGGTGGGAATTGAACAAGGAGAACACTTGGACGCAGGAAGGGGAACATCATACACCGGGGCCTGTTGTGGGGTGGGGGAAGGGGGGAGGGAAAGCATTAGGAGATATACCTAATATAAATGGCAAGTTAATGGGTGCAGCACACCAACATGGCACATGTATACATATGTAACAAACCTGCACATTGTGTACATGTACCCTAGAACTTAAAGTATAATAATAATAATAAAAGAAACCCCATCTCTACTAAAAATACAAAAATTTAGCTGAGTGTGGTGGTGGGAGCCTGTAATCCCAGCTACTCAGGAGGCTGAGGCAGAAGACTCACTTGAACCTGGGAAGTGCAGGTTGCAGTGAGCCGAGATCACATGCCATTGCACTCCAGCCTGGGGAATAAGAACGAAGCTTCGTCTCAAAAAAAAAAAAAAAAAAAAGAGTAAGATGACAGTGAAACAACAAAGAAATATGCATTTATCAATGGCATAGAGACTTCTTTGCTTAATTGGTTAATAGTTCTTCAGTATTGGAAGAGTATTTTCTAATTCTTTGTGCTATTCATAATGTAACAGCTGCATACACAAGACACTTGGTATCAACATTTTCTTTATCACTTTCCTAAGTCTAGACAGTTGACGATGGTAGCTTAACCTCTGATTCACAGTGTTTGCCACTGTCTGTGGTGTAAATGCTCCTACCTTGATGTGTGGTGTCACTGAATGTGGATGTGGGAAGAGATGCATAATAGCACACCATTATGTGGTGTATCCACTACAGATAACAGTAGATATAAATAATCTCAATCACACATAATAGTAAAATATAGCAAAATACTTAGGAAGGGATGGTTCGTAGTATTATTACCTTTATTTTTTATTTTTTTTTTCTTTTTTCACTTTAGTAAACTGGTCTATATTACCTTTATTTTTAACATACTTTGTTTAGTGAAGGTTTCTGTTATTTTTAATAATGGCTGTGTTTAATAAGCAGCTTGCAAAATTCCTGGAAATTTTCAAATCAGCTCTTGGGAGCATGTGAGCTGGCTGATGCACACCCCTGGTTTGATGAGATTCTTCCAGAGGCCCAACCCAGTGCCCACCTCCAGGCAAGATTTTCAAGAAGGGCCCACATTTCAGACCTTTCCTCTCTGAGTCACTGTCTCTCCCAGCCAGGGCCAGGTCAGCTTCGTCCCTAAAAGGAGCAGATGTCTAGCAGTGTGTTAGCTTCCTAGATTGTAATAATAAAATATCACACACTAGGTGGCTTAAACAACAGAATTTATGTCTCACAGTTCTGGAGACTGGAAGGCCAAGATCAAGTGTGAGCAGGTTTGTTTTTCTCTTCTCCTTTCGGCTTGCCTATGGCCACTTTCTTGCTGTGTCCTCTTGTGGCCTTTTCCCAGTGCAGGTGCTTCCCTGGTGTCTGTCCTTATTCTCATAAGGGCACAGTCCTATTAGATTAGGGTCCCACTCTCATGACCTCATTTACCTTTAATTATCTCTTTAAAGGCCCTATCTACAAATGCAGTCACATTGGGGGTTAGGGTTTTAACAGATGAGTTGGGGAGGGACACACTTTAATCCACAACACACTGTGGTGTTTCTACTTTGCTGCAGGAGAGAAAGAGAAGCAGAGAGGTCACGACGCAGAACTTGATTCTGGAGCCAGAGCTGGGGCATCTTTTCCTGGGGTCTCCAGGTTGTGATCATGGACAGAGGCTGGCAAGGGGAAGGTATGATGACAGAACTCAAGTTGTGCAAGGGGAGACATGAGAGTACCCTCAGTTCTTATGCTCCTGCCATTCCAGAACTCCATGACATTGGAGCAGTATCGCCCTGAATGGGCAATTGAGCATAGTGGTCAAAGCCGTGGACCCCAGAGCCAGGCTTCCTGGGCTTCAAGTCTCAGCATGCCATTTACTAGCTGTGTGACCTCAGGCAAGTTACTGACCCACTCTGTGCATCAGTGTTCCCACCTAAAGAATGAAAATATGCCAGTACCTCCCTCAAGGGTTGCTGTGAAGATTACATGAACAAAATGTATATACAAATATATAGGCATGCATATTTATAATTAGACTGGAGATCATTCTTTGTGCCTGGCACAATTGTAAGTGAAGTATAAGTGTTAGCTATTGCAGCTGCAATTATTATCTGTTTCCTTCTCTCAAGTGTGTGTCTTTGAGAAGATCAACTGCTTGTCTCCTATGTCTTTGAAAACCTCCAGTCCCAATTACTATATCTGAAACTTAATAGATGTCCAATAAATGTGTTGGATTAAATTGAATTAAAAATATGTACCAAAGGGTATCAGAGTGATTAAACAGCCAGGAAACAAGAATATTCATTCATACATGGAATCATCTAATGATTTAATCATTAATTGATTTAATGAATAATTGTTACAGCTTTATTGAAATATAATTCACACATCATACAATTCACCCATTGAAAATGTACAATTTAGTGGTTTTTTTTCTTTTTGAGACCGAGTCTCGCTCTGTCCCCAGGCTGGAGTGCAGTGGCGGGATCTCGGCTCACTGCAACCTCCACCTCCCGGGTTCAAGTGATTCTCCTGCCTCAGCCTCCCAAGTAGCTGGGACTACAGGCATGCACCACCATGCCCAGCTAATTTTTTGTGTATTTTTAGTAGAAACGGGGTGTCACCATTTTGGCCAGGATGGTCTTGATCTCTTGACTTCGTGATCTGCCCGCCTCAGCCTCCCAAAGTGCTGGGATTACAGGCATGAGCCACCGTGCCCGGCCCAATTCCATGGTTTTTTGTGTATTCACAGAGTTGTGAAAACATGATCACACAATGAATTTTAGAACATTGTCTCACCCTGAAAAGAAACTCCGCATTCATTAGCAGTCATTCTTCATTTCCCCCCAAATCCACCAGGCCTGGGCAAACACTGATCTACTTTCTGTCTGTATAGATTTGCCTATTCTGGATGTTTTTTGTAAGCGGGATTGTACTATATGTGTTTTTTAATGGGTGGCTTCTTTCATTTAGCGCAGTGTTTTCAAAGATCATCCATATTGTAGCATGTATTAGTAGAACAAATAACTTTTAAACGTCTGCTGCACACCATGAGATAAACCAGAGAGAACCTGTGTAAAATGCTTATAGTCTAGAACACACGTGTACACAAAGAACTGTCCGTGATTGTTCAGAGCAGCTTAGTCAAAAAATTAGAAGCAGCCCTAATGTCCATGAACTGTGAATGGAAAAGCAAATTGTGGTACATTCATACAATAGAATACTACTGGGGAATATCAACGAAGAAAATACTAATAGCCCCCAACATGAATGAATCTCAGAATCAGTATGTTAACTTCAAGAAGTCAAACACAAAAGACAAAAGATGCTGTGTGGTTCCAGATATATGAAATTCTAAAAAAGGTGAAGCGATGTTGACAGAAAGGCTAGTGGTTGCCCCTGGGGCTGGGGCACCAGAGGAGGGGCTCAGCTGCAGAGGGGCCTGGGGGAACTTCTAAGGTGACGGAGCTGCTCTCTATACAGGCGATTATACCGATGTATACAATTACCAAAATCCATCAAACTATATAGTTAAAATGGATAGATTTT
The DNA here is from genome assembly GCF_000001405.40 of Homo sapiens. Lineage (NCBI taxonomy): Eukaryota > Metazoa > Chordata > Mammalia > Primates > Hominidae > Homo > Homo sapiens. Next base: position 72,706,984 of record NC_000003.12, on the reverse strand, counting down.
ACTGTATATCAGTCAAAAAAATAAAAACATAGGTTTTTGCACTAGCACTACAGGCATGCGCCACCACACCGGGCTAATTTTTTATTTTTTTTTGTAGAGATGGGGTCTCACTGTGTTGCCCAGGCTGGTCTTGAATTCCTGGGCTCAAACAATCCTCCCACCTGAGCCTCTCAAATTGCTGGGATTACAGGTGTGAGCTGCCATGCCCCACAAAAACATACTTTTTGTGCTCCTGTTTATTAACTGGTACTTACTAAAAGCCAAATACTCCTAGAACTTTGTAGTATTATCCCTTTTAATTCCCACATCAACTAAGGTAGATGCTGTCTGTTATTGACTAAATTGTGTCTTCCCACAAAATTCAAATGTTGTAGCCCTAACTCTCAATGTGATGGTATTTAGAGACGGGGCTTTTGGGAGGTCATTAGGATTACATGAGGTCGTGGGGTAAGGCCTTGGTGATGGGATTAGTGCCTGTAGAAGAAGATGAAGAACTCTCTCTCCGTCTCTCTGTACATGCACTAAGGAAAGGCCATGTGAGGACACAGTGAGAAGGCCTCCTGTCTGCAGTCAGGAGGAAAACCATCACCAGAACCTGACCACGCTGGAACCCTGGTCTTGGACTTTCAGCCTCTAGGACTGTGAGAAAATACAGTTAATGCTTGAACAATTCAGAGGTTGGGACACTGACCCCCCATGTAGTAAAAAATCTATGTATAGCTTGAGACTCCCCAGAAACTTAACTCCTAATAGCCTACTGTTTACAGGAAGCCTTACCAATAACATAAATGGTCGATTGACACATATTTTATATGTTACATGTATTATATTCTATATTCTTACAATAAAGTAAGCTAGAGAAAAGAAAATGTTATTAAGAAAATCATGGCCAGGTGTGGTGGCTCACCTAAGGTCAGGAGTTCAAGACCAGCCTGACCAACATGGAGGAACCCCATCTCTACTAAAAATACAAAATTAGCCAGGTGTGGTGGCACATGCCTGTAATCCCAGCTACTCGGGAGGCTGAGGCAGGAGAATCGCTTGAACCCTGGAGGTGGAGGTTGTGGTGAGCTGAGATTGCGCCATTGCACTCCAGCCTGGGCAACTACAGCGAAACTGCGTCTCAAAAAAAAAGAAAAGAAAATATATTTACTATTCATTAAGTGGAAGTGGATCATCATGAAGGTCTTCATCCTCATCATCTTCATGTTGAGTAGGCTGAGGAGGAGGAAGAAGAGGAGGGCTTGGTCTTGCTGTCTCAGGGGTGGTAAGACAAAAGAAAATCCATGTGTAAGTGGACTCATGCACTTCAAACCCATGTTGTTCAAGGGTCAACTGTAGATTATTGTTGTGGTTTTTTTTGTTTTTTTTGTTTTTTGTTTTGGGACAGGGTCTTTCTCTGTTGCCCAGGCTAGAATGCAGTGGCATAATCATGGCTTGCTGCAGCCTTGACCTGCTGGGCATAAGCAATCCTCCCACCTCAGCTCCTGAGTAGCTGGGACCACAGGCATGCGCCACAACACCTGGCTGATTTTTAAAATGTTTTGTAGAGATGGGGTCTCGCTATGTTGCCCAGGCTGGTCTTGAAATCCTGAGCTCAAGTGATCCTCCCACCTTGGCCTCCCAAAGTATAGGGTTATAGGCAAGAGCCACTGTGCCCGGCTGGTTACTGTTGTTTAAGTCACCTGGATTATAGTATTTTGTTATGGCAGCCCACACTGACTAAGGCACTATCATAATTCCCATTTTACCAAAGTGGGAATTTAAGCATGGAGAGATTGCCCTTTTGTCAAGCATGTCTGGAATCCATTCAGACTTTGAATAATTGTTTCTTAATTTCCCCCCACCCCAAAACCACTCCTCTCCCCATATTCAGCAAATGCCCCTAGGAGGTGGTGCTATCTCCAACTGAGATTTAAAGCTCATCACTTGGTCGAAGCCGATCAGCTCATCATGATCCTCTGACCCCAAGGATTGGTTCAGGGCTGGGCAGTGGCCCCATTCGTGCCACTAAAACATAATACAACTTCTGCTGGGACTGCTGGAACTGCGGCACTTTCCTGATAGACAGGAATCTAGGAGGATGTAGGGCAGGAGCTGCAGCAGCTATGTTGCCACCATGCAGGGAAAACCCCTCTAAGGTGGAGCCGACCCTCTGGAAGTAGAGCTATTAGAGATGGAGAGGGAGAAAACAGGTTTGAGCCCCTATGTCAAACTGACCTGAAGTTAGGGTATCCCTGGACTCTTCAATTATACATGCCATTAGCCTCACCCCTCCCCCTGCACCCTCCTTTTTTTGCTTAAGCCAAAAAGATGTACTCAAGGTTGTCGCACAGCTGGTATTTACTCAGGGACACCATATTCAAGCCAAAGTTGATTCTACTGTGCTCACTCTTTTAGGTATTTAGCTCTAGGGGAGAAGGAAGAAAGAAGGATGTTGTATAAAAGGAGAGCAACTTTGGAAGATCTATTCAGATTTTGAATAGTTGTTTCTTAATTTCCCCCCACCACAACCCTACTCCTCTCCCCGCTGTCAGCAGATGTCCCTAGGAGGTGGTGCTATCTCCAGCTCAGATTTAAAGCTCATCACTTGGTCCAAGCCAACTGCAGCTTTGGGAAACTAAAGCAAGGATGTTGGAGTCATCCTATGTGTGTCGGAAGCATGGTCCGTCCTTATGGGTGGCATCTGTGGCTAAATTACTTGATCCTTTGGAGTCTCAGTTTCTTCCTCTATATAATGGGGATAACAATGCATCCATCCCTGTGGACCGTTGTGCGGTTTAAGCAAGACAATAAGTAAAAAATATTCAGTGCAGCATCTAGGAAATGCTCAAAAACAGTAACTATTTTATTGCCCAAAAATATTTACACGGTGACCCGTGAACTCCCTGGGCCACCCAGTAGTGGATTAGGTTATCTAATCATGCTGTAAATACTTTGTCTTGTCTTGTTTTGTTTTTGAATGTTTTGAATTGTTGTAATGATTTTAATACCACTGGGCTCCTCTGTGGACGCTTAGACTTGAAGGGCAGCAGGGATGAAAGAGCAGTATCATCCATGCCCCTATCTTTCCTTGAAAGTCAGTTCCTCCTAAACACTGCTGTTGGATTTGTCTTGCTCTTTTTTTTTTTTTTTTTTTTTTTTTTTTTGAGATGGAGTCTTGCTCTGTCGCCCAGGCTGGAGTGCAGTGGCGCAATCTCGGCTCACTGCAAGCTCTGCCTCCCAAGTTCAGGCCATTCTCCTGCCTCAGCCTCCCGAGTAGCTGGGACTACAGGCACCCGCCACCGCGCCCAGCTAATTTTTTGTATTTTTAATAGAGATGGGGTTTCACTGTGGTCTCGATCTCCTGACCTTGTGATCCGCCCACCTCGGCCTCCCAAAGTGCTGGGATTACAGTCGTGAGCCACCACGCCCAGCCCTGTCTTGCTCTTTATTCCTCATGATGCATAGGATGTTGGGAGGAGTAAATTAGTTAATTCATGTAAAGTGCTTAGCTTGGGGGTGGCAGGTTTTAGCAACTAAGTGCGGCCCTGTGCTAAGAATTTGACATTCTTTCCTTTATTCCTCTTACCTTCTCAATGAGGCAGGCATTACTGTTTGCCCATTTTGCAGATAAGAAAACCGAGGCTTGGAGAGTTAAGGAGGTTGATCAAGGTCCTCACACAGCAAGGAAATAACCAAGCTAGGACTGAGCCTTTTGCTTCCAAAACCTGGCTGTGCTCTCTTCGACCAGACAGAATGCTTGCAGGAAGTCTAATGGCCACATGTCCCCCAGATGCATATGCAAAAATGTGGTCATCACAGCTACGCTGTTACCTGCGTTCTCAGATTGATCCCCAGGCTAAAAGTCAGTTTTACTTAATGAAAGGTACCAAAAAGGAGGATGCAACCTCCCCCTCATCCTTTCTGGGTAGAATTAACTTGGTTTTCCCAGATCTCCTGGTTTCCCAAGACAAGCCAGAAATCTGCATTCTTTATGAACACTCCATATTTCCCGGGACAGATATTTAGCAGAGTGTCTTCCCATCCTTATGCACTGGATGGGAACTTCAAATGAATGTGTGTGGAACAGTGAGTCTAATGGCAGAACCTGGGGTGCCTTTGGAGCAGACCTCCTTTTGGAGCTCACTGGTGTTGTGAACCAATGCTGGGGAAGTGAATGTCAGGGCATGTTTCTAAGGGTGACCCTGATAGATAGAAACAAGCACCTCCCCTTCCCAGGGAAGGAATTTTAACCCGCAGCATGTAGAACCCCTTCAGCCATCCAACAGTGGTTTATTTCAGCCTGCAGACTTCAGAGAGGAGTGCGCCAAGGTCAGGTCATCCCCAGGAGAGGCCTGCAGCTGAACAAGGTCATGGCCAGGAGATATTTGCTTGTGATTTAGTTATCACAGGGTGAGGCCCACACAGTCCCAACTGTCACAGTGTTCTTGGCAGCCCGACACCAGCCAACAGAGAACAGACGACAGATGAGGGTGGCATGAAGAGCTGTTGCTCTGGGACGCCCACGGCATGCCTGGCCTTTGCAGGCCATGCCTCTGCCCCTCAACTTATCTGACAACGGCTTTCCAGATGAGGAAACTGAGTCACTAGAGGCAAAGTGACCTCCTCTGGTTCATACAGCTAGTACGTGGCAGAAGTGGAATTTTTAACCTAGGTTGATCTGGCTCCCAGTTAATGCTAAGGGATTCATTGACCACAAGAAATAGAAATGTCCTTTGGGCAGGACTGTTGTAGCTCCTCATAAGGAAGAAATACAGTTGCAGGTTACAAACTGCAGATTTATAGTCCAATCCCACCTGCAGAAATGTTTTGTTTGGCCTAAAGAAAGTTTAAAAAAATGTTTAAATTCATTATCAACTTTTAAAACTATGGAGTGTTCATAAAGAATGCAGATTTCTGGCTAGTCTTGGGAAACCAGGAGATCTGGGAAAAGCCAGCTGGAGCTGAGGGTGACAGCCTCCTTTAGAAGAGACACAGCCGGGCGCAGTGGCTCACCCCCGTAATTCCAGCACTTTGGGAGGCCTAGGCAAGCGGATCACGAGGTCAGGAGTTCGAGACCAGCCTGGCCAACATGGTGAAACCCCGTCTCTACTAAAAAATACAAAAAATTAGCCGGACGTGGTGGTGTGTGCCTGTAATCACAGCTACTCAGGGAGCTGAGGGAGGAGAATCGCTTGAACCTGGGAGGTGGAGGTTGCATTGAGCCAAGATCACAGCATTGCACTCTAGCCTGGGCAATAGAGTTAGACTCCATCTCAATAAATAAATAAATAAATAAATAAATAAATAAATAAATAAATAAATAAAAGGTACATGAGCCCCCTAGAGTGACAAAGCCCCCATCAACTTGGGGCCCTGTTCAGTGGGAAGTAAGATGACCCCAAGGCTGCAGAAGGAGGCTGGATTACAGCCAAGGGGAGTCCTTGGACACCAATAGTTAAGGGTACCAGCCTCTCAGATCTTCAGTGTGTTTGCTAGGGCTTCTATAGCAAAGTACCATAGACTGGGTGGCTCACACAACAGAAATGCACTTCCTTGCAGTTCTGCCAGCAAGAAGTCCAAGATCGAGGTGTGAGCAGGATTGGTTTCTTGGCCTCTCTCTTTGGCTTGCCTTCTTCCTGTGTCTTCACAGGAAGGCCTTTCACAGGAGGTCTTTCCTCCGTGTCTGTGTCCAAATCTCCTTATAAGGACACCAGTCAGACTAGATTAGGGCCCACCCTAATTACCTCATTTTACTTTAAGTACTTCTTTAAAGACCCTTTCTCCAAATACAGTCACATTCTGAGGTACTGGCAGTTAAGGACTTCAAGATATAAATCTTAGGGGTACATAATTCAACCCTTAACAATCAGTTACTGATTGTCTTCCCATAGGGGTAGAGCCAGTTTTGTAGGATCAGAAGCAGTTTTGGAGGAATTCTTTATAGGAATTCTTTATAAAAATTCTTTATTATAAAAAAGTGCAATTATGCATGTAAAATTAGGTATAGGGAGCAGAGCTGTTGGTGCCCCACCCATATTCCAGAGATTCTAGCACTTCAGCATGTCCCAGACACTTCAGCTGCCAGGATCACCAGCCTTTTGTCCATAAAAGTACTGGGGAGGCCGGGCACGGTGGCTCACGCCTGTAATCCCAGAACTTTGGGAGGCCGAGGCAGGCGGATCACGAGGTCAGGAGATTGAGACCAGCCTGGCTAACATGGTGAAACCCCGTCTCTACTAAAACTACAAAAAATTAGCTGGCCTTGATGGTGGGCGCCTGTAGTCTCAGCTACTAGGGAGGCTGAGGCAGGAGAATGGTGTGAACCCGGGAGGTGGAGCTTGCGGTGAGCCGAGATCATGCCACTGCACTCCAGCCTGGGTGACAAAGTGAGACTCAGTCTCAAAAAAAAAAAAAAAAAAGTGCTTGGGAATGACTGCTACTCCCTGTTCTTGCCCTGCAGAAGCCCTCAGCCAATGACTCCTTGGGATCATTCTGAGGTGTGTGTTCTCTCCTGTGTCTTAACCATGTCTTTTATTTTCTGTATTTCTGATGCTTTGACATCTGAGATCTTGCTGACACTGGAGGGACTGCCCTTTCCAGGGCTAGCCAATTCCTAGAGAGGGTAAGCAACTCAACCCAACCAGCCCGTCCAGAGCCCATACTCCCAACCACCTTTACTGAGCTCTGCCCAGCCACTATCTACCTGGCCCAATCAATCTCCCTGGGGCCAGGGACCAGACAACTAGGGACAGCCCCTATACCCCAGAGCCTGCTGAATTATTCAAACTAGCCAACCCTGCCTTGGCCGATCATTCTCATGGAGACCCAATAAAGGCTATGGCTCATGCTTTCCTCCTGCTCTTTCTGCCTCCTGACCCACCCCAGTGCTTCCCTATGGGGCCCCTTGTGGCATGGCGGGTCCCCTCCCGTTGGGAGGTATAACAAGATAACTTTCAATGACAGTGATCCCCTGAGCTGTTGGCTTTGCCATAGCTAAATAATAATAAAACCTACATTTTAAAACACGCCGTCTCCCAAAGGCCCTCATGGGATAAGCTCCCGTTGCCCACAGTGGGAGCTGCCTGGATAACGCAGCCTTTGTTGGCCGTCTGCCCTTCCTGTTCTCATTTCCCCACTTCCCTGCCAGTGTTTCCTGTGCCTCCCAAATAAGCCAACCATATTCCTATCCTTGCCCCAGGGGCTGCTTCCAGAGGAACAAAATTAAGTCAGCACAAAAGTGAATATTTATTTTAAATACAGAGAGGAAATGAAAATGGAGACAGTGGACTTAATGGATGGCCATTGAGGTATCTTATATGGGCAAATTCTACAAAACCATGTGACCACACATGCACATACTGTGAGGGCTTTTGGAAGGGGTCCAGGTCTTGATGCAGGATAAATCTGCCTCTACCTCCCTGCCTAGGGTGCAGGCTCCGTGGGTACCAGGACAGTGCCCAGTGCAGGGGCTAACACATAGTAGTTGCTCCATAAATAATAGTTTAATAGGATAGGTGCAGTGGCTCATGCCTGTAATCCCTGGACTTTGGGAGGCCGAGGTGGAAGGGTCACTCAAGTCCAGGAGTTTGAGACCAGCCTAGGCAACATAGCAAGGTGCTGTCTCTACAAAAAGTTCTTAAAAAATTAGCCAGATGTGGTAACATGTGCCTGTAGTCCCATCTACTTGGGAGGCTGAGGTAGGAGGATTGTGTGTGTCCAGGAGTTCAAGCTGTAGTGAGCTATGATTGCACCACTGTGCTGGCCAACAGAGTAAGACTCTGTCTCTAAAACAATAATAATAATAGCTTAATAAATGAACAGTGTAACAAGGATATGCCAATTAGGCAGAGAAGACTCTGATGTACTCTCCTCTCTCCTGGGTGGTGCTTGGGTAGACATCCTTTGAATTCCCTTTTTGATGATCAAGTCTCCATTAGATGGACACAATTTTTTTCTGTAAATGCACTAATATCTTTATTCTCACAGACCTGGGAGCCAGGATATGTCTTTAGAACCACTTTGCAATTTGCTGATCTGATCCATTGTGTACTGACTGTGGTTTATCTCCCAGATGGCAACTCTATCTCCATTATTTCTAAGTTCCTTGTTGGGTAGGTGGGACATCATGACCCCTACACAAGGAGCCAGGCATGGTATTGACTAACATATGATGTGTAACTGCGCAGCCTGCATGGTTGGAAGCTTCTCCACTCCCTAGCAGAATCTGATTTTGGGCAAGTTACTTAGACTCCCTGCCCCTCAGTTTTCTCAGCTATAAAATGGGGATAATGACAGTACCACCTTTCAGATTAGTGGGAAAATTCAATGAGATAAGGCATTCAAGCCCTTAGCACAATGTCTGATGATAGCTAGTGCTTAGTACATGAAGACTGTTTATGGGAAATGTAATGCTATGCCCAAAGACTGTTAATTCTATAAGGCTAAGTTTTTCTGTTGCAATCCACAGGCCTAGGGCAGCATGGAGTTAATTCTAAAACAGACTTTTTATTAGTCTCTGGGAGCTTGTGAAGTACAGATAGGGAATGCTCTAACGTGAACAAGGCACCATAAATGATGTGCTTTGTTTCCTGTAGGGGTGGTTTCCTAGTGACTCTCAGGGAGCCAGGTCCCTCTTGCCTAAACAGTGGGGCTTCCTGAGGGAAACAGCCCTCCTGTGGTGGGTCAGTCAAGAAGGAATTGCTGGCCCATGGAATGTTGTTTACCACCAACGGCTTTTGGCAACACAGAGGGGGATAAACTTAATGGATGAACTGCAGAAGCAGAGAGGCAGAGAGCATGAGTGAGCACTCCTGGCAAGCTTCATACAAGGAGGGTGCAATCTATAGAAAACAAGATTTACTGAGATGACAAACGTGTGTGAGGTAAAGAAACAAAAAGAGAAAGTGCGTGGAGTGAATATGAAGAAGGAAGGAGCAAAAGAAAGAAGTACAGGAGAAAGGCACATGAATCTAGGAGGGTCTGTCCTAAGGACAGCAGAAGCTGGAAGCGGAGTAAATAACAGAATTGACAGGCATACTTATCATTAGTCTCCATGCCTATGTCTGTGGCAGGCATCACCAGTCAATCACAGCAATCCTCCAGCTGGCCTCAGAAATAGCCTCAGAATCCTCCTCAATCCAGTGATCCAGGTTATCACTACTAAACCACCATGTTGGTGTTTGAGTTGAAACCTTCCTCTTGTTTGGGTTATAAGCTCTTGCCAAACATTTAGGAAGAAAACTTGGACCAGAAAAGCAGATCAAGGCAATGAGGACACAAGAGCAGTAAGGAAGGGGGCGTTCGGACTGCCACATTCCTGGCTGAAGGGCAGAAGGAGTGGGCCCTTTGCAGTCTCAGAGACTGGAGCTCTGTCTCCAACCCTGTTCCACTTATCAGACAGTCCCATTTCCCTGACAGTAAAATAGGGAGATGAAGGGGCTGGATTGAAGCCATAGCCTCAGAGTTGAGTATAGGAGATCCTTGGAGATGGAACATAGAGAGAAAAAAGGCTTATTCTAGTCATCTCTAGCAGTGGCTTGAAATAGTAGGTGCTCAATAAAAAATCATCGAAAGAATTGAGCAAGGAATGTGCAGGGCTGGAAAAGAATATTGATTCACCACTGGTGGGAGCGATGTACCCTTTTGGAAGGATGCCGTGGACCTATATATAAGCTTAAAAATGTGGAGAACTTTTGACCTTTATTTCTAGGAATTTATCCTAGGGAGAATTGCTTGACCCTGATAGGTGGAGGTTGCAGTGAGCCGAGATTGCCCCACTGCACTCCAGCCTGGGCAAAAGAGCGACACTCCATCTCAAAAAAAAAAAAAAAAAAAAAAATTCTCCGCCTGAAGTGTGTTTTTTATGCTTATAACAAGCAAAGGGTCAGACTTTTGCTGAGGACAGGTAAAATCAAAATGCGCATGCTCCCTACAGGGGAGATTCCCAACTGGAGGGAGCTTTGCTTGAATGAGCTTGACTACAGTGAGGATGCTGGGGCTTATTGTGTTGACCGTAGGTCCCCACTGTTGCTGTGTCCTGAGGACATGGTTACTTCCTTGACTACCTAACCTGCTTCAGGTGAAGACCACACAGCCGTTAAAAATGATGCTGCCTAGAAATGTTTAATGACAGGGGACTACATTTATGTCATTAGTGAATAGAAAAAAGTTATTAAAAAAGCAAGTACTTACTGAAAAAAATTAAATATATTTATGCACAGTAAAAACAATTGGAAGTATATGGGCCAAAATGTTAAAAAATATTTATCTGAAGGTAGTTGTATGATAGGTGGTGTTTAGTTTTTCCTCCTACTTTTCTATGTTTAAAACATTTTTTCACAATAAGCAAATTAGTTTTGTAATAATTAGAAGGTTTAAGAATAATTGACAAGCTGGGCATCGTGGTGTGCACCTGTAGTCCCAGCTGCTCCGAAGGCTGAAGTGGAAAGATCATTTCAGCCCAGGAGTTCGAGGCTGCAGTAAGCTGTGATTGCACCACTGCACTCCAGCCTGGGCAACAGAGCAAGACCCTGTCTCTAAATAAATACATACTTTTTTTATTTTTTATTTTTATTTTTAAATTTACAGCAACACCAGCCTGAAAATTAATTTTTTAATTAAAAAAAAGATCGACAGGCATTTATACTTGGTCATTTTTACACAGAGACATGCCCTTATACACATGGTATATGTGACTTTAGATATCTGAACTCTTTTGGCTACTTTAATCATGATGTGCAATTAGCTAATGTTTAATAGGCATGAACACTTAGTATGTAAATGCCAGGCACTGTGTGAAGCTTGCTTCATGTTTGCCTCATTTAACTCTCACAGCAGCACTGGGAGGGAGGTTCTGCTGCCCTCTCCGTTTTAGGTATGAGGAAACCGAGGCACAGGGCATAAGTTACCCACTCCTCCCACCCCCCTCCCCTGGCTGCTGAGGGCTGAGAGCTGAGGCAGACAGGCTATCTCCAAAACTCACACTGTCAACTTTCTGTTGCTGCCTCCAGAATCTTAGCAGGAAATTGTCAACATTCTAAGATTGAACCAAGGGGGATTAAGTAATCACGTTTGCAGTAATTTTGAGAGCCCAAAATTAAATTCACATTTTTGTGTACGTGTGTGAGTTCTTGTCAGGAAAGAAAATGATAGAATTAAAGTATCATGAGAAGATTCCTTTTTATAATGAAGCCTTCCTCGCCTGCTTTCTGTTACCCAGGCTGACACATTACAGCAATAAAAAGTGCCTGAAAAGGCTGTGCCTCATGGTATATCAGCTTGGAAAGGATGAGAGATAGTGCACTGAAAGCCCCTTGCTTTAGTCAGCTGTTTTCCTTGTCCTGCATACAGGTCTTCGAAGTTGCCCGCTGCATTGGAGAACCACTGAGAGTCATATATATTTATTGTTTCTGAATGGCATCTGTAGTTTCAATGTCCCAGCAGAGCGTTTTAAGGAAATTGGGCCTTCAGGGTGGACAGATGGAGGGGAACCTTCTCCGGCCATCCTAGCTGACCCCTGTAATCACTCATTTCCCTTTGAACAAACCAGAGCTGTCCCTGAGAGAAGAAAACTGTTTAGCACCCTTTTTGGGGCAGCCCTTTCTGGCAACTGGGGTTTCTTTTGTTTGTTTGTTTCATGTTTTTGGAGACAGAGTCCCACTCTGTCACCCAGGCTGGAGTGCAGTGGCATGATCTTGGCTCACTGCAACCTCCGCCTCCTGGGTTGAAGCGATTCTTGTGCCTCAGCCTCCTGAGTAGCTGGGACTACAGGCATGTGCCACCACACCTGGCTAATTTTTGTATTTTTAGTAGAGACAGGGTTTGGCCATGTTGCCCAGGCTGGTCTCAAGCTTGTGAGCTCAAGCAATCTGCCCACCTCCGCCTCCCAAAGTGCTGAGATTACAGGCATGAGCCACCACACCTGGCCTGGGGTTTCTTTAAGCAAGGGTGAAGGCCCCAGGGACACCCTTCATACACCAGGGCTGTGTTTGGGAACTGGGAAAAGTATAGCCACGGACTTGCCAGGGGGAGGGTTTCAGACCCAGAAGGAAGGACGAAGGAAGGAGGGAAGAACAGGGACTTGGAGTCCTGACTTTGACCCTCACTTAGCCATGCAGTCTTGGACAAGGGACTTCACTTCTCCCAGCTGCAGTTTCTTCATCTGTGAAGGGGCAGAAATCTGTGCCTCCTAGGTTTCCTCCCCTCTCCCTTCCTTCCTTTCCTGTCCTTCCTTCTTTATCTCCCTCTCTTTCTTGCTTTTAGGAATGAGTAAAACAGGATATATAAATGTGTCAGATGCTTGGCACAGAGGGGATGCTCAGCAAAGACCAGTGAAGCAGTATCTGTTTGTGGTTACCGCTGACAGCTCTGGAATCCAACAAAAACAAAACGTGGTAAAAATGGCTGCAAACGCTTTGATCCTTCTCCCATTGAGAGGCCAGTGTCCTGTCTCCTTCAATCTGGCCAGGCTCTGACAGCCTCGAGGTGTTGCTTTGCTAGACTGTGGATGCGGGCCTGAGGCGGTCCCCACTTGCTCTCCCCTGGGCCCCTCTCTGCAGCCCTGAGCTGCCCTGTGAAAAGGTTAACTACCCTGAGACTGCTGTAGGAGATCACCCCTGGGCACTGCAGGCAACAGTCCCAGCTGGGCTGCCCACCCTGCCACCCCCTGCCATGGCACCAGCCCCGTGAGAGGAGCTGTCTTGGATCCTTCAACTGAGCCCCTCTGCCCGCTGAAGACCACAAATGACCTGGGTGACCCTCCGTAGAGCTGATCCCTTCCCAAGTGGTCATTGTTTTAAACCATGAAGTTTTGGGGTAATTTGTGACACAGCAATAGATACTTGGAACACCAGGGTTTGAGTTATTCCTTTACCAATAGCTAACTAGTTGTTTGATCTTTAAAGATTACCACTGGATGCTCTACTCTCCTCACCTTTAAATGGGGACAAGAATAGTCCCCACCCTCTAGGATCTTAGCAAAGTTTAAATGAGGTAACTTGGCCAGGCACGGTGGCTCACGCCTGTACCCCAGAGCTTTGGGGAGGCCAAGGTGGGAGGATCACTTGAGCCTAGGAGTTTGAGACCAGCCTGAGCAACATAGTGAGACCCCCATCTCTACAAAAAATTTAAAAATTAGCCAGACGTGGTGGTGCATGCCTGTAGTCCCAGCTACTCAGGAGGCTGAGGCTGGAGGATCACTTGAGCCTGGGAGGTTGAGGCTGCAGAGAGCTACGATTACACCACTGTACTCCGGCCTGGGTGACAGAGTAAGACCCTGTCTCAAAAAATAATAATAATAAATAAAAAAAAGAAATTCCAGCAAAGTGCTTGAGGCAGGGCCTCGTACACATGAGCACTTGAAAGTGCTAACTATGACTGCTATCATTCCTCTCCTAGACTTTGCCAGCAGGATAATGAAAGAGCAAAAGGAAGGAAGCACTCAGACCACGTACACTGGGGGGCAGTGGGCCCTGGGCAATGCTCTCTGTTTCCCAATGAATAGAATTATCTTAATCATACTTAATCCTGTTCTCATGAGGGTGTTTAAAATTGGAAGGGTAATCTATTAGATTTCCTCTGAAAAAAGTTGCCCTAGTGAACCTGTGGGGCTGGCAAGGGAGTTAAGAGCCTCTTCTCCGTCTGCACGTCATGCCCCGCCCTTCTCTCCTGGAAGATGTTAGTGCAGGTGGATCAGGCTGTTTGCACAGCCTCCTTCTTGTTTTCCCTTTCTCCTTTTGCTTCACAGGCTTTTCTTCGCCCAGTGGTGGGGCAGCCAGGCCTGCGCCGAGGGAAACACTTGGGCTGCTGATCTCCTGGCTGCTGGTGGAGCCCATGGGAAATTTGCTCAGTCAGCAGGCTGGTACCTCACCATTCCCAGCTGTGCCTGCGTTCCACAGCCCTTGGCCCCCGCAACGACTCCAGGCTCCCCTTGGCTTCCTTTTATACTGATTGCAAGTCTTAGAGACTGGAGGTGTTACATCAGGCTGCTGAGCTGTTTGTTTTCTAGGAGAGGCTGGGGCCTGTGATGTGGAGAGCCTGGGACTGAGGTGGAGGCAACAGCAGAATAATGTAAAGAACAACTGTGAGCTTTGGGGTCATTCATTCATTAATTCAGCAAATACACCTGAGCACCCACCAAGTACCAGGCACTAGGCCAGGCACCAAGCTAGAAAATTTGGGTTTGATGCCCGATTCCTCAACTTAAAAGTTATATCCAACATCCATCCAGCAGAATGGCTAAAACAAAAAGGTAGACAATCCTGAGTTCCTTTTTTTTTTGAGATGGGAGTCTTGCTCTTTTGCCGAGGCTGGAGTGCAGTGGGGTGATCTCGGCTCACTGCAACCTCTGCTTCCCCGGTTCAAGTGATTCTCCTGCCTCAGCCTCCCAAGTAGCTGGGATTACAGGCACATGCTACCATGCCTGGCTGATTTTTGTGTTGTTAGTAGAGACATGGTTTCACCATGTTGGTCAGGCTGGTCTTGAACTCCTGACCTCGTGATCCTCCCATCTTGGCCTCCCAACGTGCTGGGATTACAGGCCTGAGCCACCGCGCCCGGCCTCAATCCCAAATTCTAAGGAGGCAAATAAGCAATTGGGATTCTCAGATGCTGCTGATGGGAGTGTAAATTGGACTACCACCTTTGGAAAGCAGAATCTCCTAAAGCTGAACATATGTTTCCCTTCTAAATGCATGAGAAGAAATGCCTGAGAAGGTTCATAGCTGTGTCTTTTGTAGGAGCCACCAACTGGGAACAACCCATAGGCCCAACAGCTCCAGAACGGGCATCCACACCACAGAATTCATGCTGCAACGAGAATGAATAAGACGAGTGCTACGCGCAACAACACTGGTGACTGTCGCAAACACCATGTTGCAGGAAGGACATTACGGATAAGAGAGTAAACATGGTATGATTCCATAGATGTGGATTTTAAAACAGGCAAAGTGAGTGGACGGTGTAAGTGAGGGCGGTAGTCACCCTTGGGAATTAAGGGGTGGGAGGGCGCAGGAGAGGGGCTGGCAGGGACGTCCTGTTTCTTGGTTGGAGGCTGGAAGGGACGTCTTGTTTCTTGGTTGAGATACTGGTTACACGATGTGTTCACTTGGTGAAATCCATCCAGCTGTTTCCTGACAATGTGTATATTTTTCTGGGGTGCACTTTAATAAAAGGTTGGAAAAATGTTATCCGTCTGTGGCCATACCACCCAGAACGCACTCGATCTCATCTTATCTCCAAAGCTAAGCATGGTTGGCCTGGTTAGTACTTGGATGGGAGAAAACTGTTATCCTACCTTGACCAAATGGCTTTCCCTCTTTAAGCTTGGTTTCCTCTTCTACAAAATATGGATAATGTTGCCTTGGTCATAGGGCTAAGGTTATATAGAGGTTTAATTAATATGAACACTGTCATGAACTACCTAAAACAGGTTAGGTGCTTCATAAATTTTGACTATTGGCCAAGCACGGTGGCTCGTGCCTATAATCCCAGCACTTTGGCAGGCCGAGGCAGACAAATCACTTGAGGCCAAGAGTTCAAGACCAGCCTGGGCAACATGGTAAGACTCTGTCTTTACAAAAATAAAAATAAATGACTCTTATTATGATTTTTATTACTAATAATATCTTTTTCATAGACTTACATGTCTCTGAATGCCTAAGGTGTTTTTTAAAAAAAAAAAAAAAACTGGGGAAAATGCCATTATTATTCAAGTGAGAAAGAAAAAAACACCCCTAAAAAAGGCTACTCTGTGGGTTGAAATTATTTTGCTGAAAATAGCTCCCTCTTTTGAAAATGCTCATTTTTTATGCTCCCCAAATCCCTTTTCCTATATGTGCTCTGTGGCTGAAATTTTGGGGAGAGAATGTCACACCGCTTGGAAGAAATGTCCCCCGTCCTTTCTCCACACATTTAGAGAACGTGACTAAGGATGGATTTTTCAATTCCTCAGGAGCTGAAAACATGTTGCAATAGAGTTTATACCTCTCAGCCCAGATTTTCCTCCACTTTTTATGGAGCTGTGTGTCATGAAAAGGTTTAGTGGTTCACCCATGCCCTTCCACGGCCTGAATGCGATTTCCAGCCCCTGGAGAAATTCCCCATGCTTCACGGCTGGAAGCAAAGCTTTTGCACTCTGGATATCACATTACATCAACTTAGAAAGTGTAATCCTGGAATTAGCCATTGGCCGCTGAAAAACAGACACAGCTAGTCACAGCTGAGGGAGGAGAAAGGCCTCAGAAGGAAGCCTGGGCTCCAGATCAAGGGGAGGCCCAAAGGATCAGCAGTGAGGGACCTCAGTCCTCCCTGTAAAGGGCTGGCTGATGCTGGCTGGTCCCAGGCATTTCCCTCACCCTCTGCGAGACAGGCCTGTCTGCCCACAGGCACAGGGTCTGCGGGTCCAGGATAGAGATGCCTAAGGGTCCTGCTGATGCACTTGGGCAGACTTGACTTCAATGTCCAGGCAAGTCTGATGTGATGTATCACAGAAATGGTGGCTGCCTCTCTGCCACATCACTGGCTCACTCTTCCTTAAAAGGATGGGATTCAGACCGGGCACAGTGGCTCACACCTGTAATCCCAACACTTTGGGAGGCCGAGGCGGGTGGATCACCTGAGGTCAGGAGTTGGAGACCAGCCTGACCAACACGGTGAAACCATGTCTCTACTAAAAATGCAAAAATTAGCCAGGCGTGGTGGTACGTGCCTGTAATCCCAGCTACTCGGGAGGCTGAGGCAGGAGAATCGCTTGAACCTGGGAGGCGGAGGTTGCAGTGAGCTGACATCGCACCATTGCACTCCAGTCTGGGCGACAGAGCGAGAAGCTGTCTCAAAAAAAAAAAAAAAAAAGATGCGATTCAAGTCAGCCTTACCTAAATGACCTCAAGCAATTGCTGTACTGAACTCCCTCCATCCCCCAGCCTCCTGTGTTTTCCCTCATCGAAGAGAGGGAACAATTATCACAGATTCCCCCTCCTTGGGCTTATGGGGCAGTGAGAAACCAGAATTTTGTGGAGGTCACAGCATTCCTGGAGGAGAATTTAATAGCATGAATTGAAAGTCTTTAAGAAGTATAACCCTTCTTATCTTAGGAATTGATCCTAAGGAATTTTGACTAATGTGCAAATGTATTTATTTATATTTTAGTTCATTAAATATTTGGTAAGTGCTTGGTAAGTAACTGAGACTTAACAGGTGGTAGGCACCATGTAAGATGTCCCATGCATTATCTGGCAGGCTGCTCAGGGTGACCCCATGAGATGCCATGTCACCATCTCCATTTTACAGACAGAGAAACTGAAGCCTTCCAAGGTTAATTCACTGCTCACAGCCCAGAGCTAATTGCAGGCAGAGCTGGGTTTGCACCTGGTGCCTCTGAATCGACAGCATAAACTCCGGATCATTTCTAACCTGTTTCGTTGCATAGGCTCTGTGCAAAGGGTGGGCTTAGGCAGGCACAGCCTTGATCTCTCAGAGCGTTCTGCATTCCAAAGGAGACCAACACTGAACAAAATCTACATGTGTGGTTACTTAAGGAAACACGCAGGGCGCCACAGGAACATGCGACTTGGATGTTCCTGAAATTGTCAATTACCAGTCTGTAAGAAAGGAAATAACCGGCCGGGCGCGGTGGCTCACGCCTGTAATCCCAGCACTTTGGGAGGCCGAGGCGGGCAGATCACAAGGTCAGGAGATCAAGACCAGCCTGGCTAACAGGTGAAAACCCGTCTCTACTAAAAATACAAAAAATTAACCAGGCATGGTGGCGGGAGCTTGTAGTCCCAGCTACTCAGGAGGCTGAGGCAGGACAGTGGCGTGAACCTGGGAGGCGGAGCTTGCAGTGAGCTGAGATTGTGCCACTGCATTCCAGCCCAGGTGACAGAGCAAGACTGTGTCTCAAAAAAAAAAAAAAAAAAAAAAGAAAGGAAATAACCAAAATGTCTGACAATTAGGGTTTGGCTAAATAAATTATGTAAGTCCACACTTTGGAATAGTGAGCAGCATTAAAATAAACATCACAGGGCTGTGTTTATTGACATGGAAAGATGTTCCTGTCACATTTAAGGGAAAAGGGTGATTACAATAAAAAAATTCTGTGTGTGTGTTTGTGTGTGTGTGTGTAGGCATAGAAACGACACATTACAAGTTTTCTCTGGGTTTGGGGATTATTTATAGATAGTTTTTTCTTTCCATCTCTCTGACCTTTCTGATTTAGGGGGGTAATTAGCATGTATTCCATGTCTAATTGGAATAACCAGCTATTTCCATTTGAGGGGAAAATAGCTGCTGCCTTTTGAGGCACACAGATGGCTGGGACAGAAGACCCTAGCTCCTTGTTCTTATGAAAGGTAAAGGAATCACTTATAGATGATGAAGGCTGGTCCGTGTTCTGTAGAACCGAGGTCCTCAAGTGCAGGCCATAGATCTGCATTCGAATCACCCAGGGCTGCTGGTTAAAATGTAGCTTCCTGGGCTCCACCCTGATATCACTAACAACTCACATTTACTGAGCATTTGTTATTATTATTGTTGTTGTTTAGATGGAGTCTCGTTCTGTTGCCCAGGCTGGAGTGCAGTGGCGCGATCTTGGCTCACTGCTAGCTCCACCTCCTGGGTTCACGCCATTCTCCTGCCTCAGCCTCACCAAGTAGCTGGGACTACAGGTGCCCGGAACCACGCCTGGCTAATTTTTTGTATTTTTAGTAGAGACGGGGTTTCACCATGTTAGTCAGGATGGTCTCGATCTCTGACCTCATGATCCACCCGCCTCGGCCTCCCAAAGTGCTGGGATTACAGATGTGAGCCAATGCGCCTGGCCTACTGAGCATTTTTTATGGACTAGCCATTGTTCTAAGTGCTTGACACTTACTAACTCATGTAATCCTCATGAATCCTAAGGTATATACATAATTATACCCATTTCACTGATGAGAAAGCTGAGGCACAGACTGTTTGACCAGCATGCCCCAGTGAGAGAGCTGGTGGCCGGTAGAGGGGATGCCAGTCCTTGTTCTCAGCTGCAAGTCTGAACTCAAATCACTACCCTGAGAGGGCGGGGTCTTAGGAATCTGGAGTTCTAACCAGCTCTTCAGGTGGTCCACGCACACACTGAAGTGAAGTAGCACCACTTTAAAGAATCTTTTCCTCTCAGAACCACTTTCAGTGCTTTGGTAAGAAGCAGTGGCTGGGCGTGGTGGCTGACGCTTGTAATCCCAGCACTTTGGGAGGCCGAGGCGGGCAGATCACTTGAGGCCAGGAGTTCGAGACCAGTATCTACAAAAAAAATACAAAAATTAGCTGGAAGTGGTGTCGCACGCCTGTAGTTCAAGCTACTTGGGAGGCTGAGGCAAGAGAATCGCTTGAACTCGGGAGGCAGAGGTTGAAGTGAGCAGAGATCATGCCATGCACTCCAGCCTGGGTGACACAGTGAGACTCCGTCTCAAAAAAAAAAAAAAAGTAGCGGATCCATTTTACTCAACATCTGCTACGAAAAAACTGTCTTCTTGAAGTCATTAGAACAAAAATATATCTGAGATTCTCAGCCGTGGTTAAGTCATCATGTGTAAAAAGTGGACGGGGACCAGGCACAGTGGCGCATGCCTGTAATCCCAGCACTTTGGGAGGCCAAGGTGAAAGGATTGCTTGAGCTCAGGAATTCGAGATCAGCCTAGGCAACATAGTGAGACCTCATCTCTACAAGAGAGAAAAAATAATAGCTGGGCATGGTGGCATGCACTTGTAATCCCAGCTACTCCAGAGGCTGAGGTGTAAGGATTGCTTGAGCCCAGGAGGTCAAGGCTTCAGTGAGCTGTGATCGCACCACTGCACTCCAGCCTTGGCAACAGAGTGAGACCCTGTCTCAAGAAAAAAAAAAAGTTGAATGGGCTGTGCCAACTCACTAGCCTAATTATTCCTCCTCTTCTTCCCTTCTTTGGAAAATTTCTTTCAGGCAAACTTTTATTCAGAATCCAACTTGTAAAATGTTAAAAAGTGGTGCTGCTCTATCTGAAGTTGGGAGGTGGGGGTAGATGTGTGTGCAGGGTTCCATAGGCCCCTGAAGATCTCCTTTCTGTTTCCAAAGGCTGAAGGGCTTTGGAAACAGTTTGAAAGGTGGGGACAGTTGAGGAGAGGAGGCCATGACTGCCCAAGGCCACCCAGCTAGCTGGTTTCAGTCTCAGGACCAGACCCTGCTGCCCATCTCCAACTAAAGACTAACACAAATTGCTTTACAAGGTTGACCTGCTGTGTAAAGATACCCACTGGTGGCCAGGCGCAGTGGCTCATGCCTGTAATCCCAGCACTTTGGGAGGCCAAGGTGGGCAGATCACTAGGTTAAGAGATCGAGACCATCCTGGCCAACATGGTGAAACCCTGTCTCTACTAAAAAATACAAAAATTAGCTGGGTGTGGTGATGCGTGCCTGTAGTCCCAGCTACTTGGGAGGCTGAGGCAAGAGAATCGCTTGAATCCGGGAGGTGGAGGTTGCAGTGAGCTGAGATCACACCACTGCACTCCAGTCTGGCGAAAGAGTGTGACTCCTTCTCCAAAAAAAAAAAAAAAAAGAAAAGAAAAGATACCCACTGGCCCAAAGGGTAGCTTGGCAGAGTTACTATGTTGAAATATTGCCTTGCAGGTGCCCTACCCTGGGTGGCACAATTCCATGGGCCCTGTTTCCATCATGTGCCATGGAGTTGGCTTTAGGGGGTTGCTACGCATATACATTACAGATAGATATATGGTGGCTTCTAAAGTGACGAAGGTCCAAGAACCCACGGAAGTTCCTTGATTTTGGAATTAAGGTGAAGTCGGGCCCTTGAAGGAGCAGATTAGTCAGCCTCCAGCATGAAAGTGACAGCCTGTGAGCACAAGTCTTCCAACCTGAGGTGGCAAACCACAACAGTGACCCTTCCAATTAGCACATGTGTCCTGGGCCTAGCTCTGGAAGCTGTCATGGTGGACATGAGATGGGAGTATGGGTGGCATGGAACCCAAAGAAAGAGAACTGGGAGATTTGGTCTCTGTGCTTGGGGCTGGAGAATGGGGCCTGAGGACCCTAGTCGAATGGAAGTGTGAGACTGTGGATCATGACTGGATGCTGGAGCGTGCTTCCTGGCCTATTCACAACATCACCTTTGATGCACCCAAGCCCTCTGAGGCAGGTACGACTCAGTGTGTATTTTTTCCATTTTGCAGATTAGGAGATTGAAGCTCAGAGACTTGTTGGAGCTCACAGCGGCACTGGGACATTTGGACCAAGAGCTTTTCTCCCTTCCGAGTCAGTGCATGATGCCAGAGAACATCCCTGGGTGAGGTTCGAAGAGAGTGGCCTGAGAGACTTTTCTATCTGGGGAGTGTGAGGTCCATATTTCCTGCAGGGCTTCCCCACTTACAGTGTCTCTCAGCCTCACTGATGACCTGCACCTGGCTGGGAGTTCTTTTGGTCCCTTCCCTACCTCAAGACCTGATTTGACTGCTCCAATTTACACAGGGAGGGAAGGAATTAAGAAGAAAAGAAAACACTCCTAAACATGAAAGAAATCACAGTCTTTCTCCGGAACTAAAGGCTTTTACAGGAGTGCAGGGGGAAAAAAATCTGATCATTCTTGGCAGCTTTTGAACAAATTAGGGTGTTGGAAGAATGGATGAAAGACTGAGGGGTATGTTGGAGTGTGGAACAGTTGCACAGTCCTAATGAAACAGAGCAGGCTTCCCCAGTGAGTGCCTGTCCCCTGCTACGTCTGTGAAGTCAGGGGTAACATTGGAGTCTAATGCTGGGAAACAGCCATTGCCCTTTCAAGCTCAGCTTGAACCACATTTCCTCAGGGACTCTTCTTGATTCCTACACTAGGCTGGCCGGTTTATTTATGTGGTCTTCGTGTCCCCTGCACTTGACCTTTGTAACCCACATTGTTCTTGTAATTCTTTGTCCGGTACCTGTCTCCCTGTTTTGACTGTGAACTCCATAAGGGCACAGGCTTGTCTACCTTGTTTGCCACTTGTACTCCTTAGGAATCTTTTAGGTACAATAAACAGAAGATACAAACCAAGGTGAACTAGCAAAAAGGAACTTTTTTTCTGCCCAAGGGTAGAGTTAGCTTCAGCCTAGGTTGGATTTAGGGGTTCTGAATTAGCCAGCCAGATTTGATCTCTTTCCCTCTCTTGGATCCACTTCATTTTTCTCTTTGTGTTGGCTTTATTCTCAGGGTTCCCATGGTGCTGTTATGGCTGTCCTGTTTCTTACCCTAGATGCTTTCAGGAAAGACTAAGATCCTTTTCCTGGTGAGTACAGCAAAATTCCCAAGACTAACTCTGATTGGCTTGGCTTGAGTAATATGTCCATCCTGAACCAATCACCATAGCCCAGACAGCATGGTGCCCTGATTGACCAGTGTAGCACACATGGATCATTGTTTACCCAAAAGCTATCCCCTCTTCTTCCTTGATAACAAGAACCCATCAGGTATCTTTTTGTTTGTTTTTTTTTTTTTTTTTTTTTGCCCACCTCTTGATACCCATTAGGTATCAAGAGTTGGGCAAGATCCTCACAGAAGGTGACCTCTTCCCAATCCAGGAAACTATTCATGGTAATCTCATTCCCTTTTGGTGGGAATTGGTTTAAAAGGGTGCATTGTAGGCTGTGCACGGTGGCTCATGCCTGTAATCCCAACACTGTGGGAGTGCTAGGTGGGCTGATCACTTGAGGTCAGGAGTTCAAGACCAGCCTGGCCAACATGGTGAAACCCTGTCTCTACTAAAAATACAAAAATTAGCCAGACATGGTGGCACACGCCTGTAATCCCAGCTACTCAGGAGGCTGAAGCAGGAGAATCATTTGCACCCGGAAGGCGGAGGTTGCAGTGAACCGAGATCGTGCCATTGCACTCCAGCCTGGGCAACAGAATGAGACCCTGTCTGAAAAAAAAAGGGTGCATTGCCCCACTTCTGACAAAGAGGACACAATGCAAAGTGTACTGGAGAAATGTTCTTCTCTGGCAAGTCAGGTCTGTAGGGGTGGGGCTAGCTGCCTGCCCAACCCTTCTTGCCTTTGGATATTGTTGTAAGAGGATGGAAGTTTGGAGCGGCTGCAGCCATCTTGCAACCATGAAGCAAGATAATGCTAATATATAGAGGTTGGCAGAGTGGGAAAAGGTCTGCCCCTGGCTATTTTGTTGTTTTACTTGTACTAGCATGTACCTGTGGCTTAAAACAAAGAAGAAAAAATACTGTACACAGGCTCCTGGAACCCATTTGCCTGCATGTGCAGTGTCAGAAATGCCTGGGATTTACATTTCTACCAGGGCAGCCTTTACCCATAACTGTCTGATGCAGAAGTCTGAAAGCCTAGCACCTTTGCTTTGAATTGGGACAACCTCTGAGGCATACTTTACACTCCAGAGCTTGCTGAAGGATCAGGCTGAGGCCTGGACTTTGCTTGAAATCAACCTTTGACTGGAGTCTTCCCTTCCCTGTCCTGCTCCCCCCACCCCCACCCCCTGCCAGACACCCCTGGGAGCACTTCCTTAATCAATCGCTTGCACACAAATCGTTAGCTTCTTCTGGGGGACCTGTCGTATCACCAGGGCTTACACATCACAGCTGCTCTGTAAATATTTGTTGCCTGAGTGAATGAATACATGAATGGATGAACAAGCTGGGGAAATCACAGGCAGGTGGAATCTGAACAGGTTATTATACTAATTACAGGCTGTCTACTTTTTTTCCCTTTGCCTCTGTGAAACAGGTTGGCCCTTTGGGGAATTTCCCCAAAGCTTTTGAAGCAGACAAGGTGTCTTCTCGCTAGACTCATATGCTTCCTAATTGGGCAGGCCATTAGAAAATGAGTTCATCTCCCCAGGGAAGGAGGAGGGGACTTATCACTCAGGACAAGGGCCCTGGGGTGGGGACAAAACTGCCTGAACATCTGCAATGTCTATTGTTACTTGAGCAGCTGGAGGGAATGACCATTCTGGAATAAATCAACTAAACCTTTGACCTGAACTCCAGTTTAATTCACTCTTCCCCTCCATTAGCTAGTGTGAGGGATGGTGGGGGGGCAGAAGGGGAGGGATAACATATTTTATTTTTATGGCATTTTTATTCCAAATGACCTGTTGGGTCAAACCCACTCTCCTTTCATGAATTATGCATTAAAGGAGCCCTTTTGCTTTCCTAATGGCTTTAGTTGAGTTCACCTCCCAGAAAGATAAAACAAAAAATCAAGAATTTCAGTTAAAAAGTTCACCTCTTGCCATATCAATTGACATGGTTTTAATTGGGTCATTCCATAAAGAGTCTCTGTTGATACAATTTTCAAGCTTCCTAGGGTCTTAGAAATCATCCAACTCTATCCTTGTATTTCAGGAGGGAGGATAAAGAACCTGGAGATGAGAAATGACATGCCCAAGTTCACACAGCTACTGAGTGTCAACAGCTATTAAGAGAAAGGGATGGGAATATTCCACTCACTTTATTTCCAGTCCAGTGTTCTTTTGTGCAAGGAAACCTAGAGAGGTAATATAGTTGCCATGGCTGCAGAACAAATTGTTCCAAAACCTAGTGGCATAAAACAATCACTCGTGGATTCGGTGGATTGGGAATTCGATAGGGCAAATGCTTCTCCATGCTTCTTGGTGTCTGCGGACTGAGCTGAAAGGGACAAAGGCTTGGGGCTGGGTTCATCTGAAGACCTGTTCATTCACGTGAATGCTGTCTGTTGACTGAGGCTTTAGCTGGAGTCATTGGCTAGAACCTCTATATGTGGCCTCTCCATGTGGTCTGGGCTTCCTCACAACATGGTGACTGGATCCCAAAGGAGAGAGTCCTGAGAAAAAGAGAGAGAGAGAGAGAAATAAAGATTGGTGGAAACTTTTATTGACTTAAAGTCACTCAGTGTCACTTCCACAACATTCTATTGGTCATAGCAGTCCAACCGGTTTCAAGGACAGGGAACGCAGATCCTGTATCTCAATGGAATAGTGTTAGTCACATTGAAAGAGAGCATATTGAAGCCATCTTTGGAAAATACAATCTGCCACAAGAGAGTTAGGGCTAGTACCCATTAAGTTTGGCTGAACTGTTAATTTAGTATCTGTCTTTCCTATTGGATTATAATTTCCTAAAAGGCAAGGCGTGTGTCTGTCTTGTTTGCTGGCAAACCTGTGTCCAGCACAGGTGCCGCTGACTCAGAGTAAGAAATTAATATATTTTTGTTTGGAAAGTAAGTATCAAAAAGAAAGTCTTCATTGGCTAAAAATATACTCAAAGATTTTCCTCTCCTCTTCTCAGTAAACTTTCCCATTCATCAAGAACTTGACAGCCGGGTGCGGTGGCTCATGCATCTAATCCCAGCACTTTGGGAGGCCGAGGAGGGTGGATCATTTGAGGTCAGGAGTTTGAGACCCGCCTAGCCAACATGGTGAAACCCTGTCTCTACTAAAAATACAAAAATTACCGAGGTGTGGTGGTGGGCGCCTGTAGTACCAGTTACTAAGGCGGCTGAGGCAGGAGAATTGCTTGAACCCAGGAGGCAGAGGTTACAGTGAGCCAAGATCATGCCACTGCACTCCAGCCTGGGTGGCAGAACGAGGCTCCATCTCAAAAAAAAAAAAAAAAAAAGAAAAGAAAAGAAAAGAACTTGAACACCAGTACCATCTTCCCTAGAGAGTTGATTGATTGGGAGAGATACTTAGCTTAGTCTTAGTCAGAGACGTTGTCCTGGGGGGTGTTATATGTAAGAGGAGCCCTGGAGGATGAGAAGGGGAAGCCAAATGAAGAGGCAGGAGGAAGAGCACCCCAAACAGAGGTAATAGCCTGTGCAAAGGTGGGAGTCAAGCCGTTCAGCATGGTGGGCACAGAGTTTGAGAGATTTGAGAGATGAGTAGCAAAAAGTCAGTAGGCTGGAGGGGCAGGCAGGACCTGGGTTATAAGGAGGACTTAAATGTCACCTGGAGGAGTTTGACTCATCCCTCAGAGTGGTGGGAAGCCACTAAGGAAGTGGCACCATCACATTTATGTTGGAAGGATCTGACTGCAGGGTGGGTGGTAGGATGTGGGGTGAGGAGGTGGACATCGTGGGAAGTGGGAGGCAGGTTGGGACATTGCTGGCAGAGATCATGATGCCAGAGCCGCATTAGAGGGCCGTGGGGCTGGCAGGAAGTGGGGGGATATTTCCAAGGAGGATTTAGTGACTAGTGACTAAATGGTGTAGGGCTGAGGCGGGGGCTGGGCCTGTCTGTCCTCAGTCTCTGGTTCAGGTAAGCACGTGGACAGTGGTCCTAGGCATCCAGCAGGGAACTCTGGAGGAGATGCAAGCTTTGAAACGGGGCTGAGGAGGAGTTCAGTGCTTTGGACACGTTTAGTTCCAGATGCCAGAGAGACATCCAAGAGTGAAGGTTCTAGTAGGCATTTGGATTCAGGAGACCAAAACTCACAGAGTAGTCCTGGCTATAAATTTGGACTGGGACCCAATACAGAGATGGAAACTGAAGGCACAGGAGTAAATGTACTCACAGTGGGAGGATGGGAAGAATGGGAGCAGAGCCATGGGTAAAGCATGTTTCCAGAAGGTTCTCCTGAGAGACCCAGGAAGGAAAGGAGCAAAATTCCATAGGATCCACAAGAGAGGAGTCATTGGCAATTTTCATAAGGACAGTTCCCCTTGTGATATATGGGAAGAAGGCAGATGGCAGAGTTGAAGAATAAGAAGGAGGTGAGAGAGTGATGAATGAATGAATAGCATTCCAGCAAAGTCTTCACATGCCTCCTCTAGGTCTGCTAATTCTGGAGATTCAGAATGGATTTGCCAAGAAAACTCCCAACGACCAGCCAGGAGAGGAATCTTTTCCACCAAGCTCTCTCTGTTTCAGAAAATAACCAATGTGTGTGTTGACCTCAGCATCCCTCCCTAGCAACCAGCATCTGTGTTTAAATTCGTGGGGGAGGGGTGCTATTATCTTGTGGCTATCCACACAGCTTCTGTGGTTACATCTGTTGTTTTTGTCTGTACAATAGCCATTTGTCATCATTTGGCTATTAACACCTCGATCTGGCTGGGACTCACTCCTTATCCCTGGCTCTGGGGATGGCACGTGTCCCAACCGTGGCCAATAAGACTCAGGCCTGAGATTTTTTGGAAACTATTGAGAAAGAGAAGCACCCCTTAGGCAGGGATGGCTGCCACCACCCCTATTAGGACTGGAGACATCCTGCCAGCAGAGACAGAAACAGATCCAAGAGACAGAGGGAGAAAAACAGTCTTGATAGCACTTCATGAGCTCCTGGATCCAGCCATGCCTGATACCATTTAATCCTTGGGCTTTTCAATTACATGAGTCAGTAAATTATCTATGTTTGCCTGTCAGAAAGGGTTTTGTGAGTTCTAGCACTGAACGAATGGTCCCAGCAGGAACAAACTGCCTAGGGATGGGGGCATAGGAGTGGAGTTGGTGGAGGAGGTTTACTTGATTTCCCCTCAGACATTTCACCAGGCATCTCATCCCCCAAGTTGCTACCTTAGCAATTCTCCCTCCTTTTTGCAGTCATCCTTCCTATTGTTTTTGCTTGTATTCCTATCTTTTTGTAAACTCCTCCTTGCTTAAAAAGCAGCATCTGAGATGCTGGCCTGAGGCCGTCTGCCCTTCCCAAGAGAATACACATGCTTGCTATTCTTTACAGTAAAACCAAGGTCCACATTGTGTTTCCCCAGGGCTCCCAGAACCTGAGTTGAGAGGTGGGGATTTTGCAGGGACTCCATCAGTGTGCAGCATCTGTACCTGCCTCCAGCGACTGCTGACACGAGCGGCCACATCTCCACACTTTCGCCCCACTACCTTATGTGTGCCACAACCCCTCCAACAATGCAAACTCTTGTTCATTTGCTCAGAACATGAATGAATCATGCCAGGGAAACTCCTGGCCACTGGACCACATTTTGCTGTGTTAGCAATAAACATCCCTTCATATTGTCATCATAGCCACAGGGGAAGACAGAGGTCTCCTGGCAGAGGAAGGGCGTGACACATTCCGCACTCTTTCTACTCCCTCCCTATGTCAGCCCTGATCTTTGTTTCCTTCTTTTTGCTTCAGAGCAAGCCTCCTTCTAAGGCCTTTAATTCCATGGATCATATTTTCTGTCTAGCTTCCATTTAATGGCCTGTCATGGGCCCATACCATGCCAGCTCCTGGGCGTAGTGGGGTTTGTGTATTTCAGTGTGGGCTTGCAGAATGACCCTGCATTATTTACTTTCCATCCTCATTGAGAATTATCAGGCTTAGGTGGGTTCCTCCCACCCTTCTTGAACTCTTCTTCCTATCCTCCATCCACCCTCTTCCCTCTATTTTATTCTTCCTGTCTGTCTTTCCTTCTCTCTTTCCTTCCTTTATTTTTTCCGTTTCTGTCGCTTCCTGTCTCCCCCCATGCCCTGGACTTTGGTCCTGTGGTTCCAGTAAAAGGAAAACATAGGGAATAATACGAAAAGCAGCCAGGCTTAGCCAATAAATCCTCTAATGCTTGTAATGGTTTTATTTTCTTCATGTTCATTCTAGTTTAAGAGGTCAATCAACATCTTTGAAATGCTTGTGGTTTACTACATGGAATCTTTAATTGAGGCACAGAAAACTCCTCTCTCCCTCTCTCCGTCTTCCTTCCCTCTCTCTCTTCCTTTCATTTGTTTAATAAATGTTTTTTGAGGGTTTTTTCTGGGGCAGGCCCTGGGCTAACTGCTAGGAATGGTGACTAGAAACATGGGTATGATCCTTGCTCTGATGATCTTACATCTATTGGGAGACACATGTTTTCACCAGATAATTCCACGTAAATGTATTCTCATAACCTCAGCAAATGCTTTGAGTTTCCACGATGGTCTACAGAGACACTGACCCCGACTATGGAGGTGTGGAGGGTTCCTCAAGGAGCTGATTTGAAGGATGAGTTTGCTTTTCTTTTTTTTGAGGGGTGAGGCGGGATGAAATCTCGTTCTGTCCCCCAGGTTGGAGTGCAGTGGCGTGTTCTCGTCTCACTGCAACCTTCGCCTCTCGGGTTCAAGCGATTCTCCCACCTCAGTCTCCCAAGTAGCTGAGACTACAGGCACCTTCCACCATGCATGGCTGATTTGTGTATTTTTAGAAGAAATGGGGTTTGACTATATTGGCCAGGCTGGTCTTGAACTCTTGACCTCAAGTGATCTGCCTGCCTCAGCCTCCTAATGTGTTAGGATTACAGGCATGAGCCACTGCCCCTGGCTTGAAGGGTGAGTTTTCTAGGTGAAGATCAGAGGAAAGAGCATTCCAAGCAGAAGGAACAGAATATGCAAAGGTCCTGGGGTGAGAGGAAGCAAAGCACCTTCATGGAATGTAAGAACAGTGTTACTGGGACAGAGAATGGAGAAGAAGAGGCCAGCGGGTGAACGGGGGCCAGATGTTCAGGACCTTTACCCTAGGTAAGAGTTTGGGTCTTCACTCCAAAAGCAAAGGAATGCCATGGCAGAGTTTCACCTGCCAGTGGAGGTGAGTGGGGATAATCAGTGCTGCATTCCTAAGCTCCAGCCTGGCTCTTGCTGCAATCTGGGTCGGGACGGGAGGCTCCTTGGGTGACCTGGGTGTGCTGGGTCAGATGTGGCATTGGTGCCAGGGTCTGGATTGAGGGTGCCAGGTTATTGTTCTGGCTTTTGGAAAGGGAGATAATCCTGCCTATAAACTTCCTGCGTGGGTTAGAGGATCCTATGAGATTAGCAGGTGGAAGAAGCATCACTGAGTACTGATGAGACCTTTGAACTGGAGACAGACATATTTGACTTTGTTAGGAGATCTTGGGCGGGTTTGCAGTTTCTCTAATCTCAATTACCTTTTCTATAAAATGGGGATATTAACACTAATGAATCTGGGTTATTTCTCTCTGCTGGTCATCCCTTTTTCAATTAGGATATGACCATCCCATGTGTGTCTGGTGGGACTGGCAACCCCTGTTCCCCCAATCCCTATTGGGTGAAGGGAGTGAGCATGTGATCTAGTCCCAGAAAATCATTGTGCCCCATGTCCCTGTCCACAGAAACTGATTTAAGGGAGTGGCCTAATCAGAGTCCCTCCATGAGATATGACATGGGGCTGTTGGAAGACAGCGTATCTTGCTTTTATATTATGAGTTGTAAGAGCACAGACTTGAGCTACTGGTATCCAATTTTCCTGGAAATAAAAAAAAAGAAAGAAACAGGGAGATTGGTGGGGATGGGGGAGGAGAGGGAGACAGAGAGGGAGAGAGAATCCCGTTTGAGAAACTTTGTTTGAGACCCTGGATTTAGTGGTTCCTGAAGCCAAGAATACTCCCTTGAATCTCTCAGTTAAGGAACCCATAAATGCCCATTTTGGCATAAGCCAGTTTGAGTTGGGGTTTGTCACCCACAACAGATGTGCTCTGCCTGATGCATCAAGTCATTGGGTTAATGGCAGTAAAGCACTGAAAGTCAGTATGAAATCTAGGCATGCAGAGTGCTCAGTAGTCACTATTGTTACTGTATTGGTGATAATTCATAGCTATAGAATGCATCGCTAAAGTATGGGCTGCTTCTCATCCCTGGGGTGTGGCCTCATGTTGCCCCACAAAAGGCTGTTAGCCACCACCATGATGCTTTCCTATTTGAAAGCCTTAGACAATGACTTGAGTTCTCCTTCTCTGCCTCCTCATCTCCCTCCAAAATTTGTGACTCCAGGCCAGGCTCAGTGGCTTATGCCTATAATCCTAACACTTTGGGAGGCCATGGCAGGCGGATCACTTGAGGTCAGGAGTTCGAGACTACCCTGGCCAACATGGCTAAACCGTGTCTCTACTAAAAATACAATAATTATCTGGGTGTGGTTGGGGGAGCCTGTAATCCCAGCTATTTGGGAGGCTGAGGCAGGAGAATTGCTTGAACTGGGGAGGCAGAGGTTGCAGTGAGCTGAGATAGTGCCACTGTATTCCAGCCTGGGTGACAGAGCAAGACTCTGTCTCAAAAAAAAAAAAAAATTAATCGTGACTCCAGTGTCCCCTGAGACTCTCTTGAAGTGACAGTGTTAGCCACTAGAGAGTGACCTGAAAGACGTGACTATGTTTAGATCTAATTCCAGAAGACCAGTCCCCTCCCAATCCAGTGGATTTCCCACTAACTTTTTTTTTTTTTAACAAAATGTAACAGCTATCTACTGCTGTATAATAAATTAGCCCAAAACTTGGTGACTTACAACAACAGAGATCTATTATTTCAAACCTTCTATTGGTCCGGAATTCAGAAAAGCTTAGTTGAGTAGTTCTGGCTCAAGGTCTCTCATGAGGCTTAAGTCATGACATTGGCCAGGGCTGAGGTCATCTGAAGGCTCAATAGGGGCTGGAAGATTCACTTCCAAAATAGAGCACTCATGGCTATTGGAAGAAGACTTCAGGTACTTGACATGGGAACTTCTCCATAGGACTGTTGAGTGTCCTTACAATATGGCAGCTAGCTTCCCACTCACCCCCCTACCCTCCCAGTGAGTTACCTAAGAGAGAGGAAGATAGAAACTGCCATGTTTTTTATGACCTAATCTGAGGAGTCACACTCTGTTATTTTTGCAATATCCTACTGATTGCACAGATGGGCCCCATTCAGTGTGGGAGGAGGTTGCACAAGGGCATGATCCCAGGAGGCCCAGGAATCACTCGGGGCCATCTTGGAGGATGGCCACTGCACTTATGAGGGGCAGTGGTTATCATTAAGTATCATTAAAGTTAGCAGTTTCTTCTTAGTCTGGTGGGACTTCTCTTCCCTGAGGAGTCCTTTGGATGCTCAGGATAACATAGCATCACCGAGGCACAAAAAAAACAAAAAAAAACCACTCTTCCTACAACTTTTGCTGGAAAGAGCTTTTAGCAGAGCTTGCAAATAACTCCTTAAATAAACTAGTGAAATGATGAAACTAATTTGCTGGTCTGTAATTTCCTGGCACATCTGGAGATTTACTAATAAATAGTAGCTGCAGCTTGGAAACCTGCCAGAATTACAGCCCTCTCCTGAGGGCTCCTTTTTTTGTCAATAAGGGATGTGTAAAAGCATCTTGGAGGGTTGGGAAGGCTGGTATATTGAGGAGAAAGAGCATTGGATGCCTGGGTTTGAGAGATGTCTTTGTCTCTTAACCACTGTCGTATTTCAAGTGAAACACATTCTTCTCTGTGCCTAAGTTTCTCCCTCTGGGAAAAGTGATGATAACCATGGACTTTCCTGACTTGCAGGGCTATGATGAGGTTTGAATGAGATGATGTAGCGTTTCTAAAAGAGTGGTACCTGGGATGATAGCACCATGGACTGTTCACCCCAAAAGGGGTCCTGTGCTGAAGTGAACGTGGAGAATTGTGTTAAATGAAGTCCAACCTTCACTTGCCTTCCCTGGCCACAGGTGGGTCCAGCTTCTTGGATGAGGGCCCAGTGCATCTGCACAGGGCCCCGTGCTCAGAAGGGCCTGCATTTGGAGTTTAATGCTTTGCAGTTGCTGTCTTGAAAATGTTTTATTAATTTATTTACTTATTTATTTTTGGAGAAAGGGTCTTGCTCTGTTGCCAAGGCTGGAGTACAGTGGCTTGATCTTGGCACACTGCAGCTTCCATCTCTCGGGCTCAGGCGATCCCCTGCCTCAGCCTCCCAAGCAGCTGGGACCACAGACATGCACTACCATGCCCGGCTAATATTTTGTATTTTTGGTAGAAATACGGTTTCGCCATGTTGCTTGGGCTGGCCTCAGACTCCTGGGTTCAAGTCATCCACCCGCCTCAGCTGGGATTACAGGCATGAGCCACCATGCCCCGCTGAAATTCTTAATACTTTTTTTTCTTTTTATTTCAGGCAGTGGCAATGTTAGACAAGATATTTTTATTTATTTATTTAGAGATCGCGTCTTCACTCTGTCGCCCAGGCTGGAGTGCAGTGGTGCAATCTGGGCTCACTGCAACCTCTGCCTCCTGGGCTCAAGCAATTCTCCCACCCCAGCCACCCAAGGAGCTGGGACTACAGGTGCCTGGCACCATGCCCAGATAATTTTTGTATTTTTAGTAGAGACGGGGTTTCACATGTTGGCCAGGCTGGTCTCAAACTCCTAACCTCAAGTGATCTGCCTGCCTTGGCCTCCCAAAGTGTTGGGATTACAGGTGTGAGCCACAGAGCCCAGCCTAGACAAGATATTCTTAGTAATTTTATCCTTGAAGTTGTGTTTTTTAAGTGAAGTCTGATGGGACAATGAAATGTGTGTCAGTGGCTTGGGGTCTTGACTCACATGTAGCCCCCTGCCCCACTGCTCCCTAGGGTGGGTTCTCAGCGGCCTGCTCCCCTTCACCGGCCTCCACTGGCTGGCTGTGCCCTGAGACCATACCACCCAGGGCCCCAAACCATGGTGCTCAAGGCCCATTGGCCTGAGAGGAGGCCCCATTTGTTGTCATCCTCTGCCCCGCTCAGGGGCCTGTGTGTAGGTAAGGAGAGGGCTGGGATCCAGTGCCCGATGCACAGTGTCTCAGGTCAGGGCAAGGTGGCAGCTATTCCAGTGTGGAGCTGACAGCACCTCTGCACATTTAGCAGGCAACTCAGTGGGGACCTCTCACCTACCTCTAACCCCGGTACTGAGGAAGTTGCAACCCCTTGGGGATTGTCTGTATGCTGTGATTTGAGGTGCCCATGAGAAGAGGAAAACGACTTCCCCACTGCCAGCCAGGGTGGTACATTTTCACTTTGCATTGGGTGCTGCAAATTATGCAGCAGGTCCTGCCTGCAGGACCTGTCAGATCCTTTGATAAAAATGTGTAGCAGGTCAGAATGCAGACATGGGAGCCAAACTGCCTGGGTTCAGGTCATGGCTCCACCACATACTGCAGTTTTGTCCTTGGCTAAGTCACCTGACTTTTCGGAGCCTCTGTATTTCCTCCCTCTTTCTTTCCTTTCTTTTCCTTCCTTCCTTCCTTCCTTCCTCCCTCCCTTCCTTCCTTCCTTTCTTCTTTCTTTCTCTTTCTCTCTTTCCTTCTTTCCCCCTTTCCTCCCATCCCCTCCCATCCTGTCACCTCTCCTCCCCTCCCCTTTCTTTTCCACAGAATCTCACTCTGTCACCCAGGCTGGAGTGAAGTGGCGAGATCTTGGCTCACTGCAACCTCTGCCTCCCGGGTTCAAGCATTTGTCCTGCTTCAGTATCCTGAGTATCTGAGATTACAGGCACCCACCACCACGCCCAGCTAATTTTTTTTTTTTTTGTATTTTTAGTAGAGATGGGGTTTCGCCATGCTGGCCAGGCTGGTCTCGACTCCTGATCTCCAGTGATCCATCCACCTCGGCCTCCCAAAGTGTTGGGATTACAGGTGTGAGCCACCGTGCCGGCCTCTGTGTTCTCATCTCTAAAATAATGATTGTGAAGTTCCTACCTTGAGGTTTGTTCTGAGGATTCAATCGGGTAGTACATGTAAACTCTTGCCCTCCATGCAGTGAGTTTTAGCTAATACCGTGTTTCTTGTTTAATCCTTGTTTCCCCCAGAGTCTGCAATGTTCCTGGGGCAGAACTGTCTGTCTGGTGTCCTGCTATGATCCTGGTGCCCAGCACCATGCCTAGAATAGATTAGGTACTCCATGAGCACTTGTTGAATGAATGACTCTCCAAGAGGGGGCTTCCCCCCACCCATACTCACCCCATCCGCTTTTTATCCAGAGAACCTTACAGAATCAGTGTCCTGCAGACTGCACATTTAGGGAACGCTGAGCTTGCCTGTGGCGCAAAACACCTCGCAGGTGCAGGCAGCAGTATCAGTAGCCTTTGGAAGGTCCTTTCCCTCCTCTTTGTCCTCTGGGACTCGGTGTCTCATCCCTGCTGGGAATGGCTCTTCTAGACCGCCCACAAGCCAAAGCCAGGGCTTCATAACTCACTCTGCCTCCCCAGCCTCCCCTGTCCTTAACTGGACCAATCTGTCTGCTTGACATCGCGCTCTGGTTCGTTTTCTTCACAAAGCCCTCTCCTGTCAGTTGACAGATTCTCAACTGTCTAGGCACATTTTTCAATGTGTGCTCTTCCAGTGATTCCTCGGCCAGGTTTCTGTTCTTTTTCAACCTACTGAATTTTATAATTTCACAATGGTTTACCTCGCCTTTCATGATTCTTCTCCATCTCCACTCTCCAACGTTTTTCCTGCGGGCTTCCAGCTTCTTGCCAATGAAGCCATGGGTTCTGGGGACCCTTTAAGGAAGCCTGATGTATTCAGCTATGTGGTGAACCACAGCCTTAACTGGGATGCCTCCAAAAGCTGGCCCTGAGACAAGGGTTGGGTGCAATTGTTTATCTGGAAAGCTACCCAGAAAGCAAGAGTGAGGGAGAAGGAGAGAGGGAAGAGAGAAAGGCTGCTAACCATGCCTTATTTTACTGCTTAGCCGCTGGGTAACTTGCAAGGCATCATAGATGTAGAATGTGCCTTTGCATTGTCCTTTTGTGGGGAGGAGAGGCTGGGGCATTTATCCACTGACTCTCACTCCCTTAATGTTGAGGTGTTGTCCCTGGGAAAATGAACATCCTTGCGCTTCTACCTGTGCCCATCAACTAAGTGGCTTTTCCCTGCTTTGGGGAAAACCTCTGCAAGTGTGCTTGAGGTGGGATTCTGGAAATGTCTGCCAAACTCTCCATCAGAGCTTCAGTGAAATCAGGTGGCCATGAGGATGTGATCTGGTGCACGCAGATGTCTGCTGTGGCTGGTCACACGCATAGGACTCCTTGAGTTTGGGATTGTCACTTGGGGTGCAGACTCCCTGAGCATACATTTCTTTGTCTTCTGTTTAAGCATCCAATTATTAAGGCTTTCTGCTGTCTTTGGGGCAGACTCCAGTCAGTTGGCACCCCTACCAGAAGGACTGTCAAGTCCCCAAAAAGAAAGCGAGGTCTAACCAGGCAGTTCTGTAAGTTCTGTCTCTGGTCATCAGGCTGCTGAGAGGGAAGGTGCTGGTGCTCTCAGATCATAGGAGGGAATGGGTCTCCCCATGACTTCCTTGGTCCATAACTGCATTTGGGTGGTGTCCTGGATGCAACTGTAATGCAAGTCACACTTTATGTATTGATGATTCTGAAGATGATGAGATGAATTAGATTATTTTCCTCCAATTGATCTATCTCCCCTGTCTTGTCCCTTAACATCCTGGGTGGATTTCATAGGTTGACTGCAACCTTTTTCTGCCTCACAGACTCCAATTCTCTCCTGCTTTTTCTGGAATGGATTTGAAAATCCTGTTTCTCATGGGAGTCCAACCAGGAATGAAATGCCTGGCTTCCCTTGCAAGCACCCCCAATCTCTACAAGCTACTCTCCTCTCTTAACTGGAGGAAAGAGAAGCAGTTCCCACCAGCAGTACCAACCCTGTTCCATCCCTGAGTCTGTTAATAAAAGTTGGAGGGGGGGAAGTAAGTGATCGTGGTTGGGCCAATTTGGGCACCTCTTAATATGCCTGGGTGGGCCAGGTGCAGTGGTTCATGCCTGTAATCCCCGCGCTTTACAAGGCTGAGGTGGGAGGCTGGCTTGAGCCCAGAAGTTTGAGACCAGCCTGGTCAAGATGGAGAGACCCCATCTCTACACATGCGCGTGCACACACACAAGCCTAGATGATGAACTCATGGCCTCTTAGTGGCTCCCTTTAGGAATGGGGTTTTTGTTTTTGCCTGGGGTCTGTAAGCTTGGATGGGAAGATTTATTTTTTATATTTGTTCATCTCTAGGTAAAAGCTGACATTTCTTTCTGTTCAAAATGTAAACACCAACCCCCCCATAGTATTAGTAGTGCCTATGACTTTGTTACCCTTCACAATCAGAAATCACACTACAGTTGTCACAGATATTTAAAAGTAACATTTTACACTCATCTCTATGTAAAAATTACAGTAGTAATTAGACTCATTGCTAGATCTTGTTATTTAATGTATTAATAAAGAAGAAACAAGAGTATTACTATATCATAAATTTGTGGGGGTTTTTTTGGGTTTTTTTGTTGTTGTTTTTTGAGACGGAGTCTCGCTGTCGCCCAGGCTGGAGTGCAGTGACGCGATTTCGGCTCACTTCAAGCTCCGCCTCCCGGGTTCACGCCATTCTCCTGCCTCAGCCTCCTGAGTAGCTGGGACTACAGGCGCCGCCACCACGCCCGGCTAATTTTTTTTTGTATTTTTGGTAGAGACAGGGTTTCACCATATTAGCCAGATGGTCTCGATCTCCTGACCTCGTGATCCGCCCGCCTCAGCCTCCCAAAGTGCTGGGATTACAGGCGTGAGCCACCGCGCCCGGCCCATAAATTTGTTTAATATTTTGACAGCTGTATCGTGAGTTCTCTGCAATCCTATGTATTTTGTTTTGTGCATTTAAAACCATTAGTTTGAAAAGGGATCGATTGCTTCACTGATACCAACAGGATTCATGGCACAAGAAAAGATCAGAAACTGTGCTTTGGAGCATGTGGGCTCTTTGTGCCTAATGTCTAGCTTGGGGCTTAGGCCACAATGCTAGGACTAAAGGAAAAGTCATCTTCAACTTCCTGTCACCCATAGGCAGAGGGACTCCATGTCATGGTTTGCCTGGGACAGTCCCTTTTACTCCAGCTGTCTGGACTTCATTATTCACATTGCTCCCTTTCATTCTTAAAGTCACCATGGTTTGGAGTAGGTGGAGTGGTCATTCACACGTTTGTGGTAAGATTGGAAGAATCTCTTGCTTACCTAGTGCCTGAAATCCCACTATTGTTTTGGGTTAAGCATTGCAATAGGATCTTGCTTAAAATGCAGAGTCGTGTGATTGATTGTGTGTATGTGCACTCACTTGTGTGGGTGTGGGGGGAATGGGTGAATACCATGAGTCCTAGTTTGAATTGGTTTTTCAGATTGCATTCCTGAATAGTGGGGAGGACCTGGACAAAGTTAAACCCACGAAGTGGGGAGGGGGATCCATGGGAGGAAGACGTTTGGCCTCTCTCAGCCCCACGAGGTCCCCGAGGGAGAGTTCCCAGACTAGGCTGGCCTCGGACCCAAAGCAGACAGATGAACCTTGTGACTTTTGGCCCTGGGCAGGCGCCTAAGCTTGGCTGTGAACTTGGTTTTACTCTGATGGTGAGAAAAGCCCAGGTAATATGTGAGCCCCTCATAAGAGCCAGTATTGCTCCCTGATACTCTCCTGGCAAACCCTCATCCTTCCCACAGTCCCTTCCAAGCAAGAGGAGGAGCACCAAGACAGGAAAGGCACCTGAGGAGGGATCAAGTCCCAGATCCCAAAGGGACCCCTCCAGGCCTTGAACAATTTGCTCATCACACTGATCGAGCCCTCCTGGGTTCCAGTGCTGCCTCCTCTCCTCCCGAGTGTCCTTGGGTGAGGTACCTTTTTGAGCCTCAGTTTCCTCATCTGTAGAATGGGGGTAAATAGTAACCATTGGGGAGTGTCCCAACTGAGACCAATGCCCCCTCATATAAGGATACTTCCAGGAGGGCTGATTTACAAAGGAGCCTGGTGTGGGGGAAGAGTAGGGAAGGTGCAGTCTCCCACAGTAGCCATGTTTCTAGGCCAGGAGGGGACAGCAGGAGGGAGCAGATACTAGAAATGGGAGGATGGGTCCCATACGGAAGGCTGCTGTGAGACGATCAGTGACTTCTGGTGGAGGGACAGGTCCAGCAGAAGTCAGGGAAGGTACCAGGGGGATAAGTACCCCAGCCTCAACCTTCTCCCTCCCTCCACTTTCCTGCCAGGGCTGTTCAACTGGTCCAACCAACAGGATGCCAGAGGCAAGAAGGCACGTTAACATAGCGCTCGCCAGTCAGACTTCTGGGCACAAAGCAGGGTGGAGAAGGGCAGAGCATGGACCTGAAGGGCAGCAGAAGCCCACCCACATGTGATCCTGTAGCTGATGGCTGAGCATTAGCCCACTAGAGCCTCGCAATAGCCCCATTCCTCATTCAGGGGCTGGCACATAAAAGTCTCATTAAATAGTCACCAAATGAATGAATGAATGCATACCTCCTACCTGCTAACAGAAGTGCCTGTGCCAGCTCCTTACTATACTGTGAACCCCAAGAGAGAGGTGTTGGGGCCAAGAGCAGCCTGAATCTACCCTGTGGCTGGCCATGAGGAAGGTATTGGACGGAACTGATGAACTTGCTTTGTGTGGAGTGTGGATGCCAAATGGCCTTGCAATGTGAATCCTTGGGACCCCACAGGCCACCAAGAACACAGAAAACTTATGTTCAAGTTCCCTTTCTCTGTTGATGTGAAGGCTATATTAGTCCATTTTCATGCTGCAATGAAGAAATACCCGAGACTGGGTAATTTATAAAGAAAAAGAGGTTTAATGGACTCACAGTTCCACATGGCTGGGGGGTCCTCACAATCATGGTGGAAAGTGAAGGAAGAGCAAAGGCACATCTTACATGGCGACAGG
Source organism: Homo sapiens (assembly GCF_000001405.40). NCBI lineage: Eukaryota > Metazoa > Chordata > Mammalia > Primates > Hominidae > Homo > Homo sapiens. The sequence goes on along the minus strand of NC_000003.12, from coordinate 72,667,585 downwards.
CAAGAGAGCGTGTGCAGGGGAACTGCCCTTTATAAAACCATCACATCTCATGAGACTTATTCACTATCTTGAGAACAGCAGAGGAAAAAGCCACCCCCATGATTCAGTTACCTCCCACCATGTCCCTCCCATGACATGTGGAGATTATGGGAGCTAAGATTCAAGACGAATTTGGGTGGGGACACAGCTAAACCATATCAGAGACAGAATGGAAGCTTCTTGGTGTGGGAATTCCAGAAGGCACAGGCAAAGCTGGTTTGTGTGGCGTTTTCAGGGGAGCCTAGATTCTACAATTTCCTTGCAGTGCTAGTGGGGAATGGCACAGAAAACCCACTGCAGTCCAGCTTTCCTTCTCTTCTTTATTACTCTTAGAGTAAGCTTATAGAGGTCATATAACTTTATTGTAAAGAAAACCAAATCAGCAATCACAAATAAGCAGAAAAGAAACAATAAAAAATGATCACTGTCATATAATTGATTAATATTTTGGTGCATATCTTTCTAGATTCTTTTCTACTCTGGCTTTCTTTTTATCAGGATCCTGTTGTTTCCAACCAAAGCCAAAATAGCTAACATGCTGGCTGAGCACGGTGGCTCACATCTGTAATCCCAGCACTTTGGGAGGCCTAGGAGGCGGGTGGATCATTTGAGATTAGGGGTTCAAGACCAGCCTGGCCAACATGGTGAAACCCTGTCTCTACTAAAGATACAAAAATTAGCCAGGTGGTAGTGGCATGTGCCTGTAATCCCAGCTACTCGGGAGGCTGAGGCAGGAGAATAGCTTGATTGGAGGTGGAGGTTGCAGTGAGCCGAGATTGCACCACTGCACTCCAGTCTGGGCGACAGAGTGAGACCCTGTCTCAGGAAAAAAAAAAAAAAAAAGCTAACATGCTTTAAGCACTTTTTCTGTGCAGGTATGGTGCAAAATACTTTACATGCACTAGCTCATTAGATTCTCATTTTTTTAATGGCGGCACAGAGAGGTTAAATGACTTGTCCAAGGGCACACAGCTAGTAAGTAAGGAAATTGGGATTTGAACCTAGGCAGGCTGATTCCAGAGCCCCCATTCTTATATGGGCTGATTGCAAACCAGGTAAGAGATAGCTAGTTTTTCGAAGATCCCATGCCACTGTCTCCTAAGTGACATGGTGCCAGCTAGTGCAATATTAATCACTGCAGCATACAGCCAAAAAAAACTTTTCAGCGCCCCAGTTGAGAAATGAACACTGAACCACAGCGCCCCCTGGCTTACATAGTAATTCTGATTGGCTCACTCTAGGGTCACACTGGCCAGCAAAAATTCAAGACAAACCTTTATTGGGCATCTACTATGTGGCGAGCTCTCTGCCAGCCATTGGGTGTAAAAAGTAGAATAAGGTATAGCTTCTGCCCTCCAGGTATTCTTGCATAGCCAGGAGAGACGCACCTAGAAGACGCACAATAGACGCACCTTCTATTGTGTCAATAGAAGGAGAGCTATGCTCTAATGGAGGGTGTGTACCCGCCAAAGCCCTGCAGACACTATGGGGGAAGGGACTTTCACAAGATCACAGAAAGATCAGGTTTCTGCTCTCACCTCCCTTGAGGCCCCCTCCTCTGATGCCACCTTGAGCTCCCTGGCCTGGCCCCAGTGATAAGATTTCCTTTGGTCCTTCCTCCCTCCAACTGAAACGTATGTGTCTTCCCACTTTTTCTCTCAGCGTGCTGCCAGATGGCCATCTCGCTAATCTCAGAACCTCATTCAAAATCAGGGGGTAATGACTTCTGAGTTTTAACAAGAGCTTTCAGAGCTGAACACCAGGAATCACAAACACAGATGCCCACGGGTTAGGCCGATAACATCAGCGCACTCAGCAGACCAGTATTTGGATGTTAAATATGCAGGAATATTCTTTACTTGCACAAAGAGATATACTCTCACCTATTTTTTTTTTCCTGAAGCACATTGTCCTTTGAGTCTATCTTTTCGTTTTCTATTCATTTTTAATAAATATTAAATACAGCTAACATGCTGTATTTAAATGAGAAATATAAATATTTCTCTACCAGAAGAAAAAAAAATAACAGCACAGCTGATGATAAATGCTAATATTTGGTGGAAAACCAAAGGGACTGGTGACTTAAGGTTCCCTAGGGCAGGCTCTGAGACTTAGGTTCCTCGAGGGCAGGATTTGAATATAAGCAGTTGATTTGGAAGGTGATCCAGGAAATGGCAGCCAGTCAATAAAGGGTGTGAGTTATGGTGAGTTAAACCACTGTGGGCAACTGTGACACAGACTCCAGAGGCCAGCGTCAAAGGTGCCCTTCAGCTGCCCATCTGTGAAATGGGTATTTCTCCATCAGCTCCCACCAGTCATTCATTGGGGTTGCTGAGGATGCTTTAATTTTTCCAGTGTCTCTGGTCTACAATGCGTGTGTGCCAAGCAGGCAAGTCCTCAGGCGAAAGACTACAGGCCTTGGGGATTGGAAGTCAGGCCATCAGACCTCCAAATGGCAAGATCCCAGGACCCAATAGCATTTGCCATAGGCACTGATGATGGTGAGCTGAAGCACGCTCACTCCATCTAAAGGGACAATGTAGCATCCGCTGAATTTCACCAAGGAAGATGTGGACCTAGGGTGGTCAGACCTTCAGCTTTCTCAAGAAAAGCTAGTCCTTTAGATTTTTATGTGAAATTTCTCAACATGTAAATGTTGACAATGAATTCAAATTTTTAAAAATGCACTATAGGAGCCAACCAAAGCATGTCTGTGGACTGAATCTGGCTTACAGGCAGCGAGATGATGAAATCCAATCTACTCTGAAGGCTGATCTTGGCTCCAGACCGTTCTTGCTCCAGACAAGATCTGAAGATGAATTTTGATAAAGGAAAGTGAATGTTTTAGTCAGGAGTAGACTGCATTGATGTAATAAAGGGACCCCCAAGTACAGTGGTGGTAACCAGACAGAAGTGTGTTTCTTTCTCATGTAACAATCTGGAGGTTGGTGGGTGGTTCAGGACATTTCTGCTATATGAGGCTGTCCAGGGACTAGGTTTCTTCTATCTTGTTGCTCAGAGTGTTGTCTTCCTCCACGGGGGTCAAAACTGGCTCCCCAACTTCTTGTCCACATTCCAGCCAATAGGAAAGGAGAAAGAGAAGCTTAATCATTTTAAGGGTCAGATCTGGTCATTGCACAGTTCATGTCCTCTCACATCCCATTGGTGGGGACTTAGTCACATGGTCATGTCTGGCTGCAAGGGATGTTGGGAAATGTAGAATGTGGTCTCTCTCTGTCTCAGTAGCCATAAGGTTCTGTTTAAACTTAGGAATTCTGTTTCTATAGAATTAGGGGAAGACCAATATTAGCAACAAGAAGCCTCTGCCACCATGGAAGAAGGATCTGGAAAGAAGGATGGGATCTCAGCCTGATGGCAGGTCTTACCCAAGAGGGAATTTTTTTCTCAGGAGAGTGAAGAAAGCCTGGCTTTCCTCATCAGCTCTCTTTGTGTTGAATTCATCAGTCATGACAATCATTTGAGAAACCTTAGAAGATCATCCCAAACCTGGAAAAAGTCAGTTACATTAGGAAAGGAGTGAGCATAAAGAGCACCTACTAGAGAGAGGGTCCTTTCACACACATGACCTCATGTAACCTTCACAATCATGCCATGAGGTGGGTAGTATTATCACCACCCCTATCCCCTTTTTTGGAAGAAAGGTTGAGTACCAGAGAAGCAGGGGTGATATTCAAACTCTTTAATTAGGGTTAAGGTATGGGGGCTGACCAATCAGAGCTGCCATACAGATTTGTTTTATCAGAGAAGTAAAGGCCTTGGTCAGGATTTGAAATGAGGCTCATATGACTGCAAAGCTCACATTCTTTTCACCGCAATTTGATTTCCTTATGCCAGCTGCTTCCCCAGAGACAGTGACACCAACTCTTCTGGGTTGTTGAGAGGGTAAACAAACCGTGATGAATGAATCTCCTCTCCTAATATGAATGCCTTATTGTTGTTATTCTTCATGCCCTGACAGAGTATTTACAGCCTCTGCTGTTGCTCTGCTTCTATCTGGTGGATTAAGGAAAGTCACAACTCACAGCCCTAGTGGAAAGTTACAACTGGGATTTGAGCTAACGAAGAGTTGAAGACTCAGCAACAGGCGCTTGGCTTCACTATTAACCTGGACAAGGCCATTAACTCGCCTGTACTTAATTGGCTTGTTCTGTGACACACTGTTGCCCCAGAAACACCCATATGGGTGTACCCCACATTAAAGAAGCCCGCTCTATGAAAACCGAGACTTGTTGAAAAGATAAATGGGAGTTAATTATTTAATTAACCACAAAAGACTTTGCTCTGAAAAATGGGATTTCTGGATAGCTAGTTTCAAAATAATACTGAAAATTTTGATTCTGGGAGAAAGGGAGGATACAAAAATGTGTCAGTTCTTTTTTGGTCCATCTGGGAATGTTCTGGAATAGATTAGATTTCAAGAACTCTGTAATGATGCTTCAGAGGGAACTTGTGAAATCTGAATTGGGTTGGGGGTTGTTTATGGTGGATATATTTGGGGTGCCTGCCAAGGCCCTGTCCGACCTCTGAGAGTCTAGTCCCTCACCACCTAATGGAAGGAGGAGGTATGTCTAAGCCGTCATGTCTATGCCACCTAACTCCATCCCCCCATCTCCCACTACTGACTGTATCAAAAGTAAACTCCTCACCAGGAACCAATCCATAGGCCCAGTCTGTGAGCCAACCAACTTGTCTGTCAAATGTGTGAACTAAGAGACACATAACTACACTTAGATAGTGCTTGGCATTTGACCTGAAAGATCATGTACAGCCGGGTTGGGGCAGTGACTTTAATGCTGTGTACTGTCTCTTAGGAAGGCAGAGAGAAGGCATGCTAGTCTGTAAAGGGAAAAGGGGACTGAGTTGACATGCAGTGGCGGGCCTGGCTATCTTGATCTCCCGTTGCTGGGTGCCCACCGGATTGCCTACTATATACTTTGAATAAGCACGTCTGGAGCCCCAGTCAATGAGGATTTCAAACTGATCTCAACTTATCCACCTTGATCAGGAATAAGACCTTATTTTTATTCCACTCACTACTCTCAGTGGGTTCAGTGGTCTCAGCTGGTCACCTGTCCAAGAAGGCTTTTGTCCTGCCCATTGTTGTGGGGTGGGCATGATGGGGGGAGGGTGTTAGCCATGGGACATGTCACTGCAAACTGGATGATTATTGAGGTCTGGTGGTCCTTGCCAGACAAGAGAGATGATTTGGTTGTGACTGAAGAAATCCCAAGCTCCTTGGAGCAAACCTAGTGGAGCCTGTGATTTTCATTCTCCCACTGTGCTGCCCGGGAGTAAATGCAGTCCTTGCTTTATTTCCCTACGGAGTAACTGACTCGTTTCTTGCTGAGCAGGCTGGGGATAGCAGTTGGGGGAGAGAGGTTTTTAGGATGCAGCAGAGAAATTTGATGAGTACAGAAGTATGGTGTGAACCCACCATTAAATGCCCCAAATGTTACTCTACCCCATTATCTTAGGCGGTTCTATTCTTTGCAACCAAACGTGGCCTACAACACATCAACACAATAGTCTTCTATTGCTTTCCCTCCCTTCCCTCTTGAATTTCTATAGGTAGCAGAAATCCAATCTTACTACCCAGGAGTCCTGGGAATATCATATCCAAATTTACACTGCGGCCCAATCAAAATCCATCATGCCTAGGGGTTTAGCAATGGGGCTTTGTATATTCATAAGTCATTAGAGAAACAACCAACTTACATTCCACTATTATGAGAGTTTCTTATAAAAGGGGTTGGCTATCCCTTTGTCCCCTTCACCTAATCCCTTTCTCCTTTTTAATTCCACCTGGTTGAACCACCTCTATTTGCCAGGCATTTCCCCTTCAGTTAATAGTATCCATTGTGCAGGCTTTACTCATGTTTTCGATATGCCAGCCATTGTGCAAAATGATTTGCAGGTAGCACGCTGTTCAATTGTCACAGGCCCCTTCATTGCAGCTACTAATGACGATTCCCATTTTACAGATGGGGAAATTGAGAGGCTAAGTCATCCATCTGACTCCATAGCCTGAAATTTTTTGGCCACTCTGCTTTACTACTGCTCTGGCTTCCCTGGGTTTCCTTCTGCCATTTTCAGTAACTAGGGGAGAGAAGGTCCAGGTGTCCTGCCTGGCAGCAGGGCCCCCGGAACTTGGCTCTTTTCTGGCCTCCTTTCCAGCTAGCACAGCTGCCAATCTGGAACACAGCCCTTTCCAAGAAAGCCCAGGAGAGAAGCCAAATGTTGACTCACCTGCCAGACTCGGGGATGCTGCTGCCAAGATGCCTCAGGGCCTGTGCAGGAGGGCTGGCAGGGCTGGCCCATTGTGGGGCCTGGCAGGGGCAGCTTCAAAGGGCCAGGCCTTCTTTCCTGAGTGCTTCAGGTTCCAGAGGCTAAAGAGATCCAGATGGGTTCCTCCCCTCCTCCTTCTGCCCCATCCTTCAGCCCTGGAAGTTTCTGAAAGAGAATGTCTCCTCTACATCTCCCCTTGGGTGGCAGGCAAAATTCTAAGGAAGCACGCAAGACTTTCTGCCGTCTCACCCCACCCCACTGTGTGTACCCTGCTTAATCCCCAGACCTGTGAATATGCTGGATTTTGCTCCCATGATTAGGTGATGTCCTATGGCACACTTGATCCTAAGAAGGGGAGATTATTCAAGGAGGCCTGATCTAATCCTAGAGTTTTCTCTGACTGGTGGCAGAAGAGGAAGTGAGAAGTTGGAAGCAGGAGAAGAATTTGACCCAGGCTTTCTGGCTTGAAGTTGAAAGGAGTCCTGCAGTAAGGACTATGGGAAGCTTCTGGAAGCTAAGAGTGGCCCATAGCTGACAGCCACCAAGGGAACAGGGAGCTTGGGCCCACGCATGCAAGGAACAGAGTCTTCCAACACAGAGAATACATTTGCAATGAGATGCTTCCTCAGAGCGTTCACACAGGACCCTAGGCCAGCTACCACCTGATTTCAGCCTTCTGATAACCTGCCCAGAGAACTCAGTTGAGTCTACCTGGACTACTGACTTCCAGAACTATGAGCTAATACATGGGCATTGTTTTAGCTGCAAAGTGTGGGGTAATCTGTTATCCAGTCACAGAAAATGAGTGTACTTCAGATATGTAACAGGCATTTCAAACCCTACATGTCCAGCTATTCCCCACTTGAGTCTTCCCCAGGTGGTCAGTGGTAGCTTTATTCTTCTTGGCATAGGCCCCAAATCTTCAAGTCGGTCTTGCCTCCTCTCCTTCTTGTAACTCTTTGTTGAATTCATCAGCAAGTTCTTTTCACTCTCCCTTCATACTGTCTCCAGACTCTGACTACTCACCACCCCCGATGACCTGTTCCTTCTCTTTTCTGCCCTGACAGCACAGTAGTTCATTACTGAAATGGCCAAGTCCTTGCCCCTCCCTGGCAGGAGGCAAGGACACTCCTGGATGATGGTTGGCTGGCCTCCTCTTCAGCTTCTGTACCCAACCCATTGGGGTGGCTGATAAATTCAAACACAGACACAAAGCAGAGGGTGGCAGAAGAAGGGGGCTCCCATGTGGAGGCCTAATGGGGAGCAGCAGACATTTGAGTTCTGGCTACCCTTGGGCTTGGTAGGCTCACAGAGCCGGCTGCCTGGCATGTTTCCAGATATAACACAGTTGTCACCCAGGAGGAGTTCCCAAGCCTCCTTCAGAATCAATTATGTTCAGGAGTCATGCTGTGGAATACTTTCTGGGGATCAGGATTTTATTTATTGTTCAAGGTTTTGAGCCAAGAGTGAAAAATTGTTGTTGATGATGATGGGGGAATTCCCAGGAGGCCCAGAAGAACTCACAGGCAACCAGCCTCCTGGAGTCACTAAGATGAATGGCTGTCAAGTCAGCCAGAGTGCGAGGCCAGCTTGTCCTTCCTCGATGGCTTTTCTGGGCTCTCAGTCTCTTCAGTGAGGATCAGAGAAGATACATTTTCTTGTTTGGTCAAACCTTTAGCACAGTACTGGGCGTACGGTAAGTTCTCATCAGATGGTGGTGGTTATGACTGATATATTGACTGTAATTTACTTCTAAACATAAAGCATATTTCATACACCATGTCTCTGTGCACATGTATGCATGGGGTGTGTGTGTATGTGTTAGCTTTCATCTACATTGTAGGGGCTGTTAACATTCGAAAGATCACAACCCCACACTCCAGAGGAAGGTACCATAAGTGCTTCAATTATCTGTCCTAGCTCAGCATCCATGGGTGTGTTAATTAGCATAATGGATTTCTAAAATGGTTTTTCATTGATGAAAAGAATGGCGTTCAAGAATGGTAGATGGCTGGAAATGTTTCATAGTGCGTTTGCCTTGCCTGAAGACATTATAAATAAGTCTAGCCAGACCAGTTGCTTATTCTTTTAGAAAGGCTCCAGCCTTGGAAGTCCAAACAGTCCTATGTCTATATATTAAAGGGTTGATTTGATCACCTGCCTGACTAGGCTAGATACTGCGCTGACAATAGTGTCACGTGTGCCTTGACTACACTTTTTGTGAAAGAGGCTGTCGAAGTGTCTAAAGTGAGAGGGCTGACATGTCCCCGGGTTAACAGAATGGGTGGTGTGGCTGTTTATGTGCCTGCTTGCTGGCCTTGAAACCAGTTAGCAAAATGTGGAATTTGGTCTGAGACAGACTGTCTTTGTAACATACTATCTGATTAGGTGATCGGGGGAGGTAGCTTGTAGCCTTCATGGACTTCTTACCTATTGCAGGAAGCCATCATGATCAAACACCTAGTAGTTTGAATAGCCAAATTGCTTAGGCTAGTTTGCAACAACTACTTTAAAATAAGTAAGATAATTACAACTGGAACGAGGAATAACTGGTTTCCTTTAGCTTAGAAAAGACATGTTACAACAAGAAGTCAGGAAAGTATGAGTATAAACCTCTGTATAGCATGTCCTGGGGTGAGTTCTGGTGCCATTTTAGATGATGGTCAATCTTGAAATGTGTGTGTGTGTGTGTAGACAAACAGATGAGCAGGTAGATGATAGGAGAAGAGGAAGGTGAATGGAGAATTACAATTCTATTTTTCTCTCAAGAAAAGAAACGCCATGGAACCTTCTAGAAGTGGTGTGGCTGAATGTGATAAGCTGGAGTTTGGACCTCAGACCAGGATTCGGATGCTGCCTCTCTTTCTTTCTAAGGGGCCTCAGGCTAGCTTCTTAAGTTCTCTGAGTCCACTTTGTCATCTACAAAATGGGTATTGGAATACTTCCCTTGAGTTGTGATTAAAGTAACTGGCCTTGAAACCACTTAGCAAAACGTCAGGCACAAAGTGAGCCTTCAATAAATAATTTCCTCCCGGAATATTTACAGAGCATTAGGACTCTGCACACAGTATCTGGGTTATAGTAGCAAATAAGGCATATAGATTCCTAGAGCTCACAAACTCACAGTGATGATGAACTTCATTAAGGAGACACACGAGGACCCCCTGGCGTGTTTGTTAAAAAGGCAGATTCTAAGTATCAAGACCTCCTGAATCTGAGGATAAGTGGGTGGGGCCAGGAACCCATTTATAATAAGCTCTGCAGGTGATCGAATGGGCGGCCAGGTTGGGGAACCACTGACTTAACCACTGTAATTCTCTACTGAAGCCTTGGTTTGGCAATGCTCCAGTCTCCCTTCAAAGGCTCTTCAGTCATGAGTTTGAACTGACTGCACCCACAGTGATGGGAAGTGCTGCCCTCTTCCTACCCTGAACCGCTCCACTGCAGGGGGTGGGGCAGAGAGAGTTACCCCTTGTCTTGCTTATTTTATAGGCAGTGCTCATACATCATTATCAGAAACTTCAAAGACTTCACTGAGCATCGAATTGACAGGCTACAACTTGAATTATGAAGTCTTCAGTAGCTAAATCTCTAAACTTGGAAAGCCTCTGCTCCTCAGATCATCACCTAAAAACAATGAACATCTAGTCTGGAGACTGCTATTGTCTGCATGTGACTTAGGAACCATTTTTTTCTGTTCTTCCCCTCCTTAGAATAATATATCATATATACATACCAGTAGAAAATTCAGGTAATATAGTACTGGCACAGAAAATAAAAAATAGTAATCCAGCCCTCCTGAGATAATCACCATTAATATTATTTGGTATACTTCCTTCCAGTTTTTTTTTTTTTTTTTTTTGAGACAGAGTCTAGCTCTGTCACCGAGGCTGGAGTGCAGTGGCTCAATCTTGGCTCACTGCAACCTCCACCTCCCAAGTTCAAGCAATTCTCCTGCCTGAGCCTCCTGAGTAGCTGGGACTACAGGGGTACACCACCACACACAGCTAATTTTTGTGTTTTTTAGTAGAGACGGGGTTTCACCATGTTGGCCAGGCTGGTCTCAAATTCCTGACCTCAAGTGATCCGCCTGCCTTGGCCTCCCAAAGTGCTGGGATTACAGGCATAAGCCACCATGCCTGGCCTTCCTTTCAGTCTTTTTTCTTTGTATGTGAGTACATGTATTTTGTTGTTGTTGTTCATAAAATCAAGATCGTACCATAAGTGCTATTTTTTGAATTGCTCTTTTCATTTCATAACATGTTTTAAAGTAAAAAGTTAATATTTTTTAATGCAATTAAATATTCCTCTTTAACAGTGGTTTTTCACACTGGGATGGACGAAACCCTCAGGGTTCCTTAGATGTACCTACTGCTTACCTGGGGTGGGGAAAGGAGTTGGGTGGGGGGAGTTCCAGGCCCTAGAGCCCAGTTTTCATCACAGCAGTTCCACTCATATCAGGTTGTAACTGGAATACTATGTAGGATTCCATCAGAAACTTAAAAAATTTGTAAACTATTGCCCTAAATTATCATTAAAATGTTTTTAAACCATTTCTTTCCTTCTTTTTAAAAAACTTAAATGGAATGACTCTTTAAAAATTATAAAACAAATATTTGCTGATAGTTTTAAAAAGCTCAGGTTTTTATTATATATTTTTAAAAATGATATATGTTCTTTGTAAAAATGTCAGATACAGATTTGATGACAAACCTACCTTTACTTCCTCCTCCAAATACCCAAGGAGTCCAGCACTGCCCCACTGCCCACCTTTAGAGGGCTCAGCTCACAGAGAATACCCAGTTAAGCCAGGTGTGGTGGCCCACACTTGTAATCCCAGCACCTTCATATCCACTTCGGAAGGATCACTTGAGGCCAGGAGTTGGAGACCAGCCTGGGCAACATAGTGAGACCCCATGTCTATTAAAAGAAAAAAAACCCAGTTAAGATTTATGTCTCATTCCAGACTCTTCCCAGCATAGGGATTATTCCGTAGGTCGAGGTACCCCAGAAGCCAACCTGAGACTAGGATTTCGGTGCAAGTGTTTTATGTGGGAGGCAAGCTGACCACTGTCCTGGTTTGCCTGGGGCTGGGGGTTCCCAGGATGAGGTGTTTGCCCTCTGTCGGGAGATAATCCCAGGAAGCACTGATGGAGAAGTGGGGAAGTGAGATGGACAGGGCTGGGAAGCCTGTGATTAACAGGTTAGCCCCATGCACAGCTGAGCTCAGTCCTGTTTGGGACCTGTGGGGGGCGCTCTAGAACACCCTCCCCAAGGTGCTTTTTCTCCCGTAGGGCGTCCCTGCCTGGTTGCAGGCTCCCCCTGACTTCAGGCCTGCCCACCTCCTGCAGTCCTAGAGAGGCCTGGGCAGAGAGCCCCAGGAGCACCAATGCCAAGAGGGTAGCGGCAGAGCGCCAGTAGCATCTGCTATGAGAGTATTTCTGTACATATATTTAAAAAAAATAAAAATAGGATCACTCCATTTTTGATTTACTGGCACCTTGATTTATGTAAGGTGTCTGAAGGAAAGACATTCTAGACCACAAATCTAATACGGCAGTCATTTCAAGGGTCCAGGCTTGGAATTGCCCTTGGGTTAATTATATCAGAGGCTGATCATGTAAATGACTAGCATTGGAATCGGATGAAATGGTATCACTACTACTTAAAACAAAAAACAAAAAACCTCCGATGAGTTCTCTGCTGGATTCAGTTCAAAATTGTCCGCTGAACCACTGGAAGAAACTAACAATGGAAGTCTAGTGATTCCAATTCTTCTAGCGCTTGCGGTCAGCCCAAGTCCCCGCAGGAGCCCACGTGCTAATCCCGGGTCCTGACAGCCATGGACGAGGCCCGGCGGTGCTCACGGGGGGCCAAGGGCTGCCCCGGTGCAGGAATTCAGGTGTGTGCGACCGCAGGCGGCGCCGGCCTCCCCGCTGCAAGGACAGCAGCTCCTTGATTGCTCTGTCTAAACAAGGGAGCGAAGGCATAAGTTCCTTTTGTCACCCCGTTTCCATGGTTATTTGACACGTGATCGTCTTTTTTGGCGTCCTCCCGGCAAAATCGCGGTAGGTTTGGCTAATACATTCCTGTCTGTGAAGGAATGGGAGGGGTCCAATTACCCTTCCGGAGAGCCTCGGGTTGTTCCACAGAACAATTTTGGAGGTGTATTTCTTCCCTAATGGGTTTAGGAACCCCAACCCTGATTTGTCAAAACGGATGCTGTTGAAAATTTGAACTCTGATAGGATTGAAGGCAATTTGATGATATAAAGGAATCATTTTTTTTTTAAGTTGCGTTCATGGTACTGTGTTTTAAAAGACCATTCTTAGCCTTTAGAAACACACACTGATATTTACAGATGAAATGATAGGATCTCTGAGATACGCTTCAAAATATGTGGTAGGGATGGGCCAAGCCGAATTTGCCATGGGTCCGAGAGTGTTTACGGTCCTGTTCTGTCTACTTATATATATATATATATGTTTGACGTTTTCTATAAATGCAAACATTTTTGTTAGTGTAAAAAGATGGTGGCTGAAAAGCAAATCTGCTTTTGTTTTCAAAGGTCATGATAAGGATTGAGTGAATGAATGTGGCTGCAGGATAAACTCTGAAATGTTGTAGGAGAGTAATATGCCAGAAAATTCTAACCTGTGGATAATGATGATGGAGGTGGTGGGAGTGTGTGTGTCGGGGGTGGGGGGGTGTGGGTCAGAGTTATTGCAGGGCAGCTCTTAGGGTCTCAGACAGAACTGTCCACCTATGACTAGGCAGGGTAGAATTTTGAGATATTAACCATACTCCAACCCCAATTTGTGAAGCCAGACAATTTGCCTGTATTGTATATGGGAAGAAAGGGTGCTACAGAATTCAGAGAATAGAAAGATTAAAGTTTTGGCTTTTTGTTTAATAAATTTTTCGTAGAGACAGGGTTTTCTTGTGTTGCCCAGGGTGGTCTTGAACTCCTGGGCTCAAGTGATCCTCCCACCTCAGCCTCCCAAACTGCTGGGATTACAGGCATGAGTCAGCATGCCTGGCCAGTTTTGGCATTTTGAATGTTAAAAGCTACTCTCCAGGCATAAGAAAAAGACTTAATTAGTGAGAGTCATTTTTTCCCTCCCTCCTGTTCCCCCAAAATGGTAGTTAGCTTTAGTTAAGCATTTATGATGGGCCAGGCACTGTTCTAAGCATTCCGCAAATATTGTCTTTTTAAATCCTCTAAGAAGCCCGTGAGATAATCAGTTTTACAGATGGAGAAATCGAGGCACAAACTGGTTAAGTAACTTGCCCAGAGTCCCATAACTCACCTGACTCCAGAGCTTAGCTAATCCCCGGATAGATGAGGGAAGACCAGCTTATCATGGGAGCTGTTGGCTGAGATGGTGGATCAGGGAGGCTAGGCGGAAAGGACCTGAGGAGTCCCAGTGTGGAAGGGAGAGCATGAACCGGGTATGGAAGACTCAAGGAAGCTGCAACCACCCTCGCCTCCCATGCCTGGGTGCTCCTGAGGGCCTCCAGAACTTGGACTCAACCTAAGGGAGACTCAAGGAAATTCTTAAATAACAGTGATTTTGTTTCTCCCACCTCCAGGATCAGGGACCTGATAAAGAAATTCACTTTAGTTGTCAAAAAACTGGAGAAATGTTCACTCATGGTTGAGTTTGCAGCCTGTGATTCTCCATGCATAACAGTGTGATGTGGTTTCTGCTGTTGTGATAAGGCATTCTAAAGGAATCAGGGTCCTGGTTAGAGTATTAGATTTTCAAGTCAAAGTAACCTAGGTTTGAACCCTAACTCTGTCAGTTAGTTGCTATGTGGCCTTGGTGGGAGCCTTAATTTCTTGTCAGCAAAGTAGGGATGAGAGTACTAACTGTGCCCACCAAACAGGGTGGTATAAGCATGAGATGAAAGCCCAGCTCACTGCCTGGCACAAGGAAGGCGGTTGCAGCTTCCTTGAGGCTTCCATACCCGGTTCATGCTCTCCCTTCCACGCTAGGACTCCTCGGGTCCTTTCCACCTAGACTCCCTGATCCACCATCTCAGCCAACAGCTCCCATGATAAGCTGGTCTTTTCTCATCTATCCAGGGATTAGCTAAGCACCCAGGCTCTGGAGTCAGGTGAGTTATGGGACTCTGGGCAAGTTACAAGTACATTGTAACCTGTGTGTCTCAATTCATTGGTGGTATAACAAGAACTGGTTTTATTGTTTCCAACTATTGCTCCTAACCCAGCTTCCATAACATTTTCCATGGCTAAACATCCTTAGTAGTAATTCAGCTGGATTCTGTAATTTACCAGTTCCTTTACTAAAACCATCACTTTAGTTTTTAAAGGCCCTGTCCTGCTCATTTTAATACTTCAGTCTATATTGCTGAAATGGGGGTGTAGTTAAAAAAAAAACCCATGAAAGAAAGAAAGAAAAAAGAAGAAAAAAGAAAGAAAGAAAGAAAAAGAGAAAGAGAAAGAAAAGAAAAGAAAAAGAACGCTTCAGTCTTACATTGGATAGAAAGCCTTTTCCTGCACTTGCCCTGGGGCACGCATGAACTATGATTCCTGGGGTGAGGAGGGGAAGTGAGGATGATTCTCTCATACCCTTTGCCCTCTCTCCTCCTTTTGTTGACTCCTCGAGGGTGGGGGCTGGCAGGAAGGAGAGGAAATGCCTCCCACATCTCTTGCCTGGACCTGCTGGTGAGGCTGTGGGCCTCTCTTTGGTGGCTTAGAGCTTTCATTGCTCCAGGGTTCTGTGGGCTTCATGTCGTTGGCCTTGCAAGGGGCTCACTTCTCAGCATCTCCCAGGGTGTTGTTGGTTCCTTCCTAGACCTGCCCACACCTCCTAGCTGACCCCACCATAATCCTCTCTGTGAGGATGTAGGGTCTTTGCTCTTCTATCTTCCATGGCCAACTTTGGGACCTCTGGGTTTGTATGAACTCCAACTGTACACTTCTGAAAAACTAGGGAACTAGACTGAGCTAGGGACTCTCTTTCTCATGGACTCCATTATGCCATCCCACCCCAATTTTATCATCTTCTTTCTGGTCACACAGAGGAAAGTCAGCAGGTCCTCCCATTAGGAAGTGAAATTCCAATCTTCTTTACCTATGGATACTGCTAGTCATTAGCAGGATACTCTCTGGGTCTCCTCTCCTTTCTTTGGAGGTCACAACACACTTTGTTATCAAAAGGAAAGGAGGAAGGAAAAGGCTTCTCTTCAAAAATACTGCACTATCCCAAAATATGAGGTCCTCTCTCCACAGTGCTGATGGTGGTGGTGGTGACAGTGATGGAGATAGTGCTGGAGGTGATGGTGGAAATAGTGATGATGGTGATGGTGATGAAGGCATTGACGGTGGTGGCTGGTGGAGATGGCGATGAGGGTAGTGGAGGTGGTGGTGGTAGAGGTGGTAATGATGGTGATGGTGGTGGATGTGATGGTATAGATGGTGGTGATGGTAGAGATGTTGATGATGGTGATGGTGTTGAAGGCATTGACTGTGGTGGCTGTGGTGGAGATGGTGATGAGGGTAGTGGAGGTAGTGGTGGTAGAGGTGGTAATGATGGTGATGGTAGATGTGATGACACAGGTGGCAGGGATGGTGGAGATGCTGCTGATGGTGATGGTGATGAAGGCATTGATGGTGGTGAGGGTAGTGGAGATGATGGTAGTAGGGGTGGATGTGATAATACAGATGGTGGTGATGGTAGAGATGTTGATGATGGTGATGGTGATGGTGGTGAAGGCATTGACGGTGGTGGCCATGGTGGAGATGGTGGTGAAGATAGCGGAGGTGATGGTAGTAGAGGTGGTAATTGTGGTAAGAGTGGTAGAAGTGATGGTGGAGGTGGTGATTCTCCTACAGTTACCCCAAATAAAGCCCTGAGGGAAGGTAGCTGGTCCTTTTGATTCTCAAGGGTCAGAGCTCTGAATTTGGAAGATGGGTATCCTTTGTCTTCAGCTCTGGGCCTTAGCAGAAATTTCAGAACAACAGGAAAAATCCCACTCAGCCATTAACACAGTCCAGTTACATTAGGTGTAGTGCTACCAATAAAAGTAATTCTTCCACAGTTCTTTTAAAGTGGTACTGAAAATATGGTAGCTTCTTGTTATTTCCTCAGCCAACAGAAGCTGAAGTACAACTACTACAGTGTAAAGGTCTATAACAGTTCTTGGCATTGGAAGAGAGTTCTTTATATCTGAAAACTTTCGAACTAGTGCTCTGACTGGGTTGCTCACAGTCTCTTCTTGGGCTGGGTGAGAGGTCTTTTGAACTTGGGGTATAAGCTGTTGTCCCAGAAGGAGCACAAGTGAATAAATGATCAATAAGAGGCTGAAACAAGAACTCTGGCCTTGCTAACTCTACAGTCTGGTCAATGGGATGAAGCAAGATGGAGGTGGTTACCTAGATGAGGAGGAAAGTTAGGCTCCTGGTTTTCTTTACTAGTGCCTTATGATGAGTTAATTTCTCTCTGTACAGCTAGGACTTCCTGTAGGCCAAGGTTTCTTGACCTTGGCACTATTGACATTTGGGGCTAGATAATTCTATGTTGGGGATTGGCTGGGGCGGGGCTGTGCTGTGCATTGTAGGATGTCTAGCAGCATCCCTGGCCTCTACCCATTAGATGCAAGTAGCACCCTCCCTACATTGTGACAACTTTACATGTTCCCAGACATTGCCAAATTTCCTTTGAGGGGATCCTTTGAGCACTGCCACTGTAGATCCTACCCAGGCCAAGGCTGCCCCTTCTCTGGGAAGGGTCTGGGTACTGATGCAGCAGATATGATTTTTATTTTATTTTATTTTTTGTAGAGATAGGATCTTATTTTGTTGCACAGGCTAGTCTTGAACTCTTGTCCTTAAGCAGTCCTCCTATCTCGGCCTCCCAAGGTGCTGAGATTACAGGAATGAGCCAGCCTAGGTTTGATGTTTTTGAGCCATGTATTCAAGTCATATAGCAAATTTAACTCTCTCACTCTCTCTCTCTCAATCTCTCTCTCTCTCTCTCTCTATATATATATATACACATGAGGTTTTTTTGTTTTGTTTTGTCTCTTTTGTTTTGAGATGGATTCTCGCTCTGTGGCCCAGGCTGGAGTGCAGTGGCACGATCTTGGCTCACAGTAGCCTCCACATCCTGGGATCAAGCGATTCTCATGCCTCAGCCTTCCAAGTAGCTGGGATTACAGGTGCCCGCCATCACTCCTGGCTAATTTTTGTATTTTCAGTAGAGATGGGGTTTCGCCGTATTGGCAAGACTGGTCTCAAACTCCTGAACTCAAGTGGTCTGCCTGCCTCAGCCTCCCAGAATGCTGGGATCACACGCATGAGCCACCATGCCTGGCCAACATTCTTTATATTTCTGTTCCCCATTTCTATAACTCATTTATATATATCACCCTTTGAGCCCTCATTCTTCCTGTTGGCATCTGTGGGGAAATGCTCTCTTTTTAAGTTTAAACTCAAGTCAATTCAGGATCCTTTTATTCTCTTTCCCTCCTGTACTGATCAAAGATTTACGGGGTTTCTGGCATTGGTGAGGGAGTGGTGGGAACTAATTTCTGATCTATGCCACTATCTTCTGAAATGTGTGATCCTTCTGGATGGTTCCTTGTGTGGGGGACTCTCGTATTGATTTCTGTGTCGTCTGAACCAATGGATATGTCTGTTCTCATCTTATTTGATTCCATTTGATTCCTTCCTTCCTCCTCTACTGACTTTATTCTGGTTTCTGTGACCCCATAGACCCCAGGTTTTCTTCCCACTTTACTAGCTATTCTTTCTTTGCCTCTGTGGCTAAATCTTCCTTCCCCTTATCTCCAAATATCAGAGCACCCTGGATTTCAGTCCAGAGCCCCATTTTCTTCCCTATCTAAACATTTCTCTTTAAATCCATGGCTTCAAATGTCATGCTTTTCCCATAACTCCCACATCTCTCCAGCAGTGACCCTGCCTTATGTCCCTCATCCTTATAGTCGACTGTCCACTTGATATTTCCGCTTGGATATCTTACTGATGCCTCAAACTTGACATGGTTAGAACCACTCTTGTTTTCTTTTCTCTAAACCCGCTCCTGCTCCCCAGTCTTCTCTATCTTAGAGAATAGTGTGCCATCAGCTCAGTTCCTCAAGCCAAAGATCATTTAATTATTTTCAGTCTTCATTTCCCTTCCCTAACACATTCCATCTAGCAAGATCTGACTTCGACTTTATCTCCAAAACAACATGAATCAGTTCACCGAATTTTCACTGCTACCACCTTGGTCCAATTAGCCATCATCTCTTGCTGACATTACCACAACAGCTACCTGACTGAAGTTTCCTTGCTTTTATTTTTGCTCTGATCATCCTACGAATCATTCCCCATGCAGCAGCCAGAATAAGCTTTACAAAATATAGAAATCATAAGATCATGTCACACTCCTACTTAAACTTTCTTTTTTTTTTTTTCCACTCTGTCGCCCAGGCTGGAGTGCAGTGATGCGATCTTGGCTCACTGCAACTTCTGCCTCCCAGGTTCAAGCAATTCTCCTGCCTCAGCCTCCTGAGTAGCTGTGATTACAGGTGCCCACCCCCACACCCGGCTCACTTTTGTATTATTAGTAGAGATGGGGTTTCACCATGTTGGCCAGCTGGCCTCAAACTCCTGACCTCAGGTGATCCACTCACCTCAGCCTCCCAAAGTGCTGGGATTACAGGCGTGAGCCACGGTGCCCGGCCACCTGCTTAAACCTGATTGCTCCTAATCACACTTCAGATAAAATCCTGACTGCTGGCTGGGTGCAGTGGCTCATTGGCACTTTGGGAGGTCAAGGCAGGAGGATCATTTGAGCCCAGGAGTTTGAGACCAGCCTGGGCAACATAGTGAGACCCTGTCTCTACGAAATTTTTAAAAATTAGCCAGATGTGGAGGCATGCACCTGTAGTCACAGCTACTTGGGAGGCCATGGTGGGAGGACCACTTGAGCCTAAGAGGTCAAAGCTACAGTGTGCCAGCCTAGGTAACGAAGTGAGACCCTGTCTCAAAAAAAAAAAAAAAAAGAAAGAAAGGAAGAAAGTTAGGAAAAAAGGAAGGAAGGGAGGGAGGAAGGAAAAGAAATCCATCCTCACTGCATATGCTGGCTTACAGGCCCAGCCTGATCAGCCCCTGTCAACCGCTCCAGCATCATCATCTACCACACCACCCTTTGCTCCATTGAACTTCGGCCACACTGGCTGTTTTAATGATCTACTGCGGCAAGACAAACCATCCTGAAACCTAGTGGCTTGAAACAGCAACTGTGGATTATTCCTCATGATTCTGTGAATTGGTGGAGCTCAGCTGGGAGGTTCATCTCTGTTCTACTCTGATGTTGGTGGAGGTGACTCGTGGCCTCATTTGGCCTGGACTTTTGCAGGAACTGGAGCAACCTCTCTCACATGGAGGACACCTGGACATCTCTTTCTCTCCACCTTGTCTCTGGATCCCTTTACATGCTGGCTCAGGAATCCAGGTGAGTGAAATTGGGAATTGCCAGACTTCTTAAGGCCTTAGCGTGGAGCTGAAATGTTACTACATCTGCATTCTACTGGTCAAAGCAAGTAACATGGTATAACCAGAGTCAAAGAGGTGGGGGGAGTGGCAAATAGACTAAGATGTGGCCATCCTGAATCTGCAGGCCTGACCTTCTTTCTGTTCCTTGCTCGTGACCAGTTCATTCCTTCCTTGGGACCCCTGCACCTGCTGCCCCTTGGCGGGGATTTTCTCCTCCTTGATCTCAGCATTGCCGGCATCGTCTCGTCATTCACATCTCAGCTCACATGCCATCTCTTAAGAGGTGACCATCCAATGAATAAAGTCACCAGTTACTATCATGTTACCCTTTAAATATTCTCTGCAGAGCATTACCACTCTGTTTGTTGGTTTGTTTATTTGCTTATCAGTTGTCTCTTTTCCCTGGAATGAAAACCCCATGATGGCAGGAACCTGGCTATTTTGTTTACACTGTATTATCTTTAGCCCCTACAACACCTGGTACAGAGCAGGCAGAGGCCCCCAGTTAATATGTGTTGAAATAAATAAATGATAGAGGCCTCTCTACCATTTGGAAGTGAAGAACCTGGGAATCACTCAGGTCTGGGTTCTTATTATTTGCTGTGTAACCCTGAGGACATTATCTAACTTCTTTGTGCTTCAATTTCTAAAACAGAGTGAGAATTAAGAGTGCCTACCTCATCCTCATGGGGGAGTTGTAAAGACCAATGAAAATGATCTATATCTAACTTATCAAATGATCTGGAACTTGGTAAGCCCTTATTATCATTTATTTTTAGATTTTATTTTTAATTGACACATAATCATATATATGTATAGGGTATAATGTGAGCTTTCATGGATATGTTCTGTAGGGATCAAATCATATGTAGCATTTTTATCACCACACACATCAGTTCTTTGTGGTGAAAACATTCAAATTCCTCCCGTCTACCTTTTTTAAAATATACAATACATTATTGTTAACTATAGTCACCTTACTGTGCATTAGAACACCAGAACCCATTCCTCTTACCTACCTATAACACTGTACCCATTGTCCAATATCTTCCCCTCCCTCCATCTCCCCTACCCTGCCCAGCCTCTGGTAACCTTTATTCTACTCTCTACTTCTATGAGCTCCACATATGAAGGAGATCGTGTGGTATTGTCTTTCTATGCCTGGCTTATTTCACTTAATGTTACTCCAAGTTGTTGCACATGGCAGGATTTCATTCTTTTTTATGGCTGAATAGTATTCCATTGTGTATATGTACCACATTTTCTTTATCAATTCATCTGTTGATGGGCACTTAGGTCACTGATTGTGAACAGTGCTGCAATAAACACAGGAGTGCAGATACCCCCTTGTAATTTCGTAATTTTAATTAATTACTTTAATGCAAACACTAACTTACTCCCTCCTTCTTATCTCCCTTCCCTGAGCTCCAAAGGCAGGAGAGAAACCAGTAGAGAAAAATTCCATGTAATTCCAGAAAGCAAGAATCACATTTCGTTGCTATCTTTAAAATAGCTTCAAGTGACTGCCTGCTGGCTCCAGCCACAGAGCAGGAGATGGGATAAGGAGATGGGTCCTTATGTTGTTCTTGGTGGTGGAAGGTGGGTCAGTCAAGGTCTGGGCCCCACTCTCTGCTTCTTACAGAAACGTGGAGCTCCTGAGCTGCAAGGGTCTGGCAGGCTTCTAAGAAGTTCCCTGTTGATTTGAATCCTGCTGAAGGCTGTGCTGGACTTCTCTAGTTTGTCCCAATTAGAGTCTTTTGAAACCACTGTACTTAATTTACCACCTAATTACTCTTACCTTGTTTGTTTAATGAAGCTTACATAATGATTCTGGTGATCTGTACAAAACCTTAGGTGGAGATTTTACTTTTCACTTGATAATTTGTGATTTTTATATTAATGTTTTATAACCTTGGGTTCTTAATCATAAAGTCATAAGGAGCTTAATTGATTTGAAACTAACCATGCCCTGAAGTGTGTACATGTCAAATTGATTCAAATTGATCCAGTGAGTTTAAATAAAGCTTAGGCCAGGGAGCATGATGACACCTGATAGAAATTTTCCTAAAGCACTTGACTTGGGGGACTCAATTATGCTGCCATCTCCACACAGTAAATTATTAGATAAATACTGTTTTTTTTTCCATTTATCACAGACTGAAAAGATAGGACAGTTCAAAGAAAAAAAAACACTAGGAAAAGTTAGATAAGTGTAAAATGTTCTATTTATAATTCTTCCTTCTGAAAAGCCGCAGAGAACTCACATTTTAGAGCATGCTGGTTTGAAATATATATATGTTTACAGGCTTTGTTTCAGAGCCTGATAGTCAACATCACAGTCTCAAGTTGAAAATGGTTGGAAATGAAGCACTGATAATAGAAGCACTGGAAAAACACAAGCCTTGTCCGGGATGAGTGATCCTTCTTCAGGGGTGATCAATTCAAGCACTTTCCCAAAGAGAACTTTCTCTGAGCAGATGAACTCACAGGAGAAATCCTCAGCTTTCCAGGACAGGGTGCTGTTCCACATTTCTGCCAAATGACAGGCCAATTTAGTTCTAATTGGCCCTAATTGGCACTTCTTCCCCTGAGAGGCTACATTCTTGTACCTGCCTTCCAGCAGTCCTCACAAAGGTGTGAAATCCCTTTCTGGCTTTGAAAAATATCAGACATAATTTCCCAGTGGATCCCTTTATACCCAATGAAACTGATTGCTGGGCCCGGGGAGATGAGCCTGACTCCAGAAAGATGTAATTCCCAGGGCTCAGGGCTCCCTGAGGTCCCAGCAGTGAACAGCCGCACGAAATTCTGCTGTAATTGATCTCTCCAAAAACATTTTCCTTTGTAAGCAGTTCCGATGGTTCCTGACTTTCTTTCATATCTCCAGTTGCCATTTCTTGCAAGTCAGTCATTTTGTTTTACTCTTTTTAAGAATTTTTATAGAAATATGTCTTGGACTTGAATGTCTGCAGTCTCTTGTGTCCTGCCTCACTGGTGCTGCCCTGCTCAGTGGGAACGCCGTGCCAGCTTCCTAATGAGCCTCCTTGTCTTAGTCTCATGTTCTAGAGCATCCTCTTTGCTGCATGTCCCTTGAAGATGGTGTCCCTGATTGCATCTTTCACCCCAGTGCGCCCAGGGCTGAGCACAGCATTTGACATGCAGCACATGCTCAGTAAATACTTTTAAAAAATTTTTTCACGTGGAGGTAAATAAGGTGTCCAAACCTTAGGTGATATCACAAAAGACTTTTTTACTCATGTAATCACCACCTGCCTCAAATATAGAATGTTCTTAGCAACCCCAGGGAGCCTCTTCATGTCCTCTCTCAGTTAAATCCCCAACCCTAATCCATTCTGGAAATAACCACCATTCTGGTTTTATCACATTGCATTACATTGATTTTGCCTGTTCTTGACCTTTCTGTGTGGAACTGTTCACTGCTATGGTGGCCATAAAAATGCATCTCCCAGACTTCTGGTTGCTGGGATTGACCCACAGTCGGTTTTGCTGGGCTCTAAAATCCATCAGAACATTTGGGCAGGGAAATCTTCCCACAGGCTGCTCCTCCCTTGGACTGGGTATAGCAGGGATGCTAGTGCGGGCCCATTCCCAGGAGGTAGGGAACTCCTCTGACAGCAATTTTGGCTCAAGGACTCCCAACGGGCCTTGCCAACCTTCCTTAGAACTGCACTGTAGGCCGGGCGCAGTAGCTCACGCCTGTAATCCCAGCACTTTGGGAGGTCGACGTGGGAGGATCACTTGAGATCAGGAGCTCGAGACTAGCCTGGCCAACATGGTGAAACCTCATCTCTACTAAAAATACAAAAATTAGCCTGCTGTGGTGGTGGGTGCCTATAATCCCAGCTGCTCTGGAGGCTGAGGCAGGAGAATTGCTTGAACGTGGGAGGCAGAGGTTGCAGTAAGCTGAGATCGTGCCTCTGCACTCCAGCCTGGGTGACAGAGTGGAAAAAAAAAAAAAGAAAAAGAACTGCCCTGCACTGTAGTCTAAGATGTTCCCATCCAATGTTCCTTCTTTCCCTCTTTCCTTCCTGAGGGGCAGACCTGCATCTCAGTTTGATGATTTCCTGCTTCTCCTGGCTCCCTCCTCATCTTCCCTCTCAGGTGTTTCTCTTAATACAGCTCTTGGACATTTAATCCTGGCATCTGCTTCTTGGATTGACACAAATGTGAACTCTTCTCTGAAGCCTTCACTAGGCCCATGATTTTCACTCATGTTGCATGTAGCAATCATGTATCCTTTTCATTTATTGCCGTGTGGGATTCCAGTGCAAGAGTATGTGCACAGTTTAGCTCTCTTAGACCTGATGGGCATTTCGGCTGTGACCGGTTTTTGGCTCTCATGAATAAAGCTGCTAGGAGCATTCTTGGATTCCTCTCTTGGTGGACATGTGCATTCATTTCTCTTGGGTGTGTACTTGGTAGTGAGAGTGTTGGCTTGTAGGGTAATGGATGTTTAGTATTAGATAGTATTAGATACTTCAGTACAGCTTTCCAAAGTAGTTGGACCAGTTTGCTTTCCCATGCTCATAAGGTATTTACTGAATAAGTGAACTCTAGCCAGAAGCATCTTTTAAGGACTTAACTTTGTCCCAGTCACTACCCTGATTAGACACACACACACACACACACGTGTACACACACACAGCTTTCCATAGTGCCCCATTGTTATAATGTCCAAGTTCTAAACTCAAAAGTTGTACAAGGCCGTGCCTGACATAGCCCCTGTGTAACTGTCCAGTCATATTGCTCGCCACAGCCAGCACCCACTAGCCACCAGTCACACCAGCAACATGAACTTTGGTTACATTGCTTCTGTTTTCTTTGAAAATGCCGCAGTCTTCTACCATCTAGATTTCTGCACACATTAGACCCTCTGCCTGGAACATGTTAGCTTGTGTGTCTCCCTATCTATATTTTCCACTTTGCCTAGTGTATAAGTTAGAAATGTTTTCAATCGCAAGGGATTGGGGAAAAACGGACTTAAAGTGAGTCAAATAGCAGCTCTTTCCCTGCAGCTCTTTGGCAGATAAGACCCTCCCATGACATTAGAAATGTAGAAGTGGGCAGTAACTAGCATTGCTTCAGCAGTATGATGATGCCAGGGCTGATTCTGTGCCATTCTCTTATCTTTCGTCCCAACCTTGATTACCTCATGGTCATAAGATGGTTGCTGCAGCTCCAGGCATTACATCCATCTTCAAGGCAGGAAGAACAAGAAAGGGCCAAGCCAGCCATTTCTGTCTCTTTCATGAGAAAAGTGAAATTTTTTTCAGAAACACCTCTAGCAGGCTTCTGTTGGAGTTACCTTGGCTGAACTTGGACACCTCTAGCTTCAAGGAAGATTGGGAAGCTATTTATTTACATATATATTTATTTATTTATAGACAGAGTCTCACTCTGTAGCCCATGCTGGAGTGCAGTGGTGTGATCTTGGCTCACTGCAACCTCCACCTCCTGGGTTCAAACGATGCTGTCTCCTCAGCCTCCCAGGCTCCTGAGTAGCTGGGATTACAGGTGTGAGCCACTGCGCCCGTCTAATTTTTGTATTTTGTGGTAGAGATGGGGTTTCACCATATTGGCCAGGCTGGTCTCGAACTCCTGGCCTCAGGTTATCCACCTACCTTGGCCTCCCAAAGTGCTGGGATTATAGGCGTGAGCCACTATGCCCGGCCCTGGGAGCTATTTAGCTCTTCAAGGCTCCACAGGGGAGGACAGGGGAGAAAAGGTTTGGAAATGACTGTTGAGTGAACCTCCTCAAAGTGTCTTCCCTAGTAAGCAGACTCTGACTCAGCCTCTGGTTTCAGTTTGGCTGTCCCTTCCTCTTGGAAGCCTTCCTTGATCCCTCACCTTTTTAGGACTAATTTAGATGTTTCACCATCATAGAGGTCTCTGAAGTTTTCCTTAGTCATGAAGTTATTTACTGACTCTCACCTTGAGGTATGTGTTAAATCAAGCCCTTCAAGAAAAAATGGGAAAATATGTATGGCCATGGTAAAATACATGCACAGACCACCCCCCGCCTCCCGACAAGGAAGCCTCCCTACCCCATCAGCATTTTACCTGTTTTTTTTTTTTTATCAAGTCTATGTGCAAGCTCAAAGTGGCCATGGCTTCTTGGGGGAGTCCCTACCACTTCCCCGAATTGAATAAACTCCCAGGAAAGCACTGGCAAACTTATCCCAACATTTGTGCCTGACAAAATCCTGTCAATCCAGACTGGCCACTCCCAGCCTCTTTGTTTTGTTACTACTTAAAAGCTTTAAAAATCCCCTCTTTGGGGGGGGCAATCTGTAAGATCTGTAAG
The DNA here is from genome assembly GCF_000001405.40 of Homo sapiens. Lineage (NCBI taxonomy): Eukaryota > Metazoa > Chordata > Mammalia > Primates > Hominidae > Homo > Homo sapiens. The sequence goes on along the minus strand of NC_000003.12, from coordinate 72,641,384 downwards.
CAGGTAAGATCTTGGACTTTGGATCCCAGAATGCCTGGGTTCGATTCCTGACTCTGCACTTATCTGATACATGGCTTTGGGCGAGTCACTCCGCCTCCCTGGGCCTCAGTTTTTTCATCTGTAAAATGGGGATAATAACAGCACTTACTTCTCAGTGTGGTTGTGAGGTTAATTCATCTTGGAAACCCTGTCACATGACAAGCACTCACTCCACATTGGCTGCATTTATTCCCTCTGAGCCCTACTTCCATCTACTGCTCCCGCCAGTCCCCTTTCTCCTCTCTTCCTCTCCAAACTCAGTCAGTGAAATGCCTAATCCAATCACTGCCTGAATCAGTGAGGATTACATTTCCTGGGAAAATTTACACCCAGGTGAAGGAGCTCAAACAAGCACCCAAATAACTAGAAAGCAGCAGCCGACATGGATTGCACTCTTGCTCTGTGCCTTGCATGCGTTAGTTGGCGTGTTGCTTGCTCACACCGGGTTGTTTCATTCTTCCCACATTTATAGACGAGGAATCTGAGTCTTGGAGTGATTTGTAAATTTATAGTGTTCCAGCAGAGGATGAAATGCAACTTTGGCAGCCAGCCTTGGTGGCTGATGCCTGTAATCCCAGCAATTTGGGAGGCTGAGGTGGAAGGACCGCTTGAGCCCAGCAGTTTAAGACCAGCCAGGGCAACATAGTGAGAGCCCCCTGCCACAACCATGTCTACTAAAAATAAGAAAAAAATATTAGCATGGTGTGGTGGTGTGAGCCTGTAGTCCCAGATACTTGGGAGGCTGAGGTGGGAGGATTGCTTGAACCCAGGGGTTCAAGGCTGCAGGGACTTGTGATTGCACCACTGCACTCCAGCCTGGGTGACAGAGCGAGACCCTGTCTCAAAATAAAAACAAACAAACAAACAAAATCCGACAACAACAAATTTGTCTCATTTAAAGCTTGGGCTCCTAACCATCATACTAAACTGTCTTTATTATGGTTGGTCAGCCCCAGAGGAGCACAAGACATTTTGGAGTTCAGAGGTGGCAGAAATCTCAACAGATTTGGGGGTTTCCAAAAAGCCTTCATGGACACATAAAATCCAGCTTGGAGAGTGGGGAATATTTCATCAGGTGGCTGGAGGAAATATAGAGATAGTGGGAAAGGCTTTTTGGATGCATGGAACAGCAAAAGCAAAGACACAAATTCTCAAAGCACAGGATAAATTTTGAGGAGAATAGTGGTTAGGAATATAGGCTCTGGCATTGACAAAACCCTTGGTTTAAATCCCAGCTCTGCCACTACTAGCTGTGTGACCTGGGTTAAGTTGCTTAACTTCTTTGTGCCTTAGTTTTCTTGCCTGTACAATGAGACACAGCAACCCCTTTGAAATGGTTTGGCAGGATAAAATGAGATGATGCTCAAAACCTCATACAGTGTAAGCACTCAGGAAATGCCATCTATATTCACTACGTCACACAGACTGGTGACCTGTATGTCACCTGCTCCCAGGAGATCAGGACGAGAAGAACAGAGGAAACAGCTTTTGAGTTTTCTCTGTCTTTAGGTAAAAAAAAAAATGGAAGCACTTGTTCCTCTTGCAGCAAATGACAGCATGAATCATGCTTTATTTATCCAGTCTCTTCTAGTCAGCCTTCTGCAACATGCCAGCATTAGTAGAATGTAGATAGGAACATGACCATTAAAAAATGAATACTCCAAGGCCAGGCGTGGTGGCTCACACCTGTAATCCCAGCACTTTGGGAGGCTGAGGTGAGTGGATCACTTGAGGTCAAGAGTTGAAGACCAGCCTGGCCAACATGGTAAAACTCCATCTCTACTAAAAATACAAAAATTACCTGGGCATGGTGGCATGCGCCAGTAATCCCAGCTACTTGGGAGGCTGAGGTGGGAGAATCTCTTGAACCTGGGCGGCAGAGGTTGCAGTGAGCTGAGATTGTGCCACTGCACTCCAGCCTGGGTGACAGAGTGTGTGAGACTTCGTCTCAACAATAAATAAATAAATAAATAAATAAATAAATAAATAAATAAATAAAAAATGAACAAACACTCCAGTATGGGCAACATAGTGAGACTTCATCTCTACAAAAAAAATTGTAAAAAATTAGCCGGGCACGGTGGCACAGGCCTGTAATCCCAGCTTCTTGAGGGGCCGAAGTGGGAGGATTGCTTGAGCCCAGGACGTGGAGGCTGCAGTGAACCGTGATCATGCCACCACACTCCAGCCTGGGTGACAGAGTGAGACCCTGTCTCAAAAAACAAAACAAAACAAAAACACTCACCTTGAGTACTAGTTTACAAATATTTGGCTTCAGCAGATATTTCAGACCCTTTCCTCGGGGAGAGACTTAAAGGTTGATTTCTGAAATAAATTATACAAGCTTAATGTCCATCCACTACCCTTTTACTGGTCACTAACAAGACCCCAGTGCTTGGGCCAATGTGGGGAGGGGAAACCAGGAGAAAAGAAACAGGGTGTTTTGTGTTTTTTTAAGTTCACATTTTCCTCCTTGTTGAGCCAGTTGGAATGTGGTCAACAAATTGCTTTGAAGGACCTGAGACATCTCGGTGGGTCCTTCCCACACCGTCTTTGTGTTGGTAAAAATCAATGCTGACTTCCACCACCATCCCTTCTGCCCTAACCCCGCTCCCTGCTCCCATTTCCCCCTAGGAGATCTAAGGAGAATTTAATCCATATGGTTTTGATTCCCTCACTCATCAAAATGCAGTTTTCCAAGAGCCATTTGATCTCCAAGATGTTATGTGAGTGTCTTTTTGTATTTTATTTTTTCCCTTAGAAAAGAAAAGCTGATGGTTTGCCAAAAGAAAATGAACTCCAAACTCTTGGGGTCTGAACTGGGTTCAAGCATCAGATCCAGGGGAGCCCAGGGGGATGCTGCTTAGTCAGGGGCCTCAAATGTTCTCTGCACAAGCCAGGTGAGTCTAAGCAAAATGGGGGCACTTTCTTTGCTTTCCTTTCTCGTGTGTGTTTGTGTGTGTGTGCACATGTGTGTGCGTGTGTGTGTGCATGTGTGCATGCGTGTGCATGTGGGCATTCTACCCACTCTTCTATCCCAGAAACTGAATAATAATGACCATGTATTAAGTATTTCCTGGGGTCCAGGCTCTGTGCCTAGACTGATTGACTGATTGACTGATTGATTGATTGATTGATTGATTTTTTGAGATGGTGTCTTGCTCTGTCGCCCAGGCTGGAGTACAGTGGCGCGATCTTAGCTCACTGGAACCTCCGCCTCCCAGGTTCAAGCAATTCTCCTACCTCAGCCTCCCAAGTAGCTGGGATTACAGGCATGTGCCACCACGCCCGGCTAATTTTTGTATTTTTAGTAGAGACAGGGTTTCACCATGTTGGCTAGGCTGGTCTCGAACTCCTGACCTCAAGTGATCCGCCCACCTCAGCCTCCCAAAGTGCTGGGATTACAGGCTTGAGTCACAGTTCCCGGTCTGTGCCTGGATTTATGATCTATGTGCTTTATGTAAATGCTCGAGTCTTTATAATCACCCTTTGAGGGAGGTGCTCCTTCCCTCCCTCCCTCCTTTCTTTCCTTCCTCCTTTCATTCATCAAATATTTATTGAGCATTTATTATGTGTCAGGTGCTATTCTAGGGTCTGGAGACAAAGTGGTGAACAAGACAAATTTCATCCCTGCCTTTGTGAAGCTTACATTCTAGTTCACGTGCAATTAAGCAAATGAGTAAGATGGCTTGAAGTAGTAATCAGTGTTATGAAGGAAATAAAACAGGAAGGTGGCAGAGAGCTTGTGCTCTGCTCAATTTAGAATGAGTGGTCAGGGAAGGCCCCGCTGAGCTGATTGCTGAATGACACCAAGGATTCAGCTGCAGAGATACAGGAGGAGCGAGCTCTCCTGCAGAGGGAATAAGAGGGGGCAGAGTCCCAAGATAGGAGCATCTTGGGCACGTGCAGGGGGTGAATAAAGGCCAGCAAGCTGGAACAGAGGAAGCAGGTGGGTGGGGAGTGGAGTCCACATGGAGGGGAAGGAAGCTGGGTTAAGCATGGAGGGCATTGCGGCCATGGGGAAAGCCCCTGGAGTTTTAGGCAGGAGAGTCTGGGGTCTGACTCTGTGTTTACACCATTGCTCTGGGGGCTGGCTAGGGAAGAGGTTGAAAGACCCGCGACAGGATAAAGAAGGAAGGAAACTGTCCAGGAAGCTGCTGCTGACCTCAGGGTATGGTTCTCCCTCTCTATCATGGCTCAGACGCAGGCAGACTCAGATGAGTGTTGGAAGTGAAGCTCACTGCCCCACCCAACTCCACTGCTTGGTAATAGAACTTAAGGAACTGAGTATTTTTCAAGGGGTTCTTGTCACAGTGGTGGTCCAGATGGAAGTTCGGAAGTAGGAGTCTAGATGTAGCAGGTGGGCTTGCTGACAGATTGAAGGTGTGGGGGAAAAAGAAGAGAGACATCAAGGATAGCGGGTCAATGGAGGCCTGAGGCAGCTCATGGGGTGATGGTCCCCATTTTCCAAACAAGAAAATGGAGGCCCAGAGAGGTTGAATATCCTGACTGAGATCCCATAGGAAGGGGCAAAGTCAAGACTCCAGTGCAGGACTCTGTCTTTTAAATCTGATTTCTGAATTGTGCTTTCACAACTCATTGATACGCCCTAGACCATGCTGAGCATTGCACCTGGCGGACAAACCCAGCACATTTCCTCCCCCAGACATCACGGTGGCTTTTCGGGATCTTTTAGGCCCTCGTTCCCCTTCCTGAGGGTATAGCTCCCTCACAAGAATGGATGTACAGCCGGGCACAGTGGCTAACACCTGTAATCCCAGCACTTTGGGAGGCTGAGCTGGGTGGATCACTTGAGGTCAGGAGTTTGAGACCAGCCTGGCCAACCTGGTGAAACCCTATCTCTACTAGGAATATAAAAATTAGTCTGGGCATGGTGGCTCACACCTGTAATCCTAGCACTTTGGGAGGCTGAGGTGGGCGAATTGCCTGAGCTCAGGAGGTTAAGACCAGCCTAGGCAACATGGCGAAACCCCTTCTCTACTAAAAATACAAAAAAAAAATTCACCAGGCATGGTGATGCACACCTGTAATCCCAGCTACTCAGGAGGCTGAGGCATAAGAATCACTTGAACCCGTGGAGTGGAGGTTGCAGTGAGCTGAGATCGTGCTGCTGCACTCCAGCCTGGGTGACAGAGTGAGACTCTGTCTCCAAAAGAAAAATAAATAAATAAAAATACAAAAATAACAATACAAAAATTAGCCGAGCATGGTGACGTGTACCTGTAATCCCAGCTACTAAGGCTGAGGCAGGAGAATTGCTTGAACCCGGGAGGTGGAGGTTGCAGTGAGCTGAGATTGTGCCACTGCACTCTAGCCTGGGCAACAGAGTGAGACTCTGTCTCAAAAAGAAAAAAAAAAAAAAAAAGCACATTCTTTTTATTTCAGGGCATTGCTATTTTGAAATGCGCAGGATACATATACCATTGCTTTTCCTTTTACTGATTTTATTTTCAATCGTTTGTGTCTGTTGTCTACACAATAGGAGTTTACTAAATACTGTTGATTGACTAAATGTCCTAATGCATGCTGTGATGTTTGTTTAATGGTATAGAGCTGTAGAAAGTTTTCATTCATTCATTCATTCATTCATTCATTCATTCACTCAGTCATTCATTCCTGAATACTATCCCTGATGTTATGCTGCACATTAGGGGCTCAGAGAAGAACGAAAGCAAACCTCTGTCCTCAAACAGCTTCTAATCTGGTTAGGTGTGAGTGGAGTGAGCATGTGTGAGTACGGAATATAAGGGACAGGTGTGCAAATACTTTCAATATGATGTGTGTACAAATTTTGTGAGTACATAAAAGAGGGACTTTTGACTCTTGGGGAAGGTGGGAAGGTATGGATTTTATTAGAGATGGCTTCAGGGAAAGCATCATATTCAAGCTCAGATGCAAGGGACAAGGGGAGGAATCCTCTAAGAACAGAGTGGAAAACTGAAGGGGATTGTGTTGGGAGGCACATTTTCCACCTTTGTAGCCCCTTCTCCAAATTAAAAAGGTCGGGATAGGTGGAAACAGCTGGGGGAGGTGAGTGGGAGGAGATTACTGACAAGTCCCCAAATTCTGTGGCTTGGAGAACTTTGGGATTCCTGTAGCCAGTTTCTGGGCTGTGGAGGTTCCCTGGTCCATATTTCTGGTATTGATGACTGTTGATAAGATATTGATGACTATGGCAGACGTGGGCTGTTTTTTCCCCAGCATCCTTTCTCCATTCTTTTGGCAGCAGCCCTCGTGCTTCTATAGGATCATCCCTTTTCCAGTTTCAGTCCTTGTGGTGTAGGAGAGGGTCAAACCCTGCCCCCACTGGGATATTCCATTCCCTTGGCCATAGTAGCCCTGTGATCCACACCATGCCAATCAGGGCCCAAGAGACTTAATGCTAGGATTTTCATTTGAATTACTGAAGCAGTACAATCCTGCTTTTCTGCTGGATATGATGCTGGATGGAGTGTGGTCCAAGGAGCTGTTGGCAACCACTTGGCAACTACATGAGGCTTAGAATGAGGCCAACATCAAGCGAGTACTGTCAAGACACAGAGAGGGAAGCTGGTTCCTGGTGACACCCTTTGAGCCCTGAATCAATGGATACCTGAAGCCAGCCTTATCCTAGGACATGAGCTAACAGATTGCCTTTTTAGCTTTAGCCAGTCTGAGTTGGATTTCCTTCAGTTTGTTCTGGGCAGAATCTCAACTAATACCACGGCCCATAACCCTGTGAGATATCATTGCTTCAGGAAAACCTTTTCTTTTTCTCCTAGAAACTTCAGTCTTAGAATGCAGAGGAGGGATGAAAGTGGGAGTTTTAGGCGTGATGGCCAGGAATACAGTTAAGAGGGGCAGAACATATTTGCCCCTGATTTTCGATTGCTGGTGCTATTCTCACTGATGTCAATCACCTTAGTGTCACTCAGTGGAAGGATTTACTGCAGTGGTAAATTTCAATGGAAAGAGTTTTGTTATTTCAGCACAAATTTTTGTTGTTAGTGGTGGGGACTTTTTATAGTTCTGTTTTTACAAATCAAAAGTAATGGTTAAAGTAGTGACTGCATTAGAGTCTATTCTGATTTCAAAGGATCCTAGAAGTCAACTAGTTCAACCTCATTAAACCTCTGGTTCTTCAACAGTAAAACTGAAATCATCAGAATATGCACCTCATGGGGGCATGAGCTGTCATGTATCTTAAACTCTAATATAGATTTGTATTTACAACTCAATAGAAATAGCTTACTTCCAATAATTTGGGTAACAGGAAATCATCTCATTTTAGAGGATCTAAGCAGTACTTCTTTACAAATTTATATATTTTAAATATGTAAATGGTTTCATGGCTCTCTCTGGGCCTCAGTTTCCCCATTTGTAAAAGGGGGGGTAATAATGGTACCTAATTCATAAGGTAGTTGTTGAGGATTAAGTGAATAAAGCCCTATGCTCCCCCTACCCAGTCACTCTCCACTTTTTTTGACCCTGCTCAGTGTCTGGGAGGCTGATCTGACTCAGGTGGGTTGTGGTCACGGGGCTCCACTGCCCTCTGGTTCTGGTAGGTTTCAGCCTATGAAAAACATGAGGCTGGAGCAGGAGAGCGGTGACTCTGCTGGGGTCAGCGTGAGCTGGCCATGTCTTGTCACCAAAGGCCCTAGCTCCTGGTGGGGAGCCCTCTCCAAAGGCCCTGGTAAAGGCTTTGTCTCCTTGTTGCTTCAGTCCCAGAGGCTGTCAGCTCCACTGTCACCTGTGTTTTCTCTACGTCTCACCCACACCTTTGCAAATGGTCTCTCTATTGAGCCGTTCTCAAAGCTCCCAATTCGAGTGCACCCCTCTGCTTCTGCTGGCTGCTGACTGATTCACTCCCTCGACAAGACCCAGGACAGTGCCTGGAACACACTCAATGCAGTCCCTACTGTAGTTATTTTGTTATTTACAAAGCAAAAAATCACATGCATCATGGATATGTGGTTCGACCATCAATTTCATAGTTCGAGGTCTTCTTTTCTTAATCAGATGTTGTGGTTTTACTTTCATGAGTTAGGAATGGCTTTGATGAATGACTGACCCTCCCATTGAAGTGCCGCCAGAAAGAATGGGTTATGGGCACAATCTCCAATGCCCAGTCATCACATTACACTCTTAGTCCTCCAGGATTCTCATCTCCCCTTATCATAACCCTCAGGACTCAACTATAACCCAGGAGGTTTCCCACTTGTACTAATGTAAATTAAGCAAACTCAGATACACCCTTTTGGTAGGGTCCATGGATGTTGTAGATTGAAAGTCTGTATTTCCCCTAAGTTCATACATTGCAGTCCTAACCTCCAAAATGATGATATTTTGATGTGGGGCCTTTGGGAGGTGATTAGATTTATTTTATTTATTTGTTTGATTTTTGAGACAGTCTCTCATTTTGTGGCTGGAGTGCAGTGGTGCAATCATAGCTCACTGCAGCCTTGACCTCCCTGGGCTCAGGTGATCCTCCCATCTCAGCCTCCTGAGTAGCTGGGACCACAGGCATGGTGCCACCACACCTGGCTAATTTTGAATTTTTTGATAGAGATGGGGTTTGCCATGTTGCCCAGGCTGGTCTCAAACTCCTGGGCTCAAGCAATCTTCCTGCCTTGGCTTCCCAGAGTTCTGGGATTACAGACATGAGCCACTGTGCCCGACTGTGATTAGATTTAGATGAGGTCATGAGAGTGGGGTCCCCCTGATGCAATGAGTGTCCTTTTACGAATAGGAAAAGGGAGCAGAGTTCTTTCCCTTTCTCTCCACCATGTGAGCACACAGTGAGAAGGTGGCTATCTGCAGGTTAGGAAGAGACCTCTCACCAGGGAACCAAATGGGCCAGCGCCCTGGTCTTGGACTTCACAGCCTTAAGAACTGTGAGAAATAAATATCTATTGCCTAAGCCACCTAGTCTATGGTATTTTGTTACAGCAGCCCGAGCTGACTAAGACGATGTAAATATTTCATGTGCATAAGAACAATGTGAACTCTTCTGCCCTAAGTGCTCACTGTGGGCCAGGTGCTGGGCTAAGCACTTTACATGAATGACCTCATTCAACGACCACAGTAACATGTATGACTACTTGTATTAGGAATTGCCTTTAGTTTTTAGAAAGAAACCAGGAATAACAATGATTCAAAAGATAATTTTTCTCACACACACAAAAAGCCGGGAGCTTGGTAGCCATGGGCTTAATAGTAGCTCTGTGGTCATCACAGTCTTGTGCTCTTTTTGTTTTATAGTGCAGGTGTTCCATCTTCAAGGTTACCTCATGCTCCAATGTGGCTGCTGTAGCTCCAGCCATTATGTCTACATTTCTGACTATGAAGGAAGGGAGGAAGGCCAAAAAAATTGTTTTAAGTGCCAGCTTAACAAATCCCACCTTATGACACTTTCTCAGAAATCCCACCCAACAACTCTGCTTATATCTCATGGGCCAGAGATTGCTCTCATGGCCATACCTAGCCATGAGGTGGGCTGGTCAAGGTAGTCTCTTGGCCAGGCTCACTGCAGTGCTTAGTAATGCCAAGGTTCTGTTCCTTAAAAAAAAAAGGGAAATTAAGATGAGGCAGGTGGTTTCTGCCATAGGACTGCTGTTGTCCTCGTTTTACCAATGAGCAACATGAGGCTCTGAGAGTCAGGTGTCTTGCCCGAGACTGTATCAATAGTAAGATGGAGGCTGCATTTGGATGGATGTCTGCCCGACTCCAGTCTTTATTCACTATTGATAAAGTTTGCCTAAGAAGAAAGGCAGGAAGCAAAGTAGGCAGCCACATGCAAGCTCACATGTTTCCAATGCTGCTTGACGGGCACCCACTGAATGGGCCAGAGTTTTAATCCATCTGGCTTATGTGCAAAACTGACTCACAGAAGGCTTTCCAGAGGGTACTCTCACATAGATGGAGGACTCTCTTAACACGCTGGCTTGTCTCTCGTTCCCGGTAGACTGTAGGCGTTGAGTGGGCTGTCATGGGCACCGTTGTATGCCCAGTAGCCAGCACGGGGCCTCGCACGTCACAGGGACTCAATAAGTGTTTGCTGAATCCATGAAGGGAGTGAATGAGTGAGTGAACTAATGAACTTGGATATGGATGACAGTCATGAAAGCCAGCCAACTTATTTTTCTTGGATGGCATTTACCACCAGCTGACCAATTGTGTTGAAACCATCCCTGAAGAGGTAAAATTTCACCGAGAAAACCACCCATTGTCAACCACGAGTCCCAGGAGTCTCTCTCTGTGAAAAATAGCATGTGTGGCCCCCCATGAAACCTTTTTTTTTTTTCCTGGTAGATTTTCTGAATATCCTTTTTTTCTGACTGGCCTATAAAATGCATTGAGAAATTATGCTAATGCTAGTATCTCTCCAACCAAGTCCTACTGAGGATTGAATCTATTTTTCAAAGACAAAACTGAGTTTTAATTTAGTGCCCCCTTGACATTTTCCCTTTCAAGCACATGAAGGATGCTTCTGCAGAGGGAGAGGTCTTGGGAAATCTTTCACGGATGGCTACGCTTCACGCCTGGGTGGAGTAACCCTCAGCACGCCAGCTTTCAATTAGAAGTAAATAAATGGAGACAGCTTTGCGGTGTGCCCGATACTCTGAAAGATCAACCCCCGGCCTCGGGGCTGCCTTTCTCCCACTGCAGCTAAAAATGTTCATTTACATTTTTTTGGTGTTTTCTGAGCAGCTTTAATGTGCCAGGTTTAACCTTTAAGGCCCTCTCCCCTTCTTCCTTCTGCTTCTCCCCCAACCCCTGGCTTTGAGGATGCCACAAGCCTTGAAGCACTTGCAGGAAACAGCTGCACACAAGTGGATTTCCAACTGAATTCTTTAGATGGAAGTTTGGCTCTTGTAGGATCATGTAAAGGAGTCTTTCATTTCCCCTCTGTGATTGTCATTCTGTTTGGAATAAGGGCAGCTGGGGATGCCTCTCCTTTGCCCATTACATCCTAAGGCAGAGGTGGATTTGGGGGCCTTGGGTTAGGATTGGGGATAGGGGATGTCTGGGGAGGGACTCCTTGCTGTGCCATTCCTCCACATTTGGAGACCGGAGGGGAAGACCTTGGTGTCATTTTGAGATTCTTCTATTAGGGAACTATATCCATTAGTTATTGCTGCAAAGCAAATGACTCCAAAACTTGATAGCTTAAAACATCATTTACTCACCTTTAGCTCACAATTGTGTAGGTCAGCAATTTGGCCAGCCTCAGCCAGGCAGTCCTTTGGGTCTGTACTGGGCTGGTCTGGTCTCAGATGGGCATGATCAGCTGCCAGGTTGGCTTGCGACGGTCTCAGCTGAGATGACTGGGGCTGTCGCCATCCAGCAGGCCATCCTGCTCTCGCACAATGAGAGCTGGGCTGAGATGACTGAGGTTGTCACCGTCCAGCAGGCCAACCTGGGCTTGCTCACTTGGTGGTGGAAGGGTTCCAAGAGCAAGCACAGAAGAGCATGAAGTCTCTTGAGGCGTCAACTGAGAACTGGCGCCATGTCACTTTTGCTGCATTCTGTCAAAGCAAGTCACAAGGCCCACCCCAGTTCTGGGAGTAGAGAAAATAGCTCTGCCTCTTGATGGGAGAAGCTGCAATGCATTTTGGCAATTTTTGCAATCAACAACAAGGAGTGATTTTCCAGATCTGCTTCTCAAGGCCTAGGGCTTCCATGGAAAAGCCACAGGGGCCACTGTAGGTTCAAGATTAAAGTTTGGGCTATCCTCTCGCACCTTTAACCCGAGGAACTCACTTTTATCTGCAGAATATATTGGACTTCCAAGTAAGATCTCACTTGAACAAAGGTTGCCATGGTTAAAAGACATTGAATACCAATTAGTTAGAAGTAATTGTCAGGCTCTCCCTACCTGCTTCTGACCTCTGTGACTCATAGAATTGCACTTCCTGTTTTCTGATAAAAGAGAACTAGTGCCAAGAAGTAGGAAGATTCTGGCCTTGCTCATTCACTCATCAGTCTCTGTATCTCCAATCCTCATACAATCTCAGTGTTCTAGGCTGCAAAAAGAAGTGGAAGACAGTAATGCATAGAAGAGTTCAAACTAAAGCCAGGCTTTCAGGGTTCAGATCTCAACTTCCTCCGTTGCAGTGTGGTCATAGGAAGGTTACTTAACCTCTCTAAGCCACAGCTTCTGCATCTATAAAATGGGGTGAGAATATCTATTGCATGGATTAAAAAAAGATAATTTGTACAGCATAAAAATTACTCAAATCATGTTTACTATTTTTATGATGTAGTCTTCAAGTTCCCTTAACATTCTAACAGATTATATTCCCTATGAAATTATGGTGGGCAGTGCCAATTTCCAGTTGCTAGGTGTTCTGGTTTGGGATTTTTTTTAGGAAGGCATTCAGCAAAACAAGCCTCTGCTCACTGGCCTGCCACCAAATGGTAAAATTCAGCTGTTTGAGATTCATACCTTTGGCTGAGTACATTAAGGTGTTCTTATTCGTTAATACGTAGTTTGATTAGATCATTTTCTCCATGAATATTAAGCTGAACCCTAGGCAATGAGCAATGTGAACTTTGATGGAATGTTTTTCAGAGGAAGGGAAGATGATGTATGGGTGAACAGGAGAGAAGATAAGTTTGGGCTGGCCATAGCAGAGTTAGCGGGTGGGGAGCAAGGAGGTTGGTGCCTGAATGAAGGAGGGGACCCCTTACGCTTCCAGGAGAAGTGCCAAGAGGCACTTGGCATACTTTCCTGCTGTGCCTGGAGCTGAGAGTCTTCGTACCTGGTGCACAAGAAAGGAAAATGTATCCTCCAGCTTTGCCCATCATGATTCTGAAATGCTTTCAGGCACCCCAGGCTGTGCGGGAATATTTAAAGCCACCATGATTACCATTTGCCATCTGACAGGAAGCAACTCTGTGCCCCTGTATGAGAGAAGAGCAGTTATTTTCTAAGGTCCCCTGGGGCACGTTTTGGTGTCTCGGGGAGGAGAATCTGCACCCTCACCCCGCCTTCCTTTGGCAATGAGCAGGTCATCCATCAAGTTGGTCCTGCCCAACAGGATCTTCCAGATCTCTCAGCAGAGGCCTCCACTCCACTAGGTCTAGGCAAACAGGCTCCAGCTTGCTAAGGCCGCGGGCCTGATGGGAAGGGCAGGGCCAAATGGCCCCAGCCTGACTTTTCAGATGCTGCACGCAGACTGGGGTGCACTGAGGAGCAGTGCCTCATCTTGGGATGACAAGATGTGGCCAGGGGGTGTGTGCCTGGATTCCACAGGCATCAGCAAACACCTGGCTTCCTTTGGTATCAGGCAGAGGTGCATCTGGCTCTCAGCCAGCTGTCTATGTGGAAATATTCCACCCCTCTTTTAAAATTGCATTTTCATATCAAAGACAAGCTAGGGAACCAAGAGGCCCTTATTGGAGGGGAGCATTGTTTTTCAGGATTTGCCTTAGCATTTTTTTTACCTAGCAAATTCTCCTAAAATATTTTAGAGTTGTACTTTTTTGGTTTTGTTTTTTGGAATGTCTATCATTTTTATCAAACAAGTCATCTGTGGGTGCTCACTATGGAGAAATCTGAGGAAGAACAGATAAGTAAAAGTTTTGTTTACAGTGAAAAATTGCTTATAAATAATTTTTATTAAATTATCTATTTTTGTTTTTTCATCATTTTCTGTTGAGAGCATATCCTATCATTTGTTTACAGAATTCCCTGTGTTTAGGAATTTAGGGGTCTTTACAGGCTCCCTGCCCCTGCAAAAATCCCCGTGAGATGAAGCCCCAGTTGCTGGCAGTGGTAGTGGGGTGGTAACTCACTCTTCTCACTCTTTATTAACTGCCTGCTCTTGCCTGTCTCATTTCTCCACTTCCTTACTCATTTCTGTTTCACCTCCCAAATAAACCACCTGCACTGAGATCCTGGTCTCAAGGGCTGCTTCTCAGGAAACCCAAACCAATGCAGCTATCTACTGTTTTTGAGTATACAGTCACGTGCCACACAACGACTTTTCAGTCAATGATAGACTGCATATACGATGGTGGTCTCCTAAGATTATAATAGAGCTGAAAAATTTCTATCACCTAGTGACATCTTGATGGTCCTGACCCTGTGCAGGCCTAGGCTAACATGTATGTTTGTGTCTTTGTTTTTTTGTCTGTTTGGTTGGTTTTAGTTTTTTGTTTGTTTGTCTTTTTGAGACAAGGTCTTGCTCTGTCACCCAGGGTAGAGGGCAGGGCAGCAATCATGGCCCACTGCAGCCTCAGACTTCTGGCCCCAAGTGATCCTCCCACCTCAGTCTTCCCAGTATCTAGAATGACATACTGGAGCCACCATGCCCAGCTAATTTTTATTTTTTTTTTTATAGAGACCAAGGTCTCACTATATTGTACAAGTTGGTTTCAAACTCCTGGCTGCAAGCGATCCTCTCACCTTGGCTTCTCAAAATGCTGGGATTACAGGCATGAGCCACCATGCCTGGCTCTTTTTCCTTTTGCAGGGAGTGGGGTCTTGCTATGTTGCCCAGGCTCATCTTGAACTCCTGGCCTCAAGTGATCCTCCTACCTCACCCTCTCAAAAACTGTTTAAAGAGTTTAAAAAAAAATAATTTTTAAATAGAAAAAGGCTTATAGAATAAGAATACAAAGAAAGAAAATATTTTTGTACAGTTGAAAAATGTGTTTGTGTTTGTGTTTTGTTTTTTGAGACAGAGTCTCACTCTGTCACCCAGGCTGGAGTGTAGTGGCACAATCTCTGCTCACTGTAGCCTCTGCCTCCACCTCCTGGGTTCAAGCAATTCTCGTGCCTCAGCCTCCCAAGTAGCTGGGACTACAGGTGTGCGCCAACACACCCAGCTAATTTTTGTATTTTTTAATAGAGACGAGGTTTTGCCATGTTGGCCAGGCTGGTCTTGAACTCCTGGGCTCAAGTGATTGCCCGCCTCAGCCTCCCAAAGTGCTGGGATTACAGGCGTGAGCCACCACGCCCGGCCTGTGTTTGTGTTTGAAGTCTTATTATAAAAGAGTCAAAAAGCTTTAAAAAAATTAGAAAGTTTATGACATTAAAAAGTTACAGTAAGCTAAGGTTAATTATTGAAGAAAGAAAAGTGTATTTTAAAATAAATTTGGTATAGCCTAAGTGTACAGTGTCTATAAAGTCTACTGTAGGGTACAGTAATGTCGTAGGCCCTCGCATTCACTCACCACTCACTCAATGACTCACCCAGAGCAACCTCCAGTCCTGCAAGCTCCGTTCATGGTAAGTCCCCTATACAGGTGTATCATTTCTTATCTTTTACACAGTGTCTTTACCGTACCTTTTCTGTGTTTAGATGCACAAATACTTACCACAGTATTACAATTGCCTGCAGCGTTCAGGACAGTTACGTGCTGTACAGGTTGGTAGCCTAGGAGCAACAGGCTACACCATCTAGCCTAGGTGTGTAGGAGGCTCTCCCACCTAGGTTTGTGTAAGTGCACTCTGAAATGCTTGCACAATGATGAAATTGCCCAATGATGCATTTCTCAGAGCATAGCCTTTTCACGAAGCGATGCATGACTGTACACCATGTCTCCCTTGACCAGCATTGGATTCGCATACAGCTTTTCAGGAGTGCTCTTGCCTAATGTGGATTACTCAGAGGTCGGGGCTTTCCTGATTCACTTAGGCTACGTTTCAGTGCACCACCCGGGTTTGGCAACTTAACCTTCGGCCTCCAAGTTTCTCATCCTATGCTAGACTTTCGCCAAGGCCTCCTTGTTACTAATGGCCAGTGCTTGGCCATCAGTAATGACCAACCTCCTGTAACCTACTGCCAGTACTAATGGCCAACCCTAACCCTAACCCTCCTTTTCCTCCTTGTCACTTTGCCCCTGAGTTAATCGTCTCCTACAATTCTGCTATCTCTTCTTTGTTTTTTTCTTATCAAAAAATCTTTAGCAGCCTTAGCCTGAATGCAGGAGGCCCCAGGCCATACTGTGATCTAGGTGAAGGGTTTCTTTGGGGATTCTCTTTACCTGGCTCTGAAAACCCTGCTTTTTCTTGTAGTCCTCCCTGGAAAGAATTTTTTTTTATTAGGTTGTCCTCTGAGGTGATGTCTCCTCCTGGTAGAAAGAAAAATAATATTCTTTGCAAAGCATTGACATATATTCTTTAACTTTACTTTCCCTCCACCTCCCAAAACTTGCCAGTTTCAGGGTCCAAAGTTCCGGACCTCTGACAAAGCATGCACCCACTTACAGATGGAATACATGGGCATTGGCCTGGGACCTGATGCTGTCCTCGTTGAAGGACATTTGTAATCTGGTGACCTTAGTCCAAAGACATGAACTTAAAGGTGGGAATATGGGGCACTGTGGTGGGAAAAGTTTGTAGTGACCTTTCAAGAAACAACATTCACATTTTGACAGAGGATGCCTTGGCTAGTGATAAAGAATTATAATGCTTTTTTTCCTTCCTTCCTTCCTTCATTCCTTCCTTCCTTCCTTCTTTCCTTCCTTCGTTCCTTCCTTCCTTCCTTCATTCCTTCCTTCCTTCCTTCCCTTCTTCCCTCCCTCCCTCCTTCCTGTTTTCCCCCTTCCCTTCTCTTCCTGTCTCCCTCTACCCCGCTCCCTTCCTCCCTTCCTTCCTTCCTTCTTTCCTATCTTGTCAAGAGGGGTAGTATGGTTGACTCTACCAGTTACTAGCTCTGTGATCTTGGACAAATTACTTAATCTTTCCATTTCTCTGCCTGTAAAATGAGTTTACTAATTAGATCGACCTCATAGAGTCTTTGTGAGGATTAAATTAGTATCTATACAGTGTATAAGATAGTACCTGGCAAAGAGTAATCTTTCAAAACGTATTTGCTCTCTTTGTTAATTCATTCATAAAATATATAAAACACCTACTGCTTGACAGGTCGTGCGGCAACGGGGTGGACTAAGCCCTGAAGAGCTTAGGGAGGAAGGTAGTGTAGAATATGGCTACTCAAGCTGCCTTGAGATGGAAACCATAATTTTAAGTTCTCTTTCTTCATTACATTAAAAAAACTCAGCCCATTTTCGCTGGGAAACTGAGCACTCCTCCAGGAAGCTGTCCCTGATAAGTGCAGCAAACATCATCTCAACTCATGAGTGCCAGAAGGAAGGAAAGCAGAACTGTGCTTCTGGTAGCTGATGATTGGGCGCTGGTTTCAATGGCTCCCAAGGCCTATTGGGAAAGAAGATAAAAGAGAGGTTCTAGAAGGGGCTGGAGTGGGGCCTGAGGCTCTGGGATGGATGTCCATGAAAGGGGTTCAAACAGTGATGGGTGGACAAGAGAAGGGGCCCTGCAAGGGCGCTAGTCCCAGGCTCAGTGTTCTCAGCTGCTGGCCTCACCTGCTCTGGAGCAAGTGCAGCAGGCTGGTTAACAGTATGGACTCTGGGGCCTGGCCGTGCAGGTTCAAATCCCTGCTTCCTCACTAACAAGTGGTGGCCAACTGCATCTTCCAAAGATGTCACAGCTCATCCCGCGGACTCTTCTCACAATGTGGCTGCCACTTCTCCCACCAGAGGAGGGTGTCTGTGTCCCCTCTCCTTGAATACGAGTGGGGGCTTGTGACTCCTCTGACCAAAGGACTGTGGCAGAGGTGATTCTATGTGACTTCCAAAGCTAAGTCATAAATGATCTAGGGTCTTTCTGGCTCTCTGTCTCTACCTGGGGACACTCACTCTTGGAACCCAGCCACCATATTTTAAGGAAGCTGAGGCGACATGGGGAGGTACATCTGGGCATTCCGGCTGATAGCCATTACTAGGCCCTCAGGCAACAGCCAGCATCAATCACCAGGCTTGTGCGTGAAGGAGCCTTCAGATTATTCCAGGTGCACACTATTGAAATGTGTGCCTCATAGCAGTAGTGACTTAATATATGTAAATAATTTAGACATGGCACCAAGTAAGTGCTATGCGTTCACTATTAAAATTGCTGTTATTGCTGTAGTTGTTACGATCACATGTATTCCATGTGGTCTGCAGGCATCTGCAGGGTGGCCCCATCTACAGAGGGCTTCCCCAGTACTGGCTGGTGACACAGGCCATGCCACCCCTGACAGACCAGGTGTACTCTACTCTACAATGCCCCAGGTTACCCATGACTCAAAGAGGGACCCTGGACATGTAGCAGATGATGTCAGGCTTTCAGAGCTGAACTTGTTAGGGGGAGCCAGAACTGGGCAGAAGTGAGAGCCTTGGATGGGACACTGGTCAACGACAGCAGAGTACAGCTATGTTTTATTTTTTAGAGACAAGGTCTTGCTATGTTGCTCAGGCTGGTCTCAAACTCCTGGGCTCAAGGAGTCATCCTGCCTCAGCTTCCCAAGTTGCTGTGATTCCAGGTGTGAGCCACTGTGCACAATAGAGTTTGACAGATGCTCAGATGGGCCAAGCTTGGGTGGTAAAAGCCTACAGGAGGGGCTTTCATCTTAGTCCTAGGGGGCCATAAGAAAGGGTATCAGAGAAAGTTGAGTAGGAATTGCCCAGTGAAAGAGAAAGGAAAGGGGATTCCAGGTGGAGGGTTTTGTGCAAACAAAAGCGTGGTGGGGAGAAAACATTTCATTTCTGAGGATTTGCAAATCTGATGGTGGTAAGAGTATATACAGTGACAAGTTCAAGGGCATTCTATAGAACCAGTGGTCTGCACTCTTCAAAATGCCAATATTATGAAAGAGAAAGAAAGGCTAAAAAACAGTATTAGATTAAAAGAGATAATACATGCGTGTACACTAAATGTAATGCCTGGTCCTAGACTGGCCCTGGGTAAGGAGAAGCGGGAGTAGTACAAATGACATTATCGAGACAGCTGGAGACATTTACATATGAACTATGTATTAGATAACAGGTCAGAATAGTGCATTTTGGGGGGTGTTGATTTTGAGGGGGAGAGAGTAGGAGAGAGCCATCTGGGGTGCTGGGATTTGATACCTTCATCTGGGTGGTGATTACACAAGTAGGACTTGAATATTTAGCTGAACGTAAATTATACATAGTAGAAAAATAAACATTGATATTAAATACAGTTCTATTTTATCTTATATAAAAGGATGTCCTTTTCTAAGGAAATGCATGCTGAAATACTAGGGGTAAGTGGGTGTGATGTCTACAATGAACTCTCAAATGTTTTAGGGGAAGATGATATTTATTTTGACAGGGGGAGTGATACAACAAATATGGCAAAATGTTAATTGGTGAAGTTGGGCAAAGGGTAGAAAGGAGTTCCTTCTATTCTTCAATTCTGTAAGTTACTTCAAAATAAAAAGTCTTAAAAAATGAATGGAGAAACAGAACTTGCAGGCAAAGAGGAGGGAGGGGAAAGAGGAAAGTCTGGAAGTCAGGCCGCCCGTTTATTGGAAGGGACATTGAGTTGTAGAAAGGCTAAATGGCTGGTCAAGGGTCAGTGAGCGATTAGTGTGGGCTTTGTGCCCCTGACCATACCTCTGAGACCCAAGTCTCACCTCTTTCCAGTCAACCAAAGGGTCCCAGGAGGGAGGTGTGAGTGTTAATATATGGCCTCCGATGTGGAGAAGACCTCAGGGGTGTAATTTGACAGAGCTCCTATTATTTCAGGTTACCATTAATGTGAGTTGTGCCATGAATTCCCCATGCATGGCCCAGAAATTTGCCCCATATGTTTGTAAAAGTTGATTACATCTTTGGGAGCTTTTTTCTAATGTGAACAGAAGCTATTAATATATAGATGCAATTGTTGCAGCTCATTGGGACCAGGTGTCTTTTCTGGTGTGTCATAAAAGGGCTCTGTATCCTTTTATTGTCAATACCTGAAGGCAAACAACCAGGTATTGACAATCTATTGATTTCAGATGATGTGTAATGCCATCATTTCTTGGATAAGAAATTAGGAGAAAATCTCTCTTTCTCTTTCCAAAGGAGAGCAACTCAGTAAAGAGTAATGGAATCCTGGCTAACTATGGGGCTAGGCTTAAAAAGAGTCCCCACTCTCACACATTTTAGCAGCAGTATAAATTGGTACAACCACTTGGAAAAACTGTTTGACAGTAGCTAATATAACTTAATATATGTTGGGCCAGGTGCAGTGGCTCACACCTGTAATCCCAACATTTTCGGAGGCCGAGGTAGGTGGATCACTTGAGATAGGGAGTTTGAGATCAGCCTGGCTAACATGGCGAAATCCCATCTCTACTAAAAATACAAAAAAAAAAAAAAAAATTGCGGGCAAGGTGGTGTGCACCTGTAATCCCAGCTACTTGGGAGGCTGAGGCACAAGAATCTCTTGAATCCGGGAGGCAGAGGTTGCTGTGAGCTGAGATCACACCCGGGCACTCCAACCTGGGTGACAGACAGAAACTCTGTCTCAAAAAGAAAAACCCAAACAAACAACAACAAAACAACTTAATATATGCTGAATAAAAGCAATTCCATGCTTGTGCACTTAATCTAAGAGAAATGAGCGTGGATGTCTACCCAAAAACAGGTACGGAAATATCCATAGCAGCTTTATTAATAATATCCCCCAAACAGAAACAACACAGAAACTGTGGTGTGTTCATGTATGGAGTACTACTGAGTAATGAAAGAGAATGAAATACTGAAATATACAGTAACATGGCCGAATGTCACAGATACATCAATACAAAAGAAAACATTCAGGGTGATTCTATTTAGTTGAAGTTTAGAAACAGGTGAACTGAATCTATGATAATAGAGGTCATTTTGGAGGGTGTTGATTTTGAGGGGGATAGAGTAGGAGAGAGCCATCTGGAGTGCAGGGAATGTTGATACCTTCACTGGGGTAGTGATTACATGAGTAAAACTTGAGTATTTAGCCGAATGTAAATTATACATAGTAGAAAACTAAACATTTTACAAAGAATTTCTTTCCACTGGTAACGTTGTCTTGAGGGGCTGCAGAATGGGACATCCCAATGACTGTGCTTGATAGCAGCAATCTGGGGTCGGTTGTGTCCTCAACCCCATTCTACAATGGTCAATTGCATATGCTCTTGCCCACCTGTGCTGGGCAACAATCACCAATCAGCCAAGGCTCTGTCAATGCCTGTGCATTAAGCCAGTGCCCTCAGGACTGCTTCCACCTGGAGGACAAAGGCTGAGGCCACACAAGCTCTAGGACAGCGGACAGCTTTTCTCAAACTTCAGTGTGTAAAATAATCACCTGGTGATGTTATAAAAATACTGATTCTGATCTAATAGGTCCTGGGGTGGGGATGTCCTCAAATGTATTTCCAATAAGCTCCTAGGTGATACTGATGCTGCTTGACCAACTTTGAGTATCAAGGCTCTAGAAGCTGACAGGCCAGGGTAAGAATCTTGGCTCTGCCATGTATGAGCTCTGTAATCTTTGTTTTTTTGTTTGTTTGTTTTCTTTTTTCTTTTTTTTTTGAGATGGAGTCTCACTCCATCACTCAGGCTGGAGTGCAGTGGCACTATCTCAGCTCACTGCAACCTCTGCCTCCCGGGTTAAAGCGATCCTTTTGCCTCAGCCTCCCTTGTAGCTGGGATTACAGGCCTGCACCACCACACCTGGCTAATTTTTATATTTTTAGTAGAGACGGAGTTTCACTATGTTAGCCAGGCTGGTCTTGAACTCCTGATCTCAGGTGATCTGCCCTCCTCAGCCTCCCAAAGTGGTGGAATTACAGGTGTGAGCCATCTTTTCTGGCCTGAGCTCTGTAATCTTTGCCAAACTACTTGACCTCTCTGAACCTCAGTTTCTTTTTCCATAAAATGGCAGGGGTGGGATGGCTTAGCTGAGGTGGAGTGGGGAGGGACAGGTAAGACAACCATCTCCCAGAATGGTGCAGATTAAGCAGGATAATATACATAAAGTGTTTAGCAGAGTACCTGCTCTATAGCAAGCACTCACTAATTGATAACTCTTGTTATATTATTTTTAATAAAGAAGAAGGCTTGGGTCATGATTTGGAGAAAGGTGAGTGAAGTAGTTAATGAGAGCAGGAACGAATGAGCAGTTCCCTTGTATCTTATCTAGGAAGGATATTTTCTCTTCTTTTTCTTCCACTTCATCCATCATCCTTCCCTTGAATTCATTCCCCGGGTCTTCACTATCAAGATAAGATGTGTTTCTTCTTCATTCTTCCTCCCACCCCAAGCCACCTAAAATCTAACAAAGCTGGAAGAACTCAGGCAGAACTGAAGCTTGAAGCCAGACAGATTGTCAGATTGTGCCCGGAGGTGATATCTTTGTTAAGGAAACATCCTCCCCACCTTGGCTGTTTCTAGAGGGGCAGGCTTGGCCCTTGAGAGTAGAGGTCCATGGCTGGGTCTCCACGCATGCCCACGCCCAGCTGCCCTCCTCAGAAACCGCCCATGCTTCTCCACACGCAAGGCCCCTCTGGAGGAAGACATATGTTTCTCAATCTGTGGGGCTGTCAGTTGGCATCTTTTTCAAGAACTGAATTAACTTGTCGTCCTAGAGGGAAAAAAGAGAAGTGCTTTGTTTTGTGTTGTCTGTAGGGTAACAGGCCTGGACTGGGTCCAAGTTTGGGGGTGCTCCTCTTTCAGTTGGTGGTGGGGGAGCCATCTGATTGGAGCCTTGAGGCTGGGGGAGCTCTAAGTCACAGTTTGGCTCAATTCTATAAAGTGACGTGTGTTTAGTGAGTGCCAGGCACAAGACCAGGCACCAAAGGCTCAAAAATAGTTAAACAACAGCACTCATGGTGGAGTAGAGAGACAGAAGAGAAGCAACTGTAAAGTCCTAAGATAAGTTCTTAGGTAGGATGTACATGATGTGCAGAGAACGGGGAAAGACCAGAAGGTGTGGTAGCCAGTCTTCAAGATGGCTCTCAATGAGACACACTGCTTGACATTCATGCCTTTTTTTTAGTTCCTTCCCGTGTTGAGTCTGGGCTGGCCTATATAACCAACAGAACGTGGTAGAAGTGGCTCTGTGTGACTTCCAAGGCTAGGTCATAAAAGGCCTTGCAGCTTCCACCTTGGTCTCTTGGAATGCATGTTCTGGGAGAAATCAGCTGTCATGTCAAAAGTCTGACTATGCTGAGGCCACCATGCTGTGAGGAAGCCCAACCTAGCCATGGGAAGGCATCACAAGAAGACACAGAAATACCATCTCCATAGCCAGCTTTTCCACCCATCTCACCCAGGCAAGGGACAGGTGTGTGAAGGAGCTATGTTGGATGTCCAGTCCAGTTGAGCCTTCAGATAACTCCATCCCTGGCTGCCATCTGACTGCAACTGGCTGAGAGACCCCGCGTGAGAAACTTTCAGTGGAGCTCAGTCAACTCACAGCACCTCAAATAACCATGAGCAATAAGAATAGTTGAGTTAAGCTGCTAAATCTGGGTGGTTTGTTACACAATGACTGATAGAAGAAGGGTTTCTGGTAGAAAGGATGATGAGGGAGGGAGTAGAACAGTAGATTTCTGGATGGGGAGCAGCATCCCATGGAGAAGTGCATCTTGGAAAACCACATAGAAAGGAGAATCAGAATAGGCTCTTGAGGAATTAGGAGCAGTTAAATATTAACAGAGAGCAAAGGCCAGGCAGAGAGAAGTGGAGAGAGCACTGGGAGAAGTGGGCAGGGGCCAGACCTATGGATTCTGCACAGGGATTTAAACAACGTACCATGTGGTTTGTGGGAGCTTTGTATTTACTTACAATTTTGAGAGGTGAAGATGTGAACTTCCCCTATAAATCTCCCTATGGCTGCTGCTATTATTGACTTCAGCAGCTGCGACAAAAACCACTCGGGAGGCTTGGTGAACACAAATGCTGAATGGCCTCATTGGCTCAAAGAAAGAGGGGAAAGGGCTAAACACTGTTCAGTGTTCTTCCACTGCTTTCCCCGAGTCTGGGAAATGTCGCATGCCTGAGAAGTCCTAGATTCCATCTTAGCAGCAGCCAGAAACCCCCTTCCCTGGATTGATGATTTATCCACAAAGTACCTGCCCACCAGCACTGTCAAATATGTGATTTAACTGATGCTAGCACCAAGCCAGGTCCTCCCTGCAGTCTCACTGGGGGCTACTTCCACCTGCAACCCTGGCTAAAAGAGAAGAGCCCAAGGGAGGACAGTCCCCATGGCTGCAGTTTCCCCTCTGCCATGCCATCTACTTACCTTCCTAGGCCTCTGTGTTCTCTACTGTAAAACGGGGACAGTAATGCCTATCTTACCCTTGACTGGAGAGTATTAAATGAAATACTGTGATTCAAGTAAGCAGCAAAAACCCCATGTACAGGGCGCACTCAGCCTATGGAGGCTGTTGTAAATATCGCCCTTGCCTTGGTGCTCTGGTCTTATACCCCGAGTCTTCTCTCGAGGTAGGAGATACAGAACAAAGGCGCTGTCCTTGGCCAATATCGCTAATGGATTAGACCACTCTTTGTCTCAGCATGCAGACAGCCTCATGGTCTCGGGCAGCCACTAATATTAATTAATAGCACACATTTCTTGAGCTCTCACCATGCTACAAACGAGTTTTCTCCTGTAATCCTCATAAAAGTCCTGCAGAAACATTTTAGATTTGAGAAAACTAAGGTGGAGCGAGGATAACCTACTCAAAACTGTGAAGCCAGGAAGAGCTGGGGCTGGAGTTGGAACACTCCAGAGCCTGCTGCTTAACCACTGCCCCGCACTGCCTCCCAAAGGAGTCTTCCCTAGAAAGGAGGAGCACAGGATGAAAGCGCACACCACCTCCCATTGTTCTCAGAACTTAGATGAACTGTACATTGTCTTTGTTTAGGCATAGCCCGTTCAATTAGCATGCTGGTGATTTTATCTTTTCCTACTAAGTCCAAGTGTTAAAGCAACAGAAGAAGGGCTCTTTTAATCCCAGTTCCCCATAATTACTAGTGAGAAATAGCCTCAGAAAACTCCATACCGTGTTTTGAGGTTTTGAGGAATGATCTGGAGCTTACACTAGAAAATTAAACCAATGAGGACAGGAACTCTATTTTCCTCACCTCTGTACTCTCTATACTTAGCGCAGTGCCTGGCCCATAGTAGATGTTCAATACATATTTATTGAATGGGTGAATGCAGGATCTACTTTTCCATTAGGCCTAGTAGACACAGTGCCAGAGGCCCAGATACTGTTAGGGATACATGATAGTGTTGTTATTTTCCTTTACAAACAGGAAAAAAAAATAAATATAAAAAAATCAATATGTAACAATGAATCCAGCCTAGATGTTATTCTTTATGCCAATGCAGTCGTAAAATATAATTTTTTTTTAAAATGAAGTGACGGCCAACCTAGCCATGAGAATTCTAATGCAGTCCTGAATGAGTGAGGCTTCTGTGTAAGTGCCCAGTTGGGTACAGGGTAGATCGTAGACAAGATCCATTTCTTCCCATCTGTGCTTTAGAAGTAGAAGTGCAGAGCAGGCCATCTGTGACACCACATGTACCCAGTGGCTCCTTCCTTTCATGTCCACGGCCTCTCCTTTGCGCCAGGGATGATTGGACCAGCATGCAACCCTGACCAGGGACAGCCAATAGGAGCTGCTCAGGGGCATAGAGCCGGGCAGGAAATGCTGTGCCCAAGAGGTGCCACAATCAGCAGTGCCAATCCAGAAGGACTGAAGCTGAAATATGAAGAAAGAATCAGTAAACAGTAGAAAAGCTAGAGAAGACACAGAGAAATGGAGACAGAGTAACTGGGTTGTGAGAAGTGTGGAATGGAGTGAGGATCCCTCAACTCTCTCTGCAGCTTGGGCTAGCTGATCTAGTTCCTGTGTGGACTCCAAACACAAGACCCACCTGCATTTACTGAGTGCCTTCTATTTTCTAGGCCCTGGGCTAAGTGGCTTATATATATCATCTCATTTAACCTCCCAACAACCCTATAGAGGTGGTTTTATCTTTATCCTACTTATCAAATGTGGAAAGGAAGCTTAATTCATTTGCTCAAGATCGCATAGCTAGTAACTGGAAGAACCAAGCCTCAAAAACCCAGCCGGTTGGACTCCAAAGTCCACAATTTAACCAACAAACCAACTTGCTTTGTCAAATTCTAAAGTCTATTCCAGACTCCAGGAAGCTCAGCAGTTCACCTTTCTTGGTTTCTCTTGAGATCCCTGTTATCAATATGTTATATGTGTCCTTGCAATTCACTGGAGTAATGGCTTGAGGTAGTCTGAAAATCTGTTCTTTATCTGCAAAAGACCAACGGTCCAGGAGAAGGTCAAAAAAGACAGAGGACCTGGGGTAAACAACAGGCAATAAACATGAAAAACAAAAACAAAAACAAAAAACTGGTGAGGAGCTGTATATTGGTGAAGAGAAGCAGCCCCAGTTTGCCAGGTCATGGTGAGAATGAGCTTCAAGTAGTCAGGAAGAGGCCAGATTAGGGAGAGTCCAGAGAAAAAGACCAAAGAGGTTGTTCTTTCCCCCCATAGACAAGGGGCTTCAATGGTAAGAAACAAGAGGAAGTGTGTACAAAGCGGCATTTAAGAAGCCTCATGTGGTTGGCTTAGCCAGGATGAATTTGCCACAGAGAGGGAAGAAGCAAGAGGTTATTTTTACAACAGTAGGAGAAAGATAACCAAGTGTGAACTTTGATGGTGGTGTGGGGGATGGGAGGTAAGCACATTGCATTGTAAAGAAGGACTGCACAGGAGTAATTAGAAGGCAGAAAGGGAACCAGAGGGAGGAACCATCTGTGGTTATGTCCAGAAAATTAAAATCTCAGTGGCAGAGATTTCTAGTTGTCCACGATATCCTTTTGCACCTTCTTATAAAAGCTCATAGTTTTTAGCTGGGCACGTGACTGCCTAAGATAAAGGCTATATTCTCCAGCCTCCCTTGCAGTTTGGTGTGGCTATGGGCCTGTCTCCTGCGGAAACGGATCTGCCCTGGAGTCCCTGCTGGGCTCTTTCACTGTCAGGGAGCAGCCATGGAAAAAATGGTCTTGGTCACAGTGTGGTGATGGATTCAGATTTGGAGAGCAGCAGCTGGGGCCATTAGTCAACTACCCTCCCCATGACAGGAGATCTGAGAGGGGCATTTTTGTAGCTGCCACATGCTTTCCATCCATTTTGTTGTTGTTGTTGTTGTTTTGTTTGTTTGTTTGTTTCATTTTGTTTCTGTCCTGGCTCAGGTAAGCTCTCACCTAGTGACCACAAGATGGCTGCCACAGCTCCAGTATCACATCTCACTGGGTAAACCAATGGGAAAAAATATTTGCCTTTTTCCCAGCACCCACTGTGAAAACCTCATTGTGTCTCATTGGTTCTGAATGAGTCACGTACTCACTTCTGAACCAATCACTGTGACTAGGGAAATATGACCTGCTGATTGGCTGAGGCCTAGACCACACACTCCACTCCTAGAGGGAGGGATGACACTCTAGCCAGATTCCAGAGTCAGAGTGTAGGGGAGGGTGAGTCCCCAAAGAAAAATGGAAGGTGGGGGAACTATGCTAGGGAGACAGCAACAAAATATCCTTGATAATAGTGTTAAATGTCCCCACACTTGTTTCCTCCTAGAACCCTATTTGCTGAGTTACTTGTGCAGAGCACATATTGAGAGATGTTGGACCTTAGAAATACAAGACATGCATAATATCTCTGTAATTACACCTTCTGCTTATTCTTTACAAATAGGCCATTCGAGTTAGGAATGTTAGCAAAGAGAAAATCTCCTATTAATTAATTAATTTATTTATTTATCTGAGACTGAGTCTTGCTTTGTCACCCAGCCTGGAGTACAGTGGTGTGATCTTGGCTCACTGCAGCCTCAACTTCCTAGGCTCAAGCAATCCTCCCATCTCAGTTTCCTGAGTAGCTGGTACTACAGGCATGCACCATCACGCCTAGCTAATTTTTTTTTTTTTATTTTTGGCGGGGTCGGGGGTGGTCTCACTTTGTTGTCCACCCTGGTCTCGAACTCCTGGCCTCAAGTGATCCTCCTGCCTCAGCCTCTCAAAGTGCTGGGATTACAGATGTGAACCACCACAACTGGCCAAAATCTCCAGGGGAGATGGGGCTACATGGTTGATGGAAACATCCACTTGGCCCTTCTTGATATATTCTATTCTCTTAGATATTTTTTCCAAAACAGATGAAGAGTTTGCCAGATTTTATGTATTTTTAGGAGAAAAGATAATGAGACCCCATAAATTACCCCAAAGTGTCCTTAATGACCTTTCCATTGCCTCTCCTCAAGTACCCCTGTAGCCTCCTCAATAGGAATCGATTAGGAGTCTTCATTCTCCTCTTATCATTGACAGCACCTCTGGGGAAAAAAAGGCCATGCCCTTCCCTCCCACCTGCTGTAGGGATTAATGTCCAGATAAGATCCTAACAGAAAGAAACAATTTGGGTTCAGCAGTTGTGAGCCAGTGGGGCTAGGTGACCACCAGCATTTAAGATATTATGTCCTGGGCATGTGTGAATTGATAATATCTTTATTGATTCTGAGGAGTTACATGACAATAAAAGCATGTTCAAAAATATTTATCACAGAGTATTGTAGCTAACAGACTCCATTTTAAAGTTTACAAAAGATAAATCATAAATGCCGTTCTTGCTTAATATTCTACAGTTTCTCTTTAAAATAAATGAAAAGATTATAAAAAATGATAAGAAAAACAGTAACACTGAGATCTTTCTGTAGGTCAGGCACTCTGCTAAGTACTTCATATGCATTTTCTTGTTTAATCTTTACAACCATATAATGGGGTAGGTAATATTATTGTTCACATTTTATAGATGAGAAAACTGAGGCTCGGATGGGCACAGTGGCTCACGCCTATAATCCCAGCACTTTGGGAGGCCGAGGCAGGAAGATCACTTGAGGCCAGGAGTTCGAGACCAGCCTAACCAACATGGTGAAACCCCGTCTCTAGTAAAAACACAAAAAATTAGCCGGGAGTGATGGTAGGCGCCTGTAATCCCAGCTACTTGCGAGGCTGAGGCAGGAGAATTGCTTGAACCTGGGAAGTGGAGGTTGCAGTGAACCGAGATGGCACCACTGCACTCCAGCCTGGGGGACAGAGACAGACTCCATCTCAAAACAAAAAAAAAAAAAGAAAATTGAGGCTCAGTGAAATTAAGGAACAAATTCAAGACTATATAACTAATAAATAAAAGAATCAGGGCCAGGCATGGTGGCTCACACCTGTAATCCCAGCACTTTGGGAGACTGAGGTGGGTGGATCACTTGAGGTCAGGAGTTTGAGACCAGCCTGGCCAACATGATGAAACCTTGTTTCTACTAAAAATACAAACATTAGTTGGGCATGGTGGTGCATGACTGTAGTCCTAGCTACTCAGGAGGCTGAGGCAGGAGAATTGCTTGAACCCAGGGGGCGGAGGTTGCAGTGAGCCGAGATCATGCCATTGCACTCCAGCCTGGGCAACACAGTGAGACTCCATCTCAAAAAAAAAAAAAAAAAGAGAATTTTTTTTTCTACAGATGAGGTCTCATTCTGCCACCCAGGTTGGAATGCAGTGGTGCAGTCATAGCTTACTGCAGCCTCAAACTCTTGGGCTCGAGCAAACCTCTCACCTCAGCTTCTCCAGTAGCTGGGACTATAAGCACGCACCACCATGCCTGGCTAATTTTTTTTCTTTTTTCTTTTCTTTTTAGACAGGGTCTCACTCTGTCGCCCAGGCTGGAGTATAGTGGTGCAGTGGCACGATCTCAGCTCACTGCAAACTCCACCTCCTGTACTCAAGTGATCCTCCCGCCACAGCCACCCGAGTAGCTGGGACTACAGGCACACACTACCATGCCCGGCTAATTTTTGCATGTTTTGTAGAGATGAGGTTTCACAGTGTTGCCCAGGCTGGTCTGGAACTCCTGGGTTCAAGGGATCCACCAACCATGGCCTCTTAAAGTGGTGGGATTACAGGCATGAGCCACTGCATCCAGCCTATCAGAGTCAGAATTTGAAATCGGGTCTAATTTCAGTATGTGTGTTCTTAGAATTAATGTGCTATACCCTACCACTTAATGACACAAGCTTTTCTCCCCCTAGCATACCTATCTCATCGGGATACTGGGTAAATCAAACGCACTAAAATATGTAAAGATATCAGACACTTTGCAACCTGCAGTGAATGAGCCATTGGAAGCTGTAGGTTTTGTTTTGACCAAACTCTTTGTTTATTGTCGCCTTTAACTTTTGTGGAGTGGCATTGCCAAAGATCCCTGATGCTTCTGTCTCCCTTGAGTTGCCAGACCAGACCCAGTGACATGTACCAGGCTTTTGTCGGCTCTTGCCCCCACTTATAAGGCAGGATCCAGGCTTTTTACTGAATCTTCCCCTAGTAAGTATTTATAGAAGTCATTAGGGTGCCACATATGTGCTCATAAATATGAACAGTCAGTACATCCTGGCATAAACCACTCTATTTCCTTTCTCCTGCTCTTGCCTCCTTATTCTGGGCACCCTTGGTATATGAGGTACCACTGCTGCTTTCCCTGTACAATTGGGTACAATTGTGCCTGATGCAGGGCACTGTGACTTCTCATTTCTGCTTTGCTGGTTCCCCCGAGGACCTGAAGCTGCATGTTTTCAGGAGTCCTCAATGGGCAGGAGTCCTCAAGTGTCATCCCCCCTATAGTATAATAATCTGTTGGAGAGCATGAGGAATCTGAATAAGAGATTTTGGGTAAGCTTTATTAAAGTGTAGTATGTATATAGAAAGAGACATAAATCATAAGTATTCAGCTCCATGGATTTTTCATATTTTTCATAAAATGAACCCACGCATGTAACCAGCACTAAGATCAAGAAGCAGCAGATTCCCAGCACCAGAGAATCTCCTTTGTGCCCCCTTCCATTAGCAAGGGTAGCCCCCCTTCCCCAGGGTAACCGCTATCCTAATTCTTTTTTTTGAAATGGAGTCTTGCTCTGTTGCCCAGGCTGGACTGCAGTGGCGCGATCTCCAATCACTGCAATGTCCGCCTCCCAGGTTCAAGTGATTCTCCTGCCTCAGCCTCCCAAGTAGCTGGGACTACAGGTGTGCACCACCATACCTGGCTAATTTTTTTGTATTTTTGGACTTTTTTTGTATTTTGTACATTTTTTTTTTTGTAACTTACAATTTATGTCTTTTTCTGTATACAGATGGGATTTCGCCATGTTGGCCAGGGCTGGTCTCGAACTCCTGACCTCAGATGATCTGCCAGCCTTGGCCTCCCAAAGTGCTGGGATTACAGGCATGAGCCACCGCTCCTGGCCCTGCTATCCTAACTTCTAACACTATAGATTCTGGTTGCCTCTTTTAAAACTTGATATAAATAGGAATCATATAGACTTTTTAAAATCTAGTTTATTTTGCTTAACATTATGTTCGTAAGATATAGTTACATTAGTGAATACAGCTGTAGCTTATAATTTTCATTTCTGTGTAGTATGCCATTGCGTGGATATAGCACATACAATGTTTAGTTATCCATTCTAGTGTAGATGGGCATTTGGGTAGTTTCCAGTTTGGGACTCTTACGAGTAGTGCTGTTGTGAACATCTTTGTTCATGTCTTTTGGTGAACATATGCAAGCATTTCTGTTAGGGATATATACATATGTGTGTGCATGTACATGTGTGTGTGTATGCGTGTGTGTGTGCATGTGTGTATGTATAAATTGTTGCTAGGTCATAGGCTATGCATATGTTTAGCTTTAGTCAATACTGCCAAACAGACTTTCTTTTTTAAATGTTATTTATTTGTTTATTTTTTATTATTATTATACCTTAAGTTCTAGGGTACATGTGCACAATGTGCAGGTTTGTTACATATGTATACATGTGCCATGTTGGTGTGCTGCACCCATTAACTCGTCATTTACATTAGGTATATCTCCTAATGCTATCCCTCCCCCTTCCCCCGACCCCACGACAGGCCCCAGTGTGTGATGTTCCCCACCCTGTGTGCAAGTGTTATGATTGTTCAATTCCCACCTAGGAGTGAGAACATGCGGTGTTTGGTTTTCTGTCCTTGCGATAGTTTGCTGAGAATGATGGTTTCCAGCTTCATCCATGTCCCTACAAAGGACATGAACTCATCCTTTTTTATGGCTGCATAGTATTCCATGGTGTATATGTGCCACATTTTCTTAATCCAGTCTATCACTGATGGATATTTGGGTTGGTTCCAAGTCTTTGCTATTGTGAATAGTGCCGCAATACACATACGTGTGCAGGTGTCTTTATAGCAGCATGATTTATAATCCTTTGGGTATATACCCAGTAATGGGATTGCTGGGTCAAATGGTATTTCTAGTTCTAGATCCATGAGGAATCGCCACACTGTCTTCCACAATGGTTGAACTAGTTTACCGTCCCACAATAGTGTAAAAGTGTTCCTATTTCTCCACACCCTCTCCAGCACCTGTTGTTTCCTGACTTTTTAATGATTGCCATTCTAACTGGTGTGAGATGGTATCTCATTGTGGTTTTGATTTGCATTTCTCTGATGGCCAGTGATGATGAGCATTTTTTCATGTGTCTGTTCTGCCAAACAGACTTTCAAAGTGATTAGACCAATTTACACTCCCATCAGTGATACATGTATTTGGATAAAGTTGTTATAGTATTATGGTTCATTTTTTTCTTTGTCCAAAAGCCCTTCAAAACTTAAGTCCTGCTCAGGCCAAACTGCCCCCTCTCCATCAGTCTCTTCAGTGTATCAATTAGAGTTTGTGGTTGCAAGCAACAGAGATCAACTCTAGCTAACATATAGGAGATGCTCATACAATGACAGAAGGTAATTTTCCAAAAGGAAATCTGCATGCTGTTAGAATGGGAAATGGATTCTGGACTAATGGATAAGACTTGGATAGGAGCAGAAACTAAGGCAATGTTGGAGGCTATGGCATGAATCACAGCAGCAGTCTCCAAGCAGGAACCTTTCTGCGAGCATGTCACCCTGCATGGAATGGCCTCACTCTTGATCTTTCATTATACAGTAGCCCAGGAAAGAAAATCCAATTGCCTGAGCTTACATGGTGGGCCTGTTCTCCAACATATTAAGCTAGAGAGAGGCAGGGACTGTGCCTTTGAGTTCTGTAGTGGGAGATGATCCCATCCCATGATGCAGTACTTTCCCTGCAGATCTCATTAACCAAAAATGAGATAATTCCCCCAAAAGTAATCTAGAATGAAAGATGAAGATTTCTGGAAAAATCAGAATGTAAAATGAGTGCTGGGCAGCCAAAGAAAAAAGATGACTGTCTACCAATCTAAGAGAGATACGCATACAAGGAGTAATGACCAATAGGAAGCCAAGTCACATTGTTTTGGTAGCTGGGGCTTGGACCCCGAACTGCAACACAGACGACTTTGGTAGCTCAATTGGACCACATGGAACATCCTTGCTTTTCTAAACTATTGTATTAATTTTCTAGGACTGCTGTAACCAAGTACCATGAAGTGCATGGCTTAAAACAACAGCAATGCTTTCTCTCACAGTTCTAGAGGTAGAAGCATGAAGCCAGCTATTGACAGGAGCATGCTCCCACTGAAGGTGAGAGGAAGGATACTTCCTTGACTCCTCCTAGCGTTTGGGGTTGTCGGAAGTCCTTGGGGCTCCCTGGCTTGTAGCTGCCTTGCTTTGATCCCTGCCTCTGTCTTCACATGGCCTTATCTTCTGTGTGTTCCTCTCCTCTTCTTATAAGGACACCAGTCATTGTATTTAGGTCCCACCTTAAACCAGTATAACTTCTTGTTAACTAATTACTTCTGTGAAGAGGCTATTTTCAAATAAGGTCACATTCTGAGGTTGCTGATGAACACAAATTCTGAGGGGATGCCATTCAAACTACTACAGTTGATTCAGCTTCAAACCAGAGAATCTGGTGAGCTCTGATCCCTTTAATTCCTCCCACCACTTGCTGATACAAGTCTAATGTTTTCTTGCATGCTGGCTACATGGAAGAAGTGGAATCTATGAATTGCAATCATGGCCTGATCTTTTAATGCATTATATAACTTCACTCTCCTTCAAACCTGATCCACTCAGTTCCCAGAATTGACCAGATTGGTATGGTTCAGTGGTAAAGAGAAGAGGCTGTAGTGGAACGGCCAAGATTCAAACCCTGGTTTGGGCCGGGCACAGTGGCTCACACCTGTAATCTCAGCACTTTGGGAGGCCGAGGCAAGCGGATCACCTGAGGTCAGAAGTTCAGGACCAGCCTGGCCAACATGGTGAAACCCCATCTCTACTAAAAATGCAAAAATTAGCCAGGCATGGTGGCAGGTGCCTGTAATCCCAGCTAGTTGGGAGGCTGAGGCAGGAGAATCTCTGGAATCCAGGAGGCAGAGGTTGCCATGAGCCAAGATCATACCATTGCACTCCAGCCTGGGCAACAAGAGCGAAACTCCGTCTCAAAAAACAAAACAAAAGACAACAAGAAACCCTGGTTTGACCTTTTTACTATCTGGGTGACACTCCTTGTGTCTTGGCTTTCTTATCCATAAAATGTACTTGATGAAAAATGTACTATTTCATCAGGCTATAGTAGTAAAAGTTAAATGAGAAAATGGATCTAAGTTCTTAGCTCGGTGCCTGGCACAACATAAGCACTAACTCAATGTTGTCGTTATTAATTTGTGTGTTCCCGAGGGAAGTGGGTATGGGAAAGGAGGCTTAAACATGATTCCCCCTCAGAAAGGCCTGATGGAGTTTTAATAAAAAACTTGTAGCTTTTTTCTCCCTGCAGTCTTTATGGCCCTCCTCCCTCCTACCCCAGTCTACAGGAAGCCAGGCTGGAATAGAAAACCTAAGAGCAGACCTCATGGTATATGTGCCCTCCTTAACAATCAAGGCTTTGTTATTAGGCCAAGCTTAAGGCTCCCGGCTCTGTTTTCCCTTAGGGCTAGTCCTCTCTCAGAGGCACTCTGAGCCCACGTGCAAAGACATTTCAGAGGCCCATCCCATCCATTTACCAGGCACACCTGGATGGGCCTGGGGCTCTAGCTGAGGTCACTGCTATGCCTAGAAATAGCTGAACAGGCAGCTCAGTTATCCCTCGGACTGGAGACTGCCCGGCTGGGGCACCTGAGGCCGGAGCAGATCCCTGAGGTTGTAAATCAGGGCTATGCCAAGATCATCCTAGGAAGAGGATTTGGGCTTCTTTCTGTCTGAAGGCTCTGGTGCCCTGGCTTCATCTAGGGGATGGCAAATAAGACTGGCTTGTCCAGAGTGACACAGGACTGGCCAGGGGCCAAACTGCTATTGATTTTTCTTGCTAGGGTCTGAAGCTGAGATAGGAGATGGCTTTTTGCTTCAGTTGTGTGGACCAGCTCGGGGGAGGCAGGGGGTTGGGGGGCAGGTGAGGGGTGAGGGGCTCCTTTGCAGGAGCCTGGGCCCCTGGCTGAAGTCACTGGAGGAGAGGGCACATGTCAGGAGCAGAATAATGACTCTGCAGCCATCATGTGTCATGTGCAATGGAGGATGACCGTGATGGCCCTGTTGCACTCCAGCCAAGGGTCCAGTGGGCTTTTTGTTTTTTTTATAGCTTGCCGAATTATCTTTTAGTGTCTGACTTCACAGTAGGAAAGGGTTTGACACCTCCAACTGCCTTTCCTCCTTCTGCCAGGATGATGGGAGCTAAGCAGAGCAGAACCACAAGCTCTGTGTTCAGGCTGGCCCCTGTGGCAAGAGTGCAAGTGGGGGCTTATGAAAGCGATATCTAAGTATTCAAACATTATCCATCCCAGTACAAAATGCTATGTAAAATAAGTTCTACCCTCCAACTTGGACAAATGTATCTTCCTAATGCCCTGCAACACCAGGATGGACTTTAGATTTCTCGGGCTCCTTGGTCCTCCACACCCAAATGTGATCTTGCAGGGAGAGCAGCCCTGACTCCACCCACTCCCCTTCTGTTCCACCTCTCGTTCCATTTTGCATTGTGAAGAATGTCCCTCACTCATGCATGCTGTCTTTCTCTCTCTGTCTCTGTCTCTGTCTCTGTCTCTCTCTCTCTCTCTCTCTCTCTCTCTCGTTTGTGGACACTCCAGCTGCATATCCATGTCCTTCAAACTCCATGTCCATCCCCGCTGTCCTTCAAACAGCTGCCCCTAAGTCAACTCTCAGACTTGGGTGCACATGCTGGTGGGCAGGTTTGGACTTCCAACAAAGAAAGAAGGGAAGAGGCCAACGCACATTCTGGAAACAGGATTACAGCTACTTGGGCAGAGAAGTAAGGATTCCAGGAACCCAGACTAGGGCCTGGAAGCGGGAGTGCATGGGGCTCAGGTGGGCACATCTCCTTGGTCCCATGGACTCCTTAAACATCTGCCCCTTTGAGGAGGCGCAAACCCAGAGGGGACCCTTTGAAGTGGGAGGCCAGGGCAAGACCCTTGTTGCCTGGTTCAAAAGGCTGTTCTGCCCACGATCACACCACCACGAGACTCCAATCTTGTTCCACGACCACAACACCATGGGCACCATGAGATTCCAATCTTGTACCAGTGCTTCATGGTAGAGAGCATGATTTCTGAAGTCTTGGGGAGATGCATCTTTGACCTCTCTACCTTCCAAAGAACAGTTCCCCGGGATAGTAGGGACTGCCTCGGAATTAGGAAAATGAGAGGAGGAAACAGCATCCCAGCCCTGACCCATGCCTTCGTTTTGGGCTTCCCTAGATCAAGGTTCCCTCGGAAGGCAGCTCTCCCCTCCACGATCCATGTGTTTTTTGTTGTTTCCTAATCCTCAGCTTGGCAGGCCCCTGAGTGCTGCATCCATATTTTTGTCTGCTCTTTTGTCTGATGAGTTTCTCCCTACATGCCTGAGCTGGCAGCAGCAAGCCTGCGAGATGAAGCTCCTGCCCCTTCACAAGAAGATTCATCATGTTCTTTGAAAAAGCCTTTGCAGCCTTCATTTTTGTCCCTCTTGCCTGCCATCTCCCTCGTCTTTTGGTTCTATTATATGTATTTTTTAGCAGCCTTGGTGTTCCCTGCATTTTTTTTTTTAACCACAAAGTTGACTGTTATGTAACAGTCTCATGGACCTGCCTCCCAGAATCTAAAGTGTCTGTTGCTATAACTACAACGCTCATAAATTCAGCCTCCCTTAAAATTATGCATTTTCCAAACTCCCCAAGTGGAGACTCAGAAGGGTTAGGTTAGCTGGATTTTAAACCATAAAATTCATGTCTAGACCCCCAAATCTGTACTGTATATTTTTAAAACATTTATAAAGGGACCTGGGTTTCTTTTCATTTCTGCAGACACTTTAAAGGATAAGTTTTATTTCTGCATCTGGAATCGCAGACTTTCTCAACTCTCCAGGAAAGAGGTTTTTGCCATACTACCAGATCCTACTGAATCATACTACCAGAAACCCACTGAATAGCGGGGAATGAGAGGAAAGGTGTGACTTGGAACTAGCCAGTGGCTTTTGTGCCCAGTCTGTTTTTCCTGCAATGCTTTGGATTTCTGATTTGAGCTCCATTTCTGGAACTCTGTGTAGGAACCAGGTCATGTATGAGAGGAGCTAAGGGGACCTTGCCAACTGGTAATAAGTGAAAGGAAGACTGTTCTAAAAGAAATAAGATTGCTGCTACCTCAGGAACCAGGAATCCAATCGCTACCCTCCATTCCTGCTGCCACTGCCCTGATCCAAGACACTGGCTTCTCCTCCCAGGTATGCCTCAGTGGCTTCTGTGAGATACCTGTGCCTTTCCCAGCAATATCCATTCTCCTCCTTTTTCGTAGGGAACCCCAATTTTGTTGGTGATGGCAATGTACCAAGCTAAAAATTACCTTCCCAGCCTCTCTCAGAGATGAGGGTATGTATTCATTATTCATTGCTGCATAGAAAATTGCCACAAACCTGGCTGCTTAAAACAATGTACGTGGGACTGGGAGCAGTGGCTCACACCTGTAATCCCAGCACTTTGGGAGGCCAAAGCAAGCAGATCACTTGAGGTCAGGAGTTCGAGACCAGCCTGGCCAACATGGCAAAACCCTGTCTCTACTAAAAATACAAAATTAGGCAGGCACGGTGGTGCATGCCTGTAATCCCAGCTACTCGGGAGGCTGAGGCAGGAGAATTGCTTGAACCCGGGTGGCAGAGGTTGCAGTGACCTGAGATTGCACTGCCACACTCCAGTCTGGAAGACAGAGCAAAACCCTGTCTCAAAAAAAACACAAAAACCAAAAAACATACATGGCCAGACATGGTGGCTCACGCCTGTAATCCCAGCACTTTGGGAGGATCGTTTGAGGCCAGAAGTTTAAGATCAACCTGGGCAACAAAGCAAGACTCCATCTCTACGAAAAATATATATATTTAAACACACACACACACACACACACACACACACACACA
This sequence comes from Homo sapiens, assembly GCF_000001405.40. Lineage (NCBI taxonomy): Eukaryota > Metazoa > Chordata > Mammalia > Primates > Hominidae > Homo > Homo sapiens. The sequence goes on along the minus strand of NC_000003.12, from coordinate 72,603,083 downwards.
CTCTCTCTCTCTCTCTCTCTCTCTCTCTCTCTCTCTCTCTCTCATTATCTCACAGTTTCCATGGGTCAGGAATCTGGGCGCAGTTCAGCCAGGTCCCCTGCTTCTGGGTCTTTCATCAGTTTGCAAGCAAGATGTCAGCCATAGCTGGCATCTCAGCGGGAGGTTTGATTGAGAAAAGATCTGCACCCAAGCTCACATGGTTGTTGGTGGAATTTGGTTCCTGGGAGGGCTGTTTGATCGAGAGTCTCAGTCCTCACTGGTTGTTGACTGGAAGCTGCCTCCATTTCTGGCCATGCAGGCCCTTCCAACATGGCAGCTATCTTCATCCGAGTGCACAAGCTGAGAAGGCAAGAGAGAGAGTCTGCTAGCAAGACGGAGGTTATAATCTCTTGTAACCTAATCATGAAAATGACAACTCATCACCTTTGCTGTGTTCTGTTGGTTAGAAGCAAGTTGTTTCTAACCGCCATATCATGCTGCTGTTGTTTGAGCTCCTGGGGTCAGCCATGCTTGAAGTCCCTCAATCCCTGGACTTTTCAGTTACAGGAAACAAGAACCCTCTCCCCCGCTTTTTTAGCTGGAGCCCACGTGAGCTGAGTTTTCCATCACTTGCAACAAAAAGAGAATATTCTAATACAGTAGGCTTCTATAAATATTTGATGAGTGGATTTAAAGGAAGTGCTGAAGAATTGATAAGCAATTTTAGAACTCTGAAGGCTCAAGAGCCTAGGAATAACACCCAAGGGTTGGCAAACTTTTTCTGTAAGCAGCCAGCTAGTAAATATTTTAGGCTTTGCAGACCACACAGTCTCTGTTGCAACTAATCAGCTCTGTGTTGTAGTGTGAAAGCAGCCCTTGACAATACAGAACTGAGAGTGGCTGTGTTCCAATAAAACTTTATTTACAAAGTCAGGCAGCAGGTGGGATTATCCCACAGGCTGTAGTTTGCTGACCTCTGCCATAAGCTACTGGCAAGTGTGAGAAGGATTGTTAAGTGTTTCATACTGAAAAAAAAAAAAATCTGAGCAGGCTGGTGACCTTGGGGGTTGCTGCTACAAGGTTGGATGATGTTTCTTCTCAATCTCTTCATATCTGTCAGTCCTCTCCTCTTTTCCCAGTCCCGTCAGTGCCTGAAGGGCTTTGGTAAAAGGGAGAGGACATCCAGGTCCTCGGTGGCTTCACATTCATCCCACCCTCCATCACTGGGTTGGCCACAGGTGTCGTCATCCCCAGCCTTACTTTGTTCTCTTCCCTTCCTGTCATCCTCAACTTTTTTCTTCTGTTCTTCTTCATTCACGAACATTTTATTCCTTCTTCCTTTTGCCCCTTCTTCCATCCAGATAGCAAGGAGGGTGTTCAGAAAGAGGAGAGAGAGGAAGCTAAAGAGAAAAGTAAATGAAACCAGAATGGCCTTCTCCCCAGGACCTCCATCCTGAGCCTTGCAGCGAGAGTGAAGAAGCATCTGAGCTGTCCTCCAGGGACAAGCAAGGAAAAGGATCCCCCATTTTGGGGAGAATCACGTGGTAAGATGGGCATTCCTGTGGGAGTGGGGCCTTTCTCCTAGAATGTAAGCTCCAGGAGGGCAGGGACCATGTCCCCAGTCCATCCCTAAAGCCTGGTGTGGTGCCTGCACTCAGATATAGAGCAAAGAGTTGCTGAATGAATCAGTGAGCAGAGCTCTTGCAGCTGGTGTTCTGAGTGATTTCTCCAATGAAGGCTCACTTTATTTTCAGGCTGCTATAGACTCTGCTTCCTTAGCTTAGCTCCAGGCCAGCTGCAAAGACTCTCTAAGCTGGAGGCAGGAGGGGTGATTCTGTCCTGTGTAATCTTTTTAAGTGACTTCTTTGGAAAAGGCTTTGCATGCATTAAACACTGGGTTCGCAGAGTCTTAGGCATCTTTCAGAGGCAGTGTCAGGCAGCTGCTGCCAATAGGGACCACGCGAGGCTGGGTGAAAGATGGATGAGGGATTATCTCCTCTCTGTGGAGCCAAGGAGGGACAGAGCCGAGGGCTGCTACCGCACAGTCCTCAGAGTGACCAGGCCCCTCATGGTTTCCAGAAAACACTGAGTGTTCCTCCTTCTCCCTCAGGCACAGTGTGGCCTTGCAGTCAGGAACACAGATTTGATACCTAAATGCCTCAGCAACAACCCTACCACCTTCTCCTATTAGCTGTGTGACCCTGAGCAGGTTCTGTTCCCTCTCTGTGCCTCTGTCCTCTTCTCTGTGAGTTGAAACACTGACGGTGCTTCAGACTTAACGTTTTCACACGGGGTTCTGTTGTAAAGTCAGCTGGAAGTCCAAAGTACCCTTGAAAAATGCTCTAAATCACCCTTAAATTTGGTCTATGAGATTTTATATTATCTACAGCTCTTAGAGAAATTTCCAGGCCCACTAAAGGACCCAATGAGAAGTCTCTGTGCAAGTGTCTGGGAAGTCAAATCATTCAGTCTTCCAGACAATTACCATCCCCTGGCAGTGGCTGGTGGTGGAGTGAGGACTCCTCAGGTGTTCTTGCCTGAAGGCTTTTCTCCATGCTAGTTTCATAGCTTCTATAATCGTCATACATGTGAATAACTGTTTTGTTTGGAATTGGAAAGATCAAAGAAAGAGCGGTGTTGCATGGGCTGGGGGTGGAGTGGGAGTTAGAAAACTTGAAAGCCTCAGAAATTTGTCCCATAGATTAAATGAGATACTGCATGGTCCATGTGTAGGGCAGTGGTTGGCTCAAAGTAAGTGCTTGATAAAAGATAGGTTTGGGTCTAACATTATTGTTATTATTATGTCTTTGGAACCTCAATTCCACCTGGCCTATAATTATTTAGACAATGTAGTGGATGCTGTGAGCGCATCCCCTGCGCTCCACCCTTGGGTCCCTTTGCCGTTTTCAGAAAGGCCAGCTCTCACTCCGGCTAGCCTGCACCTGAGTCTCTGTCGAGGGGGCTGTCCTCAGGCTGCTGCAGCCAGTGGAGAGTGGAAGTGCCTGGGAATTTATGGTCTACTCAGCTCCCTCACCCTGATCTTCCCAGTGGGGACAGCTCTGAGGCTCAAGCCACACTGTCCCCAGCACTCCCCTGCAGGATGGAGACAAAAGTACCCTCTATTTGTCTCCTTGTTCCCCAGTTCTATCACCCCACTTCCTAATAAGTCACTTTCACACGAACCCTCATTTCCCACTCTGCTTCTGGGAACTCGGTCTAAGAAAGAGAGGTGCTGGGATTTTCCATATTGTGCGGATGGAAACCAATGTGAGGAATAGTGCAGAGAGGAGAATAGAGAAAAGAAGGAAACACTGGGAAAGAAAGGGACAGGGGGAATCAGAAAATGGGGTGGAGGTGACTTCAGGCATTATAGAAAGCACACCAACCCAGACCTGACAAATGGAGAAACTGAGAACTGAGGAAGAGGGGCTTGCCTGAGGGCTCATGACATTGCTAGACGCAGAACTTGGCTGGTACCTGGCTCGCAAAGGTGCCCGGTATGTATTTGTAGAATGAGTGAATTGAATGGATAAGTGGCCAGGACTGCAGTCCCGTCCCCTGAGCCAACAGGCTCAACTGAGGCTTCAGAGAACATTTTGCCCTGCAACATCTGCCACCCAGGTGCCTGACCTTCCCTGCAGATTAGTCTCTGGGTATCTGCTCCCTGCACACCTGGAGGCCTCTGGTTCTGGGGCGCCCCGGCCAAGGTCCCAGGGTGGGCACATCTATATGACCTTGTCATTGGCCCAAACACATGGGGAGGTTATCTCTTCTTCCTTCCTTCCTTTGCCACAAAGGCATTTCTCAGAGATAGCAGAGATCATCTGTCCTGAGCTCCTCAGACTTTCATCTGCACCCAAACCTCCCAGTTGTTCGAATGCAGATTCTGATCCAGTGGGTCTGGGTGGGACTGAGAATCTGTATTTTGAGCAAGCTCCCGGGTGAAGCAGGTGCTGCTCGTCCATGAACCACACTTCGCAAGGTTCTAGGAATGTGCCTTTGTTTGCCTCGCCCCCTGGTCTCCTTACCCACCCTTTAAGGCTCAGCTCGAATGTCACTTCCAATTCCCTCTTGAGTCTTCCTCATTTTTTTTTAACAGGAAGAAATCTTTTGCCATGTCACTTTTTCTGTGCCTCTTAGAACATTTAAGATATGCTCCTCATGGCATGGTTATTTACATCCTGGACTGTGAGCTCCTAAACGGGCTTTGTCTGATTTCATTTTGTAACCTTGCGGCACCTCTTTTGCTCTCTGGTACACTGTAGCGAATGGTCACTTGCCGGTGCCAGGCACTGGGCTCAGTCCCTAGTGAGCATTATCTGGATAATCCTCAAATAGTCTTGTGAGGTAGGTATGAGTATCCCGGGACTCAGAGAGGTGAGGTGAATTGCCTGAGGCCACATAGCTAGTAAGTAGCCAAACCCGTTAAATCTATCTGTCAAACCGGGCATGGTGGCACACACCTGTAGTCCCAGCTACTTGGGAGGCTGAGGCGGGAGGATCCCTTGGACTCAGGAGTTTGAGTCCTGTCTGGGCAACATAGCAAGACTCTGTCTCTAGAAAAATAATTTTAAAATATTAAAAAATCCAGTGATTAAAGCCCAAGCTCTTATGCATTTTATATTTGTTAAAGGAGTGAATAAGTAAACGAATAAATTAATAGATGGATGAATGCGTATTTCAGATGAAAAAATTGATTCTGTGTAAAGTGCTACACTTGAAAGCCCAGGAATGCACAGATTTTAATTTGAGATGGGACTGATTCTCCCCGAATCCCTCCTTCCTTTCAATCCCAAAATTTCCATGAAATTCTTATTCATAACTGAGACCCCACCCACAAAGAACAGGAAACTGACATATTCAGCCACAGCCATTACACTTCTCAACGCCCTCGGGTTTAGTCCCCAACATCTCATCTGTCACTAAATAGGATCTCCCTCCCCCAGAGTATGAAGGGAGAGCTCCCCGCCTCCTGGGGGTGGAGTGGGGGTGGGTGCTGGAAGGCAAAGCTGCCTTTTAGAAAAGCGCAGCGCTGATGTGGAACCAGGCAGCTGTTGGCCTTTATTTCACTGGAGCAGCTTACCTCAGATCATCTCCTCAATCACAGGCCCTTAAACAGCTTCTGACAATCAATTCATATCCCTGCTGCTGCTGCTACTGCTGGGAGGTGGAGGAAAAGAATTACCGTATTTGCCTGTGTATAAGCAGCAGCCTTCTGGTGGCCAGTGACTCCCTGGCATGAGCCAACCTGCTGCCCCGTGGGAGGACAGCACAGGCAAAGTAGCTGACATTGCATGGAGCCCTTGGCATGGGTCAGAGGCCCATGTAAGTCCTTTCAGGGCCTCATCTTGAATTTTCCCCACATTCCTGCCATTCTCCCTCACTCTGATTGGCACACTCCAGCCCCACTGGGCTTTCTCTATACCTAAAATAGACCAAGTTCCTTCATGCCCCAGGGCTTCTGTACTTGCTGCTCCTGTTGGCTGAACAGCTCTTCCCCAGATCTTTGTCTGCCAGGTTTCTCCCCTCCAACTGGGTATCAGATCCCAGGTTACCTTCACAGACAGCCCCCCCCCGACCACTTTGTCACGGGCAGCCTCCTCCTTCCTGCACCATTGTCCTGTTTTATTTTCTTCCGAATGCTTATCACTATTTGAAAGCCTGACTGTGTGTGGGTGCATGTGTGTGTTGGTCTGTATTTCCCCTTAGAATATAAACTCCATGAGTGCAGGGGCTTGTCTTGCTTACATCATCAGCTCCTACTACCATGCCTGGCAAATAGTAGTTGCTGCATGTGGCTTGCTGAGTGAATGAAGGCAGAGCCCCATAATGATCTCTATTGTGAAGGTAGGAAAGTTCAGAGAAGTTAAGTGACTTACCCAAAATCACACAGCAGATAGGCCAACCCAGATGTGTTTGATTGCAGAGAGAGAGAGGAGGTATGTAGTCAGGCTCCCTCCCTGTCTGGGAAGGAAGGAATTGTGCCCAGGGTACCTAAGCATGAGTCCTTGTTTTCCTTCTTATCCCATTTTCTCATCTGGTCCTGAAAGAGTAGGTGACATAGTGGCTCACGTTTAATGGCTTTCTATGTATTATCCTGTTTAGTGCCCCAAGATATTTTTATCCCCATTTTTTGCGCAACTGAGCCAAGGAGGCAGGTCACCTGCTGAACCACATCAAATATCAGCTTGTTAGTGGCCAAGAGCAGGGCTTGCCACCCCCTCCCTGCTTTTCCACGTCTAGGATTGTCTTTGTGGACCGAGCACTGTGGGGAAGCCAGATTATTCTTCTTAGGCCCAGCTTGCTAATGATGGGTGGTGGAGCAGGTGCTCTGCCCTAAAACAGGGGGCATGGGAATGGGGTGAGGGGTGAACAGAGTGTCTAGGGAGCCTGGGCTTAGATGGCAGGTCTGCTGCTCACAAGCTGTGTGAGTCTTCTCTCTGAGCTGCATTTTCTGCACAGCCTCACCTCGCAGGGTGGTGGTGAGGACTGAGTGAGATCAAGCATGGAAAGCTCAGCAAGTGCCCGGCACATGGAAAGCGCTCAGCAAACGGGAGGTGTGCTCAGACATCGGGCACATTGAAGCAGATTGCTGGACCCCTGGAATCACAGCATGGCAGGCTGGCTTCCTTGACTTCATTGCTGTGCCCCAGACCTCCTGGCCTCCTACTCATCCTCCAGGAATCCTCCTTCAGGGAGCTCCTGGGACCTGGGGTTAAGTGCCCCTTTCTGCTTCCAGGCTGAGCTTCTCCATTGGAGACATTTCACAACATCTGTCTGTCTTTTTTGTCTCCACCTTCCCTGCTCAGTCTATTCCTCCAAGCCAGCACCTGACACATACACAGTAGGCCCTCCATAAATATGTGGGTAAAGAATATCAGAAAAAGGGAACAGCTTGGGCAAAGGCAGAGAAGCATGAGGAGGCATGCGTATTTGGAAAAGCAAGCCATTTGGGTGGGAGGTGGGTGGGAAGGTGAGGCTGAAAAGGCATTTGGGACCAGCTCACAGGGGCAGCTGGAGACCTACGAAGGAGTCAGGACCTGATGCAGGGGAGAATGATGAGGAGGCCAGTGAGTAGTGCAGATCAGAGTTTAAGAAGGCTGTGTGAAGGAAGACTGTGGGAGTCGAGGGATGGAGGGGAATGAAGGAGAGTAGATAGGAAACTGTTGCCAGCCAGGGTGATATTCAAAATATTTAACTACTGGTACCAGATCAATGAGACAACTGGTAGGTCATGAGCATCAACCAATCAGAAGCGGCTGGGTCAGGGTCTTGGAGGCCCCTGCTGCACTCAGCATTAACCCTTCAGTGGCTAGCCTGTGGCAATCTGTGGGATTCAAAAGAGGGCCTGAGTGGCCTAGGTGGGGGAAGCCAGGGACTCAGGCCGGTGGATATTTACCAACAGGTGACGGAAATAGTGCAGTACTTTAACAACGATGGTGGCCATATCAGTGCACACATGCTGATGGTCAGCCCTGGCTGGTGCCCCAGTCACAGAAAGGAAGAAGCAGATGTCTGTGAGATTGTTCAGATAACATTGACAGGAGAGCGTGGTGACTGCTTTGGTTCCCATATTGTTATAAGAAACCTGCTTTGTTCAGAGCTCTTTAGGGTGGGTGGAAGGGTGTGATGTCACCCCTTGACCATGTTGGTTGTTTACTTCTGCCTCCTCAAATCCATGCCTCCTTTTCCTTTTTCTGGTACCAGCACCTCAGTCTTCTTTGGAGAAAAATTCTCCTCCTGCTTTTTTTTTTTTTTTTTTGCTCCTCACTGCAGCCTCGACCTTCCCAGGCTCAGGTGATCCTTCCACTTCAGCCTCCTGAGTAGCTGGGACTACAGGCGCACACCACTGGGCCCAGCTAATTTTTCTATTTTTTGTAGAGACAAGGTTTTGCTATGTTGCCCGGGCTGGTCTCGAACTCCTGGCCACTCAAGCTATCCTCCCACCTTGGCCTCCCAAAGTGCTGGGATAGCAGGCATGAACCACCGTGCCTGGCCATTCTCCTGTTTTTAGTCCATCTGGTTTCAGGGTGCAGTGTCACTCAGGTCTGGCCCATCAGCATTTCCATCCACTGGACAGAGCAACTGGTTCAGCAAGGGGGCTGTGATCTGGGTTGGCTCAGTGAGAGTCAACCCTAGGAATGTGATTGGAACTTCTGGCAGAAAGAAGCCACCTTTCTACTGAGACTGCTAAACTAGAGGATCTAAAGCTGGAGGGAACTTGCCTGAAAATGAAACCAACACAGATCAAAAAAGGGCTGAGCATCAGAATTCCTGACAAAAGAACTTAAGCCCCTGGATCCAGCAATGCCTGATGCCTACCCTTGACTTTTAAGTTACTTGAGGCAAAAAATTTGCTTTTTTTCCTGGAACCAGTTTGATTTGGGTCTTCTAATACTTACCAATCCAGTACTCTCCCTTGTGAATTAGGAACTGAGACATAAAGACTGAAGCCTATTTATATTGGCTTAAACTAAGAGGCCACAGAATGCCAGGTTGGAGTGGCCATGTGCTCACCTGAGCACAAATACCGGAGACACAGAGAGAGGTCGCAGAGAGGAACAAAAATGAGACAGAGATGGAACAGATGAAAAGATAGAGGGGGAGATGAGAGACCATGTGGCTTCAGAAAAAATAGGAAAAGCCTTTTCTCTACCCCTGGGGTCTTAGTGGTCTCTGCTTCTGAACCTAAAGGGAGCCTGGCTACATTTCCTGCCCTCGGTTCTTCCCCCAGCTCTCATATCTTCCCCAAAACTGGCCTCCTGGACTTGAATTAGTTTGAGTGGATTTCTTGCCTTCAAATAATTCACAACCAACACAGCAGCTGATTGGATAGGAGAGACAGGGAACAGAAATATACCAAGGATTACATCAGAGATTACATCATGGGGAGAGGAGAGGGAGGAACACAAGGTTGTGGGTGGGGGTGACCCGGAATTAAAGTCTGTTAAGGCCTTTTTATGTGCCTAAAGCCAAGCCTCCTACAAATACTGCAAATTCTTCTCTCCTGGAAACCAAAAGTCCATGCAGCTCAAACAACCAGAATCCCATGATCCTGCCCTGCATGGATGCTCAGAAGGTTGTTGGCCGGCACATGGCTGTATTTGTGCTGATCTGACCCTGGGGATTAAAGGTTTCACTTGCTCGTGCCCTCAGTCAGCGTGCTGGAGGGTTGCCATCCTCCTTTTGATGGCAACCCTTGCCTCCTCATTTCCATCTGCACCTGTCAATCTCACCACACTCACCAGCCTCTTCCTGGCCTCAGTCTCTCATGCCCTCCATCACTGGGTAAAGACCTAGTCACAGCCTCTGCTGCAGCCTTGTACATGTGCCCTGGGCACCACTGTTCCCACAGCCAGGGATGGTGTCCTTGTAGGTGCCTGTCATTCTCTGCCAGGGAGCTTGCTTTGGCCAGGAGCATGCCTGTGGGAGTGGGGTGGGCAGGCCAGGATGCTGGGGCATTGATGCCTCCAGGAGAGGCCCTGGACCAACACCAGACAGGGGTCTGTGGGCAAATACACCAGTTTCTTCATTCCTTAGGTGGGACAATTCTGACTCCTTTTCTAGACTATCTCAAGGTGTAGGGGAGCCCAGCCTAAGTTAAACTGATACATCCCTGCGTCCAGTCATTGTCATTTCTCACCTGGCTTCCTGTCTGGCTGCGCTCTAGTCCATTCTACAGCTGAAGGAGTTTTCTTTTCTTTTTTTTTTTTTTTGAGACAGAGTTTCGCTCTTTTGCCCAGGATGGAGTGCAATGGCACCATGATCTCGGCTCACTGCAAGCTCCGCCTCCCAGGTTCACGCCCTTCTCTTGCCTCAGCCTCCTGAGTAGCTGGGACTACAGGCACCCACCACCACGCCTGGCTAATTTCTTTGTATTTTTTTTAGTAGAGACGGGGTTTCACCATGTTAGCCAGCATGGTCCTGATCTCCTGACCTCGTGATCTGCCTGCCTCGGCCTCCCAGAGTGCTGGGATTACAGGCGTGAGCCATTGCGCCCGGCCAGGAGTTTTCTAAAATGCAAAATTGGCTGGGCGTGGTGGCTCATGCCTGTAATTCCAGCACTTTGGGAGGCTGAGGCGGGTGCATCACTTGAGCCAGGAGTTTGAGACCAACCTGGGCAACCTAGGGAGACCCCGTCTCTACTAAAAATACAAAAAAAATTAGCTGGGTGTGGTGGCATGCACCTGTCATCCCAACTACTCGAGAGGCTGAGGCACAAGAATCGCTTGAACCCAGGAGGCGGAAGTTGCAGTGAGCCGAGATCATACCACTGCACTCCAGCCTGGGTGACAGAGCGAGTCTCCGTCTCAAAAATACATAAGTAAATTAATTTAAAAATAATAAAATAAAATGCAAAATTAATCATTTCCCTCCTCTGCTCCCTATTGCTTTTAGGCAGTGTTTGAACCCCTTACATGGATGACAAAACACCCTGTTAGTCCCTTAGCAGGGTTGCTCGGCCAGCTGTCTCCTCCATCCCCTGCTCCCTTCTCTCACACACAACTCCAGCCATATGCAATCATCGGAAATTGTCCTACGTGCAATGCTTGCCTTCAACCCAGGCCATTGCTGTGCTGTTCCCATCTCCTGGAATCTTCTCCCCCTTTCTCCTTTCCCAGTACCTTGGCCCATCCCATGCTGACTTCTGTCTTCAGGCCTCCTTCCTCTAGAAAGCCTTCCTGACCTCAGGCAGGGTTAGAGTCCATCTCTCCTTGCATCCACAGAACTTTACTCTTGCCCTCCTCACCCTGGGGCAGAGCTGTCTCCTTATCTGCCCTTCCTTCTTGAGCCGTGGCTTTCAGCCCTGGTTGCACGTTAGAAACATGTGGAAGCCTTTACAAAATGCAGATACCTTGGCCCCACCATGGACTAATCACATCGGAATCTCTGCGGGTGGGGCCTAGTATAGGCTTTTCTTAAAAGCTCCCCGAGTGATCCCAATGTGCAAAACCACATTCTGATAGTATGATCTCACGAAGGCAGAGGCTGGGTTTTATTTATTTCATCTTCAGTTCCTGGTACATAGTAGGAGGTCCCTGATAAATGTTGGCTGTGGATATGAATGACAGCTACTGACATGCTGTCATCCTTCTGTGTCAGGTGCTGTTCCAAAGCAATCAATGAATAAACGAAAGAATAAATAAGTGAGTGAATGAATGTATCAGTGAATGAATGAATGAATGAATAAAAGGCCCACCCACATGCAGCTGGGAACTAGAGGCTCCAAAAAAATGTCTGTCCCTCGAGATGTCTAATTGTCTAAAGGCAGTGAATAGCCTCTTGCCAAACTCCTAGCAGAGATTAAGTAGTCATCCAGCCCTGGGGCACGACCGTGGGTGGTCACTGCTGAGCTGCCAAGTCACCAGCAAGCAGGAGCAGCGGCAGCCACAAAACTGGAAACTGGAGTTGGGAGATGGGGGCTGGGAATTCAGCTAGGAAGGAGCCAACGGGCTCCTTATTTAGGAAGGAATTTGTTTTGGTGTTGCGGGTGCGGGGGTTAAAATTCATTGTTTCTGAGGTTGCTGTGAAGAGTTGGGTCCAACCCAGCAGCATGGGGTTGGAGCAGGGTAATTGGAGGTTGCAGGGCCTGGATTTGCAGCTCTCCTCCCAATGAAAATACACTGGAAAGCAAAACAGAGAGGCTGGAAAATCGTCTCCCAGCGTCACCGGCAAGAATGAAAATATATGGCTTAATAAAAATGGCTGATTCAATTTCAAACAAGTGGCTCATACCCACCTCTAAATAGCTGCTGTTAAAATGCAGACTATAGCCCTGTTTTAAATGAGGCCTAAGGTAGGGAGGAAAAAGGCCTCTCTGCAGGGAGGGGCATGGATCTTTGCTGAGGCCTATTTCAGTCTGAAGTTTTTAAATGGAGTCAAATCAAGGTATTGATGTTGCTTTAATTTTTTTTCCTGTCCGCACAAAGTAGGCTCTAAATGGCATTAGCTGTAATGAGGTAACCCTCTATGCTCCCCGGGGTGGGCACCTGAGCAGGGGCCCCCACAGGACTGCCTGCCGCCCTGGGGTGCTTCACGGGGAAGGGCCACCTCCCTTTGTTCTGTCTCCATGGCCAGAATGAACCCAGGCGGAGTCCAGTGGCATTCAGAGCTGCCCCCAACCCAGCTGCCAGTTCCCTGTTATCTGAATTGAAGAGGTCAGAGGTTAAGTGAGAGATCAGAGTCCCCGGGTCAGGGAAAGAAAAACAAATCCCCGGGGCCTCCGCTGTGCTCTTGAAGCGTGTAGGCCGTGCCCTCCGGTGCAGATGGGGGAATATTTTATACCAGGCCCTGTCCTTTTCTGTTACCATGTAAATTGACTGACTTTTTTTCTTTAACCGAGTTAGGGGAATTTCATGGAGGGGAAAAAAAGGATTGCATGGGCATTTGAATTTTTGCTGAAGACCAAGAGTAGCAACTCCAGTTCTGGCCTCAGCTTCATGACAGGAAGCCGTCGTTGACTGTGGGCCTGTTTTCCTCTTTTCAAACAAGTCCAAGAGGTGATAAGGTAAAAAGGGGTCGAGACACTCATGAATGTATTCAGAAACTAGGTGATCGCACCTGCTATCATGGAGAAGGGAGGCACATTTAAAAGCTTGTTATTGGCTTGGCATGGTGGCTCACGCCTGTAATCCCAGCACTTTGGGAAGCCGAGGCAGGCGGATCATCTGAGGTCAGGAGTTTGAGGCAAGTCTGGCCAACATGGTGAAACCCTGTCTCTACTAAAAATAAAAAAATTAGCCAGGCGTGGTGGTGTTCACCTGTAGTCCCAGCTACTCAGGAGGCTGAGGCAAGAGAATCGCTTGTACCCAGGAGGCCAAAGTTGCAGTGAGCCGAGATCACGCCACTGCACTCCAGCCTGGGCAATAGAGTGAGACTCAGTCTCAAAAACACAAACAAAGAAAAAAAGCCTTGTTATTCTGTGGGTCTAAGAAGCTCCTCATCGTTCAGGCTCCTCAATCAGGAAGCAGTTTTGGATTCTTTACTGGGTTCTTAGCCCTGTGCAAAGAGCTGTAAGGGTTACTGGAGGTTAAGATAAGATAATGCCTCTCAAGGGGCATTTTATGTTGTTTTAGAGCCAGAAAGACTTCAGTTCATCCTGGCTCTGATAGTTCCTAGCCATGTGACCTTGGACTGACTCCTCGAAGCCTCTGTTTACTTATCTGTAATATGGGCGTAGTAGGCCCTCCGTCCTCACCACTTCAGTGTACTCTGGCACCTCCATTTCTTCCCCTGGGGGCTTTCTCAGGCTGCCGATGCCCACTTTGCCTGCCCTTGCAGGTGCCAGCAGTGCCCAGGAATTAGTGCCATTCCCACCTACACACAGCCCTCAACCAGCGTCTGGTGGGAATTGGTGAATAAGCACCCCAACTCCTTCACCCCCTGGGTACGGTGATTCTGAGACGCATTCTATGCCACTTCTCAGAATTTCCCCAGCGGGATTTGGCTCTGGTTTTCCCCCAGGGTGAACTTGACTGATAATACACCCTCCCTTCCATGACCTCCCCACTGACCTGCCCATGTTTCTTTAAACTGCCAAGTAAACCAGGTGCTCTGAGTCCCTGTCTCAGGGTTACTTCCTCCGGGACTAAGACAATGGGATCATGAGAAGAAGAAGAAGGATGGTTGTGAGGATATTGCAATTGCTGAACAGTGTGAGAGCATAGAGACTGCTTGGCACAGGATATGTCCTCAAATCAGTGATAACTATCATTCATAAGACTCAAAATGTACCTGAGAGACGACAGCGCTTTACATTGAGAAAGCAAAGCTGCACAGGATTGAGTAGTTGAGGCAACAGGCAATGTAGATATTAAGAGGAGAAAGGGGAGAGCTGAAAAGGAGAAACACTTACGTTAGGCCCCACGAAGAAAGCAGGGAAGCGACTGAGTTACACAGCCACATCCACGGGCACTGGAAGAGCACCTGGCTCACCAAGGGTCCTCAGCGCTCCCTTTTAAGCTTTCAACACCCCTTGATGCTCCCCTCTTAGCATTGAGTCAAAGCTGGAATTCAATAACTATTTGAGGCTGGGCATGGTGGCTCACACCTGTAATCCCAGCTCTTTGGGAGGCCAAGGAGGGTGGATCACCTGAGGTCAGGAGTTTGAGACCAGCCTGGCCAACATGGTGAAACCCCATATCTACTAAAAATACAAAAATTAGCTGGGCGTGGTGGTGGGCACCTGTAATCCCAGCTACTTGGGAGGCTGAGGCAGGGGATTGCTTGAACGCAGGAGGCAGAGGTTGCAGTGAGCTGAGATTGCTCCACTGCACTCCAGCCTGGGTGACAGAGCAAGACTCTGTCTCAAAAAATAATAATAATAATTAATAAATAAATAACTGAAAATTTGGCAAGTTTGAATAACATTCGTCTTTCTTGCACAATTTTAAGATTCTGAAGCGGAGGACAGGCTGTGTCTGTTCAGCATTGTATCCCCAATGCCCAACACACAGCCTAGTATATGTTAGGTCTACAATAGATGAGGAAACAGATACGTGAATGAATGACTGTCAAAGGAAGGGACAGGCATAGTTAAGAGCTAAGCCGAGCTAGTCTCGGAGCAGGTTGGAGCAGGCCAGCTGAAAGTCCTAGTGAAGGGCTTGGTTTGGCAGGAATGGAAAAAGGAAGAATTGTAAAAAGGGAGGCTCAGGACAGGTTTCGGAGGGCTTTGGGTGCTGAGTTAGGAGTCTGGGCTTTTATTCCAACAGTAATTGGGAGCCATCAAAGGGCCTTGAGCTAGGAGGGAGATGACATGGTAGAAAAAGGATTTTGCTTTGTTTTTTTAAGAAGACTCTTCTGGCACTTTCCTTGGCTGTGATAAAGAGTTTTGATATCCCCTAATGCCAGTGGGTTTCTGGGAACTTGAATGAGATAATATATCGGCAGTGCCTAGCACAGTGCCTGGCATCTACTCATAGGATGCACCCAATAAATGCTAGTTACTGTTCTTGTATGAAGTGTAAATAAAATACTTTATTAGTGTTTTACAAAAGAGATTGTAAATAGAGAAGAGCAGAAGGCCATAGCCTGAGACCAGAGGAAAGTGGTCACCTACACCAGGGAAGGAGCGGCTGGAGAGAAGGAAGGTGTTGTGGACACTGTAGTGTGCTGCCTAGATCCCCTTTTGGGGAGGGACTGATTCCCCCAGCTGCTGGCAACACTGTTGGAATGAATGGCCCGTGGCTAAATAACACCACCTTGCCCAAAGCCTTGCCTACTTCCAGGGAGCCCACCCCCAGCGACTGATCAACCGGGTGTGTAAAGACCTGATTCTTTTGCTCCAACTCAGTGCCCCGAATGCCTGTCCCTGTGGAGCTGGCTGAGGCCTTTGCTGAGACTATTTCACAATTCAGCTTCTCCCTCCCAGTCCTGCTTCCCTCTGCTCCCTCCACGGAGTGATGCTGAGAGCACTCCCTGATCATCTCCATCTTAGAGACAGCTTACCAGGGGAGTCAACCTGCAGCAGGAGAGCTAGGTAGAACAGCGCCATGGAGACCTAGGCAGGAGAGCTGTCTAGAGGGAGGAGGTGAGTGAGAAGACCATATTGAAATGGGAAAAGTTCCCTTGTCCCCTTCACAGGGTGTGTGTGGCTCGCTTCTTCAGTGCCCCGCTGCTCAAACCTCTAGGGGGAGCAGGCAGATGGGCAGGCTGTGGGGCTCCCATCCCAAGGCAGCATCTAGGGGTGAATACTTATAGCTCCTGAAGCCCCAGTGGGCATGTGTTATGGGGTGCTCTTTTAGTTTTGCCATTTGTAGGTGGCTTGTGTTAGTCAGCTCTATTAGACTCCCTGCCTTATCACAAGGACAGAGGGCTTTCTGTATCCCAGGGTTTCTTGCTTTGGTGTACTGGAAGAATCGGATCACATGTGGGCTTGGAGAATGAATGCAAGGTTTTATTGAGTGGAAGTAGCTCTCAGCAGATGGGGGAGCTGAAGGGAGATGGAATGGAAAGGTGGTTTTCCCCTAGAGTCAGGCCGCTCAGCAGTGGGGCTCCCCTCCAACTGCCCCAGCCAAACTCCATGTTGTTGTGCTGGTCGATGGCCTGCCAGCCTGCAGGTGCCTGCCAGTGTGCTCCTGACGTCCAGCTGCTTGTGTGTTCTTCGGCTGGTGTGTTCTGCTCAATGGCTCAGCTACTTCTTGTGTGCATACCCACTAAGGTCTCCGGTTTATTTACAGCACAGGATCAGGGTGTGGCCGACCAGGGTGGCCTTGGGAAATGCAACATTTGTGCATGAAGGCAGGAGTGCCTGTCTTCACCTAGGTCCATAGGCTCGGGGGTGGAGCCGTAGCCAGGCACCATGCCCTTCCCTTCCCAGCACTTCTCTGCCCATCTTCCATATCAAAATGGTGCCATGAGAGCAGGAGAACAAGATCTGAGAAAAGGCCTCTGGATTCAGCAACTAGGAAGCCGGCATGAGCCCAGTGCATTCAATGAGTCCAATTAATGGCAGAGGCTGAAAAGGTGATGCTGGAGTGAAACAAAGACCACAGGTGCAGAGAGTCTAGAAATTAGGCTAGGAAAGAAGACAAACTGTGAGAAGACAGCCTGAGAGGTGCCCGGGTCCTGTCACGCAGCCTCTGGATCTGGCTTATTTTGTTAAAAACAACCAAGGATTCCCATCAGAAAACCCTCCGACCACATGTTCAAGAGACACCAAATATCTCTTTAACCGTGAGACTTTAAAAGGGCAATTTGTTTTTTGAGGATCTAGAATGCAAGCCTTAGGGATGTCATTTCCCCAGCACTGAAAACACTGCAGCAATCTCGATACTGGGCATTTTTGTAAAATGAGAATCACTGTCCACCCTGCTAAGCCTCTCGCACTCTCCCTCGTCCTCCAAGGACTCTTCAGGGTCTGCTCTTTGAACCCCAGTCCTATGCCTCTTCCCTTTTGGCCTCCTTTGGCACAGATTATTTCAACAAATAGTTATTGAAACCAACAAAATGACATCAAGTCAAAAGCAGCTCATTGAAATTCTTTTCCTCCTCTACTTCCACCCCCACTCCCCAGGCTGGGACAAAGAAAGCGTGGAATATATTCAGAGCCCACCAGCTCTCAGACAAAACTGGCCTCCCCAATTTCCTGGTGGACTGTGGCTGATTCCCACCCTAGTGCTGTGTCCCCCACCTCTTCCAGGGCCCTCTCCTAAAGATGCCTATGTAAAGTGTGGCCCTCCTCAGAAGAACCCAGTTTCTGGGGTCCTCAGACCCAGGCTTCTCTCTGGGTTGAAAACAAAGTCCAGATGCCCACTCACTGCTGATGGGAACATTAAATGGTGCAAGCACTTTGGAAGGCAGTTTGGCAGTTTCTTAAAAAGTTAAACTTACCATTTGATCCAGCCATTATACTCTTAGATATTTACCCAAGAGAAAGGAAAGTTGATGTCCATGCAAAGACCTGCACAAGAATGTTCGAATGTCTATAGCAGCTTTATGTGTGATTGCCCCAAACTGAAAACAATCCGAGTGCCCTTCAGTCGCTAAATGCGTAAACAAAACGTTGTGCATCCATACAGTGTCCTGCTACTCAGCAGTCAAAAGGAATAAGTTACCGATGCTGACAACAATACAAAACTCTAGAAAATGGAACCTAATCTATAGTGACAGAAAGCAATGGTTGCTCAAAGGGGAGATTGGGAAGAGGTGGAAAGGAAGGTATATTAGTCTGTTCTCACACTGCTGATAGAGACATATTCAAGACTGGGTAATTTATAAGAAAAAAGAGATTTAATGGACTCACAGTTCCACATGGCTGGGGAGGCCTGACAATCATGGTGGAAGGTGAAAGGCACATGTTACATGGCAGCAGGCAGAAGAAATGAGAGCAAAGCAAAAGGGGTTTCCCCTTATAAAACCATCAGATCTCATGAGACTCATTCACTACCACGACAATATGGGGGAAGCTGCCCCCATGATTCAGTTATCTCCCGCGTGGTCCCTCCCACAACACATGGGAATTGTGGAAGCTATAATTCAAGATGAGATTTGGGTGGGGGCACAGCCAAACCATATCGGAAGGATTAGAAGACACACAAGGAAACTTTTGGGGGGAATGGCTATGTTCATTACCTTGATTGTGGTTATAATCACACCGATGTATGAATAAATCAAAACTCATTGTATTGCATGCCTTAAATATGTGCAGTTTACTATATGTTAATTATACCTCAATAAAGCTGTTCAAAAAAAATTTTTTTAAGCAAAGTCCAGGAGAAGGAAGGCACCATGGCTTAGTTAAAGAGTAAAATCTTTCTCACAGAGAAAGTGCTCTGTTCCTGGGTTGACATGACATGAGCTGACATTTCAGCCTCTACTTCCTGGACATTGGACCAGGTGCTATATTGTTGGAATCACCCCTGCAATTTTATTTTTTTATTTTAAAAATGAAGACAGGATCTTGCTGTGTTGCCCAGGCTGGTCTCAAACTCTCAGGCTCAAGCAATGCTCCCACTTTGGTCTCCCAAAATGCTGGGATTACAAGCATGAGCCACCACACCCAGCCACCCCTGCCAGTTTAGAACTGAGTAGATTTGCTTTCTACTTGATTCCTGTATTCCAAAAAACCAAGCAAAGAATAGTTAGGAAATATTAGGTTTGGTGAACAAACAGTGAAAGGTGGGTCATATTTAAGAGAAAAGAGGAACTGTCTCTATTGGTCAAATTCCTAGAATTTGCCGTATGGTCACAATTAAATTGGGGCCAGTGTGGTGGCTCACATCTGTAATCCCGTGCTTTGAGAGGCCAAGGGAGGAGGACTGCTTGAGCCCAGGAGTTTGAGAGCAGTATGGGAAACCTGGTGTGACCTTGTCTTTACAAAAAATTTAAAAATTAGCTGAGCTTGGTGGTGTGCACCTGTGGTCCCAGCTACTCGGGAGGCTGAGGTGGGAGGATTGCTTGAGCCTAGGAGTTCAAGGCTGCAGTGATCTGTGATCACTCCAGCCTGGGTGACAGAATGAGATCCTGTCTCAAAAAAACAAAAAACAAAACAACAACCAAACCTAAATTGGGCTTATTTGTAAATGTGACTCTTTCCCTAAATGTTTAGAAGCATTCATTTACTCCTTTCAAAAGAAATGTATATGTATGTTGCTTTAAGTGAATGCATGACATTTATTGTATTGATGAACCATGGTTTATTTGGCTTTCTTCAGTAACCTTCTTGTTGGATGTTTAGGTTATTTCCAATGTTTTACTGTTATATATCATAGCAGACAATTTGGTCAAGAGCAATTTGGCTGGAAGCAAATTGATTAAGCTGTCAGTATGGTTGGAATGCTGAATTCGTTGATAATGAAAATTCTCAGTCACTATGTTTATACAAAAAGGAAATTTTTGTTTGCCAAGGGGAAATTTTGCCTGGAATGATATTCCAACTCTTTAAGCATCTTTCAGCAAAATAATCATTTAAAAAAAAATCTAAAGTTTTGTTTTCTTCTTTTCAACACCTCCCTATTTCCAGTCAATTATGCCCTGGTGGCTGGGTGCAGTGGCTCACACCTGTAATCCCAGCACTTTGGGAAGCTGAGGTGGGCGGATCACTTGAGGCTAGGAGTTCGAGACCAGCCTGGTCTGTGGTCAGTGTGCTGGTTAGTAGGCCCAGTGTTAGTAGGGTAGTGGATTTAAAGTGAAATCATATAGCTAGGCCAGATGTTATTAGGAGGGCTGAGAGAGCTCCTGTTAATGGCCAAGGGCTGGGCTTAACTATGTGGTAGGCGTGTGTTTGGTGGGTCATTATGTATTGTCGTGTAGGTAAAGTCTTACTAAAAGTGTGAAGACTTAAGCTTGGATGAAGGCAACAGCGAACTCAGCCTGGCCAACATGGCAAAATCTCGTCTCTACTAAAAATACAAAAATTAGCCAGGCATGGTGTCAGCGCCTGTAATCCCAACTACTTTGGAGGCTGAGGCAGGAGAATCACCTGGGAAGCAGAGGTTGTGTAAGCCAACATTGTGCCACTGCATTCTAGCCTGGGCAACAGAGTGAGACTCTGTCTTTAAAAAAACAAAAAAAACGCTCTGGTTTGGGATTAGACTAACAAAGAAGCAACTGAAGCAACTATCGCCTAAAAGATGGAAACGATCCTAGTGTTCACCATTTCATGTCTTGGATAGAATGCTCAAAATTTATGATATTTGCACTAGTGATTGAAAAACTAATCCTGGTTCAATTTACTAAATTAATACTTTCAGGAAAACATGGCTAAGAAAACAGAGGAAGAATCAGTTACAGAAAATAAAGCCTCTCCAGACTTTTTGTTTTTTTCGGTGCAAGTAAAGTTCCTAGTATTATCCCTATTCAGGTAGAGGGGGAAAAAAAAAAAAAAGGGTAATCTCTGGCACCTGGGAACCAGTGTGATACAGCAGGGCCATGGTGTTCTGCTGTTGGACAGACACAATCTCATAGAACACAGACAAGGTCACTCTGCAACCAGGATAAAGTAAACTGAAAAGAAGGTCATTGTGTAACCCATAAGATACCAAACATCTCTTTTTCTCACCAAACACGAGTGACTGTTGCTTCTTTGTCAATTACAGCTTTATCCTTGATTTAGTTTGCCTTCCGTATACGTAAGACTTATTGTGATACTGAATTCTAGAATTGTGGTTGCTTTCTGACAGCACTGAATCTAGAGTGAGCCTGTTTCCTTAAGCCTTCCGCCAGATCACTCAACCAAAGCCCAAATCCTGTAATAGATTCTTTCTAACACCCTCTACGGAAACTACCACAGTTCCCCATGGTATTCATGCTCTCTAGTTTCTACCAGTAACAAAACCAACTTGTTCAACAACAGGTGTGTTCCTGGGTGGTCTTTGGCTGAAGGGCATTGACAAGGTTCTTTAATTCTTTGTTCCTTTTATTTGTTTTCTTTCAATAGCTAGGCTTTCTCTTTTCAGGCAAAACAGGAAAACCAGACCAGCAGAGAGGAGAGAGACCAGCAATCAGACCCTCCCAGAGACAATCATTGTTAACATATTGGTGCGGACCTTTCCTAATTTCTTTTCTATAGATATGTTATAATTTTCCTCTTTAAAAATAGAACCAAATTATTCTATTTTTTAGTTGATTTTTTTTTCCAACTTATGACAGCGATGGTTAAATTTTATGCGTTACCTTGGCTAGGTTATGGTGCACAGTTGTTTGGTCAAACACCAATCTAGATGCTGCTATGAAGGTATTTCACAGAGGTAATGCGCATCTACAATCAGCTGACTATAAATAAAGGAGATTACCTTTGATAATGTGGGTGGGCTTCATCCAATCATGTGAAGGTCTTAGAGCCGAAACTGAGGTTTCTTGGAGAGGAAGGATCATGGAAATCTTCCTCAGTTTCCAGCCTGACAGCCTGCAGATTTCAGACTGGGATATAACATCAACTCTTGTCTGGGTTTCTAGCCTGCCAGCCTACCCTACAAATTTCAGACTTGGCAGACTCCGCCAATCATGTAAGCCAATTCCTTAAAATCTCTCTCTCTCTTTCTGAATTCTGTTTCCCTGGAGAACCCTGATGGACATAATGACCACCTTTTGATGTAAACAGAGGCATACAGCTCTATCCTGTCTCTACCATATCCCTTAAAATGAGGCACACCCATCGTATGCTTGCGCTGTCCTTTAACCAACTCCCTATTGACAGACATAAAACAATTTGTTTCTTCTTATTATTAGCAGACCAGAGCATATTTAATTGTCTGAAAGGGAATTAGAAATTTTAAAAGTAGAGGAGAATGAAATCCCCCAAATTCTGAAAGATACTTAACTTTTTTTTTTTTGTCTAAAGGAACAAAAAGGTCATAAAGCTACTCCACAGGGGATCGAAATTACCTGCACCCATGATTGCAATATTCTTTTCAACCAAATTGTCACAGAGACTACACTGCTATTGCCACCATTGTGTTTTCAACCAAATCCAATGAAGCCACTGTAAACGAGGCTATGATAGGACATTCTTGTAATATTTCCTTACATTAAATTCTCAGAAGTGGAATTGCTGAGTCAAGCAATCTGCACTTTTAAAGCTTGAGATCTATAATTGTCCCCTTGGGATTAATTCCAATTCATGTGTTTATTAGATAAAGTTTTTGAGCACCTCCTATATATATGCTGGAGTGTGCCAGGCCTGGAAAACAGAGACAAATAAGCTATATCCTTGGCTTTAAGGAGCTCATGGCCTCTTTCAGTTGCCTTTCTGCCTAGCACAGTGAGCCAACAGAAGGCTCTCAACACATATTTGTTAAATAAATAAGTGGATGAATGAATAAATGAATGAATGCATATCAGTTGGCTTTTCCTGTGTAGCAAACTACCTTATCATAGGCTTAAAATGACAGTTATTATTTTTTATGATCCCATGGGTCAGTTGGGTGGTTCCTCTTGTGTGGGGTATGTGGCTGATCTCCATGGGCAGCTGGTGGCTCGGCTGGGGCTGTATGATCTAGCATGGCCTCACTCACCTATCCGGCATTAAGCAGGCTAACTGGTCCTGAAGGGCTTCAGTTGGGAGGGCTCATCTCTGCTCCAGGTAGCCTCTCATCCTCCAGGTGGCTAACTCAGGCTTGTTCATATGGTGGACTCAGGGTTCCAACGAGCAGCAAACAAGGGCAAGTGCCAAGGTACAGTACTATTCAAAGCTCTACTTGCGGGGCTGGGCACAGTGATTCATGCCTGTAATCCCAGCACTTTGGGAGGCTGATGTGGGCAGATCACTTGAGCCCAGGAGTTGGAGACCAGGCTAGGCAACATGGTGAAACTCCATCTCTACAAAAAATAGAAAAATTAGCTGGTCATGGTGGCCTATGCCTGTAGTCCCAGCTAATTGGGAGGCTGAGGTGGGAGGATCACTTGAGCCTGGGAGGTTGAGGCTTTAGTGAGCTGAGACTGTGCCTCTGTACTCCAGCCTGGGCGACACAGTGAAACCCTGTCTCAAAAAAAAAAAAGAAATCTCTACCTGGGCCACATTTGCTGCTTTCCCATCAATCGAATCAAACCTCACAGTAAGCCCAGAGTGAGTATAGAAGGGTGTGGACCTAGGGTATGGCTCTCGGGAGGAAGATTCAGCGGCATTTTGGCAGTCTGTGCAGAAAAGATGTGCCTTTGCTTCTAAGCTCATGGCCTGTGTCCATTTACCTAGATGTTTAAGTGGGAAACTTGGTTCTTTGTTTTTGAAATTACACTTTGAACCCTGAACTTTTCCGCTACATATGTTTAGCTCTGCCTTCAAAGAAATAACCCAGTGTGTGTGATTCCGGAGGCCGTGGCTAAGAAAACCGTTTCTGGGGCCTCAAATGCATGTTCACCACCGTGTGCTTTGACCTTTTCCTTCACAAGTGTGGCGAATGATAACTCATTGTTGCTGAAGCCACTGGTGACTTATCTGATCTCTCCTCACGAGCACAGATAAAGTTCAATCTTTACCCTGGTCCCCCATCACATAGCCTATTGGCACTTCATTTGCTCAGCACTTGGAAGGTGACTGAATGTAAAATTCCTTAGCATCAATTAAACATTTGGCTCAGGATAGCAATGTGAGAGACCTTTTGGGGCAAAAGGGGTGCCTGTCATTAAAAAAAAAACTGTGCCGATTTTCAAAGAACAGTTGCTAAAAGATCCCTTTACTACCACTTCTAGCCTGGAAATCTCTGCCTGCTGTTAAACACACGTGGCATGTTCGAAATGGGAGAAAATAGCTGGTAGAAATCTCTTGCATTCTTTACTTGAGAGGGCACAGAGGTTAATTTGGGAATAGTTCTCTAATGGAAGCCAGATTGGGGAAAGTTAGGAAACAAATTTAAAAATCATGTCTCCAAAGTAAGTGAGAAAGATGCTTTATTTATTTATTTTGCATTCAAGATAAATAATCATTTATCAAAATTTTGGTGTTTTGTTTGTTTGTTTTTTGAGAGAGACACATTTTTATGGCATGGGCCACCACGTGCATGGGGCTGTCTCGGTCAGTTAAATGAATAGGATGATCTTAATAGCTGCAATTTATTCTCCCTTTGGGGACATCAGGTTCAGAAGACCATTCTATAAGCTGTTTATTCTGGCGTATTTGATTCTGAGAAAGTCTTTTGACGTTTTCATATGGAAAAGCTTCCCTGCGAATGCAGATTCAGCCAAGTTTACCTTCTAAATTCTTCCCTTTCCTGTTGTCACCCACTCCACAAACACCACACACACACATACGCACACACTGAGACCCCACACACATTTGTCTTGTTGCCCTAGGAACAGTGTAGAACAGTGCTTCTCAAATTATCTGGGCATAAAAGGTCAGTTTTTGAGATTTCTTTTTTTGTTGTTTGAGACAGAGTCTTGCTCTGTTGCTCAGGCTGGAGTGCTGTGGCACAGTCTTGGCTCACTGCAACCTCCAGCTCCTGGATTCAAGCGATTCTCATGCCTCAGCCTCCCAAGTAGCTGGGGTTACAGGCGCCCGCCACCACTCCCAGCTAATTTTTGTATTTTTAGTAGAGAGGGGCTTTTGCCATGTTGGCCAGTCTGGTCTCGAACTCCTGACCTTAAGTGATCCGCCCGCCTCTGCCTCCCAAAGTGATGGGATTACAGGCATGAGCTACTGCACCCAGCCAATGTTTGAGATTTCTAATCCATTGCAGACCAATACAGTAAAATACAATTGACATAATTTAATGGAAAAAAATAAAACCAAGGCATACAAAATACGAGCTCAGTGTTTTTTATTATTAGATTCAGCAGACATAAAATCACTCAGTTAAAGTGCTTTATAAGTTTTGAAACACACTCAATGTCTGTATTTAATTAGTTGCAAATCGGTAATAGCCAGTGGACAAGCAGTACCAGTTGGTGGCCCCCACTTACACAGCACCTATCTAGAACAACCCCATTTCAGTGGCCAACCGAGTGCCTAGCAAACGTCCATCCGCATACTCATCCACATATCATTCACGCATTTATCGAGCCTGTGTTCCACACTGGGAGCTCTGTGAGACACAGGTAAAACTACAAACCCATCCCTGGCTGCTGTGATTGGGGAGCCCACGGGTAGCATCTCACCCAAGTGTCAGGGGTCAGGCAAGGCCAGCTAGAGGAGGTGGCATCTAAGCAAAGTCTAGAGAAAGGAGGGAAAATGGGTTATGTGAAGAGAGGGGTTTGGGAAGGTGAAGGGGCAAAAGGAAGAAGTCCTTTCCAGGTAGAGGCAAATGTATTTGCAGATGTCTTGGACTGTTAGAGGCGCAGCAGGTAATTCTTTTTGCCGGGATGCAGAATTGGAGGAAAGGAGAGACGGAGCTGGGGCTGGAGAGCTGGGGCCTTGGTGGGAGCTTTGATGTTGTGTCAAGGAGTAAGGGCTTCCTCCCGGAGAGCACAGGGAGCAGCTGATGGCCTTGGTGGAGAAGCCCCCATCAGTACATGTGCATTTAGGAGGCTTCCTGTGACTGCTGTGTGGAGAGGCTGGAGGCCAGCTATGAGGAGCACAGCCTAGACAGATGCAGAGCCCACAGGGCCCTGAGATAGATTATTTGCAAAAGAGAAAGAAAAGAGACTGGGCACAGTGGCTTATGCCTGTAATCTCAGCACTTTGGGAGGTTGAGGCAGGCAGATCACTTGAGGACAGGAGTTCAAGACCAGCCCAGCCAACATGGCAAAACCCCGTCTTTACAAAAAATAGAAAAATTAGTTGGGTGTGGGGGCACGTGCCTGTAGTCAGCTACTCTGGAGACTGAGATATGAGAATTGCTTGAACCTGGGAGGCGGAGGCTGCAGTGAGCCGAGATCATGTGACTTCACTCCAGCCTGGATGACAGACGGAGACTCCATCTCAAAAAAAAGAAAAAAAAAGAAAAAAAAATAGGGAGAGAGAGAAGAGAGGCTTCAAGGAAGCTCTTGAACACAGAACAATGTAGCGTGTGGGTGTGGGTGTGGGTGTGGGTTGCCCAAAGCTGGCCCAATGAAAAATGGGGTTGAGCCAACCTTCAGGCCAGAGCTTCCTCTACTGCCGGCCTGGCACCATTCACGAACCAACACACAGCCTGGATGGATAGCTTTCCTGGGCCTTCCTTTTAAAAAGTGTGAGTTCTCCTTCATCGAAGTTATAGGAAAGCAATAGAGACTTGACTGAAAGAAAAGGATTCACTCCACACCACATTGGAGAAACAAGCTCAGAACAATAGGTCTGCAATTCTCAAAGTGCTAATTCTTGCCTTCTGGATTTTTTTGTTTGTTTTTAGTTCAGTGGAATTTTTATTTATTTATTTTTTAATTTTTATTTTTTAGTAGGGGAGAACATGAACGCAGTCCCCTACCACCAGAAATTATGTAGTCGAGTTTCCCACATTTGGGGAAATTGCATGAGTCAGCACATCTGGAGTGCAACGGATAAGTCTTGCCCTAGGAAAACCACTTTCATGATCACAGTATCTCCTCTGTCAGGTAGTTAAATTTTTTAGAGACAGGGTCTCACTATATTGCTCAGGCTTGAGTGCTGTGGTATGATCATAGCTCACTGCAGCCTCGAATTCCTGGGCTCGGGGATTTCAAATATCCTCCTGCCTCAGCCTCCAGCCTCCAGGGACTATAGGCTTGAACCACTGTGCCTGACATTAAAAACAAAACAAACAGAAAAACAAATAAAAAACAGCAGCAACTACCCAAAGCTCAGTGTTTGATGTTTGTAACACATGCCTCATCTCTGAGAGGCATGAGATGAGAAGTAACCTCATCTCTGTCTTTGTTGCCCGATGGACACGATGATGGAAGTGCAATGTGTTTGATGCTGAAATCACACAACATATTGCCATCATCAGTTAAGTGATGAATCTAGTACAAATTATTTGGTGTTCAGGAGGGAGTCGAACCAGATTTTGTGGATGTCTCTAATTTTAGATGACAAGGGAGCAATGTTTGGGAGTTTTCAAGGTAGCCAGGCAGAAAGGGAGGTAGTGTGATTTTCACAGGTGGACTCCAGGTCCCCTCTTTCCTCTGGGGAACATCAAGGTACTTACAGGCACCACAAAATCCAGAAGAGCCTGGGACTTGAGAACAGAGCCAGAGTGTGCCCTTCTTTTCTTTTTTCTTTTTTTTTTCACACACACAGTCTGTCTGTGTCTCCCAGGCTGGAGTGCAGAGGCACAATCTCAGCTCACTGCAACCTCCTCCTCCCAGGTTCAAGCGATTCTCCTGCCTCAGCCTCCCAAGTAGCTCGGACTACAGGCGTGTACCACCATGCTCAGCTACTTTTTGTAGTTTTAGTAGAGATGGGGTTTCATCATTTTGGCCAGGCTTGTCTCAAACTCTTGGCCTCAAGTGATCTGCCTGCCTCGGCCTCCCAAAGTGCTGGGATTACAGACGTGAGCCACCACGCTTAGCCCAGAGTGTACCCTTCTGCTGCCATTGTTTCAGGAGCAAATTCAGTTAATTGAAGGACAGTCCTCGGGGTCAGTTCTCAGGCTAGAGTTAGCACCCTGGGAGGATGGTGGATGGGGTGGAGAGAGGGGCTTTTCTAGCTAAATGTAAGCAATGGGCCTGTTCTTTAAATATCCTTGCAGCTGGATTTCAGTGTCTCACCCCTCTGGAGCTGTGAGGACTTCGACTAGATTGTTTTCCTTCAAGAAAAAAAAATTCATGAATTGCTTAAGGCCCTACAATTCTTGTTTCATCTATATATTCCCTATGTCTGCAATTATGACCAACACACAATAGGTGCTTACTAAAAGTTCAATGACTAGATGACCAGGTGAATTGTAATTTCCCCTCTGTTGTCAATTTTTGTTTACCTGGTTTTTGTTTGTTTTCCCCACTTGTTCTCATTCTCCTGTGGGAGCAGAGGTTGCATCTGTCTTCATGAGGACTATTTCCCCAGCACCTAGCGAGGGCCTGGCCCTGAGTCCACGAGGTGGAAGTTGGTTGAATGAATGGATGGAAGATTGTGGAGCAGATGCTAGGCCTTACTAGTGCTCGGCCCGAATACCTACTGCTCGGGGCCTTCTCTGGCTGCCACACCCATGGGGGCAGCCCCCATCTTGTGACTGCATTGGGTATAAATACCCCGGCTCTCACCTGAGACATTCTATGTGACTCCAGAGTTTCCCAGGTGTGAAGTCCCCTTGACTTTCAGAGATGGCAGAGACTTGATGATATTCTCCTTTTTGGTTGCCTTCTCCCACCTCACTTCTCCACTGCTGTTTCCTGGATCACTTACGGAATAAACAAGTTGCACTTGAACCTTCATCTCAGGATTTGCTTCTGGGGTAGCCCAAAGTAAGATGATAGACATCTTATCTCCCAGTGATGACAACCTCATCGGGAGAAATAGTGTATTTTCCCTCTCAACATTTTATTTAGAGGGACTTCAAGCCAAAGAAAAATTGAAAAAATATATACACTTTCAACCAGTCTCACCAACCAATAACATTTCTCCATATTTGCTTTATTTATCTGTCTCCCTCTTCTCTCTGTTTATAGATAGATAGACGATAGATAGATAAGATACATTAGATAGATGAAGCTGTGTGAGAAAGAGAGAGAGAGTCTTTATTTTTATTTTTTGTGGAGATGGAGTCTTGCTTGGTAGCCTAGGCTGGTCTTGAACTTCTGGACTCAAGTGATTCTCCTTTTTCAGTGTCCCAAACTGCTGGATTACAAGTGTGAACCACCATGCCCAGCCTGAGTCTTTATTACTTATTTTAATTTTCTCAGAGGGAATTTGTTTTTATTGACACAGTTGTTCATGCGAAGAATCCTGGATTTCCTCTGGTAAAGTCTGACCAATACAAGGTGGTAATAGTGTCCACCTGTCAGTTTTCATTAATAAAGAAATGACTGCAAACTTCCACAGTCAACATGGACTAAAGCCAGCATGAAATAGAGATTACTCCAACCTCAAAGCTGCAATGTTGCACAATTCACAATAAATGCATTATTAGAGAATCTTTAGACTTTAGAATCTAGAGATTTCAGAGGAAAACTCTCATGTAAATATATATATTACATATATCATTTTCTCCCAGAACATTTGAAAGTAAGTTGCAGACTTCATGGAATTTCACCTGTAAATTCTTTAGAATGTGTCTACCAAAACAAGGAGTATCCTCCTCCATAATCAGAAAGACTATCATCACAGCCGAGAAAACAGACATTGATACAATAATAGTGTCAAATATACAGTCGAAACTCAAATTGCCCCAGTTGTCCCAATAAAGTCCCTGAGAGCCATGGGACACTGTGTCTTCACACTCTACCGCTAGCCCCTTCTGTCACTGGGGCTCATACAACACCTTTCTGAACACAGGACTATCCATTATATGCAGGCCAAATTGGTCAGAATGAAATAGCTTCTCTAGGACCGGAAGATAGAGACGTTTAAGTTGTGCTTCTGGCAGAGGGACAAATATTGCCACCAGACTATGGGGCATGGCAGGGTTCCCTGACACCTAGTTAAAATATCTGAAGGTGCAGAGCTGGGCCCCAGCACAGCTCCCCACCCTCTTCTCCAGAGTCTTTTTCCAGAGAGTCCTGGCCTAGGGAGAGGAATTCCTCCTACAGGTAGACCAAGCTTGCAGCTCTGAGTCCAGTTCCTGATTTCGGATGGTTCTGCCATGACCAGCAACAGACTTGAAATTTTGTTTTAATTGGAAGGAAAAGGAAGTCAGGTCTGAGAACCCAGTGGCTATCCTTGGAATTCAGGACTGGCTACGTAATTTGCCAGGCTCGGTACAAAATGAAAATGTAGATCCTGTGTTCAAAATGTATTGTGAATTTCCAGAGGGTGTGGGCAGAGCACTGTGACAAGCGCAGGGCTCTTCTGAGAGTGGGGCCGCGTGTGACTTCAGAGGTCACAAGTCTGTGACGCTGGCTCTGTGGGTATTTGCGTGCAGCCTGGATTCACAGAAGGCCTTTCTGGACTTTGAAGTAGCGAATATTGACCAAAGGCTTGAAGGTCTTGCGGCACGCGGGAAGAAATTAAGGTGGAAAGACTTAGCCCCATGCCAAACTGGTCAGCAACAATTATAACTCATTATTTCCTCAAGAGAACAGCGTCTACAGTTTTTTGGTTTGTTTTCATGTCAGACAGGTAACGTGCTGACTTCAAAATGAGGTTCGAGGGTGGCATATCTCACACATGAGTGTGAGCACCCGATCATCACACTCAAGAACTACAAAAGGATCTGCAGTTCTTACGAATGCATCTGCAGTTGTCACATATTCACTGTCACCTTGCAGCACAATGTCAGGTCTGGGAGGCATTTCTACGGCATCACACAGGCATTCTCGCGCGTGCTGTAACTGCCCTCTTCTGTTCGGGCTGCTTTGACGTGAGGCCACTCCCCTTCCCTGTTACTCAGGGCAAGCTGCACCCCGCTCCCATCCCTTGATGGCCCCCTTCAGCCTCACACCGCATGGAACATTGCAGAAGCGGTATCAGCAGAATCAGAAGTTGAGATTGCCCATCCCTCCGCCTTGGTCCTTTTCGACACGGATGCAGTTCCCCAAAGAGGAAACTGAGGCACTGTCGGCAGAATAACGCATCACAGTTCTGGAAGAGAAACACGTGTTTGTCCTGTCTGGATGTTCCCCTCTGAAGACCCTGGAGGACAGGCTATTTCAGCACGGAGCCACGACCCTGGGAGGGGGAGAGCAGAGAGACAGAAAAATGATGCCAGGACCTCAGCAGAACTGGGGACAGAGGAGAGACAGGAGAAGGGGATCCAGGGAGACCAGAGCCAGGAGGGGCTCCCAAATGCCCATTTTTATGGACTAAATGATGACTTGTGGGGAAAAAGAAATGTTTTGTGTCTCCCTCTGGACTCTACAAGTAAAAGGCTTCCTTTCTGGGAGTAGCCTATGTATAAATTCCCTTCCAGACTTGATGGGCACGACTAACAGGATAAAGCACAGACCCTTAGTGGCAGCCAAAATAAATGTTATGCCGTGTTTGGGATCTGACAGGGCACCTGGGATAGGTTGAATGCCCAATGCTAGCATGAAGGTGTGTGGCTGAAATCAACTGTGAGTTTGTGTCTTGAATCACCGTCCTCAGTAGGACAAGATATGAAGGTTTCAACAAATGCCTGGAAAAATAAACATTGCCAGAGGGAGAAACTAGGACCTTATTGTCAACAGGAAACGTTTCCTTTCTGGTATGTCTGACCCAGAAGCAGTCTTGTTTGGTATGTGATGCCGACAGTTTCTCTTCCTGGGATGTGATAAAAATAGCCGGGAAGTTGATGTTGACTGAAACCAAAGAGTCTGAGACCCTGCGTCCCTGCTCAGCTTGGCTCCCGGAGAGTGCAACAGTGGCCAAGTCTCAGTACTCAAAGGGTAATGAGAAGAGCACCAGCCTCAGCATCATCCGGGAATTTGTTAGTAATGTAGGATCTCGGGCCCCACCCCAGACTTGCGGCATCGGAATCTGCATTTCCACAAGATCCCCGTGTGACGCAGGTGCTCGTTAAGGTCTGAGCAGTGCTGGTTTAAGCACAGGCTTACAGATGGAAAAGGCCAGGGCTCCATGACCTTGGAGAAGCCATAGAGCCTCTCTGAGCCCATTTCCACTTCCGTAAAATAGGCATAAAAATACAATCTATCAGATAGATTTGTTTAACTTCAGAGTTAAATAAAAGGATATGTATGCAGCTCTTAGTACAGCATCCCCCAGAAAAAGTGTTGGAAGTATTATCATTATTAACCCGATTATTACCTTCTGACCATGTTCTTTTGGGCCAGTCACACTGTTTCTAGGAGCCAGCTAAAGGCACTGTAAACAGTGACCCTCTGTCAAGTTCTTGCTTCATCGTAACCCATTTTCCTTGGCTTAATGATTAGTAGAAGTTCAACAGGTCACAGCTGGAAAGGAAGTTAGAGCTTTCCTAGTGAGTCCAGCCCCTTCATTTCCCACCTGAGAAAACTGAGGCCCAGGGCTTGCCTTGCCTAGGCTCACAGAGCTAAGGGGCTGGCAGTGCCAGGCGACAACCATGTTCTTGAATTCCCTGTCCAGAAACTCCCCTCCATAGTAAAAACAATTAGCTCCTGTGCTTTGGGCACCTCCTTGGTGCCAAGCTCTGGGCTCAGGGTTTACCAAAAGAAGCATCTCATTTAATCTGTGGGTCAATCTTCCATTTCAAAGAGAAGATACTCCTGTATCAGCTCCCAGAGTTAACTAATGTGCCCAAGGCCACAGAGCCAGTAAGGGGTCAGCTGGGGTGTTCCCAGTGGACCCTCCCCTTTTACCCCAGACACCCAGGAAGCAGGAGAGACACACAACGCTGTTAGGCACTTTTGGGTATTGACTTTTATTTTTTGGCCTGGGTGGTAGACACAGGGATATTCTTTTTTTTTTTTTTTTTTTTTTTTGAGACAGCGTCTTGCTGTGTTATCCAGGCTGGAATGCAGTGGCACAATTATGGCTCACTGCAGCCTCAACCTCCCAGGCTCAAGCAATCCTCCCATATTGACCTCCCGTAGCTGGGACCACAGGCATGTGCCATCACCCCTGGCTAATTTTTTAAAATTTTATTTTGTGAGGAGATGGGGGTCTCACTATATCGCCCAGGCTGGTCTTGAACTCCTGGGCTGAAGTAGTCCTCCCACCTCGGCCTCCCAAAGTGCTGGGATTACAGGTGTGTGCCACCAGGCTTGTCCAGGGATATTCATTTTATTATCACTCTTTAAACTGTACACATGCATTATATACATCACATATTGTATACCTGTAACTTAAAAACCAAATAGAAGAGGAATCCTGCAGGCACTTGAATACAATGCTGGGTGGTCTCAAGGCAGAAAGAAGGGGACTTGGGCTTGGCGTAAGAGCAGTAAAAGACCAACCTGGGCTTAGCCTAGGAACCATGCCCTACGGTGCTGGTTAGCACGTGACTCAGGACCAGATAAACAAGCAGGGCTGGAGGCGCTGGGGGCAGAGCTTAACAGGAAGAAGGGGATACAATTTGTCTAAAACTGGGTTATGAAGAAAATAATTTGTCTTTTGTTTCGTAAGTCCCAGGTTAGGATAGGTGGATCGGCTTATTCACTTTTACTAATTTCCCCAGACATCAGTGGAAATGATGCATAATTGTATTAATGGTAGAGTGATTTATGATAGTGGAAATTTGGGAACCACCTAAAAGTCCAACTATAGGGCCTAATTTAATAATGTATGGTGTCTGCATATGAGAGATGGCCATAAAAAGCCATTTAAAAATCATGACGTAGGGACCATAACAAGGACATTAAACACAGCTGTGGCCCTTTATTGCGGGTGCCTCCTGTGCCAGAGTCTGCGCTAAGCACAGAACACTTGTCCTGGTCATTGATTCTCACAGTACACCCCCTATTCCGCAAAGGAGGAAATGGAGCTTTAGAGAGGTGAAATGACTTGGTCAACATCCCACAGCTATGACATGGAAAGATGTTCACGATATTTTAAATTTAAAAAGCAGCTTATAAGGCAGGCTGTGCGGTATACATACACAGTGTCCAGTAACGGGACTGGTGATGTACATTACTTCACGTTGAGCCCAACTGACGGAGAGCTCTATGGCCATTGCAAAAAATGGTGTGTAGATTCCTAATAGCTGGCAACAGAAAGAGTTCATGGCATGGTAAATTTTTTTAAAGACAAGAAAGTATTTACAATATGATTTCATTTAGTGTGTGTGTGTGTGTGTGTGTGTGTGTGTGTGTGTGTGTGTCTAAGCAGTGATTTATTTTTATTTTTATTTATTTTATTTTTATCTCACAGAGTGAGATGGGGTCTCACTCTGTTGCCCAGGCTGAAGTGCAGTGGCGTGATCTCAGCTCACCGCAACCTCTGCCTCCCGGGTTCAAGCGATTCTCCTGCCTCAGCCTTTCGAGTAGCTGGGATTACAGGCACTCACCACCACTCCCAGCTAATTTTTGTAATTTTAGTAGAGACGGGGTTTCACCATGTTGGCCAGGCCGGTCTCAAACTCCTGACCTTAAGTGATCTGCCCACCTCAGCCTCCCAAAGTGCTGGGATTACAGGAGTGAGCCACCATGCCTGCCCAAAGCAGTGATTTTAAACAGAGGGTGATTTTGTCCCTCTGTGGACATTTGATAATATCTAGAGATAGGTTTAGTTATCCCAAGTGGGGGTGGGGAGTGCCACTGGCATCTAGTGGGTGGGAAGACCAGGGGTGCTGATAAATATTCTACAGTTCACAGAACAGCCCCCTGCAAAAAAGATTTATCCCATCCAAAATATCAGTGGTGCCTGATTTTATATATATACACGCATATATATAAATACACTCACGCGCGCACGTACACACGCATGCAGAGAGAGAAAAAGTCTAGAAGGAATATCTCAGAATGTTAACAGTGGTTATCTTTGGGTGTAGGGTGGTTTTTTTAATTCATATCTTTATTTTCTAATGTTTTTTTAACAAGGAGCATGATTAAGTGTGGGGAAAAAATAGAAAATTATATAGCTACAATTGCCTTAGAAACAGCCCAGTTAGAGACAAGCAGCAGAGGGAGGAAGGTTTGGGGGGTAAGGTTTTCCAGGGGTTCGACACAATGCCATGTCAAGCCTCTTGGGGAAACGTTTCCCTGATTCTGCAGTCCACAGAAGCCGCTGGGGAAATAGGTCTGAGCCTGCGGGTCCCTGCGTGAAAAGCCACACCCATCCTCCAGGCGATCGGACCCTGAACAGTGGAGGTGAACTTGCAGGGGCGTGATGTGTACACGAGGGTGTGAGGCCCAGGCTTTGCCACAGTTATTCGTACTGGGCTCTCATACCCCTCACCTGCTCCTCACGCTGTTTGATGGCTCTGTTCGCTCTTTGCCCTTTTCTGGACCAATAGCACTGCAGACTTGGCGGCAGCTCAGTAACCACCTGGGTCACGGCTCCTTATGGGAAATAAAGAGAGAGACAATAGTGTCCTGGCTTAAAACAGAAAGGCTCCACCAGCTGCTTAGCAACTCTTGTGCGGGTTCCCTCCCAGGGCCGAGGAGCAGACATAAACCATCCCATAAAAAGAGAGCAAGAGGGGCCCAGACAATGCCTGGAAACTCACAGAGGGTCCTGGCAATCTTCCTACAAGCTCCATGAAGAACCAGAAAAGGCTAACTAAACAAAGGGCCACCCCCTGGCCCACCTCCTAAACCCTGTTCCTCATCAGGGGGAAGTACAGGCCTCTATCCTGAGCCTGTTACTTGAGTGTCTCAACATTTGAACCAGACCAAAGTTTCCCAGGGATGAGTCTAGCCAAGAACACCTCCTATCCTCCAAGATCCTATCCCTGCTTTCCACCCCATTATCCACGTTCATTTATAAAATTGATCATAGCTGTGCCCAGCTCCTTCTCAGTGCATGCTGAAGAAATCTCTGTCTGGCCAGAACTCTAAAGCACTGTCACATGTCAGAACTGGTGGATTCCTGGGCATGTGACCTTAGGTTAAGGATTGCAAATAGGTCACAAGTCCTACGCCAACTGTGAATGGTTAGAGGTGGCTGCCTGGAGTGTTGTGTTGAGAAGCTCCCAGGGACTTGGTCCAGGAGAGTAGAAAACGTGTTGTGATTGCTGCCCTCTCTCCGTGTGGGTGTTCATGGAGAGCTGTGCCCATGTGCTACTTTATTGTGGCCTCTGTCCTTGGCTGACCTTCTAACCACTTAGTTATTCCCAAATGTATTGGAATTTCTAAACTGCCATACCAACTGGCAATTATTGTCAGTTCTGAGGTGGGTATTTTTACAGATTACCAGCACCAAATAACCTTGGGGACTTACCAAAATGCAGATTCCCGGACCTCATCTGTGTTAGAATACCCTGACAACTTAGCAAAATAGGCAAATTTCTGGGCCGTACTCCCAAGCTCCTAATATAGAATATTTTGGAGGTAGGCATAGGAATCTTTCCTTTTACCAAGCACCCCCAGATGATTTGTATGTACAATGAATCTGATAACCATTAACCTAGGAATGTGTCTGCCTGGGCTGTCACACCTGAGAATATTCCTAAAATTATTACTTTAGATTGGCTTATGGTGGCTTAAAAATATGTCCAATATTCTTTGACACTTTTCCCTTCAAAAGATGAACCTACCAACATGGCAAAACCCCATCTCTATTAAAAATACAAAAATTAGGCGGGCATGGTGGCGGTTGCCTATAATCCCAGCTACTCAGGAGGCTGAGGCACAAGAATCGCTTGAACCCAGGAGGTAGAGGTTGCAGTGAGCCGAGATCATGCCACTGCACTCCAGCCTGGGCGACAGAGTGACGCTCCATTTTTAAAAAGCGTTGGCTGGACTTAGGGACTTACTAAGTGTGGGCTGCACTTAGAGACTCACTTGTAATGAATACTGTGGAGGATCTGACAGTAACATCCAAGATCAGAGCATAAAAGGGGTTTCAACCTCCTCCTGGCTCTCTCTTGGATCATCTGCTCTGAGGGAAGTCAGCTGCCATGTTCTGAGGACACTCAATCAGCCCTACAGAGAAGCCCAGGTGGTGAGAAACTGAGGCCTCCTGCCCACAGCCATGTGAGTGAGCAGCTTGGAGGCCCCACTCACCCCACGTGAGCTTTCAGAAGTATTTAGCCCTATTGATATTTGAGCAACCTCATGAGAGACCTTGAGCCAGAACCACTTAGAAAATCAGCTCCCAAATTTCTAACCCACAGAAACTGTGAGATCATAAATGTGTGTTGTTTGAAGCCTCTAAATTTGAGGGTATAGTCATCCCTTGGTATCTGCAGGGATTGGTTCCAGGACCCCTTCAGATACCAAAATCCATGGATGCTCAAGTTCCTGATATAAAAGGGTATAGTATTTGCCTATAATCTATGTACATCTTCCTGTATATTTGAAATTATCTCTAGATTACTTATAATACCTAATACAATGTAATGTTATGTATGAATAGTTGTTATACTGTATTCTTTTTTATTTGTATTATTTTTATTGTATTATTATTTTCGTTGTTATTTTTTGAATATTTTTGGTCCATGGCTGGTTAAATCCACAGATGTGGAATCCAAGGATAGTGTAGTTTGTTTTGCAGCAATAGATAACTAATACATGTGTAAAAAGTCAGTTTCCATTCATTTCTTGCAGGGCTACACTATTAACCTAATAAGCCACCCTTGGACAAAGTGAACTTAGCCTCCCCCAAGAAGGCTTTATTTTCCTCCAGCCAGTCTCCTGGGCTGAGATATAGAGAATATGCAGGGGGCTGTTCCCAGGCTACCTGAGACCCAGCCAGGCTCTTCTTCCATGCAGCTCAGGGGTGCGTTTGCCCAGAGCTTTGTTTGACATCCCACCTGTGTGTGTATACCCTCTGCCCTGCCTGCCAGTGCTGGCGCTAAGCCCTTAACACAGCTCACAAGGCCTTGAAAATCCAGTCCCAATTTCTCCCCAGCCCCATCTCCCACCATTTCACCTCTCTACATGCCTCCCAGTCCCCCCTGCATGGTGAACACTGGCATCTGAGCCTGCGGGTCTCTGCACATGCTCTCCCCCTGCCCAGGACACCCTGCCGTGCCCTGACATCACCTTCTCTGGAGCGTTCCTCAGCTTCCTGTGTCCCTTCCAGGCAGTATTGATTGCTTCTCCTCTGTTCCACCAGTGCTTTGCACACCCTGGGAACGACAAACCTTATTTTACGGTGTAGTTTTTGGTTTGGGGGTCTAGATGGTAGTTCTTTTAAAGGAGAATGGTTTAAGTGCCCAAAATACGAGCTTGTAGAATTTCTCTTTGTGTCTTCCTCCGGTCTAGCTCGGTGGTTCTCAAAGGTTAGTATACCTAAGAATTATTGTACAGGGAAGATGCAACTGGAATTTACATAGAATTCTGAATTTTAGATAAAACTGGAAGGCTTGGGGCAATTCTGACTTCCCTAATTCGCACCTTATGTGCCTGCATTTGAATGCATTCCTTATAGCGAATCCACTGTCGTAAGGCATCTAGAATGACAGATTGCCAAAGCTGAGAAGAACCTTTAAGATAATGTAGGCCTGTACTTCTAAAAATTTTGTGTTACATCTTCCTTTGATAATATAATGGAAACTACGAATAATCTCACTGGAAAACTTTGGCCACCTGAAATTCCTACATGAATTCCAAGTTCAAAATCCCTGAACAGATTACCAGCACCAAATAACTTTGGGGACTATATCCTTTTATATCAGGAACCTGAGCATCCATGGATTTTGGTATCTGAAGGGGTCCTGGAACCAATCCCTGCAGATACCAGGGGACGACTGTACCCTCAAATGTAAAGGCTTCAAAAAACACACATTTATGATCTCATAGTTTCTGTAGGTTAGAATTTGCGAGCTGATTTGCTAAGTGGTTCTGGCTCAAGGTCTCTCATGAGGTTGCTCAAATATCAACCGGGGCTAAAGACTTCTGCAACCTTTTTTACAGATGAAGAAAATGAGGCCCAGAGGAGGGCCAAGGCCTCAGAGCCCTGTGGTGAAAGAGCTGGGACTGTAATGCAGATCTCTTTACTTTCATGTTTCTGGTTTCTTCCCTTGATCAGGGGCCTCCCTTACAGCACCGTGGGTCAGGGCCAGTATAGCCTCTGCTTGGTGATGTTCAGAGACCGAGAACCCTTCCTTCACTGCTTTAGCCTGCTTGACACTTCATCCAAGTTTGGGCGGTTCAGCGGAAGCCTCTGTCCCTGGGGCCATTTCATCACCCAGAGGGTTCAAGTAGTGGGAAGGTTATGGCTTCCTTGGTCCTCTGAGAAGGGAGGACTGGGCCCAGAGTTTTTGACCACTGATTTGTGGCTGATGAGACTGGCATATCAGACAGACCAGAATTCATTATAAAGAAACTCAAGACAACAGTGAGGGCCAGTAGTAGAGCAGAGAGCAAAGAAATACAGGCTGAAATAAAGTCAAAAAATAGTTATCTGCATGAGCTAGCTAGAATCAAAACAGGTGCTTAAGGATACAGGAAGCTATAGTTGATTGTAGGGAAGATAAGAAGTGTAAGGAGAGAAATGGCCAAGAGCCAAGTGGTTCTCCCAGGAAGCTAAACTGTGAGAAAAATTGCCTATATCTGTCCCTGTAACTAGGTACTATAGAGGTGACTGGTTGATGTCTGTTAGGATAGTTTTGCTTTAAAAGTAAAGCATAAAAAACAAAGCTCCTAAAACTGTCTTGAACCAATAAAGAGAATTTATTAGGTTTTATTTACTTTAAGGTTCAGAGGGAGGTTAGACTTCAGGAATAGTTTGATCAAGGACGTGGCTCAGTTTCTCTGTAAGTTTCTCTGTTCTGCCCTTCTCTGTGCACTGGCTTTATCCTCAGACTGGCTTCCCTCATTGTAACAAAGTGGCTACAGCTGTCCCAGGCCTCATATCTGCACACTATACTCTCAGGAATAAGAGAGAGCTCTCTTTCTTCAATCACCAAACAGAAGTCCCTGAACATCATTCTTATTAATCACTGTGGCAAGGGAGATGAGATTATAATGAAGGACTTGGGCCAATCACAGCTCATCCTGGGGATGAGCTGGCTCAATTGCTTCTCCTCCGGAAGCTGTGAAAGGCAGGGAAATGGATTCTTCCCAGAAGCCTCCAGAAGGTACCAGCCCTGCCAATACACTGATCTCAAACTTCAGACCTCTAGGACTGCAAGAGAATAAATTTGTGTTGTGTTAAGCCACAAAATTTATTACAGCAGGAATAGTAAACTAATACAGATTTAATTCCCATGAAACTTTATAAAGTACACACTACTGTCATCATTTCCATTTTACTTATGAGGAAACTGAGCCTCAGACCAGCTAAGTAACTTTCCCAGCAGTTAAGTGGAACTCATACAAACCCTGAGCTACTACACATCAGAGCTGGGCCGGTGGAGGGTGGGGAGGCCACCACAGTGCTCATTCTGTGGATTTAAGGGGGCCATGGCACTATCTACTAGAATTCTGACAGCTGTTATTTTTTATTTTTATTTTTTTATTTTTGAGACGGAGTCTCGCTCTGTCGCCCAGGCTGGCGTGCAGTGGCACGATCTTGGCTCACTGCAACCTCCACCTCTCAGGTTCATGCCATTCTCTTGCCTCAGCCTCCCGAGTAGCTGGGACTACACGCACCCGCCACCACGCCCGGCTAATTTTTATATATATATATTTTTTAATAGAGACGGGGTTTCACCGTGTCAGCCAGGATGGTCTCGGTCTCCTGACCTCGTGATCCGCCCGCCTTGGGCTCCCAAAGTGCTGGGATTACAGGCGTGAGCCATCGCGCCCAGCCCCCTGTTACCTTTTTTAAAGGTCCTGGTTTGGTATGGTCCACACTCCATTTCTGGAGATTTCTTTTGACTCCTTCTTCAGATGTGACTGAGCCCCTCTGAGTCCTACCTGCTCCTCTTGCAAGTTTGGGAACCTGGCACTGAAAGATGCGGATTCAGTGTTTAGAAGTCACAGAAAATTAGGACAGGAAGGGATCGTTTGAAGTCATCTGATCCAACTCCTCATTTCAATTTTTTTATAGAGGTGCTTCCCGTCTGGACTCCAAATCCTGTGGTCTTTCTCTGACCCAGTGGGAGGCTCTAGAGTGTAAGGTTTAGGAGGCCAGTTTTGACATAGTGCTGCCACTTAACTGCTGGGAAAGTTACTTAGCTGGTCTGAGGCTCAGTTTCCTCATAAGTAAAATGGAAATGATGACAGTAGTGTGTACTTTATAAAGTTTCATGGGAATTAAATCTGTATTAGCTTACTATTCCTGCTGTAACAAATTTTGTGGCTTAACACAACACAAATTTATTCTCTTATAGTCCTAGAGGTCTGAAGTATGAGATCAGTGTATTGGCAGGGCTGGTACCTTCTGGAGGCTTCTGAGGAGAATCCATTTCCCTGCCTTTCATAGCTTCCAAAGGCTGCCTGCATTCCTTGGCTTGTGGCCCCTTCCTCCATCTTCACAGCACATCACTTCATCCTGTTTCCATAGTCACATCTCCTTTCTTCGTCTTTGATCCTCCTGCCTCCCTGTTATAAGGAGCCTTGTGATTACATTGGTCTCACCTGGATAATCCAGAATAATCTCTCCATTTAAAGAGCCTTAACTCAATCACATCTTCAAAATTCCCTTTGCTATGTAAGAAAACATATTCACAGGTTCTGGGTATTGAAATGTGCACATCTTTTTGGGGCGGGGGCAGAGGTTGCTTTATTCTGTTTATGATAAAGTAACAACTAATGTAAAAGCATTAATTGCATAGCACCAGGTATGGAATAAGCATTCAACAAATGGCATTAGTATCATTTAGGGACCACCTACTAGTGCCCATAATCAAAATAGATATAGTTTTTGCCTTTGTGTCTTTGTGTCTTATCCAGTGTCCATAAGCCAAGGAATGCAGGCAGCCTTTGGAAGCTGTGAAAGGCAGGGAAATGGATTCTCTCCAGAAGCCTCCAGAAGGTACCAGCCCTGCCAATACCCTCATCTCATTTGATACTAATGCCATTTGTTGAATGCTTATTACATACCTGGTGCTACGCAATTAATGCTTTTACATTAATACTTTATCGTAAACAGAATAAAGCAACCTCTGCCCCCGCCCCAGGTGATTCTATCAGCCAGCCTTTCCTGTGTAATCAACTACCCTAAAGCTTACTAACGCAAAACAACTACCATTTATTTAGCTCTCAGTTTAGTAAGTCATCAGTTTCAGTTCTTCTGGTCTGGTCTGGGTTTAGCTAGTTTCCACTGGGCTCCCCCATGGTCACTGGGGCTGCTGGTTTATAATGGTCTTGGCTGGAATGAATGGGGCCTCTCTCCAAGTGTTTTTTTTTTTTCACCCAACAGGCTAGCCCAGGCTTGTTTGCATGTTGGTGGAAAGGAGCAACAAGAATAGTGAGACCTCTTAAGTCCTAGGCTTCGAACTGACACGTTGTCACATCCGCCACTTCTACGGATCAACAAAAATCACAAGGTCAGCCCTGATTCAAGGGCTTAGAAAATAAACTTAATCTCTGATGAGAGAAGTAGTATTGTGTCCCTTTTTACAATCTACCACAATGACATTGCAGGGAAGAGAAAGGAAGCATTGAAGTTGCATGCCAGTAGAATAGTTACTAGGGAAGAATTTCCCTCTGGAAAGTTCCCCAGGAAGGGAGGCAACAAGGCTTCAACAACCTGTTTAGGAGTGGCCCTGGGGTGGCTAATTATTCTTGTGCTCTCTGTGAAGGACAACACATTAGCATATTTCTTTCTCAGTGTGCTAAAATGCCAGGCCCCAAGATCTCTATTATAAATGACACAATTAAGTCCTTGGCAAGAAAAAGTCAAGTTCACCAGCCTCTCTTCTGTTTTTCAGAAAGCTAGTAGGACAAGCAGAGTTACTACACCAAAGTCCACACGAGTGACAAAAACACAGATTTTGAGAAATTGAGAGAAGTCATTGGAACATTAAATTCCTTTAAAACAAAGGCTTCTATTTGTCATTAGCAAATGTAGTGAAAAAAAGCAGGATGTAAAACAGTTGATCCAGCCTTATCCTAATTCTTTTAAGAGAAAAATATTTACTTATATGTAGGCCTAGAAAAATGATTGGAAAGACATATATGTATGTGTGTGTATATATATATATTTATATATATCTCACAATATTAACAGCAGTTAGATATCTTTGCTGGGATTAGAGATGACTTTTTTCTTTCTACTTCTCCGAAATTTCCTAATTTCTATAATAAACCTGAATTACCTTAGTAATCAGGAAAAAATTTAATTAAAAAAAAAACCCACAATGGATTCTTTTTTTTTTTTTTTTTTTTTTGAGACGGAGTCTTGCTCTATTGCTCAGACTGAAGTGCAGTGGCTCTATCTGAGCTCACTGCAACCTCCGCCCCCCGGGTTCAAGCGATTCTCCTGCCTAAGCCTCTCAAGTAGCTGGCTGGGATTACAGACGCATGCCACCATGCCTGGCTAATTTTTGTATTTTTAGTAGAGATGGGATTTCACCATGTTGGCCAGGTTGGTTTTGAACTCCTGACCTCAAGTGATCTGTCTGCCTTGGCCTCCCAAAGTGCCAGGATTACAGGCGTGAGCCACCGCGCCCAGGCCACAATGGATTCTAATTGCTTCAACATTTTAAAAATGAAGCCCTAAGTTATTTGATTATGTTGTTAATGGTATTTGCTGGAATTGGGACTTTCATATTTTTCCCTTTAAAATTATCCTGGGGCACTAAGTTACACATGTAGGTCTTGAACTCCTAATTTCAAGTTTATAAAATGTATTAATTAGTGCAAGTGCCTTTCATTTGTCCAATCTCTCAATTCTCTAGATGCTGGGAGCTCAAAACTCTTTAGCAAGTTAGGTACCCAGAGGCCATTCCACTGACTTTTTTTGAACAAATTACTCTACAGAGCTGTGATTTAATATCTTGCTCTCAGCTTTTATCAGGGGTCGATGCTGATATACCGAACAGGCCTGCAAAGAACATTTCTGCATCTTTTATAGAACTACTGCCAAAGGCCTTTTCTTTTATTTGGTTCACACTCCTTTCTACAGAGATCCCCTCAGTCAATTCCCCTTGTGTACCTTATGAGGAAGTTTGGTTTCTATAGTGCACTGGTGTGGTTCGTGTTAGGGAACCTTGAGATGAGGTCATTTATCTTGTTTTCCTTTTGCCTTTGCTGCTGGGAAGCTTAGAATCAAATTTTGTGCTCAATGAAGGCAACTATCCTTAACCAAGGTTTTCTATCTTGCTGAATAGTACCACCATCTATCCATCTCACTGAAGCTAGAAATTCCAGACAACATTCTAGAATTTTCTGCTGTCTTGCAGTTATTACCAGATGAAGGCATTCAGGAAATGTCACCCCAAAACATGCTGGTTTGGTATTCTGATTGCTTTGGCCTGAGGGCATTCAGGGAATAGCAATACAGGCAGAGCTTTCTCTGGGTTCCCTTTATCTGCCTAAAGTGGACTCCCCAAAAGAAACTCAGTGGTCATGAATCCCCTCCCTGGACTCTCATCAACCAGGGAAGATTGGCTCCTATCACAGGAGAGGGGACAGGAGGTCGATGCCATGCCAAGACAGACTTTGTCACAGGTTGTTGTGTATTCTTCTGAGGGCCCATTTATCTTTCCCCCAAATCATCCATTTTCCCTTAAGTTGCCAAAACCCCCTCCCCTGTCATACATGAAGACAGGATCTAAACTTCTAGATCTTACTGGATTTGGGGGTATTCACTTTTCTTTCATGTAATGCCTCTGTGCATGTAATCAATGTGTTCACCTTTTCTTCTTTAGTATTAGTCCATTCTCCCATTGCTATAAAGAAATACCTGAAGCAGCCTGGCCAACATGGTGAAATCCCATCTGTACTAAAAACACAAAAATTAGCCGGGCATGGTGGTGCATGTTTGTCATCCCAACTACTTAAGAGACTGAGATATGAGAATTGATTGAACCCAGGAGGCAGAGGTTGCAGTGAGCAGAGATTGCGCCACTGAATTCTAGCCTGGGCAACAGAGTGAGACCCTGCCACAAAAACAAAACAAAACAACAAAAAAACCCTGAGACTGGGTAATTTATAAAGAAAAGAGGTTTAATTGGCTCATGGCTCTTCAACTGTACAGGA
This sequence comes from Homo sapiens, assembly GCF_000001405.40. Taxonomy (NCBI): domain Eukaryota; kingdom Metazoa; phylum Chordata; class Mammalia; order Primates; family Hominidae; genus Homo; species Homo sapiens. Next base: position 72,558,566 of record NC_000003.12, on the reverse strand, counting down.
AGCATTATGCTGATGTCTGCTTGGCTTCTGGGGTGGCCTCGGGAAACTTACAATCATGGCAGAAGGCAAAAGGGAGTCAGCAGGTCACATGGCGAAAACAGGAGCAAGAGAGAGAGGCAGGAGGTGCTACACACTTTTAAACAACCAGATTGCTTGTGAATTCACTCACCATCTCTATCTTGAGGACAGTACCAGGGGGATGGTACTAAACCATTCATGAGAAATCTGCCCTTATGATCCAATCACCTCCTACCAGGCTGTAGGATATAGTAAATTCCTCTTCCAAGTTTAGCCTGTTAACTTCCTTTAAAATTCAAGAGGGAGAAAAATTGTTAAGTACAATAAGTTCTGAGTTCTTCTTCAAAGAACCAATATGTCAGTACGTTCAGCTTCCCTGTTCTTTGTTCTCCATTTTAAAGCTAACTTCCTCATTCTTTACCTTCCTTGCCCGTAGTTTCAGTAAACAACCCCCTCCTAGCCTCTATCACCTGTTCTGTCCTTAGGCATCCTTAGTCGCCTGTTCTGTCCTTAGTAATCCTTAGTCACCTGCTCTGTAACTGTCCCTCCCGCCAAAACTACTCACCCCACCACTCTGGCTCATACCCTTGCTCTCTTTAAAATAGCCAATCAGAATTAGCTTAGACTGTGCTGTCCAACCCTAGCCAATAGGGGAAAGACACAACAGTAGGGGCTACCTGTGTCAGGAATAAGAACCCCTTCCCCTCCATCGTCCGGTGTGCTCTCGCCATTGCTCCATCTGTGAGACGCACCCTTCTATAGAAGTAAATTGCCTTGCTGAGAGAACTTTTGCCTGAGTGCTATTTTCACTTGGCAGCACCGAGCATTTACTTCCAACAAGGCCCCACCTCCAACATTGGAGATTACAATTCGACATGAGATTTGGACTGGGACACATCCAAACTATATCACCTGTTCATCTGCCTACTATCAGCTGATTTCATAGATGCAATTATCAAGTGCCTCATAGGGTAGAGGGAAAGTCTGCCCTCTCCTACACAATCCTGGAGCATTTTCCTTCTAAGGATCTCTCCAGTGTGTTCACCACTCTGTATTCCTATAGTCTCCTTTTAGTTCAGCCATCATTTTATGCTTGGATTGCTCAGTATTTCCTAAATCTCATCTTCCCCATTCCTACAAAAATCTTCTCCCCAAAATGTCCACCTTCCATACCAAGATGAGCAAGTGGTCTTTGTAACATGCCAATCTAATCTGGCAAGTTAAAAATCTTTCCTCACGCCTGTAATCCCAGCACTTTGGGAGGCTGAGGCGGGTGGATCATGAGGTCAGGAGATCAAGACCATCCTGGCTAACGTGGTGAAACCCCGTCTCTACTAAAAATACAAAAAATTAGCTGGGCGTGGCGATGGGCGCCTGTAGTCCCAGCTACTTGGGAGGCTGAAGCAGGAGAATGGCATGAACCCGGGAGGCGGAGCTTGCAGTGAGCTGAGGTCGCATGCCACTGCGCTCCAGCCTGGGTGACAGAGCGAGACTCCGTCTCAAAAAAAAAAAAATCTTTCCTTGTGAAGTGTTAACTCCTTCACTTCTCTCTCTTTCTTTCTTGTTTTTGAGACAGAATCTCTCTCTGTTGCCCAGGCTGGAGTGCAGTGGTGCGATCTTGGCTCACTGCAACTTTCTCCTCCTGGGTTCAAGCAATTCTCGTGCCTCAGCCTCCCAAGTAGCTGGAATTACAGTCATGCGCTACCACGCCTGACTAATTTTCATATTTTTAGTAGAGACGGGGTTTCACCATGTTGGCCAGGCTGGTCTCGAACTCCTGAGCTCAAGTGATCTACCCACCTTGGCCTCTCAAAGTGCTGGGATTACAGGCATGAACCACCGTGCCCGGCCTCCTTTGCTTCTCTTGCATAAGTCTCTATCTGCTTCTCTCAACTCTCATCTTCCAGCTTTTTACTCCAGCCATACAAGCTGTACTCTCCCTTGTCTCTGGGATTCCATTTTCTCAGTTGCTTTTCTCTCTTCTCCAGCTCCTCTTTGGCATGGTTCATACCATGGATTTTGCTTCAGAGTTTATGACTAAAGCCTTCCCTGGTTCCTTCTGTCATCTGAGACCGGTTAGGTATTCCTACTGTGAGTCCCCAAAGTTGTCCGCACTTCCCCTAACATAGCACTTGCCATGGTGAATTGTAGGGTAGGTTTCCTTTTCTGTCTCCTGCTCTAAACTGTAAGACCCAGGAGGGCAGGTTCTAGGTCTACCTCCTGTTATACCTTCAGGGCCAGCATAGCACCTGGTCCACAGTAGATGCTCACTAAGTATTTGTTAAAAGAATCAATCAATAAATAAACTAGTGTTTTGGCACTAAAAAAAAATCTTCCTCCCCCCACCTCCTCTCCTCTACCCTCATTATTTATCTATTGTTTGTCCCTATTGTTTTATATTTCTGCTTCCATAAACCAATCTGTAAATTTTTTTTCAAAAATGGCCACAATGTCCCACTCCTTGCAGCATGACCTTATCAAGAGGTGGCACCTATTTTCCCACCTCTTGAATCATTGCTGGCACCCCCATGGATAATACGCAGCTGATTGAGTGTGTGGCCGACTGCATCTGTCCTTGCATGTTTCTGCTCCCTCCCTTGGAACTGCACTGCTGCCATGTGAACAAGCCTGAGCTAGCCTGCTGGATGGTGAGAGACACAAGGCTGAAACTCCACCATCACCCCAGCCAACAGCCTGCTGGCCTCCAGATGTGTAAGTGAGGCCATCGAAGACTAGACAGCCCCAGACAACCTGTCACTGATGTTAGATGTCTGAGTGAGCCCAGTGGAGGTCAGCTCCGCTGGACCCAGATCAGTGGACATGCCTAATTTGAGAAATAGACTTGAGAGCAATAACAAAGGCTTGTCTTAAGCCCCCACATATCAAGGTGGTTTCTTATAGTACACCTTGCTATCTTTCCTGGAAACTGACCTCAAGTGACACCATCCAACACACAGGGAGACATTTTGAAGCCTCCAGAGGGTTAGGGTCAACCTGGTCCTCTTTTTCTCCAGCAACTTGGGGCACACACCCCAAATCTGTTTTTTGTTTGTTTGTTTTGTTGTTTTTTTTTTTTCTGAGACAAGGTCTCACTCTGTTGTCCATGCTGGAGTGCAGTGGTGAGATCATAGCTCACTGCAGCCTCAAACTACTGGGCTCAAGCTATCCTCCCACCTCAGCCTCCCGAGTAGATGGGACTACAGGTGCGTGCCACCGTACCTGGCTAACTTTTAAATTTGTTTTGTAGAGATAGGGGTCTTGCTATGTTGCCCACTCTGGTCTCAAACTCTTGGGCTCAGGTGATCCTCCCACCTCAGCCTCCCAAAGTGCTGGGATTACAAGTGTGAGCCACCGCAACCAGCCCCGAATCGTTTTTTAAAGACAGAATTATAAAGTGTGCCCCAATTTTTAGATGATCAAATTCCTCTTACATCCTTCTCATCTCTGCTTTACTTCTTCTAGCCCTTTCTTCTGCCCTAAAAAGCAAAATGAAACTGAATTTAATTTCTCTTCCCTGGTCTCAGAGTGTCTGCATTTTGCTTGCATTGGGATCCTTTCAACTAGCCCAGTGACTGGCTCTGAGTTCGGTGTGGCCTGCTGCTCATAACTGGCTCCTCCATGACCTCCGGCAAATGACTTAATCTCTCTGAGCCTCAACTTTTCTCATCTGTAAAATGGGCTGAGGTGGGAGGATTGCTTGTGTCCAGGAGTTTGAGGCTGCAGTGAGCTATGATCTTGCCACTGCATTCCAGCCTGGGTGACAGAATGAGACCCCATCTTCAAAGATAAAAAGTAAACAAAATAAGAAACCGAGAGCCAGTTGCTCAGGCTAAGGTCTGACGCTTACCAGCCAAGGGATATTGGCCAGGTCATTTAGAAGTAGTCAGCTTTTAGGGCTTTTAGAGAGGTGCTTCTCAAACTTCAAAGTGCAAGATCCTTAGGGGATCTTGTTCAAATGCAAATTCTGATTCAGTGTGTAGGTGCTATGGTTTGAATGATGGTGTCCCCTCCAAAATTCTTGTTCAGAATTAATCTGGCCAGGCACAGTGGTTCATGCCTGTAATCTCAGCATTTTGGGAGGCTGAGGCAGGCGGATCACTTGAGGTCAGGAGTTTGAGACCAGCCTGGCCAACATGGCAAAACCCTGTCTCTACTAAACATACAAAAATTAGCTGAGCGTAGTGGCAGGCACCTGTAGTCCCAGCTACTTGGGAGGCTGAGGCAGGAGAATCACTTGAGCCTAGGAGGCAGAGGTTGCAGTGAGCCGAGATCATGTCATTGCACTCCATCCTGAGTGACAGAGCGAGACTCTGTCTCAAAACATAAATAAATAAGTAAATAAACAAAATTAATCCATAATGCAAGAGTATTAAGAGGTGTAGCCTTTGGGAGGTGATTAAGTCATGAGGATGCCACTCTCATGAATGGGATTAGCACCCTTATAAAAGGGCTCAAGGTTGAAAGGGATGCTCTTTTGTCCTTCCATCCCTTGCGCCATGTGAGGACATAGCATTCCTCCTATCTGGAGAACACAGTGTTCAAGGCATCACCAGATACAAAGACCGATGGCACCTCCACCTTGGACATCCTGACCTCTAGAATTGTGAGAAGTAAGTTTCTTTTCTTTTTATTTTTTTTTTTTTTCATTTTGAGATGGAGTCTTGCTCTGTCACCCAGGCTGGAGCACAGTGGATGTGATCTCGGCTCACTGCAACCTCCATTCCCCAGGTTCAACCCATTCTCGTGCCTCAGCCTCTCGAGTAGCTGGGAAACCAGTGCGTCAGGCTAATTTTTGTATTTTTAGTAGAAACAGGTTTTCCCCATGTCGGCCATGCTGGTCTTGAACTCCTGGCCTCAAGTGATCTGCCTGCTTCAGCCTCCCAAAGTGCTGGGATTAAAGGTGTGAGCCACTGCGCCCAGTTAGAAGTAAGTTTCTATTGCTAGTATATTATCCAATTCGTGGTATTTTGTTACAGCAGCACAAACAGACGAAGACAGTTGGAATGCTGTGGGACCTGAGCTTCCTCATTTACACAAGCTGCCAGGTGATGCTTGTCACTGTTAGTAACTGGCTGCTGTTCAGTGACAGGAGCACCCAATGGCGTGGCTGTAACCCTGGCTGCACATTAGAATCACATAGGAAGCTCCAATCACATTCCATGTCAGGTCCCACCCCTGCAAATCTTGATTTGATTGGTTTAGGGTGGGGTTGAAGCATTGGAAGCTTAGAAACTCTCCCCTAGTGATTCTGTTGTGCAACCAGGATAGAAAACCACTGGCTTGGTCCATACTCCTCGTCATCTACGGCTTTAGGTAAGGGAACTATATAATTTATTGTCCAAGCTGGAGCACATTTTATTTTATTTTATTTATTTTTTAATTTTTATTTTCTAGATGGAGTCTTGCTCTGTTCGCCCAGGCTGGAGTGTAATAGTATGATCTCGGCTCACTGCAACCTCAGCCTCTCAGGTTCAAGTGATTCTCTTGCCTCAGCCTCCCCAGTAGCTGGGATTACAGGCGCCCGCCACCACTCCTGGCTAATTTTTGTATTTTTAGTAGAGACGGGGTTTCACCATGTTGGCCAGGCTGGTCTCAAACTCCTGGCCTCCAGTGATCCGCTCACCTTGGCCTCCCAAAGTGCTGCGATTACAGGCCTGAGCTACCACACCCAGACTGGAACACGTTTTAGAGAAAAAGAAGTCTCAGATGATAACCACACAGGTTCAGCAGGTGTAAACCAGGGTTGTCCTGGGCAAATCTGGATGCATTAACCGTAGCTTTGTGGGGTCCCAGCCTTGCCCAAGGTCACAAAGGTGATTAGTGGTAGAGCCAGGACTTGAAACCAAGTCTGGTGGCCCTCAATTAAGTTCTCATTTCACTTCCTTGTTACCTTAATTATTCAGTCTCTGAAATGGGAATAAGAATGTTTATCTTGTCAACCCAAATCTAGGGTGACTATGGCTATAAAAGGAGGCCATAATCCATGTAAATGTGCTTTAAAAAGTCAAGCAGCTCTACGGAATTGGAAGGCATTTGTATTACTGTGAGTCTGTGGTATTTCCTGTAAACTAATGATGAGCTCCAGAGGCTTGATGAGATTCAGGTTCATCATTTGTGGCAAGACTCTTATAAATGGTGCCTGTACTTGCCGTTGCATCCCATTGAGAGGTTTCTGATGTCATAATATCAGGTTGTATCTGTCACCGATATACATTGTAGTATTCAAAAGTGAAATGAGCCGGGTGCAGTGGCTCACACCTATAATTTCAGCACTTTGGGAGGCTGAGGTGGGAGGACAGCTTGAGGTCAGGAGTTCAAGACCAGCTTGGGCAACATAGCGAGACTTCTGTCTGTACAAAATAAAGAAAAATTAGCCTGGTGCAATGGCACATACTTGTAGTCCCAGCTACTCGGGAGGCTGAGGTGAGCGAATAGCTTGAACCCGGGGGTTTGAGGTTGCACTAAGTCATGATCGTGCCACTGCACTCCAGCCTGGGTGACAGAGTGAGATCCTGTCTCACAAAAAAAAAAAAAAAAAAAAAAGGAAAAGAAAAGAAATGATCACCTGTCAATAGCCATCCCCAAATGGGCTGTGAGTGATGGCACTGCGTCAATGTAGGTTCATCAGCTGTAACAAATGTGCCACTCTGGTACATGCTGATAGTTGGGGGGGCTGTGCATGGGGAGCAGGGGGTATGTGGGAACTCTCTGTACTTTATGCTCAAGTTTGCTGTGTACCTGAAGCTATTCCTACTCTAAAAAATAAAGTATATTACACAATTGCTTTTATTTTGTTTTGCTTTTTGAGATGGAGTCTTGCCCTGTCCCCCAGGCTGGAGTGCAGTGGTGCAATCTCCGCTCACTGCAACCTCTTGCCTCCCAGGTTCAAGCAATTCTCCTGCCTCAACCTCCCAAGTAGCTGGGATTACAGACACCCGCCACCATGCCCAGCTAATTTTTTATGTTTTTAGTGGAGACGGGGTTTTGCCATGTTGGCCAGGCTGCTCTCAAATTCCTGACCTCAGGTGATCCGCCCACCTCAGCCTCCCAAAGTGCTGGGATTACAGGCTTGAGCCACCGTGCCCAGCCTCCAGCTAATTTTTTAAATGCATTATTAGTGGAGACAGGGTTTCACCGTGTTGGCCAGGATGGTCTCTAACTCCTGACCTCAAGTGATCTGCCAGCCAATTGCTTTTAATGATCCAAGGAGGGATGAAAAAGGGGGCTGGGGCAGAGAGAGAGAGAGAGAGAGAGAGAGAGAGATGAAATAAGAATGGCAAAATATGGTTGTTGAAGCTGGGCAATGGTACATGGGGTTCATTGTGCTATTCTCTCCTGTACATTTGAACATTTCTGTAATGAAAATTAAACGGAAGAAAACACTACTGAGGAATGCCCCTAAGAAGATGCAGCAGACACAGTTGGTTGCTTGTAACTCAATATTCACTTTCTGACACCCCTCCACCCACAGCTGGTTGGACACTTGACCAGGCTGAGCCAATCAAATCTGTTTTCACCAGAATTTTAAATAAGAGTAAAAATTCTAGACTAGCTGTTGCTGGGCACCAGAGCTACAAACTTACATGGGGTTATGATCAGTGCAAGCTAAGTAATGGGGCAGCACAAAACAGAAGTTTATGAAATGAGTAAGCTGAGGAAGAGGAGAGGAGAAAGAGAGGAAGAGCAAGAGAGAAAAGGGGAGAGGGTGAGACAAAGGAAGGAGGGAAGGGAAAAGCAGGGGGAGAGAAATGGGTCCGGAGTGGGGGAATGAAGAGTAAGTGTGTGCAGAGAAAGTGAAAGAGTTTAGTTGGTTATAGTGCTCCCCGCCAAGGTATGTTCACCCAGAACCTCGGAATAAGACCTTATTTGGTGCACACTTACTAAGAACCAGGAAGAAAAAAAAGAAAATAACAAATTTAAAAAGAAAAAGAAAAAATACCTTATTGGAGAAAAAGGTCTTGGCAGATGTAATTGAGTTAAAGATCTAGAGATGAGATAATCCTGGATTTAGGGTGGGCCCTAAATCCAATGACTGGTGTCTTCATATGGGAAAGGACGGAGACATGACACCCAGAGACACAGCGGCGGGGCCATGTAAAGATGGAGGCAGAGATTGGAGTAATGTGGCCACAAGCCAAGAAATGCCAAGGATTGCTGAAGCCACCGGAAGCTGGGGGAGGCAGGGGATGGAGGCTGCTTTCTCAGAGCCTCCAGAAGGAACCAACCCAGCCAATACCTTCATTTTGGACTTCAGGCCTCCAGAACTGTGAGAAAACAAACTTCTGTTGTTTGAAGCCACCCAGTTTGTGGTGACTTGCTATGGCAGCCCTAGGAATCTATTTCATCCTAAGAGAGAGGGAAAGGACAAGAGGAGGAGGAGGGAGGGCAAGGGAAGAAAGCAAAAGTGAAAGCAGGAAGGAAGAGGAGAGAGAAAATCGAAGCAGAGGCACAGAGAGAGGTGAGACCGTGGCCTGCTCCTCCCCACAGTACCTGCCCCTGGACTTCCTTGTTCATCTGACGACCGGGCCTTAGGTGCCTATCGTGACATTACCTCCTCACCTTCCACCCTTTTCCTTGAGTGTGTCTACTCCTCACATCCTGGTCTTAGCAAGCCCCCTAGGGAGGGATGCAGCCCTGCAGTTGAGCTCCGTCACCTAGGCAGCCCTAGGCTGGCACTGGGGACAGGGGCAGGGATGCTGACTGAGGCCAGATGGCTTCCAGTGGGGTGGCTGCTGCCAGCAGTGCATATGGGATGCATGGGGAGGGCGTGCTGGTGACAGGCGGCTCTTCACTCCTTGCATCCCTCCATCTCACTGCAGAGGTCCCCCGGGACCCTCTCCAAATGCTGATGAGCCCCACCAAGGGCTGCGTGGCCCCCTCTGAAGTTGGTACCATCAGAGTCTCCACCTCGAATGCTCCAGAACAAAGGCACATCCTTGGGGATTCTATAAAGACTAAGTCTCTTGCTCTCTACCTCTGTCATGTCACGTTATTTTTTATTCGCCACCATAGCCAATATTTTCAAAGCCCTCCTTCTGTGCCAGGTGCAGTACCAAGTGCTGTACAGGCATTGTCTTCGCGGATGCACCTGCTGCGACCTCACATTAAAAGGAGAAACGGACGCTGATCAGGGAGGAAAAGACCCTGCCCGAGGACCCTGGAAGGTGAGAGCCAGGCTCAGAATGTGACCCCAAGGGCTGCCCTTTACCCCCTGTGCTCTGCTGCCTCTCTGTGTGCATGCCTTGAATGAGGATGATCCTCGACTCCAATGTGTTTCCACATACTCAATTGTTAGTGAAATAACAGATTTTTATAAGCTGTTAGCTGGGAAAATGAGGAACTGAATGGTTCTTCCCTGGGCTTCTCAGCCCCAGGAGTTCTCTTCCGTTCATAGCAACTACACCCAGCTGTCTCCATGAGGAGCGCTAAGGAGGGGTGAAGGGAAACAGTGGGAAGGAGGAGGTTTAAATGCACTCTGATGGGAATGTCTGGGAAACAAAGCCCAGGCATGAGCTTACTTCTTTACTTCCTTTCTGCTCTTCCCCCGGACTTTTTTGGGTCTGTATTAGAGCTCATCCCAGTTGCCCTGAGTCTCCCTGCCAACCTGGGACACCCCCATCCCAGCCTTGCCCAGGCTGCCATTAGCGTCACAGATGGTGTGGGGCCCTGGGAGAGTCAACTTCCCCTCTCTGGGCCTCACTGTCCTCATCTCACAAATCAAGACAATAATAATATCTACCTTAAAATCATACCTTAAATATGTGCAGTGTACCGTATGTCAAGTACACTTTAATCAAGAGGTTTTCAAAAGCACAGCACTCTGTGGTTTAGGGGTGCCTGCTTAGGTGTCTTCAACAAAGCAAGGAAGCTATTACCAACTGGGAGGGAAGAGGTGGTGGCCTGGACAGGATGTGAGGCCCCTGGGATATGGACAACTTACCTGGACCTGGGCAGTGAGGAAGCAGATGTTAGTTGATAATACTTTGTTAAACTCTACATTTATGCTTTTGGTGTTTGTGAATACAAATTTTTTGTTTTTTGTTTTTTGTTTTTTTGAGATGGAGTTTCACTCTTGTTGCTCAGGCTGGAGTGCAATGGCGTGATCTCGGCTCACTGCAACCTCCGCCTCCCGGGTTCAAGTGATTCTCTTGCCTCAGCCTCCCAAGTAGCTGGGATTACAGGTGCACACCACCACTCCCAGCTAATTTTTTTTTTGTATTTTTAGTAGAGATGGGGTTTCTCCATGTTGGTCAGGCTGGTCTTGAACTCCTGACCTCAGGTGGTCTGCCCACCTCGGTCTCCCAAAGTGCTAGGATTACAGGTGTGAGCCACTGCACCTGGCTGAATACAAATGTTATATTTCACAACTTTGGAAATGTTCAAAAATAATACAGTTTACCTCCCGGGGTGGTTGGTGCATTCTTTCAGACATGCATCCAGTGCCCTTGCACCTAGTAGGTGCTCAAAGAACAGGGTTGGGGTGGCTCTTCCCTGGTCGTTATTCAGCCAAGGGAGAGCTCAGTGGTTGGTAAGGCTCAGAACCCCAAGAAGAACATTAAAGAGAAGAGGGAGTGGCAGTCGGCAGTGGAGTGAGGAAGAGATAGATAAGTTATTGCCAAATTCATGGGAAAGTGAGAAATTTATTAAGAATCATCTGCATCCCAGGCCAGCGTAGTTTCAGAAAGGAGCTTTGCTAATGGTTTTTAAATTCCTTGTTTGTTCATTCATGCAAGAAATATATATTGAGCACCTGCCATGTGGCAGGCACTGCACTGGCTGAGGGAATACTGGGAGGACAGAGTCCCTTCTCTCAGGGCTTACAGACTGCCAGAGAAGTGCACATTTAATGGGGTGGACTCCATCCGCTGGGCTAAGAACAAGGCTGCAGAAATAGAGTGTGGCTGAGCCCCTAAGGGAGTCCTTCTGCCCAGTGGGTTTTTTTTTCATTTGGGGGACTGGTAATTGTCAGAGAAGTCTTTCTGAAAGAAGTCACACGTAAACTGAGCCCCAGAGTTAGTTGAATCTAGCATATTCCAGGCAGAGCAACAGTACATGCAAAAGCCCAGAGGTGAGAAAGAGAGGGTGGTGACTTTGAGGAACTATAGAAATATTTGCATGGCTAGAGTGCAGAGAGAGAGAGAGAAGGAGAGACCAGTGAGGTAAGCCAAGGTCAGTTCACAAAGGGCCTTCTGTGCCCGGATAAGGAGTCTGGCTGCACTCCTAAAAGCAATGGAGAGCCACTGAAGGATGGCAAGCAGGGAGGGGTGCTATATTGTCCCAAGCTTCCTTTTAGAAGTACGTGGTGACTGCCATGTCTGTTAGAAATGGATGGTTACCCTGGGTGAGCAATGCCAGCCTCCCCTTCTGGAACAAGAGCTGCATGGGGGCCACTAGAACAAAATGCCTGAGGCTGAGTAATTTATAAAGAACAGAAATTTATTTCTCAGAGTTCTGGAGGCTGGAAGTCCAAGATCAAGGCAGGTTCGATGTCTGGTGAGGCCTGGCCTCTGCTTCCAAGATGGCACCTTGTTGCTTCTTCCTCCAGAGGGAACAAAGGCTGTGTCCTCACATGAAGGGCAAAATGGGCCTAGGGAATTCTTCCCAGCCATTTTATAAGGGCATTAATCCCATTCACAAGGGCTCTACCCTCACGACTTAATCACATCCTAAAGACGCCACCTAATAATATCATCACATTGTCGATTAAGTTTTAACATATGGGCCGGGTGTGGTGGCTCACGCCTATAATCCCAGTACTTTGGAAGGCCAAGGCAGGCGGATCACTTCAGGTCAGGAGTTTGAGACCAGCCTGGCCAACATAGTGAAACCCTGTCTCTACTAAAAATACAAAAATTAGCCAGGCGTGGAGGTGGGCATCTGTAATCCCAGCTACTTGGGAGGCTGAGGGAGGAGAATCGCTTGAACCTGGGAGGCAGAGGTTGCAGTGAGCTGAGATTGTGCCATTTGCACTCCAGACTGGGCAGCAGAGTGAGACTCCACAAAAAAAAGAAACTTTCAACCCAGGAGTTTTGGAGAGCACATGCAGACCACAGCACTGCCCAACTCAGAAAAACAAGAATCCTGATTGTCAGGGAACCATGGATGAAAGCCTCACAGGGACAGGGATGCTCGGGCTTGCTGCATGGAGCTCTCTTCAGGGCCAGGGCCAGGGCCTTGCATAGAACAAGAACTCCAAGCTTGCAGATGAGCTAGCGAGGCTGCTTCTGTCTAGCTTTACTTTTCCTTAATTTCTAGGACTGTAATTGGCTGAGCAATTAAGACTTGTATTTACGGGCGGGTGTGGTGGCTCACGCCTGTAATCCCAGCACTTTGGGAGGCAGAGGCAGGCAGATCACGAGGTCAGGAGTTCAAGACCAGCCTGACCAACATGGTGAAACCCCATCTCTACTAAAAATACAAAAATTAGCCAGGTGTGGTGGCGTGCACCTATAATCCCAGCTACTCGGGAGGCTGAGGCAGAAGAATCGCTTGAACCTGGGAGGCAGAGGTTGCAGTGAGCCGAGATCGCACCACTGAACTCCAGCCTGGGCCACAGAGCAAGACCCCATCTCAAACAAACAAACAAACAAACAAACAAAAACTTGTATTTACACAGAACACTCTGCCTTATGGAAACCCGAAACTCTTAAGTGTCTATTTGATTTGTGGCCAGCATTCAACTTTCAGTCTGATGAAAGGCTCACTTCTCAAACGGAATATATCTTATTTGTTTGTTTGGGTGACATTAGTGAGAATCAGGGTCCCATGGGGAAAAATGGAGATTCACAGGATCTACCTTCTCCTCTAGAAATGTTGATTCAGTATGTGTATCAGCTGGCACTTGCTTGGTTATACTGCAGTAACAAATGATTCCTCAAATCTCAGTGGCGTATAATGAAAAAAAGGTTTGTTTTCTACTGACATTTCATATTGGCTGTGTATCAGATCTGCCACACTTTCTTCATTTAAGGACTCACACAGAAGGAACAGCCCCATAGGGGACATACACTTGCATCAGAGATGTATCATCAGGCTGGGTGTGGTGGCTCACGCCTGTAATCCCAGCACTTTGGGAGGCCGAGGCAGGTAGATCACCTGAGGTGAGGAGTTCAAAACCAGCCTGGCCAATATGGTGAAATCCTGTCTCTACCAAACAAAAAAAAAAAAAATTAGCCAGGCATGGTGGTGCACGACTGTAGTCACAGCTACTTGGGAGGCTGAGGCAGGAGAATCACTTGAACCTGGGAGGTGGAGGTTGCAGTGGGCCCAGATAGTGCCACTGTACTCCAGCCTGGGTGTTAAAGTGAGACTCCTCCTCAAAAAAAACCAAAAACAAAAAAAACAAAAAAACCCCATGTATCATTGTCTTATAGGAAAGAAGGAGCAAATGACTGGGAACTGTAATACTGTTTACCATAAGAGGTCTGGGGTGGGGCCCAGGGTTATAAGGCTATGCATTTTTAAAATTTTTTTCTAAGTTTTTTTTATAGAGATGAAGTCTTGCTACATTGCCCAGGCTGGACTCGAACTCCTGGGCTCAAGCAATCCTCATGCCTCGGCCTCTCAAAATGCTGGGATTACAGGAGTGAGCCACTGCACTCAGCCAAGGGCTACACATTTTTAACAATATATGCAGGTGAGTCTGTTGCAGGAGGTCTGAGGGCCATGTGTTCAGATAAAGAAAGGCATTGGTCTGGACTGGTTTCTCCATGGGCAAATTCAGGCAGTTTTCAGCCTCTCTATTTGACACCTAAATCTTCACTTTCAATGCTCTTTCTCCTTGACGAGGTCTCCTCTCAGAAGCCTTCAGAGCCTGAGTGCTCCACAGTTGAGCCTTGAGTCCCGTATCTCTCCCCTATACCTCCAGCTCTGTTTTCCACTAGAGAACACAAATAAATCTGGTTTTCAAAAAACAATGAATGTAAATGGGCATGCATACGTTTATGTGTTTACCCTGCCTGAGTACGTATTTGCATTTTAACCAGACTGTTTTCATGACCCAGAATTCATTGCATGATGAGCATTTCAGGCACTGTAACTAGTTGTAATGGAGGGTAGTATTAGAATGTGTATTCTCCCTCCACCCTCCCAGCTGATGGGCCATCTCTCTGCTCCTTCTTGCTTATCTCTGGTACTGCACTTGCCACTTGATGTTATAATGGTCTATACATTTGTCTCCCTTATGAGGTTCTTAAGGGCGGAAGCTTTGAGTTCTTTTTTCAGTCTCCTGCATCAAACATGTTTGATGAGTGAATACGTATTTGTCATTTGGGTATTATTGCAACCCACTCTTGGACCATTTGAAAACTTGGATTTTTTTTTTTTTTTTTTTTTTTTTGCTCATTTCCTGACACTTCTTCCTGGTTGCTTAAAACTGCTCTGGTCAATATGGTAACCATCAGCCACATATGCCTCTGAGCAATTGAAATGTGGCTCGTCTGAACTGACATGTAAAATATTAGATGTAAAATATTGGGTTTCAGAGACTTAGAATGAAAAAAGTGTAAAATGTCTTATTGCATTTAAAATATTTCATTCATAGTTTTATATTGATTATAGGTGAAAATTATAATATTTTGGATATAGTATATGAAAATAAAATATTGTTAAAATTGAATTACTATTATTTAATATTTATTAATGGTTATTAAAATTATGAAATCCTGTTTCCTCTGACTTTTTAAATGTGCCTACAAGAAAAATTTTAATTTTTTTATGTATTTCACTTTATTTATTTATTTTTTTAGAGAGATGGGGTCTTGCTCTGTTGCCCAGGTTGGAGTGCAGCAGTGTGATCAGAGCTCACTGCAGCTTCAAACTCCTGGGCTCAAGGGATCCTCCTATTTCAGCCTCTGGAGTAGCTGGGACTTATATGTGTGCATCACCATGCCCGGCTACTTTTTTTTTTTTTTTTTTTTTTTTCCATAGAGATGGTGTCTCATTATGTTGCCCAGGCTAGTCTCAAACTCCTGGCCTTAAATGATCTTCCCATTTAGGCTTCCCAACGTGCTGGGATTACAGGCATGAGCCACCAGGCCCAGGTCACCAGAAATTTTTAAATTGCATAATGAGGCTTGTGTTATATTTCTTCTAGACAGTGCTGTTTTAGAGAATTCTAACAGTTTCTCAATCACATCTGCAGTTTTCTTCACTTCCCTGGGGAGTAATTCACTTCGGTGTGGAAATAGGGACATACTTTAAGGAACAAACGAGCACCTAACAGTAGCTTTGCCTCTCTCTGCCTTCAATTCCCTTAAATAGAGTTTTCCCCTTCCAATTTCTCTGGTGGGGAGGATGCCATCACCCAGCAAATTCCAGCAATTCAATCCTACTTGAGCCAAAACATCATTTCTATCAGAATTGGGTCTGTAGCAAAGGTTCTTTTTGGTCCTGGTTGGCTGAGCAGGTTTGGTATCTAAATCCTTAATCCTACAATCTCACAACTTTGTAAGTGAGATTGACAGGCATGAAAAAGTTAGAGGAGGAAGAGAATATCTTAAAATATGCAGCCCTGCCAGGAGTGTGGGCACCCTTGGTGGGGATGGGGGCGTGCACAGTGACTGCCAGGAGGCACAAGGGGCTTTCCAGGAGCCTGAAATATGCTGATTCTTGGTTTGGGTACTGATTATGTGGGTGCAGTCACTTTATGAAAAGTCATCAAACTGTATACATTTACGATTTGTTTGTTTTTCCGTGGGTACGTTACATTTTATTAAAAAGTTTACATACGCCTGGTGCAGTAGCTCATGCCCGTAATCCCAGCAATTTGGGGGGCTGAGGTAGGAGGATCACTTGAAGCCGGGAGTTTGAGACCAGCCTGGGCAACATAGCAAGACCCTGTCTCTGCAAAATATTTAAAAATTGGCTGGGCATGATGGTGCACACCTGTAGTCCTAGCTACTTGGGAGGCTGAAGCAGGAGGATCACTTGAGCCCAGGGATTTGAGGTTACAGCAAGCTATGATCATGCCACTGCACTGTTGCCTGAATGGAACTGCAAGACCTCATCTCTAATAAGCATAAAAGTCAATGTAAAAAAAGTGTACATAGGCCAGGTGCAGTGGCTCATGCCTGTAATCCCAGCACCTTGGGAGGTCAAGGCAGGCAGATCACCTGAGGTCAGGAGTTTGAGACCAGCATGGCCAAGATGGTGAAACCCATCTCTACTAAAAAAAAAAAAAAAAAAAATTTGCCAGTCATGGTGGTGCATTCTTGTAATCCCAGCTACTTGGGAGGCTGAGGCAGGAGAATCACTTGAACCTGGGAGGCGGAGGTTGCAGTGAGCCAACATTGTGCCACTGAACTCCAGCCTGGGTGACAGAGCAAGACTCCATCTCAAAAAAAAAAAAAAAGTGTACATAGTAAAGCAAATAGGATATGAAAGATATGAGTGACAGTCACAAAAATAAGATGAGAGAAAATTGAAGTCCTGTGAAAATAAGTCTCTAGGGCAGGATGTAAAAAAACTTTCATCATTTAGCATTTTAAATGTGTTAAATATGATCAATAAAATTATTTACAGCTTTTGTGACAGTAGCTTATGATGGCCCCCATGATCTGCCTGTGGTCATGCCCTTGTGAGGGTCCACTTTTGAGTGTGGATGGAACTGTGACCTGCTTCTAACCAATAGAATACAGCAAACGTGACAGAATGTGTGCAGTTATATGTACCTGATTACATGACATAGATGTTGGTGTGGTTTCTGCATCCCCCGCTAACTTTGAAGAAGCAAGCGTCATTTTTAGGAAACCCACACGGGAGGGACACCCCAGTGGTATCCTCTAGGAGCTGAGGGTGGCGTCTGTTCAACAGTCAGTAAGTAACTGAGACCTTCAGTCCTAAACCACAAGTAACTGAATTCTGCCAGCAGCCTGAGGGGGCTGGAAAGCAGGTCCTTCCCCAGTCAAGCCTCTAATGAGACCACAGCCCCAGCTGACACCTGGGTTGCATACATGTGAAGACAGAGAGCAAGTAAGCTCTCTGGTATCTCTTCTAAGGATACCAATCCTATTCTAAGAAAGCCCCATCCTTATACCCTTATTTAGCCTTAATTGCCTCATTGTAGTCCCTATTTCCACACACAGTGACATTAGGGGTTAGGGCTTCAGCATTTGAGTAGTGGTGGGAAGGATACAATTCAATCCATAGCAATGTGTGTACAAGTTTTTAGAAATTGAAGGTAGGAGCGGCTGGGCGCGGTGGCTCACACCTGTAATCTCAGCACTTTGGGAGGCCAAGGTGGGCAGATCACGAGGTCAAGAGATCAAGACCATCCTGGCCAACATGGTGAAACCCTGTCTCTACTAAAAATACAAAAAATTAGCCAGGTGTGGTGGTGGGCTCCTGTAATCCCAGCTACTTGAGAGGCTGAGGGAGGAGAATCGCTTGAACCTGGGAGGTGGAGGTTGCAGTGAGCTGAGATCGCACCATTGCACCACTCCAGCCTGGGCAAAAAGAGCGAAACTCCGTCTCAAAAAAAAAAAAAAAAAAAAGAAATTGAAGGTAGGATTTTATTCTCTTTTCACTGAGCAACGTATCCTGACTATATTCTCACATTATTCAATATTCTTCTACATTATTTTTATTGGCTGCATAGTGTTCCCGCATAATGCTGCAGAATGGCTGTGTGAATGAACCATTAGCCACTTAACTGATCTCATTTGGCTGTATATTTAGATGATTTCCACTTGTTTTCATTAGAAATGACATAGGTATCCATGTGCTTGTACATAGAAGTGATTGTAATATGCTTAATTTGTATATCCGGGATTACTTTCTTCTGGATAGGTATTACCTTGAAAAATTTATCAAAAAGGAGCCCCTATATTTTTGCTTTTGTTCTAAGCTATGTTATAGCAGAGAATAGAAAGACAGATATTATTAGGAAATTAGATCTGGGATGCTCCTGTAGCTTTTGGAAGCCTTGGGGCTCAAGGAAGCAGTGTTATTAGGGACTCAGGGAATTACCCGAGATGCTCTGCTTTAAGAGGCAGCTTCCAAGAGTGGCTTGTTTTGCATGTGCTTTTGCCCTGAGGCGATGCATGTGGGGCACAGCCTTCAGGCCCTTTGGAGAGATGTCATGAAGCCGCGTGCCATCTTACAAAGCAGAGAAAAGAAATTGACAAGGATAAGTAAGTCCTACAATTTATAGGAAGAAGTGAGGACATGAAATAAACCATCCCAGCAAACACATGGCCAGGCTCATGGGAAATGGTGATGCTGGAGGGTGTTAAGGAGATGGTTTTGGTCAGGACGTTGGCATACCCAAATCCTGCTTTAGAACATCTCTGCTTGAGAAAGATAAAGATGCAGAGAATGAAACTATGAAATATATTGTGGTCAGCCTTTGTTGGTTTTGCCTTCCCAGCATCCGTTCTCCATTCTTCTGGTAACAGGACCCTGACTATCCTTTGGGAGCCAGACTTCGCCCACTCTCTGTCCAGGAGTGGGCACAGAACCCAGGCCTGACCAGTCCAGCAGAGGGTGCATTGATAGGTTTGCAACCCAGGCCTGGCTGACCTAGGTCTTCCAGGACTCTGGCTTGAATCTAAGAGAATCACAGGGCTTCGTTTGTTTCTACTGGTAGAGCGTGAGCCTTGAGTAGCTGATAGTGGTGCTTACCACTCAGGAATAAAGGCAAGTTGAGGCGAGAAATGGGGAAACAGTGAGTCTTGATGTGATTGTTGAGCTGCTGGACTCAGCTGTATCAGAAGCCACTGAAGCAAAAGCACCCTCTTCCCTTCTCTCATCTTTTTAAATTTTTAAGCCAATTTGAATTGGGCTTCTTTTTGTTGGCAACCAAGAGTCCTGAATGAAATACATTTTTATTTAACTGGGGCTCCCTATGCATGTCCAATGCAGACTGGTGAGCTCTGATATAGAACCTTTTTATCTGAGTTGATGCAACACTTGTGATCTAGAACCAAAGCAGCCCATATAGACTTCCTCATCTTACCACTGCAATGAGAGGAAAGGGCAGAACCCACCCATCAGTGAGCAGAGAGAGAGAGAGAGAGAGAGAGAGAGAGAGAGAGAGAGAGAGAATATGTGTGCAAAGGTAGGGTGAGGGGGGTTCTATGTGGGAGTAGAACAGGAATCTAAAGAGACAGAAATGGCTGGGGTGGTCATTGCTTTTCCTGCTCAGCCACGTAGAAGAAGGGGGCAAGGAGAGACCACCCCCATGTGTGCATAGCTTTTTGAATTCAGTGAGTGTTCTATCTGTTTTGGAGCTGATGGCCCGTCAGAGCATTTGAGTTAGACCCAAACCTCCATCCCTGCTCCATGGGGTGGAATAGAAGGAGGTAATGAGCTCTGCTTATTCAAAAAGCTTTAAGGTCAACAAGCCAGTACGGAATATGGGTGAGGCTACATCAGCAGTTCCAGCGACCTGGCCATCTTGTCACTCCCTCAGAAGGGACTGCCTACTCTAAGACTGTCCTCGCAGGGTGTGATGGCATATGCCTATTATCCTAGCTACTCAGGAGGCTGAGGCGGGATGACTTGAGCCCAAGAATTCAAATCCAGGCTAGGAGATACAATGAGACCCTATCTCTGAACTTAAATAGAGAAGTACATAAATATAAATTAAATTAAACATTAAATTTTGTTTAAAATTTAAAAATAAAAATACAGGCATCAGCCACCACCAGATGCAGTGGCTGACACCTGTAATCCCAACACTTTGGAATGCCAAACAGGGAGTATCACTTTAGCTCAGGAGTTCAAGACCAGCCTAGGCAACATTACCTTGTCTCTACAAAATAAATAAATAAAAAAAAAATCAATAAAAATGCTTATGGTAGAAAAAATACCACGATTTAAAAAAAAAAAAAAGACTGTTGAGTGGTGACTCAGCCCCACCTACTCTTTCTGTCTTCCCTTTCTGCCACCTCGGCTTGTTTCCCTCCACTCTATGTGTCCCCCAGAGGGTAAGCCCTAACTTGGATAGTTCCCATTTGTCTACTGCAGGGCTTCTCTGTCAGTCAGAGTTTTTGCACCAGGCCTCCTCATTGGCTGCCAGGCTCCCTTATGTCTACACGTGGCAGTTTGGGGCTAGCAGATCTGACCAGACTGTGGTCAGGGTGATGGTGATGGGGGTGGTCCCATGACCCAATTTATGGCAACTCAAATGGGACAATGTCTGGCTTCTTGCCTGAGAGCAGAAAAGCCAAAGTAGGTTCCAGAACCCTTGTCTTGGTTCCTCTTTCCCAGCCCAGGTTGAAAGAATATGTATAGTATGCAGTAGTGTCTACGTGTGTCTGTGAGAGCATGTATGAACATGCAAGCATACGGAACATTTGACACTGAGCTCCTCTTTTCTTACACATGTTCATTTCCTCCCTTCCTCCTCACTGTTCTCTTTTTCAAGTAGTCTGTAATTGTATGAGCCAGACTGTGTTGCCTAGGCTACAGGTGTTTTCTATCCATTTCAGGCTCCTGTCAGCCATTGAATGTAGGACCAGGTCCCAGAATGTCGGCCACGAACCGGCAATGTCTTAGTCACACCTGCTAGGCGATGTACCTGCCAAAGGTCGCCCAACACCCAGTCCTGCCATCTGTCATGGCAGGCCACTGGAAGGGCCCCACTCAGTCTGGCCACTTGATCCCAAGTTGGAAGGATTGAAAATCATGTGCCCTTTTGAGTCGTCTTGCCTTGCTTTGTTTACAGAGCTGGTTCGCAAAGTGTGATCCCTGGAACAGCAGCATTAAGAAAGGCAGCTTGTCAGAAAGGCACCTTCTGGATTCCTAACCCAGACCCCAGAAGCTCAGGGGGTGAACCCAGCTTTCTGTGTTTTAACAAGCCCTCCAGGTGACTCTGATGCTTGGTAGAGTTTGAGAACCAGTGGGCGACAGCATGGTGTCATAGGGCTTGAGTTTGCATAGTAAAAATATCCACAGCAGCTGATGCTAACTGGGCTGATTACTGCCCGGCTCTGAGCCCGGTGCTGAGCTACGCACTTTACATGAACCATCGAGTGCAAGGTTCTCCTCCTGCCTGAACACTGGAGCCAATGAGGATCTTTTGAAACATCCTGATGCTTGGGCCCAACTCAGACAAACAGAATGCAGATGGCCTGGCGGAGATCTAGGCAAATTGGTACTTTTTAAAATCTCCCCAGGAGATTCTGATTCACAGGGAGGGTTCAGAGCACACTTTTGGTCCCATCTCTGATGCCCTTCAGCTGTGTGGCTGTGGGAACAGTGCCAAAGCTCACCCTCCCAGCCTTGCTTTCTGCATCTGTAAAATGGGGATGACGATCCTAGCCTCTCACCTCCCAAGGTTGTCACATGCAATAAATTAAATAAAAGATGTAAAATCTTATGGTAATTGCCTTTAAAATTGTAAACAAGTTGGGCTTGAACCCCGAGCTCAAGAACAGGGAAAACCCCGTGTTTCTCTCAGGAGACGGGTGGAGGCAGTGTCGGAGGGAGGGGCTCCTCTCGTCACTGCCTCTGACTTTCCTTTTAGGTTGACGTCTCCATCTTTGCCCACTGCACATGCGCATTAAATATTCAAGGGTCATTCAAACCCCACCCCCATCTCTCCTCTTTCCAAGCTTCCACCAACTCAAGACTATGGTGTGTAACAGACTTGGCTGAACGATCCTAACAACATCAAATGCTTCTAGCCCAACAGAGCCAACACCTAAAACTGTAAGAGTCCATACAGCCTTCCCACCTCCAGGGAAGTTCATCTTCCTCTTCTCCTTGTGGGCTCCAGCACCCACCCCCATCTTGCTTTCTCTTCAGCTTCCAGCCCCTAGATTTACTTGTTCATCTCCCTTGAAGAGTACTTTAGCTATCTCTTTGTCTAATTTGTAGCCCATTCCTGCCTTGCCTGGAGGGAGCGCTTTCCACAACCTAAGTATCTCATCAGGAGGTTTTGCTGAACAAAAGCACTTGCCTCCTGGAAAAGGAATTCTGCCCCAGTTTGTTTGTTTGTTTTCTTCTCCCCACTACATAAACAGACTTTAAAAACATTGGGTTTGAAAGAAGACATTCATATTGTTGAATGTCCCCTTGCTGGTAATTGACCTTAGAGGGATTATCTCATCCCTTGCTACTCCAAGTGTGATCCATGAACCAGCAACATCAGCACCAATTGGGAGTTTGTTACTAGATGCAGAATCTCAGGCCAGCCCAGACCTACTGAGTAAGGATCTGCATTTTAACAGATCCCCAGGTGAGTCGTTCGCCCACAGAAAGCTTCGAAGCAGCTTTCTAACCTCTCTGAGCCTGTTTCCTAGTGGGTAAAATGGAGATAATGCCTCACTGGGAGGCTGTAAAAATTACATGGGATAATGTATGCAAACACTAAGCTCAGTGTCTTGAAGAGAGAGCCTTCAGTAAATGGTAGCTAATATTATTATTAGCTATTAAGCTGAACAGCTCTGTGCCTGCATTGGAGATTGTTATTCTAGCCAAAAATAGAACCTCTCAGGACGCTGGGACTCTCAGGGTAGAGCGATTGCTGTGTGCTGGGGCCAGGAAGCAGGGGGTCAGCAGGCCCTGAGATTGGAGGACTTCAGAAGAGGGGAAGGGAGAGATTGGCCCCGCTGCCACTAAATCAAAAACGACATTTCATGTGGTTCGACTTAGCACACTCACGACTGCACAGTCTGGTGTGTTGGGGGAGATGCAGAGCCACTGGATCAAGGCGGTGTGTGTTCTTCATGTGACCTGCTTACTCATGGAAAGTAATTGCAGACATCATTTGCATGTTAAAAGTGGAGAGAGAGGGAGCATATAGAGTTTGGTACCACTTATAGCAAGTTGTAGAACAGACAAAACTGAACTAAGGTGATAGAAATCAGAATATTGGTTGTCTGTTGAAGGGTGAGGGGATTAACTGGAAAGAGCCATGAGGGGTCTTGGGAGGTGGATGAAAATGTTCTCGATTGGGGTGGTGGTGGCATTTGTCAAAATCCATCGAACTGTAGACAACAATGAATTAGACAATTAATTTTAATTCATTTTTAAAAGTTGGGAGCTGGGCACAGTGGCTCATGCTTGTAATCCCAGCACTTTGGGAGACTGAGGCTGGAGGATCACTTGAGGTGTGTGCTGGGGCCAGGAAGTTCGAGACTAGCCTGACCAACATGGTGAAACCCTGTCTCTACTAAAAATACAAAAATTAGCCAGAAGTCGTGGTGCGTGCCTGTAATTCCAGCTACTCGGGAGGCTGAGGCAGGAGAATCGCTTGAACCTGGGAGGCAGAGGTTGCAGTGAACTGAGATCACACACCACTGCACTCCAACCTGGGTGACAGAGCAAGACTCCCTCCATCTCAAAAAAAAAAAAAAAAAAAAGCTGGGAATAGAAGGGAGAGACCACAGACTCTCACCCCCCAACCCCTGGCCATTTTCATCTGCCCAAAAATGCAGGCCCTAAACCCAACCTTAGCTGGTCATACTTGATTCAGGGTGGGTAGACAATGGCCAGGGCCAGAGTGAACCAACACCTGGGTGAAATTCCTTGGTCAGACCCTCCCAGGGGCCTGGGGGCAGAGTTTCTAGCCCAACTGGACTATGGAGTATACATTTCAGCAAGAAGGAGCCTTAGAAGGTATCCACTTGTACTCCATCTCCTTGTATAAAGCACCCCTGTGTCCCAGGCCACAACAGCCTGTGCCTTCTGTTTGTTCCCCGATTGCTAGGACATAGTCCACAGTGGGTTCACGGTGTGAAATTTCCTCTCCTCAGTTTCCCTGTAGATTCAGAACATTTCTCAGGGTACTGGTTTGCACTTTTGGGCACAGTCCCTCACATTTTCTTTCTCCAGGCTGCTGGCCCTGCTACATTCCTGCATTGGCCTTAGCTGATCACCACTTTCTTCGAGGTCTGCACCTTGGCCGAGAGAGGAGCAGCGAATTCCCTGTCCTCCCTCACCCTGCGTCCTGAGCCATCTCCCAACTCCTCAAAGCCCCTGGAGACCATGCTTCAACCAGACGCAGGCCATTCTCCCCCATTTCCATTCTGAAACCACTCACTCCAGGCCTTTCTTCACCTTGGAGTCTTGGCCCAATAAAAACTTTTCTCTTCTTTAAATCTTTATTTCCTGTCTCAGGATTAACTTCTCCCGGAAGGATCAGCAGTGGGAATATCTGTTCTTTCAGGGGAAACTCCACTTCCACCCTCAGTGGAAAAAATCCCAAAGGGAGGGCGGATTATTCAGACTACATACAACCACAACCACACACAACCACACAAATACACACACAATCATACGCATACACACAACCACATACACACAACCACACACATACACACACAACCACACACATACACAACCACACACACACCACACACAACCACACACACAACCACAAACACACACACACACACATAAACATACAGACCACACACACCACACACAACCACACATATAACCACACACACACACAACCACACACACACAACCACACACAATCACACATACAACCACACATCCACACAACCACACACACAAACATACAATCTCACACCCACACAAAACCACACACATAACACACAACCTCACACAAACACACACACAACCACACACAAAATCACACACATAAACATACAGACCATACAGACACACTACACAGAACCACACAAACACACATACAGCCACACACACAAAACCACACACACACAGCCCCACACACAACCACACACCCACACAACCACACACAAACATACACAATCACACACACCCACACAAAACCACACACACTACTACACAGGCACACACACAAAGACACACACACACAGGCATATCTTCTCTTTTACACACACGCTCTCTCACACACACACACTCTCTTCACACACACACACGCACACGAACACAGAAAAAGGAAGTGACTTCCACTCGGTGGTTAATGACAGAGCTGCCACTGGAACACAGGTCTCCTGATTGACTTTCTGGCCAATCCTGGTTCCTTTGATTGGGGCTGAAATTCATCCTCCGTTCAGGAACTTGCTCTGCCTGGGACTCCACTGCACGATTCTGGCAAGCCACTTAATGTCTCTGCAGCTCAGCGTCTTGACAGTAATTGGGGACAATAATAGTTACCTACTTCATAGGGATATTCAGCGGCTCAATTAGTAAAAGCTTCTAAAGTACTTGAGTCCCATTATTAGTTGTAATGGAGTACATCTGCTGGTGTTGGCCAAATCAGTTGGCTCTTGGTAGGAAATGGTCTTTCTAAGAAAGAGCCATAAAGACACAAGCCCTAGGGACTTGAGAAAATAGGAATAGAGCCCAGTGCTGCTAGGTATTTCAAAACCCTCGTCACTTGATTTTTAAGAGAAGATGTTGGAAATTTCTGCCTCAAGAAGTGATCCTTGAGTTTATAGCTATGGACACATCATCAAAGTGACTGCACTGAATGGATGTGCAGACACCAAATTGGGACAAGGTGATGGAGAGGGGCTACCTCAGGTAAATGGAAATAAAGCTATGCTTAGAGTTGCCCAAGTTGCCCAGGTAAAATTCACACCCAGTGATTGTAGTTAGCCCTCTGTATCAGTTGAGATACAGGGTAATCTGCTGTTACAGAGTTCTGAAGCTGCGGTGGCATATACGAGATACAAGTAATTTCTCTCTCTTGTCGTAGTCCAGAGGTAGGAATCCAGAGCTGGTTGGATCACTGTTCTCATCTCAAGGCTTCTGCTTGGGAGCCAATTTCTCACCATTTCCCTACCAGTAGGAGGGGGACAGGGAGCTTTTTAATCTGAGGACAAGATCCAGAAATTGTACCAGCGTTATTCTGTTTAGCCCATTGGCTAGGACCATTGGCTATTCTCTCTGCCCATTGGCTTGTAGTCTAATGGCTACATCCTACTGTAAGGAAAGCTGGGAATTATAGTCTTTACTGGGCAGTCTTTACACTGAAAGGAGGAGAGGATAGAGAGGAGGCAGGGGATGGGGGACAGCTAGCAGTCTGCCACAATGTGAGAGTGTCTGCAGGTGTATAAGTGAAGAGTGTCAGAATATCCAGGACTCCAGCTGGTTCACAGGGGATAATCACAGGAGTGGGTCTGGAAAGTGACTGGAACTTACTTAATAGGAATCAAAAGAGGTGGTCAGGCTTCCTGGGAGAAAAGCGAAAATAGACACTGGTCCCATGCCATGGAGACGTTTTAACCTGTTTGAAAGATGCAGTCTTGGAAAACAATGCTCACCTACGCCCAGGAGTCTGACCCACAAGAAAAGCCTCCTTCAACCCAGAGGCTTTAGCTTCTAGGTCTTGATCCTGACACATGTTTGGAAGATGAAAAGGGAAAAGGCCAGAGAAAGCTCTCCCAGAAGGTAGCATCGGTTATTCCTCAAAAGAGGTGTTTCTCAAGCATGGGGCCAGTGGCGCAGTGGAAAGAGGAGTTTCTCTACATTTTATTAAAGGAAGAGGAGAAGGAGAAAGATGAAGATGAGGAGAAGACACTTCCCCTTGCACTTCAAAACCCCTCTAGGATGACCTGCAAATTTCTGGAAAAATGTAATGTAATTTGCACGTTTCTTGAGGAATGATAAATCTGGTTAGTGGATTTGAATACGCTGAGAAGGAAGAAAACCTCAGCAGAATGTAAGGCTTTGTAATCTGGTTGCCATTTGGGAAAAACTTGCTAAGATTTCTCATTAAACAGCCCTCGGATGTTTTCAGAGACTGGTTTTGCCTCAGAACATTCATGCCTAAGCCCCTCCACTTGTCAAAATTAGAACAGAACAATGCCAATCTGGAGAATTTATTTTTAAAAAGCTCACAGTTGAGCCAGGCAAGACACTGAGACTAAATCAGAGAGATGAACTTTTTATTATGAAAATTGTAACACATGTACAATAAGCCCAGCTACAGCAATCAACCACTCATGGCCGATCTTATCTGTACTCCCCACCTACTTTGTGCCTTCACCCTGTATTATTTTGAGTAAATCTCAGTATCATACCATTCATCTGGAAATGTTTCATATGTGTCTCTAAAGGACAAAAATTCCTGGGTGCAGTGACTCACACCTGTAATCCCAGCACTTTGGGAGGCCAAGGCAGGAAGATCACTTGAGCCCAGGAGTTCAAGACTAGCCTGGGCAACATAGTGAGAACCCATCTCTGCAAAAATAAATTAAAAAAATAAAAATTTAAACTAAAAAAGAATAAGAATTATTTATAAAAGACATGACCACTATACATAACCATACTTTAAAATCAATAATAATTTCTTAATATACCCAAATACCTAGTCAGTATTTAAATGTCTCCAATTCTCTTCCTGTCCCTCTTTCTTCCTTACAATTGATTTGTTTACATGAGAATCTAAACAAGGTCTATGCATTGCATTTGGCTGCTACATCAGATGTCCCTTCAGTTTCTTTTCATCTATAGTTCCCTTTTCACCTATTTTTTTTCCCTCTGTATTAAGTTTCCCAAGGTCTGGATTCTCTGGCTTCATCCCAGTAGTGTCATTTAACATGTTCCTCCTCCCCTGCATTTCCTCATGATTGGTTGACAGATCCTTGGGCTTGGTCTCAGGTTAGATTTGGCTTCACAGGTTTATGTTCTTACCATAGCAGGCCCCTTATGTCTGATCATCTCTCTGTGATGTTAGCAAACACTGATGATCATTTGCTAGATCCATTATTTCAGTATGGTTTGCAAAATGCCATACTCTAATTATTTTATTCCTTTTCTATTTACTAGCTGAAATACTTCTATAGACAGAAATGGTCTCTCCTCAGCCATTTATGGTGACCCTGAGGAACAATTCATATAGAAAAGACAGGATAAATGCTTGACTTTTCCCTTTTACTTACTAGTTTTAAAAAACTTAATTGTCATCTTCCAAAGGGATTGAGAGTTTGTTTATTTTTGTTTCACTGCCATTATGAAGTCATGAAATTTTACTTATGCAATACAACTCAATCCTTTGTGGTGAGTCTTATTGATGCTCAGATTATCCCACTGGTGTCCAATGAGAGCCTCTATAAGTTGACCCCTGAGTCCTTTTGACATCACCCCAGTAGTCTTTGATAGCTTTCTTATCTTATATGAGACTAGGTAGAGAGGCTTATCTTATATATGTCTTGCCTTAGATTGGAATCAGTCATTTATCTAAAGAGCCTGATTTCTCTGAGTGTAAATGGTATTTAGAGAGCACAATCTGGGCAGTTCAAACCGTGTTTAAGAAAATATTTTTTTAAAAAATTAAAAATAAAGTTTAAACATTGCAAAGATAACCTAAATCCAATAACCACATGAAAAAGTTGAACAAGAATGTTCCAGAATAGTATTGTCCAATAGAACTTTTTGCAATGATGGACATGTCCCGTATCTGAGCTTTCCAACGTGGCCACCACTAGCTACATGTGGCTATGGAGACCTTGGAGTGTGGCCAGTGCAACTGAGGAACTGATTTTTAAATTTAGTTTTAAATTAATTTTATATTTAAATAGTCACATGTGGCTACTGACTACCTTATTGGCCAGTACAGAAATTTATAATAAAATCTGTTGGTTACATTCAAAACTATGTGTTTTAAGTACCATCCATGTGCAAGACATGGTGAAGGCACTGCAAGATAGAGAACTGAGTAGTGCACTGTCATTCCTATAAGAATCTTCCAATATATTATAGTAAGGAAAATAAGATCAATCCTCTAATCATGTAATCAAAATGATTGCCAGATAAGTTGCAATGCACTGAGAATCCTGAGTAAGGAAAGACATTTTAATAATTTGGCTGGGGGGCTGGACACAGTGTACAACTCTGGACACCTGTAATCCCAACACTTTGGGAGGCCAAGGCCAGTGGATCACTTGAGGTCAGGAGTTCGAGACCAGCCTGGCTAACATGGCAAAGCCCTGTCTCTACGAAAAATTCAAAAATCAGCCAGGTGTGGTGGTGTGCACCTGTAGTCCCAGCTACTTGGGAGGCTGAGGCATGAGAATTGCTTGAACCTGGGAGGTGGAGGTTGCAGTGAGCCAAGATCGAGCCGTTGCACTCCAGCCTGGGCAATAGAGCGAGACTCTGTCTCAAAAAATAAAAGTAATAATTTGGTTGGGGTGATCAGAAGTGGATTCAGGGAGAAGATGACATCAGGAAATTCTCCCCCCTCTCAATTAGGAACTATAGCCTTGGTTTATTTTATTTGTGGAGTTTAAAAAAATATATTTATTTTTTAGAGCACTCTTAGGCTCACAGCAAGATTAAGTGAAAGTACAAAGTTCCCATATGCCGGCTGTCCTCCCCAAGCACGCACAGCCTCCCCCACTATCAACATCCCCACCAGAGTAGTGCATGTGTTACAACTGACGAACCTACATTGACACATCATTATCACCCAGAGTCCATAGTTTACAGTGGGGCTCACTCTTGGCGTGGTGCACATTCTATGGATTTGGACAAATGTATAAGGACATGCAGGCACTTTTAGTATCACACAGAAGAGTTTCACTGCCCTAAAAACCCTCTGTGCTCTACCTACTCATTCTTTTCTCCCCACAACCCCTAGCTACCGCTGATCTTTACACAGTGGGCATTGTTTTACCTTTTCCAGAATGTCATATGGTTGGAACCATGTAGTATGTAGCCTTTTCAGATTGGCGTGTTCACTCGGTAGTATGTAGGTTCCTCCATGTCTTTTCATGGTCTGACAGCTTACCTCTTTTTAATGCTGAAGAGTATTGTGGATGTATACCACAGTTTATCCATTTACCTACTGAAGGATGTCTTGGTTGCTTCCAAGCTTTGGCAATTATGAATAAGGCCGTTATAAATATCCATGTACAGGTTTTTGAGTAGACGTAGGTTTACAGTTTACGACTCCTTTGGGTAAGTACCAAGGAGCCCAATTGCTGGATTATACGGTAAAAGTATGTTTATTTTGTAAGAAACTGCCAAACTGCAGAATCTGCTTTTAAAACTCATAACAGGCCAGGTGTGGTGACTCATGCCTGTAATTCCAGCAATTTGGGAGGCCGAAGCAGGCAGATCGCTTGAGTCCATGAGCTCGAGACCAGCCTGGGAATTACAGTGAAACCTGTGTCTACAAAAAATACAAAAATTAGCCGGGTGTGGTGGTGCACGCCTGTAGTCCTAGCTGCTAAGGAGGCTGAGGTAGGGGGATCACCTCAGCCTGGGAGATCAAGGCTGCAGTGAGCCATGATCGTGCCACTGCACTCCAGCTTAGGTGACAGGGTGAGACCCTATCTCAAAAACAAACAAAACTCACATAACAATAGTAATACCTTTTATTTGTTGAGTACTTGCTCTGGGCTAAAAATTTCTTAGGATAACATACTTAATTTAATCCTAATAACCTATAAAGTAGATGTTTTTAGTTCCCACTATGCAAATGAGTAAATAGAGGCACCAACAGAGTAATGACTTGCTCAGGGCCCCACAGCTCCCAAGTAGAACTGGAATTCAAACCCAAATCCATCTCAATCCAAAGCCCTTGTTCTTCACAGCTATATCAAGTTCTCAAAGCCCAAAGGTACCACAGAAACTTTAAAAATGTGTGTCATTGCCTTTGCTTCTTGGAATCCTCTTGAATAAAGATAACTTTCCTCTTGCACCCCTGAAAGCCTGCTTCCAAAGAGGCTGGCATTGAGGAAAGCCTCCCTTCAGGGTGGAAAGGAAGAGCAAAGTGAACACGTAGGGAAGCACATTGTAAATTTCAGAGCCCGAAGGTGACGGGGACTCAGCGTCCTTCCTGGTTCTCCCTGCAGCCCAGGTGAGGCTGCACATCCTCTCAGCTCCTCACTCTGGTTTCTCAGCACTTCTCTCCCAACCTCAGTATTTTACCATCCCCGTTGCTTTCTTGATCCTGGGTCTCTAGTTCTTTTCCAAAACCTTGTACCCAGTTACCTCCTTGTCCAACCCTGTGAGTTGGCCTTGGTGATTCCATCTTTTTGGCTCTCCCAGTGCTCCTTCTGGACAGTCTTTGCTGTCTTCCTTGTTGCCGACCTTGGCCCCAATCCTGGGCCTTGGAAAAGTTTCTTGGAGCTCAGTTTTGGTGGAAAGCCCCAGGCTCGTGCCCCTCCGTGGGGCCAGTTTGGAGAAGCCATATCTTCATTTATTGCTAGAATTATTTTCGGTTGGGCATTATGTTTCAAAAAAGTCTTTTAGTGGCAGAAGGTGAGACTGCTAATCTCTATTCTCCTTCACCACTGCTCACTAGCTATGTGTCCCTGGATAAGTTTAACCTTTCTAAGCCTCAGTTTCCTCATCTGTAAATGGGGATATTAACAGTACTCACTAATAGATTTCTTGATAGATTTAAATGAGATAATCCTCATAAAACTCTCAGTATAGCACTTGGTATGTAACATGCACTCCGTAAATATTAGCCATTAATACTAATGATTATATAACCAGTAATAGATGACCCTTGGTTTGGGGGAAAGCTGGAACAAATAGCTTTGCAACTGGTGGTGGCATGTGCCTGTTATCCCAGCTACTTAGGAGGCTGAGGCATGAGAATTTCTTCAACTTAGGAGGTGGAGGTTGCAGTGAGCCGAGATCGTGCCACTGCGCTCCAGCCTGGGCGACAGGGTGAGACTGCATCTAAAAAATAAACAAATATTTTTGAGAGTGAAATATTTGAAATATTCCCTGAGTGCTAAGAGTTCTGAAATAAATGAGTGAACAAGTTCAAGACCTAGATCTTCATTTTATCTGATGGGTCGCTGTAGGTAAGTCATGTACTATTCTGAGCCTCAATGTCCTCATGTGTAGAGTAGGAATTGTAGCCGCTGGCCTGCCTCTGGGCCTCTGCACCACAATTTACTCTGAATGCTCCCAAGAGATCAAGCTCAAGAAGGCAAGGACTTGGCCCCCTCTCTTCACTGCTGGGTTCCCAGCTCCAGAGATGACACCTAGAACATAACAGACTCCAGACTCTCGATAAACAGTGTTGAAAGAAAAAAGAAAAGTGTAGGAAAGCCTCTTCAAAGTATACAGAACCATGGAGTCATAAGCTATTTGTGTGCGTAGGCAGTTTCTGGGCCATTTGGAAGACCCTGTGAAAAGTCTGCAAGTTGAAATCAGCAAGCTGATGCACCTAAAACGTTTAGCTTTGATGAGACGAGCATCTTTTTAGAACCATACCTTACCCTGTTGATTTGTGATGAGCTTTAAGGAACCCTGCCAAACCCAGAGGCAGACAAGGCCAAACCGTGGTAGAAATATCTCCTCGGTGCTCTGGCCAGCTCCTGTGTTGTACCTCCCTTCTGCCTGGGCCCTTCCTGCACCTGAAGTCTGGAGGAGTCTGTCTACTCCTCCCTCCCTCCCTCCCTCCCTCATGTAAAGGGTCTATAGGAAAGGCCCAGGAATGTCACGGACTTCCACCATGTGTAAAGCCCACCACCCTTCCCAGGAAGTTTGTACATTGAGGCTAATCCCCGATTTGTAATGAAAAGTTTTATCTATTCCTTAGCTGCCATTTATTTATTTATTTTTTGAGATGCAGTCTCGCCCTGTTGCCCAGGCTGGAAAGCAGTGGCACAATCTCGGCTCACTGCAACCTCCGCTTCCTGGGTTCAAGAGATTCTCGTGCCTCAGCCTCCTAAGTAGCTGGGATAACAGGCACATGGCCACTACACCTAGCTAATTTTTGTATTTTTAGTAGAGATGGGGTTTCACCATGTTGACCAGGCTGGTCTCGAACTCCTGACTTCAGGTGATCTACCTGCCTTGGCCTCCTAAAGTGCTGGGATTACAGCTGTGAGCCACTGTGCTGGACCCTTAGCTGCCATTTATGAGTGACTATTTTCATCACTGACCTAGTCAATTATCCCAATAACCCTGCAAAGTGACATTTATGTCCCTCTTTACCAATGGGGAAACTGAGGCTCTCATAGCTTGGTAACTTTCCATGGGTCACGCACTTGGCAAAGACCTCAAAGCCACACTCGTTCCTTCGCCTACAGTGCCTTCTGTGAGCTGAACCCAGCAGCCGAAGCAGAGGCTCAGAAGGAAGGGGATTGGGAGCAACCACACAGTCCTTTGCTTTGGCTGCTGTTTCTCGCAGTAAGGGGATATGTTTCCAAAATGCTGCTGGCAAATAATTTCGAGGGTTTGGCCAGCCTGAAATAACCCATCTATTTAGAGGTTTCAAGACCAGGCAGCAGAGGCTAAATAAGGTAAAGTGTCTGTCAAGAGCGGAGGCCCAGGAAGAGAATAGAATATTAAAAGACTCATGGCTTATGTCATGTTTTCTTTGTCCAAGCATCTTTCGTTTTTATTTTTATTTAGTTATTTATTTTTGAGGTGGGGTCTTGCTCTGTTCCCCAGGCTGGAGTGCAGTGGTGCGATCTCATCTCACTGCAACCTCTGCCTCCTGGGTTCAAGAGATCTTCCCACCGCAGCCTCCTGAGTCGCTGGGACTGCAGGTATGTGCCATTACGCCCAACTAATTTTTTGTATTTTTTGTATTTGAGATGGGGTTTCACCATGTTGTCCAGGCTGGTCTTGAACTCCTGAGCTCAAGCAATCTGCCTGCCTCAGCCTGCCAAAATGTTGGGATTACAGGCATGAGCCACAGCACCTGGCCCAAGCCTCTTTTAAAATTGTGTATCCATACAAAGTATCATTGTCTTACATTAGAATATAGAAATTCTCAGCCGGGCGCGGTGGCTCATGCCTGTAATCCCACCACTTTGGGAGACCGAGGTTGGGTGGTGGGGAGCACCTGAGGTCAGGAGTTCAAGACCAGCCTGGCCAACACGGTGAAACCCCGTCTCTACTAGAAATATAAAAATTAGCCAGGCGTGGTGGCACACACCTGTAGTCCCAGCTACTTGGTTGGCTGAGTCAGGAGAATTGCTTGAACCTGAGAGGTGGAGGTTGCAGTGAGCCAGGCTGGGATCACGCCACTGCACTCCAGCCTGGACGACAGAGCAAGACTCCACCTCAAAAAAAAAAAAAAAAAAAAAAAGAATATAGAAATTATGATACCATGCCAGTTAAGATACACACACATACACACACACATACTATACACACATAGGGTTTTTTGTTTATGATATACACCTTATATATATGTGTATTTGATTTATGATATACAACTACACATCTTTGAAAAAAGCTGGTTTATTATACATAATTTAGGTAAAATATAGAGCTCTTAGCCAAAATTTCATGTCCAGGTTTTAGGTATACGGATTTAGGGATTGTTCCTATCGAATGTTAAATTTTTAGCAATAATAGTAACTGTGACCTACTTACCACCTATTATATACCAGGAACTGGGCTAGTTCCTTCCCATCCTTTTTTATACTTACTCTTCACAACTCTATTTCTATTTTCCTGTTTTATTGATGAAGAGGTAGAGGTTCAGAGAGATTCAGCAATTCACCCAAGGCCACATAGGTGTTCAGTGGCAGGGCCAGGTTTTGAGCTCAATCTAGAGACTGTAAGTTCACAAGGTTGGGAACACATCTATTGTGTTTACCAGCATGTTACCTGATGCCCAGAATGAACCCAACGATTGTAAGAGCTCAATAAACACTGGAATGGAGAATGAATGAACCAGTGCTTGAATGCTTGCATGCATGAATGAATGAGTGCTTACATGAATGCATGAACGAATGGCTCTAACTCCTGTGTTCCCAGCCACTGTGCTGAACCTCCTCCTCACTTACTTTGCTCCACATGCTGCCAGCATCAAGCCGCCTGTATCTGAATGACATGGGGTGATGGGATGGAGCAGTCTTTGCATCTAAAGTAGAATAAATCAGACCTCGGTGTATTTTCACTGTCTTTTATGGATCTGTGATGAGACTTGGCCGGGAGGGTGGTGGGGGGTTTGCCGGATGCTGAGTGTTTGCATATCTGTCTAATGTGGTCAGGGTGGAGAGTGTGGATAAATAGGGCAGGTCCACACTGGGTGTGTCTGCCAGCAAGTTCTCAGACATGCCTCCACTGCCCCTCTGCTTGAGAGGGAAGCAATGGCTCTGGCACCACGCTATCTGCTAACTCTCAGGGAGGGAAAGAGGAAGTGACATGGGACAGCTTCTACTGCCAGAAAGGAAAGCAGAAATTCAGTAAGAAACAGAAGTTCCCTTGCAGTGCCTCGTTTTAGTTCCTCAAACTTACACCAAAAGTTAACAGGGTGACCTACAAATCTCACGGAACTGGAAATCAGGCCCTGTTTTGTCAGGGGCTTGGATAAGTCATTTTTCTGCTTTGGGCTTCAATTTCGTTATCTGCAAAATAAACAAATGAGGCTAAACCCTGCCTTGGGACATTTAGAACTGTGGATGTGTCGGGAGGCATCTTCTTGGTGATCATAATGATTGATGAGTGATGCTTATGTGTGTTGGGGGCTGGGTGGGAAGCAGGATAATAAATGTGTTCATGTACTTAGGACCACACAATTGGAAATCGTCCCTCTTGGAATTTGAAATGATGATTAAGAACCTCTTCATTGCTAAAATACCGTGATTCTATCCTAACCATGCTGATTTGAATCACCCAAGTCACATAATGAAAAGAAACCAGACTCTACCTAAAAGAAATCAAGGGTAAGGGACATAATAGATTTTAAAATACCTCTCAGTGTGCCTTATTTCTGTGCATGTCAATACAGTTTCTTTCCCTCCCTCCCTTCTCCCGGGATTGCTCCAGGAAACGGGAGGACATCAGCGCATAGAGAGGAAACATCACAGGCAGTTGCTGTCAGACAAAAGGGGTAAGCAGAAAGCCCTTTTGGCACAGGGGAGGCACATCCCCTCCTTTACAAGGCCCAGATGGGAGTGGCTGCTAGGCCAGGGTAGCAGAAATGGCTGAGAGAGACGTCCAGGTCAACAGGCCCTTAGGACCCCAAGGGTTTCCAAGCTGGAGGAGGGTAGTGGCTGAAA
The DNA here is from genome assembly GCF_000001405.40 of Homo sapiens. Classification (NCBI taxonomy): domain Eukaryota; kingdom Metazoa; phylum Chordata; class Mammalia; order Primates; family Hominidae; genus Homo; species Homo sapiens. The sequence continues at coordinate 72,522,711 of NC_000003.12, read as the reverse complement.
GGCTAAGAGGACTGGTGAACCAGAGGTCTGGAGTTGAGCTCAGGAGCTCATCGCAGGAGGTTAAAGCAAAGGAGATGTGAGCAGGGGAACCAGACACTCCTCAGCAGGTGCCGTCAGAGGACAAGCCGACTACTTGGAAAGACCTCTCCAGGAAGGCCAGTGGATTTCCACAGATGAGCGGTTCCTTCTCCAGCACCCAAAGCTGTTTAAGCTCTTGCCTGTATCCAGAAGCTGTCTTTGTGGTGGGGACTGCTTTACTGAGATGCAACACACAGCGAAGTACACAAATGCTAAAAATACAGCTCAATGCGTGCGCACCTATGTGTACACCTACGTACCTACCACCCAAATCAGGATATAGGCCAGGCCAGCACCCTAGAAGGCTCTTTTGTGCCTTCTTCCAGTCAATACCCTCTGCCAAAGATAACCATTTTGTAACTCGATCATGATAGGTGAGTTTTTGAACTTTATAGAAGAGGAATCCTACAGTGTGTAGTCTTTGTTGTCTGATTTTGTTCACTCAACATTATACCTCTGAGATTCATCCATGCCATTGTGGGTAGCAGTTCCATTTCCCTGTGATGCTGGGGAGTATTCCGTTGTGTGATTATGCCACAGTTTATTTATCTGCTCTACTATTGATGGATATTTGGGTTGTTCACAGATGCCATCTTGAGAAATAATATGAAGGATGAAAACATCTCTTTTTTTTTTTTCTGTTGCCCAGGCTGGAGTATAGTGGTGCGATCTGGGCTCACTGCAACCTCCGCCTCTGGGGTTCAAGTGATTCTTGTGGCTCCCTAGTAGCTGGGATTACAGATGTGCACCACCATGCTAGGCTAATTTTCGTATTTTTAGCAGAGGCGGGGTTTCACCATATTGGCCAGGCTGGTCTGGAACTCCCAAATTCAAGTGATCCACCTGCCTTAGCCTTCCAAAGTGCTGGGATTACAGGGATGAGTACAGCGCCCAACCTAGAAACTTCTTAAGATGAGAGAAACAGACCCCTTAGGGAATTTGAACTGGAATTGGCCACGTGAAAATGACCATTTTAAGTCAGAAGAAGCAGAATGATGTCCAATTGTCAAGTTTACATTTTCCCCACCATTAGCAGGAATGGGGACTCCAGAGCTAAATGAGGCCAGTTAATGGAACATTTTTCTTTTAATGATATTTTTTGCACATCTGAGGTGAGGAGTGTAACTTTTGGCCTTGCTACACAGGCAATGAGCTGGTGTGACTTTCTCATAAGAAAAATGGTGCACAGAGCTGGTTTTAGGCTTATTCAGGCAATAAAACAGTTGTTGTCTTACTGGTTAAAACACCAAAAATTTGGAAGACACACATTCAAGAAGTGGTACATCAAAAACAGGATGACTTCTCGGGGGAAATATTCAGAAGATGTGGAAAATCTGAGTGAATACTTCTAATGGGGCAGCACAGCTGGGACACCGAGATCTCGGACAGAATTTGAGTAGGCAGTGCAATGATTGTCAAAGAAAACACCAGCCTCATTCAGAAAGGTGCACAATTACTCACCCACCGGGGTCGAGGTCTGTTCTAACTACTCTGACTAATTTCAACTTGTTTACCTTAAGAGAAATGGGAGGCACCAGGAGAGGTTCTCAAATAACGTTGATGACTTAAGAGATGAAAAATGAGTCCAGGGTGAAAAAGTTAATGGTGTTACAGCTGTTTTTGCCTTAAGAAAAAACTCTACTACCCTTAGAATGGGCATTTCAATCCAGGAAGAAAGTGATCATCTGCTTTCACAGTAATGGTTGCATGGATTTCTCTGAGTGCCTTTATGTACAGGATCAGACTGATATGATGAGGACATAGATGGTAGCTGTTTATCATTGCCTCTGTGTTATGCATGAGGATGTCCACAAATACTTCGGCTCTCTCTCCTTCTGGGTACACGGTAGGATTGTGCTTTCCTGCCCACTTGAAGATAGTGACTAGCCTAGAGCAGAAGCTTTCAGAGTTAATGTGGCTTCTCTCCAGAGACTCGTTTGCCCCTGCCAGGGTTCCAGGTAGGAGCTGCTTCAGCAGCCTGGGTTCTGGAGGAGCGAGACCCTCAGCCCTTCCTGATAGATGTGCACATGAATGAGAAATAAACTGCTGTTGCTTCAGGCCACTGAGATTTCAGGTAACTGTTAGCACAGCATAACCCAGCCCTTCCTCGAGGATTGATTCAGCTGCTCACCAGGGCTTCTGAAATGGTCACTTGGTATACTATGACCTTTAGCCCTCATCCCCCATTGTAGGCCAAGGGATGGACACTTCACCTCTGACCAAAGGTCAGCTTATCGATTCTTCCTCAAGGATTTGAACTCTAAGAAACACAGAGACGATTGGCACTTCATGGTGGAAGCTTTGCTAAGAGGTCAGGAAGGATGGTCAGGACTGTGAGCCATGCAGGGCCAGGGATGAAAAAAAAGAAAGCAAAGCAGACATTCACTGGGAGGGAATGGCAAATGGAGGGCCTGGGAGAGAGGAAGGAGGTCCCAAATAGCCCTGATTTTGACTTTCCTGTTTTCCTGTATAGGGCTAGTTGCTCTCTGCTTCCTGTTTTTAGCTTCTGTGTGTCCCTGTAGACTAACACCAACTCCCCAACACACTTTTCACTTGAGCTTGTCCAGGGTGCTTCTGTACTTGCACTCACGAGGACTCACAAAGAACAGAACATAAGCAGGAGCAAAAAGTTAATGGTATTGCTAACACTTGGCTACACTTATTATGTGGCAGACATTGTTCTAAGTGCTTCATGGGTTTTAAGGCATTTAATTCTCACAGCAACGTTATGAGCCACATACTTTTAACATCCTCACTTTTACAGATAAGAAAACTGAGGTCAGGGAGGTTGAGTGCCTTCTCCCATACCCCATCACTACTAAGTGGTGGCACCATATTTCAAGAGCAGGATGTCTGGCTTGAGAAACCACTACCCTGTAATGGAGGCATAGGTGATGTTGTGTTAATTAAGGAGTTTGTGAAATTCTGCTCATAACACATTTTAAATTAAAATTATTGTTATTTAGGTGTGACAATGATATGTATGTGTGTGTGTGTGTGTGTGTGTGTGTGTGTGTATTTATTTATTTATTTATTTATTTTGAAACGGGGTCTCACTGTGTCACCCAGGCTGGAGTGCAGTGGTGCAATCACACCTCACTGCAGCCTCGACCTCCCAGGCTCAAGTGATCCTCCTACCTCAGCCTCCTGAGTAGCTGGGACTACTGGCATGCACCACTACGGCCAGCTAATTTTTTAATACTTTTTGTAAAGACAGGGCTTCACTATATTGCCCAGGCTGGTCTCAAACTTCTGAAATCAAGCTGTCCTCCTTCCTTGGCCTCCCAAAGTGCTGGGATTACAGGCGTGTATGCCACTGCACTCAGCTGATAACAATGTTTTAAAATGAAGTACAGTTGATCCTTGGAACAACACAAGGATAGGGACCCCAACACCCCACACAGTCAAAACTCTATGTATCACTTTTAATGCCCCGAAAACTTACCTAGTAGTAGCCTACTGTTGACTGGAAGTCTTACTGATAACAAAGAGTTGGCTAACACGTATTTTGTATGTTACATGTATTATATGCTGTATTCATGCAATAAAGTAAGGTAGATAAAAGAAAGTGTTATTAGGAAAGAGAAAATATATTTACTATTCATTAGGTAGAAGTGGATCATCATAAAGGTTTTCATCCTCATCACCTTCATGTTGAGTAGGCTGATGAGGAAGAGAAAGAGGATGAGTTTGTCTTGCTCTCCAGGGTGACAGAGGCAGAACTAAATCCACAGATAAATGGACTCATGCAGTTTGAACCTATGTTGTTTGAGGGTCAACTGTGTTACCTTTAAAACTGTCTATAGAAGTATTTATGGATAAATGTCATAAATGGACACCTTTACTATGGATAAATTAAATATGATTTATGGATAAACATGATACACATGGATAACTATGGATAAATACGATGTCTGGATAAATAAACTGTGAATAAAGGGTAGTGGGTGAGCGAGTGGGGCTATAGATGTCACATGATTAGTCTTTTTTTTTCTTTGAGACAGAGTCTCACTCTGTCGCTCAGGCTGGAGTGCAGTGGTGTGATCTCGGCTCACTGCAACCTCTGCCTCCCCAGTTCGAGTGATTCTCCTGCCTCAGGCTCCCGAGTAGCTGGGACTACAGGCACATGCCACCACGCCTGGCTAATTTTTGTATTTTTAGTAGAGATGGGATTTCACTATGTTGGCCAGGCTAGTCTTGAACTCCTGACCTCGTGATCTGCCTGCCTTGGCCTCCCAAAGTGCTGGGATAACAGGCATGAGCCACTGCGCCTGGCCGAGTTAGTCATTGTTGAAACAGGGTCATGGATACCTGGAGGATTATTACATTATTCTCTCTGCTTTTGTATATGTCTGAAATTTTCCACAAGTTTAAAGGGGACTGTTTATCTTATCTCTGGTATTTTATTATTTTAGAGCAGGGCCTGGCAAACTATGATCAGTGGGCCAAATCTGGCCTGCTGCCTGTTTTGTGTAACCTACAAATTGTGAATGATTTTTACTACTGATTGAGAAAGTGTACATTACATGAAATTCAAATTTTAGCATCAATAAATAAAATTTTACTGGAAGCCAGCCACACCCATTTGTGTGTGTATTGCCTCTGGCTGCTTGTGCGCTACAAAGACAAAGTTGAGTAGTTGTAACAGAGACCATATGGCCTGCAAAGCCTGCAATATTTACTATCTGGCTCTTTACAGAAAAAGTTTGCTGACCTCTCATTTAAAAGGAAATGTATTCGCTATGACTTTGTTTTTAAAGCCAACAAAAAGAAAACCTATATTGCTTTCTTCTTAAATCAGGAAAGTGAAACAAGACCATTGTTGACAAGACAGAATATATCAACAAGTATAAAATAGAAAATTATGTTTCTCCACTGGCTATCCATTTCTAGACTCTTCCCTTTTATCTCTTATCATCAAACTGTTGACCAAATGAAACTTTCTCCGGGGTTAGGTAAAAGTTAAGGATTGCCTTTCTCGTACTGATGAGACGAGACTTGTAAGCAAACATTGGCTCTGACAGGGAAACAACGTGGACAGGTTTGAAAGTGAAGCTTATTAAGGAATGATTGTGTGGCTATATTAGCTGAGCAGGCATGATATAAAGGTCAGAGTCTGTGGCTCAATGTGGAAAAGCCCGGGAGCTTCCTCTTGGGTTGGGCTGCTATCATCCCTGGCATCACAAATACCAAGTTACACCTTGGTCATAAATTGGGGTGGAAAAGATCTTCCTGGATAGTGGTAAAGCATAGCCCCAGCCACTCCTCATGTGAAGCTCTGTGACCAGATGCTGATTGGGTTGACCAAAAGTGATTCCTGGCTAGACTAGCCTCCAATCAAAGCATCCGATGACAACTAGACATGCTATGTAAGGCTAATATCCATTCTGATTGATCCAGTGATCATCAGATCACTGCCAGGTCAATGCCCAGTTGGGCCAATTGTTAAATATTTTAAAAATCACCCTGGCTGGGAATCCCCTCAAATCATCGTTTACTGGCAGCCTCCAGTATCAGAGAGACACCATACTGGGCCAAATTTTCTGATAACTTTGCTTTCAAAAAGTAGAGTGACCATGTAAACAACATTTAATTCCCTTATATTTGGGGCCTTCAAGGTGTGTTTTGCATTGGATTTGTTTAAAACACCAAAAAGATATGATCACTAGGAATGGAGAATAGATAACCAGGGCCACAGAAATAGTAAAAGCTAATATTTATTGAGTCTCCACTGTTTATTGGTCACTTAGTGTATATTTTTTCTAATTGTCACATGAAGAGTTAGGTCTGTTTCTTATTTTATTCATGAGGGAAGCCAAACCTTAGAGAAGCAAAGTGGCAAAGCCAACATTCAAACACAGCACTACAGTATTTGATCCCACACATGGGAAATCCAGGTCTAAGCTTAGCTGATGTGGTGGATCTTTGTGGTTTTTACCCATGAACATCCATTCCAGTCACCTTTCTTCAGCCAACAGTACCCTGATTTTTCTCTGGGGTACCGTCTTCTCCCCAGCTCTCATTCCAGGTATTTTGCAGAGGGGTCATGTGACTGAAGCCTGGCCAGTAGTGCATGCTATTTTCCTGGCCTCGGTGACTCACTCACTCATTCATTCATTCAACAAATATTTATTGAGAAGAGCTGGGATATACAGCAAGGATCAAGCCAGATGAGGATGCTGCTCTGGTGAAGCTTATTTTCCAGTGGGAAACAGACAGACAATAAACAAGTAACAAATACTTAGCATAATTTCAATAGGCAGTAAGTGTTTTGAAGAAAATAAAACAGAGTAATGGGAAATAGGAGTAACAAGGGACAGGGGATCGGCTCCTTCAGAAAGGGTGGCCTGAGACAATAAGACACAGTGAGACTTGCGCTGGGGCTCTTCATATTTCCCCTGGACTTGAACTTGAAAGGGCATGGGCCCTGCAACCACTGGCATTGGACCTGGAGAAGGAAGCCAACGTGGGGAAAGAAGGGAGGAGGGGGAGACAGAGACACACAGGATTTAGATGATGTCACTGGGCCCTTGCATCATACTGTACTTTAAATTGGACCTGCCCCATCACTTTTGTGTAAGGAAAGCCTGTACATTTTTTTTCACTTTTGCTTAAGATGGTTTGAATCATGTTTTATGTTACTTGCACCAAGAAGAATCCTCTATCATACAGTTGAGTGTTCAATCAAATGGCTGCCTGGCATATATGCCTCCTTCATTTCTGGCAGGTACGTGCATATTTCAGATGGTTAAGCAGATGACTGAATAGACCAATGACAGTAATAGAGAACAAATAAAAGTTACTGTTTACTCATGCCTGGAGAAAAGGATTGGAAAGATACACATCCAACTCTTAACAGTTAACAAAGGGATGCCACTTTTTAATCATCACCTTCCGTAATGTTCACATTTAAAAACAAACATGAATCCCGTGTAGTATTTTTTTTTTTAATGATGAAGCTGGAAGGGTGTGGACCCAAAGGCCTGTGGGATGATAGTGGACTGTGTCCCCAACAGTGTCTCTACACCACATTCAATTAGGTGTCGGAGGATGGTTACTCAAAGTTACTCACAGCTGCCAAGAAAATGGTACGAAGGAGAGGCTCTCTTGTTCTTTTTCCTGCAGAGCTTCCCAAGTTTTTCATGAAAGGACAGCTGGAAGATGATAATGTCTGTATGGCTCACTGGGGTACAGAAACAGCACCACAGGAAGCCAGAAGTTTTTTTTCCTGGGCTCTCTGTCAGCCCCAGATGCTGCCCAGTGTCCCACGGGCTAAGGGGATCAATTTCTTTAAGCAGAAACTATTCTCCAACAAACAACAGGCCAAGATTACAGGTCAGAGGCTCTCTCTACTGAGAAAGCATGATTTTTAAGTGTCATTCTGCTTCATACCAAGGGAATTGTGTCCACCTCGACATCAGAAACTTAACTAGCATCATTACAGGTTTTTAATTTTATTTTAAAACATTCAAGGAAGTCATAATTATACTTCTATTGTGCCTGAATTTTGCTTGCTTGCTTTATTAAAAAGATTTTCTGTTTTATTTTATTTTATTATTTTATTTTATTTTATTTTATTTTATTTGAGATGGAGTCTCGCTCTGTTGCTCAGGCTGGAGTGCTGTGGCACCATCTTGGCTCACCGCAACCTCTGCCTCCCCGGTTCAAACGATTCTCCTGCTTCAACCTCCCAAGTAACTGGGACCACAGGCGCATGCCACCATGCTCGGCTAAGTTTTGTATTTTTAGTAGAGACAGGGTTTCACTATGTTGGCCAGGCTGGTCTCAAACTCCAGACCTCATGATCCACCTGCCTCAGCCTCCCAAAGTGCTGGGATTAAAGGCGTGAGCCACCACACCCGGTCAGATTTTCTGTTTTAGAGGACCATTTTGGCGATCATTTTGGGATCTCCTTCCTCTTTGATAATTCTATTTGATCACTGATTGTTCCCGAATCATAATCCTAGATGAATGCTGTCTTTTCAAATCAAAAGTCACACATACATTCCAGCTTTGCTATTGTTTAAAGTAAGAGACAAAATTGTATGGGGATCTTGTTTGAAAATTTAAAGACCCTATGATAAAATCAGTCTTCCTCTTTGCTCCTTTCAGCTTACAGAAAAAAAAAAAGAAATTACTTCTATTACTTCTGTGTAGCAGGTTCCACTTGGGCCCCAATAAATTGGATACTAAAACCTTTTAAAACTGTACTCCTGAAATATTCCTCTTGTAATTTGTCTTTTTTTTTTTTTTTTTTTTAAATTTAATTGCTTTGCCCAGAGAAAATGAAAAGCAAACTCCAACCCAGGTAAGGCTGAATAATCGCAAATTCCGATTTTAAGGAATCTGAATTCATGAGATTTCACGAAATTTTAGCCAGGAAAGAATTACCACCCTCTTCCCATGGGACTGCAATGCTTATAACTTTACTTACAGGCACACAATATCAATCTCTAGAGAAGAAATTATGGTCACACTTTAATTTGGATCAAGAGATAAAATTAGAAAATCTCTTGAGGGAAATGTTATTCATTATTTACAAGTGTATATAATTAAAGGAAGAAGGTGCATACAGAAGAAAGACCATAGCGTCTGTTGAGCAAAAGCTTGAATCTCAGGTGAACTCCCTGGGATCTCACCAGGCACATGCCCCAAACACATATTTAAAGTCTACAGCTTGGAAAAAAATAGCTTGAGGGATATACATCAAATGATTATCTGCTTTTCTCTGTGGATTGGGGAAAGAAGTGGTATTGAGGGATAAGTTTAATTTGATATAAAAGATTGCTATGATGTTTGGCTATTTATTTGTTTATTTGAGACAGCATCTCACTCGCACAGGCGGGAGTGCAGTGGCACAATCACATCTCACTGCAACCTGGACCTTGCAGGCTCAGGTAATCCTCCTGCCTCAGCCCCCTGAGTAGCTGGGTCCACAGGCATGTGCCACCATGCCCAGGTAATTTTTTGTAGAGATGGGGTTTTACCATATTGCCTAGGCTGGTCTTGAACTCCTGGGCTCAAGCCATCTGCTCACCTCAGCCTCCCAAAATGCTGGGATCACAGGCCTGAGCCACTGCATCCTGCCAGTTTGACTATTAACATAACAAGTATAGTGGATATTAGCTAGGCTTTGTGGCCACCTAGCAACTAGGACACCTTTCCAATATCTGTAGAATTTCTCTTCTTATGGGTCTGAACGTGCTTAAGCCAGAAACTCACTTAATGAGCTTCCCTTGTAACTAGGTGTATTAATCAGAGTTCTCCAGAGAAACAGAACCAATAGGATGTGTAGATAGAGAGAGGGAGAAATTTGTTTTAAGAAATTGGCCCACGCAATTACGGAGATCAGGAAGGAGAAAATGTTACGGTTCAAGTCCAAAGGCAGTCTTCTGGCAGAATTCCCTCTTGCTTGGAGGAGATCAGGTTTTGTTCAGTTATGGCCTCCAATTGGTTGGATGAGGCCTACCCACATTAGGGAGGGCAGTCTGCTTTACTCAAAGTACACTGATTTAAATGTTGATCTCCTTCAAAAACACCCTCACAAAAACATCCAGAATAATGGTTGACCAAATACCTGGGCACAATGACGCAGCCAAGTTGACACATAAAATGAACCATTGTACCAGGGAACAGATATATGACCAAATTCTTGTACAGGCTTTGGTTTAGAAGTAAGTGCCATGCGGAGTTCATTCTTTACAAGTGGTGGTGGTGGAGACATCCAGCTCACGGAAGCAAAATGGCAGCACTCTGTCACTAGAATATAGGGGGTCTGTGCCCAGCAATGGCAGCAGAAGGGTCTCCACTGGAAGAGTCATGGCTTTGTAGCTCCAAGCCTCATCCTTTAGTTCTCCCAGGAACTCAGTGAACTACGTAGATCCTTTAACACATTCCTTGTCTACTTAAACTAACTAGGGCAGATTCCGTTATTTGCAGCTAAGAACACTGAAATTCAATTAGCACTTTGTATTATCTATCATTGCATAACAAATGACCCCAGAACTTAATGACTTAAAATAATAATAAATATTTATCATGTCATTTTCTGTAAGTCAAGAATTTGGGATGAGCTTAGCTGGGTGGCCCGGCTCAGGGTCTCTCATGAGGTTGCACTCAGGGCTGCAATCATCTCAATGCTTGCCTGGGGCTGAAAGATCCCCCCCACACCCTGCTTTTTTTTTTTTTTTTTTTTGAGATGGAGTCTCAGTTTGTCGCCCAGGCTGGACTGCAGTGGCGAGATCTCAGTTCACCGCAACCTCTGCCTCCCAGGTTCAAGCGATTCCCCTGCCTCAGCCTCCTGAGTAGCTGAGATTACAAGCGCCACTACACCTGGCTAATTTTTGTATTTTTAGTAGGGACAGGGTCTCGCCATGTTGGCCAAGCTGGTCTCGAGCTCCTGACCTCAAATGATCTATCCACCTCCGCTTCCCAAAGTGCTGGGACTACCAGGCATGAGCCACTGTGCCTGGCCAGTTGGAGAATCCACTTTTAAGATGTTTTATTTATGACCAGCCAGCTGGTAAGGCAGGAGGCCTCAGTTCCTCTCATATGGGCTTCTCCATAGGGCTGCCTGAGTGTCTTAACAACACGGACACTGTCTTCCCCCAGAAAGAGTGATTCAAGAGAGAAAAATGGATGTCGCGATGCTTCTTATGACCTTATCTGTGCAAAATCACTTCCACTTCATTCCTGTTGTAACAAGAAAGTCACTGAGTCTAGCTCTTATTCAAAGGGAAGGAAATTCGTTTTCTACTTTTTGCAGGGAGGAATGTCAAGGGATTTGTGGCCCTTAGTGATCCCCAAGATGGCCCCTAGTGGTCCCCTTCTCCTGATAGACACACCTTTGTTTATTTCCCCCCTGTGCTGTATCACAGTTGGTCTGTGTGGCCAATGGCCTATAGAGAAGTGATGGTATGCCCCTCCAAAATTAAGTCATAAAAAGCTGCAACTTCTCTCTCTCTTTCCTGTCTCTGACCCTGTCCATCTGTGTGTCTGTCTGTTGGTCAGTCTATCTGTTTCTCCTCTCTGAGGGAAGCAAGCAACCATGTATAAGTACCTTATATAGTAGCTCATGCGGGAAGGAACTAAAGCTTCAGGCTAAGAGCCAGCAGGAAACTGAGGCCAGCCAATAAACACATGAGTGGTTTTGGAGGCAGCTCCTCCAGCCCCAGTTGAACGTTGCTAAGGCTGCAGCCTTGGCGGACAGTTTGGCTGCACCCTCATGAGAGCTCAGGAGACCTTACCACGCAGGTAAACTGCACCTGCATTCATGACCGTCAGAGCCTGTTTGAGATAATCAACATTTGTTACTTTGCATTGCTAAGTTTTGGGGTAAACTGTTACACAGAAATAGATAAATAATATAGCACCACACAGGTATTCCTTTTTTTTTTTTTTTTTTTTCAGAAGAAATCAAGCTGTGTGTATGCGCATGTGTGTGTATGTGAGTGTGTGTGTGTGCCCTGAGAAGGGAATGAGAGAATAAGATACAGATCTACCTAAGTCACCAACGGGAGACATGACCATCTTTCAGTTGTCATGGAGCAGTACTTTGCAGCTTTATGAATTTTCACTAAGTATCTAGAAATCCTCAACCAAATCTTAAATTGAAATTGTTCTTTTTTAAGGCTCCATGCTGCTGCCTACCAAGTTGTAAACTGCTACCATCTAGAAGGTGTCAAGCAAGGCCTGGAAAACCCCATAGGCAGGAGGGCTGGTTTGGGCATTAGGCTCTCGTGTCTGTTTAGGGACACTGTGTTTCAAAACTAGTAATGATTTGGTTTTTTGAATTCCTGTTAGCCTTATTACTTTAGAATGTCTGTAGTTGCAGACTATAGCTTGTGGGTTATTCAATCATGTTTTTAGCTGTAATTGCAAAAACAATTGTGCAAATCTATATTTTATCAGTTACCCAAAATAGCACAACATCCCTTTGCACAGTAAATGTTTGCTGAGCACCTACTGGGTGCCAGCACTGTCCTAGGCACTGGCACACTGGCTTTGAATGTCCCCAGCACTGCGAGAAGACAGCAGACACTATTATTGCAGTAGAAATGCAATTACAGGAAAACTAAAGCCCTCCTTCTCCACCTGGGGAAAAGCCAGCTGTCTGTCTCCTGAGGAGACCTGCTTGTGCATTCACCCAGGTCCAGGCTCTGGCCATAAACTTTTCAGGCTTAAGAATCCTGATTTGACAGCACACCAGGAACAGGTCTATGCCTGAGGGAAAATCCATTAACCATGCTCACGAGACTGTTGTATAAATCAGAAGGTCAGTTTCCTAAATTACAATGAAAATTCTATCCCAGCGACCTGAACACTCATGTTTGTATGACCAACCCCAACCTTCCTCCCTCCCATCCTCCATTGTCCCCAGCCTCTCCTCTTTATTTTCTTCCTTCCATTCTTGCTGCAACAAATACTTAGTAAGCATGTCTTATGAGCTTGGCACAGGGCTGAGTGCCGGAGGAACAATGGTGTCTGAGACAGAGTTCCTGCCCTCAGTTGGAGGGTGGAAGGAAGCCCTAATTAAAACATTCACACAGATAAATGCTGGGTCTCTTTTCTAAACTTTCATTGTCTCTGAGACTCTAACAAACATGGGGGACCTCGTCCTTAATAATGTGCATT